>NC_000017.11:59435980-60685980 GCF_000001405.40 Homo sapiens
ACGCCATTCTCCTGCCTCAGCCTCCCAAGTAGCTGGGACTATAGGTGTGCGCCACCACGCCCAGCTAATTTTTTTGTATTTTTAGTAGAGATGGGGTTTCACCATGTTAGCCAGGATGGTCTCCATCTCCTGACCTCATGATCTGCCCACCTCAGCCTCCCAAAGTGCTGGGGTTACAGGTGTGAGCCACCGCGCCTGGCCCACCATTCTATTTTTTGTCTCTATGAACTTGACTACTCTAGGTAGCGCATTGAAGTGGAATCATACTGTACTTGCTTTTCTGTGACTGTCTTATTTCACTTAGCATAAGGTTGTCAAGTTTCATCCATGTTGTAGCATATGTTGACATTTCCTTCCTTTTGAAGTTGAATATTTTGCTGTATGTATCTACCATATTTTGTTTACCATTCATCCATCAATGGACACTTGATTGGCTCCCAACTTTTGGCTATTGTGAATAATGCTGCTACAAACATGAGTGTAGAAAGCTTCATTTATGCCAGCATGCAGGTCCCCTCTTCTAGCTTACCAACATTATTTTCTAGAGAGATGCCACAACAAACATAAATTCACAGTTAAGGGATGCTCTCAATGGATTTTCTCTGTCTGTCTGTCTGTCTATCTGTCTCTCTCTCTCTCTCTCTATATATATATATGTATATATATTTTTTTAAGCAGAGACAGGGTTTCACCATGTTGCCTAAGCTGGTCTCAAAGTCCTGAGCTCAAGCGATCCACCCACCTCAGCCTCCCAAAGTGCTGGGATTATGGGCATGAGCCTCAATGGATTTTCTTTAATATATCAAGTCTCTAGTTGACTCCTTACGAAGAAAAGAGAATTTGCTGTTGTTGGGAGCAAAATGTCTGTTGCAGTTAGTCTCTGTCCGGGAGTCGTGCCCTCCTGAATATAAACTCAGGGCCAGAGCCAAGACTTTAATTTGTGAAGCACAAGTATTGATTTGGTGACACCATTGTCTTCCCCTGATGCTGTTCCTATCAACCCAAATTATCTGTGTGAACATAGGAGCCATTTTTTCCGGGTGTGCTGGGCAGCTGGTGACAAGCTGCTTGCCGATAGGCCCTGACAGAGATGAACACTTGGCTGCTGTTGGGCAGTCAACACTGTCCTTGCCAGGGCGTTGCTGGGCAAAGGAATCTGCAGCCCTGAAGCCGATGAGCATACACCACCCCAACAGACCCAGTGCTCCATGCTGATTTCAGCAACCCACAGCAAGGCTCAGACAAGGGAAGAGGCTCTCAGCTTATGGGTGAACTATTCCTTTTGTTTTGTTTTGAGACAGGGGCTTGCTCTGTCACCCAGGTAGCATGATCTTGGCTCACCGCATTACTGCAGCCTCAGTCTTCCGGGCTCAAGCGATTCTCCTGCCTCAGCCTACTGAGTAATTAGGACCACAGCCGTGTGTCAACATGACCGGCTAATTAACAAAACTGTAGAGACAGGGTCCCCCTGTGTTGCCCAGGTTGGTGTTGAACTGGGCTCATGCAATCCTCTCGCCTCAGCCTCCAAAGGTGCTGGGATTACAGGCATGAGCCACCGTGCCCAGCCTGGGAGAACTCTTCTAAAGAACTATGTAAAGGGTATTATGTCCCCCCAAATGATCTGGAGTCTCATTTCCTGGTGTTACTTCAGGAAGCTGTGGGGTCAGCTCCCTTTGTGTGCTTTCCCTCAGGGGCCCAGTGGGCTGCTCTGACACTGTTCACTTCATCCCACTATTTCACCTCTGGGACAACTCTTTTGGTTGCCACATATGTGCAAGGATGAGAAGGATACAATCACACCACCTCATTTGGAAAATACACGCTGAGACTCTTGATTTCATCTTCTGTGGAATGACTTTTGCTTTGCAAACTAAATCTGGATGTTAAGACAGGGGAACAACCGCAAGTTCCCCATTTTCATGTTAACTCCTGGCCCTCAAGGATGATTAACTTTAGAAACTGAAAACGCATTTGGGCTAATCGTTTATGAGATCTGATTAAGAGCTTTACAGAGAAGATTTGCACCGCTGTTAAGAAAGGCTCTAGCAATTCAGGAGAATGCACATGTAAGGGATTTCCTTCCACCGGATTAGAAAGAAGAGCTAGAAAACACAGCTGAAGACACGAGAGAGGAAGAGGTGAAGACCTGCCTGTACGAATCCAAAGAAAAAAGTCTGTATGTGGGTGAACACATCTGAAGAAGTTCCATGAGAACCACTGACTAAAATGTAACGTGACTAAATAACGTGTGTGCAGCCACGTTAATGTGTGACGTGTGTAGCTGCAAGGATCTAGTGAAAGTCTGGGAATATGCATAAAAGAATTAAGTATTTGTAGGCCACTGTCTAGAATTTACAATTTGCCTCCTCCCAGATTTGTCCTGATCCGTCCACTTGCAATGCCCTTCTCTGTCTTTCCTTCTCCATTAATACATGCTTATCACCTTATTCAAGAGCCAAGGAGAATCTCACCACCTGCAGGAAGACTGCCCAGACTGACCCCTCTTAACTGTAATCATCCTTTTTTTTTTTTTTTCTTTTTTAAGACAGAATCTCACTCTGTCATCTAGGCTGGAGTGCACTGGCCCGATCTGGGCTCACTGCAACCTTCGCCTCCTGGGTTCAAGCAATTGTCCTGCCTCAGCCTCCAGAGTAGCTGAGATTACAGGTGCACACCACCATGCCTGGTTAATTTTTGTATTTTTAGTAGAGATGAGTTTTCACCATGTTAATCAGGCTGGTCTCAAACTCCTGGCCTCAAGTGATCTGCCTGCCTCCGCCTCTCAAAGTGCTGAGATTACAGGCCTGAGTCACCACACCTGGCCTCTTAACTGTAATCATTCTTTTAAATGCACCCTCTCCAAATGTGTGTGTCCTACATGTCCTAGGGGAGCCCACACGGCATTAACGGCATCTTTCTTAATGATCATTTTCATGCCACTTTCCATATGTGTGGTTTGTGTTCCTAAACCAGTCTACAAGCTCCTTGAGGTGGGGACTATTTGGGAGGAGAAAGGGTGTGGTTTGTTTGGTTGCTGTTGTTCTTGGCCTTTTCTCTTGGATATCCTAAAGCAGTGCTTCTTAAACTTTAACAAGCACATTAAATGCTTATTATTGTTACATATTATATGCTTATTAATGTTACCTGTTAAATATTTATTAATGCTAAATGCTTCTTACTAAAATGCAGAGCTGATTTAGTAGGAATGGGTTGGGCCTGAGATCCTGCATTTCTTTGTCTTTGTTTCTTCTCTCTCTTTCTTTCTTCCTTTTCTTTCCTTCCTTCCTTCGCTTTCTTTCTTTCCTTTTTTTTTTTTTTTTTTCTAAATGGAGTTTTGCTCTGTTGCCCAGGCTGGAGTGCAGTGGTGCAGTCACAGCTCACTGCAATCTCAAACTCCTGGGCTCAAGCAACCCTCCCACCTCAGCTTCTCAAAGGAGCTGAGACTATAGGCGTCTATCACCATGCCTGGCTAGATTCTGCATTGCCAACCTAAGTGCGGCTATTGGTTGGAGGACCACACTTTTGAGTGGCAAGGCTTTGTAATTCCCAGAATAGTGCTTCAACATAAACAAGCAAGACTTTTGGTAGTATTCTAGGAAAATTCCCTTCTGAGGCCCAAGCCCTTCAAGCAAATTCTACCTTGCAATAAGGCGTTTCCTCTTTGATCACTAGACTGCCCCCTAAATTAACTGCAGCCTGAGGACATGCTTTTGTTATAGTGCAGTTGTTTGAATTTGTGTTTAAATCTAGGAATACAGATAGTTTTACTAATGTAATTTGAGAAGATTGGTGAGTTATTTTGGGTATGCATGGCCTAGCCCTGCAATCCTAGGATTCTCTTGATAAGCGCCACAATTATACCAGCTGATCCCATAAAAAGGCAAAACAGTCTAGCCCGCATAGAGTGCTGACAGCTGTAACACCCCCTTCTGGACGAGGGGTCTTCGCTTTTCCCCCAGGTGGGTTAGGTAGCTGGAAGCAGACATAAAGCTTTTATTTTCCTGTGCCTGGTAAGTCTCTGTTTCCTGTGGAAAGTCCCACTTCATCAGAGGCAAAGAATTCTCTCTTAGTTTCACCTCTGAAGCTAGGAAAATTAGCCTTTAACCATACTAAATAGACTTCAATAAACGTTTTTCTATTTTCTTTTTAAATAGAGACAGGGTGTCCCTATGTTACCCAGGCTTGTCTCAAACACCTGGGCTCAAGTGATCCTCCCACCTCAGCCTCCCGAAGTGTCGGAATTACAGGCATGATCCTAGCCAATAAATGTTTTTTAACTGGGAGGGACAGACCAGAAGGATAAGCCGGCACTAATGAAACCAGAAAGACACTTGGCTGGACTCCTAGCATGACACCAGCAAGAGGAAAGTCAAGGCCAGATGCCATCGCTCACACCTGTAATTCTAACACCTCGGAGGCTGAGCTGGGAAGATCTCTTGAGGCCAAGAGTTTGAGACCAGCCTGAGCAACATGGCAAGACCACCCCCCTCCCCATCTCTACAAAAAGAGTAAAAAATTAGCCAGATCTGGTGGTGCATACCTGTAGTCCCAGCTACTTAGGAGGCTGAGGTGCTTGGGCCTGGGAGTTCAAGGCTGCAGTGAGCTATGATTGCCCCACTGCACCCCAGCCTGGGTGACAGAGCAAAACCCTGTCTCAAAAAAAAAAAAATAAATAAATAAAGGAGAGTCAAGTCTCTCAGGGCCTTGGTTTACTTATCTGTAAAATGAAGGTATTGGGCTAGAAGATTCCTAGCAGCCCTAACAGGTTAACTAACAGCCAACTTGGGAGAAAGGCAAAGAGACAAGAATTCCAACGCTGGCTACTTGACAGCACAATGTGACTGGAGTCTCTTGGCTGACTTGTATTCTCTCACTGGTCTCAGCCCAAATGCTTGCCCTGATATGGTACTAAGTTATCCCTTCCTAGAAAAGTTGGTGCCTCACATCCGCCTGCCTGTTGTAGAAAGACGTGAAAAGACACGCCCTGTGCTGCCACCTAGTGGTTCCTCTTCTATCAAGGCAGGGTAGACTCTTCCTTTCTGTTCTCCATCCACCGGCTATGAGGGTCTAACAGGAGAGACTAAAAATAATGCACTTCCAGGTGCCACCGCTTTAAGGGAATCAGGGACTATGACTAAGAACTACAAGGTCTTCTAAACTTTATAATTTCCTCCGTATTGTTATTTCCTGTCTGTTTCGCTGCAGCGATTAGCAGTAAAACTCTAAAAACAAAAATGACCAAGGTTGTTTTTAAGGTCAGCAAGGAAGCAGGGAACTGGGGAGAGACAGCACCCCAGGGTTTGAGGTAAACAACACCAGGAGATGGAGTGGGTGGAAGGAGCTGAATAGCGGAAAGGAAAGAGGGTGAAGTCCTCTGGCTTGTTTGAAAAAGGAAAGAGGGGGTGGGAGGATGAAGTTGCCTTTTAGCTGGAATGAAAGTCATCATCTTAATAGCATTGTCATTCTTTCCTGTTTTGTCTTTAGATGCACAAATCTGTTTTCAAGCCTGGAAAATGAAGCAAATGTGTGGTTTTCAGCTACTGTTGCAGTTCAGGGGCCTTTGTAGCAAATGATACTCCCCTAGACTAAGGATCCGAAATACAAATGTCTATAGAAAGGCCACGCAGATATCGTACTTGGATGGAGGCAGCCAGAGGTAAGGCTGTTGGGAGTGGTGGGGACTGTGGTAAACAGGAGAGTACTCACTCCATCTAAGGAAGCAGAAACAACCAGTCCCAGGTGATTATGGGCCTAACCAAACCGTGTACCCACATTGCTAGATCTTTCACATTTTCAGGAGAAGCTGGAAACTTGGATTATTATGTGAAGTCACCTTATTTTTAAATGTTGGCGGCTAATGTTGCTTAAAAACAAACAACAGTACTCTGAGCCAAATAAAACATATCAATGAGACATATTTAGCTCAAAGGCCAACTCTTTGAAAACATGAATACAGAGCATTTTGCAATCTGGAACGCTAAAGCACTAATATGATTTTTTCAAGGCATGTGGTCTTCTTCTGAATAACAAATGACAAGGCAACAAGCAAATACCAGGTAAACTGGGGAACTGCAAAATGCTTTGTGTTACGATTTGTTAAAATTGACTATTGTGCCTAGAAATTTATATAAAGAGCTAGTTTGTTAATTTTTCATGTCCAACTGGAAAGCTCTGATATATTCTTTCAATAAATCATGAAACATTTATTGAGCACCTAATATATGCAAAGTAAAGATAAATAGGCTGGGTGCCGTGGCTCACACCTGTAATCCCAGCAGTTTAGGAGGCTGAGGCGGGAGGATTGTTTGAGCCCAGGAGTTCGAGAAGAGCCTGGGCAACTCAGGAAGACTTCATCTCTTCATCTTCATCTTACAAAAAATTTTAAAAATTAGCTGGATGTGGTGGTGCATGCCTGTAGTTCCAGCCACTTGGGAGGCTGAGGCAGGAAGACTACTTGAGCCCAGGAGGTCAAGGCTGCAGTGAGCCATGATGGTGCCGTTGCACTCTAGCCTGGATGACAGAGCAAGACCCTGTCTTAAAAATAAATAAATAAATAAATAAATAAATAAATAAATAAATAGGCTGGGTGCCGTGGCTCACGCCTGTAATCCCAGCACTTTGGGAGGCTAAGGCAGGTGAATCACCTGAGGTCAGGTGATTAGCTGGGCATGGTGGTGGGCCCCTGTAATCCCAGCTACTCGGGAGGCTGAGGCAGGGAGAACTACTTGAACCCGGGAGGCGGAGGTTGCAGTGAGCTGAGATTGTGCCACTGCACTCCAGCCTGGGCAACAGAGTGAGACTGTCTCAAAAAAAAAAAATACATAAAATAAAATAAAAATAAAAAAATAAAAATTTAAAAAGATAAATAAAACTTTTCCTATAAAAAGTGTCAGATTGTATTTACTTTATTTCTTTTTTCTTTGTTTTTTGAGACACAGTCCCAGTCTGTCTCCCCAGCTGGAGTATAGTGGTACGTTCTCAGCTCACTGCAACCTCCACCTTCTGGGTTCAAGCGATTCTCCTGCCTCAGCCTTCTGAATAGCTGGGATTACAGGTGCCCACCACCACGCCCAGCTAATTTTTGTCTTTTTAGTAGAGACGGGGTTTCACCATGTTGGCCAGGCTGGTCTTGATCTCCTGACCTCGGGTGATCCACTTGCCTTGGCCTCCGAAAGTGCTGAGATTACAGGTATGAGCTATGATGCCCAGCCCAAATAGTAAGTATTTTAGGCTTTGAGGTCCATTCAGTCTCCATCACAACTATTCAGATCTGCCTTTGTAGTCACAAAGCAGTCTTAGCCAATACATAAACTAATGGATATGGCTGCGTTCTAATAAAACTTTATTTACAACAGGCAGCAGTCCAAATTTGGCCTGTAAGCCATAGTTTGCCAATCTCAGATGTAGAAGATTTAAGAGAGCTTGCAGCCTAATGCAACAGTTTTATTTTTAAATATTTACATGTTTATATTTTGCCTACTAAGACAAGGAATTAGAGTAATATTGCTATGGTTTTTACGTTATATTTTGGGTGACAACACTGATTTTTTTTTTTTTTTTTTTTTGATACAGGGTCTCACTTGTCACCCAGGCTGGAATGCAGTGGCTCCATCATGGCTCACTGCAGCCTCAACCTCCTGGACTCAAGCGATCCTCCCCTCAGGCTCCCAAGTAGCTGGGACTATAGGCATGCATCACCACGTCTGGCTAATTTTGTATTTTTTTGTAGAGACAGGGTTTCGCCGTGTTGCCCAGGCCGGTCTCAAACTTCTGGGCTCAATTGATCCTTCTGCCTCAGACTCCCATAGTGGTGGGTTTACAGGTGTGGGCCACCATGGCTGGCCAAAAACATCATATTTTTGACTACAATAGTTACTTCAGTGGAGTGGTTCGATTTCTCTGTGTTTTGGTTGGACTTGAATCTGTTGTGTGGCTCTCACCTGTAGTCCCAGCTACTCAGGAGGCTCAGGTGGGAGGATCGCTTGAGTCTAGGAGGCAGAGGTTGCAGTGAGCCAAGATTGTGCCACTGCACTCCAGCCTGGGTGGCAGAGCAAGACCCTGTCTCAAAAGAAAAAAAAAAAAAAGAAAAGCGGCCAGGCACGGTGATTCATGCCTGTAATCCCAGCACTTTGGGAGGCCAAGGAGGGCGGCTCACCAAAGATCAGGTGTTCGAGACCAGACTGGTCAACATGGTGAAACCCCGTCTCTACTGAAAAAAAAAAAAAAAAAAAAGCTGGGCATGGTGGCATGCACCTGTAGTCCCAGCAACTCAGGAGGCTGAGGCAGGAGCATTGCTTGAACCTGAGACATGGAGGCTGCAGTGAGCTAAGATTGTGCCACTGCACTCCAGCCTGGATCACAGAGACTCCGTCTCAAAAAAAAAAAAAAAAAAAGAGAAAAGAAAAGAAACTGTAGTGAAGAGGCAACATGAAGCTGAGTACACTTGATTGTTTCCAGAGTCCTAGAACTTCCTACCTGGAACTTTCAAAAATATGTTCTAAAGAGAGCAAATGAAGCAGTATATCATTTTATTTATTTATTTATTTATTCATTTATTTATTTATTTTGGAGACAGAGTCTTGCTCTGTCACCCAGGCTGGAGCACAATGGTGGGATCTTGGCTGACCGCAACCTCCACCTCCTGGGTTCCAGCGATCTTCCTGCCTCAGCCTCCCAGGTAGCTGGGACTACAGGCGCCCGCCACCATGCCTGGCTAATTTTTTGTATTTTTTAGTAGAGATGGGGTTTCACCGTGTTAGCCAGGATGGTCTTGATCTCCTGACCTCGTGATCCGCCCGTGTCAGCCTCCCAAAGTGCTGGGATTACAAGCGTGAGCCACCGCGCCCAGCAAAAATTTCTGAATAGGGATGCTTCCATTTGGCCTCATGACCCTTCCCTCTTCTTCCTGACCTAGAACACAGATGCAATAGCTTAGAGGTTCGGCAACCATTTTGTGACCGCAAGGACAAAAACAACAAACTAAGGATGGTGGAGTGGAGAGAAAGAGGAAGCTTTAATGATATCATTGAGCAGCATCACTAGCCCTGAGTGGAATACCTTTGGGTTTCTTATTACATGAGAAAAAATACAGTCCCCATGGAGTAAAACCATTATTATCTGGCTTTCTATTACCTGCAACCTAACCCTAAGCCTTTCTATTTGGGGCTATTTAGAGTTTCCTCCTATTTTCACAGTCCATCAACATTGCTCAGGAAATGAAAACGCAACAGCGATCTGGCATGCAATGCAGTTGTATTAACTCCCCCTCTTCCTGTGCCACTTTAAAAAGTTGAAGTTAACATTATTTAAAATCTTGTTACAAACTCAAATAACATATAAAGATCAAAATCCATTGAGTTTCTTAGGAAGAAGTCTTATTACAATACATCAACATCAAGTTCAAAGAAAATGTTCTGTAATACAGCTAAGAAAATCAAAGCGATTGTCAACAGATTTTTTTGAACTTGTTTTAGGTAGCAAACATTTTATGCCAACACGCTATCCAAAATGTGTTTAAAAATATATAAATAGGGCCGGGCATGGTGACTCACACCTGTAATCCCAGCACTTTGGGAGGTCAAGGCTAGAGGATTGCCTGAGCCCAGGAGTTCAAGACCAGCCTGCGCAATATAGTGAAACCCTGTCTCCACAAAAAATACAAAATTAGCCTGGGATGGTGGCTTGTGCCTGTAGTCCCTGCTATTTGGGAGGCTGAGGTGGGAGGATCGCTTGAGTCCGGGAGATGGAGGCTGCAGTGAGCCAAGATGGTGCCACTGCACTCCAGCCTGGGGGACAGAGCAAGACCCTGTCTCAAAAAAATAAATAAATGAAAATGAAAATAAATTATATATATATATGACTATAGTCTATATTTTAGAGTTTTTTAATTTTTTTGAGATAGAGTCTTGCTCTATTGCCCAGGCTGGAGTGCAGTGGCACAATCTTGGTTCACTGCAACCTCCACCTCCCGAGTTCAAGCGATTCTCCTTCCTCAGCCTCTCAGATAGCTGGGATTACAGGTGCCCGCCACCATACCAGGGTAATTTTTGTATTTTTAGTAGAGATGGGGTTTCACCATGTTGCCCAGGCTGGTCTTGAACTCCTGACCTCATGTGATCCGCCCGCCTCGGCCTACCAAAGTGCTGAGAGTACAGGTGTGAGCCACCATGCCTGGCTACATTTTAGAGTTTTATGTCCTCCAAACTCATCATGTTTTGTGACATATACGTTAGATGATTATAAAGATCTTTCAAACATCAGAGCTCCCACTTGCCAAATTTAGGACAATTTGATGTATTTTGTACATCAAAAAATAATGGATTATAACATGTTAAATGAAATGTAAAAGACTTATGAATTCACAGTGATTCAGAAGCATGCCAGCTAATAAATGTAGACAAATGATAGAATTTGAGTTTGTAACTGCCAATGTAATCATTGATTCAGTTTGGCTATCATCAATGATTTTATCATTGAGTGAAAGGATGTTGGGGAATAGGATAATTACATGGTTCCAGAGTTGCACCCCAGAGATCAATTAATAAATTCAGGCCAGGCATGGTGGCTCACACCTGTAATCCCAACACTTTGCGAGGCTGAGGTGGGCGGATCACCTGAGGTCAGGAGTTCGAGACCAGCCTTGCTAACATGGTGAAACCCTGTCTCTACTAAAAATACAAAACTTAGCCAGCTGTGGTAGCACACGCCTGTAATCCCAGCTACTTGGGAGGCTGAGGCAGGAGAATTGCTTGAACCCGGCAGGTGGAGGTTGCAGTAAGCTGAGATCGTGCCACTGCACTCCAGCACTCCAGCCTGGGCAATAGAGTGAGACTCCGCCTCAAAATAAAAAATTAATAAATTCAAAGGGAAAATGTATCTTTACCATGGAGAGATCTGGTGAATACCCTCTTAACCAAGCAATCAAACTTGGCATCACTAATAGTAAAACAATGGATGGCCTCCTGTTATAATGCACTAAGAGATACACAACACCCATATATAGAATTCTGCTGGAATTGTTTAACCTGAAAATAAACATAAGGGAACAATCAAGGAAATTCAGAATCTGGAAAAAATCTGCAAGATAACTGGCCTGGATTCTAAAAAAGTTCAATGTCATGGAAAACACCAAAAGGTGGGGATTTTCTGAGACTAAGAGAGACCAAGGAGATAACCAGATACCATATGTAAACCTTGAGTAGATCCTGGATGGGAGGGGGAAAGCCTGCTAGATAAGACATTTTTAAGATCATTGGAGATAGTATATTAAATTGTCTTCTTGAAGTGATGTTAATTTTCTTATTCTGATTGTAGTGAGTGTTATTGTGGTTATATACTAGAATGACCTTTTCCTAGGAGATCTGTAATGAGATATTTAGGGGTGAGGTGTCACGACAGCTGCATACTACCTTTAAAAAAGTGTGCTGGCCGGGCACGGTGGCTCATGCCTGGAATCCCAGCACTTTGGGAGGCCAAGGCTGGTGGATCACGAGGTCAGGTGTTCGAGACCAGCCTGGCCAACATAGTGAAACCCCGTCTCTACTAAAAATACAAAAAATTAGCCAGGCATGGTGGTGGGATCCTGTAATCCCAGCTACTCGGGAGGCTGAGGCAGGAGAATCACTTGAACCTGGGAGGCAGAGGTTGCAGTGAGCCAAGATCATGCCACTGCACTCCAGCCCAGGTGACAGAGCGAGACTCAAAAAAAAAAAAAGTGTTCTGTGTGTGTGTAGCAGAAAATGTGGTGAAATGTTAATGATTGGTAAATCTATGTAAAAGGTTTAGGATGTTTATTGAACTATTATTCCAGCTTGTTTGGAAGTGTAAAACTTTCCCAAAATAGAAACTTCATACTATGCCTCGGAATTTTATTGTAACTGTTATTCTTCTGGTAGATATTAAGATGTACTAGCTAGACATTCTGACACAAGCTGTAGGTATCACATAAGCATTATTCAGTAAAGATTATTTGAGTCTGGCCTACTACAAGCCAGACATGATTTTAGACAATTAGGATACTTGAATGAACAAAACAGAGATCTCTGGTCCTGTGAAGCTTATATTCCGGGGGGGAGAGACAGACAGAGACACTAAACATAATAAGTAAATAAATTGTGGGAAAAAACAGTCGAGTAGGAGTTAGGGGACAATTTGGGAAATACTAAAGTGGAGACTTAGATAAATAAATGAAAGAAGCATAGAGATGGATTTAGGGAATATTGAGATAATGTCCAAATTTTCTATTATTCTAGGATATGCTGGTTTGGTTTCACCTGAAGAATACTGCACCTTTTAATCACACGAAGCCATTTCAAGTATTCCTAGTTAGTATTCACAATTGGTATGCATTTCAGGCACACCAATTCTGAATCCTAACTAGGAATACACTGGTTCTCTTTCACCTTTTACTGAATCCCAACTAGGGTGACCAGGTGTCCTGGTTTGCCCAGGACTAAGGGGTTTCCCACGACATGGGACTTTCAGTGTTAAAATTGGGATAGTCCTGGGTGAACTGGGATGGGTTGGTCACCTTAATACTGCTACTTGCCACTTGTGTGACTTCCAGTAAATCATTTAGCTTCCAAGAGTCCTGATTTCGTCATCTATAAAAAGGACATTATACATACACACATATATATATATGCTCCAACATGGATGAATCTTGGAAATATTATGCTAAGTGAAAGAAGCTAGACACAAAAGATCACATATTATTTTTTTAAATTCTTCTTATTATTTTTTGAGACTGAGTCTCACTCTGTCACCCAGGCTGGAGTACAATGGCACAATCTCGGCTCACTGCAACCTCTGCCTCCTGGGTTGAAGCGATTATCCTGCCTCAACCTCCTGAGTAGCTGGGACTACAGGCATGTGCCACCACTCCCTGCTAATTTTTGTATTTTTAGTAGAGACAGGGTTTCGCCATGTTGGCCAGGCTGGTCTCGAACTCCTGACCTCAGGTAATCCACCAGCCTTGGCCTCCCAAAGTGCTGGGATTACAGGCGAGAGCCACGACGCCTGGCCAAAAGGTCATATATTCTATGACTCCATTTCTCTGAAATGTCTAGAATAGGCAAATCCATAGAGACAGAAAATAGATGAGTGATTGCCAGGTCCTGCAGGAAGTGGAGAATGGGAGTTGACTGCCTCAGGGATGTGGGGATTTTTTTTGGTGGGGGGGTGGGTGAGGAAAATGATCTAGAATTAGATGATAATGGTTGCACAATTTTGTAAATATACTAAAAACCACTGAATTGTACATTTCAAGAGGGTATATTTTATGTGAATTCTATCTCAATGAAGTTCTTATTTAAAAAAATACAATAACATGGAGTTACCATATGGTATGGTTTGGATGTTTTGTCCTCTCTGAATCTCACGTTGAAATGTGGCCTCCAATGTTGGGAGGTGATTGGAAGGCCCTCCTTAACTGGAGGTGTTTGGGTCATGGGGTCGTATCCTTCATGAATGGCTTGGTGTTGTTTTCACAGTAATGAGCGAGTTCTCACTCTATGAGTTGACTCAAGATCTGGTTGTTTGGGGGACCGTGGCACCTCTCCAGCCCTTACTCCTTCTTTCACTGTGTGACGTACCTGCTCCTCCTTCACCCCGCCATGATCATAAGCTCCCTGAGGCCCCCACCAGCTTCGGCACCATGCTTCCTGTACAGCCTGCAGGACCATGAGCCAAAATAAACCCTTTTTCTTTATAATTACCCAGCCACAGGTATTCCTTTATAGCAATACAAACGGACTAACATACCGTATAACCCAGCACTTCCACTTCTAGATATATACCTGAAAAAGAAATAAAAACATGCCCACACAAAAACTTGACATGGATATTCATAGCAGCATTATTATTATTTATTTGAGACAATGTCTTGCTCTGTCGTCTAGGCCGGAGTGCAGTGGTGCAATCATGGCTTATTGCAGTCTTGACTGACCTCCTGGGTTCAAGCAATCCTCGCACCTTAGCCTCCCAAGTAGCTGAGAATACAGGCTCACATCACTGAGCCCAACTAAATTTTTTTTTTTTTTTTTGAGACAGAGTCTCACTCTGTTGCCCAGGCTGGAGTTCAGTGGCACAATCTCGGCTCACTGCAACCCCCACCTCCCAGGTTCAAGCGATTCTCCTGCCTCAGACTCCCGAGTAGCTGGGACTCTAGGTGTGCACCACCACACCAGGCTAATATTTGTATTTTTAGTAGAGATGGGATTTTACCATGTTGGTGAGGCTGGTCTTGAACCCCTAACCTCAGGTAATCTGCCCGCCTCGGCCTCCCAAAGTGCTGGAATTACAGGCGCAAGCCACCGCACCTGGCCCCAAGCCCAACTAATTATTTTTTATAGAGATGGGGTCTTACTATGTTGCTTTGGCTGGTCTCAAACTCTTGGACTCAAGCAATCCTCCTGTTTCAGCCTCCCAAAGTGCTGGGATTACAGACATGAGCCATTGTGCCTGGCTGCAGCATTATTTTTAATAGCCAAAAAGTGGAAAAAGACCCAAATATTCATCAGCTGGTGAATGGACACATAAAATGCAGTATATCCGTGCAGTAGAATATTATTTGGCAACAAAAAGAAATAGAATACTGATGCTATGACATGGATGAACCTTGAAAATATTATGCTAAGCAAAAGAAGACAGTCATAAAAGCATATTGTATCATTCCATTTATGTGAAATGTCCAGAACAGGCAAATCCATGGAGACAGAAAGTAGATTAGTGGTTTCCAGGGACTGGGAGAAATGGAGGAAAATGGATGTGACTGCTAATGGGTATGGGGTTGCTTTTGGGAGTGATAAAATGCTCTAAAATGTATCGTGGTACTGGTTGCACAACTCTGTGAATAGACTAAAAACAAGTGAATGGTACACTTTAAATGAAAGAATAGAATGGTATGGTAGGCAAATTATGTTTCAGTAAATCTGTTAAACAAGAAATAGATAAAAAATATTTTAGATTAAAAAAATGATTATAATGTCTGTGTGAGGTCTAAGTGAGTCTTTGCTCTCCTCCCCTGAAACACACATAGTTATCACACCAAATTATCATTGTGTATGTCTTTGTCTGTCTTGTCCACTGAACTGAGACCCCTGGGATGACAGAAACTTTCTAATTCATCCAGGGATAGCCCAGTGTGGTGATGCATGCCTATAGTCCCAGCTACTTGGGAGGCTGAGGTGGGAGGATCGCTTGATCCCAGAAGTTAGAGACTGCAGTGAGCTATGATCATGTCACTGCACTCCAGCCTGGGTGACAGAGTGAGACCCAGTCCCTAAAAATAATAGTAATAATAAAAATCAAGAATAGGCCAGGCACTGTGGCTCACATCTATAATACCAGTATTTCGAGAGGCCAAGGAGGGAGGATTGCTTGAGGCCATGAGTTTGAGACCAATCTGGGCAACATAGCAAAACCCCATCTCTAAAAAAAATAAAATTAAAAAAAAATATATATATATGTATTTCACACGTGGCCAACTTTCCGATCATGTAAGCTGTGCAGTCTCACAAGACCCTATGATCAGAAGGACCCCACACTTTGTTCAATGCCCTGCTGTCACTGTCTTGAAATTTTTAATACTACGGTATCTGAATAAAATGTAGGTGCCCCTCATCATTCTGCACTGGGCGCTGCAAATGGTGTAGCTGTCCTGAAGTCACCTTTGTACCCCCATCACTTAGCTTAGTACTGATGCGCGGTGGGTGCTCAATAAACATGAATTACTTTTCCCAGTCCCAGTACCCTAAGAACAGCCCAATGACCTTCCACACCGATTTACCTAGAGCTTCCTACCTGCCAGGGACTGTTAGCTGCTGGGATACAGGGGGAGCCAAAGCAGGCAGCTGAGACTCTTCCCATCACTGCAGGGGAAGCATTGAGGAGGAAGCTGTTCACGAAGCCACACGTGCCTACCTAACTACTATCTCCAGCAGCAATTACAGCATCTGACTCATTTGTACTTTTAGTCAGAGAAAAACGCATCACCTTGGAATCCTGATCTTGTGAGTTCTTCTTTGTTACAGGAAACAGAAGGCTCTGATGAATTAGGATGGGACTTTAGTTCTTTTCCACGGTGTGAATTTTTCAGTGTGCTTGTGAAAGATCACATTGACATCTATAATTAAAGAGATCTGTCAGCATCTTTTAATTCAATTCAGTTTCTTTCTTTTTTTTTTTTTTTTTTGAGACGAAGTCTCGCTCTTGTCCCCCGGGCTGGAGTGCGATGGCGCGATCTCGACTCACTGCAACCTCTGCCTCCCGGGTTCAAGCAATTCTCCTGCCTCAGCTTCCCGAGTAGCTGGGATTACAGGCGCCTGCCACCACACCTGGCTAATTTTTGTATTTTTAGTAGAGACGGGGTTTCACCATGTTGGCCAGGCTGGTCTCAAACTCCTGACCTCAGGTGATCCACCCGCCTCGGCTTCCCAAAGTGTTGGGATTACAGGCGTGAGCCACCACACCCTGCCTGCCTGTTTCCTTTTTTTCATACTATTTAAGCTACCAAAAAGTTGTTTATTTTTATTTTTTTGAGACAGGGTCTCGCTCAGTTGCCCAACCTTCAATTCAGTTTCTATGTAGAAAACACTTTGTTAGGTACTGCTGGTACAAAGACTGTAGCTGGGATTTTCTTTTTCTTTTTTTTTAGACTGGGTCTCACTGTGTCACCAAGTCTGGAGTGCAGTGACACAGTTGTGGCTCATTGCAGCCTCAACCTCCTGGGCTTAAGCTATCCTCCCACTTCAGCCTCCATAGTAGCTAGGACTACAGGCACACTCCACCATGCCTAGCTAATGTTTTAATTTTGTAGAGACGGGGGTCTTGCTATGTTGCCCAGGTTGGTCTTGAACTCCTAGCCTCAAGTGATCCTCCTGCCTTGGCCTCCTGAAGTGCTGGGATTATAGATGTGAGCTACTGTGCCCAGGCTGTGCTGGATATTTCTTTTTTTTTTCTTTTTTTTTTTTGGAGACAGAGTCTTCCTCTGTTGCCCAGGCTGGAGTGCAGTGGCACAATTTTGGCTCACTGCAACCTCTGCCTCCCGGGTTCAAGCGATTCTCATACCTCAGCCTCCCAAGTAGCTGGGACTACAGACGCACACCACCATGCCTGGCTAATTTTTGTATTTTAGTAGAGACGGGGTTTCACCATTTTGGTAGGTTGGTCTCGAACACCTAACCTCAAGTGATCCACCCAGCTCAGCCTCCCAAAGTGCTGGGATTACAGGTATAAGCCACCGCACCCAGCCTCAATGGCTGGATATTTCTAAGCTGGATCACGTGAGCATTTTGACAGAGATTAGGGTGAGCTACAACTTCATGAGGAGTTAGCAGAGAGAGCAATAAAATTCCTAATAGACCTGGGTTCCACTTGCTACATTTTTTTCTTTCTTTTTTTTTTTTTGGAGACAGAGTCTCGCTCTATCGCCCAGGCTGGAGTGCAGTGGTGCGATCTTGGTTCACTGCAAACTCTGCCTCCTGGGTTGACGCCGTTCTCCTGCCTCAGCCTCCCGAGTAGCGGGGACTACAGGCGCCTGCCACCACGCCTGGCTAATTTTTTTGTACTTTTTTAGTAGAGACGGGGTTTCACCGTGTTAGCCAGGATGGTCTCGATCTCCTGACCTCGTGATCCACCCGCCTCGGCCTCCCAAAGTGCTGGGATTACAGGCGTGAGCCACTGTGCCTGGCCTTTTTTTTCTTTTTTTAAGAGACAGGGTGTCACTATCTTGCCTAAGATGTACTCAAATTCCTGGGTTCAAGAGATCATCCTCCTCAGCCTCCAGAGTAGCTAGGACTATAGGCATCAGCCACCACTCCCTGCTAAATGAATTTTTCTAGCGGCAAGACCTGGGGGACAATTCCTTAATCTCTCCAAAGTTTAGTTGTTTATCAGTTAATACAACCCTGGTGTCACAAGGGCTGTTGTAAACATTACATGAGATAATGCCTGTATCACTCTTAGCACAGTGTCTGGCTCTTAGTGAGAATGTCACAACAGAAACAGAACCTAGGCCAGGCACGGTGGCTCACGCCTGTAATCCCAGCACTTTGGGAGGCCGAGGTGGGCAGATCACCTGAAGTCAGGAGTTCGAGACCAGCCTGGCCAATGTGGTGAAACCCCGTCTCTACTAAACATACAAAAAATTAGCTGGGCATGGTGGCAGGTGCCTGTAATCCCGGCTACTCGGGTGGCTGAGGCAGGAGAATTGCTTGAACCCGGGAGGCAGAGGTTGCAGTGAGCCGAGATCGTACCACTGCACTCCAGCCTGAATGACAAGAGTGAAACTCTGTCTCAAAAAAAATAATAAAAAGAAAAAAAAAAAAGAAACAGAACCTAAAACATTCTTTAAAACTGGGCTGTTTCGTGTCATCATGACTCAATAGTGCTGTTCCTGGCACACAGCTGCAGATCCTACAATACCTCTGCCTGCAAATTCCATTTTTCCAGCTAGAGGCGAAGGCAAACAATTCCAGCCAACATCACCTAACACTGTGAACACAGTAAGGTCCCTTTCTTCCCTCTCAGCCTTGGTGGTGACGCCTCTCTCTGCCCCCACTCCCCTAGGCATGCAGCGAGCTTTGCTCTTTGGGGAGGCTGAGCAGGGGGATTGGGATGCCTGCAGCTGCTGGCAGCAGTGCTAGGGAGAGGGGCCTTGACCTGTCCTGGCGTCTTTAGTTTCTGGGAGCCCACTCCTTTCTAACAGGGTTTGCCCACTGAGCACTTGAGAACTTGTGCCCTGGAAATAGACAGGACTGGGTTTGAATCCCAGCTCCATGACTTACATTCTGAGTCATCTCTATCTAGTGACCTGTGTAATGAATATTTCCTACCTGTCTTGGTTCAGGCTGCTATAGAAACTACCATAGACTAAGTGGCTTAGAAGCAACAGTGTTATTTCTCACAGTTCTGGAGGCGAGAAGTCTGAGATCAGGGTGCCAGCAGGGTCAGGCTCTGGGCAGGGCCCTCTTCTGGGTTGCAGCCTGCTGACCTCTGCTTGTATCCTCCCTCATATGGCAGAAAGAGGGCTGGAGAGATCTCTGGGTCTCTTTGCTAAGGGCACTAATCTCATTCATGATGGCTTTACCCTCATCACCTCATCACCTCCGAAAGGCCCTACCTCCTAACACCATCACACTGGGGGTTTAGAGTTCAACATATGAATTTTGGGGAAACACAAACATTCAGTCTCTTAACGCTTGCTGGATTAATGAGATAATGTACCTGTAGTACCCAGCACATACAAATAACTCAATAAATACTTCTTTTCCTCTTCCTCCTCATTATTATTTATTCTGCATATCTCTATCTGAGCAAATACTGGGTTTCTTCTCTTCAACTCCTGTTCCAGTAATCTATATAGATATTCTACTTTCCAGGGTTATTTTGCTTAGTATTTAATGATATTCCCATCCTATATCCATTTTCTTAAGTTCCCATTCTAGTACGAAAATGAAGTGAATCCCCTTTGTTAATAAATTTTAATGTCATTTAAAAAAATACAGGCCAGGCTTGGTGGTTCATGCCTGTAATCCCAGCACTTTGCAAGGCAGAGGCAGGTGAATTGCTTGAGGTCACGAGTTCGAGACCAGCCTGAGCAACATGATGAAACCCTGTCTCTACTAAAAATACAAAAATTAGCTGGGCATGGTTGCAGGAACCTGTAATCCCAGCTACTCAGGAGGCTGAGATTGGTGGATCCCTTGAGCCCAGGGAGGTCGAGGCTGCAGTAAGCCATGATTATGCCACTGCACTCCAGCCTGGGCAACAGAATGAGACCCTGTCTCACACACACACAAATAAAAATAAATTAAAAAACACCTGTTCACTAGCAGATCTTCTCCAAAGCTGACTCCCAGTTCTGAAGGGTATCTTTTAACACTAAGTAAATGGCGAGGAGATTCAAATCACTTGGCCCACTTACAAGTGAAAGTGTTTTCCAAGATCATCCCAGTTTCATTTCTCCAGGAAGTGGAAACTGTGTCAGCTGAGAAGATCCTAGCACTATTTGGGGGTATCCTTGAGATCTTCTAGATGGTCACGATTAACCCTAAAGCCAGCATCCACTGTTTTCAAGGCACTGTGCCCTATCAACCAAACACAGATCTTAAGGAGTTTCAAATGTTACAGGGGAGATAAGATATGTATATAAAGAAACAATATGGAAAGCAGTAAGTATAAGGCACATACAGAAAAAGTACAACTGAAGTTCAAGAAAAGATTTATTTTTGACTTGGAAAGTTGGGAAAGGCCTTGTGGAAAAGGTAGTCCTCATACTTGGGACTGGAGAGACTGGAGGAAAAAATTGGATGTGAAGAAATAAGTGTCAAAGGAAGGGAAAATTACTACCTGTATTTAAAAAATTTTTTGATGGCAACAGTTTTCACATTATGAGGAATGCTACAGAATTCCTCTTGTTTTAGGAGAAATCATGGATGGGTCTTTTGGTTATGAAACGCAAGCCCTAGGGAAGAGAGGGAAAGTAGAAGTCCAGAGGAAGCTGAATTCCTCTGGAGAAGCCAATAAATCTGTGTCTTTCTTGAGACAGAGATGTTGTTGCAATGTCAAATGATATTTGTGTCCTTCGGGCAGGCCTCAGAACAGAAGTTCAGGAGGCTTAGAACTCAAAGGAGGAAGGAGGCAATGAAATTCTATGAAAAAGAGAAGTTAGCAAAGGGCAACATGTTGTGGGTCAAGAAGAGCAGGCCAGTTACCAAATTCCCCATGGCAGGAGCCAACCGACTTCAGCAATGGCGGTACCTATTAAACACTTCCGTTATCCAAAATAGGCTGGGCGCAGCAACTCACACCTGTAATCCCAGCACTTTGGGGGGCCGAGGGGGGCAGATCACTTGAGGTCAGGAATTTGAGACCAGCCTGGCCAACATGGTGAAACCCCGTCTCTACCACAAATACAAAAATTAGCTGGACGTGGTGGTGTGCACCTGTAATCCCAGCTACTCGGGAGGCTGAGGTAGGAGAGTCGCTTGAACCCAGGAGACAGAGGTTGCAGTGAGCTGAGATTGTTCCACTGCACTCCAGCCTAGGTGACTGAGCGAGACTCCATCTCAGAAAAAAAAAAAAAAAAAAAAAAAAAGACTGATCAGGTTTCTGTTTTCATGGGCTTACATTCTAGTGAGGGAAACAGAAAGATAAACAGATGATAGATAGCAATAATTGCATTGTAAAGCTTTCAAGTAGGTTGATATAATAGCACTGGTGGCTACTTAAGACCAGGATGGCCAGGAAAGGCCTCTCTGAAGAAGTGGCTCACACCTGTAATCCCAGAACTTTTACCATTTGAGGTCTGAATGGTAATCAGCAGCTAGGTAAGTAAAGATCTGGAGGAAAGAGCATTCTAGGGAAAGATCTCGAACAGTACAAAGGCCCCAAGGCTGGAACAAGCTTGGCTTGTTCAAAGAACCCAATGGCCAGGTGGCTGCAGCATGCCATGGGGGAGGCTGGGAACATGCACTGGAATGCGAGGTTGATTTTTACCCATGAAGCAAATGAAATGACATTTTGTAACATGTCAACCAAAAAGCTAGAAGCCACAGACTCCTGACTTGAATATGAAGGGTACCTTGTGTTGAAATTTTTACATTTATTTATTAAGAAACTGTAAAAATTTCAGATTAAAAATTAATAGACTATCAGCACCATAAGACAGGGTGAGGGCTGGGCACAGTGGCTCACGCCTGTAATCCCATCACTCTGGGAGGCCAAGGCAGGCAGATCCCGAGGTCAGGAGTTTGAAACCAGCCTGGCCGACATGATGAAACCCCATCTCTACTAAAAATACAAAAATTAGCCAGGCGTGGTACTGTGTGCCTGTAATCCCAGCTACTTGGGAGGCTGAGGGAGGAGAATCACTTGAACCCAGGAGGCGGAGGTTGCAGTGAGCTGAGATCGTGCCACGGTACTCCAGCCTGAGAGACAGAGTGAGACTCCATCTCAAAAAACAAACAAACAAAAAAACAAAAAACAAGACAGGGTGAAAAAAATCAGTAGAATATAAAACAAAAGTGATGAAGATATGTGATTAAAACAAAAGTGATGAAGATATGTGATTAGTACATACTCCAACATCAAGAAAAGAATTAACAACAAAAAGTTCAGATTCTACAGAAAGTACTAGTGTTAAGAGGAAGAGACAACACTTGAATAGAGGTAATAAATAAGCTTCTAGCTTGCTGGATAATACCATTAATGAAGATAAGGGAAAGATAGGAACCCCTAAGAAAAAGATTTTGAGTTCTTGCTGATTTAACACAAAATATTGACATCAGTAAAAGTCACATAACACTGAGGATTCACCACTAAAACAAGGACTTCAACAACCAACTCATAATGGTTATTGTCAAATCAAAGAATACTTAAGATTAATCTTAACAAGAAAACATGAAATGCCCTAAAATCTTACAGCTCATTTGGGATAGAAAATTGATAGAGGTTTTAACAACAGTCCTAAAATTTTACATAATAATGAATCATGTAGTTGAAAGACACTCTTTTAAAATATCATAAAAACCAAATTTCAGCCGGGTGTGGTGGCTCACGCCTGTAATCCCAACACTTTGGGAGGCTGAGGCAGGCAGATCACTTGAGGTCAGGAAGTTCGAGACCAGCCTGACCAACATGGAGAAACCCCATCTCTACTAAAAATACAAAATTAGCCGGGCATGGTGGCGCATGCCTGTAGTCCCAGCTACTCGGGAGGCTGAGGCAGGAGAATAGCTTGAACCTGGGAGGCGGAGGTTGCAGTGAGCCAAGATCGCGTCATTGTACTCCAGCCTGGGCAACAAGAGTGAAACTCCGTCTCAAAAAACAAACAAACAAACAAACAAACAAACAAACAAATTTCAAGCAACCATGCTGGAGGACAGAGAATTATCTTTCTACCCTTTCCTTAGAAAATGAAATTAAAAATGATATTTAGGCTGGGCATGGTGACTCATGCCTGCCATCCCAGCACCTTGGGAGGCCGAGGCGGGAGGATTGCTTGAGCCCAGAAGTTTGAGACCAGCTTGGGTAACCTAGTGAGACCTCGTCTCTACTAAAAATAAAATGAAATAAACTAGCTGGGTGTGGTGGCACACACCTGTAGTCCCAGCTACTCAAGAGGCTGAGACAGGAGGATCACTTGAGCCCAGGAGTTTGAGGTTGCAGTAAGCTATGAAAAAACAAAAAAAAGATATTTTAAATTGTCATATGAAGAGACAAAGACTAGTGAAAAAATGTAGCAAAAAGTATTTTAGTTGTGTTAATAAGTTAATTCATAAAAAATATATTTTGGGCTGTGTGCAGTGGCTCACACCTGTAATCCCATCACTTTGGTAGGCTGAGGTGGGAGGATTGCTTGAGCCCAGGAGTACAAGACCAGCCTGGGCATCAGAGTGAGACCCTGTTTCATTTTAAAAAATTACATACTTATATATGTAGTAATAAATATATAATATAGTAATAAATATATAATTATGGTTATTTTCCTAAACTTGGTGATATTTTTTGCAAGTTTTTGAAAATTTGAAATTTATTGTGGTTTCTTCTTGGATTCTAAACAAATATTCATTTTCTTTCTTTTCTTTTTTTTTTTTGAGACAGGGTCTAGCTCTGTTGCCCAGGCTGGGATGCAGTGGCACAATCATAGCTCACTACAGCCTGGATCTCCCAAGCTCAAGGGATCCCCCTGCCTCAGCCTCCCCAGTTGCTGGGACTACAGGGACATACTACTATACTCAACTAATTTATTTGCTTTTTATTTGAGACAGGGTCTCCCTGCATTGCCCAGGCTGGTCTCGAACTCCTAGGCTTAAGCAATTTTCCCACCTCAGCCTCCCAAAGTGCCAGAATTACAGGCGTGAGCCACTGTGCCCAGCTAAATATTCATTTTCAATTTAGTGTTTTATTTGTGTTTAGGCCGGGCGCAGTGGCTCACACCTATAATCTCAGCACTTTGGGAGGCCGAGGCGGGTGGATCACCTGAGGTCAGGAGTTCGAGACCAGCCTGACCAAATGGCAAAACCCTGTCTCTACTAAAAATATAAAAATTAGCTGGGTATGGTGGTGTGTACCTGTAATCCCAGCTACTTGGGAGGCTGAGGCAGAAGAATCGCTTAAGCCTGGGAGGCGGAGGTTGCAATAAGCTGAGATCGTGTCACTGCACTCCAGCCTGGGCAACAGAGTTAGACTCTGTCTCAAAAAAAAAAAAATTAATTAAAAATAAATAAAAATAAAAGTAACAATATTTGTGATTTTATATTTTTTTTCGTAAAGAGGCTCCTCCCTCTTTACGAAATTGTGTAAGTTCCAGGACCCACAAAACCTAAATCTTTCCCTAGGTACAAGAAGATATACAGTTTGCTGCTAAAGAAGGGATTTGGATTTTATTCTATGTATGACGGGAAGCTATTAAAAGGTTCTGATTAGACGAATGACGAGCTGATTCATGACATTTTAAAAAGATGGCTCTGGCTGCCGGGTTAGTTAGTGGGGGAGATGGAGGGGGAGGCTGTGTCCATGTTTGTGGTGACAAGGAGTGGGGGGTTCCTAAAGCTGTGCAACAGCCAGAGTCTCTGGAGAAAAAGCCAGGACAGGTATTCAGAGCAGGAGGAGGTAAGCCCCAGAAGTAAGCATTGGGCACAGGTTAGCTATGATGGTCATGATGACCACTTACCATTCAGCTAATATATACTGAATGCTTACTTCCGGAGAAGGTGAAATAGCCCTGGGTGGGTTCAGAAATATTGAAGAAGAGATCGAGTTTCCTATAGGATGGGGGCTTAAGTTAGGGAAACTGATCTGAGAAGGCTTGGGGACTTAGGGACACATGATTGGCAAGGAGAGAATAAAAAGACACAGAGGGAGCGAACACAGGACATGCAAAGGTAAAGGGACAAGTGAGACATTAGGTGGGCTGAAACACAGGACACAACAGCAGTAATAGCTAACACTTCCACAGTTCACCTGGTGCCATTACTGGGTTTTGCACATATTAACTATTTTATTTTATTTTATTTTATTTTATTTTATTTTATTTTATTTTATTTTGTTTTGTTTTGTTTTGTTTTATTTTGTTTTGCTTTGTTTTAATTTTTGAGACAGTTTCGTTCTGTTACCCAGGCTGGAGTGCAGTAGTGCAATCTTGGCTCACCGCAACCTCTGCCTCCTGGGTTCAAGCGATTCTCCTCCCTCAGCCTCCCCAGTAGCTGGGATTACAGGCATGCACCACCACACCCAACACATTTTTGTATTTTTAGTAGAGACAGGGTTTCACCGTGTTGGCAGGACTGGGCTCGAACTTCTGATCTCAAATGATCCACTCACCTCAGCCTCCCAAAGTGATGGGATTACAGGCGTGAGCCACAGCGCCCAACCTAACCCATTTATTTTAGAAAGAGAAGCTGCAGTCAGATCATGGTCTGCTCTAAGTTAAGAAACACGGACATATTTTATGGATAGTGGGGAGCCACTCAAACACCACTGAAGGTTTTTGAGCAGGTATTATTAGGAAATAAAAAAGAGTAATCAAGATCACTTAGCTAGGGGGGCCTAAAGACCTCCTGAAATTTTGAGCAAATATTTGTGTGAATGCTTCTTTTCCTGGGGAGAGTTCATACCTCCCATCCAACCTCAAAGGTGTCTGAGATTTCAACAAAGGCTAAGGAAGGCCGGGTGTGGTGACTGGAGCCTGTAATCCCAGCATTTTGGGAGGCTGAGGTGAGTGGATTGTTTGAGTTCACAAGTTCAAGGCCAGCCTGGGCAATATGGTGAAACCCCATCTCTACAAAAAATATAAAAATTAGCCAGGTGTGGTAGCATTGTGCTTGTAGTCCCAGCTACTTGGAAGGCTGAGATGGGAGGATGAGATGGGAGGATGGCTTGAGCCCGGGAGGCAGAGGTTGCAGTGAGCTGAGATTGCACCACTGCACTCCAGCCTGGGTGATGGAGCCAGACTGTGTCTCAAGAAAAAAAAAAAGTTAAAAATCACGGACTTAGTGGTTTCAAGCCTAGATGACCAATAGGATGGTAGTAACATGAATGCAAGTAGGGGTCACAGGCAAGACATAAGGAGGTAGGGTTGGCTGGAAGAGCAGAGACATGGTCTCTTCCCTCTGAGATATGTTGATTTCACAGTGTTATAGATGGGTCTCGAGTAGGCAGTAGAGACTTGGAACCCAGCTCTCCAGAGATGGGGCGAGGCTGCTGCCACAGGCAGGGGAGTGATCCTCTATCACAAGCTCGAGTTTGAATGACATTGTCAAGGAAAATCTGAAAAGAGGGCCAAGGACAGATCTTTGAACACTATTTGATCTGACTGCCATGCCTTTTCCTAAGTGCTTTCTGACAGATTTTTTTTTTCTACACGGGAAATTCACATTTTGAACTTTAGTTCCTAAAATACATTAAATTATACTTGGCTTCTAAGACGAGGCAGGAGGGGATGCACATAATGACTACTTATGTGGCTTCTCATCTGAGGAAATTATCTCTTCAAAATGATCAGGTGCTCCTGACCCTGTTCTTAAGAGCGTGGGCATTTTTGAGCTAATTTTGGAAGTGTGAAGGATAATTGTTAGCACTCAGAGGACCTAGTTCTAGCCCAGTGTTAAAATCTCGGGAACTGGCTGGTCACAGTAGCTCAAGCCTGTAATCCCAGCACTTTGGGAGGCTGAGAAAAAGGATTGTTTGAGTCCAGGAGTTCAAGATCAGGCTAGGCAATATGGCGAAACCCAAAAATACAAAAATTAGCTGGGCATAGTGGTGCATGCTTGTGGTCCCAGCTACTAGGGAGGCTGAGGTGTGTGGATCACTTGAGCCTGGGATGCGGAGGTTGCAGTGAGCCAAGATTGCACCAGTGCATTCCAGCCTGGAAGACAGAGCAAGACCCTGTGTCAAAAAAAAAAAAAAAAAAAAAGCTGGGCATGGTGGCACACACCTGTAATTCCAGCACTTTGGGAAGCTGAGGCGGGTGGATCACCTGAGGTCAGGAGTTTAAGACCAGACCAGCCAACATCGTGAAACCCCATCTCTACTTAAAAAAAAAAAAAAATACAAAAATTAGCTGGCTGTGGTGGCGTGCACCTGTAATCCCAGCTACTTGGGAGGCTGAGGCAGGAGAATTGCTTGAACTCAGGAGGCGGAGGTTGCAGTGAGCCGAGATCATGCCATTGCACTCCAGCCTGGGTGACAAGAGTGAAACTCTGTCTCAAAAGAAAAAAAAAAAATCAGAAATCCACAAAATCCATCCCCTCCCTGGGGAGGAAAGAAAAGATACCTACATGTGGCAGGAAGCTGCTTCAAGTATTAAGGTAGGCCAGGCATGGTGGCTAACGTCTGTAATCTCAGCACGTTGGGAGGCCGAGGTGGGCAGATCACGAGGTCAGGAGTTCGAGACCAGACTGACCAATATGGTGAAACCCCGTCTCTACTAAAAATACAAAATGTAGCTGGGCATGGTGGCGCATGCCTGTAGTCCCAGCTACTCAGGAGGCTGAGGCAGAAGACTTGCTTGAACATGGGAGGTGGAGGTTGCAGTGAACCAAGATTGTGCCTCTGCACTCCAGCCTGGGTGACAAAGTGAAACTCCCTCTCAAAAAAACAAAAAAAGAAAAAAAGAAAAGAAAGAAACCCCATCTCTACTAAAAATACAAAAATTAGCTGGGCGTGGTGGTGAGCACCTGTAATCCCAGCTACTCAGGAGCCTAAGGCAGGAGAATCGTTTAAACCTGGGAGGCAGGGGTTGCAGTGAACCAAGATCGTGCCACTGTGCTCCAGCCTGGGTGACAGAGTGAGACACTGTCTCAAAAAAAAAAAAAAAATTAAGGTAGATTGCACATTGATAGCTCCTATCCTGGAACAATGGTCATAATCCAATAACACTAAGAAATATCCCAAAGAAGCCGGGCGCGGTGGCTCACGCCTGTAATCCCAGCACTTTGGGAGGCGGACGCGGGCGGATCACCTGAGGTCGGGGGTTCGAGACCAGGCTGACCAACATGGAGAAACTCCGTCTCTACTAAAAATACAAAATTAACCAGGTGGTGGCGCATGCCTGTAATCCCAGCTACTCAGGAGGTTGAGGTAGGAGAATGGCTTGAACCGGAGAGGTGGAAGTTGTGGTGAGCCAAGATTGTGCCGTTGCACTCTAGCCTGGGCAACAAGAGCTAAACTGTCTCAAAAAAAAAAAAAGAAAGAAAAAAGAAAGAAAAAGATCTCAAAGAAGTGCCATCATTTTCCTGAGAGGCTGTTTAATTTTGTGTGGGTACATTATTTCAATAAGAAAAGAGCAGCTGTTTTAGTCTGTCATACCCAGAAACTACCTGATAGCCAATATCATGAAACTCTGCGGAGGCAGTAAAATGCTATAAGTGGTCATGATGATCACCATGGCTAACATGTGCTGAACACTTACTTTGGTTTTTGGAGACAGAGTCTTGCTCTGTCGTCCAGGTTGGAGTGCAGTGGTGCAATCATAGCTCTCTGTATCCTCAAACTCCCGGGCTCAAGCGAGCCTCCTGAGTAACTGGGACTACAGGCATGAGCCACTACACCCAGCTTTGAATGCTTACTTTGTACCAGGCCCTGAGTTAAGGCCATATATTGGCCGGGCAGGATAGCTCACACCTGTAACTCCAGCACTTTGGGAAGCAGAGGCATGTGGATTGAGTCCCAGCGTTCAAGACCAGCCTGGGCAACATGGCGAAATTCCATTTCTACAAAAACAAACAAACAAATAAACATTAGTCGAGCGTGGTGGCACATGCCTATAATCCCAGCTACTTGGGAGGCTGTGGGAGAATTACTTGAGCCCAGAGGTTGTAGTGAGCCAAGATGGTGCCACTGCACTCCAGCCTGGGCGACAGAGTGAGACCTCATCTCCAAAAAATAAATAAATGAAACAAATTTTTAAAAAAGAAAAAAAAGGCTATATATTCATTACTCATTTAATCCTCACAAAAATCCCATCAGATGAGTTTTGTTAAAGGTCTTATTTTATGGATGCAGAAATTGAGGCTTAGTGAGCAAAGTTTATGCTTCTAACCACCCCCAGACTGTTCCTGCTTTACTCTGGGCAAGACTCATCTGCAGACCTTCGTATGGCCATGTCCAGCCTTGTGGGCCCGGATCATCCATACAAGGGGCAGTAGAAATAAAGCCAAGAGTAAACACCCTTAGATCCACTAGGCTGCACTCTAGCCCTGCCCCTGTGCCATGCTGCAGCATGCTTCCACCCAGCTCTGAACCCTGCCCGTCTGGCTCTAAATACCTGCTTATTGTCCCTACTTCCATGCACTTCAAACCCTGCACTTCAAACCCTGCTGGTTTGCCTTAGGGTGCAGCTGGGTTTGGCCCCACCACCTGCAAAGGTTGGGGCAGAGCTAAACAAACAAGGACTTGGATTAGCTGCACCCTGTGAGTCAAGGCCAGTTTTTTTTTTTTTTTTTTGTCGCCCAGGCTGGAGTGCAGTGGCGCGATCTCGACTCACCCCAACCTCCGCCTCCTGGGTTCCAGCGATTCTCCTGCCTCAGCCTCCTGAGTAGCTGGGATTATAGGCACCCGCCACCATGCTCAGCTAATTTTTGTATTTTTAGTACAGACGGGGTTTCGCCATGTTGGCCAGGCTGGTCTCAAACTCCTGACTTCAGGTGATCCACCCGTCTTGGCCTCACAAAGTGCTAGGATTACAGGCATGAGCCACTGTGCCAGCCGAAGGCAAGGCCAGTTCTAAGAGGAACGTGCTCAACTCGGAGGAAGTCTCCTATGGCTGGCAGAACAAATACTGGCAGAAAAGGGATACTGAAATGCCTGCCCAGCAGTGAGGGCTGGAACTAGATAGAATTAGATTGCCAAAGTGGACAGGTAGAGGGCCAGGACTAGATGTCATAGGGCAAAAGGCACAACGTAGAATATCAGAGGCTTTCTGATAACAAGGTAGCCCTGGGTTGAGAAATTCAAGAAGGGTCAATATTTAAGAACCAGGATAGATGTCATAGGGTAGACTTTCTCCTCTTTTTCCCCGTTACGGGTTGAATTGTGTCTTCCCCAAATTCTTATGTTGAAGTCCTAAGGCGCAGTACCTCAGAATGTGATCTCATTTGCAAACAGGGTTGTTACAGATGTAAGCAGTTAAGATGACGTCATTCAGGTGGCTTTAATCCTATATAATTTGTGTACCTATAGGAAGGGAAATTTGGGCCAGGCGCAGGGACTCACACTTGTAATCCCAGCACTTTGGGAGGCCAAGGAGGATGGATTGCTTGAGCCCTAGAGTTTGAGACCAGCCTGGCCAACGTGGTGAAACCCTGACTCTACCAAAAATACAAAAATTAGCCAGTCTCATAACCCTGTCTCAAAATAAATAGAAATTTCTTTAAAAAAAAAAGGGAAATTTGGAAACAGAAATGCACACACAGGGAGGATGTTGTGTGAAAATGAAGGCGAGATCAGGGTGATGGTTCTACATGCTGAGGAATGCCAAAGACTGCCAGCAAGCCACCAGAAGCGAGGGGAGAGGCATGGAAAAAATTCGATCTCACAGCTCTCAGAAGGAACCAACCCTGCTGACACCTTGACCTTGGACTTCTGACCTCTAGAACTGTGAGACAATACGCTTCTGTTGTTGAAGACACCCAGTTTGTGGTCTGGTCTTGTCTTTTTTTTTATTTGAGACAGAATCTCGCACTGTTGCCCAGGCTGGAGTACAGTGGCATGATCTCGGCTCACTGCAACCTCCGCCTCGTGGGTTCAAGCAATTCTCCCACCTCAGCCTCCTGAGTAGCTGGGATTACAGGCGCCTGCCACCACGCCTGGCTAATTTTTTGTATTTTTAGTAAAGACAGGGTTTCACTATGTTGGCCAGGCTGGTCTCGAACTCCTGACTTGTGATCCGCCCGCCTCGGCCCCTCAAAGTGCTGGGATTACAGGTGTGAGCCACCACACCAGGCCCAGTTTGTGGTATTTTCTTACAGCAGCCCTAGAAAATAAATGCACCTCTTTTCTCTAAAACTCTAGGCCTGTTCCAGTCTGCTTCTGGCCAATCTAGTCCTGGTTTCCTGAACCCAGGCTTCAGAAGAGGCAGATCTGCAGAGAGCTTTTCAATAAAAATGGCTCCAGCAGAGCTCATGGGTATGCAGAGCTCATTGGAAGTTGGCAGGCAGAGTAGCATGGGGACCTTACACTCCACCTTGCAGGCTGAAGATACTCTGTGTCCTATGTTCAATGTGGTTTCAGGGAGAGGGTTCTCAATGTAGAACTGGGTACGTGCTAACTCTCTTGAGGGATGAAAATATTTAACCTGGAGCATGGATTTTGCTTAACATGACTCATAAAAATCTTTGTTCTCAGCCTCTCTCCCCATCACCATTCAGGCTGTTACCAACTTGCCTTTTATCTGACAAAGGCAGCCAGTTTCCGTGGTTACCTACAAGCATACAGCAAGGTGCCATTCCCAGGAGACCCCTGGATTAAGCAAATAGCAAGACAGGGGGCCTCTGGCCCAAGGAAAATAACCTGGATCCAATGATCAGAGTGGGATACTGGGGGCAACTGGATTTCAGGAGCAAGTTGGAAGCCCAGTTATTATAGCTGGGCATGGAGCCAGAGGCAGAGCAGCAAACCTAGTACTACTGTCTGCTGGACACTGAGCCCTTCCTATGAAGCAGGTGCTACAGCAAGCAACTCATGTGCCTTACCTCCTTTGGTCCTTGCCTACTTACCAAAGCACTCAGTTTTATAGATGGAGGAACTCATGTGACACGTTGAAGATCACATGGCCGGTAGGTAACAAGGATTTGAACCCAGGCGCTGAATACCTTCCATTTATCCCTCTAGCTGAGCTTGCTGTCCTTCTCCACCCCAGAGGCTGACCTTATGAGCTGCATCAACAGCCTCCCTTTCCCCGCTAGCACCAGTTGGGTCTGTTAGTGGAGAGCCCCACAGACAAGAGGGAAGAAAGGAGAGGGTGCTTTTGGCTTGTGGTGCCACAAAGTGGTTTTCTCTATATAATCTTCTCCTTCTATTTCCTTCTCTGTGTCTTTGAATCTAGGGCTGCTACTGCTCTATCCCTTGTGGTTGTCCAGTGCCCACTCTTTTGGAGGAAGCCTCTTTATAATAAGTCCTTCTTGACTTATGGTCTTTCTGGTAAGACTGACTGCTGTACCAGGTCTGTCTACTGCTGAAGGCTTTAGCCTGAACTCCCATGCTACTCTTCTCTTTGTTTTCCAGCCAGCGTGGTGATTTGAGTCCCAGAGCATTGGATCAGTGCTTTTTTTTTTTTTTTTGAGACAGAGTGTTGCTCTGTTGCCCAGGCTGGAGTGCAGTGGCGCAATCTCAGCTCACTGCAACCTCCACCTCCTGGGTTCAAGCGATTCTCCTGCCTCAGCCTCCCAAGTAGCTGGAATTACAGGTGCATGCCACCACGCCCAGCTAATTTTTGTGTTTTTAGTAGAGATAGGGTTTCACCACGTTGGGCAGGCTGGTCTCGAACACCTGACCTCAGGTGATCTGCCCACCTCAGCCTCCCAAAGTGCTGGAATTATGGGTGTGAGCCACCATGCCCAGCCGGATCAGTGCTCCTTAAACGCCTGCAATCTAAGGTCAGCATTGGTCTCTGAGACTTGGCACTGTGGGAAAGAGGTGCTAAGCCTGAGGTGGGTACTCAGTGGTTACAAGTGTGAGGAGAGGGCACGGCAGAGTCTGGAGAGCTAAGCAGGGCCTGACACTCACCTACAAGGACCTTCCATTCCCACGTGGTCCTTCTGTTCTGGCAGCTCCCCAGTGCTGAGCTGCTGCACTGGAGTTTAGCTAACTGTTCAGCTGGAGGGAACCGTCCCTGCAAGCCTGCCTTCACTTCAGACACCAGCCACAAGTTTGTGGGTTTGCAGGACCACCCTCACTTCAGACTATATGGCTACAAACTCAGAGGTTTTCAAAACCACCCTCACAGAATGATTCACAGAACTCAGGAAGTGCTATACTTACGGTTACAATTTTATTTTATTTTATTTTTTGAGACGGAGTCTTGTACCGTTGCCCAGGCTGGAGTGCAGTGGCACGATCTTGGCTCACTGCAAGCTCCGCCTCCTGGGTTCAAGCCATTCTCCTGCCTCAGCCTCCCGAGTAGCTGGGACTACAGGCGCCTGCCACCACGCCTGGCTAATTTTTTGTACTTTTAGTAGAGACAGGGTTTCATTGTGTTAGCCAGGTTGGTCTGGATCTCCTGACCTCGTGATCCGCCCGCCTCGGCCTCCCAAAGTGCTAGGATTACAGGCGTGAGGCACCACGCCCGGCCTATGGTTACAATTTTATTGTAGCAAAGAAGATAAACTCAAATCAGCCAAGGGAAGAGATGCAAGAGCAGATTTCAAACGATATCCACTTGAGGAGCTTCTGGTCATCATCTCTCCATAGAATCATGGAGTCTTGAACATGATGTGTGATAATATATAGTACAGATGCCCTTTGACTTACAATGGAATTACCTCTCAATGAACCAACTGAAAATATTGCAAATCGAAAATGCATTTAATACACCTAAACTACCGAACATCACAGCTTTGCCTAGCCTACCTTAATTGTGTTCAGAATGCTTATATTAGCCTATATTTGGGCAAAATCATCTAATGTAAGGCCTGTTTTGTAATAAAGTGGTGAATATCTCATGTGATTTATTGAATACTGTATACTGCATAGAAATTGTGACAGTTTTGCATCATCATAAAGTCAAAAAATCTAAGTCAAACCATCCTAAGTCAGAGACCTTCTGTATTGCCAACATGAGAAGGTCACCTAAGCCTTTGGTGTTCAGGGTTTTTGTGGGAGTTCAGTTACAACAAATTTTGGTATCTAGTCCTTTCCAGAGGTCAGAACTGATGTGACATGACCCAAAGCCTTCATCATAAATCACACTGTTAGACTGCTCAATGGCCAAAGCCTATAGGCAAACAAAAACAGTCCTATCAGTCAGGACATTCCAGGGGTCTAGAGATCACCTCCTGGTAGCCAAGGACAACAGCCAGACCTCTCTTTGGGGCAGGTTAATTCTTCATTACACAACGACTTTGCTCCTTTAGCATCTATCAGACCTTCCCACTTGGCAGTATTCCTAGTGTTTGTCTTGCCTGGCCAGCACAGTGCTGTTATCATCCATGTGTCCATCGGAGTGTGGGATGGAGCTCAGGAGACACTTGATTCTGTCTATGGTGAGCTTACCAGCTCTTACCCATTGCAAGACTCACCACTGCAACCACTATCCCTGCTACTGTGGTGGTAAATTTCATGTCTTTATTCCATTGTTGGGAAGGGATATCTGCTTTACAAAAGAGTTTCTCGACTGGGTGCAGTGGCTCACGCCTGTAATCCCAGCACTTTGGGAAGCTGAGGGGGTGTGGGTCACCTGAGGTCGGGAGTTCGAGACCAGCCTGACCAACATGGAGAAACTCTGTCTCTACTAAAAACACAAAATTAGTCGGGCGTGGTGGCATGTGCCTGTAATCCCAGCTACTCGGGAGGCTGAGGCAGGAGAATCGCTTGAACCCGGGAGGCAGAGGTTGCAGTGAGCCAAGATCGCACCATTGCACTCCAGCCTGGGCAATAAGAGCAAAACTCCATCTCAAAAAATAAAAGAGTTTGTCTTTGGGGCACTAGGGGAAGAGTCTACAATCTCCTAAATGCCCTTGCACAAATCAACTGCCTCCCTGCTCTTGTGCTTTGGGGCCATTATTAGTAAAATAAAGGTTACCTGAACACAAGCACTGTGATATGACAGTTGATCTGATAACCAATAACCAAGAGGGCTACTAAGTGACTTTCAGGGCGGGGAGCGTATCAGCCTGGATATGCTGGACCTAGGGATGGTTCATGTCCCCAGTGGGGTAGGGCAGGACAGCACAAGCTTTTATCATTCTACTCAGAGTGACACAGTTTAAAACATTTGATGCATTATTTCTGGAATTTTCCATTTAATATTTTCAGACCCCCTGTTGACCATGAGTAACTAAAATCTGGGAAAACAAAACCACGAATAAGTGGGGGGACTATTGTCTGTGCCCGGCTCTTGTCTTAGGCCTCTTGAAAGCCACAGATGTGTCTTAGTCATCTTTGATACCTCCAGTGCCTACCACGAGCTGGTCCCTCACAGTTATTCTGTAAACCGACTTCTCTAGTTCACTTGCTCAGCAATACACTGCATTGAATTTCTCTAGATGAGAATTAGCAGAGGTGCCTCTGAATGCACACTAGCCCAGTCTTTAATAACACATCTTTATTTGGAAGAGTTATTCTGTTTGCAGATATTACCTCTTCTAATCCTTGCACCTGTGAGATAGGTGCTCTTACTACCCCCATGAACAGATGAAGGAAGAAATTGAGGCATCTATAGAGAGCAACTTTCCCAAGGTCATCTAATCCCCAGGTGGCCCAGTGGGGACAGAACCAGGTCTGTTGGATTCCAGAGCTCCAAGTCCTTAACCACTATTCTGTAATGGCCTGGGGTAGTCCAGTGAGATCAATGCAATTATAGGTCATTTCCAGGAGAGGATTTAGCTTGAAATCATGCTTAGAGTTGAGAATGCGATTATAAAATGAAGTGACTTTGAATAATCTGTGAAGAGGTGAAATGAAAGCTAGTGATTATGACTGAGAATGCACTAGAAGTAGAAAAAAAAATGATCCTGGTTTTTAAGGCAGTAGGAAGCCACTGTTAAGTCCATCAGGTGAAAAGAGATCATCATTAAATCCACATGTAAAACACAAGCTGAAACATTTGTGTGTTGTTTTTTCTGATCTTAGAGTAATCTTTACTTTGCAGCTCTCTTTTTTCTACATTTTTCACATTGGACGGACAATGTAGCCCTGTATTTTAGGGTTAATTTCTTTCTTTCTTTCTTTCTTTTTTTTTTTTTTTTTTTTTTTTGAGACAGGGTCTTGTTCTGTTGCCCAGGCCAGAGTGCAGTGGCATGATCACCATTCACTGCAGCCTCGATCTCCTGGGCTCAATTGATCCTCCTGCCTTGGCCTTCCAAGTAGCTGGGACTACAGGCATGCACCACACCCAAGTACATTTTTTTTTTTTTTTGTCGAGATAAGATTTCGCCATGCCACCCAGGCTGGTCTTGAACTCCTTGGCTCAACTGATCCACCCACCTCAGCTTCCCAAAGTGCTGGGATTATAGGTGTGAACCACTGCACCCAATCTTCAGGTTAATTTTTTTGTTTGTTTGTTTGTTTGTTTGTTTGTTTGTTTGTTTTGAGACGGAGTCTGGCTCTGTCCCCCAGGCTGGAATGCAGTGGCGCAGTCTCGGCTCGCTGCAAGCTCCGCCTCCGGGGTTCATGCCATTCTCCTGCCTCAGCCTCCCGAGTAGCTGGGACTACAGGCGCCCGCCACTACGCCCAGCTAATTTTTTATATTTTTAGTAGAGACGGGGTTTCACCGTGTTAGCCAGGATGGTCTCGATCTCCTGACCTCGTGATCCACCCGCCTCGGCCTCCCAAAGTGCTGGGATTACAGGCGTGAGCCACCGCGCCCGGCCAATTTTTGTTTTTATACATGTAATGTCATGTGCTGCATAATGAGGTTTGGGGCAATGAGGAACTGCATATATGAGGGTGGCCTCATACGATTATAATGCCATATTTTTACTGCATCTTTTCCATGTTTAGATATGTTTAGATACACAAACACTTACCATTATGTTATGATTGCCTACAGTATTCAGTACAGTAACATGCTGTACGGATTTGTAACCCAGGAGCAATAGGCTATACCATATAGCCTATGTGTGTAGTACACTATAGCATCTAGGTTTGTGTAAGTAAACTTTATGATGCTCGCACAATGTTGAAATCGCCCAGTGATACATTTCTCAGAATGTCTCCCATCATTAAGCAGTGCATAACTGTACACAATAGTATAAAAGGGTAGCATTGCCTAAAATTTCTAATTAAAAAAAATCAAGCTGGGAGCGGTGGCTCACGCCTGTAATCCCAGTACTTTGGGAGGCCGAGGCGGGCGGATCACGAGGTCAGGAGATCGAGACCATACTGGCTAACACGGTGAAACCCCGTCTCTATTAAAAATACAAAAAAATTAGCCAGGCATGGCGGCGTGCTCCTGTAGTCCCAGCTGCTGGGGAGGCTGAGGCAGGAGAATGGCATGAACCCGGGAGGCGGACAGTGCAGTGAGCTGAGATTGCGCCACTGCACTCCAGCTTGGGTGACAAAGCAAGACCCCATCTCAAAAAAAAAAAAAAAAAGTTCCCTGTCTGATCCCTATATACTTCTACTCTCTTGAGACAATCACCTCAGCTCTCAGCTGTTCCTTCTAACATTTATAATCACTTTTTAAATAATATGTTTTTATTTAACTTCTTAGCTGATAGATTTTAGGTATAATCTATTGATTTCCCACCATCATAGATGAGGGTTTCCCTTTTCCATATCACCTTTTCCACTTCCCTTTCTCCCACCTTCCCTATGTAAGCCTATTGACATCTCATATCTCTTTTTCTACCTAAGCATATTGACATTTTATGTTATATCCAAAGTCAGTGTTTATATTATTATGGCTGAGCAAATATTGGTGACAACCAAATCAGACAGTATTAAATAGTATTCTATTTTCAACCACACCTCCTTTCTTGTATTTAAATTTTTCCTATATTAAAAATTGCCATGTTTTTTCACTTGCCTATTTGCCCACGAACTCATCCAATTTTTCCCCAAGCATTTCAATACCTCTGTCACTTACATATCAAAATGTCTCCCAAATATTCGCACATGTAATTTCCATAGTTTTCCTAGAACTCTTCCGGAAACTTCCTTTGTTCTGTCTGGGCAGAGTGCTCTCAACAGCTGCACACAACTGACAATCTGGGAATTCCTAGCTTTTTGTTTTTATGTGTCATTAAAATGTAGAAAACAAAACCAACCAAAAAAAAAAACCACATACCTTCTAAAGTTTGTTTGTTTGTTTTTTGCAAAGTAAATCCCTATTTGATTTTTTAAAGTAATCTACTAACTCACTGTTTCAACTGTTTCCTCATCTTCAAGTTTGTTACTCAAGGATACAGTTAGAACACAAAAAGTTGAATGGCAGCATTAATGAGGAAAATTTTCTCTTTATTAAACCCTTCCATCCAACAAGTAAAAAAAGAATGTTTGAATTAAACACCATTTTTTTTTTTTTTTTGAGATGGAGTCTCTCTCTGTCACCCAGGCTAGAGTGCAGTGGCACGATCTCAGCTCACTGCAACCTCAGCCTCCAGGGTTCAAGCAATCCTCCCGCTTCAGCCTCCCGAGTAGCTGGGATTACAGGCACCCGCCACCATTCCCAGCTAGTTTTTGTATTTTTAGTAGAGATGGGGTTTCACCATGTTGCCCAAGCTGATCTCGAACTCCTGGCCTCAGGTGATCCACCTGCCTGGGTGTCCCAAAGTGCTGGGATTATAGGCATGAGCCATCGTGCCCAGCCTAAAATAACACCATTTTGTAATTTTTTTTTTTTTGAAACAGGGTCTCACTGTAACCCAGGCTGGAGTGTAGTGACCCGATCACGGCTCACTGCAGCCTCAATTTCCTGGGCTCAAGTGATCCTCCCGCCTCAGTCTCCTGAGTAAGCTGGGACTACAGGCATGCACCACCAAGCCTGGCTAATTTTTGTATTTCTTGAGGAGATGGGGTTTCCCTATGTTGCCCAGGCTGGTCTCAAACTCCTGGGCTCAAGTGATCCTCCCACGTTGGCCTCCCAAAGTGCTGGGACTACAGGCGCCACTGCACCTGGCCTGTATAATTATAATTTTTTTTTTTAAGACAGGGTCTCATTGTGTCACCCAGGCTGGAGTGCAGTGGTACAATCATGGCTCAATGCAGCCTCGACCTACTGGGCTCAAGCCATCCTCCCACCTCAGCCTCTTGAGTAGCTGGGAGCACAGGCCCACCATGCCCAGCTAATTTTTCTGGGTTTTTTTCTTTCTTTCTTTCTTTCTTTTTTTTTTTTTAATATTTAGAGACCAGGTCTCACTATGTTACCCAGGCTGGTCTCAAATTCCTGGGCTCAAGTGATCCTCCCACCTCAGCCTCCCAGAATATTGGGATTACAGACATGAGTCACTGCACCCAGCCTTAAAGAGACTTTAAAGACACATTGACAAATTGCAATATGTGGACCTTATTTTGATCCTGACTCAAACAAATATAAAATTATGACATTTGTGGCCGGGTGCAGTGGCTCACGCCTGTAATCCCAGCATTTTGGGAGGCCAAGGTGGGTGGATCATGAGGTGAGGAGATCGAGACCATCCTGGCTAACACGGTGAAACCCCATCTCTACTAAAAATACAGAAAATTAGCCGGTTGTGGTGACACACGCCTGTAGTCCCAGCTACCCGGGAGGCTGAGGCAGGAGAATGGCGTGAACCCGGGAGGCAGAACTTGCAGTGAGCTGAGATCGCACCACTGCACTCCAGCCTGGGCAACAGAGCGAGAATCTGTCTCAAAAAAAAAAAAAAAAAAAAAAAAGACATTTTTGAGACATTGAAAATTTAAATGCCAACTAAATATTTGATCATATTAAGCAATTCTTGTTTATAATTGATACAACTATTTTAAAAATCCTATCTTTTAAAGATATGTACTGAAATAATTACAGATAAATAAATATGATGTATTACCTTTACATCAGAATAATATGAGAGTTTGAGATGGGGCAAGCAGGTGGAGGTACAGATGAAACAAAGTTCATCATTATTGAAGCTGAGAAATGGCACACAGGGGTTCATTATACCATTCTTTTTGCTTTAATATATGTTTGAAAGTCTCCATAATAAAAAGTTTGAAAATGTAATCTAAAGATAGTTATACCACAAACTAAATTAACTCTTCTAAAGCATGGGCTAACTATGCCAAAAAATGCTCAACCTGGCTGTGGTGGTTTTAGGACAATGGTCCCCAAATTCTTTGACACTCATCCCATTAAGCAGGGGGCTCTATGTCCTCTGCTTTTGAATCTGGATGCGCTTATGATTGCTCTGCCTAATCCAGTACAGAGGAAGTGCTGATGTGTGACTTCTGAGGCTGGGTCATTAAAGGTGCTGCAGCTTCCTCCTGGTTTTCTTGGGACCCTTGTCCTGTGGGAAGTTAGCCACCATGTAAGAAGTCTGACAACCTTGAGACCACCTGCTAGAGAAGCCATTGTGTATGCAATCCAGGAGATAGTTCAAGCTAAGCTCCCAGCCAACTGCCTGCATCAACTAGCTGCCAGCCAATGCAGGGAGCCATCTTGGATGTGCAGCCCAATCTTGTCTTCAAGCAACTGCAGCTCCAGCCAGCATCTGACTGCAGCCACCTGAGAGATCCCAAGACCAAACTGCCCATCAGTGCTCTTCCCAGTTTCCTGACCGTCAAAATCATGAGCAAAATAAAATGGTTTTGTTTGGCTTGGCATGGCGACTGACTCCTGTAATCCCAGCACTTTGGGAGGTCAAGGTGGGAGGATCACTTGACTTCAGGAGTGTGAGACCAGCTTGCACAACATAGTGAGACTTCATCTCTACAAAAAATTAAAAATTAGCTGTATGTATGTTGTGGCATGCACCTGTAGTCCTGGCTACTCAGGAGGCCGAGGCAGGAGGATTGCTAGAGACCAGGAGGTTGAGCCTGCACTGAGCCATGATCAGGCCACTGCACTCCAGCCTGGGGAAACAGCGAGACTCCGTCTCAAAAAAAAAAAAGCCACACACACACACACAAAACAAAAACAGTTTTCTTTTACACCACTACGTTTTGGGGTAGTTTTTTATGCAGCAATAGTAACTGAAACCATGATCAACTATAAGAACCAAAATTAAGGATATACAGAACAATAAAATTGCTTTTCACTTTTCTAAAGCATTAACATTGTGACTGCAAATGTCATTAATCTCTCTGGATATTTATATTCTCACTCATAAGTTGAGGTGTGGAAAGAGACTTAAGTCACTTCTATTTTTTTTTCCATTTTTTATAAAGATAGGGTCTCCATATGTTGCCCAGTCTGATCTCCAAGTCCTGGCCTCAAGTGATCCTTCCACCTTGGCCTCCTGAAGCTCTGGGATTACAAGTGTGAGCCATTGTGCATTGCCAAGACTTTTCTAATCAATAACAACAAGTAGGCAAATGTTTATCTTATTCACCTAGGTTTTCACTTACATGCAAACTTTTATTTAAACATTTCTTATTTATTAATAACTAATAAACTTATTCATTCTTTCAACATATATTTGACCCAGGCACTATTGCTAGTTGCCAGGCACTGTTCTTAGATTGTTTAAGGGCACTCATTTATCCAAATTTAGGCATGGTATAACCACAGTAGGGCACCTGACTTTCTAATTGCTCCTTCTTCCAACCCTCTTCGTGCTTTTGCAGGCTTAATAGAGTCAGCACTAGGACACTCTTTTCATGATTTTTCATCTTTTCAGAAGAGATCTTTTTCTTCAGTAACTACCATATATGATACTGAACTCTGCTCATTTGAGCATATAAATATTGAGGAAACTGGCATTACATTCCAGGTAGTTCCATGGCAAAACTGCTTCAAGACAAATAAAATGTATTATTCTACACAATACTGTTTGGGACTCTTAGGGTACATTTCTGGACTGGCATTTTGGAGTTTGGGCTTTCTTTTCAGAATGGAAATGAGAAGATCTAAATCAAACGAAGTGTAATGTCTTCTTTGCTAGGCGATACTGTGAGAATACGGGCCTAAGAAAGACTAATTCAAATTTTAAGGAAATGTCCCCGGTGAACCTGGGCTCCAGTTCAAAAATGTTTTTTTGCCTGACATGGTTTTATTTAAAAAAAAAACACAATTTTACAATATTTATCCTATGAATGTGTGTGTGTGTATTTTTTCCAATATAAAACACATCTACGAAAACAAAACAAAATAAATAAATAAATAAACATATCTACGCTATTTAAGTCAACCAATATGGTTAGTTTGCTTCCTCTGATAGTTTTCTAAGGCAGTGAAATAAATAAAAAATCAAATTTGTTCTAAAGAAATTAGTACTATCCAGGTGCGGTAGTGCACACCTATAGTCCCAGGTACTTGGGAGGCTGGGGCGGGAGGATCCCTTGAGCCTAGGAGTTCGAGATTACAGTGAGCTATGATTGGGCCACCACACTCCAGCCTAGGCAACAGAGCAAGATCATGTCTTTAAAATATATATAGTACTTTACTAAGAACTAGGTTAGGAATTAGAAGGAGGGGCCAGGGGCTCATGCCTGTAATCCCAACACTTTGGGAGGTTGAGGCAGGTGGATTACTTGAGATCAGGAGTTCCAGACCAGCCTGGCCAACATGGTAAAACCCCGCCTCTACTAGAAAAATACAAAAATTAGCTGGGTGTGGTGGCAGGCGCCTGTAATCCCAGTTTGGGAGGCTGAGGCAGGAGAATTGCTTGAACCCGGGAGGCTGAGGTTGTAGTGGGCCGAGATTGCACCACTGCACTGCAGCCTGAGCAACAGAGCGAGACCCCGTTTCAAAAAACAACAACAAAAGGAATTAGAAAACTTCAGCCGGGCATGGTGGCTCACGCCTGTAATTCCAGCACTTTGGGAGGTGCAGGCGGGCAGATCACAAGGTCGAGAGATTGAGACCATCCTGGCCAACATGCTGAAACCCCGTCTCTACAAAAAATACAAAAATTAGCAGACATGGTGGCGCGTGCCTATAGTCTTAGCTACTTGGGAGGCTGAGTAGCTGGGAGAAGCGCTTGAACCCGGGAGGTGGAGGTTGCAGTGAGCCGAGATTGTGCCACTGTACTCCAGCCTGGCGACAGAGTGAGACTCCATCTCAGAAAAAAAAAAAAAAAAAAAGAACTTCATCTCCTTCTGGAGTTCATATTATCTTCAGTATGTTTATCAGTTACAGCACTTAGTGTCTCCCAAATCTACATCTTCTGCCCATGCTACCCCCTAGCTGAGCCCCAGACTTGCATATTCAACAACCAACTTGGTATTTCTGTTTGGTTACCAGCTATAAAAACTAATTCTAGCTATCTAAGAAAAAGGAAATTTATTGGAAAGCCGTGAGGGCCTCAAAGAGTAATAGGAATGGGAGAGGTTAAGGAGGCCGAAGAAGACAGAAAGTGACCTGGCGCTTCCAGAATGTCTTGGTAATAGGAGCTGATCACCCACTGCTCAACCGTATGGTTTCTTCCATCTCTGTGTCACTCCAAACAAGATTCAAAGTCCTGGAGGGAGTTTGGCTGGCCAAGCTTGGGTTACATGGCAACTCTTTGACTGAATCAGTGTAGCCAGACTGGCAAAGATAATGTTTACTGAGACCCATTGTTGAGGCAGATGTGTGTAAATAGGTGCTCCCATGCACCACTGTTGCAAGTAAATTGCTCCTGCTTCTTCTGGGAGTCAATTAGGTAACATACCAAATCTTTTTCTTTTCCTTTCTTCCTTCCTTCCTTCCTTCCTTCCTTCCTTCCTTCCTTCCTTCCTTTCTTCCTTTCCTTCTTTCTTTCTTTCTTTCATACGCTTTAACCAAGAAACACATTTAAGACTTTTTCTAAGGAAAATAATTGATTGAGTGAGCAAAAATAAAGATAGTTGGTTATTTTATTATTGTTTACAATAGCAAAATTGGAGATGTCCTAATTGCCAACAATAGGAAATTTGTTAAATGAATGATGATATAACCATATGTTGAAGTGCTTTATAGCCATTAGAAATTATGTTGTAGACTCACATTTGTTTACATGGAAACATGTCCATTTTATATTGTTAAATGAAAAAGGCAGGCTATAAACAGTATTTGACCCTAGTTTTAAAAAATTAATATACATATGTAATTTTTTTTTTTTTGAGATGGAGTCTCACTCTGTTGCCCAGGCTGGAGTGCAGCGGTGGCACGATCTCAGCTCACTGCAACTTCCGCCTCCCTCCAGGTTCAAGCAATTCTCCTGCGTAATTTTTATATCTTTTTAGTAAAGACGGGTTTCACCTTGTTGGCCAGGCTCGTCTTGAACTACTGACCTCAAGTGATCTGCCCACCTCAGCCTCCCGAAGTGCTGGGATTACAGGTGTGAGCCACCGCGCCCAGCCTGTAATTCTTTTCCTTAAGAGACAGAGTCTCTCACTCTGCCACCCAGGATGGAGTGCAGTGGTGCAATCATGGCTCACTGCAGCCTCAAACTCTTGGGTTCAATCAATCCTCCAGCTTCAGTCTTCTAAGTAGCTAGGACTACAGGCACCTGCCACCACAACTGCCTAATTTTTTTTCTTTTGGTAGAGACGAGGTCTTGCTATGTTGTCCAGGCTGGTCTTGAACTTCTTGAACTTCTGGGCTCAAGCGATCCTTCTGCCTTGACCTCCCAAAGCATTGGGATGACAGACAAGAGCCACCACACTCAGCATATATATTGTATGCATTTTTTTTTTTTGGGAGGAGGGGAGGACAGGGTCTCGCTTTGTCACCCAGGCTGGAGTGCAGCAGTGCGATCTTGGCTCACTATAGCCTCAACTTCCTGGACTCAAGCAATCCTCTCCCTCAAATCCCCAAGTACCTGGGACCAAAGCATGCATAATTACACCAGGCTAATTTTTGTATCTTTTGTAGAGACAGGGTTTCGCCATGCTGCCAGGCTGGGCTCAAACTCCTGGACTAAAGCAATCTGCCTGCCCTGGCCTCCCAAAGTGCTGAGATTACAAGTGTGAGCCACAGTGCCTGACCTATATATGTATTTTTAAAGTTCAAAAGAACTGAAATCTTTGGCAAGCAAGTGCGTTTTCACTTCTAAAATCAGAAAAAGCCAGGCAAGATGGTTTATACCTGTCATCCCAGCACTTCTGGAAGCTGAGGAGGGAGAATTGCTGGAGGCCAGGATTTCAAGACCAGCCTGGACAACATAGCGAAACCCCATCTCTACAAAAAATCAGCCAGGCATGGTGGCATATGCCTGCAGTACAAGGCAGAAGGATCGCTTGAGCCCAGGAGTTCAAGGCTTCAATGAGCTATGATCATGCCACTGCACTCCAGCCCTGGCAACAGAGCAAGACCGTGCTCTCTAAAACATAAATAAATAAGTAAATTAATAAATGAACAATAAAATAAAATCAGAAAATCAAAAACTATTTAGAGTGTTAACAAAGTAGACTCGATATTACTTAAATGTGCTTGAAATTCTTTTAATATAGATTATTTTCATAAAATGGTATATATCACATTTTTTTAAACTCTTCTATAGACCTGGTGATTAGAAGTATGGTATCTCACTTTTAACTTTACAATACAGCCTGTGAGCTTTATTTTTTGTTTTATTTTATTTTTTTTTGAGACAGAATCTCGCTCTGTCACCCAGGCTGGAGTACAGTGGTGTGATCTCAGCTCATTGCAAGCTCTGCCTCCCGGGTTCACGCCATTCTCCTGCCTCAGCCTCCCAAGTAGCTGGGATTACAGGCAGGTGCCACCACACCTGACACATTTTTTGTATTTTTAGTAGAGATGGGGTTTCACCATGTTGGCCAGGCTGGTTGTGAACTCTTGACCTCAGGTGATTCACCTGCCTCGGCCTCCCAAAGTGCTGGGATTACAGGCGTGAGCCACTGCACCCAGCCCAATGGTACCCAGAATAACAGCCTTCGTGATAGTAATAGTTAACATTTATGGACTGCCAGGCACTGTTTTAGAAGCTTTCTATGCATTTCTCATCCAGTGCTCACCACAACCTTATTAGGTTGATACCGCATAATTATTTGCCCTATTTCACAAATGAGGAAACTAAGGCCACCTATCAAGTCACTGGAAAGTCCAGGACTCCCCACAAACTAGAGTTAAGTCCAGAGCCTATGCTTTTAATCTCTGTGCTAGATTTCCTCCATAATTAGGAAATTAAGTTTGAGTGAGTTCATTTATTTATACCATTGCCTTGTTCCAGAAAGGATTTCAGGCAACTGGTTAAGTAAATTGTCCAAGATCACCCAGACAATAAGTGGCAGTGCCAAGAATCAAAACTCTTTCTTGAAGGAACTGTATAAACTAAGTGAGCTAACACAGATGTAGACTCACATCTTGTATTTCCTCCTAAACATGAGAAGGGGAAATGAAGGGTCTTTCTTTGGCCAGTTTTCATGTTCATTCTAGCTGGATGTGTTTTCAGCCTTAGAGCGCCTTTATCATTTGAAAAGGGACAGAGTAGGACAAGAGGAATTCATGAATCGCAGGACTGGGCAGCAAGCACATGGCTGCCCATGGTAGGCAGAGGAAAGGAAAGGCCTGAGGCGATCCTAAGATGTGTGCTTGGGACGTGACAGACAACCTGGAAACACTGCTTAGTAATAAGCCGCCTTCAGGAGGAAAGGTAAGAAAGAGCAAAGAAGGGTAAAATGAAGAGACCGAGGAAGAGCTAGGGAGCTATATAGTATGAGAGGTGGAGGGAAGGTAATGGGGGACATGTATAGCTGTCCGGGAGTGAGAATAAAAATAACAATTGGCCAAGGTGGGAGGATCACTTGAGGTCAGGAGTTCAAGACCAGCCTGGGCAACATAGTGAGACGCCCCCGCAACGTCTCTACAAAAAACATAAAAATGAGCAGAGTATGGTGGTGCATGCTTATTGTCCCAGTTACTTGAGAGGCTGAGGTGGAAGGATCACTTGAGCCCAGGAGGTCAAGGCTGCAGCCAGCCTTGATCACGCCACTGGACTCCAGCCTGGGCGACAGAGCAAGACCCTGTCACTAAAAAAATAATAATAAAAATAGGCCGGCATGGTGGCTCACGCCAGTAATCTCAGCAGTTTGGCCAACATGGTGAAACCCCATCTCTACTAAAAATAAAAAAATTAGCCAGGCGTGGTGGCGGGGCACCTGTAATCCCAACTACTGGGGAGGCTGAGACAGGAGAATGGCCTGAACCCAGGAGGAAGAGGTTGCAGTGAGTCGAGAGCACACCATTGCACTCCAGCCTGGTCGAAAAGAGCAAAACTCCGTCTCAAAAAAAAAATAATAATAATAATAGTAATTGGATTTGAGAGTGCCAGGTTTCAAAGAAGGAAAGTGTAAAAGGTAAACACTAACAGAATATTCTTTTTTTTAAAAAAGTACATATTCTAAAGATATTCTAAAGTATCTCAAATCAAGGACAGCCCCTTCAAGTCTGAGTGAGTAACATTTTTGCTATTCCCTCTCAGTCCCCTCTTTGTTTGGGGTCCATAGCATCCTTCTTCTCGAGACAAGTACTGAGTCAATTTTCTTTTACCTCTAAGAACTCAGTCCAAATAGGTTTGTGTAAAGAACTGTCTTTTCTTGGCAATAACTTGAAAAATAAATAAGATGAAATATACACTCGTTCTTTTTTGTATGGCTGAAAAACGGAACATCCATTTGCTTTCAGTTTGAATTGTTACAAAAACATTGCAGAACTTGTCCTAATTTTTTTTTTTTTTTTTTTAAATGAAGGAGCCTGTCTCAATTTAGTATCCTTAACCAAACATGATTTAGTCCCAGGGCAAGAACTGGCTATAAAGAAAATACAGCTATTTTAGTAACAGCTCTTTAGTCCTGGCTGTTCATGGAAAGCTAACTATGAAGGCATTTGAAACTTCTCATTAAGAACCATGATGTTGGCCGGGTGAGGTGGCTCACGCCTGTAATCCCAGTACTTTGGGAGGCTGAGGCGGGCAGATCACGAGGTCAAAAGATCGAGACCATCTTGGTCAACATGGTGAAACCCCGTCTCTACTAAAAATACAAAAATCAGCTGGGTGTGGTGGCGTGTGCCTGAAGTCCCAGCTACTTGGGAGGCTGAGGCAGGAGAATCGCTTGAACCCAGGAGGCGGAGATTGCAGTGAGCCGAGATCTCGCCATTGCAATCCAGGCTGGTGACAGAGCAAGGCTCCATCTCAAAAAAAAAAAAAAAAACAAACAAACCAAAAAAAAAACCACGAAGTTTGATTTAAATTGGACTTGGTCACTCTGGATAATGTAAAACAGAAGTCACTTACTGAGACGTAGGGACAGGAAGAGGAAATGGTTGATCTAGGGACAGGAAGAGGAAATGGCTGACCTGTAACTAGAGTTCTCCAAAGGTGACAGGTAGACTTATTAACCTCCCGGGACCTATATTTATGTAGCAACTTGAGCTGACCAGCACGTGTGCTGGGTAATGTTTAAATCATTAGAGTGCATGTATACGAACTTAACATTACAGGAATTTATTTCCTCTCCCATTACTGCTTTCTGGATATTTCTTTTTTTTTTTTTTTTTTTTTTTGCCTAAACTATGCAAACAACATTCAAAAAAAGGCAGCTCAATACAGGTTGGTTGGATAGAATTCTGTGGAATATTGATCATTAGGACTTCTCCTTTACCATGAGAAGTATACAAAGAGTTCTCTATTGTAAGTAACTGAATCTTGGGCAAAGAAATGTCCACATCTATTTGAATTTAGTTTGGAGTTATTCCTTCTCTCTACAAACAGGGTATAATGTATATATTTATTTAAAAATATATGTATTATATTTTTAAATGTAAGTGATTTAATCTTGTTTTAAGGATTTAAAAAATCCTCTGAGATAATTAAAGGAGTTGCAAATTCCACAAAGTTAGACAGCAAAACCATGATGTTCTAGAAATGTACAGAAATACGTACATAGTAGAAAATGTAAGGCCAAACATAGTGGCTCACGCCTGTAATCCCAGCACTTTGGGAGGCCGAGGTGGGTGGATCATTTGAGGTCAGGAGTTCGAAACCAGCCTGACCAATGTGGTAAAACCCCGTCTCTATTAAAAATACAAAAATTAGCTGGGCATGGTGGCATAAGCCTGTAGTCCCAGGTACTCAGGAGGCTGAGACAGGGGAATTGCTTGCACCTGGGAGGCTGAGGTTGCAGTGAGCCGAGATCGCACCACTGCACTCCAACCTGGGTGACAGAGCAAGTCCCTGTCTCAGAAAAAAAAAAAAAAAGAAAAGAAAAGAAAAAAGAAAATGTATATTATGATAGCCAGTGACTAAAAACCTAACCTAAACTAAATTTAATCCCTCATTGGCTACTTCATAAAACCTCAGGTCCAGTACAAACAGCCCTAACACAAATGCAACAGGGGCACAATGCAGTATTAGACTTAAACGCCCAGTAAAATGATTTGAGACCTAGCAGATCTGTGCCCTGATACTATTTTTTAAATTATGACTGATAAGAAACTCTAAGAAACGCTGAAAGAAAAATGACTCATTCCACAAAGACATTTTTATGAGGGAAGTGGATTTAGAATTTAATGGTGACGTTTAGTCATTATAAAGTAGACAATTTCATGAAGAATAATATGATATTTATAACAGCATCATTGTCAATTAAATTAGTAAAGAGTAAAAGTGAATCAAAGATCCTTGATGGGCAAAGTATGATGAAGTGGAAGCTCAGTAAAGGGACAGTTAGCTGTTAGGAGAGAAGAAATAGGCTGGGCACGGTGGCTAAAGCCTGTAATCCCAGCACTTCGGGAGGTCGAGGTGGGTGGATCATCTGAGGTCAGGAGTTCAAGACCAGCCTACCCAACATAGTGAAACCCCGTCTCTACTAAAAATACAAAAAATTAGCCGGGCTTGGTGGTGGGTGCCTCTAATTCCAGCTACTCAGGAGACTGAGGCAGGAGAATGGCGTGAACCCGGGAGGCGGAGGTTGCAGTGAGCCAAGATCGTGCCATTGCACTCCAGCCTGGGCAACAACAGTGAAACTCCATCTCAAAAAAAAAAAAAAAAAAGAGAGAGAGAGAAGAAATAGAGTGGAAGATTTTAATTGTTGTAGTTGTTTTTAGATCCATGGGTTTTTAGATCTGGTACTTGTTTTTAGATTGTTAGGTCTGCATCATAACAGAATCAGACTTGGATTAGTTAAGTTACACATAAAGTTCTGATTCCTCATGGCCAAATCTTCTTGCACATTTCATTGTCTCCATTTTTTCTCTTTGGATTGCTCATCTAATGCACTAGTTTCTCTTCTGCAAGACTTCCTTAAGATTTTGTTTTGTTACAATTTTTGGTTGGTGGCCCATCCTGAAAGACAGTTGTTTACTACATTCTAAAAAAGCCACAAACAAGGAGTGTCTCCATTGGTTACACATTCTAGTCTATTCAAATCATGGACCAACTTATTTTTCTGTTGTTTGTAGTCTGTAGCCTAATATACTCTGTACTACCTTCTGAGGACAATATGGGTTTTGTAAATGGCAGAAACATATGTAACTAATCAAACTCCATTGTATAATATATTGTGCCAAGAATGGATTGTTTCATACATGGTGTGTTGGTGAAGAAATAAAACCTTGAAAGTAAAGTGTTTTCTATTAGGCTACTTAATATAGAAATGGTTTATGCCCGAGGGCAAAAAATTCATTGATGCTTAGACATAATCTATTGACTTTTAATTAAAACCTTGCTTATTTTACAAGTGTAAATCCATGAGCTAAATCACATTTTGAGTCTACGGATTTATGACTGGAATAAGTTTAATGCTGAATTAGCCCTTGTAAAATGTGCTTTCTTAGAATAATAGCATTAGCTCCAAAATACATGTTATTTGATTGCCTTATTGCACCCAAAATAAAGTTATTGCAATTTGTCAATACCATAAACCACATATCTTAATTAAAAATAGCACATATTATACATAAAGTATGTTCAACAATTGTTCCTAAGATCCTAGCATCTGGAAATGCATTCACAGTATCATCTGTACAATGAACAAGTATTTCATTTTTCAGACCAAAAAGGTAAAACTTTAACCCTAATTTTTAAGTCTATGACTTACAGAAACTGCAGTATATTGTTATAAGGCTTATTATCTTTGAAAATGTCTGCTTTGAATTTTTATTTATTCCTTGGGTTTTGTAGCTTGATAAAACACAAATGGCAAATATATTTATCTAAAAATTTAAAAATGTTTTTCTCCTGACTCTTCTAACTCCCTAGTTAGAATTTTAGAAGATCAAACGGAAAGTAAGCAATAAGTACTAATTTATTATAGGATAAAAGAACATAATCCCTGACTCATTTGCTTCTAATTAAGACGTGCATGAGACCATAAAAATAGAAATATGTTTATGTAACTCATTTAAAATCTAACCAATCCAGAGAAAACATCAACCTCCCCTAAGTGTATCAATACACAGTTTTGTAATATAACAGAAAAAAATGTGGCCAGAAAAATGAGATCCAATGGCAATTTCCTTTTCTTACAATAGTTTTTTCCTATCAAATACAGCTAAGAAGCCCTTGCATAAGAACTAAAACACAAGAAGTTATCATCTACAGATGGTGGTTTGCCCCTACGTATTATGGGAAAAATGATGAACACACTATGCAGAGACATTCATGTGTTCATTCACCCACAAAGACGTAGTCAGCAACCAGGTCATGCCAAGCACTGGGCTCAGTCCATCCAAGTGCCAAATGCCTAACAGAACAGGGTGAATTATCAAGTCTGTCTGCAGTGAAATTACGTGTATCTGCAGATTATCTTTCATTTTCACTCCATCGTTTTATTGAAATTCCTATTTTTAGATATTTTCTCCCATACTAAAGGCTGAATATAACTTTTTAGAAAAAGACTAATTTTAGATCTTCCACCATGTAGGCTCAGTTTGAAGTGTTCTTTTTCACATTGCCCTAAGTGAATTATCCTACGTTTTCAGTTCCGAGGCTGTCAGCCTGGATCTAAGCCCTGTTTAAGTCACTGTCGGTTGAAAGGGTTAGTAAGACATCTGTGAATGTTAAAAGCATGTGGGCCAGTGTATTGCTTTGATCAGGGGTTTTTGCCCAACTAAGAGGACTGAATTTTGACTGAATTCAAAATCATAGATCATTTGGTGGCAATTAATACACTACTCTTCTTTCTAGGATATTTGCCTATGTACCTGTCCATCAATGTTAATCTCTCTTTGGCTAAAAATTTAGATTTTTCATAGCTTTTTTATTTTTGTAGCAATTCCCTTCCCCTTGCAATAGTCTCTGTTTGTTAGTATTATTCATATTATACTTTCTAAATGTGTTTCTCTTTTTTTAACTTACAGTCAGATCCATATTTTAGCTGCTTGATTGTAATTTTCTGACACCAGTGAAATAGGATTCTCCAGTATTAAACCAAGATGTCTCCAGGGTAATAGAGCAGAGAAGTGGTAGGATATGATAGATGAGGCTCTGAGCCACTTGAAGTATTATGTGGAAGGTGACCAGGAATATTCAAAAGCACTATAGAGTTTCAAGGAAGGGTACTCTTTGAATGAACATATATTGAAGAAATAAAATGCATGTAGAACAGAGCAAAGCATAATATCTTTTTAAAATATATTCATATTTGATTGTATATGCATAAATAAACACTGAAGAATAGACCAAAAATATTAGAGTTGTTACCCATGGAGGAAAGAGGGGCAAAGGAATGAATGGAAACTATTTGTGTATACCTTCCTATTTAGTTTTGATTTTTGAATCATGAAACACACAGTTAAACTAAAATAAAAATTACTTGGAAGATCAGGATCTTCAATCAGTAGACTGAGATCCATAGAGCTATCTCTAGACCTTTCCTGGTAGACCCTCATGCCAATTGCTCCCACCAGCTCCATGAATTCTCAACCCACTGAATCCTCCCCTCCTCAAGCACCGCATTTTCCTGCAAGCTCCACGTGCATCTGATGCAGGTGTCAGAAAACTCAACCCCAGCTGATTTAAGCAAAGAAAGGGAATTGATTGAGGTAAACTGAAAAGTCCAGGCCTAGACCTTCAGGCACAGCTTGACTCAGGAATTAAACTAGAGAACACAAGGATCCAGTCCACAGCTCTGCTTCCTCAGAGTTGGTTCTGTTCTCAGACCCTGCCAGTGGTCACCAGCAGCTACGGGCTATCAACATCACGACAACCAATTATGGAAGAAAGATCCACTTTTCCTCTAATAGCTTCCATAAAAGTTCCAGAATTGAGTCTTACGGGCTTTGATTGGCCCAGTTTTAATCCTTTGCCCATCTCATCAATCACTGTCGCCAAAGAGGGCATGCCATCATTGGCTTAGTCTAGGTTACATGCCCCACTGTGGGCATAGGAGTGAAGTGCTTCATCTGAAGTGCATAGGTAGAAAAGTGAAACTGGGGTATATTATCAGGAAGGGATGTTAGATATTGGACAGTAAAAACACTACTCTTGGCAGGGCATGGTGGCTCACGCCTGTAATCCCAGCACTTTCGGAGGCCAAGGCTGGTGGATCACCTGAGGTCAGGAGTCTGAGACCACCCTGGCCAACATGGCAAAACCCCATCTCTACTAAAAATGCAAAAATTAGTCAGGCGTGGTGACTGGTGCCTGTAATCCCAGCTACTCAGGAGGCTGAGGCAGGAGAATCACTTGAACCCAGGAGGCGGAGGTTGCAGTGAGCCGAGATTGCAGCCACTACACTCCAGCCTGGGCGATAGAGTGAGACTCCGTTGCAAAAACAAACAAACAAACAAACAAAAAAACACCAAAAAAACACTACTGTGTTCTCAAGCTGGAGTGCAATGGCACCATCTTGGCTCACTGCAACCTTTGCATCCCGGGCTCAAATGATCCTCCTGCCTCAGCCTCCCAAGTAGCTGGGACTATAGGCATGAGCCACCATGCCTGGCTAATTTTTGGATTATTTGTAGAGATGGGGTTTCACCATGTTGGCCAGGCTGGTCTCGAACCCCTAGACTCAAGTAATCCACCCGCCTCAGCCTCTCAAAGTGCTGGGATTACAGTCGTGAGCCACTGTGCCTGACCTAAAAAAGCAGCTTTTCAAAAGAGATTTGAGACTCCTGATTTAAAATAAGAGTTTTTTTGGCCTGAAATAGGCTATCCAGAGAACACTGTACTTTTCAAAGCAGGTCAGAAAAATTGCTGTTCTAATCAAGAAAAAGCAGAAGTTCAAAAAAATTACTTATATTCCCAAAACTGAATTTTAGGAGCCAGGGAATGATGAGCAGTTTGATAGAACTGTTTTGTTGAGTTAGACCAGACAATAAATTATTTTTGTGTGTTTTTTTTTTTTTTTGGTATAACACCTCGGTATTATTTGGACCTTGAAACTTTCTTTTAATATATATTGTTTCTGATCGACGACCATAGGCAGTCTTTAAATACTCCACAAGGAATAGATGGAAAGGAGGCACCTTTCCAAGAGAAATCCTTAAACCAAAGTATTCCTTACCCGTTTCTGCCCTGTTATTCCATGGCTGGTCTCAATTAGCTTTCTGCCACTGTCATACATTTGTGAAAATGGCAACAGTGGTAATGAACATACCCATGGGCCCATGGAAGATTTCCATTTTCTCTTCATTTCTGGCACCACAAGAACACTCCAGTCCAGCACACACAATCAGTTCAAGTGCATGCATAAAACTCTACTATATATAGTATGAGTGGATTCCAGGATGCAAACTATATATAGCTGAGCTAAATAACGAGTTCGCTCTCATGTTACTCAGCTGGCAATGTTTGAAACATGAAACAGTTCTTTCCAGTCACTCCTTGTTGAATGCTGGTTCTCACTGGTGCTCTTTTGTGCACCCTTGTTTTCAGCTGGCCTGTCTTCTTAAGTCCCTTTCCGGATTTTTGTCAAGTGAGAGCTGTTTCTGTCTAACTTTTTTTTTTTTTTTTTTTTTGAGACAGAGTCTCACTCTGTCACCCAGGCTGGAGTGCAATGGTGTGATCTCAGCTCATTGAAACCTCGCCTCCCGGGTTCAAGCGATTCTCCTGCCTCAGCCTCCTGAGTAGCTGGGATTACAGGTGCATGCCACCACACCTGGCTATTTTTTTTTTTTTTTTTTTTTTTAGTAGAGATAGGGTTTCACCACATTGGCCAGGCTAGTCTTGAACTTCTGATCTCATCATCCTCCCACCTCGGCCTCCCAAAGTGCTGGGATTACAGGCGTGAGCCACCGCGCCCAGCCCTGTCTAACTTTTATGTACAGGGATGGCTCTGGCATTTCCTTCTTTATTTTTATTTTTATGTTTTTAACCGTATCCCTGGTGGTAGGTGAGGCTATGGTATTTTTAGCCGGAAAAGCTCAGGGCAGCAATCTGGGGGCAATCGGGGCAGCAAAATGGGGGAAGCTTGAGGCAATTCCCTGGAATCTTTTTAGATCTGGAGGATGCTGATGGAGATTACAGAGGAGGAAGGGCTAAAAGACCCACCGTAGGCTATCTTTTGGTGCTGTCACTACCCACACATCTTTTTTCTTTTATCTTGTAGAAACTGCTTGTTCTGGCAGGCTCTCACCCAGCCAATTAAGCCACGCTCACCCAATAGAAAATCTCAAAATTTTCTCTGAACTTCCCATTTCCATCAGAAGGGCATTAAAGTGTCCCACAGACATTTATTTGGTCATGGGGATGCCAACATGAACAAGATGGTCCTTGTCCTCAAGTTGTTCACAGTCTAAAGTGAAGTAGAGCCAGGTACAGTGGCTCACGGTAATCCCAACATTTTGGGAGGCTGAGATGGGAGGATCACTTGAGGCCAGGCATTTGAGACCAGCCTGGGCAACATAGTGAGACCCCATCTCAACAAAAAATTTAAAAACTAGTCAGGCATGGTGGTGCACGTTGGAAGTCCCAGCTACTTGGGAGGCCAAGGCAGGAGGATCCTTTGAGCCCAGGGGTTTGAGGCTGCAGTGAGCTATGATCATGTCATTGCACTCAAGCCTGGTTGGCAGAGTGAGACCTTGTCTCTATTAAAAGAATAATAATAATAAAGTAGAGTAGGGGTAAAGGGACATACACAGACAGACAAGCTATATGCATGAGCTGTATTTGCAATGAGTGGTGTGTTGTAAAAATCACAGTGTGTGTGTTCTGTTTACCTCGTCTGTGCTCCCTATTTGTATCTCCTCTCTCTCATCTATAGCAGCTCGTATTTTATTCTTTCCCACATTCCATTCATTACACAAATACTTGTTGAGTCTTGAGTCTGTGCTAAGTGCTGAGGCTACAGTGGCATTGGACTTGTATTCCAATGGAGAGAATCAGATAATAAGCAAGTATACAAATAAGATATTATTTAGTGAAAGAGAAAACAGACGAAGGGATAGAAAGTGACCATTAGGGGAGGTAAAGTGGGGAAAGGTTGCAACAACGGGCACAGCAATCTCTCTGAGGAGGTGACATTTGAACTAAGATCTGATGGGCAGGTAAGAGGTAACCAAGCATGGGAATATCTGGGGAAGAGCAGGGCTGGCAGGTGAAACTGGAAGGGGCAGACTGAGCAGGAAGTCTGTGGTATTGCAGGAATGGAAAGAAGGTCCAGGTGACTAGAGCTTAGTGTCACAGGGGAGAGGGACAGCAGCTGAGATCACAGAGGTCATCAGAGGCCAATCAGGAGGGCTGGAAGTCCTTGATAAGGTGTCTGAATTTTATTATCAGTGCAATTTGGAGAGGGGAATGTACTTTTCCTATGATCAGATATGCGTGTTTTTTATTCAGGGTATCCTTTTTAGCATATAAAGAAACAGAATTAGTGATGAAAATATTGATTGCTTGGTGAGTACAGAATTAGAGCAAAGACAGATGAAAGGTCTTGAGGGATATTTTAATAGGCTCTCCAAGGGTCCACAGCACTGGGGATTTTCCTTTTCAAATATCTGGATATTTGTGTGCATCAGATATACTAAACTCTCTTGAACAAAGTTTAACTCCTCAAGTCTCCTTGTTTTTAGGGTAGGCAGGAATCCATGCCCTTTTGTCTGTATTCTTTATCACACCATCACCTTTCCTTACTTCCACAGCCTTTGTTACATTCCCAGTTACAGATGATATTTAATCACCTCAAGAATCTAGTCCAGGCCGGGTGTGGTGGCTCACGCCTGTAATCCCAGCACTTTGGGAGGCCAAGGCAGGAGGATCACATGAGGCCAGGAGTTTGAGACCAGCCTGGCCAATATGGTGAAACCCCATCTCTATTTAAAAATAATAATAATAAAAAAAGCTGGTCATGGTGGCACACGCCTGTAGTCCCAGCTACTCGGGAGGCTGAGGTAGGAGAATCTCTTGAACCCGGGAGGCAGAGGTTGCAGTGAGCCAAGATCACCCCACTGCACTCCAGCCTGAGCAATAGAGCGAGATTCTGTCTCAAAAAAAAAAAAAAAGAGAGAAAAAAAAAGAATGTAGTCTAAAACTATCATAAACTGGATCCTGATGGGAAGTGTACAATTATATAACATCCTATCCATGGTTAGTGAATAATTTTCAGCTTCTATCTTGGGGAACGAGACCTACGTCCCACTTCCCACCGACTTGGGCTTTTGGCTTGGGGGCTAGCCTTCTTTTCACTTCTTGTCACTCTGTAATCACTGACCACAATATGCATATGGTTCTGATGTAAACTAAAATCTTTATCCAAAGGCTCTATCCACCTGGCAACTTTTGAACCCATATGAAATAAGCAGGGTAGTGACTCTTCTTTTGAGACCTCATTTGCTCATTTATTCAAGTACATGGAGCCCCAGGCAGTCCACTCAGTGCAAGGGATAAAACAGATGCATGGGCCGGGCGCGGTGGCTCACGCCTGTAATCCCAGCACTTTGGGAGGCCGAGGCGGGTGGATCATGAGGTCAGGAGATCGAGACCATCCTGGCTAACAAGGTGAAACCCCGTCTCTACTAAAAATACAAAAAATTAGCCGGGCGCGGTGGTGGGCGCCTGTAGTCCCAGCTACTGGGGAGGCTGAGGCAGGAGAATGGCGTGAACCCGGGAAGCGGAGCTTGCAGTGAGCCGAGATTGCGCCACTGCAGTCTGCAGTCCGGCCTGGGCGACAGAGCGAGACTCCGTCTCAAAAAAAAAAAAAAAAAAAAAAAAAAAAAACAGATGCATGATGTACTCCTGGCCCCCTAGTCTGACAAAGCTTTTATGTGTATCTCTGGTTCTTAAAAAGAACAAATTGTCCACTTACAAACTGTATACTTACAACTAACCTGGATGTACAGGGCGTGTGCTCCATGCAGCTTGCAAATATCTGTCTTGAATTATTTTCTGCAGACTAACAGCCACCATAGCTTCTGGTTGCTCCTCTCTCCTCCTTGTCCTCCTTCCCACCTCTAGAGCGCTTGCTGCTGTTGCCATGACAACCAGAAGGAAAAGCTTTGGAACTTTATCTCTTACTATGGGCCCATGTCTCCCCATGAGGACAATATTGTCTGTCACTCCAACTGGACTCTGGGGCTTTCTCTTTAAATATACCGTTAAGTCATGTTAAAATTGGAACTCTAAGGGCAAGATTATGAGGGTATTAAGTCAGGGACCTAGGAATTCTCAAATCTTGTTTTTGACTAGCAATCCTTTTCTTCAAAGAAAATATGTGCACTTATGACAAAGCAGGGTATAGGGATGCTTTTTACTAAGTGGGGCTTCACATCTAAGCCCCATATAGAGTTTTAACAGGTCCATACAGGCCTGGTGGAGGTCTCTTTTGGCATAAGCTGGGTTGACCCGAGATGCCTACTTGACCACTAAGAGATTAGAAAAAAGATCCTCCAGCTCAAACTTGTCATCTGGGCTCCAGGTTCAGGCAGCGATCTACCGGCTTGATATTTCCCCTGGATGTCTCGTGGACATCTTCATCTTAAAAATCTTTCCATCCTTATTCTTCCCCTAGTCTTCCACCTCTCCATAAACAGCTTCACCCTGCAGACCGAGGCCCAAGCCAGCAACCTGGGAGGCTTCCTTGACTCTTCCCTTCCCCTTGCCTCCCCGCATGCCCAATCCTTACCAAGTCCTGTGGCTCTATCTCCAAAATAAAACTCGCAGACGTCTGCTTTTCTCCATCACCACTCCTATCACTTCAGACTAAAACGTAGTCATCTTCCGTCTGGATTATTTTAATCGCCCTCGGACTGTTCTCCCTGATTCTACTTGTTTCTCCCCAAGTCCTTCTTCATAGAGCAGCAAGTGCGATCTTTTAGAAAGATAAACCAGATTGCATGACTCGGCTCTTTAAAACTCTTCTTGGCTTCCCACTACACTTGGAATAAAAACCGTCATCTTCACCCTGGCCTACAGGGCCTGCCCTACATTCTCTGAGCTCCTGTCCAGCCTCGTCTCTCCCACTCTCCACCTGGCCCTTCCTCCAGTCGCATTTGTCTTCCTTCCACTCTCCATGTGGCTTGCAAATATGTCTTTAATTTCCTCCAAAGTCAAACAGTTGCCATACATCCTGGTTTTCCCACAAAGCTCTTTTCCCACCTCCAAGCCTTTACACTTTCAGCTCCTTCTGCCTGGAACACATGTTCCCTGCCCTTTGCCTGATCTTTGCACGGTGGCTGTTTCCTTTTCAACCTTGAGGTCTCAGTTAACTGTCACCTCCTCAGAGAGGCCTTCCCTGACCACCCTATCCAAAACTGCTCTCCCCCATGAGTGACTCTATCAGTGCACCCTGTTTATTTCCTACGTAAGATTTTCCAAAACATGTACCTATTTTGGTTATTCATGTGTGTGTTTATTGTTGAGGGCAGGAACTAGACCTACTTTATTCATTATGAATGGCTTATAAGAGGAACATGATTAATACCTGTTAGATCCATGAATTATCATGTCTGAAATTCCACCAGGGATTCCTACACTCAGGAAAGAAACATGAAATATTTTTTTCCTCTTCTTCCCCCTTCACTCTCTTGGTCAGGGTCTTTTTTTGTTTTGTTTTGTTTTGTTTTGTTTTGTTTCTTTTTTTAGATGGAGTCTCACTCTGTCACCCAGGCTGGAGTGCAGTGGTGCCACCTCGTCTCACTGCAACCTCCGCCTCCCAGGTTCAAGTGATTCTCCTGCCACAGCTTCCCGAGTAGCTGGGATTACAGGCCTAAACCACCACACTCAGCTAATTTCTGTATTTTTAATAGAGTCGGGGTTTCACCATGTTGGCCAGGCTGGTCTCAAACTCCTGATCTCAGGTGATCCACCCATCTCAGCTTCCCAAAGTGCTGGAATTATAGGCGTGAGCCACTGCGCCCAGCTGGTCAGGATCTTGATGAATGAAATTCTCCTTAGATGGTACAAATGAAGAAACTGTAATGAAGAGATTATTCTCTGAGGCATAGACAGGGTTAAGAAAACCAACACAGGATGTTCAGATACCAGCGAGGAGCAAGAGCAAGGAGCTGTTATACCCCCAAGACTGGGGGCCAAAGGGAAGGAACCATATTCTCAGAGCCCAGTAAGGGCTGGGGCTGTGGAAGAGGCTTCCCAGCTAGAAATATAGTCTTGAAGGGACATAGCCATTGCCAGTTGCTGGCAGCTAAGCAGGAGAGGAACAGATGAAGAAATACCCCACCTTCTCCCATCTCCTGTTTCTAGTCTGTGCCCCTTCTTGGCTGAAGCCAACTGAAAGCCAGCCAGCAAGGGAGCCCAGGTGAACAAATCAGTCTGTAGGAAGCTGGCCTTCCAGAGCACTGAGCAGATGATAAATGGAGAAGAACCGGCACAGGTGTTCACTCCCAGCAGCTGGAACTCAGCCTTGGTTTTGCTCCCATGACTTAGAAGTCAATCCTATTTGGGATTTATGCTTGGAATTTAACTACCATTTATACCACTGGGTTTATGGAATTTTGATTTCTAAATAATCAACTTACTAATAAACTTGACGACACAATTCACTAGGGCGTTAGAGCCTGCCTTTATACTGAACAAGTGGGTGAAGTGTTTTTATTATTAATAAGCACAGTACTGCCTACTCAAGAAAAAGAAAACTTCTATAATCTTATTTGGCCACCACACCAAACGAACTATGGAGCCTTTTGATGATATACGTAGTATCCTCACAAAACACATGGGACCAGTATTTGGCAAATTTGATTTCTAGGTTCTGTCAAACCAGTTGCAGAGATATAGCTAGAATTTTTTTTCTCAGTTAAAAATGCTTTAAGTCTTTGAGTTCTGGTTTTCATCCTCCTCTGAATAGTTGCTGTGTGAGGATGTCCATATCTGACTCATTTTACTCTACAAATACAGAATTGCACCCAGGTGTATTTTAGGGATATTGGTCACCCTGAAGTTTTCATAGGTTTTATAGATATATGCTGGTAAGGTGGGAGGGCGGGTGAATAAGAAGTAAAATACAAGTCTTCCTGAAAGCTGATAATGCAGCATTGGGGTAGATCCCTCATTTTCTTTCTTTATTATTATTATTTTTTTTGAGACAGAGTCTCACTCTGTCACCCAGGCTGGAGTGCAGTGGCACGATCTCTGCTCACTGCAAGCTCCGCCTCCCAGGTTCATGCCATTCTCCTGCCTCAGCCTCCCGAGTAGCTGGGACTACAAGCACACAGCACCACACCCAGCTAATTTTATATTTTTAGTAGAGATGGTGTTTCACCATGTTGGCCAGGCTGGTCTCAAACTTCTGGGCTCAAGTGATCCACCTGCCTCAGCCTCCCAAAGTGCTGGGATTACAGATTTGAGCCACCATGCCCAGTCTCTCTCTCTTTTTTTTTTTTTTTTTAATAGATATAGGGTTTCACCATGTTACCCAGGTTGGTCTCAAACTCCTGGACTCAAGTGATCCACCTGCCTCAGCCTCCCAAAGTGCTGGGATTACAGGTGTGACCACTGTTCCCAGCCAAAAATCATTTCATCTTTATAACTCTAGCAGTGGGATCTGGGGCCAAGTTATATGGCTGAGTGGCATCACAATATCAATATATGATTCGTCTTTTAAAGTTTTTGTTTTAGAATATGACTTGAGAGCTGGACAGCCATACCGAATATTTCCACTGGAGCAGAGAGGACTGAGAGGCCGCTGCCCAATTTATTGTATCTGTGTTGAGTGCTAGATCTACGAATGGAACTCCATACTAGCAAACAGCAACCTCATTTCCAGTTCATTTTTCTCCTTGCTTGAGGTGTTCTAAATATTGGAAGAATCATCTATTCTAAATCAGAATGCCCCTGCTTTGTCTACTCTGTGTTTTTTTTTTAACAAGAAGCCATATTTATTGTGTTTATTGATTTATTGATGCTTAGAAAATAAGAGAATGTTGGTTTAGGGCGGGCTGAAATTTATCTTTTTGCTATGTAGAAAAGAGGCAAGTTGCTCTAATCCTTTAAGCACAGAAGCTTATAAGGAGAATTCAAATTCATGTCTGGTTTGCCTGTATTCAGAGATTCTACAGAGACAAAATTCTCTCCTAAAAGGAACTGTATACCGGCCAGCCACGGTGGCTCACGCCCGTAGTCCCAGTACTTTGGGAGGCCAAGATGGGTGGATCACTTGAGGCCAGGAGTTCGAGACCAGCCTGGACAACATGGTGAAACCCCATCTGTACTAAAAATACAAAAATTAGCTTGGCTTGGTGGCATGTGCCTGTAATCCCAGCTACTTGGGAGGCTGAGGCACGAGAATCGCTTGAACCCGAGAGGCAGGAGTTGCAGTGAGCTGAGATCACACCACTGCACTCCAGCCCGGCCAACAGAGCTAGACTGTCTCAAAAAAAAAAAAAGGAACTATATACCACCTGGCATATATCTGAAGAGAAGCAGGGTGGAGGGCAAAGTAAAATATAAGTTCAGTGGAAAAATACTTGGAAAGCCACTTGGTAACAATAAAGATATTAATTAAATCACCCAGGGCCTTATGCCATAATGATATGCACCAGGTGTTTCTGCTTCCACTTAATTAACTCAGCATAATTCCTCTTTTAGAAAACGACACATACTGTTGGGGTATATCCAGCCGAAACACACATCAGCACAAAGCTTTTAAAATGTGGTTCTTTTCAATGTACATATTAGAATGGCCTCATTTCTTTCACTATGTGTGTACTGACCTTAGTGGGTCACCTACATTAAAGGATGTGGTAGAAATAAGGCAATCCCACATTTACAGACAAGAAAACAAACAATAATGTAGTTTTATGGAAACTAAGCTTCAGAAATGCAAGGCATTCACTGGTTTCACTCAGAAACCTCTCAGATGTGGGAGAAATATGTGTGAGATTTGGACTTTCATTTATCCAAATATGAGGAATTTTTCTGCTAGAGTCAACTGGCTGATAATGGATGGAAAGGATTAGTGCAGGTCCTACTTGGCAGCCTTCTCGGTAGAAACCCATATGCTCTCTGACATTGATTATAATTATTTTTCCATCATTCCCAGGTTACATTCTTAGCAGGAATGTGAGCCAACTCTCTCCCTAGGAAGGCTCCTGCTGTGAAACCATCTTTGGCAATGAATCTTTAACAAAAGATCAAGAACTTGACATTTATTTTTAAGCACGAGAAGAAAATGTGTGCAATGTTGGAAGCAAGGACAGGGATAGGAAGAGCTTCTAAACAGTTGCAGGCAGGGGCAGTGGAACAGAAATAAATATTACATAAGTGACATGTTGGTGACTTTACTTTTGTGAAATAGCAACTAATGACTAGGTATGGAATATATGGATTATATGATGTTAAGGTTTAACGTCTTTTTAAAGTAGAAGGGTGCTCCCTCTCCCTCTCCCCATGGTCTCCCTCTCCCCATGGTCTCCCTCTCATGCCGAGCCGAGGCTGGACGATACTGCTGCCATCTCGGCTCACTGCAACCTCCCTGCCTGATTCTCCTGCCTCAGCCTGCGGAGTGCCTGCAATTGCAGGCACGCGCCGCCACGCCTGACTGGTTTTCGTATTTATTTGGTGGAGACGGGGTTTCGCTGTGTTGGCCGGGCTGGTCTCCAGCTCCTAACCGCGAGTGATCCGCCAGCCTCGGCCTCCCGAGGTGCCGGGATTGCAGACCGAGTCTGGTTCACTCAGTGCTCAATGGCGCCCAGGCTGGAGTGCAGTGGCGTGATCTCGGCTCGCTACAACCTCCACCTCCCATCCGCCTGCCTTGGCCTCCCGAAGTGCCGAGATTGCAGCCTCTGCCCGGCCGCCACCCCGTCTGGGAAGTGAGGAGCCTCTCTGCCTGGCCGCCCATCGTCTGGGATGTGAGGAGCCCCTCTGCCTGGCTGCCCAGTCTGAAAAGTGAGGAGCGTCTCTGCCCGGCCGCCATCCCATCTGGGAAGTGAGGAGCGCCTCTTCCCGGCCGCCATCACATCTAGGAAGTGAGGAGCGTCTCTGCCCGGCCGCCCATCGTCTGGGATGTGGGGAGCGCCTCTGCCCCGCCGCCCTGTCTGGGATGTGAGGAGCCCCTCTGCCTGGCTGCCCAGTCTGGAAAGTGAGGAGCGTCTCTGCCTGGCCGCCATCCCATCTAGGAAGTGAGGATCGTCTCTGCCCGGCCGCCCATCGTCTGAGATGTGGGGAGCGCCTCTGCCCCGCCGCCCCGTCTGGGATGTGAGGAGCACCACTGCCCAGCTGCGACCCCGTCTGGGAGGTGAGGAGCGTCTCTGCCCGGCCGCCACCCCGTCTGGGAGGTGAGGAGCGTCTCTGCCCGGCCGCCCCGTCTGAGAAGTGAGAAGACCCTCCGCCCGGCAGCCGCCCCGTATGAGAAGTGAGGAGCCTCTCCGCCCGGCAGCCACCCCGTCCGGGAGGGAGATGGGGGGGGGTCAGCCCCCGCCAGGCCAGCCGCCCTGTCCGGGAGGGAGGTGGGGGGGTCAGCCCCCCGCCCGGCCAGCCGCCCCATCCGGGAGGTGAGGGTTGCCTCTGCCTGGCCGCCCCTACTGGGAAGTGAGGAGCCCCTCTGCCCGGCCACCACCCCGTCTGGGAGGTGTGCCCAACAGCTCATTGAGAACGGGCCAGGATGACAATGGCGGCTTTGTGGAATAGAAAGGGGGGAAAGGTGGGGAAAAGATTGAGAAATCGGATGGTTGCCGTGTCTGTGTAGAAAGAAGTAGACATGGGAGACTTTTCATTTTGTTCTGTACTAAGAAAAATTCTTCTGCCTTGGGATCCTGTTGATCTATGACATTACCCCCAACCCTGTGCTCTCTGAAACATGTGCTGTGTCCACTCAGAGTTAAATGGATTAAGGGCGGTGCAAGATGTGCTTTGTTAAACAGATGCTTGAAGGCAGCATGCTCATTAAGAGTCATCACCACTCCCTAATCTCAAGTACCCAGGGACACAAACGCTGCGGAAGGCCGCAGGGTCCTCTGCCTAGGAAAACCAGAGACCTTTGTTCACTTGTTTATCTGCTGACCTTCCCTCCACTATTGTCCTATGACCCTGCCAAATCCCCCTCTGTGAGAAACACCCAAGAATGATCAATAAAAAAAAAAAAAATAAAATAAAGTAGAAGGGTGGGGGAAATGTGATTATTCCAAACCCGGCGTGTCTTTATGATTTTATATCCAACTGATCATTCAGGGAGGTTATTAGGACAGTGGTTGAAACAGAAATTTAGGATAATATTCTAAGAAACAGAAAAAGCAGTCTTCTCATTCTAACTGGCAAAACCAACAGAGATAACAAAAAAAAATTTTTTTTTTCCCCAGGAAGAGCGTGTGCATTCAAACTTGTTCATTCATTAATTTGAGTTGAAGGGAGGGGGACGTCCTTGGTGGAAAAGTTAAAGAAAGTGCTCTGGATGAGAAATTCACAGGGTAAGAATTTTTCATTTTCAAATTGTCCACCTACAATAAGGAAATTTCTTCCAAATTAATTTTTAAAACAACAGGTGCAGAAAATGGTGTGGCTGTCAGAAAATTACCAAATTAAACATAAAAAGCTTAGCCTGTCTCCTAAAGGATGGTTATTTCTATCTTATGGTTTCATGCACTGTAATGATTAGTTTCTCCATTAAAATCAAATACAGAATATAATTAAGTCAGTACTCCAGGTTACATGTCTTAAAATTCCACTAGCTGAAGGACTTGCTAGAGGCAGTAATAAATACTTTAATAAATACCTGTACCATAAATTTACTTCAGATGTGACTTAAACTCAGCACAAAGCTTACCATAGGCAGTTTATAGCCTCTAGATGGGTAAATTTTTTTTTGCTGAGCTATGCTCTTCTAAGCATTTGGATAAAGTTCCTAATGGTATTCCACTTTCTAGCTTTGCCAAAAACTTAGCCAAAAGTGATGTGTACATTTTTATACATGAGAATGAAATCAAATGAAAAGTTTTGATTTAAAAAGGAAACCACATATTATTGAAAACTAAAATATATCTTGGTTATGGACTCGTGAATACTACATCAAAATTCATTGCAGAAGAATAAATTACCCAATCTTGTAATAGAGTTTTCAGATATGGAAAATGTATAGTGTTCTTCCTGTTTAAACATTGTAGATTTAAATCATTTGGTTATATAATCACAATTCAATTTTCATCTCAAATTTTCATTGTCATTATTATATCACTTAAAAATATATAATCGAGCACAGTGGCTCATGCCTGTAATCCCAGCACTTTGGGAGGCCGTAGTAGGAGGATCACTTGAGCCCAGGAGTTCAAGACCAGCCCTGGCAACATGGCAAGACCCTGTCTTTACAAAAAATTTAAAAACTAGTTGGGTGTGGTAGCATGCACTTGTAGTCCCAGCTACTTGGGAGGCTAACCTCAGAGGATCACTTGAGCCTGGTAGCTTGTGGCTGCGGTGAGCTGTGGTCGTGCCTCTGCACTCCATCCAGCCTGGGAGACAGAGCAAGACCCTATCTCAAAAAAAATATATATGTATATATATGTTCTAAATATTATATATATGTATTTCTAAAAACCACTACAATCACTTGTACTTAAGGTCTATTCTCATCTTCTTGGTTTGGCATAACCAATACTTCTCACTGAAGGTAAAGATGTTAATAGCAATGGGGAAAAAAAATAACACTTCTCCAGTGCCAGGCAAATGGCCATATCCATCAGGAGTGAAGAAAGCTAATACGTTTCCACACATGGTTGGCTTTATCTCTTCCATTTGAATAAGTTATTGCATTTACTATGTGCAAGGTTGTTTGCAAAACATCTTACATGCATTGCCTTATTTAATTCTCATAAAAATCTAAAATGTATATATTTAAGCCTCCCAAATACCCAGTGAGAGAGTTAATATGCTCCTTCTACAGGGAGAAAGCTGAAGCTCAGAGAGTTTATTTACCTAGAGTTTTATAAGGAGGAAATCATTTCTTGTAACCATCTATGTCAGTTGGGTCTTCCAGGAAGCAGATGAGGAGATGGAGTTAAGAACACAAACAGTTGATTCAGGTGAAATGCCTGTTAAAGAAAAAAGGGAGAATCAGCAGCTTGGACAGATAAAGCCTTTAGGCCATTATATTAATCTGACACTTGTGAAAAAAAAAAAAAAGTGTGGAAGAGGCTGGGCGCGGTGGCTCATGCCTGTAATCCCAACACTTTGGGAGGCTGAGGTGGGCAGATCACTTGAGGTTGGGAGTTCGAGACCAGGCTGACCAATATGGAGAAACCCCATCTGTACTAAAAATACAAAATTAGCCAGGTATGGTGGCACATGCCTGTAATCCCAGCTACTCAGAAGGCTGAGGAAGGAGAATCGCTTGAACCCGGGAGGCAGAGGTTGCGATGAGCTGAGATCATGCCATTGCACTCCAGCCTGGGCAACAAAAATAAAACTCTGTTTAAAAAAAAAAAAAATAGTGGTGAAGAAACAGGATTGAACAGGAGCACCTCAGAATGCAATGCACACCTGACAGTTTTGGCCAACTCAATGGGAAACTCCAGAGCAAAGATTGCCGATTGGAAGATATCCACATTGGCCAGAAATAGCCAGCCCCTAGTACTTCCACTATGTTCAGTTATTATCTGGAGACCGTTCAGGAAGAGTGTGGCCTTAGCTTGAAAACTGAGGTGGTGTGAAGCTGCTGCAGCTGGAGGCTGTCAACTAACCACTCTCCTTGCAGCTGAATGGAAGTTCTTTCTCGAATGGAGAGCCAAGTGGTGTGTCTTCACAACTGCCACAGTTCACCCCATGCACCATGCAGCTCCCCTCCCATTTAGGGAACAGCTACTCCAGGGTTCCAGTGTGCCTCTCTTGCAGAGACACTTAAAAGAGGCAGATCAGTGGGATGAACTATAGCCCTTGTCACTGCAGTTGGTCTTGGGATTGCAACTGATACTTATCCTCTCCCTTCTCCACTATCCATTCAAAATTGACTCTCCCTCAGTTATCATCTCTAGTGGTCTCAGTAACTTGCTGGTGGTGTGACACAACTTTCATTTCTGAATGAAGCCACTGGTAACCATACTTATCTCAAGCTGGGGTTGCTGTACTCATCCATGTATGTTCTCAGTTGGGCCAGGGAGTATCATAAAGCACCCAACTGGACTGCCTGAGTTCTCCACATATTCTTCATTGCCCCCACTTGTAACAGCAGCCCAAACTCCTCCTGCTAATCAGGGGCAATTACCCTTGCCAAGATGGCAACTCTTCTTACCTGCTGGTTCATGGACACGAAGAATTCAAAATGCTGGGGCAGGAGCCATATTTTATAGTTCAAATGGAACTCTTGCTGTTTCCCCAACCATGACGTTTCATTAGGGCAACCTCTTGCAGCCTCCTGCTCCTCCATTCTTGCTTTCTTTTAATTTTTTTATTTTTAATTATTATTATTATTATTATTTTTGAGACAGAGTCTCACTCTGTCGCCCAGGCTGGAGTACAGTGGCACGATCTTGGCTCACTGCAACCTCCTCCTCCCGGGCTCAAGCAATTCTCCTGCCTCAGCCTCCCGAGTAGCTGTGATTACAGGTGCCCGCTACCACGCCTGGCTAATTTTTGTATTTTTAGTAGAGACAGGGTTTCACCATGTTGGCCAGGCTGGTCTCGAACTCCTGACCTCAGGCGATCCGCCCGCCTTGGCCTCCCAAAGTGCTGGGATTACAGGCGTGAACCACCGTGCCCAGCCTCATTCTTGCTTTCTTTTGATGGTGCATATTAAGCAACATCTCCATTGGCTGGTCATTGACTTTGTCCTTTGGGACACCATATTCTGTGAACTATCTCCACAACTTTCTTTGGATCAAGCTCCCTTGGCTGCCATTCTGTTTTGCTGGTCATTACTATAATTACAACGCTCTGGCTTCTAGTGGTTAAGTGCCGCCCCTGGCCTCTTGCTTCAGGAGCCCACCATGCTCATTGCTATCCATGAGCCAAGCTCTGTGACAGCATCTCCTACCCACAGCCCTCGCCAGCACTGAACTTCTCCCTGATGCTGGCATCCCCTCCCTGGAGTATTCCTCATGTCCTTGGCAAGTGAAGCATAAGCTCTGGGCCTATGTGTCGCATAATCCTCTGGGGGTCTTCTGGCCTCACAGAAGATATCTATTCCAACATGTCCACTTCCCTCTGCATCTTTATTCCTTCCTCTACCATCTGCCAGGGCAATATTGATATGATAACTTTGCTCAGCATGGACCATTGCTTTCTCCATGCTTCTAAGAGCCACCCTAGCAGTAGGTCTGCACCATCCCCCCAGGGCCCTTGCCAGGATGTTAAATCCCATATCCTGGGAGAGTAGGCGTATGAGATTTTAACAAACTTTCCTTCAGCCAATGTTATGTCCTGGCCCCTTCATCAGGCACCCTCAAAATCCAGTCCCACAAGTACTCTGACTCCTTCAGGTATGTTCCAGTTTATGCTTGAAGCTCCACTTGAGTATAATCCCTTCCTTGCTACCAATCCCACCTACATTAGGCTGCAATTTAACATAGTTGTTCACCTACAGCTGGGAGAGAAAATGAGGCATATGTTGAAGGGGACTCCTGTTGTCCTGTGAGGTTGAGGCTTCTACAGTATCTTTTCACACTGGGGAATGCAAGCTCTTACTGGGAGAGGGAAGCAGGAGGAGCAACTCTGCAGCCTCTGAAGATTCAGAGGAATCCAGGGAATCAAACCGGTTAGAGGTATGCAGCCAGGCGGCTCCATCCCATGTGTCAGGTTCCAGGTTTTACATACCAGGGCCCTGATCATTGCATAACAGACTGACTCAGCTGAGCATCAATCAGGTTTGAAGCTCTGCAACTCTTAATTGCTAATTCTGGAGTTTGGCCTTTAGCTTTTTCTATCCTTCCACTGCAGGACTAAGGGCCTCTTTGTAAACTTCCAAAGAGACCCTCTGGCCTTCATATGTAGTTTTCAATTGTTTGTTAATGATCTTGGCTTTTCATTATCCTCACATCCCACCTTCATTGAGCATCAGTGCAACTTCATAATAACCAACCAACTCACTGTCCTTGTATGCATTGTTCCCATGCTCCCCTCACCCTCAACCCTGTACAAAAGTCCAAATTGTTGCATCAGCCAAGGCATTTCCCTTCATTGAAACATTCTCCCGAGTCCCCTCCAGTGAAAGTTTTACCAACTGGGCTGCCACCTTGTGCCACAAACTCTTCACGTCCCACATACCACCCTGGATGGGGTCCTTGCAGGCTAAGTGGTGAGTGGTCCAGTCCCCAAACCCTCTCTTATCACCACTCCTTAAAGCAGATGCTGAGAAGGAGTTAGGAATGCAGGTGATTCCTTGGGAGAGGGAGTAATGTCTGTGAAGGATAAAAGAGAGGAGGCCGGATTGTGCAAGGAGAGTGTTAGAATAGTGAGCAGATATTATAAAGTCTCTGCCAACCCAACAGGGAGCTCTATGGCAAAGATTGCCCATTGGAGGAGTCCTGTGTTGAACAGAAATGGCTAGGCCCTAGCATTCTTGCTGTGCTGTCATTGGCTAGTGACTACCCAAGGAGACAATGGCCAAAAGCTGAACTTCGAATTCTTTCTTGGCAGGAGACAGAAAAGGCTCCATGTCTGTCACCCCATCATATTTCCACGCATTTATTAAGTGCTGGTTTGTGTGGCATCCTTTGACAGGAGACATAAGACAACAGCTCAGAGTGGAAGAAATAGATGTTCTCAGGAAGAGGCTGTATGCTGTCCTGGTTTCGAGCATCTGCCCTACAGTCAGAATGCCTGCATTTGAAATAAGTTTCTGCCACGAACTAGCTGTAAGACCGTGGGTGAGTTATTCAACCTTTCAGCACCTCATCTCCTAAAATGGGGATAATGTTTTCTTCCCCAAAGACTTGTGGGGAGGGACCAAAAATTAAATGGATTATTGAATGTAAAGTGCTTAGACCATTGGCCAACAGTTCGTCAGTGCCCTATAACTGTTGCCTGTTTAGCATGTCATAAACACATGACTCGCATACATTACATTAAAATAGAGCAGAGTATTTAAGTCCAGGGAAAGGAAACTATTATCAGATGACTGCTCTCTTCCAGGCACTGTAACACTATTTTCTCATGATCCTCTCTTTAATCTTTGCAATAACTCACAAGGTAGGTTTTACCAGTTGCAGTTTCCTGAGGAGGAAACCAAAGCTGGGAATTATTTTATCCTCAAAGTGGCAATAAGTTGTTGGCCACAACCGGGATATTCCGCTTTTCTCCTCACATTTAGAAATGTCATGTGGCTGTGAGTCACCTTGTGAGGATCTTGTCACATCCTTAGACTGTACTGCCAACACTGAAAATGCACTGTGGCTGACCCGTTTAAGCAAAGCCAGGCTGCAATTTTCCTGTGGATTCCCATTCCAGCAGTTAGGCTGGGCTCTCCTATGATTTTGCTACCACTGCGATTTTGCTGTGTGGCTACTTTAGAGACTAGAGACTGCCTAATGTGAGCAATAGGTGATCTAACGGACAATCATTATTGGTTGACTCAGCATCTATCAGTTGACTAAAGTTGCCTTTAGTCAACGGCAGCATCATGGTTTTCATCCATGGAATTCTGCGGTGTTGGCTCCACCCTCAGCTCCAGGAGGGGGTATGTGCTTGGCACCTGGATAATTAGATCATGGCATTCCCAGCCACAGTGATGGGTTTTGGGGAAAGGAGACATGTTACAATCCAGGCCAATTCATGTCAGGCCTTAACTTATTTTATTTTTGAGACAAGGTCTTGGCTCTGTCACCCAGGCTGGAGTACAGTGGTGTGACCACGGCTCACTGCAGCCTGGACCTGCCAGGCTCAATTGATCCTCTCGCCTCAGCCTCCTGAGTAGCTAGGACTACAGTTGCATGCCCCTCTACCCAGCTAATTTGTGTAGAGACAGAGTTTCGCCATGTTGCCCAGGCTGGTCTCAAACTCCTGGGCTTGAGTGATCCACCTGCATTAGTCTCCCAAAGTGTTGGGATTACAGGTGTGAGCCACCAAGCCCAGCTTAGACTTAACTTTATATTGATGGCAATGAAAAGCTTTTTCTTTTTCTGCCTGGAGCTATAAGGTCATAAACCTGCCACTACTGGTCACAATCTTCCTCCCATAAAATGAAAGTAAGCCTCAGAATAAAGCCAGAACAGAGGCAGGAAAAACAGAGACATCAGGAGAGCAGTGGTCCTGATAACATCATTTGAGCCCCTGATTCCAGATATACCTGAAGCCTGTATATCCCTTGGCTTTTAGTTCTGTTAAGTAAAACTTATGGGGATGCCATTGGTTTGGACTGAGCTCCTGCGCTGGGCCCCAACAGATCAGACCAAACCAGAATGGAGTCACTCATGCTAGCTGTTACGTAGTCAAACTGAACTTAGAAGTGGATCAGTTTTCCAAAAAAAAAAAAAAAGGAAGATTCACAGCAACCAATCCAAAGAGGCCCCATCAACCTGAGCTGGCATGATAAGGAAGTCCCTTCTGCTTTAATTCTATAAGAAAAGGGACTTTGAAACAACCAAACTGCTTTTTGTTCCTTATTTCTGCTTTCTTCTGCCTCTTCTGCCTGTAAAGCCCAGCTCCTCTGCTCAGCTCCTCAGGGTGCCTTTGTATTTCATAGAAGAAACGCTGCCCAATTCATGAATTACCAACAAAAGCCAATTGGATCTTTAAACTTTTTTGTTGCAAGTTTGTTCTTTGATAGTTCTGCAAGCCAATAAATTCCCTTTTCTTCCTTTAAATCAGATGTCCTTGGCCGGGTGTGGTGGCTCACACCTGTAATCCCAGCACTTTGGGAGGCCAAGGCGGGCGGATCATCTGAGGTCGGGAATTTGAGGCCAGCCTGACCAACAGGGAGAAACCCCATCTCTACTCAAAATACAAAATTAGCCAGGTGTGGTAGTGCATGCCTGTAATCTCAGCTACTCGGGAGGCTGAGACAGGAGAATTGCTTGAACCTGGGAGGCAGACTTGCAAGAGCCGAGATTATGCCATTGCACTCCAGCCTGGGCAACAGAGTGAGATTTTGTCTCAAAAAAAAAAAAAAAAAAAAATCAGGTGTCCTCAACCTCTAGGCCATGGACCAGTCCACAGCCTGTTAGGAACAGGGCTGCACAGCAGGAGGTGAGTGGCAAGCAAACAGGAGCGAGCATTGCCACCTGAGCTCCGCCTCCTGTTAGATCAGCAGCGGCATTAGATTCTCACTGGAGCACAAACCCTATTGTGAACTGAGTATGCAAAAGATCTAAGTTGCAGGCTCCTGATGAGACTCTAACTAATGCTTGATGTACTGTACTGCCAACAGTACAGTACAGTTTCATCCAGAAACCATCCTTCACGGTCCATGGAAAAATCGTCTTCCACAAAACGGGTCCCTGGTGCCAAAAAGGCTGGGGACTGCTGCTTTAAATAGTTTCAGCTGGGATTTCTATTACCTGAAACTAACTCCTAGCAGTGAATCATTCAGTCAGTCAATATTGAATACCTTCAGTGTGCTAGGTATGGTCCAAGTGTAGGAAAACAGCAGTCAACAAGACATACAACTCCCTGTGGGCCTGGATTTGCATTTGAAACTGACATTCTCGGCCGGGCGTGGGGGCTCACGCCTGTCATCCCAGCACTTTGCGAGGCTGAGGTGGGCAAATCACCTGAGGTCGGGAGTTCGAGACCAGCCTGGTCAACATGGTGAAACCCCGTCTTTACTAAAAAAAAAAAAAAAAAAAATACAAAAATTAGCTGAGCGTGGTGGCACAGGCCTGTAATCACAGCTGCTCAGGAGGCTGAGGCAGGAGAATCACTTGAACCTGGGAGGTGGAGGTTGCAGTGAGCCGAGATCATGCCACTGCCCTACAGCCTAAGCGACACAATGAGACTCCATCTCAAAAAAGAAAAAAGAAAAAAGAAACTGACATTCTAGTGAGAAGAAAAGGAGAAAAAGTAAATGTGTATATTGTGAATCAGTTATGACAAGTTCTGTAAGCTGGACAAGGGGAAGTAAGTGTTATAAGGGACTCAGGGAACATCTCACAGATATGGTGACTTTCAGAAGAGACCTAAAATATGTGAGAGAGTAAGCCATGAGTGGTAGCAGGGTTCCAGCAAGAGGAAACAAAAAATTCAAAGGCCCTGAGTTGAGTATATGCTTACAGAACAGTGAGGCCAAAGTGTTAAACGTGGCCAGGCGTGGTGGTTCACACCTGTAATCCCAGCACTTTGTGAGGCTGAGGCAGGAGGATCACTTGAGCCCAGGAACTCAGGACCAGCCCAGGCAATGTGGCAAGATTCTGTCTCTACAGAAAATTTTAAAATTAGCTGGAGACATTGGCATATACCTGTGGTCCCAGCTACTTGGGAGGCTGAGGTGGGAGGATGGCTTGAGCTCAGGAGTTGGAGCTTACATTGAGTCTCGATTGAACCACTGCACTCCACCCTGGGCAACAGAGTGAGACCCTGCCTCAACTAAAACAAAAACAAAACAAAACCCAGAGTGTTAAAAGTGCAGTGGGAAAGAAGGTGGGGTGGAAGATGAGGTCAGAGAAGTAACAAGTTCAAACCATCCAAGCCCTTCACAGCCATTGGAGCTTTATGGTTTTACTCAACGTAGATGAGAATCCATTGGGCAGGTTTTTTTTTTTAAATGACATGTGCTAACATATTTTAAAAGAATTAATTTGGTTGTTGAATGGAGGGGGCAAGGGCAGAAGCTAGGAATCCAGGGAGGAGAATATTGCAATGATCTGGATGACAGATGGTGTCTAGGGCAGAGTGGTAGCAGTGGAAATTAAGAGTGGTGGACAGATAAGAGGTATATTTTGAAGGCTGAATAAACAGGATTTGCTGATAAATTGGATTTTGGGATGAAAGAAAGTGAAGAGTCAAGGATGATTCCACAGTTTTTGGCCTAAGTAACTGGAAGTTTGGGATAAAGTTTCGGTCCTTTTTCTTTTCTTTTTTTTCCTTTTCTTTTCTTTTCTTTTCTCCCTCTCTCTCTCTCTCTTTCTTTTTCTTTTTTCTTTTTTTTTGACAGAGTCTCGCTCTGTTGCCCAGGCTGGAGTGCAGTAGCATGATCTCGGCTCACTGCAACCTCCGCCTCCTGGGTTCAATTGATTCTCCTGCCTCAGCCTCACGAGTAGCTGGGATTATAGGCACATGCCACCACACTCGGCTAACTTTTTGTATTTTGAGTAGGGACGGGGTTTCACCATGTTGGCCAGGCAGGTCTCGAACTCCTGACCTCAAGTGATCCACCTGCCTCGGCCTCCCAAAGTGCTGGAATTACAGGTGTTAGCCACCACGCCTGGCTGGTTCTTTTTCATTAGTTATTAGATACCTATTAGATAGCCAAGGTCTGACAGTCAGACATTCAGAGGAGAGGACTAGGATAGAGATATATATTTGGGACTCATCAGTGCATGATAGTATTTAAAGTTGTGAGACTGAATGAGACCCAGTGCAGTGGCTCACACTCATAATGCCAGCGCTTTGGGAGGCTGAGGCAGGAGGATCACTTGAGCCCAGGAGTTTGAGGTTACAGTGAACTATGATCATGCCACTGTACTTCAGCCTGGATGACCGAGCAAGATTCTGTCTCAAAACAAAATAAAATAAAATAAAGCTGCAAGACTGAATGAAACATGTGCATAGATAAAGAATAGATATGAGGGCCAAGTCCTGGGACTCCATGCTTAGAGGTCAGGAAGATAAGGAGGAACCAATAAGGCAGACTGAGAAAGAATAGCCATTGGGGTAGCTGCTGCTATATATAGTGAAGAAAATGCATCAAGGAGGGAGTGATCAGCTGTCTACCAGGTGCACTAGGTGCTGATTTCTGGGACAAGAAAAATGAGGACAGGAAATTTATTACTAGATTGAGCAATGTGGAGCTTTTAACACTTACTGCTATCTTATTTATATACTACCTGTTGACATTTGCTTTTTTTCTGTCTCCTCCCATTCTTATGTAAGCTCTGTAAGCTCTGTGACATTCTATTTCATTTGCTACTGCATTCCTAGTGTCTAGGACAGTACCTGGCATATAATAAGTGCTCAATAAATATTCCTTAAATATTATTGAATGGGCCAGCGCAGTGACTCACACCTGTAATCCCAGCACTTTGGGAGGCCGAGGTGGGCAGATGGATCATTTGAGGTCAGGAGTTCGAGACCAGCCTGGCCAATATATAGTAAAACCCCATCTCTACTAAAAAATACAAAAATTAGCTGGACATGGTGGCGCATGCCTGTAGTCCCAGCTACTTGGGAAGCTGAGTCAGGAGAATTGCTTGAACCCGGGAGGCAGAGGTAGTGGTGAGCCGAGATTGCGCCACTGCACTCCTGCCTGGGTGACAGAGCGAGACTCTGTCTCTCAAAAAAAAAAAAATTTATTGAATGAAAAAATTATGAAAACAGGCTGGGCGCGGTGGTTCACGCCTGTAATCCCAGCACTTTGGGATGCCGAGGCAGGTGGATCACCTGAGGTCAGGAGTTCAAGACCAGCTTGACCAACATAGTGAAACCTTGTCTCTACTAAATACAAAAAGTTAGCCGGGCATGGTGGCGCACTGTAATCCCAGCTATTCGGGAGGCTGAGGCAGGAGAATCGCTTGAACCCGGGAGGCAGAGGTTGCAGTGGGCCAAGATTGTGCCATTGCACTCCATCCTGGGCAACAAGAGCGAAAACATTGTCTCAAAAAAAAAAAAAAAATTATGAAAACAAGGAAAAGAAAATTTTATTTCTTAATTCCTCTTTGTACAAAGATATCTTGCTTTTTATATTTTGGTAGAGGAAGTAATGGTGTAGCACCAGTTTTGAATTACGTTTAGAATCTGACAAGGTATTTAAACTCACTAAGCTTTTGTTTCCTTATGCTTAAAAGGTGATGGATAATAATAAGATAATGTCTGAGATTTTACCCAGAACCATGTCCAGTACATAACATGTACTCAATAAATGCTTTGTAAATATGGAAGGGTCACATGAGCCAGACCACACAATGGCAGACAAATTGAATGCAGATAATTAAGTCATTTGATATAGGAAGTTTCATTTACTTGAGAAGTGATTTATTATGTCTTTTCTCTGTCTATACTCTGTCTAAATTCAGTCTCACAACTTTAAATACCAGAAAAAAGGAAGTGTTGCTAGCAGCTGCATTTCCAACTAAAAGCACTTGAGTGTGTCTCAAGATGGGATAAGGACGGTAACATATTCCAAATAGTGTTGCTATTGTGGTGGTTTCACATTAAAATGTAATGGCTAGCCGGACACGGTGGCTCACACCTGTAATCCCACCACTTTGGGAGGCCGAGGTGGGAGGATCGCCTGAGGTCGGGAGTTTGAGACCAGCCTGGCCAACATGGTGAAACCCCATCTCTACTAAAAATATAAAATTAGCCAGGCATGGTGGCACATACCTGTAATCCCAGCTACTCAGGAGGCTGAGACAGGATAATCACTGGAACCCAAGAGGCAGAGGTTGTGGTGAGCCGAGATTGTGCCACTGCATTCCAGCCTGGGCAAGAGCGAAACTCCATCTCAAAAATAAATAAATAAATAAAATGTAATAGCTTTTAGGCTTTTGTTTTGTTTTGTTTTGTTTTGTTTTGTTTTTTGAGACAAAGTCTCATTCTGTCTCCTAGGCTGGAGTGCAGTGGTGCGATCTTGGCTCACTGCAACCTCCACCTCCTGGGTTCAAGCAATTCTCCTCCCTCAGCCTCCCGAGTAGCTGGGATCACAGGCATGCGCCACCACACCTGGCTAATTTTTGTATTTTTAGTAGAGACGGGGTTTCACCATGTTGGCCAGGCTGGTCTTGAACTCCTGACCTCAAGCGATCCGCCCGCCTTGGCCTCCCAAAGTGCTGGGATTAGAGGCGTTATCCACCCTGTCCAGCCGGCTTTCAGGCTTTTAAAAAGTACCTTGTGTCTTATAGATTCTATATTTTAAATCTCATTACATTATAATATAATAAGATAGATAGGTATACTTTGGGGAGACGACTCCCCCTAGACCTAGATCTTCTCCTAGGTCAGCCTGATCTGAATCTTACAGAAGGCACCAGAGTAGGCTGGAGCAGATGCCAAGGCTTGGAAAGACTCTGCAAATATGTTGTGAAGTGTCAACCTCAAAAGGTTAACTAGGAAGCTACTAAAGGATCTTGGCAGTTTAAAGTAGGTAAAGATATTTTCAAGGAGATCGGCCTTTAGCAGGGGAAAATTATGCTGAGTGAGGAGGTTAAAAGGGGGTGGGATAACCAGTTAGAGTTGAGAGCTATTCTGCATTAGCACTTAAGCAGCCTGGGCATGCGGCCAAATCTCTTGGGTTAATGTTTCTTCTCCTTTGTTGTCCAGGATTAGGCAACAATGTGGCCTTCTGTCATTTTGCATTTCTTTGTCTGTTAAAAAGAGTCAATAACCTGCATTCTCTTTGGACCCAGAATATTTGGCCATCATCTTTCCCCTAGCACAGAAACAATGACATTCTGGTATTGATGTATTGGTACCGGACATTGTGGGGAGATGTCAAGATGGTGATTAAAGTTCTGATCCTTTGGAAATCAGTGTTTATGGGAAGGTACTAAACATTACAAGAAGCTAAGAATGCGAAGGACAAATATTTAGAGAAAATCTCCAAGAACAAACTCTTCCAGATAGCGACAAAGTTTGTATTCGTGTGCCAACAATTCTTGTCTCTCTTGATAATACTATTTTTTGCCATGAAATGTGGGTTATTACAGTGATGGGGAAGAGAGGCTGAATCAGAAAGGATGTTGACATTTGGCAACAGAAGAAAGGGTTTGTATTTTTATTTATTTATTTTTTGAGACAGGGTCTCATTCTTTCACTGAGGCTGGAGTGCAGTGATGCCATCTTAGCTCACTGCAACCTCTGCCTCCTGGGCTGAAGCAATCCTCCCACCTCAGCCTCCCGAGTAGCTGGGACTACAGGCATGCACTACCTTCCTCTGCTGATTTTTGTCTTTTTAGTGGAGACGGGGTTTCACCATGTTGCCCAGGCTGGTCTTGAACTCCTGGGCTCAAGCGATCAGCACACCTCAGCCTCCCAAAGTGCTGGATTACAGGTGTGAGTCACCGTGCTCTGCCAGAAAGGGTTTTTTAAATCTTGCAGTGTACCCTTCAGGACGGCTGAAAGCATGACTTTGTGGGCTCCTTTTTTGTACTTTGGCTTCACAAGGGGAATGACATCTCCCAAGTGACTCTGTCTGACTGGTCTTTGTCATTATTATTACCTCATTTACTTAGTACTTCCTAATATTAGACATCGTACTAAGTGTTTTACGTGTATTATTCCATTTACTTTTCACAAAAAAAAACTCATGAAGTAGGAACTATTAACGTTCTCTTCATACAAAGAAAACTGAGTCATAATCCCACCACTGGTGAGCTTTTGGTGATGTGTAGCATCTGGATACTGGAAAAGAAGTCCCTAGTTGAGGTGCTAAGAGAGAGGAACAAACATATTTAGAGCAACTTGCTGGGTGCAGTGACTCAAGCCTGTAATCCCAGTACTTTGGGAGGCTGAGGTGGGAGGATTGCTTGAGCCCAGGATTTTGAGACCAGCTTGGGCAACATCATGAAACCCCATCTCTACTAAAAATACAAAAATTAGCCAGGAGTGGTGGCACATTGCTGTAGTCCCAGCTACTTAGGAGGCTGAGGCATGAAAATCATTTGAATTCAAGAGGCAGAGGTTGCAGTGAGCTGAGATTATGACATTGTACTCCAGCTTGTGTGACAGAGTGAGACTCTGTCTCAAAATAAAATAAAATAAAAATGAATAAATGAAACATACACATTTGAATTTTCATTCATTCATATTTTGCTTCCTTCCATGAGTTGGGCATTGTATTGGGACTGGGAATACAATAATGAACAGATGCAGGTCACAGGCTATTGAGAGTCCAGTAATTCAAATAGTTGTAATGCAATATGAGAAGTGTCATGATACAGAGCAATGTTTTCAAAACTTTTCTAATGATGGGAATCCCCAGGGCCGCTTGTGAAATATGGAACTTAACTTACCAGACTTTTCTCATGTAAATTCTGAGGTTTTAGAATCTGGAATCTGGTTTTTTTTTTGTTGTTGTTGTTTTTTTGAGGCAGAGTTTCACTCCGTCATCAGGCTGGAGTGCAATGGCGCAATCTCGGCTCACTCCAACCTCTGCCTCCCGGGTTCAAGCGATTCACCTGCCTCAGCCTCCTGAGTAGCTGGGACTACAGGTGCGCGCCACCACACCCAGCTAGGTTTTTTTTTTTTTGTATTTTTAGTAGAGACAGGGTTTCACCATGTTGGCCAGAATGGTCTCCATCTCTTGACCTTGTGATCTGCCCGCGTCGGCCTCCCAAAGTGCTGGGATTACAGGCATGAGCCGCTGCACCTGGCCTAGAATCTGTTTTTTAACTAACACTAAAGTTGAGTCGTATATTCAGGAAAGTCTGGGAAGCATAGATGTAAAGGTGTGTGCCCAAATGCTCGAGAAACCTAAGGTGGGGTGTCTACTCAGCCTGGGGAGTTAAGGATGGCCTCACAGAGAAGGTGACAGCTGAAGAGGAGGTGCAGGAACAGAAGTTATTTCACACCCCAGCAGGGGACCCTACCCTTGTGTTCTAAGGTGTGAAAGTATGAGCAAACATTGACCTATTTAGGACACTGAGAGCAATCAGACACTGTGGAAGTCAAAATATACAAAGAGAAATAGCAAGGGATAAGGCTGGAGAGAAAGTGAGGGCCAGGCTATGAAAATCCTGGAATGCCATGTGAAGAAATATAGATTGATGGAGATGCTTTTTAGACTGCCTTGGTTCTTATTTCTATTTTATATATTATCATATCATATTTTATATATTTATACATTAGTATATAATATTTATATATTGTATACTATAATATATTGTTATATTTATATTTACTGAAATTTTTTTTTTTTGAGACAGGGTCTCTCTGTCACCTAGGCCGGAGTGCAGTGGTGCAGCCTCAACCTCCTGGTATCAAGAGATCCTCCCACCTCAGCCTCCTGAGTAGCTAGGACCACAGGTGTGCACCACCATGCCTGGCTAATTTTTGTATTTTTTGTAGAGACAGGATTTCACCATGTTGCCCAGGCTGGTCTTGTACTCCTGGGCTCAAGCGATCTGCCCTCCTCAGTGTTCCAAAGTGCTGGGATTACAGGCATGAGCCACTGTGCTTGGCCTATTTACTGAAATTAATTCCTTTTAAATTTTCCTTAGACAAGACTCAGTGGAGTATCATGGAGGAATGAGAGGCTTGTTTCTCTGGTTCTCAGCAAAAGGGCATTGGCCACACTGCTGGGAACAGAGGTGGTAATTTTAGTGAAGGGAATCAAAATGAGAGAGCCCAGATAGAGAGGTGGGCCTCACAGCGAATGGCTGAGAAAGACTGGAGCAGCTGTCATTGCCTTCTTGAGACCTTTTCTGATCAAACCAAAGAGGACATTCTACTTTGTTTTTGTAAGACTAAATGCTTTCTATACAAAACCAGAGCTTAATGTTTAGATGTAAAATAGTGAAACCCCAAAATACATTAAAAGTATGTTGGCTGGGCAAGGTGGCTCAGGCCTGTAATCCCAGCACTTTGGGAGGCCGAGGCAGGCGGATCACAAGGTCAGGAGGTTGAGACCAGCCTGACCAACATGGTGAAACCCCGTCTCTACTAAAAATACAAAAATTAGCCGAGCAGGGTGGCGCATACCTGTAATCCCAGCTACTCAGGAGGCTGAGGCAGGAGAATTGCTTGAAACTAGGAGGCAGAAGTTGCAGTGAACTGAGATCGCACCACTGCACTCCAGCCTGGGCGACAGAGCAAGACTCCATCTCCAAAAAAAAAAAAAAAAAGTATATTTTGATGCTTTTTAATCACAAATTATAAGAAACTCTCTATATTCATTCAAAGAAATAGTACATGCTCAGATGCGCCCTGCTCCAGGGAAGCCTTCTCTGCCTCCTTCTCTTTCTCTCTTCCCAGTATAGGTACCTCTCTTCTGTGCTTCTGAAATACCGTGAGCATCTAAACATATTGCATACGCGTATTATGTATTTATTTGTTTATGCTCATCGTTGCATATTATATGTTTATTTGTCTACTTCCTCCATTTCATTGTGAGCTCTTTGAAGGCAAAGAATGTGATATATTCTTTTTGTACACGTAGGAGTGAGCAAAGGCACATAAATGTCCAATAAATTTTTTTTGGAAGAGAGATTGAGAGAGAGAATACTATGTTTATTCTTTGAAACCATACTTTTTTTTTCTTCTAGGACAGGAAGCAGCTAAATCATACATTTCATTATCAGGACTTTTGACTGCTCTGAACTGATTTCAAGAAAAATGCCTTGTTTGAATCCAGTAGCTGATGTGGTTGAAAAGCACAAAAATATGCTCCTTTGTTAGTGCAAATTGATTCAATAATTCCATAGCTATCATCGGGATAAAGCACATTTAAGCCACATCGTTCACTGAGAACTTATGTGTTTTAAAGTGAAATTTTCAAGTCAGAATTTTAACAGAGAAAGGCAAAAATTTTTAAATATTGACTTCTAGAAGCTTGAATTCAATTAAGCTTGTTTTGCTAAGAATAATTTTTACTCAAAACTCATTAGTAAATGAAAAGAAACTCATTAGAAGATGTATATGTTGGCCGGGCGCGGTGGCTAATGCCTGTAATCCCAGCACTTTGGGAGGCCGAGGTGGGTGGATCACGAGGTCAGGAGTTCAAGACCAGCCTGGCCAAGATGGTGAAACCCTGCCTCTACTAAAAATACAAAAAATTAGCCGGGCGTGGTGGCGGGCACCTGTAATCCCAGCTACTCGGGAGGCTGAGGCAGGGAATTGCTTGAACCCGGGAGGTGCAGGTTGCAGTGAGCCAAGATCGCGTCACTGCACTCCAGCCTTGGCGACAGACCGAGACTCCGTCTCAAAAAAAAAAAAAAAAGATGCATATGTTATGTACATTTAAAAAATCTCCTAGAATGGAAAGCTATTACTTTTTATTTCACATGCATCATTTCTCTCATTTTAGTATGAAACATTTAAAAATATTTTCCATTTCATCTTTAATTTGACTTAGCCCTGATTTTGTAGACTTTCTCAACATTCTGTGATTATTGCATCAGGACGATGAAATATTTCAAAACAACTATTTTATAAAACAATTAAACTTCTGGAAAAATAACCCATGTTTTTCTTCCGTTATGTCACTTCAAATGTTCATTATTGAAAACTTTCTCAGTACTTTTAATGCTTACTAATCAATTATTTTACAATAATTTATTGAGAAAAAATTATTCTAAAGTATTACTCTAAAGCCTTGGGTAAAAAACATATTTGGATATTTGTGACAAGTAAAACAGAAATGCCAGGCTTCAAAACAGATTAGCTTTGGCAAAGAAACATCTTGCTGAATGTAGACATACAGTATCCTCTCTCTATAAGAACAACTTATGTTAGAATCTGTTGTTGCATATAAAAGTCTTATTTGAGTGGAAACTTGTACATCTGTCAAATGAAACTTTGTGGAAAAGATCAATTCATTTTAGGAAAATAAGTAAAATTAATATGCAGAAAAAATAGCTTTAAAAAAGCAGTGTACGTTCATTAGCAATTTGGATTCAGACAATTTGTCAAAGGAAGCTGCTACTTGTATTTATGAAACTGGGGCAAAATGTTGGCAGTCTTGTCGGGTCATTTTACTTGGAATCATGGACGGCTGAAGCAAAACAGGATCTTAGACATCATCTGGGTCAGGGGTACTCTACTTTCGTTACGCATGGGAGGATTACCTGAGAAGCTTTTTTTTTTTTTTTTTTTTTTTTTTTTTGAGACAGAGTCTTGCTCTTGTTGCCCAGGCTGGAGTGCAATGGCATAGTCTCAGCTCACTGCAAACTCCACCTCCGAGATTCAAGCAATTCTCCTGCCTCAGCCTCCTGAGTAGCTGGGATTACAGGCATGTGCCACCACGCCTGGCTAATTTTGTATTTTTAGTAGAGATGGGGTTTCTCCATGTTAGTCAGGCTGGTCTTGAACTCCTAACCTCAGGTGATTCACCCACTTCTGCCTCCCAAAATTCGGGGATTACAGGCGTGAGCCACCGTGCCTGGCTGAGAAGTTTTTTAAAAAGCCTGCACTCAGACCCTGACCCCTTGTTCCCCCTTTGTTCTCCCCAACTCAATTGGTTTGGCTTAGGGCTCAGAATCAGGGTTTTTTTGTTTTTGTTTTTTTAATTGTGGCAAAATATACAAAACATACAATTTACTATATTAATCATTTGTAAGTATACACTTCAGCGTTATTAAGTGCACTTACATTGTTGTGCAACCGTCACCACCACCCATCTCCAGAACTTCCTTCATTTTCCCAAATAGAAACTCCATACCCATTAATCAGTAACTCCCTATTCTCCCCTCCCCATCCCTTGACAGCCACCATTCTACTTCCTGTCTCTATGAATTCGACCGTGCTAGGTAGCGCATATAAATGGAATCATACACTATTTGTCCTTTTGCTTATGCTTATTTCACTTAGCATAATGTCTTCAAGACTCATCCATGTTGTAGTAAGTACCAGAATTTTCTTCCTCTGAAAAGGCAGAATAATATTCCATTGAATAGATAGATATACCACATTTTATTTATCCATTCATCTGTCGATGGACATTTTGATTATTTCCACTTTTTGGCTACAGTGAATAATGCCTCCATGAACATAGATGTCGGTTTGAATCCCTGCTCCCAATTTTTTTGGCCATATACCTAGAAGTGAAATTGCTGGATCATATGATAATCCTGTGTTTAATTTTTTGAGGAACTGACATAGTTTTCCACAGCAGCTTCACATTTTTACATTCCCATCAGCAATGCACAATGATTCCAATTTCTCAGCATCCTCTCCAACTTAAGTGAAATTTTAATCTTTATTTATGTAACCCTTGATAGTAAAAACTTTTCTAACCCTCTTATCTTTAATTATGCTGTATTTCTAAGTTGCATGGTCCTTTTATAGAGAGACAAGGTCTTGCTCGGTCATCCAGGCTGAAGTCCCGTGGTATGATCATAGCTCACTACAGCCTTGAACTCCTGGGTTTAAGAGATCCTTCTGCCTCAGCCTACCAAGTAGCTAGGACTACAGATATGCACCACCATGTCCATCTAATTTTTAAAAAAGAATTTCCTTAGAGGTGGGGTTTTGCTTTGTTGCCCAGGCTGGTCTGAAACTCCCAGCCTCAAGCGATCCTCCCACCTTGGACTCCAGAAGTGCTGGGATTACAGGCATGGGCCTCCGTGCCTGGCCACAAATATTTAAGTTCTTATTCTTCTATCTTCAACAGATACCTTCTTTGATTATAAAAGCAACACAATATATAATTATCAAAAACCTACAAGTCACATAATCTCCATTTTTCCAGGCTTCACCAAGTTGAGAGTACTCATGGGGCCATATTAACAGTAATACCCAAAAGTTGCTGGCTTTTACTCCCAGGCGAATCTTCTTTCCTTCTGCTCTGCCTTGCCACGTTCGGGGAAGTTCCCAGAAAATCTAAGCATGATTTGGGGGAAGAGTCACTGATGTAATTTCCTAGACAGCCACTGGAGGGCAGCAGCTCCCTCTCACCCCCGACCCCAGCCCTGAAGAGGATGCTGCCATCAGGCCCAGAGCATTCCTGAAGCAGCAAACTCTCAGTCATTGCATGGAAACTCTACAGAAACAGGGGGACTATCCCTCTTCCCAACTCTTGGTCACACGTTGTGACCTGGGTTTCGTAAAGTCCTATGTGGAAACAAGCACATGTCAGAGTCCAAGCTTAATAGCGGGTTGAGAATGTGATACACAACAGGATGACCCTGACAGCCTGCAGCTGGCGGCTATCTAGCGTTCCCTCACGCAAGATAAGCAGTTTTCACAGAATAACAACAATAATCAGACAAGGTCCCTCCGTAACCATGGTGGAACAAGACAATAACAAGATTGCAACTTACTCAATCTGAACATGAACACAGACAAAGACATTAAACAATCACGAAAATAACCAAATAGCCACCCTGATGTAGTCACACGAGTGACTCTAGCCTCCCAGGTAAAAATTAAGACACCCAATCATCAGGCCGGGTGCATTGGCTCATGCCTGTAATCCCAGCACTTTGGGAGGCTGAGGCAGGTGGATCACGAGGTCAAGAGATCGAGACCATCCTGGCCAACATGGTGAAACCCTTTCTCTACTAAAAATACAAACTAGCCGGGCGTGGTGGTGTGCACCTGTAGTCCCAGCTACTTGGGAGGTTGAGGCAGGAGAATCACTTGAACCTGGGAGGCAGAGGTTGCAGTGAGCCGAGATCACGCCACTTCACTCCAGCCTGGGCAACAGAGGAAGACTCCATCTCAAAAAAAAAAAAATTGCACTTTGGGGTTTGCAGCAACCTCTTGTTAGTATTTATCCTATCTAGTGGAGAATTTCTCTTTATTTTAACTACTGCCTGAAAGACACTGCTGTGATACATTAATTTTTAATGTAAGTAGGTGCATAGCTATAATGAAAACATCATAATAAATCTTCATACGTGCTGAGAAGATAATCTTGAAATCTATATTATATAAATATCGTCACTTCAATTTATTGTGTACAATTAATGAAGTTTAAAAATATAAGTTCTGAATAAAATTTACAGTATTCTGCTTTTCCTTTAAGAAGAAGGCTGAATTTATCGTGGACTTTTTTGGTATAGCTATTGTAGATAGGAGTTATTGTCAACTTTATGAGTCAGCTAAGTGAGAAACATATTAAATTATTTTTTTATTGACCTGAATTATCTTAATTGGCTCCATCAAACTCACCAAATATTCAACCCTCAAATTGGCTTTCCTATTCAGAAGATGAAAGCAAACACTGAGAGTAGTTTCTGTTAAAAATGCAATTCCATTTAAAATAAAAGCAGCTGTCTGTTAACTACCATGCCATCAAAATTAGGCTATCACTGCATGTAATTACTTTTAAAATGAAAATTAAAGTTTCAATTATTTTCTTTTATTCAGTGAGGTTAAAAGACATTTTCCCTCTCCAATTTTTAATGTATATTATTTAATAACGATAAATAGAAATGCCAAAATTTTTAAAGGATAAAATGAAGAATATTAAGCATCGTTTATTGTTGCCTAATATTAATAAACCTACTGAGCTTAAAATGTATTTGAGTTATTTCAAATGGAATCATTTTTCCTAGACTGTGTGCTCTCTGAGGGTAGGATAGTGTTTTGTTTCTCCACGGTTTCAAGTTTTATCCAGAAAAACAGGGTTGTCGAATATTCTGTATGAATTGTTTTTCGAACTTCAAGAAACTTCTTGTATGGCCACAAAAGTAATATCATCTATACACTTATAAGAAAATATTAATATATTTTAGTGAATTGAGTTGCATGTGTGGAGACAGATACAAACACACAATATTTTAGAAATAAACAAATCCGGCCAGGTGCGGTGGCTCATGCCTGTAATCCCAGTACTTTGGGAGGTTGAGGCAGACTGATCACCTGAGGTCAGGAGTTTGAGACGAGCAAGGCCAACATGGCAAAACCCTGTCTCTACTAAAAATACAAAAATTAGCCAAGCGTGGTGGCACATGCCTGTAATCCCAGCTACTTGGGAGGCTGAGGCAGGAGAATCACTTGAACCCAGGAGATGGAGGTTGCAGTGAGCCAAGATTGTGCCACTACACTCCAGCCTGGGTGACAGAGCGAGACTCTGTCTCAAAAACAAAAAACAAAAAACAAAAATCCGATGGAGCAGGGCTTCCCAGCCTTTCTCATGTCATGAGAAGAATATATATATATGAATGATAGTAGTTGAACAGCACATTGGGGTAAATTGACAAGACTGCTCTCAGCAGAAGGCAATAACCCAGGGCAGGCACTGCGCACCTGAGACATCCACCAGAACTCCCAAGAGTTTAAAGTGTTCAGAAATGTGCTCGAGCCAGCTCCTACCAGATCCCAAGAGCCAAATGTGTATATATCTTCCCCAATTTGCACTTAATGACAGCTTGCTGGTAGTCTGAAATTGTCCATGGTAGGAGTACTTACACCACGGAAATAAAACAATTATCGAATACAAGCTGGGCCCAACGGCTCACGTCTATAATCCCAGCGCTTTGGGAGGCTGAGGCAGGAGGATCACTTGAGCCCAGGAGTTTGAGGCCAGCCTGGGCAACATAGTAAGACTCTATCTCTAAAAAGTAAGATGAAATTAACAAATGCTACAAATCAAGCCTTTTTTTCCTGGAGAGCTGGTTGTTACACATGTACTTTCACCTTATTGACCCGAGGGAAGGGGTCCATACCTCAGGACATTTATAACTCGCTTGTGGCATACCTGTTGGGCAGCTCTGCAATAAAGTCTTGTTTTTTGTTTTGTTTTGTGGTTTTTTTTTACTCTCCAAATATAAGCGGTTTTTGTTTTTTGTTTGTTTGTTTTTTCAAGACAGAGTCTTGCTCTGTTGCCCAGGCTGGAGTGCACTGGTACTATCTCAGCTCATTGCAACCTCCGCCTCCTGGGTTCCAGCAATTCTCCTGCCTCAGCCTTCCAAGTAGCTGGGATTACAGGCGTGCACCACCATGCCTGGCTAATTTTTGTATTTTTAGTAGAGATGGGGTTTTGCCATGTTGACCAGGCTGGTCTCAAACTCCTGACTTCAAGTGATCCAACCACCTCAGCCACCCAAAGTGCCAAGATTACAGGTGTGAGCCACCGTGCCCGGCCCAAATATAAGTTGTTTTATACAAATCGTACCAGGCAGCTGCTCTGTAATTTGATTTTATTATGTAGAATAAAAATTTAAAGTCTGGGTGCAGTGGCTCACGTCTGCAGTCCCAGCACTTTGGGAGGCCAAGGTGGGCAGATCACCTGAGGTCAGGAGTTCAAGTCCAGCCTGGCCAACATGGCAAAACTCCGTCTCTGCTAAAAATACAAAAATAATTAGCCAGGCATGGTGGTGGGTGCCTGTAATCCCAGCTGTTTGGGAGGCTGAGGCAAGGGAATTGCTTGAATCCAGGAGGCAGAGGTTGCAGTGAGCCAAGATTGCGCCACTGCCCTCCAGCCTGGATGACAGATACTCAGTCTCAAAAAACAAACAAACAAAAATTTAAAACATTCTATGTCAAGCTTGAGTAAAATAAATTTTAGAGTAAATCCACCTTGAGGCTAGAACATCATGTGTAAACACTAGCAACTAACTATAGATAAGACAATATGGAGGGAGGAAAACCTCAGTGAAATTTAAGTTTCGCCCAATCACCTTACAAATGAAGCTCAATTCACAAGTCCCATAGTCTCAGACAGAGCTGTCAGTACATTCTTAGTTCTGTAGCCCCCTACATACAAGTGAGAAAGAAAGTTTTTATCATTAAAAAACAGAGACCAAAACAAATAAACAGGACAACAAAATGTAGAGGTATTGAGATAATGCAAGAAGTAAAATAAATAAATAATAAAACTGTTAAAGACGTCTTCAGAGAGATAAGAGAAGATACGCACTTATGAAATAATACAGAGCCCTTGGAAATTGAACATATAGCAGGAGCAAAAACTTTAATAAAGGAATTGGAAGATGAAATTGAAGACTCTTTTAGAAAGAAGAAAAAAAAGACAAGAAAGTGGAAATTGAAGAGAAAAAAAATAAGGAACCTATTGGATCACTGCAGAATGTCCAATACCTGCCTATAATGTGAAATCCTGCATGGCAAGGATTTTGTATGTTTGATCATTGCGTAGAATAGAACCAGACACACAGTAGGCCATCAATAAATAGTTCTGCAAGAAATCAATTTTCAGAGTGTAAGGATCCACTCAGAACAAGAATGGGGAAAGACTCATGCCAACACACACGATTGTGAAACTTCAGAACATCAGAGACAAAGGGATCTTCAAAGCCTCTGGAGAGGAGAAAAAACACATACTCAAGGATCAAGAGTCAGATTGGCTTTGAACTTTAGAATAGCAAAGTTGGAAACATTATATTCCAGTAAGGAGTCATCCTGCACTTTTTATACATTCTTTCAAATGTCCAGTGATACAGAGAAACCTTTTTCATTCACCCCCAGTGACAGAGCAATCTTGAATATCTTGCAAGATTACACCTTATTTGCAAGCACATATGTGAACTAAATTCTTTCAAAATATTGTCATCAAAAATGATTAGCAAAGCAAGTTAACGTCTAAAGTTTTGTGGCTTGATATTAACTCCTTGGTGCTCAATTAAAATAAAACCCATTTATTATTCAGTCTATTTTGTGTTCCTTCATTGCATGCAATTGCAACAAGTAGACATTGGAGGCAAAAAGTAAGATTACATAACACAAAATAGATTCTCAAATGTTCCTCCAACAAAGCAGAAACGAATAATGCTTACCTCTGGTCAGTATTCATGTGGTGACCAGGGTTAGTGGTACTGCCATGAGGCTCCATGTGGCTGGATTGTTGATATTTTCTGTCAACTGTCAGTGACAGAAACTCAACTCAGTCTAGTTTTAGCTCCTGGAAATGGGAAGTCCAAGGGGTGGGTCCTGCATCAGGCATAACTGGATCTAAGAGTGCAAATCATGTCATGGGATCTCTCCTTTTACCCTTCTCTTCACTGCTCTTCTGTTTTCTCTGTGTGGCTTCATTTCCAGGCAGGCCATCCCCATGTGGAAGCAAAGATGGCCAGCAAACAGCTCAGGCTTACGTTTTCCTCATGGCTAGCAATTCAACTCTTGCTTTCCCAGCATTTGCATCCATCTTTGGAAAGAATTTAGATTATGTCACTTGCTCCCTCCTTGACCAATTGTGTGATAGGGAGAATTAGGCACTGTGATTGGGCTGCCTGGTTCATAAACTGATGAGATTTGTTTTAGGGCCAGATGGTTGGTATCTGTGGGGAGAGAAAGGATACAGAAGTTGGGAATCAAGCAGGTTCTGGATTTAAACCCATGTATCTGACAGACCCACCTAAATCCCATAGAGTGGGAGGGTGATAGCTTTCAAAAGAAGAGGATCAGAAAAGACTCCTCCCCATCCTCCTCCCCTCAAGATAACAGATGATCACTTACATGAGATTTTCCCTAGGAGTCAAAATTCTTCACGCTGTAAGATACTAAATAAAATGCAATCGTTTTAAGAAGAGCATACTTGAGAAAATTATCACCTTGAAGTGATGGACGGCTTAATTAGAATTTAAAAAAAGAAAAAAACACAACCCACGGCATTATCCAAATTACTTGAGGTATAACATACAAACTCTTTGGTTTCTAGGAGATATGTAAATGATTCACTTGTATTTTTAATTTGTAAGTAAATGGTGCCAGGTTTCCAGACAGAAACTGAAGCCAAATCTTTATCCATGGAACTTCACAGTGAGAGGCACATCTTAGAGATGAATACAAATCAATAATACAAATTACCCTTATCTAAGTGCCCCAATATTGTACCTCTTGTGCTCTGGTTATCATATTCCCACAGCTCTGGGTGTTTCAAATTAGATGTGGATTCTTCCACTTTTTTTTTTTTTTTGAGACAGGTTCTCACTTTGTTGACCAGGCTGGAGTGCAGTGGCATGATTACAGCCCACTGCACCATTGGCCTCCCAGGCTCAAGCGATCCTCCCACTTCAGCCTCCAGAGCAGCTGGGACTACAAGCATGCGCCACCATGCCTGCCTAATTTTTTTGTATTTTTGGTAGAAACGGGGTTTCGCCGTGTTGCCTAGGCTGATCTCAAACTCCCGGGCTCAAGTGATCCACCCACCTCAGCCTCCCAAAGTGCTGGGATTACAGGTGTGAGCCATCACACCTGGCCTCTTATTTTTTAAACATCTCCTTTATTGTACTTTATAGCTTCAGAATTGAGCTGATCAAAATACATGCTATTCAACTTGCATAGTAAAATCTTTCCTTGTGTCTGTCAGAACCTGCCTAACTCCTTACTTCTATATCCTTCATCTCCCAACAGATACCAACCTTCCAGCCCCTAAAACAAATCTCAGCCCCAGGAGGGCACTCATGTCCGTCATTCAGAGATTTGGCACACAAAGTCATACTCATTGCTAGGCTAGCTCTGACATGCTCCAATAACTGGACTTCCTACTTGTCTCCAAAACCAGGCTTTCTGGTAACCAGTTTTTGTAACTACATCCCTGTCTGTTCCCTGTGCCTGGATCCCTGACTTAGAAACCTACTGAGAACCACACTTTCTTTAGACCTGGAGGCCTGCCTTGTTCTTATCAGTCTCTATTCTTATCATACCTAGGGACAGAAGGTGTGCTCCACAACTTCAGCCTAAATATCTGACAGATAACTCTCCATATTTGGAGATCTATTCAGGGAAACACTTAACATCTACCACCTGAGACATTCCATCTTCTTTGTATTGAGATGACAGGTACTGACTTTTCTTTTCTTCCTTCCTTCCTCTTTCTTTATTTTTTCTTTTCTTTTCTTTTTTTTCTTTTTCTTTTTCTTTTTTTTGGAGACCGTGTCTTGCTCTGTCACCCAGGCTGGAGTTCAGTGGCGCGATCTCAGTTCACTGCAACCTCTGCCTCCCAGGTTCAAGCGATTCTCCTGCCTCAGCCTCCTGAGTAGGTGGGATTACAGGCGTGCAACACCATGCCCAGCTAATTTTTGTATTTTTAGTAGAGATGGGGTTTTGCCATGTTGGCCAGACTGGTCTCGAACTCCTGACCTCAGGGGATCCACCTGCCTCGGCCTCCCAAAGTGGTGGGAATACAGGCGTACAGGCATAAGCCACTGATCCTGGCTTTTTTTTTTTTTTTTGCCAGAGTCGTGCTCTGTTGCCCAGGCCGCAGTGCAGTGACTCAATCTCAGCTCACTGCAGCCTTGACCTACCTGGGTTCAGGTTATCCTCCCACCTCAGCCTCCTGAGTAGCTAGGACCACAGGCTTGCACCACCACACCCGGCTAGTTTTTGTATTTTTTGTAGATACAGGATTTCTCCATGTTGCCCAGGCTGTGGGTACTGACTTTTCTTGGACTGTTACCTAATGTCTCTTGCTGTACCTGCCCAAGGTAGATTTACCCCCCACCCCACCTGTGCCCATCGCTGTCCCTTTCCATGCCTGTTTTACCTTGGTGGAGGAACTCTCTTCCAGTTCTTGCCCTTCTCTACACCTCTGAGGAAAGCAAGATTATTTCCCATCCTGCTGCATTTTCTCAATAACGTGAGTTTCATTTCATGAAAAAAATTACTCTTTAGGCAGAGTATTTTAAGTGGATGCTGGGAGAGTAAAGCCAAGCTGGATTGTGTAATTTTTACACATCTTTTGTGTTGCTCTCATAAGACAATTTATACTTAACTTCCTTTATTATTCCACATTTTGTCATTTTTGTCTCTTTAGCATCTTTTTCCTCCTCCCCACCCCCCCATCACCATTTTTTTTTTCGATACAGAATCTCACTCTCACACAGGCTGGAGTGCAGTGGCATGATCTCAGCTCACTGCAACCTCTGCCTCCCAGGTTGATTCTTGTGCCACAGCCTCTCAAGTAGCTGGGATTACAGGCGCACACCACACGCTTGGCTTAATTTTGTATTTTCAGTAGAGATGGGGTTTCACCATGTTGGCCAGGCTAGTCTTGAACTCCTGGCCTCAAATAATCCACGTGTCTTGGCCTCCCAAAGTGCTGGGATTACAGGCGTGAGCCACAGTGCCCAGCCCTTTTCGTCCCCGTATTTTGATAATTGAGTGCCCCTTACCATGTGGGAACTAACTCTTACCCATTTGATCCATAGATCTTCCCTAGGATTCGATGTGTACATGTTTGGAGAGAAAAGCTGAGGTACTTAGGCTATGATGTAGGCCTGGGCCTACTGGAGCTATCTTCCCCGACCTTTAAAGTCACCCTGAAGAAAGCTTGAAGGCACCAAGTAATCAGGGAATGAAGCCAAGCCAAGTAGAGATGACAAAGAAGAGGCAGAAAGTCATAATGACACATACAACCCTGTCCTTCCCAGTAGGTGAGCCAATAAACCACTTTTTTTTTTTTTTTTGCTTTGCTTAAGCTACTTTGAGTTGAATTTTTGTCCTTATAATGAAGAGTCCCAACTAATATAGCCCTGTATTTCAAGAAATTCACATATCTGGCCAGGCACAGTGGCTCACATCTGTAATCCCAGCACTTTGGGAGGCCTAGGTGGGTGGATCACCTGAGGTCAGTAGTTCGAGACCAGCCTGACCAATATGGTGAAACCCCATCTCTACTTAAAATACAAAAATTAGCCAGGTGTGGTGGGGTGCACCTGTAGTCTGAGCTACTCGGGAGGCTGAGACAGGAGAATTGTTTTAACCTGGGAGTCAGAGGTTGCAGTGATCCAAGATATCATCACTGAACTCCAGCCTGGGCGACAGAGTGAGAGTCCATCAAAGAAAGAAAGAAAGAGGGAGAGAGAAGGGAGGGAGGGAGGGAAATTCACATATCTAACCAAAATCCACATGTTAGAGGTCTGAGGGCTAAGCTCTTCTTTTTTCTTTCCCTTCAAGCTCTATCCCACCCCTCCGAAAGCAGATCTGGGGAGGGTTTCCTTGTAACTTGTGTTGAAGCAATGTGGCTTAAGTCCAAAGCTGAAGTAGGGCTTTCACTAATTCTATTCACATCCAGGCTTTCCAATCTATCTTTAGAAAAAGTTGGCTCTGCCAGGAAGACACTCCTTAAGCCAGTGGTGCATAGGATCAAGATCTGTTTCATAAACCCTGGCACTGCAGAAGAGATAGCATAGCAAGCATATGTGAGAGAACAAACCCCCTTTTCAGTGCATGGCTCCTGGTTCCTGCTTCTAATGGCTTGTCCTGATGTCAGCAATCAGGTAAGTCACTCATCTTTCCCTGAAGGAAGAGCAGGCACGGATAGTGCAGTGTGGACCCCCCAGGGAGTCTATTTCTACAAGTCTCCTTTTTGTCTGTGGATATGGAAATATTAAGGAGAGTCACTCCCTCTGCCTCCCCATTTCTTGGGTTCTGATCCCCTTTTCTCTGGTAATAGCACCTCATCCTAGTTCTTCCCATACTACTCTTAGTACTGTACCTCGAAGGGTTGCTTTGAAGAGAAAACCCATCAGAATGGACCAATCAGAACCCATCTCTGAACTTTCTGCATCAATTTCAACTTTCTGTGTTGGCCTCCTCAGGTAATACCATCTTCAAAGTCACTTTCCTTTCCTAAGGGCCTCTGTAAAGCTGTTTCCCTGTGAAATGTGTTTCCTTATCATCTCACTTGAGTAGCTTTTTTTGTCTCCCTTTAGACCTCAACTTAAATATGACTTCTGCAACTCAAATTTACCCCTTCAGAGAGGTCTTCCCAGTCCGTTCTATTTAAACTAGGACTTCCATTGTGATTCTCCAACTTAACCCTTTGTTTGTTTCACAACTGAAAGGAACAATTACTATGTTCTAAGTATGGACAGACATAAGGAAATGAAACGTATTTGCTGCTAAAAATTGAGATGAATAAGTACATTGAACCATCTTGTAAAACTACATTTTAAAATATTCAATAGGAGAAAAATTGTTCCAAACGTGGACTGGGATGGAATATTTTTTGGAATATAATTCACAAGCTCCTTCTGGGGAGAGAATTGCATTCCTGATAAAATACTTAAGGAATTTTTCTGAACTTTAAATTACGACTTGTTCTGGGAAAACCAATCACCTGGCCATTTAACTAAGTAGAGTGACCTTAAACAAACATTCTTTTGTATCTAATCTAAAAGTGATTAACCTTTCTGTTTTCCTATAAAATATTTCTGCCAAGAGTGAATCTTTGGATTGGTCTGCTAGAGGCCTTTTCCTTGCAGTCAGATTGTAGTAAAACATTGCAATTTGCTTATAACTAAATTATCTGAAAAGTTTTGCTTTTTTATTTTTTAATTTTTATTTATTTTTGAGACAAAGTTTCATTCTTTTTTTAATTTTTTTATATATATTTTTTGAGACGGAGTCTCGCTCTGTCGTCCAGGCTGGAGTGCAATGGCACTGTCTCGCTCACTGCAAGCTCCGCCTCCTGGGTGGTTGATGCCATTCTCCTGCCTCAGCCTCTCAAGTAGCTGGGACTACAGGTGCCCGCCACCACGCCCAGCTAATTTTTGTATTTTTAGTGGAGATGGGGTTTCACCGCGTTAGCCAGGATGGTCTCGGTCTCCTGGCCTCGTGATCCGCCCGCCTCGGCCTCCCAAAGTGCTGGGATTACAGGCGTGAGCCACCGCGCCTGGCCGAGAGACAGAGTTTCATTCTTGTTGCTCAGGCTGGAGTGCAATGGCACGGTTTCAGCTCACTGCAACCTCTGCCTCCTGAGTTCACGCGATTCTCCTGCCTCAGCCTCCTAAGTAGCTGGGACTACAGGCGCCCACCGCCATGCCTGGCTGATTTTTGTATTTTTAGTAGAAACGGGATTTCACCAAGTTGGTCAGGCTCCTGACCTCCGGTGTGCCACCCGCCTCAGCCTCCCAAAGTGCTGCGATTACAGGTGTAAGCCACCACACCCGGCCAGTTTTGCTTTTTAAAAAATAACAACAACAACATACATTATAGTATCTTTAGACACTATATTTATTCATAACTTCTTTTGGGTCTTGTCCTCACACTAGACTATATAGTTTTAAACTGTAAGCTACAATAGGACAGCAAGCAGGTTTGTATTACTTGGTGTTTATCCCTAGGAACAACTTAGCACAGTACCTGGCAAACAGTAGGAGCTGCAGTGATATTTGTTAAGCTGATGAGTAATAAGTGAATGAATGAAATTTAAATGTGTGCACATTTGCAGACTAGATGAATTTAAACACAAATGAGTGTGCATCTCCTCTTTGTCTGTGACAAATAAACATGAAAGAATGGAGTCCTTCCTTTCCCCTCTCTGATCTGTAATGTGAACGTACCTGAGCCTCCTCGGCACTCTGTGATTCCCTAGGAAGGCCCCTCTCAAATGTCATCTCATCCAAACAATGCAAATCCCACTACAAAAATACTGGAGAGTAATGTTTTTACTGAAGGTTTCAAGGGAAACAGAAGAGGAAGTTATGAAATACACTACTACCAGCACCTTTTAAATTTTTACCTGAGGCTGGGTGCGATGGCTAATGCCTGTAACACCAGCTCTTTGGGAGGCCGAGGCAGGCGGATCACCTGAGGTCGGGAGTTGGAGACCAGCCTGACCAATATGGAGAAACCCCGTCTCTACTAAAAATACAAAAAATTAGCTGTGCGTGGTGGCACATGCCTGTAATCCCAGCTACTCGGGAGACTGAGGCAGGAGAATCGCTTGAACCTTGGAGGTGGAGATTGCAGTGAGCCGAGGTTGCGCCACTGCACTCCAGCCTGGGCAACAAGAGTGAAACTCCATCTCAAAACAAACACACAAACAAACAATTCTTACCTGAAGCATTTCTCTCTCCCTAGAGAGAGAGAGCCACACACCTCTCTTTTTTTTTTTTTTTTTCTTTTTTTTTTTTGAGATGGAATCTCACTCTGTCACCCAGCCTGGAGTGCAGTGGCACAATCTCAGCTCACTGCAACCCCTGCCTCCTGGGCTCAAATGATCCTCCTACCTCAGCCTCCTGAGTAGCTGGGAGCACAGATGCGTACCACTATGCCCAGCTAAATTTGTATTTGTTGTACAGATGGGGTTTCATCATGTTGCCCAGGCTGGTCTCGAACTCCTGAACTTAAGTGATCTGCCCACCTTAACCTCCTAAAGTGCTGGGATTACAGGTGTGAGCCACCACGCCCGGCCTCTCTCTTCTTTCTGTCAAATCTGTTCAGCCTCCCCCCCGGTCTTTGACCCTCGTACTTCCTCTCTTCCTCTTCCTCTTTTTCCCTGTTATCTTCCCCTGTAGGTCTCTTCCCTTTTCTGAAGTGAAACAAGTGACCCCCTTTTGGGTTCTTCAGTTTGCATCTCTACCTCCCCAGTAACTACTCTAAAGAAAAGCTTTTCTTCAGGATACACAATTAATAGAATATGGGAGACAGGAAGGGATGACAAATAATCATTTTTCTTTTTCTTTTTCATATTCCTTCTGTCTGAGATTACACAAAGTGGGGCAGAGGATTAATTGAGTGCGTAAAACAGTAGTGCATTTAGCACAAAACAATAGAAAATATACCAAAAAGGCTGGGTGTGGTGGCTCACCCCTGAAATCCCAGCACTTTGGGAGGCCAAGGTGGGTGAAGCACTTGAGCCCAGGAGTTCGAGACCAGCCTGGGCAACATGGCAAAACCCCGTCTCTCCAAAAAAATAAATTAAAGAAAAAAATAGCCAGGCATGGTGGTGTGTGCTTGTAGTCCCAGCTACTTGGGAGGCTGAGGTGGGAGGATCACCTGGGCTCAGTTAGTCGAAGCTACAGTGAACCTTGGTTGTGCCACTGCACTCCAGCCAGGGTGACAGAGCAAGACCCTGTCTCAAAAAACAAAACAAAATGATATATATAGTTTTGTTTTATATGTATAACTTATAAATGTATATATTTATAAGCATGTGTGTGTGTACATATATATATATATATATACACCAAAATATGAAGCCTGTACTCATATACCAAAATATGAAGCCTGTACTCAGATACCAAAATACAAAGCCTGTACTCATATACCAAAATACGAAGCCTGTACTCAAGAGGTCTGCAGGGACAGTCCTGTGTAATTAGACAGATTGTCCTTTAGGGGCACTAAAAGTATTAAATGATTTGCCTTGGCTTTCATTTGTGCCAAACTTGCTAGTTATGTAATTGACAACTCAACTTGTTAAGGCTTCTCTGTGTAACTTCTAAAAGAATGCATTTGTCTACCTAAAGAAAGAAACTGAGGCAAAATTAATATAGTTTATTTGGGCCAAGGTTGAGGACTGCAGCCTGGAAACACTTCCTAGTTATGTTGGGAAGTGCTCCAGAGAATAAAGGAGAGGCTTACGTTTTTATTTTTTTAATTTTAATTTAATTTAATTTATTTATTTATTTATTTTTTGAGACGGAGTTGCGTTGTTGTTGCCCAGGCTGGAGTGCAATGGCGCGATCTCTGGCTCACCGCAACCTCCACCTCCTGGGTTCAAGTAATTCTCCTGCCTCAGCCTCCCGAGCAGCTGGGATTACAGGCCTGTGCCACCACACCCGGCTAATTTTGTATTTTTAGTAGAGACGGGGTTTCTCCATGTTGGTCAAGGTGGTCTCGAACTCCCAACCTCAGTTGATCCGCCCGCCTCAGTCTCCCAAAGTGCTGGGATTACAGGAGTAAGCCACTGAGCCTGGCTGAGGCTTACGTTTTTAAAGAAAAAATAATGAATCAGGAGAGGGGGTGATTACAGAAGTCGTTTGTGAGGAATTTTCTTTTATTTTTATTTTTATTTTTTATTTTTTGGAGACAGAGTCTTGCTCTGTTTCCCAGACTGGAGTGCAGTGGCGCAATCTCGGCTCACTGCTACCTTGTGAGGAATTTTCATTGGTTTACAGAAATAATATTGATTAACGATTGGCAATATACATTGCTGAACTATAGAGTATGAGTTATGGTGTCCAGAGTATGGCATTGTTAGGTTTATTTATAGCTACTTGGGGTCAGTAAATCTAGAGCCCACATAGCAAGTAGCTTCATGAAGTGATTACCTAGCTCAAGGGGGAGTGAAGCGTGACTCTTGTTACATTTCAATGCTCTGGGCCTGATAATTTAAAGCGGGGCTTGCATTTCTCAGATAAAAAGTTTCTTTCTTTCTCACGTTGCAGATACCATCTGTATGACTTTTTTTTTTTTTTTTTTTTTTTTTTGAGGCGGCGTCTTGCTGTTGTCGCCCAGCCTGGAGTGCAGCGGCACGATCTCGGCTCACTGCAACCTCTGCCCCCTGGGTTCAAGCAATTCTCCTGCCTCAGACTCCCTAGTATCTGGGATTACAGGCACCCGCCACCACGCCAAGCTAATTTTTGTATTTTTAATAGAGACAGGATTTCGCCATGTTGGCCAGGCTGGTCTCGAACTCCTGACCTCAAGTCATCTGCCTGCCTCGGCCTCCCAAAGTGCTGAGATTACAGGCGTGAGCCACTGTGCTCAGCCCATCTGTATGATTTTTTAAGTCACTTAATGCTCTCTCATTTAAGGGGTCTTTTATCGCCTTCCAGATGCAACCTTTCTTCATTAAAAAAAATAGCCTGGGCAACATAGTGAAACTCCATCTCTACAAAAACATACAAAAATTAGCCCGGCATGGTGGCGGCCGCCTGTAGTTCCAGCTACTCAGGAGGCTGAGGTGGGAGAATCGCTTGAGCCCAGGAGGCAGAGGTTACAGTGAGCCAAGATCACTCCACTGCACTCCAGCATAGGTGAAAGAGTGAGACCCCATTTCAAAAACAAATAAATCAAAATTAAAATAAAAAATATATTGCTAAATTCTTCATTGGACAAGGATGCAATAGACTTCTTGCAGGCCTTCTTTTTGCCAGTGTGGGCTGCCAATTATATGAATATAGGTCTAAGGATGCTAGAGAAGGAATTTTCAGCATTATACCATTCAAGCAAATGTTCAATGTCCAACCAAATAGCTAATTCTATATGGGACAAAAATAGATGGAAATGTGTTATTTGTAGTTCAGCTTGTGCTTGCTTTTTTTTTAAACTTAGCAAAGAACTGATTTCATTTTTATATCCTGCTCTATTCTCTACAGTGACTTAAAAACACAATATAGAAACTTTAAAAATAGAATTTGTTATTCCCAGTGGCCCAAAAGGGATATTTAAAAGAGCCTAAAAGCAAAATATAATGTAATTCATTGTAGTGCTGCTTTTAGTGTAACTTGGGGCTTTTAAAAAAAAGATGCATACTGGTTTTTTTTCTGATTATAAAATATGTCTATTGTGAAAAATTGTTTAAACTCATGAAATAAAAATCATCAGTAATCCCCAAACCAAAGATAATCCCTACTGACATTTTGGGATATTTCCTTTCATCTTTTTTTCTAGGGACAGGGCCAGTTACAAGAGCGTACAACCTGTGCGGTCACGCAGGGCCCCTATTCAGAAGGGTCCCACACTTGATTTGAGGTTCTGTTGTTGCTTTCTTAAAATTCTTAATAATTTTGAACTGCATTTTCATTTGCACTGGGCCCTGCAAATTACACAGCCAGTTCTGTCTACAGATGATGCACATACTAATTATATATATAATAACATATATGTAAGATATATATTATATATAATATGTACATTATATGTATAATCTGTGTCATTAAAATTCTTTGTAAATGTTATTTTTTTCTTTTTTTTGTTCAGTCTCCATAGAGACTGTCAAAAATTGCGAATGCCAACTATATTTCAAGTCATTATGGCGGGGTATTGGGAAAAGTTTTCAATTAGCAGTAATAGCACCTCGGATAAACCTCATTGGCTACGATACTGCCACTGCACAAAGCTGTAAATGTTATTTTTAACACATACTATTTCATCATATGGAAACATAATCATTTATTTAACTATGTCCCTATTTTGTTTTAAATTTTAAATTTTTTAAATTTTGTTTTAAATTGTGTACTGTTATAAATAATGATAAGAAACATCTTTTTACGTTAATTAAAAATAGATTTCTGACTATTTCCTTAAAATAACATCCCAGACATAAAACTGAAGGGATAAAAGGATATGAACATTGTTGGACCTTTGTATTTAAATTGCCAGATAGCATTCCAGAAATATTAATATTATCAGCAGAAAGTAAGAAATTCTCTTTTCTTACTCTTGGTGGCAAAGAATATTATAATTTTAAAATATTTGGTAAATGAGTAAGTCAAAATATTATCCAATTACTTTAATTTCCATTTATTTGACTACCAGTAAAGAAGGTTTTAAAATATACATTTTATTAGTCATTTTTATTTCTTCTTGAAATTGTCCTTAGACTCTAAACTCCTCAACATGATTTTTAAGGCACTTGGTGTCCTACCACTCCGGGTTTATCTTCTACCACTCCTCTCCTTCCCATTCCCCACCCTATTCTAAGCTCTAGCCATACTTAATTTTATTTAATATCTACAATTTGTCATGCTTTCTCTTGCTTCTGGCACTGTAAACATTCTACATACTATTTCTGGATGTCTTTTTCAATATCTCTTGTCTGGTTAATTTCTATTTGTCCTTCAGGTCTCAGCTTAAACATCACTTCCCCAGAAAGCCTCCCCCACCCCCAGATTAGGCTGAGTGCCCTGCTAGGAGCTCCCAAATCATCCTGTATTTTTCTTCTTCTTCTTCTTCCTCTTCTTCTTCTTCTTCTTCTTCTTCTTCTTTCTTCTTTCTTCTTTCTTCTTCCTTCTTCCTTCTTCCTCTTCCTCTTCTTCTTCCTTCTTCCTTCTTCTTCTTCTTCCTCTTCTTCTTCCCCTTCTTCCCCTTTTTCTTCCCCTTCTCCTCCTTCTCCTCCTTCTCCTCCTCCTCCTTCTTCTTCTTCCCTTTCTTCTTCCTTCCTTTCTTTTTCTTTTTCCTCCTCTTCCTTCTTCTTTCTCCTTATTCTTGTTCTTCTTCTGTCTTCTTCCCCTTCTCCTTCTTCTAGTACATATTTAATTTTGAAATGATTTTAGATTTAAAGAAGAGCTACAAAGATGGTACACAGAGTTCCCATGTACCCTTCATCCAGCTTCCCCAGTGTTAACATGTTACATAACCATGGTACCATGATCAAAACTAAGTTATGAACACAGTTATGATACTATTAACTACAGACTTTATTCAGATTTCACTAATTTTTTTCATTAATGTCCCTTTTCTGTTCTAGGATCTAATCCTGGATAGCATATTGCATTTAGTTATCCTGTCTCCTTAGTCTCCTGTACTTCATATCTTATAGTGCTTAATGTATTTTATTACAATTTCCTCCCATTCTAGAATATAAGCTCTGTGAGAGTAAGGGCTGTTTTTTAAATTTTTCATTTATTTTTATTTTTAACCATTGCAACCTCAGTTCTTACAGTCGTACAGTGTCCATAGTAAGCAGGTGGTTTATATGACTGAATAGAAAGCAGAATTTTTCCTTAAAGAGTTTCTCAGAAAAGAGGGCAACACCTTCCATTTAAGTTCTTACGAAATATCCTATATTATGTTACATTCTCTCAATTTTTTTATTTAGAGCAATAAAGTACTGTTCAAGGAACTCACATTAGCCTGAAAGGACCTCATAGAATGCATGGATGCTTGTAGAGAGCATCTATTGGAATCAGTAAAAAACGGAGACAAAGACATTTAAAAACCTTTAATAATCTGTGTTTTGGGGGCTGTGACCTCACAGAGGAAAGGGCTGGATGCCCTTGTAAACAGGTTTGTTTGTTTGGTTGGTTGGTTGGTTGGGTTTTTTTGAGACGGAGTTTCACTCTTGTTGCCCAGGCTGGCGTTCAATGGTGCGATCTCGGCTCACTACAACCTCCACCTCCCAGGTTCAAGCGATTCTCCTGCTTCAGCCTCCCAAGTAGCTGGGATTACAGGCATGTGCCGCCATGCCCAGTTAATTTTGTATTTTTAGTAGAGACGGTTTTCACTATGTTGATCAGGCTGGTCTTGAACTCTTGACCTCAGGTGATCCCCCCATCTCGGCCTCCCAAAGTGCTGGGATTACCAGCGTGAGCCTCCATGCCCAGCCGTAAACAAGTTTTAAAAGTAGATGGGGAGCCAGGCATGGTGGCTCATGCCTGTAATCCCAGCATTTTGGGAGGCCAAGGCTGGCGGATCACTTGAGGCCGAGAGTTTGAGACCAGCCTGGTGAACATGGCGAATCCTCATCTCTACTAAAAATACAAAAATTAGCTGGGCGTGGCATGTGCCTGTAGTCCCAGCTACTCAGGAGGCTGAGGCACGAGAACCACTTGAACACGGGAAGCGGAGGTTGCAGTAAGCCAAGATCGTGCCACTGCACTCCAGCCTGGAGCCTCAAAAACAAACAAAACAACAACAAACACAAAGTAAATGGGGGAATGGTGGGAAAGAGATGGAGGCCGAAGAACAATGCTGATTACAAAGTTCACTTCAAAAGCAATTCTGCTAAGTAAGTGGCTTACTTCCCTGGTCAAAGCAACTGTTATCTCTTGCCTGAAACTACTGCAACAGCCTTCTAAATGGTGTCTCTGAACCCCTCCTATCCATCTACAATCTTCTGTCCATGAACATCCAGAGTGATCTTTTCTTTTTCTTTTTTTTTTTTTTTTTTTGAGGCAGAGTCTCGCTCTGTCGCCCAGGCTGGAGTGCAGTGGCGCGATCTCGGCTCACTGGAAGCTCCGCCTCCTGGGTTCACACCATTCTCCTGTCTCAGCCTCCCGAGTAGCTGGGACTACAGGCGCCTGCCACCACGCCCACCTAATTTTTTGTATTTTTAGTAGAGACGGGGTTTCACTGTTTTAGCCAGGATGGTCTCGATCTCCTGACCTCGTGATCCGCCCACCTTGGCCTCCCAAAGTGCTGGGATTACAGGCGTGAGCCACCGCGCCCAGCCAGAGTGATCATTTCAAAATTCAAATCTCCTACTTAAAAACCTGTAATAGATTTGCAACTGATCTTTGAATAAAAATCAAAATTACTAATGACTTTAAAAAAAACCTTGAATCCTTAGTCTCTCTCTCTATCTTTTTTTTTTTTTTTTTTTTGAGACAGGGTCTTGCTCTGTTGCCCAGGTTGGAGTTCAGTGGTGTAATCATGGCCCACTGCTGCCTTGATCTCCTGGGCTCCAGCAATCCTCACACCTCAGCCTCCTGAGTAGCTGGGACTACGGGCATGCACCCCATGCCTGGATAATTTTTTAAAATTTTTTTGTAGAGAAGTCTCATTATGTTGCTCAGGCTGGTCTCAAACTCCTGAAGTCAAGCGATTCCCCTGACCCGGCTTCCCAAAGTGCTACGATTATAGGCATGAGCCACAGCACCGTCTCAAGCTTTCCTTAATGGCCTTTGTTAGAATTATAGTTATAACTATAAACTCTGTAAGGGCAAGATACACGTTAATTTTTGCTCACCTTTGTCTTTCCAACAGCTAGCAAAGTACCTGGCACAGGTAATTTGTAAGCACTTATGATTATTTGAATACATGAACAAATGAGATCCTTCATTGGGAAATGAATTATCTACCCAGTGGTCTAAGAGAGTAAGCTTTAATATTTGTACTTTTTGGCTTCTGGAACTCCATACTTTACTCTGAGCCCTGGCATCATGAGAATTGATCATCCAGTTTGGTTAAGACCATTCAGCTCTACCATTCTGGAATCAAATACCTGTTCAGCTTACATGATGCCTTATTTGAAGATATTCATTTCTAGGTGTCCACATCAAACAGGTCATCAATGACTGACATCTGCTGTCTGATTCTCTGAAAAGTCCTTCATCTCCACCTAAGAGAGCAACCTGATATTTACCATATGAGAATTCTTCCCCTCAGCTCTCTTGGTCACCAACGATATGGGTCGTTTGTAGGTTCTCCAAGTTCTTCTCATGGTTAAGGGCATTTCAGGTGCCCTGCTTGGAAATGATAGCTCAGTTTCTAGTATTTGTAGAGAAGGAACATAAAACTTGGTGCAGCACATACTTCAAGAAATCTTGGAGAATTAAGTGTTGCTTCTCAGTATCTCACTCCAGTACAGAACTCCAGTTCTGTAGCTTTACACCTCATGTTGTAAGCATGAAGAGTAACTTAGAGTTATCAGGCGGCTTCATCAGTTATATAGAAAAAAATGTATATTTTCCTTCTGTATAACTGATAGAATCCAGCTCTCTGTAGTATGTACTTTCTATAATCTGTTTGTGGAGTAAAGCTGAGTTAATAGCAATTGTATCTCACACAGATACATTGCTCTGTGTCATGTGTCTTGCCTATTACTTCCTTGGAGAAAGTTATGAAAAGTTGTGTCCTGTACAGAGACGCCACGATGCTCTACATCTTCCATGCTACTTCCTTACTCCCTGGTCACAGGCCTAACTCAGAGTTCTAATCCTACTGAACACTTCATTGTCTAAATGCCCCATTTACATCTTCTTCCTCTCTCCCTGAAGGCTTTCGTAGATTGTGTATTCAAAAGATCACTGAATCAAAAAGAAAATCACCATTCTTTATTTTTTTTCCTGGCACTTATAATCATCCAACATAATACACATATTTTGTTTACATTGTTTATTGTGATTCCCTTCACTAAAATGTATGCTTCAGGGATCCAGGAATGTCTGTCTGTTTTATTCGCAGTAGTAGTATTAGCAGTTAGTATAGAATCTAAAATATAGTAGGTGCTCATTAAATATTTGTTGAATGAATTAATGATGCCAAATTGATATAAGAAAGGATATTCAAGCATAACTTTACCATGCACAGGGTTTTTCATCATTTCAAATTGCTGAACAAAATTCTCAAAGTTAAAAAACAAAAACAAACATTACTACTTTGGAAGAGAATGTAGGCATTTAGAACAAACAAGATGTAGAATTAGGGAATTTATACTAAAAATACCACCGAAGAGTGAGCACTTGGAGACAATCTACATGTATCCATATGTCACACATGTGCCTGGGCTTTGGTTGCTAGAAATAATTTCCCTGAATAATTTCTGGGGAGGGGATGTGTTTATAAATGCCCTCCTTGGCAGAGCACGGTGGCTCACGCCTGTAATCCCAGCTCTTTGGGAGGCGGAGGTGGGTGGATCACAAGGTTAGGACCATCCTGGCCAACATGGCGAAACCCCATCTCTACTAAAAATACAAAAATTAGCCAGGCATGGCGGCACTGTGCCTGTAGTCCCAGCTACCCGGGAGGCTGAGGCAGAATTGTTTAAACCCGGGAGGCAGAAATTGCAGTCACTGCAACCCAGCCTGGGCGACAGAGTGAGACTCCGTCTGAAAACAAACAAACAAAAAATGCAACAAACAAAAAATGCCCTCCTTGATCTGCTTGGCTCTGTCTTCCTCTCAGGATCTCGGTCACTTGGCTTTCTTCCTTGCCAGAGGGGTATTAGGAGATGGTAGCTGAGTCCAGGGTTTTATAACCAAGGGAATAGGGAGAGGCAACCTCTTGGTGGTGAGGACTGGGCTGCAGCAGCAGTTTCCGGAACCTACTTTCTCATGACTGAACGTATGCAGGCTCTGGCTTCCCCAGTGGCTTCTTGGAGAAGTCAGGTAACGACTCATGGGAGATGAATTATTTATTCTTCTTCTGTGTCCTCCAACAGATTATTGAGACCCATACAGCCATTCCAGAGATGTTCTCATTTGATCAGGCAACCAGTTGTGTTTCTTTGAGAAGCTGTAGCCCCGATTCCTCCTTCTCTAGGATGGTACTCATCTTCCTCCCTCTCCCCACATACAATAAAAATGAGCTCTATGAGCGTTTTTTTAGGTTCTGTTTTCCGGGTAACCCAAGCTAGAGCCTAGAGAAGAGGGAAGTATTCTGAAACAACTCACTTTCAAAAGATTACATGAAACCACAGGCATGTCTTAGGGTTCAAATCTTCTTTCATGTGCCTTGATTCAAAACTGTATATTTCTACTTCAATATAGTTAAGATATTAATCTGTAGCAAAAGTCAAATAACCGTAAAATGAAAAACTGGTAGAACTTCAAGTGAAGACTGGAATAGTTGGAGATGAGTTGTTGTAGTCAGAAAGACCCTTTTGTCAAATTCATTCATTCATTCAACAGAATGCCAAGTATTAATCTAAGTGCTAGAGACACAACAGTGAACAAGACATATGGATCCTTCTGAAAGGAGCTTAAAAACAATGTGGGGAGACAAATGATAAATACAAAAATACTCAATATTGGTCGGGCACGGTGGCTCACGCCTGTAATCCCAGCACTTTGGGAGGCCAAAGCGGGCAGATCACTTGAGGTCAGAAGTTCGAGACCAGCTTGGTCAACATGTCGAAACCCCATCTCTACTAAAAATACAAAAATTAGCCAGGCGTGGTGGCACGCACCTGTAATCCCAGCTGCTCGGGAGGCTGAGGCAGGAGAATTGCTGGAACCCGGGAGGCAGAGATTGCAGTGAGCTGAGATCGTGCTACCGCACTCCAGCCTGGGTGACAAAAAGAGATTCCGTCTCGAAAAAAAAAAACAATATAATATCAAATAGTAATCAATGATTAGAAGAAAAATAAAGAAGAGAGCATAGAGAGTGATGAGACACTCTTTTAGGTAGCATCATCAGGAAAGGCTTCTCTGGGAAGGAAACTTAAGCAGAGATCAGAATGAGGGAGGTATCAGTGTAGAAGTCTATGAAATAGCATCTACTTTAGCCACATATACTCATAGGTTGTTTGTCAGATTCGCTTTGAATTGAGAATAAATAAATAGAGAAGAGAAGGAGAAAAGTTTTTGCCTTTCTTCTTCTTTTTTTTTTTGTCACAAAAACATCTAAGCCTGAATGTCTCCTAAATTATTCTTTGTGGCTGGTTAGTCAATTTAGCCAAAGTTGAAGGTACTTCCTCCTTCTTGAATGCAAAATTACTTCTTTTTTTCTTTTTGTTTTTTTAATAGAGACGAGGTCTATGTTGCCCAGACTGGTCTTGAACTCCTGGCCTCAAGAGATCTGTCTGCCTCTGCTAACATGGTGAAACCCCGTTTCTACTAAAAATACAAAAAAAAAAAAAAAAAAAAAATTGGCCAGGAGTGGTGGTGGACACCTGTAGTCCCAGCTACTCAGGAGGCTGAGGCAGGAGAATGGCATGAACCCAGGAGCAGAGTTTGCAGTGAGCTGAGATTGCACCACTGCACTCCAGCCTGGGCAACAGAGTGAGACTCCGTCTAAAAAAAAAAAAAACATCTGCCTACCTCTGCTTCCCAAAGGGCTGGGATTACAGATGTGAGCCACTGCACCCTGCCCAAAATTACTTCTAGTCTTATTCTAGCCCTACACTCTGTCTGGTATTATTGCTATTTATTTGCACATCTCATATCCATTTAATATGGCATATGATTTTTCTTTTAAGAGGCAGAGGCTATGTTGCTCTGTTGCTATGTTGCCCAGGCTGGTCTCGAACTCCTGGGCTCAAGGGATCCTCCTGCCTTAGCCTGCCAAGTAGCTGGGACTACAGGCATGTGCCATGGTGCCTGACTAATGTGGTATATGTTTTGAAAGCAAAGTCTATATATTTTTAGCATTATAGTTCTTGAAATATCTAGTACAGTCCTGTCACAAAGTAAATACTTATTTGTTGAATTTAAATTTAGACAGAGTTTCACTCTTGTTGCCCAGGCTAGAGTGCAATGGCATGATTTCAGCTCACCACAACCTGCACCTCCAGGGTTCAAGCAATTCTCTTGCCTCAGCCTCCCGAATAGCTGGGATTACAGGCATGCAACACCATGCCCAGCTAATTTTGTATTTTTAGTAGAGATGGAGTTTTTCCATGTTGGTCAGGTTGGTCTTGAACTCCCGACCTCAGATGATCCGCCCTCCTCGGCCTCCCAAAATGCTGAGATTACAGACGTGAGCCACCATGCCCAGCTGATTTTTTAAAAAATAAAATATCTGGACTCAGACAAGTTTACCTAACCTCTCAGAGCCTAAGTGTAAAATTGTTATTCCTGTAAAAATCAGAAATAATAATCATTTGACAGCATTTATTGGTACAAGAAAAGAGAACCGGGTGTGGTGGCTCATGCCTATAATCCCAGCATTTTGGGAGGCCGAGGTGGGCAGATCACTTGAACAAAGAGTTTGAGACCAGCCTGGGCAACATGGTGAAACCCAGTCTCTACAAAAAATACAAAAGTTAGCTGGGCCTGGTGGTATGTGTCTGTAGTCCCAGCTACTCAGGAGGCTGAGGCAGGAGGATGCTTGAGCCTGGAAGGTTGAGGATGCAGTGAGCTGAGATCCAGCCTGCACTCCAGCCTGGGTGACAGAGTGAGACCCTGTCTCAAAAAATAAATAATAAAATAAATAAATAAATAATCTAGTACAGGACCAGATACATGGTAATATTTAATAAATTGTTGGTCATTCAATCAAGAAATTAAGCATTTTTAAAGGCTTGATCTGAAACCAGGTTATTTGTTCATGTAAAGAATGTGGTAGTTATTTGTTAATAGCATTTGTTGTTAGTTATTTCCCATAAGGAAATGATGATGTCATCACAAGATCTTTTCCTTAATCAGCTTTATTAAGGTATAAATTAATTATAATTACATATAATTAAATATAACTTACATGTAATTAAATTCACCAATTTTCAGTGTATAATTTTTGACAAATGCACACCGTAATCAGCATCACAATCAATATGTAGAATATTTCTCTCACTGTAAAAAGTTCCCTTGTACCTCTTTGAAAGCAATTTTCCCCTTCTACCCTCAGCCCCTGGCAACCACTGATTTGTTTTCTGCAAAAGATACTTTTTACTTTATAAGCAAATATTTATGAGGGCCTTCCATTTTTGTTTGTTTTTTTTGAGACGGAGTCTCACTCTGTCGCCCAGGCTGGAGTGCAGTGGCGCGATCTCTGCTCTCTGCAAGCTCCGCCTCCCGGGTTCACGCCATTGTCCAGCCTCAGCCTCCTGAGCAGCTGGGACTACAGGCGCCCGCCACCACGCCTGGCTAATTTTTTGTATTTTTTAGTAGAGATAGGGTTTCACCGTGCTAGCCAGGATGGTCTCGATCTCCTGACCTCGTGATTCGCCCCCATCGGCCTCCCAAAGTGCTGGCTCACGCCTTTACATGCCCGGTATGAGGGCCTTCTACTTAGAAGTCCTTGAGCTAGATAGATACTTCATAGAATACAAAGATAAGTAAGACTCAGTTTATGTCCTTAAATAGCTAAAAATCTAGTCTAGTCGTATGTAATTTTGAGATTACTCTGTCTACACATAATATGGGACTGAATTTCAATATGAATTATGCCCACTAAAGAAGAATAAGGAAGAAAAAATATTGTAAATGGTTCCTGAACTTTTAGAATAGTAAACAAAAGATTCATGAGTGCCACTAATTAATTATAATTTATTTTAAAAGGCACAAATTTATGATTACAGGATTTCCAGATAATTTTTAAAAAGTAAACTCTTTAAAATTAAGTAACATACATACAGGAAACAAAAGTGCAGAAATCCTAAGTGCACAGCTTGATCTTTTCAGATTATTTATGGCAACCTAGACCAGCACTGTGTGACCAATGCAGTAAAAAGACAACATCCTGAAGTCTTATGGTTTAGACAGAATAATTACATCACTGTAAGAAAGAAAGAGATAAGAGAATAATGTTCTGCAAAGGCTCACAAAGAATTGTGGGGATAAGTAGTGAGAAAATGGATGGCACATTAAAATTCATGAGGAAATGCCGTTTAACTTCTATGAATAACAAAGCGATTATTATGCAGGATCAGGTTTTTCTTTCATCATTACAGAAAGACACAAAATCATTATCGTGATCTGCCATATGTTTTTCCTTTGTTATCAGATGCTGGGACAGGCCTATTAAATGTTCTGTGTTACCCAGGGGAATGGTCAGGGCGGTGAGTAATGATGGTCACGATGCATATGGTTTTCTATAGTCCTAATTGTCAGTGCATTTAGATCCGAGGAAAGGAACAAATTAAAAAGGGCAGAATGGCTGGGTGAGCACTTTCTTGTGATTGCAAAGAACTGGGTCTATTCTTACCCTTTCTGCCCCTTGCTTTATGCTTTACACCTGCCATTTCCAGACTGACAAGGCGCTTTGGTGGCGCCTTGGTCAATGCAATGGGGACTACAATTAATTTAAAAAGGGGTAATGCATGCAAATCGCAGAAAAATATTAACACCAGGAGAAAAAACACAGTGTGGAAAAATAATCCTACAAAAATGTTTATAGTGGGGTCAAACATTTACCCACATTATAATTCCAATACATGCAAAGAAAATACTCCTTTTTAATTTCTATCATGGACCTAATTTTTCCTTGCAAGCTTCCACCTTGCTCTATAATAAGAGGAAAAAAACCAACCAAACGTTAAACTTGTCATTCCAGGCAACAATCTTTTTTTAGTTTAAATAGTTTATTTTGGCCCTGCATGGTGGCTTACTTCTCTATTTAATCCCAGTGCTTTGGGAGACCAAGGAAGGAAAATGGCTTGAGGCCAGGAGTTCAAGACCAGCCTGGGAAACATAGCGAGACCCCGTTTCTAGAAAAAATTTAAAAATTAGCTGGGTGTGGCAGTGCATACCTGTAGTCCCAGCTATTCAGGAGGCCAAAGCAGGAGGATTTCTTGAGTCCAGGAGTTTGAGGCTGTAGTGAGCTATGATTGTGCCACTGCACTCCAGCCTGAGTGACTGAGACCCTGTCTCAAAAAATATAAATAAATAAATAAATAAATAGTCACTTTTGAATAACAAATTTTCTTTTGGTTAAATCCAGAATCTTTCACATTTCTTCCTGCTTCCCTCTGCTTCTGTTCAAAATAATGTCTAGCTGTACAGAGGGATTTGTGACCTAGGGTGGCAAGGAGAGGAAGGGCCTCAGATCTATGTGGGGGTCTCAGGATCAAATTTGTCTCTATACCAGAGTGCATGTTTAGGGGAGCCAGAGATCAACCCCCTTTTGCTCTTAGTGGCCTCTTCAGCTAGATCTAGAAACCAAATTGACACCAGGCAGATTAACAAGGGAAAAGCAAACAAATTGTATTAGTTCTACATGTACATGGGGGTATTCACAAGAGCATGAAGTCTGAATAAGTAGCCAAAGCAAGATGCTTTTGTATTTTTAGACAAAAAATGTTACATTTGAAAAGAAATGACAGAACAAAGAGTATCTGGCCAGGGGCAGTAAATTTTCTAGGGGAGTCACTCGGACATGTATGGAGGATGTAAAACAGGTGGAAGAAAAGGGTTACTTCGTCAAGTACATTTATTCGATCCATTGCAGCCTCCAATTCTTTTTTTTTTTTTTTTTTTGAAATGGAGTCTCACTCTGCACCCCAGGCTGGAGTGCAGTGGTGCGATCTCACTCACTGTAACATCCTCCTCCAAGGTTCAAGTGATTCTCCTGCCTTAGCCTTCCAAGTAGCTGGGACTACAGGCGCCCACCACCACGCCCGGTTAATTTTTGTATTTTAGAGACGGGGTTTCATCATGTTGGCCAGGCTGGTCTTGAACTCCTGACCTCAGGCAATCTGCCCGCCTGTACCTCCCAAAGTGCTGGGATTACAGTCGTGAGCCACCCCGCCTGGCCTGCAGCCTCCAATTCTAAGTCTCTGGTGATAAGGGTTTGCTCGCTCTGGTATGCAGAGGGTGCCCCTCCCAGAGGCATCTGTATCTCTTGCTGCATGAAATTACAATTTCTCAACTGTTTTCAATTTCAAATAATTACTATACCAATCCGGAATATTTTGGGATGGCACATTCTTCACTCCTTCACATATCTCTGACTAAGTTATTTACATAGTAGAAATAAGTTCTCTATTATATCAGAAAAGTTGCAAAAGTAATTTATTTCTATTGTTTTTTATTTAATGTTTTTTATCTACCATGTATTTACTTTTTTTATACTTTCCTACCTTCTATTGAGTTACTGATTTATTTTTCACCCTTACTGACTTGAAAGTTATGTTAAAAAAATTAACCTTTACTTATTATCGATTAAAAAGGAGTTTCTCTGATAAAAAAGTGGGGTTTCAGGTTTATAACGTAAAGCTTTATGTGATATAGAAAAATGTATCAGTAAACAAAGCATGTTGTTTTCTTACAGGCTTACACAATTTTGAAATCAATCTTTTCCTCATTGTAATTACATAGAAGCTTAAAATTTTTTTAAGTTTGTTTTATCCATTTTTCCTTGTATACTTTACCTTTGGTGGCAAGTTCACAGTTACCAAGTATATTTTCTTCACAGTGGTAAAATTAACAAGAACTTACTTTTGCTTTTTTTATTTATAAGAACAATATCACTTCCTTTTACTGAATCAATGTTTACTCTTAAATTTGTAACATGCATGGCTCAACTTGGTCTAAGATACTGTCAGCCTCTTTTGAACAGTATACAATCTGAGAAACTTTATTCCTCCCATTCTTCCTGTTATTATAGTAATTTGGTTTCACCTTTTCAAAAACCCTCTCAACTTAGAGTATTAATTTATTTATTTTTATTTTTGTTTTATTTTTTATTTATTTATTTTTGAGACGGAGTCTCGCTCTTGTTGCTCAGGCTGGAGTGCAGTGGTGTGATCTCAGCTCACTGCAACCTCTACCTCCCGGGCTCAAGCAATTCTCCTGCCTCAGCCTCCCGAGTAGCTGGGATTACAGGTGCACGCCACCATGCCCGGCTAATTTTTGTATTTTTGGTAGGACAGGGTTTCACCTTGTTGGCCAGGCTGGTCTCGGACTCCTGACCTCAAGTGATCTGCCCGCCTCAGCCTCCCAAAGTATAGGGATTACAGATGTGAACCACCGTGCCTGGCCTGAGTATTTATTATTATTGCTTTTATTTTGTTTTATTTTGACACAGGGTCTCTCTCTGTCACCCACACTGGACTGCAGTAGCATAATCACAGCTCACTGCAGCCTTGACTTCCTGGGCTTGAGCAGTCCTCTCACCTCAGCCTCCTGAGTAGCTGGGACCACAGGTATGTACCACCACATGGCACTAATTAAAAAAAAAATTTTTTTTTGTAGAGCTGGATCTTGCTATGTTGCCCAGACTGGTCTCTTAACTCCTGGCCTCAAGCAATCCTCCTGCCTTGGGCTCCCAAAGTGTTGAGATTACAGGCATGAGCCATTGTGCCTGGTCTATTATTGCTTTTTAACAGTTAATATTAATATAGATTTACCAGTATTTTTACTAACTTCTCTGTTCACCATTAGTACTTACAGCGGGTCCTTTCTCCTGGGTTTAATTTCTTTTCTTTCTCTCTCTCTCTCTCTCCCTCTCTCTCTCTCCTCTCTCTCTCTCTCTCTCTCTCTCTCTTTCTTTCTTTCGCAGGCAGAGTGGGCCTGGTGCAGCAGGGCTGACCACCAGTTTACTTTCTTTCATTTTAAGTGTATATTTGTGTTTTTTTTTTTTTTGAGACAGAGTCTCGCTCTGCCGCCCAGGCTGGAGTACAGTGGCGCGATCTCGGCTCACTGCAAGCTCCGCCTCCCGGGTTCACGCCATTCTCCTGCCTCAGCCTCCCGAGTAGCTGAGACTACAGGCGCCCACCACTAAGCCTGGCTAATTTTTTTGTATTTTTAGTAGAGACGGGGTTTCACCGTGTTAGCCAGGATGGTTTCGATCTCCTGACCTCGTGATCCGCCCGCCTCGGCCTCCCAAAGTGCTGGGAATATTTGAGTGTATTTTTTAAAGCAATGACTTGTTACTATATATTATTTTAGTATTTGTCAGAAAATATCTTGAATTCTCTCTTGAATGTTAGTTTGAGTACAGACTTCTTGATTATTTTCGCTTAACAATGTGGAGATGCCCATCATTGTATTGTCTTTTCCATTTTTGTTGAGAAATCTGCTGATAATGTGTTATTGTTCCTTCGTAGGAAATTTTTTGTTTGTTTGTTTTTTGCTTTTTGAGACGGAGTCTCACTCTGTCGCCCAGCCTGGGCCACAGAGCGAGACTCCGTCTAAAAAAAAAAAAAAAAAAAATTAGCCGGGCTTGGTGGCGGGCACCTGTAGTCAGTCCCAGCTACTCAGGAGGCTGAGGCAGGAGAATAGCCTGAACCAGGGAGGCAGAGCTTGCCGTGAGCCGAGATCACGCCACTGTACTCCAGCCTGGGCGACAGAGCGAGACTCCGTCTCAAAAAAAAAAAAAAAAAGAATTTCTCTCTTTCCAGCGTGGTCCATGTTTCATTTTGGTCAGGTGTATATGGTTTTTAATTTTTCCTGTCTGGGGCTCAGTGATTATCTACTCAAATATTACTTCTTTCCTATTCAAATAGACATTTTCCATTACTCTGGAACTCCTTTTAGACATCTATTGAGGCTTCCCATCCCATCCTCCATTTCCTCACAGGATACTGTACCCACAGAATAGCTTTGCATTTTCTCGGGAATTTGCATTCCCTCTTCATTTCTGGCATCTGAAGATTCTTATATTTTATCAAGCATATCTATATTTTTGTTGCATCAGATGAGACTGGATCATCCAGATTTAACTCACCAGACTGCTTGTAGTCCCATGCAGCAAAAAAGGTAAAATTTCTGTCTAATTTACAATTAAATGAAGAGGTATAGCTAACTTAATATGTAAAGTAAAAATTATGCATCTGTGCAAAGTCTTAGAATTATGAATTAAAATGTCAGCATTTTGGTAATCCCTAGTGTCTAGACTGTTTCCTTTTTGTGTGTGTGCTTACTTTATAATGAGATTGTAAACCCAGTGGCATTGGGTAAACCTTAGAGGTATCTTGTAAGAATTCTGTTTAATTTTGCTTTATTGAACTTTATGTACTAGAAGGGAAGCACCAAAAATGAAATTTTAGATAAAAGCCTACTATTGAAGCAATTGTCTATATTTAATACATAGAAATAAAGTTAGTGAAACATCAATATGAAGCCCATAAACAGTTGGCGGAAAAAGCAATGGCCTAGAGATTTGGGAAGCTGTACCCTAGACTTTGCTCTGCCTCTATGCTGTATGACCTTGGGCAAGTCATTGAAGATCTTAAAGTCTTGGTTTCTTCATCTCTACAAAGTGGGGATGGCAGTCTCTATAGTTTAAAATTGCATTATTCTAGATAGTGCAGAGATAGACAGTGTCATTTGAAAATGTCTTAAAATCCTGATACTTCTAATGGAATAAAATGAAAGGGATAAAAACCAAGACATGGCCAGGTGCAGTGGCTCACGCCTGTAATCCCAGCACTTTGGGAGGCCAAGGCAGGTGGATCACCTGAGGTCAGGAGTTCAAGACCAGCCTGGCCAACATGGTCAAACCCCATCTCTGTTAAAAATACAAAAATTAGCTGGAGATGGTGGCGGGTGCCTGTAATCCCAGCTACTTGGGAGGCTGAGGCAGAAAGAATTGCTTAACACCCAGGAGGCAGAGGTTGCAGTGAGCTGAGATGGTATCACTGCACTCCAGCCTGGGTGATAGAGTGAGGCTCTGCCTTGAAAAAAAAAAAAGAACCAACATCATACAAATTGTTCCTTTTAAATAGGGTGTAATGTTTGGAAAATAAAGTAAAAAAAAAAATCAACCAAAAAAAGTTGAAGAAACTCTCAGACAAGACCTATTTCAGATTTTAATTGTAAATTTTAAGAGTATAAGTCCCTTCTGGCCCGGCACGGTGGCTCATGCCTGTAATCCCAGCACTTTGGGAGGCCGAAGTGGGTGGATCATGAGGTCAGGAGATCAAGACCATCCTGGCTAATATGGTGAAACCCCATCTCTACTAAAAAAATACAAAAAAATTAGCCGGGCGTGGTGGCAGGCGCCTGTAGTCCCAGCTACTTGGGAGGCTGAGGCAGGAGAATGGTGTGAACCTGGGAGGTGGAGCTTGCAGTGAGCAGAGATCATGCCACTGCACTCCAGCCTGGGCGACAGAGTGAGACTCCATCTCAAAAAAAAAAAAAAGAGTGTAAGTCCCTTCCTTGGCTAAAATTTTCACTTATGGAAAAAAATGGTGCTAGAACAATTGTGTGTGTGTGTGTGTGTGTGTGTATATAGGTGTGTGTATGTATGTGTGTGTGTATACCTTGACCCATACCTTGTGCCATGTAAAAACATCAACTCAACTAAACATGCATTGCAAATCTCAATGTAAGATTCTATAACTATAAAAATACTTGAAGAAAACATTGGCCAGGTGCAGCGACTAATGCCTGTAATCTCATCACTTCGAGGCTGAGGTGGGAAGATCCATTGAGCCCAGGAGTTTGAGACCAGCCTAGGCAATGTGAAAAAAATAAACAGTCTCTACAAAAAAAAGTACAAAAATTAGCCAAGCAAGAGGGGAGGGATAGCATTAGGAGATATACCTAATGTAAATGATGAGTTAATGGGTGCAGCACACCAACATGGCACATGTATACATATGTAACAAACTTGCACGTTGTGCACATGTACCCTAGAACTTAAAGTATAATAAAATAATAATAATTTTAAAAAAATTAGCCAAGCATGGTGGCACATGCCTGTAGTCCAATTTCTCAGGAGGCTGAAGTGGGAGGTTCACTGAGCCCAGAAGTTCGAGGCTTCATTGTGTGATCGTGCCACTGCATTCCAGCCTGGAAGACAGAGAGAGATCTTGTCTCAAAAAAAGAAAAATTAAAAATAAATAAAGGAATAAATAAGAAAATATATGAAAACATCTTTGTGACATTGGATTAGGCAAAGATTTCTAAGATACCACACCAAAAGCACAATTTATAAAAGGAAAAAAATTGGTAAATTGAACTTTATCAAAATTAAGAACTTTTTGAAAGACACAATTAAGAAAATTAAAAGACAAGACATAGACTAGGCCAAAGTATTTGCAAAGCATATATCTGACAAAGGACTAGTATTCAAAATGCATAAAGAACTCTCAAAACTCAGTAAGATAATAAGCAACCCTTCCCACACACATACAAGTGGGCAAACGTTTTGAACACACACTTTATGAAAAAGTTGTATGGACTACAAATCAATACCTTTTGTAAAAATATGTTTGATATTGTCATAGAGGTATGCAAATTAAAACTGTAATAAGATACTGTTATCAGTGGAAGGTAGTCCAAGCTACCGGTGGCAAATCCGTATGGGTCTACGGCAACCTCAGTTCTTGCCTCCTCAGAACAAATAATTCGACTGAGGGGCATAAGGCAGAAAAAAAGATCGAGGCAAGTTTCAGAGTAGGAGTGGAAGTTTATTAAAAAGCTTTAGAGCAGGAAAGAAAGGAAAGTACACTTGGAAGAGACCCAAATGGGCACCAAGAAGGTCAAGTGCGACATTTAACCTTGATCTTAGAACTTTATTTTATTTTATTTTATTTTATTTTTGAGATAGAGTTTTGCTGTGTCACTAGGCTGGAGTGCAGTGGCAGGATATTGGCTCACTGCAACCTCCGCCTTCCATGTTCAAGCGATTCTCCTGCCTCAGCCTCCCAAGTAGATGGGACTACAGGTGTGAGCCACCACGCCCAGCTAATTTTTGTATTTTTAGTAGAGACGGTGTTTCACTATGTTGTCCAGGACGGTCTCGATCTCTTGACCTCGTGATCTGCCCGCCTCAGCCTCCCAAAGTGCTGGGATTACACGCATTAGCCACCGTCCCAGGCCAATCCTAGAACTTTATAGACTGGCCCACTTCTGGTGTCTAGTACCCCTTTCCCATGATATTTCCCTTAGGGTGGGCTGCCCGCAGGCGCAATACCCTCTATATGCTTGGGAGGTGAGCACGCACAGTGTGTTTAGGAAGCTGTAGGCGTGCCCATCCGAAGCTTTCTTTCCTTTTCCAGTGGAGTGCCCAGGAAGGTCATACTCCGTCATTTTGTTTCCCAATGTGCATGCCTGTGAAGTTGCCTCTCCCTGGTGTCTGCATTCAACTAATCTTTTAGAGCGACAGGTGTAAACCATCAGGAAATGGCCTCTCCCTGGCAATTTATCAGCCTCTCATCAACAATATTGATGATGAATGATTTAATGACTGGTAACTGGCTCTGTGATAATTACTCAAATCTTAATATCTGGACACTCAAAAAGAATGAGAAGAAATTGTGATGATGATATGATATCTTTTACTTTTGGACTGAAAGTTAGGAATTTCTCTAAGTTTTATGATATGGCCATGCCATCTAATTATGCCAATGTGTCACTGCTGCCAATTTGTCACTTTTAGAAAGGCAATATGATAATTGCCGAACCATTTCCTGACATTCCTGGTGGGTGGGGAGAGCTCTCTCCTGCTCTGCTCATGCCTGTCTAACTACCTGTAACAATACCATTATCTCCTATTAGAATGGCTCAAACAAACGAACAAACACTGACAATATCAAGTCCTAGCAAGGATGCAGAGCAACTGGAATTTTCATACATGGCTGATCGAAGTGCAAAATGGTCCAGCTACTTTGGAAAAACAGTTTGGCAGTTTCTTAGAAACATATATTTATCTTTGACCCAGCAATTCCACTCCTACGTATTTACCCTAGAGAAATGAAAACTTTGTCACTTAAAAACCTGTATATGAATGTTTATAGTGAATTTGCACATAATCACCCAAAACTGGAAACAACATAGATATCTCTCAACTACTGAATTAATAAGTAAATTGTGGTACATCCATACAATGGAATACCACTTAATAATAAAAAGGATTAAACTATTGATATACACTACAACATGGATGAATCTCAAAGCAATAATGCTGAAGATAAAAGAAGGCAGACCAAAGAAGGAGTACATGCTATACAATTTCATTCATATGACATTTCGGGAGATGCTAAACTATACAGACAGAAAACAAATTAGTGGTTTTGAGGGCCTGGAGGTAAAGGAAGGAGCGGACCATAAAGGGGTACAAGGGAATTTGTTAAAGTTATGAAACCATTTTTTATCTTATATTTATAGTGGTGGTTACACAACCATATGCACTTGTCAAAACTGGTAAAACTCAAAAAACTGTAACCCTTTTCCAGGGTTTTCCTTTTCCAGAACACATTATGAAAAAGCACCCAGTTGTGCCGGGCGCGGTGGCTCATGCCTGTAATCCCAGCACTTTGGGAGGCCAATCACAAGATTAGGAGATCGAGACCATCCTGGCTAACATGGTGAAACCCCGTCTCTACTAAAAATACAAAAAATTAGCCGGGCGTGGCGGCGGGCGCCTGTAGTCCCAGCTACTCGGGAGGCTGAGGCAGGAGAATGGCGTGAACCCGGGAGGCGGAGCTTGCAGTGAGCAGAGATCGGGCCACTGCACTCCAGCCTGGGCGACAGAGCGAGACTCCGTCTCAAAAAAAAAAAAAAAAAAAAAGATAAAGAAAAAGAAAAAGCACCCAGTTGTAACTGCTGGAGTTTTTATTGTTTCAGAAAAGTTCAAGGGACCGGGCGCGGTGGCTCAGGCCTGTAATCCCAGCACTTTGGGAGGCCAAGGCGGGCAGATCACAAAGTCAAGAGATCGAGCCCATCCTGGCCAACATGGTGAAACCCCATCTCTACTAAAAATACAAAAGTTAGCTGGGCATGGTGGCGCGCGCCTGTAATCCCAGCCACTGAAGTGGCTGAGGCAGGAGAATCGCTTGAACCCGGGAGCTGAGATCGCCCCACCGCACTCCAGCCTGGGCGACAGAGGGAGACTCCATCTCCAAAAAAAAAAAAAAAAAAAAAAAGTTCAAGGAAGAAACCCAGCCACAGCAAAACAAAAACCAGTTGGATCCAGAGATGCCTGAGTTGGAGATGAACTTTGGAGATTTCTCCTCATTAGCATACTAAAAATCCACCCAGGAAGGAGCTATTCTCCATTTGTATGTAGAGGCGTGATCGCAGACTGGGCCTGAGCTGGCTCTACTCCACCTCTACATATGATAACTCAGCTAACCTGCCTAATAAAAGCCTTTTTATCACCTTTGTTTAGGGAGACACTGCTTTGGGGATTTATCCCCGATATCCTCCTTACTTATTGTAAGTAATAAAATCCCCTTGTTAAATCTTCCTTGGTTGTGGTATTGGACTGTCACTGGCTAAGTGATCAAACCCACCCATTGTGTGGGTAACAAAACTATACACTAAAACTATAACATTTGGAAATTATGCCCCAATAACCTGACCGCCCCCTCAAAAGCCTTCTCACAATGCTTTTCACAGATTTTTTTTTTTTGAGATGGAGTCTCGCACTTTCGCCCGGCTGGAGTGCAGTGCTGAGATCTTGGGGCTTTGCAACCTCTGCCTCTGGGGTTCAAGCGATTCTCATGCTTCAGCCTCCTGAATAGCGGGGATTACAGGCGCGCGACACATGCACAGCTAATTTTTGCATTTTTTTAGTAAAGACGGGGTTTCACCATATTGGTCAGGCTGGTTTGGAACTCCTGACCTCAGATGATCTACCTGCCTCAGCCTCCCAAAGTGGTGCTGGGATTATAGGTGCCAACCACCGCTGCTGGTCTTTCCTCAGATTTTAATGGTAATACTTGACAGAGCAGGAACATTGCCATCTTGGACAAGCACTGCTATTCTAAAGTTCCCCTTGATCAAAAACTGCCTAATCCAAAAGGCATCAGCCTAATGGCTAAGGTCAGCATGACCATAAACCGCAAATGACATCTCTGACCGGAAACCTTCCAACCATAAGATAAACCCCTCCCCGACTGGAGAGATGTCAGCCCCAAGATAACCTTCCCTCCAACCAGAGACATTCCAACCCCGCAATAAACTTCTCCCCGACACAGAAATATTACAAGCCTGTGATAAATTCTCTTGCCCTGAACTCTTAAATAATCTTAGTCTGTAAGAGAGGGCCCCTGACTGAAATCGGCCAAAAGCCCCTCTCAGGCTTATTCTCTAAAATAAACCTGTCTTTGACTGTTGAGCCGCTTTTAATGTTTCTTTCCTCTTTCTTTAATTCTTACAATACTTAAATATGTAAGCTCCTTTTTTTTCCTATGAAAAAATTGTATCATAACTGAGAAATCAATAAGGACAATAAAAATTAAGATATTAAAATAAGGCCAGGTGTGGTGGCTCACACCTGTAATCCCAGCACTTTGGGAGGCTGAGGCAGGTAGATCACTTGAGGTCAAGAGTTCCAGACCAACCTGGACAACATGACAAAACCCTGTCTCCACAAAAAATACAAAAATTAGCCGGGCCTGTTGGTGTACGCCTGTAGTCCCAGCTACTGGGGAGGCTGAGGCAGAAGAATTGCTTGAACCTGGGAGGTGGAGGTTGCAATTAGCCGAGATCTCACCACTGCATTCCAGCCTGGGTGACAGAGTGAGACTCCATCTCAAAAATAAATAAATAAATAAATAAATAAATATAAATAAAATGGAAAGAATTTGCAATACAAAATCTATGTGCCTTAAGGTAAGTCCTACTAAAGACATGCAGTAAATGTTTATTTATGTTTCAATCTGTTTCACTTTTTGATTTTATGAGTTAAATGTCAATGAAAAATTTTTTTCAGAGAAATAGTACTGTTTCATTTTTCTTTTAAATAATGTTGATCTGAAATTTCTCAAGTAAACCCAGCTTGCCACCTTCAGGTCACTGAAAGATTTACAGAGACTATAGTCAGAACACTAATACTGCATCTTTCTCAATAATCCATAATTAATAATATCTTGATCACTCTATTGTGCCTTTGTCAAATGCACTCTATCTAGAATCTTTCCCTAGCATTTACTGGAATCTTCCCAACTTTCAAAGCTCAGTTCAAATGTCACTAACTCCTAGAAGCCTTCACTGATCACTCTAGCTAGTTTTTCCTCCTCTAAATATTTTATTTCCTTGATTACTTGTAATCTCACTGAAGGTAATAACCATGTCCTACACATATTTTATGCCTCTGCGTGGCTATTAAAAAAGGTGCATATAAGAATTGTGCATTCTAGCTGGACGCGGTGGCTCATGCCTGTAATCCCAGCACTTTGGGAGGCGGAGGCAGGCGGATCACCTGAGGTCAGGAGTTTGAGACCAGCATGGCCAACATGGTGAAACCCCGTCTCTACTCAAAATAAAAAAATTAGCCAGGTGTGGTGGCAAGCGCCTGTAATCCCAGCTACTCAGGAGGTTGAGGCAGGAGAATTGCTTGAACCCGGGAGGCGGAGATTGCAGTGAGCTGAGATCATGCCATTGCACTCCAGCCTGGGTAACAAAGTGAGACTTTGTCTCAAAAAAAAAAAAAAAAAAAAAAAGAATTGTGCATTATAATATTTACTGAATGAACACATGAATGAATAAATAGGAAGCTAGAGTAAACATTGAGCTTTCACTTGGAAGAGGTCCCATTTTACTAGTAAATTAACGGGAATTCTACACATTTATTAAAGACTATATGCATACATATAAAAGCACAATTTTCATTGACAACTAGCAGTGTCTCAATCTCTATTAAGCTCTCAAACAATATTGTTGATGAATGATTTAATGACTATTTGGTGACTGGCTTTGTGATAACTACTCAAATCTTAATATCTAGACATTTAAAGAGAAGAAAGTGTGATGATATCTTTTACTTTTTTTTTTTTTTTGAGACAGTCTCACTCTGTCACCCAGGCTGGAGTGCAGTGGCATGATCTCAGCTCACTGCAACCTCTGCCTCCTGGGTTCAAGTGATTATCATGCCTCAGCCTCCTGAGTAAGCTGGGATCACCGGCGAGCGCCGCCACGGCTGGCTAACTTTTGTATTTTTTTGTAGAGATGGGGTTTTACCATGTCGGTCAGGCTTGTCTTGAACTCCTGGCCTCAGGCGATCTGCCCGCCTCGGCCTCCTAAAGTGCTGGGATTACAGGTGTGAGCCATAGCACCTGGCTGCTATTTTTTACTTTTGGACTGAACGTGAGATATTTCTCTTGTTTTGTGATATGGCCATACCATCTAATTATTTTCCTCTAAACCCCCAAGTTGCTAATATACTATAAGCTTATTAATAAAATATGTAACCGTGGCATGTAGTCCACCAATACATGACTCAGAAAAATTCCCAAATTTTTTGTCTAGTTCCATTTAGTTTAGGGCATGAGGTTTTCTTTCATGTTTACATTCTCTCTAGAATGAAGTTCCCCTCTCTCTCTTTCAAGGTCTACATGTATCCAGGACTACTAGATGAAAAACTGGTCATAGATGTTTGTTTCTGGTTTTTTAATGGAGAAGGGAATGGTCCACACTTGAGAATGGTTTATCTCCTTGAATTCCTTCCATTAGAATTTTCTTTCTTTCTTTTTTCTTTCTTTCCTTTTTTCTGAAACAGGGTCTCACTCTGTCACCCAGGCTGGTGTGCAGTGGCACCATCACAGCTCACACTGCAGTCTTGTCCTCCTGGGCTCAAGTGATCCCCCTGCCTCAGCCTCCCAAGTAGCTGGGAATACAGGCATGCACCTCCATGCCTGGCTAATTTTTGTATTTTTTGTAGAGATGAGTCTTGAGATGGGGTCTCACTATGTTGCGCAGGCTGGTCTCAAACTCCTGGTGTCAAGTAATCCTTCTGCCTTGGCCTCCCATCGTGTTGGGATTACAGGCATGAACCACCACATCTGGCCCCATTAGAACTTTCTAACAAAAGATGATCTTTCTCCTGCCCCCTAGAGGGCTGTTTATCCCTTCTGTCAGTCCTTCCTTTCTCATTATATCCTCTCCACTCTCTGCCCTCTGCCTAGGCCCAGCCTTATCCATCTGAGAGAGGAAGTAACCAGTAATTTGAGCATGCACAGAAGGCTCTGATTTGGGACCTCATGTCAGCAGTGTCTTTGGATTTTTGTTTCTGCTTTGTTGAGGGCTGAACAGGAAGATAGGCCCATGGGTTACCAGTGAGATAGAAAAAGGGGAGGAAAATACAGAGAAACAATCGGATTCACATTTTGGGATACAAATCCACCACAAATGCAAGTTTATAATACCTATGTGGGCTAAAAGTTTGTTCTCTCTCCTCCAGTCCTTTATCTTTCCTCAAAATGTGAACTTGGTATTTCTCCCTCATCAGTATCAGTTTCAACTCTCCTAAACAAATCTTCTAATTGTACCCCAATACTTTCATTGACCAAGTCTTCTCTTAATCACCACATACACACTGTAGTAGCGGCATCTTTTTCCAGCTATTCTTTTCTCTCCCTTTCATTTACCCTAGTTGATTCTAACCAGCCATCCCCAAGTGTATTAGGTACATTTTCAGTTTGCTCGCGAATTCTCATTTACTCACAATATGGCTTCTGTCTGCTTCCCTTTACCAAGACAAGTCTTGTTTTGGTCCAATTAATGAGCTTTTAAAAAATCCATGTAGCTTGATACCATTGCTCACTCCTTCTGTGAACAATTAGGTTCTGTTATTAATTAGGTTTGTACATATCACCATTTTTCTAGCATTTTAAACTTTCTGGTTCTGACTGTAATAATATCTTTGATAATTTTCCTTTTTTTTTTTTTTTGCTTTATTTACTCCTTTTAACCATCACAACAGTGGTCCTATACTTTTCTTTCTTTCCTGAAGATGATTTTAAAATTCCATTCCATTTTTGTAAATCTGTAATGTTGAGTCTCTTTTGGATGCTCTGAAACAGGTTGCTTGGATTGTGGAATATTTTGAAAGACTGCTTATGAGGCAATAGCAGCAGGGTGCAATTCAGACTTCTCACACTTCTTTAAATACCAGTTCTTTCAGGAGTTTTTTTTTTTTTTTGAGACAGAGTCTCACTCTGTTGTCCAGGCTGGAGTGCAGTGGTGAGATCTTGGCTCACTGCAACCACCACCTCCCGGGTTCAAGAGATTCTCCTCCATCAGCCTCCTAAGTAGCCGGGATTACAGGTGGCTACTACCACCCTAGGCTAATTTTTTGTATTTTTAGTAGAGATGGGGTTTCACCATGTTGGCCAGGCTGGTCTCAAACTCTCAACCTCAGGTGATCTGGCCACCTCAGTCTCCCAAAGTCCTGGGATTACAGGCCTGGTCTCAGGTTTTTAATGTAACCCAAAGATAAGAAATAGATTCAATGTCGTTAGGGACACTGACCTTTCTTCCCAGATTCAACCCATTTATTTTCTATTTTTACTCTGTACTTGAGTTTTGTTTGTCATTGTAATTTGTAAACTCACTGGGTAGGAAATAATTGTTGATCTTCTAATTTAGAATAGCCCCAAGCACATGGTTATCATGGTAACATGCTTTAAATGTCCTTGGTTATAAAATGAACAATGTTAAACATCACTTGAATTTTTCACTTTTATTTTTCTTCATTCTTTGCTTGCAGGTTTTATATTCTATACTCTCAATAGGTGGTTCTCATACAAGAATGGGGTCAGTTCTATTAGAGTTACAAACATTGGAAGAAAATACATTATTTTGGTACCAAAATCTAAATACTTCCATCTCCCAATGCAGTTTAGTGGTTATTAGTGTGACTTTGAATCTTGGCCCTCTTAGTTCTTTGTTTTGTCACCACAGGCAAGTTTCTAACACAAAAATTAGGGATAGTAATAACCTAACTGTATGAGTTTTTGTGAAAAATAGAGGAAATAATTTACAGTTGAAACCTGAACAAGGTGGGGTTAGGAGCACGAGCCTTTTGCACTGTAAAAATCTGCATATAACTCTTTTCTTTTTTTTTCTTGGAGACAGAGTCTCGCTGTCACCCAGGCTGGAGTGCAGTGGCGCGATCTTGGCTCACCCCAACTTCCGCCTCCCAGGTTCAAGTGGTTCTTCTGCCTCAGCCTCCCGAATAGCTAGGACTACAGGCACGCACCACCACACCCAGCTAATTTTTTTGTATTTTTAGGAGAGATGGGGTTTTGCCATGTTGCCCAGGCTGGTCTTGAACTCCTGAACTCAGGCAATCTGCCCACCTTGGCCTCCCAAAGTGCTAGGATTACAGGTGTGAGCCACTGCATTGGGCCAAAATCTGTATTACTTGACTCCCCAGAGCTTAACTGTTAATACCAACTATTGCCTGGAAGCCTTACCAATAACATAAACAGTTAATTAATACGTATTTTGTATATGTATTATATACTGTATTCTTAAAGCAAGCTAGAGAAAATAAAACATTAAGAAAATCATAAGAGAAAATATATTTACTATTCATTAAGTTTAAGTGGATCATCATAAAGGTTTCCATCCTGTTCAGTAGGCTGAAGAGAAGGAGGAGGAAGACAAAGGGTTGATCTTGCTATCTCCAGCTTAGCAGGTGCAGAAGAAAAAATCTGCCTACAAGTGGACCTGCGAAGTTCAAACCAGTATTGTTCAAGGGTCAACTGTATCAGAAAGATTTGACTACTATGAGCTAAGTGGTAATCATCATTGGTCTGAAATGATGATTTTTAGAAAGTGACTTTATTATATCACTGATAGAGATGCCCTATACTGAAATACTGAGATTACCAATACCTTGCCTGTACCACAAATGTATTTTTGCCATTTTGCTTTCTGTTTCTATAATATTTTGAATTCCTAACATGATCCAGAAGGCTGGGAGATGCTCCTAATGAAAGAGAGAAACCTGGAATGTTCTCCTATTTACCAGATTGCTTCCTCTCATACCCAGGTTTTGAGATATAAAGTTGTTACAAAGTTCCAACTTATTTGGTATCATTCAAAATCTGATGAGCTTGCATTTTAAGAAGTGTTGATCAGTTCCATTTAAAAGCAGTTGGTATGAGTTCACTTTATTTTTTGAGGTGGAATCTCGCTCTGTTGCCCAGGCTGGAGTGCAGTGGCATGATCTTGGCTCACTGCAACCCCTGCCTCCTAGGTTCAAGCGATTCTCCTGCCTCAGCCTCCCGAGTAGCTGGGATTATAGGCGCGTGCTACCACACCCGGCTAATTTTTTTTATTTTTTTATTTTTAATAGAGACGGGGTTTCACCATATTGGCCAGGCCGGTCTCGAACTCCTGATCTCAAGTGATTCATCTGTCCTGGCCCCCCAAGGTGCTGGCATTACAGGCATGAGCCACCATGCATGGCCATGACTTCACTTCAAATGAGCACAGAAAAATCTGGGGGCCCAACAACCTTATGGTACATCTTTTGAAGCCTGGTCAGACAAGAGGGTCTTTAGGTGATGGTGAAGTGACAGTTTTGAGTTGTCTTCTTTGGTAGTAAGTGTTGGCTAATTCTAACAGCAGGAACAATTGAGGAGTCCAACAAACAATCTTGTTCACATTGCAATGATTTTGTTACAGTTGACACTAATTTAAAAATTGGCAGGCTCTAGACCAGAAAGACCTGCCCCCAAAGTACCTTTTCTGAAAAAGTTGCCCTGCCTCAGATGCTGTGTATCTGTTGAACTTTTCAGCTACTGTGGTTTCCAAGGAATGCACCTCTATCAAAAATGAGCTTAATTCCTAAGGAAGTCAATTATTATTCCTCCATTCCAGCAAAGTCAACAAATATTGACAGCCCACCTTGAATCACTGTGCTGGGCCCTGGATGTAGCAGTGTTTTAATATTTCGACTCTTGTGGGGGGGGGCTTTACAATCTAGCTGGGCAGAAGAGGAAACATGCAAATAAATTAAAATGCAGGGTCCTATGAGGGAAATGAACAGCCTTGGTGACCTAAGTTTTGATAATAACATAACTAAAAGTTCGGCTCCACAACTCAGTAGCTGTGTGCCTTGGACAGGTCATATCAGATTAGGAAAGGTGAGAATGAGTTGAGGAACGCAGCACTCTGGGATCATGGTTCCAGCTCCGGGCAGAGGGTTACATCGTGTCAAGTGTGTGAAGGCAGAATAGCCTGCAGAGACCACTGTGGCGTTGAAAAGAGGTGTCGTCGCGACCTTCGGCGCCGGAGAGGCGAAACAAGAGGGGGTCTTCGGGCCCTCAGGTATGGCTCAGCCGCCCAAGGCGAAGCGCACGTGGCAGTTGGCGGGAAATCCCTGGGGGGTGGAGCCTCGGCTCGAGGTCCGGCCGCCCCGTACCACGTCATCGAGCAGCTCCCCCTCCCCTTGCTACAAGTCGCACGCGCGGAAGTAAACACCTCTACGTCATCAGGGCGCGTCCTCGTCTTTCCCCTCCCATCTCCTCAGATCGGTGGACGTGCTCGCCTCCACTCGGGGCCAGGTCTATGTCCCGGTTTCCCGCAGTCGCGGGCAGGGCGCCAAGGCGGCAGGAGGAGGGTGAGCGGTCAAGAGACCTCCAGGAAGAGCGGCTCTCGGCTGTTTGCATCGCCGATAGAGGTGCGGTCCGCGGGACGGTACGGAAGCCAGCGGGAGTTACGGCGTGGGGGTTTTGGTGGGGGGATGAAAGTACGCCTTTGGCAGGCTGAGAAGAGTAGTGAGGAAGCCGTGGCGTTCTCCTGGCTTTCCAAGCCCGAGGCGAACTTTGCGTCCAATGAGCACTTTGCCTTAGAGGGGGGCGGTCCCAGATTCAAGTTAGGCGAAAACCTTACTGGGGGGCGAAAAAGTGAACCCCAACGCCCGAAATGCATTCTGTTCTTAAACAGGCTCATAGACCCTTTGTTCTCTACCCATTCATCCCCCCCACCCTTCGTCGGGCCGCCAGCCTGCCTTTGGGTACAGTATGAAGGGAGCCAGTTTCCAGGAGCCAGTTTCCATGGTTACCCACCACTTGGCCTTCTGGGATATCAGTCGCTCTGAACAGGGACCTAACTTGAACCATGAATCAGAAGCAAACACAGGTGGCTTCTAATCCAGCTGAGAATTTTCTGCTGTGTTCCAGTTTTTGGTCTATTGTTAAATAAAATTGAGTTTTGTGCTTCTGTGTAAGTATGCATGTGTATACGTTGCCTTGAGCTATACTTGCTTTGAAAAGTACTTTGAGTTATGCGTGAACAAATGCTCAAGTTGCTGGATTTCACCAAAAAGTTGTTCTGGGCTCATTAACCCTCACTTACAAATTGCGCTCATTAACGCTCACTTACATGAGCGATTTAACTGAGAAGTCATGGATGATCCCGTCCAGCCCTAAAATTCTATTGCCTTTCTGGTTTTAGTCATGAGAAATTGAGTCAGAGATATCTTTACAAGTCTTTTAATTGACTTGTTTTTCTGTTATTACAGAAGAGAAAGGATGCACGTCCCAGGAGGGAGGAACTACTCCAACTTTTCCTATTCAGAAACAAAGAAAAAAGATTATTCAAGCTGTGAGGGACAATTCATTCCTTATTGTTACTGGAAATACAGGAAGTGGTAAAACAACTCAACTCCCAAAATATCTATATGAAGCAGGTGATTTTTTTCTGTTGTAATAATTGGAAATATTTTAAAAATATCCTCTTTTTAAAGGCCAGTAGGACTTCTGTACTCCATGATTGCCCAGTATTTGCTTTATAGTCCCGCTTCTCTTGGCACACCCCCTTCCCCTATGTCTCCTTTGCTTCTTTATGGTCTATTTCAGGTTCAAGAATTAGTTGGGATGGCAAATTTTCCCATTTTTAATTACCATAATAATCTCAAATAGAATTACATCTAGATATTCCATTTTATAGAATAAAGTTGTCTAGCAGTAGACTATTAACCATTGGATACTGAAATAATTTTGAGGGGTAAGAGATATGTGATATCTGTTGCTGCCATTAGTACTTCTTGGTTCTTTCTCTAGAGCATTATCAGGTAAATATTTATCCCCTGACTTTGCCAGCGCAAGCCAACTAACAAATTACCTTTAAAATACGTTAAGTAAAGTTAATAGGAGGCCTTTGGTTTGGACTGATCCCCCGCACTAGACCCAACAGACCAAACCAAAATGGAGTTACTCATACTGAAGTTCCACGCCACCAAGTCTAGAAACTAAATTTTTCATCTACTGAGAAATCAGGAGAAAGAGATAATAGCCAAATCCCCAAACAGACCAGTTTTAGGAGCATCAAGAAGTTTCCTCTGCTTTAACTTTGACAAGAAAAGTAACTTTGAAATGAGCAATCTGCTTTTTGTTTTCTGTTTCTGCTTTCCTCAGCCCTTTTCTGTCTATACAATCAGCCTCCTCTGCTCAGCTCATTGGAACACTGATTCTATTTTATGAGACGATGGGTTGATGTGATTCCAGAGTTAGAATCACAAAAGCCAATTAAAAAGTTTTGGCTGGGCACAGTGGCTCACGCCTGTAATCCCAGCACTTTGGGAGCCCGAGGTGGGCGGATCATGAGGTCAGGAGATCGGGACCATCATGGCTAACACAGTGAAACCCTGTCTCTACTAAAAATAGAAAAAAAAAAAATTCGCCGGGCGTGGTGGTGGGCGCTTGTAGTCCCAGCTACTCGGGAGGCTGAGGCAGGAGAATGGCATGAATCTGGGAGGCGGAGCTTGCAGTGAGCCGAGATCGTGCCACTGTACTCCAGCCTGGGAGACAGAGTGAGACTCCGTCTCCAAAAAAAAAAAAATTTTTTAGGCCGGGCGCAGTGGCTCAAGCCTGTAATCCCAGCACTTTGGGAGGCCAGGGCAGGTGGATCATGAGGTCAGCAGTTCGAGACCAGCCTGGCCAACATGGTGAAACCCGTCTATACTAAAAATACAAAAATTAGGCGTGGTGGCGGGCGCCTATAATCCCAGCTACTTGGGAGGCTGAGGCGGGAGAATCACTTGAACCCAGGAGGCAGAGGTTGCAGTGAGCTGAGACCGTGCTGTTGCACTCCAGTCTGGGCAACAGAGTGAGACTCTGTGTCAAAAAAAATAAATAAAAATAAAATAAATTTGTTGTAATTTTGTTTTTTGACAAGTGTCATTCAGTATGACAGAACTTTCTGTCATAAGGTTTGTAAAGAGCAGTATTATATTGGATATGATTTGCCTTAAAAAATAACAAATGTATTATTCTAATGCTTCAATCTAAGGTGCCATCTATTAAGATATATCACTATTTTATGTGCAGTAATCCCTTCTTATCCTTGGGAGATGCCTTCTAAGACCACTCAATGCCTGAAACTGCCAATAATACCAAACCCTGCATATACTATGTGTTTTCCTATACATACATACATACTTTTGATAAAGTTTAGTTTATAAATTAGGCATAGTAAGAAATTAACAACAACAACAATAAAATAGAGCAGTTATGACAATATACTGTAGTAAAACTTTTGTAAATGTGGTCTCTCTCTGTCTCTCAAAGTACTGTAACATTTTTGGACCTCCACTGACTGTAGGTAACTGAAAAATTGGAAAGCAAAACCAAAGGTAAAGAGGGACTACTGTATTAGTAAGAATGGAAATGCGCCATCGATTTTAAGATGCAGCTCCATTCCCAAATATATTAAAATGGTATATGGAAGGTGCATATATATATATATATAAATATAGATATATATATTTATTTATTTTTTTGAGATGAGATCTTACTATGTCGCCCAGGCTGATCTCAAACTCCTGAGTTCAAGCAATCCTCCTACCTCAACCTTCTGAGTAGCCAGGCTCCTGAGTAGCTGGGATTACAGGTGTGTACCACTGCTCCCAGCAGAAAGGTGGCATATTTAAGTCCAGTTTTAGGCTGGGTGCAGTGGCTCATGCCTGTGATCCCAGCACATTGGGAGGCTGAGGCAGATGGATCACTTGAGGTCAGAAGTTTGCGACCAGCCTGGCCAACATGGTGAAACCCCATCTCTACTAAAAATACAAAATTAGCTGGGTGTGGTGGCGCGCACCTGTAATCCCAGTTACTCAGGCGGCTGAGGCAGGAGAATTGCTTGAACCCAGGAGGTAGAGGTTGCAGTGAGCCGAGATTGTGCCACTGCACTCCCGCCTGGGCAACAGAGCAAGACTCTATCTCAAAAATAAATAAATAAATAAATAAATAAATAAATAAATAAATCCAGTTTTACTCTTGTGGCAAAAGTAAATTTATTTTGGGAAGTGTGTGGAATTTTATGAATTCTTATGTTTCAAAATTCTTGGCTTACCTTTAGAGTAGATTTTTAGACAGAAAAAAACAGACAAAGCCTGAATTCTAATTTAAAAAATATATTTTTTACAAAAAAATTAGCTGGGCCTGGTGGCAAGCGCCTGTAATCCCAGCTGCTCAGGTGGCTGAGGCAGGAGAATCGCTTGAACCCAGGAAGTGAAAGTTGCAGTGAGCCGAGATCGCGCCACTGCATTCCAGCCTGGGCAACAGAGCAATACTCCGTCTCAAAAAAGAAAAAAATATATATATATCTATATATATATATAGATATATATATAATTTTTTCTTTCTTTTTTTTTGTTTTGGCTGGGCGTGGTGTCTCAAGCCTATAATCCCAGTACTTTGGGAGGCAGAGGCAAGTGGATCACCTGAGGTTGGGAGTACAAGACCAGCCTGACCAACAGGGAAAAAACCCGTCTCTGCTAAAATACAAAATTAGCCCGGCATGGTGGCACATGCCTGTTATCCCAGCTACTCGGGAGGCTGAGGCAGGAGAGTTGCTTGAACCTGGGACGCAGAGGTTGCGGTGAGCCGAGATTGCGCCATTGCACTACAGCCTAGGCAACAAGAGCAAAACTCTGTCTAAATATATATAATATACATTATATTATAATGTATATTTATATATAATATATAGTATATATTATAATATATTATAATGTATATTTATATATAATATATTATAAATTATATAATACATATAATATGTTATATATTAATATATATAATATATAATATATTATAATATATATTATATATTAAATATATATTAGTATATAATATATATAATATATAAATATATATAATATAAACTGGATTTATATTATATATATTTATATATTATATATATAATATATTTTTGCATGGTTATTAATATGTATTATTTTAAATTAATATTTAAATTTCCATGATGCAAACATAGCAGTGTGTTTTTAATTTGCGAGATATTCTTTTGGAAACATTCAAGCAGTTTTGTGTTGATTGGCCAAAAACAATTTAGCTCTAATAGGAAGACAATTGCTAACATTGTTGTGTTTCTTTATCTCTGGTTTTGATAGGGTTTTCACAACATGGTATGATTGGTGTAACTCAACCACGAAAAGTAGCTGCTATATCAGTTGCTCAGAGAGTAGCTGAAGAAATGAAATGCACTTTGGGATCCAAAGTAGGATACCAAGTTCGTTTTGATGATTGCAGTTCTAAGGTACAAAAGTCTTGTTGGTATTTGTTTCTTTTCTTTTATGGGACAGGGTCTTGCTCTGTCGCCCAGCCTGGAGTGCGTGGCGCAATCATGGCTCTCTGTAGCCTCTACCTTCTGGGCTCAAGTGATCTCCTACCTCAGCCCCTTGGGTAGCTGGGACTACAGGAGCATGCCACCATGCCCAGCTAATGTTATAAACTTAACAGAAAGAGTGGAGAGAGTTCTGAAAGATTTTTAACTTCAAAGTTCAATATATATTTTAAAGAATTTATTTTTGTTGTTCATTGTTAATGCTTTAGCTCTCAAGTGTCTGATGTTCATCCCATTTTCTCCTTCCTTAGTTTATAAATGACAGTTTATTTTCTTAGGATTCTCTTATTTATGTTTTTTAACTGTAAGGATTCTTGACATGTAGGTTTTTAAAATGTTTTATTGTAGTAAAATATATATAACTTAAAATCGACCATTTTACTATTTTGGTATACAATTCAGTGCCATTAAGTATGTTCACAATGGGCTGGGCTCGATGGCTCACGTCTGTAATCCCATCACTTTGGGAGGCCGAGGCGGGTGGATCACCTGAGGTCAGGAGTTCGAGACCAGCCTGACCAACATGGAGAAACCCTGTCTCTTTTAAAAATACAAAATTAGCTGGGCACGGTGGTGCATGCCTGTAATCCCAGCTACTCAGGAGGCTGAGGCAGGAAAATGGCTTGAACCCGGGAGGCGGAGGTTGCGGTGAGCTGAGATCGCGCCACTGCACTCCAGCCTGGGCAACAAGAGCAAAACTCCACCTCAAAAAAAAAAAAAAAATGTGTTCACAATGTTGGGTAACCATCACCATTTCTACTTTCAGAACTTTTTTTATCATCCCAAACAGAAACTCTTATAGATTAAAACCCCCATTTCTCCCTCCCCCTAGCCTCTGGTAACTTCTTTTTTTTTTTTGAGACGAAGTCTCACACCATTGCCCGGGCTGGAGTGCAGTGGCGCAACCTCCACTCCCTGCAACCTCTGCCTCCCAGGTTCTAGTGATTCTCCTGCCTCAGCCTCCCAAGTAGCTGGGTTTACAGGCTCCTGCCACCACGCCCAGCTAATTTTTTGTATTTTTAGTAGAGATGGGGTTGGTCTCAAATTCCTGACCTTGTGATCTGCCCACCTCGGCCTCCCAAAGTGCTGGGATTACAGGGTAAACCACCGCGCCCTGCTGTATCTTCTGTTCTACTTTCTGTCTCTACAAATTTGCCTACTCCGGGTACCTCATTCAAGTGGAATCACACAATATTTTGTACTTCGTGTCACTCTTATTTCACTGAGCATGTTTTCAGGTTGATTTATTTTATGTGTTTGTATTCTTGAAGTCAATGGAAAGCTGAATTAACAAAATCAGCCAATTAACAAAATCAGCAAGTGTTAAAGCATCTTCTATATTCATGGCACCAACAAATTTAAAATTTTCTTTTTAATAGTGAATATTATAATTTACATTCCCTGTGGATTTCTTAATCCTGTCCAGCTACAAAACGATCCCTGGTTTACATATGTTCCCTAATGGGAATGGCCATCAAATGTGGCACAAGATGACTCCCCAAAATACTATCTTTTTGCCTTCCTAGTGGTCACTGTTTTTTCTTTCTTCTTTCCCTTGTTTTATGGATGTCGTTGCTGTTATTCCTACCCTTTGGACCTTTTTCTCACCCTGTTTTAATGCTTGTTGAGTAACACATTTTTATTTGGAGATAGTGTCTTACTAAGTCACCCAGGCTGGAGTGCAATGGCGTGATCTCAGCTCACTGCAATCTCCGCCTCTCAGGCTCAAGCAGTCCTCCCGTCTCAGCCTCCCAAGTAGCTGGGACTACAGGCGTGACCCACCACACCTGGCTAATTTTTATATGTTTATTAGAGATGTGGTTTTGCTATGTTGTCCAGGCTGGTCTCGAACTCCTGGACTCAAGTGATCCGCCCACCTCAGCAACCCAAAGTGCTGGGATTACAGGCGTGAGCTACCGTGTCTGACCTAAGTAACACATTTTTTAATAGAGAAGAGGAGAGAGTGGGTGGAAAGTATGCACCTACCATTTTCTCATTTCCCCCGAATCCTCTAAAATAGGGGCTGAGTCAGAAAGATAAATCTCATTTCACTGTTGTTTCCCACAACTTGCTTACCCAATGCCATTGCATCATCTTGCCACTTTCCTCTGACTTTATTGTATTTCCTTATTGGTGATTTTTGTTGCTTTGTCCAAGAATACCCAAGTGAGTTATTTGTCCCTTTTTCTGTATAGACAGCATGTTTTGTAACTTACCATCATTTTGTATACATAAGTTAGACTATTTTTATGTACCCTTTTGTTTAGTCAGAGTGGTTTGATCACTTAATGTTTGTACCTCTTGAGGAAAAATTTAGTTGGGAAAATAGTGGTGAATTCCTGTGACACTGCTGTTTGAACATTAGGAGACAGCAATCAAATATATGACTGATGGATGTTTACTGAAACATATTCTGGGAGACCCAAATCTTACCAAATTCAGTGTCATTATTTTGGATGAAGCCCATGAAAGAACTCTAACTACAGTGAGTATTTTAATTTATTATTATTTTTTTATTAGCAAGTAGTTTGTTTGGGTAGCTTTTTATTGTGTAGAGAATTGCCTCCTCTTACTTTTTAATTTAATTTAATTTTTTAGAGATGGAGTCTTGCTCCATCACCCAGGCTGGAGAGCAGTGGCACGATCATAGCTCACTGCACCCTTGAACTCCTGGGCTCAAGTGATCCTCCCATCTCAACCTCCTGAGTTGCTGGTACTGCAGACGTGCATCACCATGTCTGGCTAATTTTTAAGAATATTTTTTGTAGAGACAGTGTCTCGTTTTGTTTCCCTGGCAGGTCTCGACCTCCTGGCCTCCGACCTTGGCCTCCCAAAGTGCTGGGATTACAGGTGTGAGCCACTGCACCTGGCTCCTACTTATATTTTAATGTATTAAAATAGGAATTCCTTGGTTAGAATAGCAGTGTATCTAAAATAGTTTGGCTGTTAAGTGTACTTGTGACTTACTAGAAATTTACTTTTCTTTCAGGATATCTTATTTGGTTTATTGAAGAAGCTATTTCAGGAGAAGTCTCCTAATAGGAAGGAGCATTTAAAAGTGGTGGTAATGTCAGCAACTATGGAATTAGCCAAGCTCTCTGCATTCTTTGGAAATTGTCCAATATTTGATATACCTGGAAGGCTTTATCCAGTCAGAGAGAAATTCTGCAATTTGATTGGTCCACGAGACAGAGAAAATACTGCGTATATTCAAGCGGTATTACTTGGCATTCATTTAATGTCTTTTTTAAATATCTATGATTCTTACTAATTGGGTGGTTTGATAATTCATTTGTTCACTACTATTTTAATGACAGTCCTCACAGGTCCTAGAACTTTTAAGAACCAAATTTAATTTTTCTGTGGGGCAAGGGAAGTGGTGGTAAGGGAATGACTGTATTTCCACTAGCATATTATGCCTGCATTTCTTGCTTTAGATTGTGAAAGTCACCATGGATATCCATTTGAATGAAATGGCTGGAGACATCTTGGTTTTTCTGACTGGTGAGCATTCAGTATCAAGTTAAAAAACTTAAGTATTTGTAAGTAAGGAATGTGGCACCCAGATAGAGTGCTACCTCTGTTGGGAATTCTGTGCCCTTCTCAAGTGTTGCCCTAGCTTTTTCTGATTATCTGAATAATTTTAGGTAAAAGATAGATAAAAATTGTAAGCTAGCTGCCAAAGAGGATTATATATATTTATGTCAAAGACATATGTTTATGTCAAAGACATAATAGTATGTATATATATTTTATGTCAAAGACATAGTAGTATATGTCAAAGACGTAATAGTGTATATGTATATATACACACACATATATGTCAAATGTCAAAGACATCAGGCTCATTAGTAAATATATGTAAAACACACTGACCTTTTAATAGAAAGAAATTAAATAGTGAAATATTGTTTTTGTTGGTCTGTCTTAGATAGAAATGTAACCTGACTAAACAGACCTGAGTTAATTCCATTATTTCAAAGGACATTTCACCAGGTTCTTCTTTGGGTGGTGGCATTGTACTGTGTGATAACAACACATAAGGTGTAGAATCTATGTGTCGTAGACAAGCATGTGGCATTTTTGGAGATCAAAAATAAAATAGTTAAATCCCAAACTAGTGGCATAACTTTTCAAATAGCAGCACCCTCCTAATAGGAATTAGTAGTTTCCTTGTTTACCTTTTTCCTCTGCCTTGTACTAATGTCAGAAGTGAGGGATTGTCACAATCTTTGCCTTTTTGGAGATTACTTAAGTATTTTGAAATTTAACCAAATGCAATAGCACCTGGACTAGCTTTTCTCCTTTGTTAACAATTTGGTGAGTCTTCTCAAATACAGGGTGAAAAGCTTGACGATGATAAATATTTTTATTCCTTTAGAGATTTAGGTTTCTTAGAAACTGATGTTTCTTCTACTTCGAATTTTATTGTTGAAATATGGTACAGCTTATGTGTTCATCTCCTTTACATTAAATGAGAGATTTACAATAACTTTTAGGCAAAATTAATTTTAATCTTGACATTTTCTTTATTTTTAAATTAATTTTTCTGTTCAGTTGCTGAAGTTATTTTTTTCTTCCCATTTTAGGCCAGTTTGAAATAGAAAAAAGTTGTGAGTTACTTTTTCAGATGGCAGAGTCTGTTGATTATGATTATGATGTTCAAGATACCACCCTCGATGGCTTGTTAATATTGCCGTGTTATGGATCAATGACAACAGGTAATTTCTCATTAGAATAGAAAATTTGATTTTTTAAAAAAACTTTTTATTGAATAATCGTGTTTACAGAAAAGCAGTCAGATCTTAAGTGCTTAGGTAAGTTTCACAAACCAGTCTCACCTTTGTAACCCACATCCAGATCATGAAACAAATCAGTGAGAACCAGCATTCCTTGACAGTAGTGATTTTTGCCTGAAGTCTTTTTACATTCACTTTTTTGAGAGTCGTGGATATCCCCCTTATTATCGTTTAGAGTATTGTTTCTCCCAGCAAAACAAAACTATTGGTGAGAATTCTTTGAAATGAGGACAGTAGTTTCTTGCTGGTATTACTGTAAGTCAAAACCTAATTTGCCATTGCCACAGAATTTTTAGAAATTGTGTATATCCAGCTATATCTAAGTCTAAACACAGTGGATTGTTTTGTTTTTTTTTTGTGATGGAGTCTCGTTCTTGTCATCCAGGCTGGAGTGCAGTGGCGCAATCTCAGCCCACTGCAACCGCCACCTCCTGGGTTCAAGCGATTCTCCTTCCTCAGCCTCCCAAGTAGCTGGGATTGCAGGCGCTCGCCACCACACCTGGCTAAGTTTTGTATTTTTTTTTTTTTTTTTTTAGCAGAGATGGGATTTTGCCATGTTGGCCAGGCTGGTTTCAAACTCCTGACCTCAGGTCATCTGCCTGCCTTGGCCTCCAGAATTGCTGGGATTACAGATGTGAGCCACCATGCCTGGCTGTGGATCATTTTCCTTTTAAAGTAGCCATGCCTTAGTCTGCTTTTCAAGAATGATCCTGTTCTTTGGTGAATTCCAAGAGCAAATGCAAACTCTTGATTTGACATTTTGGTTATAGTAAATATTGTTGAATGAGGTTTAGAATTTGTTTTATAAAACTTTTATTATGGAATTTAACTTGTAAAGTTAAAGGGAAATTAACCTTAGCCTCCTATTTGGAGTTGGAATTAGCATTTGAATGTTTTTATATTTTACATGTATGCGTATTAACAGCTTTTGTTGATTGGGTGATTCTTATCCCTATATTAACAAAGTTTTGGAATATATGTGTCAGTAAAGAACATAGATGTGCTATTTTGGAAATCTTTTTTATGATGATATTAGCTTCTTACTCTCTATTGAAGCATAGATATCTATTTTAGATTTTGTCATCTTCAGGGAAATTCTTAGGATCATTGTTTAAGGTTCTCATTGTTTTCTCAAGATTTGGTTCACCGATGCTTTTATAATTTACATTGAAACTGATAAAAACCCATTATGTTTGGTTTGTTATTAATCATTAACTAAATATGTACATAGACATATATTATTCTATACAGAGTAAATAATTTCATTCTTTTTTACTGCTACATTGAAAATAATGTTCTGGATTTTCTCTTGCCTCTGTTTTTTTTTTTTTGTTTTTTGAGATGGAGTCTCGCTCTGTCGCCCAGGCTGGAGTGCAGTGGCGCGATCTTGGCTCACTGCAACCTCTGCCTCCCAGATTCAAGCAATTCTCCTGCCTCAGCCTCCCGAGTAGCTGGGACTACAGGGGCGCGCCCCCACGCCCTGCTAATTTTTTGTATTTTTCTTAGAGACAGGGTCTCACCATGTTAGCCAGGATGGTCTCGATATCCTGACCTTGTGATCCTCCCGCCTCAGCCTCCCAAAGTGCTGGGATTACAGGCGTGAGTCACCACGCCCGGCCTAGAAACATGACTTGTAATGAAAAATTAAGTTCTTCAAAACTCGAGTTTGACACATGCATGTTGTAAATTGGTATTTTCTTTTTATATATACTTCAGATCAACAGAGGAGGATATTTTTGCCACCACCACCTGGAATTAGAAAATGTGTCATATCCACCAATATTTCTGCAACGTCTTTGACAATAGATGGAATCAGGTAAAACTTTTGAACTTTCTCTTAAAGTCAAGGAAGCCTATCGTTACTAAACATTAGCTAAACATTACTGAGTTTGCTTTTCTGTGCCCTCCACTAATTCCCTTCTCTCCTACTTTTTGATGTTCTTAACATGTAATCACCTATTTTGTTTTGTAATTATTGATTGCTTTGAGCAGGAAATGGAGTAGGAGGTACATACTATATTCCTATTCACACTTTTTGTTTTTTTAGAGACAGGGTCTCATTATGTTGCTGAGGCTGGAATATAGTGACTATTCACAGGCGTGCAGTCATAGCACACTACAGCCTTGTATGGAGATCAGCCAATCCTCCCGCCTCAGTCTCCTGGGTAGCTGGGACCACAGGCATGTGTCACCGTACTTGGCTGTTCACACTTTTTAACTACTTGGCAACTTGAAGCTTCTTTTCAAATTTAAGATTATGTATAATGCTTTATGGGTTTCACTAAATAGGAAGCCAAACCTATTTTTCTGTACTCCCATTATAAGCATATACCTTAGATGATTTGATATTTCCTTCTACCTTGCAGCCTCACTCGGTAGAGTTAGTTTGTATATCCAGTGTTTATCTGGATGTATTGTCTCTGACTTTTTACCTTTTTGTGAAAATTAACTATGATTCAGGTCCCTTATCTTTTCTGGATGTAGTAAATAGTGCTATCAAATTTTTGGGTAAATTTAGTAAGGAAACACTAAGAAATTTTAAGTCTGGACTGACAACTAATGCAAAGTTCTTTAAGACTGGGTTATTTATCATTTACCGAATATATTTTATTTCTTTAGCTAAGTCTGATTGTCTGTCTCCGGAAGGCTGAACCTGAATCTCAAAGATCCTGTGTGTTTCTTCTGGGTAAAATGATCACCCAGGTCTGAGAGGAAGTCTAATTTCCTCTGCTTTTCTTCGTTACTTTAAAAATAATGGTTTCACTAAGGGATTAAGGGAGTGCTCTCCTGGGTAAATTAACCTCTGTAATTTTCTGTTTCCTGCACAGGCAAAAGCCATTAAATAGCATGTTTCAGAATGTTGTCTTGTTACTGCTATCCTACTTTGGTTCCTTACCTGACTTGTTCACCATTTAATTGGCTTAGAATGGCATGTTAAGGGCTAGTTGAAATTAGATTCTGAATCTGTTTAAATGGTCTGAAGCTGACTTTCAAGTTTGTGTATTTTTGTATTGAGGCAAAATTCACATAAAATTAATCATTTAAAATGAAAAATTAAGTAGTACTTAGTACATTTACAGTATTGCGCAACCACTGCTTCTGCTTAGTTCTAAAATATTTCAACACCTCAAAATAAAACCCCATACCCATTAAGCAGGTACTCCACATTCCCCTCTTGACCCCAGCCCTTGGCAACTACCAGTCTTACTTTTTGTTTGTACGTATTTTCTTTTTTAAAAAATTCTTTAGATGTGTCAGCAGGAAGCAGTAGGTATTTTCTATTCTGGATATTTCATACAAATAGAATCATATAATATGTGGCCTTCTGTGTTTGCTTTCTTTCACTTAGCATAATATTTTTGAGGTTCGTCCACATTGTAGCATGTATCAGTACTTCATTCTTTTTTGTGGCTGAATAATATTGCATAGTGTGTGTGTGTATATATATATATATATATTCCATTGTGTGTGTATATATGCGTGTGTATATATACTACATACATATATGCAAAGCAATTTGTTCATCCCTTCTTCCATTAATGGTTAATGGACATTTAGGTTGTTTTTACCTTATGGCTGTGATTCATAGTGCTGATATGAACATTGGTCTATAAGTATTTGTTTGAGTACTTGTTCTCAGTTCTTTTTGGTGTACACTTAGAAATGGAATTGCTGGATCATATGGTAATTTTGTGTTTAACTTCTTGAGGACCTCCGAACAATTTTCCACCTCGGCTGAACCATTTTACATTCCCACCAACAACATACGAGGGTTCCAATTTCTTGACTTTCAAGTTTTACACTTAACATAAAAGGCATTGTGTACCTGCTAGTTTGCTAGAAAAGGAGAAACCAAAGTGGTTAACAATTAACAAGTCTTCTTTTATTTTCCAGAAACTTAACTTGCTTTGATTCTTCTTAGATATGTGGTAGATGGTGGCTTCGTGAAGCAGTTAAATCACAACCCCAGATTAGGGTTGGACATCCTGGAGGTGGTTCCAATTTCAAAGTAAGTCTCTATGTCAAATCTTTTTATTCAAAGAACAACTGATTAGGTAATTTCTAGCTGTTTTGGGGAGACAAAGTAAATTACCTGAGAAACCCACAGAACATTTTGGGGAATTTTTGGGTTTTTTTCCTTTTGTAGGAGCGAGGCATTACAGCGAAGTGGCCGAGCTGGCAGGACTTCTTCAGGAAAATGCTTTCGGATCTATAGTAAAGATTTTTGGAACCAGTGTATGCCTGACCATGTGATCCCTGAAATTAAGAGAACTAGTTTGACATCTGTAGTTCTGACCTTAAAGTGCCTTGCCATACACGATGTCATAAGGTATGTAGACAACTAGAAAAAAAAGGAAAAACTTGTTAGCCTGGAACCAAGTTATTGGCTCAAAAATTATTTTGAAATATTTGACTGATACATCCCTGAGAGTTGAGGCTAACCTCTTTTACAGGTTGGTTTTTATATTGGTTGCTTTTCTTTTCTTTTTTTTTTTTTTTTTTTTTTTTTGAGATGGAGTCTTGTTCCGTTGCCCAGGCTGGAGAGCAGTGGCACGATCACGGCTCACTGCAACCTCCGCCTCCCGGGTTCAAGCAATTCTCCTGTCTCAGCCTCCCGAGTAGCTGGGACTACAGGTACCTGCCACCATGCCCAGCTAATTTTTGTATTTTTAGTAGAGATGGAGTTTCACCTTGTTGGTCAGGCTGGTCTCGAACTCCTGACCTCAGGCGATCCACCCACCTCGGCCTCCCAAAATGCTGGGATTACAGGTGTGAGCCACTGTGCCTGGCTCTATTGGTTGCTTTTCAACTAAACTAACACAGAAGACTTCCTTGCATTGCTTTAGTAGGATCTCTTGCTCATGTTTAACCTTGGCTTAATGGCGGGGTTAGGGGGTTGTGCTGATGTTTATGTGGATCACTTAGTGACCACTGTTTATTTGTAATGAAAGGTATATAATGAGCTGGGCATAACAGCTTATGCCTGTAATCTCAGCACTTTGGATGGCCAAGGTGGGAGGGTTGCTTGAGCCTAGGATTTCGAGACAAGCCTGGGCAACATAGTGAGACCTTGTCTCTACAATTAAAAAAAAAAAAAAGTCTGATATGGTGCATGCTTGAGTCCCAGATATTTGGAGGCTGAGACGGGAAGATTGCTGGAGCCGGGCAGGTAGAGGCTGCAGTGAGCCATGATTGCACCACTGCGGTCCAGCCTGGGCAACAGAGTGAGACCCTGTTTCAAAAGAAGGGGGCTGGGCGTGGTGGCTCACGTCTGTAATCCTAGCACTTTGGGAGGCCAAAGTGGGCGGATCCCTTGAGGCCAGGAGTTTGAGACCCGCCTGGCCATCCTGGCAAAACCCCGTAGCTACTGAAAATATAAAAATTAGCTGAGCTTGGTGGCACGTGATTGTAGTCCCAGCTACTCCGGAGGCTGAAGCACGAGAATCACTTGAACCCAGGAGGCAGAGACTGCAACGTGCCAAGATCACACCACTGCACTCCAGCCTGGTCAACAGAGCGAGATTCTGTCTCAAAAAAAACAAAACAAAACAAAAGGGTATACAGTTGGAAAGTGGAGTGTTTTTTTTGTATGGCCAGCATCATACTATATACCATGAAAGACAGAGTAATACTCTGTAGTTTTTTGCTTTCACTAAGCTTAAGTTATATTAGGAAAACAAGGTTCAGACACGTGAAATAAAGGAAGAACAGTTAAATTAGCCAAATATTAATATAATTTATTGGTATAAGATAGAATATTGTTATAGATAGAAATTTCTATCATACATGGTAGGGGAATTAATGGAGGAAAGTACTATCTTCTTTATTTTGGTCTTAATTGCCTTGGAATGTAAAACTGCTCAGGAATTTTGGGGGATGGTAACCGTGCAGTTTTTAAATTCATAGTAAGTGATTATTAGGTGCATCCAAATATGTATTGTAGGCCGGGTGCGGTGGCTCACGCCTGTAATCCCAGCACTTTGGGAGGCCGAGACGGGTGGATCACCTGAGGTCAACCTGGCCAACATGGTGTAACCCTGTCTCTATTAAAAATACAAAATTAGCCAGGATGGTGGTGCTCGTCTGTGATCCCAGCTACTTGAAAGCCTGAGGCAGGAGAATTACTTGAACCCGGGAGGCAGAGGTTGCAGTGAGCCGAGATTGCGCCATCGCACTCCAGCCTGGGCAACAAGAGCGAAACTCTGTCTCCAAAAAAAAAAAAAAACCAAAAAAAGCAAAAAAAAACCCCAAAACCCACAAATACTCATTGTATACTCTTGGAAAGCCAATTTGCCAATTTCAAAATGTTTTGATAGTTATCATTAGATTAGAGATTTTCTGAATGAGAATATGTAGATACTGGAAAGAGAAAAGCATGTAATAAATGAAATTCTGACTGTAGCAATAAATTATACCAATGAAAAGAAGGAAAGCGCCATTTAAAGAAATCCAAAGAGCCCAATAGAAAACTTTCAGATGAACCCAGATATTAAAATAATGTCTTGATTTTTTTCATTTGGGGAAAAAGGGCCATTTTTGGAAATAGCTGCTCAGTAAGTTTGACATTGACTCTTAGTATATTCACAAAGGATAGCAGAGCAGCCTCTAACCAAGAATGAGTATATATTAGAAAAATAGGAACAATAATTAATATCATCTGCATTGAATTATTTTTCCATCTTAAGTCTTAAAAGCCATAGTGTACTAAAAATCGCAAAATTATGTTTCAAAATGCTTGAAACAAAAAACAAAGACTTCCTTTTTAAAAAGTTGTATAAAGAATAAGGAGAGGTAGAGCCAGTGTTTGGGGTAGATGGTATAGGATTCATAGACGACAGAAAGAAAATGGATCTTCTCAATTATTATTTTGCTTTCCCTTTCTTTTCCATCAGGAAGAATAATTTTAAAGCTGAAAATGCAAGAACAGGTCTGAATAAGAAGGAATTGATGACTAAGGTGGAAGGAAATAATGAGGGAAAACCTACCACCATAAGTGATTTTGTCTTGAGCATTTAGACATTATTTCCGTGGTGTTAAAAGAACTTGCAGATTTAGCGTCAGAGTCACTGTAGGTCATCTATGAGAAATTATGCAGAATACGTTATCAGAAAATGGTGAGAAAGGCAAAAGTCTTAATTTTTTTCATTTGGTAAAAAGGGCGGGTTCTGGAAACAACTACCCAGTAAGCTTGACATTGATTACTAGCGAACTCTAGTACAGTTTATTGAAAAATGGTTTAAGGAAATTTAATGACGATTAATGAGTATGAATTTTAAAAGTTCACAATGAATATGTCATTTTTTGTTGTTGTTGTGTTTGGTTTTGGTTTTCTGAGGCAGGATCTCACTCTGTCACCCGGGCTGGAGTGCAGTGGCACAATCTCAGCTCACTGCAACCTCCACCTCCCAGGTTCAAGCGATTCTCGTGTCTCAGCCTTCTGAGTAGCTGGGATTACATGCGTGTGCCACCATGCCCGGCCAAATATGTCATTATAAGCCATTTCCTTTTCAGTTTGAGGACAGGACCGTCCACATAATGGGTGCTCCACAAGAATTTATTGAAATTTAACCTAATGTCTTTTATTTTCAGCACAGTATTTAACAATACTGCATTTGATATCTTGTGAATAAAAAAGTAGTCTGTAGATGACAGTACTGCTGAGTATAGTTGCCAGATAGCCCAGTCTAGAAAAGTATTAATTAATTGCTTAGTGTAGACTAGATGAAGTTTTTACTGGTATTGTGCTGAACTTAGTTTTTTCTTGATAAACATTTTTAATGATACTGAATAAAAATATTGAAGTTATGATTATATTTTTCTGGAAAATATCTTAATATCTAATAGGTAGATGACCAAGCTTTAAAATGACTTTAACAGATTAGAACCATGGGCAAAAATCAACAGGGTGTAAATTTGAAAGGATATATCTTATATCCTGTGTTTGGGATGTACAATAGCAAATACATGTGGTAGAGATCTGAAATTATCAGATCATCACAACCTTAATATTGGCTTATACGTATGGCTCTGTTTAAAAAATTTTTTTTAGGCCGGGTGCGGTGGCTCACGCCTGTAATCCCAGCACTTTGGGAGGCCACAGTGGGCGGATTGCGAGGTCAGGAGATGGAGATCATCCTGGCTAACACAGTGAAACCCCGTCTCTACTAAAAATACAAAAAATTAGCTGGGTGTGGTGGCAGACGCCTGTAGTCCCAGCTACTCGGGAGACTGAGGCAGGAGAATGGCGTGAACCCGGGAGGCGGAGCTTGCAGTGAGCCCAGATCGCACCACTGCACTCCAGCCTGGGCGACAGAGCAAGACTCTGTCTCAAAAAAAAAAATTTTTTTTTTAATTCCACTGGCATAGACTTTGGTTACATTAATAAACTAGGTGATGGGGAATTACAGCGTTCCTGTTATGTGTTGGTCACTCAACATTTGGAGTTCAGTTTTGGATATAATCAAGTTTTATGAGGAGTTTGACATACTAGTGTTTTTAGAGAATGGTACTTAGGTATGGTAGATCTCTTAGAAACCAAGTAACTTATAAGGAGTGGTTGACAGAATTGGTAATTGGAGGAATCAAGGGGGGAAATTAATTGCAATATTTTAGAATAAGTAGTTTTTCCTTTTATATAGAAGAAGCAGCTGACTGGTTTGGTATTGCTCTAGCACAAGGGTGGCAAACTGTGGTCTAATCTCACTGACTGTTTTTGTAAATAAAATGTTAGAATGCAGCCATACCCATTTGTTTATGTGTGGCTGCTTTCACTGTAATAGCATGGTTGAGTAATTGTGACAGAGACCATATGGCCTGCAAGCCTAAGCTATTTACTATCTGGCCCTTTACGGAAAATGTTTACCAATTCTTGCTGTAGAAGCTACCAGGACCTATTGGTACAAATTGTAGGAAAGCTGGCAGTAGAACAGTGTAAGAGATTATTGTTTGCTTATTATTTTTTCTTTTTATAAGAGATGGGATCTTGCTGTGTTGCCTAGGCTGTTGTCAAACTCCTGAGCTCAAGCAGTCCTCCTGCCTCAGCCTCCCAGAGTGCTGAAATTATAGGCGTGAGCTACCATCCTTGGCCTTGTTTTATTTATTTATTTTTAAATAGGGTTATCAATCCTGGAATGGACATTTTATATAAGGTATTGGACCTTTTGTCTTCTATTGGATTTTTTTCAAGGTGAGAAGTTGGAGTAGATGATTTTTCATATCCAGATTTAAGGTGGAAAAAATAACCCAGTGCAGATGATATCAAGTAATTATTTTTCCTGTTTTTAAAAAATATATATTCATGTTTGATGATGCTATCCCTTTTGAATATTATTGTTAATTGTTAATTTTATTATATTTATTAATAGCGCATTATGGTGATGTAAGAGAATGTCCTTATTTTCAGGAGATGCATGCCGAGATAGTTGTAAGTGTGCAATGGCATTGTATTTGCAACTTATTCTGAGATAGTTTGGCAGAAAATAAGTACATACACATGTACACATATGTGACACAAATATGGCTAAATTAATTGAATATATTTCCCCATTTATATGAAAGCATTTTGTCCGGCCGGGTGCGGTGGCTTACGCCCGTAATCCCAGCACTTTGGGAGGCTGAAGTGGGTGGATCACCTGAGGTCAGGAGTTTGAGACAAGCCTGACCAATATGGTGAAACCCCGCCTCTACTAAAAATACAAAAATTATCTGGGCATGGTGGCAGGTGCCTGTAATCCCAGCTACTCAGCAGGCTGAGGCAGGAGAATCACTTGAACCCAGGAGACGGAGGTTGTAGTGAGCCGAGATTGCCACACTGCACTCCAACCTGGGCAGCAGAGTGAGACTCCGTCTCAAAAAAAAAAAAAATTAAATTGTATTTAAGAAGCATTTTGAGGCTGGGTGCGGTGGCTCACGCCTGTAATCCTAGCACTTTGGGAGGCCGAGGCGGGCGGATTGCTTAAGCACAGGAGTTCAAGACCAGCCTGGGCAACATGGTGAAACCCTGTCTCTACTAAAATACAAAAAATTAGCTAGGCGTGGTGGCATGTGCCTGTAGTCCCAGCTACTCGGGAGGCTGAGGCAGGAGAATTGCTTGAACCTGGGAGATGGAGGTTGCAGTGATCAGAGATCGTGCCATTGCACTCCAGCCTGGGCAACAGAGCGAGACTCCATCTCCAAAAAAAAGCATTTTGAGGTACTATTGAACAATTTATAATTTTCAGTACTAATTAATATTTCTCTACTATTAATATTTCTCTACTATTTTTATAAAAGTTTGGAAAAAAATTATGGACTGCAGAAAAGAGTAGACTTGACAGGCTGTGAAGGATGGGTGGGGCAGGATTAGGATAAGTAGACTGGTGAGAGTATTTCAGCTAAGGGGAGTCAAAAAGAATCACTTCTTGAAGTAGAGGAGTGTGATTCAGAAAAAAATTATTTCCTCTTTTGCCAAATGCTGATCATGATCATATAATTTTTTTTTAGAAAAAGAAGATGACTTGAAAAATAGAAATAAAACCTTTTAAAGAAATTTTCGTCATGTCTATATAAAATCCTACCATGTTCAAGGAATGCCTCTCACTTCATATCTCATTTAAACACACAGGTTTCCCTATTTGGATCCACCTAATGAGAGACTTATTTTAGAAGCTCTTAAACAACTTTACCAGTGTGATGCTATTGACAGGTAAAAAAAAAAAAAAAAAATCACAATCAAAACAGATATTGATCTCTTTTTAAACAGGGCTCTAAATACCTTTCTCTAACAGTAGAAAATAATTTCTTTAAATTGAATGGATTGTTAGTCTTTCATCACAATTCTGATTGAAAAACCAGCCGGGCGCTGTGGCTCATACCTGTAATCCCAGCACTTTGGGAGGCCGAGGTCGGTGGATCATGAGGTCAGGAGATCGAGACCATCCTGGCTAACATGGTGAAGCCCCGTCTCTACTAAAAATACAAAAACAAAATTAGCTGGGCGTGGTGGTGGGCGCCTGTAGTCCCAGCTACTCGGGAGGCTGAGGCAGGAGAATGGTGTGATCCTGGGAGGCAGAGCTTGCAGTGAGCCAAGATCATGCCACTGCACTCCAGCCTGGGCAACAGAGCGAAACTCCATCTGAAAAAAAAAAAAAGGAGAAAGAAACTGCACGGTATAATCCCTTTTGTTTAATAAATATTGGTATTATTTAACAAGTAATTTCTGAGTACCATTTCAGTGCTAAGCATTATGCTGGATACATAAAAATGATAAGAGAGCCAGAGTCCTTGTTTTCATGTTTGTGTGATGGGGTGGTTAGGTTTGATATTAATAATTATTATTCTCTTGGATGTGCGTGGTGGCTCACGCCTGTAATTCCAGCACTTTGGGAGGCCAAGGCGAGCAGATTGCTTGAGCCCAGTTGTTCGAGACAAGCCTGAGAAACATAGTAAAACCCATCTCTACTGAAAATACAAAAATTAGCCGATGGTGTTGGCACATGCCAGTAGTCCCAGCTACTTGGGAAGCTGAGGTGGGAGGATCGTCTGAGCTTCGGAGGTGAGGGGTGCAGTGAGCTGAGGAGATTGCGCCATTGCACTCCAGCCTGGGAGACGGAGCAAGACCCTGTCTCCAAAAAAAAAAAAACGGTAAAATTGAAAAAATAAAATTATTATTCTCTCATGTCTTCAAAGACATCTTCTTTTTTTTTGTTTTTTGAGACGGAGTTTTACTCTTGTTGCCCAGACTGGAGTACAATGGTGCAATCTCACCTCACTGCAATCTCCACCTCCCAGGTTCAAGCAATTCTCCTGCCTCAGCCTCCCAGGTAGCTGGGATTATAGGCATGCACCACCATGCCCAGGTAATTTTTTTATATTTTGGTAGAGATAGGGTTTCACCATGTTGGTCAGGCTGGTCTCAAACTCCTGACCTGAAGTGATCTACCTGCCTCGGCCTCCCAAAGTGCTGGGATTACAGGTGTAATCCCCCTCAGCCTCCTTAGTAGCTTTGCAACCTTTGCCTCCCGGGTTTGAGTGATTCTCCTGCCTCAGCCTCCCAAGTAGCAGGGACTACAGGCGCATGCCACCACACCCAGCTAATTTTTGTGTTTTTAGTGGAAACGGGGTTTTGCCATGTTGGCCAGGCAGGTCTTGAACTCCTGACCTCAGGTGATCCACCTGCCTCAGCTTCCCAAAGTGCTAGGATTACAGGCATGAGCCACCACGCCTGGCCTAATTTTCTTAAATTGAATTGAACTTCTGGAGGTGATTGGAGGTAACGTAAATTATATCTGATTTATTCTGAATGATGAATGTTACATTTGTACTCTCCTAGTGTAGAAAGACTTACAAACTTTTTCTTTGTATTAAGGAGTGGCCATGTCACCAGATTGGGTTTGTCTATGGTGGAGTTTCCTTTGCCTCCACATCTGACATGTGCAGTAATAAAAGCTGCTTCCCTGGATTGTGAAGATCTACTACTTCCAATAGCAGCAATGTTGTCTGTGGAAAACGTCTTCATTAGACCTGGTAAGATGTTTATTTTAAGTTGTGTTTTTTAAAACTAATAGACTTGGCTGGGCACGGTGGCTCACGCCTGTAATCCCATCACTTTGGGAGGGCAAGGCAGGTGGATTGCTTGAGGTCAGAAGTTGGAAGACCAGCCTTACCAACATGGTAAAACCCCATCTCTACTAAAAAAAAAAAAAAAAAAAAAACCAAAAACAAAATTAATAGACTTTATTTTTTAGAGCATTTTTAAGTTTACAGAAAAATTTAGTAGGAAGTACAGAGGGTTGACATTCATCCCCTCAACCTCCCACAGCAATTTCTCCTATTAACATCTTTGATTTGTATGACATATAAGTTGCAATTGGTGAGCCAATATTGACACATTATTATTAACTAAAGGGATCACTCTTTGTGTTATATGGTTTTAGCTGGGATTATAGGCATGTGCCACCACGCCTGGCTAATTCTGTATTTTTAGTAGAGGCGCGGTTTCTCCATGTTGGCCAGGCTGGTCTCGAACTCCTGACCTCAGGTCATCTGCCCGCCTTGGCCTCCCAAAGTGCTGGGATTACAGGCGTGAGCCAGCACGCCCAGCCGGGTTGTTTTCTTATTGTTAAGAGGTCTTTGCATATTTTAAATAGTTATTTAACAGATAGATCTTTTGTAAATATTTTCTCCCAGTCTGTGGTTTATCTTCTAATTGTTTTGACATTGACTTTTGCAGAGCGGAAGTTTTTATTTTTGACGAAGTCTACCTTATCAATTATTTCTTTCATAGATTGTGTCTTTATTGTTGTATCTAAAAAAGTCATTGTCGTACCCAAAGTCATCTAGATTTTCTCTTCTATTGTCTTTTAGTATTTGGACGTACAGTTGTTGCGGTACCATTTGTTCAAAACACTGTCCTTTTTCTGTTGAAATGCCTTCGCTTCTTTGTTAAATATCAGCTGACTATTCTTATATGGGTCTGTTTCTGGGCTCTGTATCTTGTTCCATTTATCTGATTGTCTGTTTGTTCTTCCACCAATACCACACTGTCCTGGTTATTGGAGCTTTATAGTAACTCTTGAAGTTTTGTTCTTCCTCTTCAAAATTGTTTAGGCCATTCTGGGTCTTTTTCATATAAACTTTAGAACCAGTCTGTTGAAATCCACAAAATAACTTGCTGAACTTGCTGGGATTTTTTTTTTTTTTTTTTTTTTTTGAGATGGAGTCTTGCTCTGTCACCCGGGCTGGAGTGCAGTGGCCTGATCTCGGCTCACTACAAGCTCTGCCTCCCAGATTCGTGCCGTTCTCTCGCCTCAGCCTCCCGAGTAGCTGGGACTACAGGCGCCCGCCACAACGCCCGGCTAATTTTTTGCATTTTTAGTAGAGACAGGGTTTCACTGTGTTAGCCAGGATGGTCTCAATCTCCTGACCTTGTGATCCACCCGCCTCAGCCTCCCAAAGTGCTGGGATTACAGGCGTGAGCCACCGCGCCCGGCCCTTGCTGGGATTTTAATTGGGATTATGTTTTAATTAAGATAGATTAAGTTGCGAAGAAATGACATCTTGACAGTATTGTCTTCCTATCCATGTACATGGAATATCTCTTCATTTATTTAGATTGCCAGTAATTCATTGAGCATTTACTGAGGGTTTACCGTGCCTTAGCCCTAGGACAGAAAACTAAGGATAAACAAGTTTTGTTGTTGTTGTTTTTGAGATGGAGTTTCACTCTTGTTGCCCAGGCTGGAGTGCAATGGTGTGATCTGGACTCACTGCAACCTCCTCCTCCCAGGTTCAAGCGATTCTTCTGCCTCAGCCTCCCAGGTAGCTGGGATTACAGGCATGGGCCACCACGCCTGGCTAATTTTTGTATTTTTAGTAGAGATGGGGTTTCACCATGTTGGTCAGGCTGGTCTGGAACTCCTGACCTCAGGTGATCTGCCTACCTTGGCCTTGGGATTGCAGGCATGAGCCACCACGCCCAGCCCGGCGTTAATTTCCTTTCATTAGTAAAGGAAGATAGTGCTTTTATAGTACATTAGTAATTTACTAATTTTTTTTTTGTAGGATCAAAAGAAAAGGTAGTTTAGCCCTTGCATCCTTAGAGAATTCTTTTGAAGTTTCCAGGTCTTTAAACTTCTGCTTCTTTCTTTTCTTGGTGTGTCAGTATAGGACACAATTTAATTTGACATATGTTAGATTTGTTTTCATGCAGTGGAGTAATTTTTTCTTTCAAGGAGCTTCCAAGTGAACAGTATACCTTGTCTGCAGCCAGACAACAGAATGGGTTAGCTCACTGGCTTTATACCTTTGTAGGCTGGAAGTGTCGGGTCCAGATTAATTTATTATTGCCATGATTATAATGGAGGATACATTTTTCTATAAAAATACTCTAATCAATATACTGTTTCAAATAGTTTGCAGTCTTTTTTTTTTAATTTAAAAAATTTTTAAATTTTATTGAGACAAGGTCTCACTGTGTTGCCCAGGCTGGAATGCAGTGGCGTGATCTTGGCTCATTGCAACCTCTGCCTTCCAGGCTCAAGTGATCCTCCCATACCTCAGCCTCCCCAGCAGCTGGGACCACAGATGCTTGCTACTATGCCTGGCTAATTTTTTGTATTTTTATACAGATGGGGTTTCACTCTGTTGCCCAGGCTGGTCTCAAACTCCTGAGCTCAAGTGACCCACCAGCCTTGGCCTCTTAAAATGCTGGTATTACAGGCCTGAGCCATTGCACCCAGCAGTTGCAGTCTGAAATGTCAGAATTTTAATTCTGGTAATACCCCTAATTGCAATTTTTTGTTCTAATAAAATGCTGTATAAAAATAAGTAATGTTAACTGGTTTTCATGAGGCAGTATCAGAGCTAAAAATACCAGTGGGCACAGTGGTATCCCAGCTCCTTGGGAGACTGAGGTGGGATGATTGCTTGAGCCCACGAGATCAGGGCCAGCCTGGGCAACATAGCAAGACCCCATCTCTGATAAGAAATTAAAAAATAGGCCAGGTGTGGTGGCTCACACTTGTAATCCCAGCACTTTGGGAGGCTGAGGCAGGTGGGTCACCTGAGGTCAGGAGTTTAAGACCAGCCTGGCCGACATGGTGAAACCCTGTCTCTACTAAAAATATAAAAATTAGCCAGGCGTGGCGTGCACCTGTGTTGCCAGCTACTGGGGAGGCTGAGGCGGAGAATTGCTTGAATCCAGGAGGCGGAGGTTGCAGTGAGCTGAGATCGTGCCACTGCACTCCAGCCTGGGTGACAGAGTGAGACTCCATCCCCAAAAAGAAAAAAGAAAGAAAGAAATAAACAAGCTAAAATATTTCAAAACCTATTACAGAGTATTGAAGTAGGAGTTAAGAGTGCAGGGTTCTGTCCAGCTCCACTACTACCTAATTATCTGACCATGGCCCTAGTTTTTCTAGATTTCATTTTTCATTTGTAAAACCAAGAAGTTGGATTAAGGTGACCAACTCTAATAGTCTTTTAAGGCTAGAAAAAGAAAAATGTTTTTTCCATGTTGGAATATTTAAATAGATAAAATCAGTGTGGTGTTAGCCTTTTTTGGGTGACATTTATTCTTATATAATTTCAAATAAGAATAGCAAAGGAATTCCTTTATACCTTCTATGCAGTTTCCGCAATTTTTAACATTTTACCCCCTTTGCTTTATTACTCTGTCTCCCTCTATATATGTATATATAAATGGATTTTTTTCTTTTTCTGAATCATTTAAGAATAAATTGGAAGCATTGTGCTCCCTTACCACAAAATATTTACATCTGTATTAGGCAAGAACAAGGGCAATCTCTCATTTAACCATAGTACATTAATCAAAATTCGGAAATTGTTTTGTTTTGTTTGAGAGAGAGTCTCACTCTGTTGCCCAGGCAGTAGTGCAGTGGTGGGATCATGGCTCACCGCAGCCTTGACCTCCCGGGCTCAAGCAATTCTCCCACCTCAGCCTCCTTAGTAGCTGGGACCACATGCATATGCTACCATGCCTGACTAATTTTTAAAAATTTTTTGTAGAGATGAGGTCTCCCCATGTTGCCCAGGTTAGTCTCAAACTCCTAGGCTCAAGCAATCCTCCTGCTTTGGTCTCCCAAAGTGCTGGGTTTACAGGTGTAAGCCACTATGCCCGGCCTAAAGTTTGGAAATTTAACTTTGATACAATATTATTATCTAATCCAGAATCCATATTGAAATTGTCCATTTTCCCTAGAATCTACAGAAAGTAGTTTGAGAATTGGTAAGTTACAGTACTGTGAAAAACAACCCTATATAACTACAGTTTGATATTTGTTTACAGTTAATTTTAGGTAAAATTTACATATAGTGAAATGCATAAATTTTAGGTGTATAATTCAATGAATTCTGTAAAATGCTTATACCCATGTAACCCAAGCCCTGTCAATATATAGAACATTTTTATCACTAGCAAGTTCCCTCAGTGCCACTTCTTAGTCAGATATCACTCTACCTACCTTTGGTTAAACACTTTTCTTATTTTTTTCTGATTAGTTTGCCTCTTCTGAAACGTCATATAAATAGAATTTTTTTTTTTCTTTTGAGACAGAGTCTTGCTCTGTCATCCAGGGTGGAGTGCAGTGGCACAATCTCGGCTCACTGCAACCTTCACTTCCTGGGTTCAAGCAGTTGTCCTGCCTCAGCCTCTGGAGTAGCTGGGATTAGAGGTCCCCGACACCATGCCTAGCTAATTTTTGTATTTTCAGTAGAGACGGGGTTTTGCCATGTTGGCCAGGCTGGTCTCGAACCCATAACCTCAGGTGATCCATCAGCGTCGGCCTCAGCCTTCCAAAGTGCTGGGATTACAGGTGTGAGCCATTGTGCCCAGCCCAAAACTTCATATAAATAGAATTATACACTCTCCTTTCTTGTGTCTGGCTTCTTTCAGTCAACATAATGTATGTTAAGGTTTATTCATATTGTTGTATGTATGAATACTTTATTCTTTTTGTTGTTGACTAGTATTCCACTTTATGAACATACAGTTGTGCATTATCCTGTTGATGGACATTTGAATTGCTTCTTGTTTAGTTCTATTTTTGAGTAAAGTTGTTTTGAACATTCTTGCACAAAAATTTGAAGGTGTTTATTTTCATTTTTCTTAGATAAGGTAAATGCCTAAGAAAGAAATTTGCTGTGCCATCGAGTAGGTATATGTGAATCTTTAAGAAACTGCCAAACCTTTTCCCTGAACAGTTGTACCATTTAAAAATCACATCAGCAATGTTTGAGAGTACAGCTTGCACTAAACACCCCTCTCAACATTTGGTATTGCCAATCATTTTATTTTACACATTCTATTATGTACCTCTTTGTGGTTTTAATTTGCATTTTCCTGATGACTAATAATGTTGAGCACTTCTTCATGTGCTTATTGGCCATTTTTCTGTCTTCCTTTGTGATGTCTTTTAAAATATTTTGCCCATGTCTTTTTATTTTTGAGACGGAGTCTTGCTCTGTCGCCCAGGCTGGAGTGCAGTGGCATGATTTTGGCTCACTGCAACCTCCACCTCCTGGATTCAAGCAATTCTCCTTCCTCAGCCTCACAAGTAGCTAGGATTACAGGCTTGCATCACCATGCCTGGCTAATTTTTGTAATTTTAGTAGAGACGAGGTTTTGCCATGTTGGAGGCTGGTCTCAAACTCCTGACCTCCTGACCTCAGGTGATCCGCCCACCTTGGCCTCCCAAAGTGCTGGGATTACAGGAGTGAGCCACCATGCCCGGCCCCTTGTCTTAAATTAAAAAAAAAAACAAAAAAACTTTAATTCGTGGATTCTTTCTTCTGCCAGCCCAGATCTACTGTTGAGCCCCTCTATGGCAGTTTCCATTTTGTTTCTTGTCCTTGTCAACTCCAGCGGTCAGTCAGTGATTGGTCGGAGGTTGTACCTAGCTAAGCCTTTTAATTTAAGCCAGTGATGTTTTCACCTTTTACTGTTGAATCTGTGTTTCTGGTTAGGAGACTACTTTCATGGTTGAGGGAGTTGATGAATTTGTACTGTGTTCAGCCAAGGAGTCGAGGCTCAGACATTCCCTCTCTATTTACTTCTCAGAAGGCACAGCTTTGGGCATGAGAACAATCTTCTAGAACACCAGGAAGACTATGCTCTTAGCAGGTCTCTGTTTCCTTCATTGATTTCTTCATTGAATTTTTGGCTGGTCTGTCTCTATTGGTGTCACAGCAAGCTGTTAGTCTCCACTGATTGCTAGCTGCTGGCTCTGTTGTTTTTGACAGTGCCCAGAGCATAAATTGCTCCATAGTCTTGATCCAAATAAAGTTGGGCACCTCGGCAGGGGCAAGGTATTGCCCGTCTTTGATAATCCTTTCCCCATCCTTTCCTGGAAACAATCTCTGTGCTATGGAGCAGGAGTTGGAGAGGGTGGTGGTGGTAATGGGGGCCTGTTCTTCAGTGGCTCTCCTATCTGGGTCCTCCCTAAATAGCAGAAGCTTGGGGTTGGGGAGTTAGGAGCTGATACTGTGGCTCACTTTGCATCTTCCTCAGCACAAAGCCTTTTGAGATGCAATCTCTGGATGTTCACTAGTTGCAAACGTACAAACCTGGAATAGCTCTAGGAAACTGGGAGTAGTGGGAACTACCACTGAGCTGCTGAACCCATTGGAACAACTCTTCTGCAACACAGAGCTGTGGGGAATAGAGGACTGCGTAGGCTGTCATTATCTGTTATGCTTTGATCTTCCCTACCGAGTAGCATTTAGGAGTCAGGGAAAGGGTGCCGCTTTCAGGCTGCCTTGAAGGCTCTCGCATAGCCCTTCCACACACACAGCTGTTGAGAGTGGGGCATTCTTCCTACTGTCCTTACCGAATTCCATAGATTAGGCTTGTCTTAAGCATTTTAATCAATCTCCAGAGACTTTGAATGATTGTCTTTGGTAATTTTGACTAGTTTAATAGATGTCTCTCTAGAAAAGAAGTTTTACCTAACTCCTCACATCACCATTCCCAGTACAGTTGACCCTTGAACACACAGGTTTGAACTGTGCAGGTCTACTTATTTGTAGATTTTTTGTTTTTTGTTTTTTTTTTTTGAGACAGAATTTTGCTCTTGTTGCCCAGGTTGGAGTGCAGTGGCACAATCTCAACTCACCACAACCTCTACCTCCCAGGTTCAAGCAATTCTCCTGCCTCAGCCTCCCGAGTAGCTGAGATTACAGGCATGTGCCACCATGCCCAGCTAATTTTGTATTTTTAGTAGAGATGGGGTTTCTCCATGTTGGTCAGGCTGGTCTCGAACTCCCAACCTCAGGTGATCCTCCTGCCTCGGCCTCCCAACATGCTGGGATTACAGGCGTGAGCCATGCACTCGGCCAATTTTTTCAATAAATATATTGGAAAAGTTTTCGGAGATTTGTGACACTTTGAAAAAACTCACAGATGAACTCCGTAGCCTGGAAATACCAAAAAAATTAAGAAAAAGTATGTCATGAAAACATAAACTATGTGTAGGAAATGCTGCAGGATAATTAAGGAATCAGAGAGACCGAGGGGTTGAGGAGGAGTTATTTAATTATTTAGGTGCACCAACCCAGTTGGATTAACATCCAAAGGACTGAGCCCTGAACAAAGAGTCAAGCTACCTTTTAAGCATTTCGTGGGGCGGGGGGAGATCTGTGCAGGGGGAAGCATATTACAGAAGTGAGAAACAAAGACAGTTATTTAATTAAGACGTGCATTACATTATTTCTTACTTTTCAAGGAACAACATGTTTTACGACTTGAGATTATCTGTCTAGTGACCTTGAAGCTGCACAGCTCGAGAGTCTTCACAATGCCTGGGAAGGGGTGAGATAAGGCTCACTAGCCACAGAGAGAAAAACAGGCAGTTAATTTTAAAGGACTCCAGCTCTTTCTCTTCCTCGGGGAATTGGGTTTTCTTACATACAACTGAGTTTTTGCTTATACAGTCTTTAATTTCTTTTAATTCCTGTTCCAGTACTAGTCTGTTTTATAATTTACTACCATAAAATATACACAAATCTATTATAAAAAGTTAAAATTTATCAAAAATGCATGCAAACACAGACTGCATGGTGCCATGATTCTAGGGATTCCAGGAGGCACTGACTCACAGGTAGGCTTTTCTCCTGGTATTGCGAGCCAGGATGGGGTCGATGCTGGAGTCTAGGGCAATTTGACTTTTGGCATGATATCTTCTGGGGGATGGCAGTTAGGTGCTTGAAATGAAATATTTTGGGTTAAAAATTAGTATCCCTGGCTGGCGTGTTGGCTCAAGCCTGTAATCCCAGCACTCTGGGAGGCCAGGGCGGGCGGATCACCTGAGGTCAGGAGTTCAAGGCCAACCTGGCCAACATGGTGAAACCCCATCTCTACTAAAAAATGTAAAAATTATTTGGGTGTGGTGGTGTGTGCCTGTAGTCCCAGCTACTTGGAAGGCTGAGACAGGAGAGTCCCTTGAACTTGGGAGGTGGATGTTGCAGTGAGCCAAGATTGCACCACTGCACTCCAGCCTGGGCAGCAGAGCGAGACTGTCTCAAAAAACAAAACAAAAAACAAAATTAGTCTCCCGGAGCAGTTCAAGAAATGGAGATTAATAATCATTTATATCTTTTCCTTACCAGGGTCATTTGTATGTTTGTATGGTCTGAGATAAATCATATTCTTTTTTATTTTTTTGTCTCTAGCTGCTTCATTCAGTTGCTACCTAGGTAACATAGTTGGAAGCTACTTAAAGCATGGGATAGAAGACTTTATACCTTCATCAGTGTTTTCTTTAATCAAATTACTTTCCTCCTAGTAACAGGAACTGCTGCTTTGCAGATTCACATCGTATTCTATAGTAAATGCTGCTCCCTGGATTCAGGCAACATTGTGCCTCTGCTAGATCTAGCTGTGATAGGTATAGGGAATAGGAATTGTGATGTGACGTGTTAGATTGAAGGAAAGGATCCCTATGCAGTTTTGAAAAAATGGCACTCTGAAAGATTAGCCCTGGATAAAGTGCTGTATGGGGAATTTGGGCAATCAGAGAGCACATGAGTCCTGAATGGGATCAGGGGAAGTGGTATCGAAGTAATTAACAGATAAATCTCAAAAACGTAATGTTGAGCAAGAGAAAACAGACACATCAAGTACATACTATACGATTCATTTATACAAAGGTTAAAAATGGGCAAAACCCATCTGTAGGATTAGAAGTCAGGATATAGTTATTCTTGTGGAAGGGAATGGGTAGTTACTCGAAGGAGGGCATAAAAGGGGGCTGTTGAGATGCTGGTGATACTGTTTGTTGATCTGGGTACATTGGTATGTTGTGTTTGTGAATATTATATGAGCTACACACTTACGTCCTGTGTAATTTTCTGTATGCATATTATACTTCAATATTACATTAAAAAAGAAAATGTTCGTAGTAGGTCAGTTCTGCATATATGGAGATCATGTCTAATTGCCCATAATTGGGAATTGGATAAATAAGAACTGGTTAAATTGTGTTATGTTCCCCATACTCCTGGGGAATACCATATCATTGTTTTTTTCTTTAGACAAGGTTTCACTCTGTTGCCCAGGCCAAAGTGCAGTGATGCGATCACGGCTCACTGTAGCCTCAACCTCCTGGGCTTGGGCCGGGCACGGTGGCTTATGCCTGTAATCCCAGCACTTTGGGAGGCCGAGACGGGCAGATCACAAGGTCAGGAGATCGAGACCATCCTGGCTAACATGTGAAACCCCGTCTCTACTAAAAATACAAAAAATTAGCCGGGCGCGGTGGCGGGCGCCTGTAGTCCCAGCTACTCGGGAGGCTGAGGCAGGAGAATGGTGTGAACCCGGGAGGCGGAGCTTGCAGTGAGCCGAGATCGCGCCACTACACTCCAGTCTGGGCGATAGAGCGAGACTCCGTCTCAAAAAAAAAAAAAAAAAAACCTCCTGGGCTCAAGCGATCTTCCCACCTCAGCCTCCTGAGTAGCTGGGACTACAGGCATGCATCACCATGCCTGGCTAATTTTTGTATATTTTGTAGAGACAGGATCTTGCTTTGTTGCCTAGGCTTGTCTTGACCTCCTGGGCTCAATTGATCCACTTGCCTTGGCCTTTGAAATTGCTGGGATTACAGGTGTGAGCTACCACACCTGGCCCTATATTGCTATTTTTGAGAAAGAATAATTCTATATGTACTGATATGGAGTTGTTATTAAATAAACAAATTTTCAGATTATATATTCCATTTATAGAAAAATGAAACACTATGTACATATGCTTATATATACATAGAAATTACCTGGAAGGACACACACTAAATAATGAACAGTACTTTGTCTTGAGGATTGGTTTATGGGTAGTGTGACTGGGGAACATTGAACTTTTACATGATATTCTTTTATACCATTACATTTTTTTTTCTGTAAGCATGGATTACTCTTATAACAAAACTAATTTAAAAAGTAAATTACAAATACTATTTTTAAAAGGCAAATAGATTGGGAGAAGTAATGTTGCTATTCAGGTAAAATCTCCAAAGTGATATGAAAAGAAAAAAAGGAATTGTGGGAGAAATAGAGCTTCCTAAGAGAAGTTAAGAAGAGTTAATATAGTTCTACCTTACTTCACCCCAGAGGATGAGGCAGATTTTAATGAGTTTCTGAAAGCAAAGTGATTGTAGGCACTTAATGCAAAGTATAACTGAATTGCCTCTCCAATTCTTTTAGTTGATCCAGAGTACCAGAAGGAAGCAGAACAGAGACATCGAGAATTGGCAGCTAAAGCTGGAGGATTTAATGACTTTGCAACTTTAGCTGTCATCTTTGAACAATGCAAATCAAGGTATGTAAGGTAGTCCTTTGTCCTGAAAAATGTCAATTTGATGTATAGTTCCAATACGTACTTATGATGTGGCTTGTGACACTAACGTTCAGTGAAGATGATATTGACTTCAAGGTATTTTGAATTTCAGTGAAATTATCTATGTCAGATGACTATTGCTTAGTAGGCATTTATTATATAACATTGATTCTCTTCTTTTCTCCTCAAACCTTTACTGAAAATGACCTTATAGAATTTTGCTTCTATATAGGTAGCCTAGATTAAAAAATGATTGGATATTTGTTATTGCATATATAAGTAAAGAAATCCATTTACAAATTATTTTTTAATTTAGTCAGGGGCACATTCATTAATTTAAATGTTTTTTTCAAGTTTCCTAAAATTCTTTTTTAGTACTTGGACAGGTCTCCTGAAGGAACTGACAGTTGTTTATGGGTTTCCACTTTTGTAATAGAAATGAGAATTTTAGATTGTCTTTTACTTAGAGAAGATATTTTAAAGATACCAGTTTTTTGTTTTGCAGTGGAGCTCCAGCTTCATGGTGCCAAAAACACTGGATTCATTGGAGGTGCTTATTTTCTGCATTTCGTGTGGAAGCTCAACTTCGAGAACTAATCAGGAAGCTTAAACAGGTGATTGCCGTAATGTTTTTTTTCTTGAGTAGCATTTTGGACCTATATATTTCATATTGAAGTTTCATTGATGTACATTAGCACCCTTTCTATTCTACCACCCTTCCATTCTATTTGTTTCTATGACCTCCTTGACCCCATGAAACATTCCTAGTAGTGATAAAAGAATTGTCTTCACAGAAATGAAGATATTTAAAAATTGCTTTCCTGATATATAATTGACGTGTGATAACCTACACATATTTAATGTATACACTTTGATGAGTTTTGACATTTGCGTAAAACAACTATCAAGATAATGGTACATATCCATCATCTCCCAGTTTTCTCATCCTCCCCCCCACCTTTTTTTTTTTTTGAGATGGAGTCTCACTCTGTCACCCAGGCTGAAGTGCAGTGGCGTGATCTCGGCTCACTGCAATCTCCACCTCCCAGGTTTAAGCAATTCTTCTGCCTCAGCCTCCCAAGTAGCTGGGATTACAGGCTTGCGTCACCACACCCGGCTAATTTTTGTAGTTTTAGTAGAGATGGGGTTTTGCCGTGTTGGCCAGGCTGGTCTCAAACTCCTGACCTCAAGTGATCCACCTGCCTCGGCCTTCCAAAGTGCTGGAATTACAGGCATGAGCCACTGCACCTGTCCTCATTCCCTTTCATAATCCATTGTCTCACCTACTAGGCCCTCCTGCCCCACCAACCCAGGTAACCACTAATCTGCTTTCTGTCATGATACAGTAAGTCCTCACTTAATGTCATCAGTAGGTTCTTGGAAACTGTGAGTTTAAGCAAAATGATATACAGCAGGCCCTAGAAAAATATTGTTTTATTCACCATTGTTTTAACACTGATGAGAGAAAAAAAAAAATCTTAAAAATTTTGCTTAACTTTGCAGTTTTTAAGAACTTATCATTGACATTGAAGACTTACTGTATATAAGTTTGCATTTCCTAGCATTTTACATAAATGGAATCAAACAGTATATGCTCTTTTTTTTTTGGTCTGGCATCTTTTACTCCTCATGATTATTAGTTTTTCAATTTATATATCTTATTTTGGTAAAATAATTAATATAAAATTTACCTCTACTGGGCATTGATGATTAACCCCTGTAATCCCAATGCTTTGGGAGGACGAAGTGGGAGGACCACTTGAGGCCAGGAGTTCAAGACCAGCCTGAGAAACAGTGAGACCCTGTCTCTACAAAAAAATTAAAATAATTAGCTTGTTGTGTTGGCACACACCTGTAGTGCTAGCTACTCAGGAGGCTGAGGCAGAAGGATTACTTGAGTCCAGGAGTTTGAGGTTGCAGTGAGGTATGATGCCACTACACTCTAGCCTGGGCAACAGAGCAGCAGCACCCTGTCTCAAAAAAATTTTTTTTTTTTTTTTTTTTTACTGTTTTTATGCGTACAGGTCACTGCACACTTAAAACATTTACAATGTTGTGCAGCCCTTACCACTTCTCCATCTCCAGAACTTTTTTTTATCATCCCATACTATAATAAAACTCCATAACCATTCAACAATAACTCCCCATTCCCGACAGTGCATGGTAGCTCACGCCTATAATCCTAGCACTTTGGGAAGCCGTAGTGTGGGGATCACTTGAGCCCAGCAAGTTTGAGACCAGCCTGGGCAACACAGTGAGACCTTGTCTCTACTAAAAAAAAAAAAAAAAAATTAGCCAGGCGTTGTGGCACACACCTGTAGTGTCAGTTACTCAGCAGGGTGAGGTAGAGGATTGCTTGAGCCTAGGAGATCCAGGCTACAGTGAGCTGTGATCACACAACTTCACTGCAGCCTGGGTGACAGAGTAAGACCCTGACTCAAAACAAAAACAAAAAAACCTACCCATTATCTTCTTTCTCCAGCCTCTGGAAACCACTGTTATAATTTCTCTGTTTCGTTATGAGTGTTTTCTGTTTGCCTTATCTTAAAGTTCATTAATCTTTTCTCCTGCAGTGTCTAGTCTAATCTGCCATTAATCCCATCTAGTATATTTGTCATCTCAGGTGTTGTATTTTCATCTCTAGATGTTGGATTTCAGTCTTTAAATTTTTACATTTTATTTTTCAGGTCTCTACTTTTTGAACATATGTAATCCAGCTATACAGAAAATTATAATAAAATATAATTAGATCTGTGTCAGTTCTAGGTTGATTTTGATAGATGTCCTCATTATGGATTGTGTTTTTTTGCTTCTTTACATCATACCTGATAATTTTTCAGCGGATGCCAAACATTGTGAATTTCACCTTGTTGGGTGCTGGATATTTTTGTGTTCTAGTTACTTGGAAATGGTCTTTGGTCTTTCTTGTTGGGTCTTGCTTGCATGATTTGTTAGGTGGGATCAGAGCAGTGCTCAGTGCAGGGCTAGTTATTCCCCTCTACTGAGGCAAGGCCCATCTGAGTACTCTTCCTAACATCACATGAATTACTGTAGTGTAGTATTCTCATGTGGCTTATAGGAACAGGCGCCATTACTAGCCCTGTGAAAACACCATGCCCTTACTTATCCTTTTAAGAGGTTCTTTTCTTGGGCTGGTAGTTTCCTCACATTCATGTGCTAATCACTACTCAGCTCAACACTTGAGGAGGACCTTCTGCATCTCTCTGGAGTTGTGTCTTTGTGCACTTCTCTTCTCTCCTGAACTCTTGTCCTGTGAATTCTAGCCACCTTGGTCTTCCTGGACTCCCAGCTTTCTCTCCCTAACCCAGGGAGTTCTCTGAGTTCCATTTGGGCTTTACTTCCCTGTACCTTGGTCTGCAGTCTTTATCAAGGCTGAAGTTGGGGCAGTTGTTGGGCGTACTGCGTTTATTTCCTGTCTCTGTCCTTTATTGCCTGATATTACAGTGTTTTGGAAATCATTATTTCATGTATTTTTTCCATTTTTTTGGTTTCAGGTGGAAGGGTAAATCTGGTCTCTCTTAATCTATGTTGGCCAGAAACAGAGGTCTTTAGAAATGTGGATTTTTCAAAATAAAAGATTATTTCAAATTGTACTATGAGATTTACCACTCTCTACATATTCTTTTTATAGCAAAGTGATTTCCCAAAAGAGACCTTTGAAGGCCCTAAACATGAAGTACTACGAAGATGTCTTTGTGCGGGCTATTTCAAAAATGTAGCTCGAAGGTAAGCAATAAAGACTTGAGAGATGGATCAAGATATAATACTGTATTTGACTATAATATTGGACTATTTAATATTAAACATTGAAGATTTGATTTAAGCTCTGTGATGATTATGACATGAATTACAGTGACGAGGGAGAGCTACAGTGACGAGGGAGAGCTGCAGTGGCTCAGAATGTGGTATTAGAGCTCAAGTAGGGTAGGAGGGGTATGTTTGTAGGGTGGCTGTCCAGCATGGGTTATCTTCACTTAAGGCAAGTAACAAGAGTTTTCTTTCAGAGAGGTGGCCCTGTGTATAGTGTGAAAGCCAAGTAGGTTGAGCATAGCATCCCTGAGGAAGGGTAGCTTGGCATGGAGTGCTAGGGCTTGAGCAAGGTGGGGAGGGGTTATTTGGTTTGGGGCATCAGTCAGAGTGTAGTGAGGAAGGCATCTTTATAGAGAAAGGGGTAACAGTGATGGTGATGGAGATTCATTAAATACAGAGGAATTGAACACATAACTCTGTGAGTGATAATGGTGAAGGGAGTTAGAAATAGCGAAAGTGAGAAAATAGGAATGATCTCTGTGCTGTTGGATTGAAATTTCAGTGTATCATGATGAAGTTATGGGTTTCATTATAGATGGATGCATGGATGGACACTGGAATAAAAATAGATGTTAGTGTGTGTATATAGAATGTATTTGTATGTATGTAAATATTTATATGTATATATGCCCTAGCTCTGAGATAATAACAATGAATAGACATAGTGCCCAGATCTTGACTTGGGACATCCATCTGCCACTTAAAGGAGTCAGGGGTCTTTGGAGAAATGGGGCTGGGAAAATGCAAGATGAGCCCAGAATATCTTATTTTGCCAGCAAGTAAAGAAGTGATTAACAAAGGTTGAGGCCACGTCAGAAGAACATAGGAGCCAGCATGAAGAGGCCCCAAGTAATCAAATATGAGACACTTTAAGCATCAAAATAAGTAGTGATAGTAGCGGATTATTATGCACTTAATAAAATGTGAAATCGTGTCTATCGTGGTATAAATAAATGAGTAAAAGTTTATTGAGAAATGGAATTGTTTACAAGCACCTCTCCATAAAATTTTTGTTAATTACAAAAGCAAAAAGTAACTTTACAGTGGAGAATCCTGGCATATGTGACCTAAATCAAGCAATCAAAGTGAACATAATGAAATAAATAAAAATCATGTTCTTCCTGATAGGATACAATGAGAAAAACACAGCATTATGTCTGTGATATTCCTGCTAAAGATGCATAACCTGAATCTAATCATCCTGAAACAGACAAACTCAAACTGAGGGACATACCACACAGTAACTAGCCTTGACATCTTTAAAGGTGCCAAGATCATGAAAGTCAAAGACTGAGGAAGTATTCCAGAATGAAGGAGACCAAAGGGAAATGAAAAATAAAGGCAATGTATGATTCTGAATTACATCCTTTTGCTATAAAGGATATTATTAAGACAAATTGGTGAAATGTCAGTGGGGTCTGAGGATTAATTGTTAGTAATGTATCAGTGTTAATTTCCTGGTTTTGATGGTTATAGTCATGTCGGAGAATGTTCTTGATTGTTGATTGTAAGAAGTGCACAGTCGAGTATTTGAGGATGATGGGGTATTAGGTTGGCAGTTTGCTGTCAAATGATTCAGGTAAAAATTTTTTTACTCTCAACTTTTCTGTAAATTTAGATTGTTTCACACTTTTAAAAATATGGTATATCTTGGTTACCCTCTGTATGCCAAACACTGGGCAGGTACTAAAAATAGAAAAGTAGAGTAACATGAGTCCTTACATCATTCTTGATGATACCTGAGTCTAATGGAGGGTACAGATATGTAAGTGAATAATTACAGTGCAGTCTGATCTGGGTTATACTATGAATATATACAAAGTACTATAGGAAATAAATTATGACAAATGAACTAGGTTTATTTTTTTGACAAGTTTTTTGGAATGACATTTAGGTAGGGTAATGTAGAAGAAAATAAGGGCATGAATCGGAAAAATGATAGATTAATTGTCAAGTTTTAGAGTAGTGAAAAAATCATCCCTTTAAAAAGAGATGCAGCATAGTATAACATAAAGAAACCATATTTAAGTCAGAAGAACTGTTTAGGACTTGGTTTTACCATGCGTTAGCGCTGGTGATCTTGAGAAGTCTAGCTAATTTATTTGAATTTTAGTTTTGACTTTTTAATAAAGTTCCTGGCTCTCAAAGCTCATAGATTATTGTTAATATTTGTACTGATTCCTTATACCTAATTGTAGTGACTTATACCTAATTGTAGTGACTGTTTAACCTGTATAATTAATTTAAGATGAATTGGTAGAGAGCTTGTAGTGACAGTTGAATAAATGTAAACCTCTGCTTATAATGCTGTTTGTAGTAGAACATATTGTAATTGTTCATTGCTGAATGTAATGCTCCATTTACTTCATTGCTTTACTGTTGTAGTCTTTATCATTTTGTTTTTCTGTTTATAGATCTGTTGGGAGAACGTTTTGCACAATGGATGGTCGTGGAAGCCCAGTTCACATTCATCCTTCCTCAGCAGTAAGTACTTCATTTTTAATAAAGGGAAGAAATTTGTAAAGTTGTAGAAATAAGTAATATACAAATGTCTTCTACTTTTCACTTTGGAGTTAAATTTACATATATCTATATTACATAGATCTATAAGGGTATTGGTTGGCCTGTGCCTCCTGTTTGAAGAAGATAGGAATTAATTGAGAAGGATTTGGACTATTTGGTTGGTTTAATGTGGAATAGGGCAGGTTATTGAGTTACCATCATTAAAAGAAATGTTTTGTATAGCTTCATGAACAGGAAACCAAACTTGAATGGATCATTTTTCATGAGGTATTGGTTACCACCAAAGTCTACGCAAGAATTGTATGCCCAATCCGTTATGAATGGGTAAGAGACTTGTTACCCAAGTTGCATGAATTTAATGCACATGATTTGAGCAGTGTGGCCCGACGTGAAGTGAGAGAAGATGCAAGAAGGAGATGGACAAATAAGGAAAATGTAAAGCAGCTAAAGGGTGAGTAAATCATTTGTTCTACTCTTAACCACTATGCCATACTGCTTCCCAGTAGTACTTCACTATTTTTGTTTATAAAAATGTTGTGACCCACCTGGGCAATGTGGTGAGATCCCATCTCTAGCAAAATAAAAATAAAAATTAGCCAGGCATGTTGGTGTGCACCTGTAGTCCCAGTGACTTGGGAGGCTGATGCAGGAGGATCGCTTGAACCCAGGAGTTTGAGGCTGCAGTGAACTGTGATTTCACCAGTGCACTCCAGCCTGGGGGTGACAGAGTGAGACACTATCTCTAAAAAAAAAAAAGTGATGATTTATGCATTATTAACTCAGAATCCCCTTTGTTTCCAAGGGGCTTTTTCTTTCTTTCTTTCTTTTTCTTTCTTCTTTGAGACGGAGTTTTGCTCTTATTGCCCAGGCTGGAGTGTAATGGTGTGATTTTGGCTCACTGCAGCCTCTGCCTCCCGGTTCAAGCTATTCTCCTGCCTCAGCCTCCTGAGTAGCTGGATTACAGGCATGCACCACCACGCCTGGCTAAGTTTGTATATCCAAGGGGCTTTTTCTATGAAATAATTAGGACCCTGGTTGGGAGGCATAAATAGTTGTGGTACTGAAATAGGACAGAAAGTTTTTCAGCTCACATACACAGAAAACTTCTTAGTAAAGCTTTTTGAGGCTGAATGATGAAGCATATTGTATTTTCTTTATTTGACATCACTGCAAAATGGAATGGTGAAGAGTTTTGCCGAATAAATCATAGAAAAATCTTTAGAAATGTTAGCCACTAGGGAGGCCAGGCATGGTGGCTCACGCCTGTAATCCCAGCACTTTGGGAGACCAAGGCGGGCGGATCACGAGGTCAGGAGATCGAGACCATCCTGGCTAACACGGTGAAACCCCGTCTCTACTAAATATACAAAAAACTAGCTGGGTGTGGTGGCGGGCGCCTGTAGTCCCAGCTACTCGGGAGGCTGAGGCAGGAGAATGGCGTGAACCCAGGAGGCAGAGCTTGCAGTGAGCCGAGATTGCGCCACTGCACTCCAGCCTGGGCGACAGAGTGAGACTCCGTCTCAAAAAAAAAAAAAAAAAGAAAAGAAATCTTAGCCACTAGGTGTTCTATTACAGTGTAATAACACTGCCACATGCTTGAATTAGGGTCAGTTTTTCTGACTCATTGGCCTTGGTGCTCTTAATTTTGTAACCATAGACTACATTGCTTTTGAAAGGGCAAAATTTAATTTTTCTCTTTATTGTTTTTACTTTGTTAACACTGAAAAATCAGGGCTTCTCTTTCTCTTAACATTTCTAGTACTGAATCTCAAAGCTAAGTTTTATTGGATTAATTTGTAATGTTTTCAGATGGAATATCGAAAGACGTCTTAAAGAAAATGCAAAGAAGAAATGATGACAAATCCATATCTGATGCACGGGCTCGTTTCCTTGAGAGAAAGCAGCAGAGGACCCAGGACCACAGTGACACACGAAAGGAAACAGGCTAAGGTGGTGAACCCTCCAATTCAGGAAGTGGGAAAAGGAGCCAGGAAATGTGCTTCTACTTTGCCAGTTATTTCAGACAGCACTACCAAGAGGAGGTGGTCAGCACTTGTTATTGGCCTATGAACTAAAAGCAAATCAAAGCTCATAAATCAAAGCTCATCAGTTCCCATAAATGCAGTTGTCAAAGAAAAGATTTGGTTGCCATAGTCATAAGCAATGATACATGAAACCAATGAAAGACAGTACATGTAATAATATTTTCCTCAGTACAATTTTGCTGGCCTTAACTGGTATCAAACGCTGTCATTGAGATGTTTTCAAAGAACATTGAGTTGTATTTAATCAGCGTGTACTCCATTTGCATTGAAGCATTAAAAATTATTTTTCTTAAAATCTCTTTAAGGCCTTCTTGTTGCTGTTAGAATAGTGCTATATATCAGGTATGTGACCATTTATTTCAGAAGGCTGAACATAAGAGGTTTCTACTCAGCAATACTTAGATGTCTAACTGTTTAATTGCTACAGAGCTTTATAGATATTTAGAGAAAAGACTTAATCAATTAGTAAATAAAATTGCCTATGGCAGGATTCTTTCTTGAATTAATATTAATCCTTAAATTGATTTTTCTGGGATTATACAAATTCCTTTTTATATAAAAGTATATTGTTTAAAACAGTAGCTATAGCCATTAACCAAAGGACAGATGATATATATATATATGATATATATATATATATAAGTTCTTTTTTAGCTGTACCTACGTACTTATATCAGCACCATGTATGTAGGTGTGATAGTACTTTCAAACAGCGCCTCCACCTGGCCTACTCTGTTATTTCCACCTGTTTGGGTAGGGCCATTTAACTTCCATTATGCCAAACTTGGGATGGGATTTTCGAAGCAGACAACACTATTTCATCGTGTTTCAAATTGGAACCTTGAGGCTAGTTAGTATCACACTCAGGCCACACTCAGCACTTGCCCACTCTTGTTTACTGCCTTGTATTCTAGTTATTTGTGTATTTGTCTCCCTCACTAGATTATACGCTCCTTGTGGGCAGGGACTGTGTCTTTTTTCATCTTTGTATCTTTCATGCACCTAGCATAGTGCTTTGCACATAGTAGTCACTCAGTGTTTGTTAAATAAAGCTATTAGTGTCATTAAAATTCAAAAGACAGTATAATGTGTGTTTTTAGATATTTTGTGTAAAAATTAAGAATCTAAATTTTTTATCGGTAACTCTTCTAGTTATTTCCTTTGGAATCTAGTTTTATGTTCAATAATAGAAACTTGAAATCTTTATCAAAAATCACAAGGACCCAAATTCATGTATTTGTCCCTAAAGTAAGGTGAGTGATGATGGTTTCTCTAAACCTTTCCAGTGTTTTAATTTGTTAATTTTTTTTTTTTTTTTTTTGAGACGGAGTCTCACTTTGTCGCCCAGGCTGGAGTACGGTGGCATGATCTTGGCTCACTGCAAGCTCCGCCTCCCAGGTTCACGCCATTCTCCTGCCTCAGCCTCCCGAGTAGCTGGGACTACAGGCATCCACCACTATGCCTGGCTAATTTTTTGTATTTTTTAGTAGAGACGGGGTTTCACCGTGTTAGCCAGGATGGTCTTGATCTCCTGACCTCATGATGCGCCCGCCTCTGCCTCCCAGAGTGCTGGGATTACAGGCGTGAGTCACCGCGCCTGGCCTAATTTGTTCATTTTTATCTTTAGTGCTCTAGACACTGTTATTAGCACATATTAATCATTTAGTTCTGTCAGTTTCTCTTCTCAGGTGTATTGTATAAGGGCATATCCTCAGATGTGGTGGGAGTGTGTGGATTCTTGGAATGAGAGCTCTTCTAGTTTAGTAAATATTAAGCATATATTCTGAATCTACACCTCACACTCAAATTATATCTGTTGTTTCAGTAATGTCCTTTATGGCATTTTTCTGTAGTTCAAGATTTAGTCTAGGATCACGTATTGTATTTAGTCTCTTAATCTGGAAAAAGTCCTCAGTCCTTGTCTTTCACAACATTAACATTTTAAAATAATATAAGCTAGTTATTTTATAGAATGTTCTCAATTTGGGTTTCTCCAATGTTTCTTCATGGTTATGCATTTTTAACTGGAATACTGCATAAGTAATAGTGTCATGGTATCACGTCTGGAGGTACATGGCATTTTCCCCTTGCTGGTGTTATTAATGTTAATTACTTATTAGGGTGCTTTTTAAATTATATCAACCTGGTTATCCTTATAATTCATAAATAATTTGAGGGAGAGATACTTTGACATTATATAAAATATCTCGTTCCTCATAAAATATGACATTTTGTATTTACCATCAATTGATGATTCTTGCCTGAATCCATTTTATTCTTATGGCTGCAAAATGGTGATTTTTTTTTCTAATTCTTTTCTATATTTGTTGGTATTATATTGTAAGGAAGAGTTTTCCTTGAAGGATGAATGTCTGATAAACGGGTGGGTGCTAAGAAGAGCATGGATCAAGACAGAGAAGTATTTATAGAAAGCCCAGGGGGTGTTTGAGATGGTGGCAAACAGTTGAGTTTACTTGGTGCATAGAATATATATAGGAGAGTAGGTGGCTCAAACTGTTAAGGTCAGATTACAGAAGGCTTTGTAAACCAATCTATAGAATTTGGAATTATTTTATGGATTTGTTAGAAGGGAAGGACATCATTACAGTTTTGGGATAATTGTGATAGTGTTATTGATAAAAAATTTCTGTATCTCAGTTTGCATTGAGAGGACTGTGAGAGCAGTAGTATCAAGGGAATGCTGGATCTAGTTAAGGCAAGAACATGGAAGCAGCCTTGCAGGAAAGGTGGGTTTTATGGAGGAGTTTGTTCTTAGAAGAATGGGAATACACCTTCAAGTTACTAAATGAAACAAAACAGAATCAAAAACAAATTTTTTTTTGAGACGGAGTTTTGCTCTTGTTGCCCAGGCTGGAGTACAATGGTGCGATCTCGGCTCACCACAACCTCGGCCTGCCGGGTTCAAGCAGTTCTCCTGCCTCGGCCTCCCGAGTAGCTGGGATTACAGGTGCGTACCACCACGCCTGGCTAATTTTTTTGTGTTTTTAGTAGAGACGGGGTTTCACCAGGCTGGTCTTGAACTCCTGACCTCGTGATCTGCCCACCTCGGCCTCCCAAAGTGTTGGGATTACAGACATGAGCCACTGCATCCAGCTGACAAATGTTATAATAGAAAAATGGGCAAAGGACATGGTCGGTCCTTTTATAAAAGGGGAAACAGGAGGAAGGGTCAGTAAATAAAAGACAATGAACCTAACTTGTAATTAGGGAGACGGCATTCATTTCCATCAGATTAGCAATAATTAATACTCCTGAAAAGTGTTGGTGGTGAAGAATAAATTGCTTTTATTTAATTAATTAATTTTTCATACAGTTCTGTTGCCCAGGCTGGAGTACAGCATGATCATGGCTCACTACTTCTTTGATCTAGGCTCAAGCAGTCCTCCCACCTTAGTCTCCTGAGTAGCTGAGAGTACAGGTGTGTGCCAACACACCCGACTGGTTGTTTTAAAATTCATTTTTTGTATATATGGGGTGTCACTATGTTGCTTAGGCTGGGTCTCGAACTCCTGGGCTCAAATGATCCTCTTGCCTTGGCCTACCAAAATCCTGGGATTACAGACGTGAGCCACCATGCCCAGGCCAGCTCTTATTTTAGAGAACATTTTGGCAATATCTAGTAAAGTTGAAGCTGTGTACAACCTGATACCTAGTAAGTCCACCTCTAGACGTAGGTGGTCTTTGACTAGCGTATCACATCTGGAGGTACATGGCATTTGCCGCTTATTGGTGATACTAGTTTTGTTTACTTAGGGTGGACCCAGTAAGTCCACATTTAGACTTAGGGGTTTCTCTAGACTAGGAACTCTCAGACTATATACAATATTCTGTGCCTCATAAAATTGGACTCCTATAGATTTAGCGTTAATTGCTGATGATAAATACATTAAAAATGTTAAATACAGCATTCATTACAATGTGAAATACACCATTGTTGCTAATAGAAATCTGAAAACAGCACATATATATATAGCTATATCAGTAGGGAAAAGGTTTAATAAATTGTGATATGTTCTTACTGTTGAATCCTACAGCAGTGAAAGTGATTTCTGAGATTCCTGATGTGTACTCCTATTTAGCAGAACAGATGAACCAGTTCATATTCCAACCAGCAATATATGAAAATGCCAGTCTTACTACACCTCATAGTTCCTCAGTCTTCTAATTATTGACAAAAAGGTGCCTCATTATCTTAATTTACATATTTAGATATTTAATGCTTTTTCCATGTGTTCAAACTGTAGGGAATAATAAAATTATCTGATTTGAATTTGATAAGCCAGATAGTAAATATTTTAGGCTTTCTGGACATGTAATTTCTGTTGCAGCTACTCTGATGTTGTAGTATGAAAGCAACAACAGACAGTACATGAATGAATATCACTTTGTTCCAATAAAACTATGGAGAATGAAATTCAAATTTCACATGTCAGCAAATACAGTCAGCCCCCTGTATCTGGGGGCTCAGTATCTGGGGTTCCACAACCACAGATTCAACCAACCACAGATTTCAAATATTCCAAAGAAAATCCAATAAAAATAATACAATAATGAAAGATAAAGAAAAAAAGAGTATAACAACTATTTACATTGTATTAGATATTATAAATAATCTAGATATGATGTAAAGTATGCAGGAAAATGTGCATATATGCAGACACTACCCATTTTATATGAGAAACTTCAGCATCAACCAGATTTTGGTATCCTCAGGGGGAAGTCCTGGAACCAAACCCCAGCTGATACTAAGGAATGACTGGATTATTGTTTTGATTTCAGGTTTTTTTTCTTTGAGATGGAGTCTTACTCTGTCGCCCAGGCTGGAGCGCAGTGGCATGATCTCGGCTCACTGCAACCTCCGCCTCCCAGGTTCAAATGATTCTCCCGCCTCAGTGTCCTGAGTAGCTGGGATTACAGGCACGTGCCACCACACCCAGCTAATTTTTGTATTTTTAGTAGAGATGGGGTTTCCCATGTTGGCCAGGCTGGTCTCAAACTTCTGACCTCAAGTGATCCGCCTGCCTTGGCCTCCCAAAGTGCTGGGATTACAGGTGTGAGCCACCACGCCCACCAGTTTCAGTTTTTTACCACTTGTATTTGAATCTAGAAAAGCTACTTTTTAATATTCCCATTCTAACTTAAATGATCACTTCATTTGCAAGAAGAGGTCTTAATGAAATGTCAGATTTTTCTGGCTTTTACTTTTTCTTCATAGCAGAGTTGATGAGACTAAACATAATATCAAGGAATCAATAAATTTAAATAGTAATCTTTAATCACCCAAAGATTTTTAAAGTAATCCTTATTACTTGTTAGCTGTTCCTTTAAACTTAATACATGAATAATACAAAATTCCCTTGTGAAGCTGTTAAAGATTTTTCAAAGAAAATGATTAGTCACAGCTGGGCATGGTAGCTCACACCTGTAATCCCAGCACTTTGGGAGGCCGAGGTGGGCGGATCACGAGGTCAGGAGCTCCAGACCAGCCTGGCCAACATGGTGAAACCCCGTCTCTACTAAAGATACAAAAAATTAACTGAGTGCAGTGGTACGTGCCTGTAATCCTAGCTACTCAGGAGGCTGGGGCAGGAGAATCGCTTGAACCCATGAGGTGGAGGTTGCAGTGAGCCGAGATCGCACCACTGCACTCCAGCTTGGGCAACGGAGCAAGACTCTGTCTCAGAAAAAAACGACAATGATTAGTCACATTCTTTGTCCAGATAAAATCCACATATTTTTCCCACCTATTAATATTATTACTTGGTTCTCAGCTAAAATACAGGAAATGAGATGAGTGAACCCAAAATACAGCCTAGCACCCAGTTTGGTGCTTTGTATATGGGAGGTATTTATAAATGATTGTGCCAACTCCAGATGCGATTACTAACAACATAAAGTAGCCTAGGCTTCAAATTAAATGGGTCATGTAATCAATAAATGCTTTAATAGCTGGAGAAGTAAGGTAAATTGAATTTTTTTTTTTTTTTGAGACAGAGCCTCACTCTGTTGCCCAAGCTGGAGTGCAATGACGCCATCTTGGCTCACTGCAACTTCCGCCTCCCCGGTTCAAGCAATTCTCCTGGCTTAGCCTCCTGAGTAGCTGGGACTACAGGCGCCCGCCATCACACCCAGCTAATTTTTGTATTTTTAGCAGAGGCGGGGTTTCACCGTGTTGGCCAGGATGGTCTTGAACTCCTGACCTCAAGTGATCCACCCACCTCGGCTTCCCAAAGTGCTGGGATTATAGGCGTGAGGCACCGTGCCTTGCCGATAAATGGATTTTAAGCTGAGTCTTTGAGGGAAGAGTAGGACCTGCACTGAAACAAAAAGACAATTTGTGGGGTTGGGGAGAGGAACCAGATGTAAACAATGGAAAGGTTTTGGTGTCACTTTGAGAAGGATTTTTTGGAAGGGTTTTGCAATGTCCATTCTGTATCTTGGGTTAACACTAGTAAGTCAAATGGAGAATAATTTGAGTGTCACTCATTCCTACAGATAGAAAAATTTTAAAGTAGCTTGGGCCGGGATTTTCCTTTTATCATGTGCCATTGTGTACGTGTCTGCTACTTCATTTAGTTCCTTTTTTAAAAATGGAATTTTTATCACTTCTGTGCAAAGGTTAAATTTTTTTAATAAATTAATAATGGAATGTTTAAGCCTTCCTCAGTAATGAGTATAATCTTATCTCTCCATCTGATCTGATGGGTCAACTATATAGTAACTAAAATAGACTGTAACAGCTGTCTTCATCATTAGTTTTTATTTTCACCATGCATGTAGAATGCTTTATATTGTAGTCCCTTATTATCTGAGGTTTCATTTTCTGATGTTTCAGTTACCTGTGTTCAACTATGTCCAAAAATAGGTAACTACAATGATATTTTGAGAGACCACATTCACATATAACTTTTATTATAGTACATTGTTATAATTGTCCTATTTTCATTGTTAATATCGTACTGTGCCTAATTTATAAGTTAAACTTTATCATAGGTATATATGTATAGAAAAAACATAGTGTATACTGTATGGGGTTCAGTATTAGCTGTGGTTTCAGGCATCCTCTGTAGAGGTCTTGGAATATATCCCTTGTGGATAATGGAGGACTACATATTTGACTGGTTGGTGGAGTTAACCTAAGGAGACCTTTTCATGACTCTTTAAACTTTTAGGTTTAAAGGTTGACTCGGAAAAGAAAAACAATTTATATCAATAAATCTAAGGTAGGCTTATATGAATGCTGCATACTTTTCATCACTGCAGTGTTGTGGAATGAAAAGTAATTGTATGGATTTTATACTATACAACATTAAACTCATAGTTATTTGGAATATGAGCAACCAGGAAAAGAAAATAACCAGGTATTTTGTTTGATTTACATAGTAATCTACTTTTAGTAGTCATGACAGGATGAGGTATGGCATTTTAAAAAAAGTAATTCCTAGTATTGCCTAGGTTTGGTACTACTCAGATTAGGTTACATTTGCAGGAGTACTATACAACAACTGTTCACTTTGATGAATCTGAGGCCTTTAAGGTTCAGAACTGCTTTCCCTATATCAATTTTTTTTTTTCAAAAAAGGCTTTACAAAATAATTTAACATTGAGTATTTAATTTTACATTGCAGGTACTGGAAAATATTTGTTGAAGAAATTAATTATTCCTTAAAACTTTATTATTGAGTTAACCAAAACTTTACCAAATCTCAGTCCTTAGCTATTCTGTTGCGAAGAAGTGAGAGTTTACTACCATTAACAAGGCTGCAGATGTACACTGCTACTGGCAGAACTATCCCTAGAGTGGCAAAACTCTACATTTCCCAAGGGAACATATCTGTGGGTCATGTTTTGCTTTGGAGACAGTAGTAACTCTAGGAGGTGAACACAGAACGTTCTACATATTTAGAAATAGAAAAAAGAAATAGCCCTTAACAATTAATCCCACACTCTCACCCTCATTACCTCTTCATTCTATAGATGCTCTCAAGCTTCTTGTGACTTTTGTTGCAAGATGTTGTGACATGGCATCTGACTCCCTATTGATCAGCAGGGTTAAAATCCTCCTGGGTTTTCCTATCCACAATGTTCTGTGAATTGCTATATTTAAACTAGCTTTTTTTTTTGAGACGGAATCTTGCTCTGTTCCCAGGCTGGAGTGCAGTGGCACACTGTAGAGTGGCAAATGAAGACATATTTATCTGATCCTCTGATATGAAATCCCCTATTAATAAACACCTTTCTTAAAAGTGCTATATAAAAGTATGCTTATAATAGGAATGTTTCCTTTAATTTGTCTAGAATTGAAAGGGAAATAGGCAGGGGGGTTCAAAAAACAAAAGGGAAATTGAAGGCATCCAGAAACTTATTTTATTTTTGAGACCGAGTCTCGCTCTGTCACCCAGGCTGGAGTGCAATGGTGTGATCTCGGCTCACTGCAACCTCCACCTCCCAAGTTCAAGCGATTCTCCTGCCTCAGCCTCCCAAGTAGCTGGGATGACAGGCACCTGCCACGGTGCCTGGCTAATTTTTGTATATTTAGTAGAGGTGGGATTTCACCATGTTGGCCAGGCTGGTCTCAAACTCCTGACCTCAGGTAATCCGCCCGCCTCGGCCTCCCAAAGTGCTGGGATTACAGGCTGAGCCACCATGTCCTGCCTAAACCAACTTTTGTGAAATGGCTTTTTAAGGTAATGTCATGAACCACTTCATTCCTCTGCCAGGGTCTTATTTAACCCTTCAAAAACATGGGTGGGCCCTATATAATGTGACTTCATTCTACATTGGATCCCCACAAAGCTAGTCTTGGCTTTTCACTTGGAACATGCCCAATGCTGATACAAAGTAAAGATTCACTATAGATCTTATTGCTATCCATCGTACGTTATAAAACTTGTCTAAATATTTAAAGGTTTAAAACAAGCCTGCGCAGTGGATGTCAAGAGTAAAGTACGTTTCATAGTAAAATTAAAATGCCATTAAAATTTTGTTCTTGTGGGGCTGGGTGTGGTGGCTCATGCCTGTAATCCCAGCACTTGAGGAGGCTGAGGCAGGCAGATCACCTGAGGTCAGGAGTTCAAGACCAGCCTACCCAACATGGTGAAACCCCTGTCTCTACTAAAAATACAAAAATAAGCCAGGCATGGTGGCTGGTGCCTGTAATCCCAGCTCCTCGGGAGGCTGAGGCAGGAGAATTGCCTGAACCCAGGAGGCGGAGGTTGTGGTGGGCCGAGATCACACCATTGCAGTCTGGCCTGGGCGACAAGAGCAAGACTCCGTCTCAAAAAAAAAAAATTGTTCTTGCTTTGTAAATGCTGCTTTCTTTTCTTCATTTTGGAGCGGGGAGCCTTGCCGATAGTCAGTGACTTGTACATTTGTTTACTGGCATTTGATAGGCTGCTCCTTATCTTGCATGAAAAAATAAAGACCTAGCCAGTCTAATCCTGCTGGGATTCATATCAGTGGCCCCAGGGGGTTGAGATGCTTCAAAGCTACTGTTTAAATGGCAAAACCAAGTATCTTACTTGGATAATACTAAAGTATGTCCTTTATGGCTTTATTGGAATCTGAATTGTAAACATTTGGTACAGTGGATTAAAGTTCTGCTTTAAAATTAATTTCTGAGTATGTGAGATATGCCTTTTCTTTGTGACTTTTGCAGTGCAGTGAATTCAGGCTGTTTTTAAAAGGTCAAGTTTTTAAAAGGCAGGGGCATTAGTGCTAGGGCTGCTTGAAGATGAACAGCTAATGGAGAAATCCTACAGTGAAAGGGGTTGTTTTTTTTTTTGTTTTTTGTTTGTGTTTTGAGGTGTCATTCTATTGAGTGTTTATATATATATATATATATATATATATATATATGTATATATCTCCATCCTAATTGTTGGCATAACATTAAAATTAGTGACACAACACAGGTTTCTTGTATAGGTTTTCAGAAACTAGCAGTCCTCAAAATAACAGACCAAGCAATGTAGTTTTTGCTAATGGCACTTGCTGTGACTCATGATAGTCTACTGTTGATGAGCATTCCAACTAAAATAGCTTTCACTTCACCATTGATTAACATGGCTACCTTGCTAAAACATTTTCTGAAACCAAAAGCTAGAGTGATCATTCATAGCATTGTCTTATTAAAAGACTATGTCATACTGTATCGTAGAAAAAGCCATTCTGGGTAGTAGGATTTGCTTCCTGGTCTATTAGGTTATCTGTTCTCCCTTCTAACTTGAGGTAATGTCTGAAAACAGTGCCATTCAGGTATTGCTTAGGTAACTAAACCAGTGAAACCAGTGAAACTGCCTTTATACTGTTACCAAGAACAGCAGACTCCCATTAAAAAAAAAAAAAAACTCTTATTACCCTACTCAAATTATTCATCTTTAAAAAGGCATAGGGTTTTTTTTTAATGTTTATCATCTTGACTTTTTTTTTCTCTTGAAAATTTTTGGATTAATTTGAAGATCATTTCAAAATGACCCAGGATATCACGATCTATTTTTCCTCTTCCTAAATTATTTCTCAAAACAGTGTAATTTCTATGTGTGATGACGTAGCAGTCACTAACAACCTCAGCGCACTTTTTGGTTAGATATTCCACTCCAAATAGCTAAAATCAACTGCTTTTGGGATTCTAAATGTACTTAAAGTTACAGGGTCTGTATGAAAATGCCAGACACTAATTAAATTTTGGTGGCCCATTCATGATACGGCTCTTTTATCTCCGGATTCTGAGATTGAAAAGGTGACTTGATCAAGCTATTGAATTACTGTAATAAAACAATTACTCCCTTAGAATTTTAATTTAGAATTTGTCTACTTCCAAAAAGGGTTTAAAGCAGTTATTACTAGACTGGCATTAGGTTATTTCAAATGTTGCGGAACAGAGGATCTTCGTGTATTTAGCTTAACAATACAAAAAGAAATTTTGCAAGCATAAATATTCACTCTTACAACATGGTGGCAAGGCTTTTCTTTGCAGAACAATCTTTGCCCTCTTACCTGCCAGACTCTTCTCTCATGCTCAGTATGTGAGACAGTTAAGTAAAGGGAAAAACACTAAAAGCAACTAAAATGATTGGCAAACTTCTCACTGTAACCTAAACTGCTTAGCATACAAAACTATCGTCTACCCAATAGGGTTTTATGTCCTTTAACTGAAAAGGACACTAAAAATAATTATTGTGGACTTGAGCTTTTCTCTTTCGGCGGGGCGGGGGGTGGGGGGGGAGAATCACCTCTCTTACAAAGATAAAAGGCACAGAACTAACGTCTTTCATCCTTTATTGTATTGGTGCGATTATGAAATATTATTATGGCTTATACTTTAGCAAGAAAGTACCAGAAAGGTTATTATTAATCGACAATGAATGCCGTTGATACCTTCATGCTCTTTGAAGACAGGATGCTCCGGCTTTGAAGCGCTACATTTCTACATTGCTAACCTACAGGAACCTATGTTGAGGTGGTCCCACCGAAATACACGGCTAATAGTTCATCTCTTTCCTCCAGGAACCTTCAGGTTTTTTTTTGTTTGTTTTTTTTTTGAGACGGAGTCTCGCTCTGTCGCCCAGGTTGGAGTGCAGTGGCGCGATGGAACCTTCGGGTTTTACTAAGCATCCTTACCCTAATTATCTAAATCTTTGAGACGTAAATTATTTGATGTGGCTAAAAATCCTCCTGCTAGAATTTAGGTCCAATCCTTTAATGTTCGGATACTCAAATTCTTTAACGAAACTGATCACTGAGCTAGGCCGACACAAGTCCGCCAAAATGTCCGCAGAAACGTTAAGAAAAGCTGTCATAAGGCCAGCTTGAAAGACATCATAAAAGGCCTTCGCTGTCCTTTGAGTTAATTATCTAACACCCGAAGAGAGTGCCAGTTCTAGTTAGAATCCGCGCGTCAGGTTCTCCAACAGTCAGAAGGGCTTGTGTGAGGGCAGGGAAGATTTTAAACCCCGTTTCAGGCCCCCTCCCTAGGCTGTAGGAAACCACCCACTCTGAAGCCCGGCGGGGGAGGAGTGCTGCAGCCAGCTGCCGAGGGAGCGCTCTGCGGCGAGGCCGTTTCCCTGAGTCACGGAGAGGGCGGGAGGCTGCGCCCGTCTGCCCCCGCCACGTCCTCCTGTGAGGGGCTCAGTCGAAACAGGCAGCGGTCGCAGGGAAACGAAGCGGCACCCGTCATGCCTCAAGGTGGCCCAAAAGCCTCTTCACTCCCAGGAGACGCCGCATTTCCTTAAAACGAGCTCTCCATTTCTGGCAGCAATCAGCCGACCCTTCCCCATCAGTATCACGTGCACCTGGAAGTACGTGGGTGGGACCTAAAGCGCCCACGGAAGTGACGTCGGTCGCCCCGAGTCGCATGATGTGGCAAAATGAAAAAAAAAAAGTGGGGGGAGAAAGAGAAGACTGGCGAAAGTGATGAGTCTAAAAAAGTAGTCCCTCCGGTTCCTCTGTTTCCCCCCATGTGGCGTCAGGAAGCGAGGCACCGGGCGCACTGCGCCCCGAATTCCTGCGCCCGCCGCGCGCGGCGCTCCGTGGAGGGGTACATAAGGCGGAGGGGGTGAGGCGACTGGGCGGAGTTCTGTCGCCGGGATCCTTCCGCTGGGCTCAGCCGTTTCCGGAGTCTGCGCTGCGCCCGGTTCCGCCATTGCGGCTCTCCTGGCCCCTGGAGCCTCCGCCCCCGACCCGAGCTCTTTCGTCTGCCTGCCAGTTTCCTGCGTCCCCGGAGAGGATCCTGCTGAGCCCAGCCTCCCCCCTCCCCTTCTCCTCCTCTCCCTTGGAGAGCCCGGGCAGCCACTGCCCCGCAGCCCCAGTGACAGGAGGAGACCATAACCCCCGACAGCGCCATGGCCCAGATTCTGCCAATTCGTTTTCAGGAGCATCTCCAGGTGCGGCCGGGCCCGGGCTGGTGAGGGCTGTGGAGAAGGTGGTAGGAAGGATGGAAGACGCTGGAGTCTGGGCCCGAGCAGTATCGGAGCTGGAGGGGCGGGGGGGTTGTCGGTGATTGGGGTAGGTGGAGGAGGGGGCACTATCTTGGAAAGCTTAAAATATTAAATGATGTGGGGCTTGGATGGAAAGGACAGGAGTTGGGGTGCAAAGAGCTGCAAGGACCAGGCCTGGATCCAAAGGCCTCTCGATCTTGCTTCCTGGATGGCCAGAACTGCGCGTACAAACTCTCTCCCCATTTTATTCATTTCATTCATTTGGGTAGGGGAGTGGGAGGGGGATTCTCCCTTGTTTCTACCAGAGCAAGGATTCTTATCCCCTGGGCCAGTGCGGGGCTGTCACCTTCCATTGCTCTCCTCTTTCCCTCATCGTGTCTGCACCCAGGAGTTGTGGGGCGGGTGGGTTGGGGAGGAGCAACCTTTTTTTTCCCTCCCTCTGCGGCTCTCAACTGAGAAAGGCACCTTCTCCGGTGGTGGGGGTTGGGGGTGGTGGTGAGGCGGTGGCTTTTCTCTTGCCTTCCCTGAGGCAGTAGGGACAGAAGGTCACTGAAAGAACGGAACGAGGGTAGAATGGGAGAACGCATTTCTTAGAGCTATGTCAATCTCAGAGTGTGTGCGGTCAAACTCCCTAAGGAAACTCGCCTCCCCTTCCCCCTTTTTTTATTTCTCTGGGGATGTTGTGGCTCTTAACCCCTCTTTGGTTCTGGAAGGTAGGAAAGAGTGATACAGAGGTTATCTTTTAGTCTTCTCGAGTAGTAGCAGGTAGTTTTGAATATCTTCTTCAGGATCGCATGGAATTGAACAGAGCCCTGGGGACAGCACAGCTGCTCTGAGACCTGCAGGGCTATTTGGTCTGTGACTGGCTTCCCTTTAGTAAGTTCTAGAGTTCTTCCCCATGGTTCCTTATCCTGGAGGCAACATATTGTTATCTGGCAACATGCCAGTGGCGGGCCTAGGCAGGTGACCATTGGAAGGCTTCACTGAATTAAACCTCTTCAGAGCTTTTGATTTTCCTGTGTCACCAATCCTGTTTTTTACTGTAGCTTAAATAATTTATTCCTATTAATTTGCTTTCTTCCCAAATATCCCCTTAAAGAAACCTGCCTCAGCTCAGTCGTCTGAAGGGCTAATTCCATAATGACAGGGAATGCAGTGGTTTGACATGACACTGATATCAGTGACCTATTAGACACTTTACCATTGAAGACCATTTTTATTTACATTTCCCCATTGGCATAGCATACATAAAGGATTCTTGTTAATAAAAGGTTTTAACATTCAGGCTATAAGTAACATAATTTCATATTTCTTTGCAAGTATTACCATGTTTGCACTAGCAAGGACTTATTTTCCTTTAAGGCTTGAAATGTAAAGAATAATAAATTTTTACCCATAAAATGAGTTAAATAATGCACTTTCCTCAGTCATCTATAATTTTCAAATAACTCATCTGAAGTAATGGAATATACCTTGGCAATAAAAACACTTTTACAGAGGGTTAAAAATGTTAAATAACAAAATGGACATTTTTTTTTGATCAATCCAAGTTTAGTTGCTGTGGTTGCTTTTGTTAAAGTGGGGTGGCAAATGAATGTGGAGAGTTGAGGGGTGCTGTTCTTAAGTGTGAGGGGAAAACGCGGGCTTATTTTCATATTAAACTGCATCTGAAATATCTTTCTGCAGACAAATGTTTATAAACCACACAGAGAATCAAGTACAGCTGCTCTTTATTTTCCACGGCAGATGTGTAGCTCACTACTAAATCTTGTGGTGGTTGGAGTAATAGCTTTTCATTTCTTTTAAAGAGGAGACAAGAATTGTTAAATGATCCCAAAGATTCGAACCCAACCTTGTCACTTATTAAAGACAAATTTAATACATGTCTGTTTTGTAACTGGATCAAAGTTTCTGCAGATGCTTGAATGAAGCCATTTTCTTCTCAAATAATTTGAAGATTTTGAATATAAAGCGATTTGCAAATTGAAAAATTCAGTCCTCTGTGTTTTGGATTGCTATGTCATGCCTAAACTTAAGCTTGCTTAGCTAATATGACTGTGCTCCAGTTGATTAATTGTGGAGCCCAAATAACTACAGCCTCTTTCATGATAATATATCTCCTAACTTCATATCATTATCTCCTCCCTTTTTAAAAATTAATAAGCATTTTGTTTTTTTGAGGAGACAGGGTTTTTGCTGGAGGTCAGTGGCACCATCACAGCTCACTGCAGCCTTGACCTACTGGGCTCAAGCCATCCTCCCACCTCAGCATCCTGAGTAGCTGGGACTACAGCCATGAGCCACCACACCTGGCTAATTTTTGTATTTTTTGTAGAGATGGAGTTTCATGTTGCCCAGGCTAGTCTCGAATGCCTGGGCTCAAGCAATCCTTTGCCTTGACCTCCCAAAGTGCTGGGATAATAGGTGTGAACCACCGAGCCCAACTAATAAGGATTATTTTAATTGGCATCTTTGGTCTTTGACCTCTGAGCTTCTACCAGTTTGCTAAGTAGCAGAAAACTTTCTGAAACACGTAGGATAAAAACTGGAAACAAGAAATGGGGAACTTAAGTGTGAGTGTAGAGTTACCTTGTGAAACTGTAAATGAACTTATTTTTATACCCTTTAACTACATTGTCCAACTGAAGGATCTCTTGTCATCAAAGCTTGGACCTACAGCAAATGAATGTGAATATATGAAGATTTCTCTTTTCCTAGACTGTTTAGACTGATAGCAGTTAATAAATGAGTGCCTATTTGAGCAAGATACTGTTGGAATTGAAGATTCTATAAAAATCCTAGGCTACATATATAAAATATTGCCTGTGATTCTTAATTTTTTGGTGATTTTCAATTTTCTGGCACATTAAGTATCTTTAGGCCACTTGACACATTCCATTGTATTCCTAGATTCTTTGGGTCTTCAATTAAAAATCTCCCTACCCTGTTCTTTCCCCTTTGATCCATAGATGCAGGCATGGAATGTGTTGTTGAGTCAAATGTTAGGGGTTCTTGCTATAGTTAGTTCGGATTGTGAATAGAAAGCAATGCTAAGTACTGGGATTTACTACATGCTTAGTTGTACTCTCTGGAAGAGGTAGACTTCCTGGAATTATGCGGCAGTCTCCTGGGAATAGCTTCTAAGTTTAAAATGTATCATATTCTTCAGAATTTTCTTGATGGTCAGTTTACCCAGCTTAAAGTGTGTGGTTAATTTTAGTGAAAGTGCTTTCACTCTGATTAGGAAATAAGACACAGAATGGTGTGTATGTAGAACACAATCATTTTCATTTGAGTATTTAGGAAAATTCACATTTCAGGAACCATGGTAGTTGCTCTTGAACAATTGTTTCTGACCATAATTGGAATTTGTACCTTGCTTTTAAAAGATTCCATTTATATCGAATCCTCAGCTTCTTTGCAAAATTGTTTTTTCCATACATATGTTTATATGTTATTCAAATTATATTTAACAAGGTGTTTTCCCTGTCATTGTTACCGTTGTGGCTTTTTCTCTTTGAGTTATTGTCCAGTAGAACTTTCTTCAATGATGGAACTGTCTACCAGCTACATAGGGATATTGAGCACTTGAAATGTGGCTGATGTGACTGAAAAACTAAATTTTTGCTTTAATTTCTTTTTAATTTAAATGTAAATAGCCACATGTGACAATTGACTCCTACATTGGACTGCACAATTATAGGCCATGCTGATGTGTTTTGTAAGTTTGAAGATTTATCTCACCACTCATGTTTATGTATTTAGAATATTTCGTTAGCTAAAATTAAAACACTCATTGTTCAAAAGTTTTAACTGAATACTGTCTGTCTTGGAAAGTGGTGGTGATGAACAATGACTAGCAGCAGACTTCTTGAGACCTTATTATGTGCTGTAAATTTGGCTAGGTACTTTCAGATCTTCACTCAATCCCCCCAGACACCTTTCTAAAAAGTGAGACTCATAAAGTAGTGGGAATGCTGTCCGAATGGGATGTGTACCTGAGTCTTCTGACACAAAATATTTCAAAGAAATTGGATAATTGACCTTAAAAAAAGAAGTTATACAGTATCCTAGAGTGCTTTTTGTCTGTTGGACTTAGGCCCAGAGAGGTGAGTTCTCTCTACTTGTTTATAGATTAACAATGTGGTATAGTAGACAGAACAGGGAGGGCTTTAGGGGTTGTTGAAACAAATGCTGTCCAATAGAAAAATAATATGAGCCACATACTTTTTTTTTTTTTTTTTTTTTTTTTGAGACAGAGTCTCACTCTGTCCTCTGTCACCTAGACTAGTGTGCAGTGGTGCGATCTCGGCTCACAGCAACCTCCACCTGCCAGGTTCAAGTGATTCTCCTGCCTCAGCCTCCCAAGTAGCTGGGATTTTAGGTGTCTGCCACCATGCCTGGCTAATTTTTCCATTTTTAGTAGAGATGGGGTTTTACCATGTTGGCCAGGCTGGTCTTCAACTCCTGACTTCAAATGATCTGCCCACCTCGACCTCCCAAAGTGCTGGGATTATAGGCATGAGCTGCTGCTCCTGGCCTCATATAAATAATTTTTTAAGTTTTCTAGCAGCCATATTAAAAGTGAAAAAACATAAAATTAATTAATTTTGGGTTTTTTTGGTAGAGACAGAGTCTTGCTATATTGCTCAGGCTGGTCTCAAATTATTGGGCTCAAGTGATCTGCTCGCCTTGGCCTCCCAAAGTGCTGGGATTACAGGCGTGAGTCACCATGCCATGCCCAGATAAAATTAAATTTAATATATTTTATTTAACTTGGGATATGCAAAATATTATTTCAATATGTAATCAGTATAAAATTTACTAATGAGATACCTTACATTCTTTTTCATACTAAATTTTCTAAATCTAGTGTGTGTGGTTTTTTTTTCTTTTTTTTTGAGACAAAGTCTCACTCTGTCGCCAGGCTGGAGTGCAATGGTGGATCTCGGCTCATTGCAACCTCCGCCTTCCAGGTTCAAGTGATTCTTCTGCCTCTGCCTCCCGAGTCGCTGGGACTACAGGCGCGTGCTACCACGCCCAGCTATTTTTTTTTTATTTTTATTTTTTGGTATTTTTAGTAAAGATGGGGTTTCACCATGTTGGTCAGGATGGTCTCAATCTCTTGACCTCGTGAAATGCCTGCCTCGGCCTCCCGAAGTGTTAGGATTACAGGTGTGAGCCACCGTGCCCGGCTATGTATATTTTGTACTTAGAGCATATATCAATTCAGACCCTATTTTCTTTGGAAATCCTGGTCCGTATTTAGAGTTCATAAAATTTACAGTTAGAAAGGCAGATTTGGGGCTGGGGGTAGTGGCTCATGCCTGTAAACTCAGCACTTTGTGAGCCAAGGTAGGAGCATTGTTTGAGCCCAGGAATTCAAGACCAGCCTGGGTAACAGAGTTAAGACCTCGTCTCTATATTAAACAAACAAAAATGAAGAAAAAGGAAAGCAGATATGCAATACTTCAGTGATCCCAAACATACTTAAGTTTTCCAGTAATTGAATCACTTACTGGTTATTATTTAATTTTAATTACTTTAAAATTACGGTAACCACATTTCAAGTGCTCATTATGGTATGTAGGTTGTGACTTGTGGTTACCATATTGGACAACACAGGTTAAGTCTAACCTCTTGCTTTTTTTTCTCTGGGAAATGGGCATACTTATCTCACAAAGTTATTATGAGGATCTGAGATCATGTATGTGAAAGTACTTTACGTAGCATTTTAGGAGCATTAATTATTGGCTAAATAATTTTTGTCCAGTACATTTTATTCAGGTATCTCAACCAATGACACAATATTCATTTACAGATCCAGTGTTTTATGGTGTATAAGTATTTGGGGTTAACACATTTACCTAAGATTTGAGTACTTACTGCAGATGAGGAACTGTGTTAGACTCTAGGGACAAGGTGGTAAACAAGATGGACTACACCTTGCATTCATGCTTCCATTGATGAGTTGGCAAAGGCTGTACACTTGTTATTCCAACCATTGATGTTGTCTACTTGATTGTGGATCTTTTATGTGTTCGAACATTTGATATTGTGCACAGTTTAATACAAATATTGATATGATACAAAGTTGATTACACTCTGAAACTGCCCCCCAAAAAGAAACTTTTAAATAAATCTTTTATTATGTTCCACGAGTCTCATTGTGTGCCACTGGTACATTTTAAATTAGGGTTCCTTGAACAGACATATTTGAAAAAAAAACTTAATGAATCATATCGGATAAAATACCCATATGGAATGCCGGTCAGGCGATTGTTAGAGTTATTGTATGTGTTGTATGTGTCCTTTTTTAGGGTGGTAGTGTTGAAGTGAATCTTCTCACTTAGATGAGCAGTAGGTTCATGGCTGATATTTTAGTCCTGTATATTAGAATGAGGCTGTTTCTCTAAGTTCATGCACTATATGCCATGCCAAAACTACTTCATGAAATAAACCTGTCTTCTGAGCCACAGCAAAGTTTACAGCTCTGGGTGTCTTGTCTTTGCTTCTTGGTTAAGTGCCTATGGCTAATGCTCTTAACTCAAAAGATGGCTGAAAGCTTGGACCTAAATGTGTTATGCAAAACCCATCTGTCAGACTTTTGTGAGTCTCTTCTTTTGTATTATCTCCTTAAATTAAGACATAATTTAAGATATTTTTGTCCTACTTTTTTTGGGGGGTGGGGACAGGGTCTCACTCTGTTGCCCAGGCTGGAGTGCAGTGGCATGATCAAGGCTCACTGCAGCCTTGACCTCCCTGGGCTTAGGTAATCCTCCCACCTCTGCTCCCTAAATAGCTGGGACTACAGGCGTGCGCCACCAAACCCGGCTAATTTTTGTATTTTTTTTGTAGAGTCGGGGTTTTGCCATGTTTCCCAGGATGGTCTCAAAATCCCGGGCTCAAGCAGTCCACCTGCCACAGCCTCCCAAAGTGCTGAAATTACAAGTGTGAGACACCAAGCCTTGTCCTATTTTTGAGGCAGTAACTATTCAAATCTTAATTGTCCTGTAATCTAATCCATAAAATCAAAATACATGGGCCATTATAGTTGTTTGAGCACCTATTACGTGCCAAGAACTGTATTAAATATTTAATGTTTATTATCTCATTTAATTAGCAAGAGAACCCTTGTGCTTAGGTCAGATTAGCCTTATTGTAGAGATTGGGCAACTGAAGTTCATAGTAGGTAACTTTTAGAGTCACACAGCTAGTGAGCAGTCAGACTTTTAATATTTATTCTTTCATTTGGCTCATTGCCTCATTTGGTAAATGGTCTGTATCATTTGAATTGCAAAATGTACCACAATTGTTTATATCTATGCTGTGATGTTCTTTGATTCTAGTAGTACTGTCGTTTGTTTATCGTGAAATATTTTTTATATTATGAGAAAAGTAGGAGACAGCAAACTAACATCTGACTTTATGCCTTGAATGATTATTTAGCTGTATCTTTTTTAAGGACTTTATCCTGTTTCCTATTGGAAAATTGTGCAGGATGATTGGGATCCGGTTAACTTGTAACCAGGATTGTCTGCATCCCTCTCATAAGACTGAACTTGTCACACTTTTCTATAGACTTTTTCTTACTGAAAAGAATGAGTGTGTTCCAGTCTGAAGCCACTTGTGAAAGGAGGAAACTTCTGCTTTCTATTTTACTGTAAATTCATGTTTTTGTGTTTATGCCAAGAAATAGAAGCTTGAACTCAACGAAGGCAGTTGTGCATGAAAGGGATAGGAAATGAAGGTGACAATGGAATATATTTGCTCATTTTGAGTAGCATCATGGTAGAAAGGAAAATGGTTACAGACTTGTAGGGTTGTGCTTTGGAGGCAGACTGCCAGTACTGTTAATACTTCTTGTTCCTAATCCTTAGGTAAATAAGGATTTTCTTCAAGTTCTGAAGTAAGACGGTTTTAAAGATTATTGCTGAAAGAATAGGAACCAGATCCATTAAAGCCATATTTTGTCACATTAAAAAACTCTGCAGTGTGCTATTCTGGAAAATGTCTCAGATGTTTAATCTGGGCTTATCTATTGATTATGTCAGGTTTTCAACTTGTCTCAACTTCCTCATTTATTAAAACAATATTTCCTGGCAATTTTAAAGTTAGACTACAGTATGTTTTTGTATTTGTAGTATAATATTTAGCCCCTTAACCCCTTACAGGCACTCGAATATTAGTTCTTCCCCTCCACCCTGGAAGAGTTTCCCTTTGTCCACTTGAGTTGAATATATGTGCCGTACTAAAGGAGAAAAACTACCATCTACCCAGTTATTGAAGCCAAGATCTTGAAGTTACACCAGACTCTCTAATTTCTCATTTTCTGCATCCGTCGATTTCTGGAGTTCCTCAGTGATGCACACTGGGGGTCTCAGGGATGACAGTTTTTCATGACCCTAGGTTGAAACTGGGAGTCATAGAAGACGAAAAAACGAGAATTGGATTGGGAGTTGACTCTGTTGCCCAGGCTGGAGTACGGTGGTGCAATCTTGGTTCACTGCAACTTCCGCCTCCCAGGTTCAAGCAATTCTCCTGCCTCAGCCTCCTGAGTAGCTGGGACTACAGGGGCCCGCCACCAGGCCTGGCGAATTTTTTTTGTATTTTTAGTAGAGATGGGGTTTCACCATGTTGGCCAGGCTGGTCTCAAACTCCTGACCTCAAATAATCTACCCTCCTCAGCTTCCCAAAGTGCTGGGATTACAGGCGTGAGCCATCGTGCCTGGCCAACTTGCATTTATTTCTGATTAGCTGCTCATCTGAGAAAGGTGGCTTAAAAAAAACCACCAAAGTGGACAGACTGAAGCTAAAGACTGTCAGTATATATGCTCTGCTTGGCAAACAGCTGACTTTGGATAGATCTCATTATTTAAAGATGAATAATAAGGGGGAAAAACGTGTAGAGAGAACATGGTTTACAAAAACCCATCTCTTTCTCCAGTCTCTGCAATATTCTATATTTGGTCATATTGAACTATGAAAATCTAAGGCAGGTTTCTTTATTTTACCACAGATATCCTCAGGAAAGAGTCTCCTTATTAAAAGCCTTACTGAATCTCCATAGTATTGTGTCCTCTCACAGTTGCTTCTGTTCTGAGCACCAGAATGCTGTTTGGCAAAGGCTGCTGTAGGCTTGAAATCAACTGGATTAGTGAGAGACAAATTTTACACATCTAAAATTCTCCTGTGTATGGCCTCACAGTTGGAACTGTTGGATGTTATAAGCAGATGATTTAAATATCCCGTGAAAAGCAGTCCATTCGGGCATGTTTCTAGAGATCATAATTTTTTTTTTTTTTTTTTTTGAGATGGAGTCTTGCTCTGTCGCCCAGGCTGGAGTACAGTGGCATGATCTTGGCTCACTGCAACTTCTGCCTCCCGGGTTCAAGCGGTTCTTCTGCCTAAGCCTCCCAAGTAGCTGGGATTACAGGTGCCCGCCACCATGCCTGGCTGATTTTTGTAATTTTAGTACAGATGGGATTTCACCATGTTGTCCAGGTTGGTGTTGAACTCCTGACCTTGTGATCCGCCTGCTTTGGCCTCCCAAAGTGCTGGGATTACAGGCATGAGCCACCACACCCAGCCTAGAGATCATAATTTACATAGAAAGATAAGAGAAAAACAACTCTCCTGATAACGCAAATAGATTTGATGTTACAAAACTGCACCATTATGATTGCTCTGTAATGGATTTTTGAAAAGCATTGTGAAATGGAGATGACTTTCCAGTGCTGATGTCAAAAATGCATATGCAGAGTTTAAATATAATTTTGTGTGTTTTGTTTTTTGAGACAGGGTCTTGCTCTGTCTCAAGTGGAGTACAGTGGCGAGATCATGGCTTACCACAGCCTCAACTTCCCAGGCTCCAGCCATCCTCTCACCTCAGCCTCCCAAGTAGCTAGGACTACAGGCGTGTGCCACCACACCCAGCCAATTTTTGTATTTTTTTGTAGAAATGGGCTTTGGCCATGTTGCCCAGGCTGGCCTCGAACTCCTGAGCCCAAGCAATCTGCCTGCCTCGGCCTCCCAAAGTGCTGGGATTACAGGCAGGAGCCACTGTGCCTGGCCTAATTTTATAATTTTAAATGTCTGTAAAGTAAGCAAAATGACTAGTTGAATTGTACATTAAATATATCTAATCCCTAAGAGTTTATAATGAAAAGGGATCAAAACTTTTTCAATTGCGATAAAACTCACATAACAAAATTAACCATTTTAAAGTGAACAATTTAGTGGTATTTAGTGCATTCACAGTGTCGTGCAGCCAACACCTGTATCTAGTTCCAAGACATTTTCATCTCCCCAAAAGGAGACCCCATACACGTGAAGCAGTCCCTCTCCCATCCCCCTCCTCCCATCCGCTAGCAACTGCTAATTTGCTTTTTGTCTCTATGGATTTACCTGTTCTGGATATTTCACATAAATGGAATTATACAATAAAGGACCGTTTGTTTCTAACTTCTTTCACTAAGCATCCATGTTATAGCATATATCAGACTTCATTCCTTTATGACTGAATAATACTTTGCTGAATGGATATATCAGTGTTTTATTTGTCCTTTCATCAGTTGGTGGACATTTGGGTTCTTTCTACCTTTTGGCTATTGTGACTAGTGGTGTTGCAAACATTCATGTACAAGTTTTTGTTTGAATGCCTGTTGTCAGTTCTTCTAGATATATACTTAGAAGTGGAATTGCTGGGTCATATGGTAATTTCTCTGTTTCAACTTTTTGAGAGACCACGAAACCGTTTTCCACAGTGGTGGCACCATTTGACATGCCCACTAGAAATATATGAGAGTTCCATTTTCTTCACATCTTCTGACAGCTTTTTGGGGTGTTGGGATGATTCGTCTAATTGGGAAAATAAGTACCTTATTTGGGCCTATATGGTATTTTTAATTCTGTGTGTCTGCTCCCAAACTCTGTAGCCCTGCCCTCCCTTATATTGTGTATCCTGTTTCAGATTGTTTCCGTTTCTTCTGAGACACTGCATATACCCCTACATGTATCTGTGCTAGGCATACATCCCTGTAACTTCATGGCATTTTTGTAATTGCTGTGTACCTGTTACGTATACTGAGTGGGAGTGTCTCATTTGCTGTAGAACTCTCTGCATTAGTGTAGTGTCTGGCACACAGTAGCTGCTCAGGCATTTTTTAAGTATATGATTATTGGGAAAACTACAGAGCTAGGGAGAGATCTGAAGAAATACTAGAAATTTTTTTCTGCAAAGAAAACTTTAGAAAATTGTTGACATCATCTGTGGCATGCAGCAAAAGTTGATGTAAAAGGAACAGAAAGACCTATGGAGATAATGGGATGTAATAACAGAAAACATACATAAACAATTGGTTCTGAAATCAGTTAAGAGCAGAACTGGAATTCATACTCTGTGGAATGAATCAGCAATGTGGAAGGAGTAACAAGATTTTTTAAAAAGATTTTGAATTTAGGCTGGGTGCAGTGGCTCACGCCTGTAACCCCATCACTTTGGGAGGCCAGAGTAGGTGGATTGCTTCAACCCAGGCATTCGAGACTAGCCTGGACAGCATGGCAAAACCCTATCTCTACAAAAAATAAAAAATTAGCCAGGTGTGGTGGCATGCGCCTGTAGTCCCATCTACTTGGGAGGCTGAGGTGGATGGATCACCTGAGCCTGGGAAGTGGAGGTTGCAGTAGGCTGAAGTCATGCCACTGCACTCAAACCTGGCGGACAGAGTGAGACCCTATCTCAAAAAAAAAAAAAAAAGATTTTAGTTTAGAAGTAAATCCCAGAATTAAGTAAAAGTGGTGTGTGTGTGTTTGTGTGTGTGACAGAATAGGTTACAAATTTAAGAATTTTAGAAACCGGGCTGGGTGTGGTGGCTCACGCCTGTAATCCCAGCACTTTGGGAGGGTGAGGCGGGCGGATCACGAGGTCAGGAGATCGAGACCATCCTGGCTAACACGGTGAAACCCCGTCTCTACTAAAAATACAAAAAATTAGCTGGGCGCGGTGGCGGGTGCCTGTAGTCCCAGCTACTCGGGAGGCTGAGGCAGCAGAATGGCGTGAACCCAGGAGGCGGAGCTTGCAGTGAGCCAAGATAGCTCCACTGCACTCCAGCCTGGGCGAAAGAGCAAGAATCCATCTCAAAAAAAAAAAAAAAAGATTTTTAGAAACCAAAATAATTGGAATGGAAGCTCTTTTCAATGAAAGAAAACTTTTGTAATTTGAAAGAACCAAAATTAAAAGGGCTTAGTGTTTGGAACAGGCCTGAAGAAGTTGTAATACCATGAATTTAAAAAAACAAAACAAACTCGGGAGGCCAAGGCACAAGAATTGCTTGAACCCAGGAGCCGGAGGTTGCAGTGAGCCGAGATTGCGCCACTGCATGCCAGCCTATGCGACAGAGCGAGACTCTGTCTCAAAAACAAACAAAAAAATCCCTAAAACTATAAGCATCTAGGGCACATCCTCTTCCTGACCAAAAAAATCAAAGTAATACTAGTTTTTTAACCCTGAATTTTAGATAGTGAAGCAGTGTCTATAGTTTTTGAGATGGAAAGTGTCTTCACTTGTTTTTAGAAGACATGAATCACAATTTGAACCCCCAAAGAGCCTCTGAGAGCCTAAAACCTGTTTTTTCTCCTATAGGTTGTTTCCTCACTAGTAATGACAAAGTTATAATCTTAGCACAAAATAAGCAAAGGGGACAGTTTCACACAAAAATTGTACTTAAAATATTGAGTTTGTGTTAAGTTGCTAAATAATGGATGCTCAATATGTATTAATTGAAAGCAAATCATGGTGGTTGTCATTTTAATCATTTTAATGTCATTTTAATCATTTTAATGTCATTTTGAACTCCCTGAATTTGTTAATATTAAATCATTTTGAGATAATCTGTAACTCCTCATGCTGATTGTTAGTTAATTCATTCACTCATTTGAAAACAGTATTTGTGGCATTTAAGCTCACAGGAAAACACTCCAGGCTGGGTGCAGTGGCTCACTCCTGTAATCCCAATACTTTGGGAGGCCAAGGTGGGTGGATCACTTGAGATCAGGAGTTTGAGACCAGCCTGGCCAACATGGTGAAACCCCGTCTCTACTGAAAAAATACAAAAATTAGCTGGGCGTGGTGGTGCATGCCTGTAGTCCCAGCTACTCAGGAGGTTGAGGCAGGAGAATGGCTTGAACCCGGGAGGCAGAGGTTGTGGTGAGCTGAGATCATGCCATTGCACTCCAGCCTGGGCGACAGAGCGAGACTCCATCTCAAAAAAAGAAAAAAAAATACTCTAGTGACTCAATTGTAAAATAAAATGGTTCTAGTCTTATAACTTGTAGCACCTGGTAGACTGAGTATGCCTTAAATGATTGATCTAACTAGAATAATGTGGGATAGAGCATAATGTCTAATTTCCTGGCAGGTCCCTCAGTATAGGGTAGAAAGATAACATGAATATGTACAATAGTGATGGGGTTGACAGAATGTAACACTAGGCTCCCACTTAAATGTACATTTTGTGAAGTCGCTGGGAAGTTGTGTCATAGAATGAAGTTTATCAAGGATCTTTATAACTTGAATATTAAGGAGACTGTCCAGATGTTTTATTCATATCAGGAAACCAAGCCTTTAATGTCTCCCTGGTTACATTCATTTATAACATCCTTTATGCTAAGTCAGCAATAAGTATTATATATATTTTTTGAGATGGGGTCTTGCTCTGTCACCCAGGCTGAAGTGCAGGGGTGCAGTCACAGCTTGTTGCAGCCTCTGCCTCCTGGACTCAAACAATCTTCCCACCTCAGCCTGCCAACTAGCTAGAACTACAGGTGCACACCACCACGCCTGGACAGTTTTTTTATTTTTTGTAGGGACAGGGTCTCGCCATGTTGCCCAGGCTGGTCTTGAACACCTGGGCTCGAGAGGTCCTCCCACCTTGGCCTGCAAAAGTGCTGGGATTACAGGCATGAGCCACTATGCCTGGCCTTGAACCCTCAAAGTAAGCCCATTTGGTAGGTTTGGATATATTCTGCACAACTTCTCACCCCTGCCATTGAATGTAGCTGTGGTTGTTTTGTGCTGCTGAATTGCATTTATACGGGGGGCATAATCTTGGTAAGTCATATCCATCTCCAAGATTTGGGGCATAAAAACTCCTGTATTTCCCTGCAGCTTGGTTAACATTGGCCTAATTGATCTGATATCATCTAATTATTGGCTTATTTTTTAAGAATGCATTAAATATAAAGTTTTTGAAAATTTCCAATCAGCAGTTGATTACAAGTAGGAAAAATTCTTTGAGTCTCCTGGTAGTTTACCAAAGCTAATAATAGTCTGACAACCTCTCTCCAACTGTGGTTGCTTCCTGAATATATTGCTTAAATTTGGAGTTTGTGACCAGAATCAAAAATTCTAAGAGCCAGTGATTCTCTCAAAGGCTAACATGGAGTAGAAAAAAACTATATGTTTAAATGTGGGGACAGCAAGGGTTAAAGGCATTTTTATTTGTTGCTTGAAATCTGTGGAGCCTACAGAAAACAGTGGTTGGTATCCTGTTGATGGAAGAACTAAAGGAATGCTGCATTCTCAGCATTTCTTATTTCCTGTAGAATACAGCAACTGCAGTTTTTATTTGACATTCTGCTAGTTTCCAGGAAGGGCTCAATGAAGTGACTGCTGTCAGCATCTTTTTTCACCGCGACTGATACTAGAGAAGGTAGAGGATGTTTAGGAGCTTTTAAAGGAAATTATGTTTAGTGAAATACTTGGGTTAGGAAGTTAACCAAATCTTTAAGTACTGACTTAAAAATGCTTGTATTGAGAGATGAATGGTATCAGAATGACATACAAGTATCAGCAGGTCTCTCAGATTGTTGACCTATTAACTCTACAGTGGTAACACTTCTAAAGTCCTTGGTAAGATACAAGATTCATTTGCAGAAAATAGCTCCATCTGAAAAACAGTAGCTCATACATACTTCCTTTACATTTTCCCTATTCAGATGAAACAAGGAGGATCTGGAAAATGTGAAGCCAAGCAATAATTGTGAAACATAAGTCCTTAGTAATGCTGTCATAAACCAGTTTTCATGTAGTTTGATTTTCAGCTGATAAAGCTGGTAAATGAGTTATACTACAAATCTATGATTCATTAGGAAGCAAACTCCTTAGGTATACTTACAGAGAAGCCAATTTCCAATGAGTTTATTCTTAACTAATCAGATGTGAGAACTGCTGGTTGAAATTAGTAGGCTCAAAGCAAACCTATTACTCCTTTAATTATGTGGCGTCTGTAGGCACAAACAGATAGATTATGAATGATTGCTGAGAGTGTGCCTTGGTGCTAATGGAGAGTTGTCTTTAGATAGTTTAAGAATTGGGCCTTGAAAAAATTATGGTTTTATTTGGTTGTATGTCTTAAGCTAGCATTTTCTGCCCTTCTTAAGGTATATAGTATTGAATTAAATATATTAATAGGACCATGGCCTCTTTGGTCCTCTTAACAATATTTTCATAGTTTGATCACTAATATATTCTGTTAAGATGCTCATACAACACCATTAAGTTTCCTGATTCCTTGATGTATCAGGGTTTCCCCATTCTGTCTTTAGGAGCATGTGAACAAAGCGAATTGGCCCAGGTAAGGTTTGAGTATATAACAGTAGCATGATGCTAAAACCAGTCTGTTTAAGAACAATCTATATCGGCCAGGCGTGGTGGCTCATGCCTGTAATCCCAGCACTTTGGGAGGCCGAGGCAGGCAGACACCTGAGGTCGGGAGTTCGAGACCAGCCTGAGCTACTCCGGAGGCTGAGGCAGGAGAATGGCTTGAACCCGGGAGGTGGAGGTTGCTGTGAGCCGAGATCGTGCCATTGCACTCCAGCCTGGGCAACAAGAGCGAAACTACGTCTCAAAAAAAAAAAAAACAGTCTATATCATAATACCATAGTCCCAGAACTAGAAGTTCATCAAATAATGGAGTGCTCTGTGCTCCCACACTAAGTGCTTGATGTGTGTTAAATCACCTTAACCTTTCATGGAGCACCTAGGCATGCTGCTTTGCTCCCTCTCAAGTAAGGATGGATACTTTTTTTCCCTTTCCATTTTCCATATTTACAATCAAATGGAGTATATTTTTAAAACCAAGACAGGAAAAACAAAGTTTAAACCATTAAAAACTGATGAGCATTCAACGTAGATTTCTGAGTCTCATTGCTGATGTGTTTTTTATTTTTATTTTTTATTTTTTTGGAGACAGAGTCTTGCTCTGTCGCCCAGGCTGGAGTGCGGTGGCGCGATCTCAGCTCACTGCAACCTCTGCTTCCCTTGTTGCCCAGGCTGGTCTTGAACCGAACTCCTGGCCTCAAGCTATCCTCCCATCTCAACCTCCAAAGCACTGGGATTACAGGTGTGAACCACCATACCCAGTCTTGTATTTGCTTGTATTTGTTTCTTTTGCTTAAACATTTTAAATAAAGTCAGGCTATCATATTTTACCTGTAAACACTTCAGCTTGCATCTTTAGAAAATAAGGACATTTTCTTTCTTTTTCTTTTTGAGATGGAGTTTCACTCTTGTTGCCCAGGCTGGAGTGCAATGGCACGATCTTGGCTCACTGCAGCCTCTGCCTCCCGGGTTCAAGCGATTCTCCTGCCTCAGTCTCCCGAGTAGCTGGGATTACAGGTGCCCACCACCATGCCCGGCTAATTCTTTTTTTTTTTTTTTTTTTTTGTATTTTTAGTAGAGATGGGGTTTTGCCATGTTGGCCAGGCTGGTCTTGAACTCTTGACCTCAGGTAATCCACCCACCTTAGCCTCCCAAAGTGCTGGAATTACAGGAATGAGCCACCGTACCTGGCCAGGACATTTTCTTATAATCATAATATTATTTATAGCTCCCTGATATTTAAGAACAATATCAGAAAACCAGTCCATATTCATATTTTCCTCATTGTCCCTAAATGTTGTTTGGTTTAAATCAGAATCCAAGAAAGCTCATACTGCTTTCAGTTATGTCTCTGAAGTTTCTTTTCTTTTTTTTGAGACGGAGTCTTGCTCTGTCGCCCAGGCTGGAGTGCAGTGGCACAATCTCGGCTCACTGCAAGCTCCGCCTCCTGGGTTCACGCCATTCTCCTGCCTCAGCCTCCCGAGTAGCTGGGACTACAGGTGCCCGTCACCACACCTGGCTAATTTTTTGTATTTTTAGTAGAGACGGGGTTTCACTGTGTTAGCCAGGATAGTCTCAATCTCCTGACCTCATGATCCGCCCGCCTCGGCCTCCCAAAGTGCTGGGATTACAGGCATGAGCCACCGTGCCCAGCCTGAAGTTTCTTAAAAAAAAAAAAAAAATTTTTTTTTTAGCCGGGTACAGTGACTCATGCCTGTAATCCCAGCACTTTGGGAGGCTGAGGTGGGAGGATCCCTTAAGCCCAGGAGTTGGAGACCAGACTGGGAAACAAAGTGCTGCCTATCTCTACAAAAAAAAAAAAAAAAAATTAGCTGGGCATGGTGGCGTATGGGTGGTACCATCTATTTGGAAGGCTAATCTATTATCAGTAGTTAAAAGAAATTCACACCCAGAGTTTCAGCCAACCTATGGACAGCTGAATTAAGCAGCCCAGGAGGTTGAAGCTGCAGTGACCCATGATTGTGCCACTGAATTCCACCCTGGGCCACAGAGCAAGACCCTGTATGAGAAAAAAAAGAATTGGAAGTCCTAAAGTGTAATTTCCTTTTCTCCTCACTTCCCCAACAAAAACAAACTTTAAAAAAAAAAAGGCATTTCATAGTGTCTGAGGCAGTTAAGCACCCAGAGACCACTAATCTAGTATCAGTAGTTGAAAGAAATTCACACCCAGAGTTTCAGCCAACCTATGGACAGCTGAATTAAGCAGATAATAAAATGCAAATGCAAAAAAGCTAACCTTGAGCTGGCTTAAAGTACTGATATGTTGTATGTATTAATAGTTAATATCAGTGAGCTCTGGGTTGCTTGATCCCAGGAGTTTAAGGATACAGTGAGCTGTGATCACATCACTGCACTCCAGCTTGGGTGACAGAGCAAGACCCTATCTCTTGCACTCCAGCTTGGGTGACAGAGCAAGACCCTGTCTCTTAAAAAAAAACAGAAGGCAATATCTGTTGAGCTGTTAGATGTCAGGCATTGTTCTTTGCATTCACATTAAATCTTCACACCTCTGAGATAGATACTGTCATCTCAAATGTTTCATATGAGAAAACATAAACACAGCCTGTGTTCTCTAGATCAGTGGTCCACAACCTTTTTGGCGGCACCAGGGACCAGTTTTGTGGAAGAAAATTTTTCCACCGGTTGGGGGTGGGAGTGGGGGTGGGATGGTCTCAGATGAAATTGTTTCACCTCAGATCACAAGGCATTCGTTAGATTCTCATAAGGAGTGAGCAACCTAGATCCCTCGCTTGCACAGTTCACAATAGGGTTCGCGTGCCTATGAGAATCTAATGCCGTGGCTGAAATGACAGGAGGTAGAGCTCAGGCGGTGATGACTGCTCATTGGCTGCTCACCTTCTTCTGTGTGGCCCAGTTGCTAACGGAATACTGGTCTGCGGCCTGTGGTTCGGGATCCCTGCTCTAGATTATGGGGAAGCCGAAGTACTATTTTCTCATTATAAAAACAGAATCCTACCTTTTACTCCCCACCTCCCCCTGTTAATAGAAGTTGGAATGGAGAAGGAAGGAGATGCATTTTAAAATCATTTGTAACATGTAACTCCAGGGTACTTCAGAGTTTTAAAGAATAAATAGGGAATAAATTTGTTTAATTGCCTTTTTAGATCCAGGTTTAGGTGTCAAGTCCTAAAGTAGTGCCACTTGCAGACCAAAATCGAATCTGGAAACCAAATGAGTTACAAAGTTTGGGTGCTTTTCTGTAAAAACAAGGAAGCAGTTTATTTGTATACTTTTGTGTCTTGTGCCATTCTGTTGGAAAAGGGCGGAGGAAATACATACTTTCATATGCTACAGGATAACTCTGAAATGCAAAAGTATCTCTAATTGCTTAGGGGAGAAGGGTATTACTGGAAAGACGGGGTGGGTGACTTTTCATAGTATAACCTTTTGTAAGATTTTAGTGCTTTACTGTATGCACGTGATAACTATTCAAAAAAACAAGCCCCTTTTTTTGGACCCAGTTTATTGACTCCATATTCTTATAACAGCAAAATAAAAATTCTTTTAAGTTAAAAAAAACTTTATCATAGGAATTTCCAAGCATATGTTAAAATAGGATATCTCCAGCTTCAACACTAATGGCATTTTGCAGATTGAGAGGATAATAAAATGTAGCTGTAGTTTGGATACATGTATCCAGATATATTACATGTATTTCAGATATGTCCTCTGAAAATACCTGCAAGTTTATAGAGAATGTTGTATATGTCCTTTGACTTTATCCATGCTTAGTTCCATAGTGTATAATTCAGTTTATGGCTGGGTACAGTGGTTCATACCTGTAATCCCAACACTGGGAGGTCGAGCTGGGAGGATTACTTGAGCCCAGGAGTTCGAGACCAGCCTGGGTAACATAGGGAGAACCTGTCTCTTAAAAAAAAAAAAAAATTAGCCAGGCATGGTGGCGCCTGTAGTCTCAGGTACTGAGGAGGCTGAGGTAGGAAGATCACTTGAGCCTGGGAGGTCGAGGCTGCAGTGGTACCACTGCACTCCAGCCTGGGCAACAGGGCAAGACCCTGTCTCAATAAATAAAGAATAAAAATACAATTCAGTTTCTGTGGTATAGCTTATATGCCATCACACCTTTATAACTGACTGAGAATACTTTATGGTTACTATGTGCTGTTTTGAAAATAAAACCTGTTTAAAAATATGTTGCATTTTAAAAGTTTTAATCTATATTGATATTACTAGACATAGTTATATAGTTTGGCCACCCTGTTACATGCTCCTACTGTAAGGGTATACCTAAACCAGACTTGCAGTTAATAAGAGTGACTTGTCCTATTATTGTGTGCTTTGGCATATTTCTCTTTTGAGTATATAACAGGAAAATATGGGAAGAATTGCTGAGTGTTCTAGACATTCTCACTCAAAAGGAACATCAGTAAGGAAAACAATCTTACCTACCTTATTTGAAGAGGTGGAAGCAAATTTAACCTTCTCTTAGCCAATACGGTCACTTGAAGTTCTTTTTTTTTTTTTTGCCAAAGTCTTGCTCTGTCACTCAGGCTGGAGTGCAGTAGGGCGGTCTTGGCTCACTGCAACCTCCGCCTCCCGGGTACAAGCGATTCTCCTGCCTCAGCCTCTGGAGTAGCTGGGACTACAGGCGTGTGCCACCATGGGCCCGGCTAATATTTTGTATTTTTAGTAGAAACGGGGTTTCACTGTGTTAGCCAGGATGATCTCGATCTCCTGACCTCGTGATCCACGCCCCCTTGGCCTCCCAAAGTGCTGGGATTACAGGCATGAGCCACCACGCCCAGCCGAAGTTCCTGTCTTTTTTTCCTCACAATTAGGAAGGCTATATAGGAAGGAGCAGGGTCCTGTTCAGTTGTGTAAATGACCACCACTTAAGTGTGCTTTTTTAATATGTTTAAACATGTGCCATTATTAAGAATTTGACACGGCTGGACGCCGTGGCTCATGCCTGTATTCCCAGCACTTTGGGAGGCCAAGGCGGACGGAACATGAGGTCAAGAGATCGAGACCATTCTGGCCAACGTGGTCAAACCCCATCTGTACTAAAAATACAAAAATTAGCTGGACGTGGTGGTGCACGCCTGTAGTCCCAGCTACTTGGGAGGCTGAGGCAGGAGAATTGCTTGAACTGGGGAGGTAGAGGTTGCAGTAAGCCGAGATCATGCCACTGCATTCCAGCCTGGTGACAGAGCGAGACTCGGTTTCAAAAAAAAAAACAAAAAACTTGCAACTTCAGAATTATGTTCATGTTTGCTGGTGTTTTAACTCAAACTGGGACATAAATCCTAGGGAAGTAACCCATATCACTGTTGTTCTAATAACTGCATTCGTAGTAGAATAACACTACATTCACTAGTAGAGGCTGAGGGAGAGAGGAAAAGAAGGAATTACAGGTTACAGGCTACTTTTCTGTTCTTGTCTAGACTGAGGCTGACTGACTTGTCTAGACTGAGGCTGAGGCAGGTGGACCATGAGGTCAGGAGATCGAGACCATCCTGGCCAACATGGTGAAACTCCATTTCTACTAAAATACAAAAAATTAGCCGGGCATGTTGGCGCACTCCTGTAGTCCCAGCTACTCGGGAGGCTGAGGCAGGAGAATCACTTGAACCTAGGAGGCAGAGGTTGTAGTGAGCTGAGATCGAGCCACTGTACTCCAGCCTGGCTGGCGACAGAGCAAGACTCCATCTCAAAAAAAAAAAAAAAAAAAAAAAAGAGTTTGTCACTTGCCTCCTGTTTAATTTTGCATTTTTTAAATAAAGTATATCTATTCCACATGGACTATTTTGATTAGTACCAATACATTCCTGAAGGAGATCAAAGATATATATGCATAGCTCTCTTGGTAGCATATGTTTAATGAGAAAGTAATATAAGGATTACATAGATTAGGGTTGCAGGCAGTTCTGTCACTTTAAAGCCAGATCTTTTATTTACCTTATTTTTTAAAGTTTTTGCAGAGATGGGGTCTCATTATGTTGCCCAGGCTGGTATCAAACTCCTGGGCTCAAGTGATCCTCTCATCTCAGCCTCCCAAAGTGCTGGGATTATAGGTGTGAACCAAGGTGCCAGGCCAAATCTTTGTTGTTTTTTTTTTTTTTTTTTTTTTTTACAAGTAAAATACCCTGAGGCTGAAGGTCATTGCTAACTGATGCAGCGTGTTTTTCTTACTGCTTTTTTTCTGGGGATCTAACAAGGAATTGGAAACACAGGTTTTTGACTTTCCTTTTTCCTCCTCATTGTTTTCTGATAGTGTTTTCTTAAAGTCATCTTCCACCTGCCTCTGAAGTTGAGAAGTAGGAAGGAATCTGTTAGAATCACTTGGGGTTCAGTTAGTAGTGTCTGTGGTTTGCTTCCTTTTGTGGTTTTGAATTTAATTTCACTATTTGACTAACACTATTTTTACTCCGACTTCCTCAAACACTGTGGGACTTAAGCTGTGACAGGTGAAACTCAGTGCCTTAGATGAAGGCTTGGTAGAGACTTAGAAACATAGAATTCTTACAGGGTAGCTTAGGATTCTTACAGCATAACTTACTGCTTTTAGGTATATAGCTCTATGAACTTTATGAGCCCACTGGAATGTTTTCTCCAATTATCGGAAAGGATAATTATCAATTAAACTTAAGGAGTCTAAGGACCCTCTACTCAGAAAAATAGATGTGAGATCCTGTCTCAAAAGAAAAGTTAAAGTCAGGAAGAAGTTAAAATTAATGGTTTATAAGGCTTTACTATAACTAAATACATTATAAGTTACATACTTTAAAGCTAGTGTATTTGCCTTGCATTACAGCATATACTTGAGCTTGTAAAGCAGGTTAATCTACTTTATTACGATGTTTGTATTAATGGTTAGAGAGTTGTTTGACTTCTTGCCCCTATATTCAGTGACTGAGTTACTGTAACTACACTTTATAACTGAGTTATAACATTAATAACTTAATACCAGTAGTAATTGAGATAGAAGAGTGAAGAGAAAGTAAAATGTAGCCTTGTAGTCTTATGTTATATCTTATTCAGAGCCTGGCCTGGTTATGTTTAAGCACTATTAGCAGAAGAGTTTCAGAAGAGAATTTAAATAAAATACAGTTAACTTGGCTGGTTTAGTCCATAAGATAATAGTGACAGTGGTGGTGTTTGTGGAGGAAAACTGTATTGCTAGAGGACAAGGGTGACAGAAAGACTTGATTTTTTTTTTTCCATGCTTTTTCTTTTCTGGGGTGTGTGTGTGTGTGTGTGTGTGTGTGTGTGTGTGTATTTTGTACCATGCGAATTTATTATATTACCTTTGGAGGAAAGGGGGATAAAACTAGTCTGGCCAAGGCTAATAAAATAAAGCCTCCATGTAGCTTCTTTTAGTAGGACTTAATCTGTTACAACATAGTTAGTCACCCAGAGTATTAATAACCCACTATGGTAGAGATTTCTTCCTAGTAACAAGTGACTTTTGTTCTTACATACTTAATTGGTTTGCAAAGACCTACCATCTTTAGATCCACTATATTTGTTTAGCAGATACTTTAGTATTTTCTGAGTACACAAAGCAAATCTAATTCCATTATTTTCCTTGTTAAAATCCTTAAGTAGCTCCCTTCGCCTGTAGAATAAACTCAGGATTCTTACTGAGGTATGTTTAGCTTGTTGGTCTGGCCCTTGCTCATTTCTCTAACCTTAATTGTGTACTCCCTCAATCCTATAGTGTTACAAAAGTACTTGTAGTTCCCTTAGCCAACCACACTTTTACGTCTCTGTGCTTTACCACATGCTCTTTCTGTTGAGAATTCTCTCGCCTGCCTCCTTTGAACACATTGCTTTAGCTGTGTAGCCTTTGACAAGATCCCTCTTACATATCTTTGTTTTGGCACTTTTTGCACAGAATTAGAACTTGTTTGCTCTTGCTATTCAAGTTCCTTTATTTAGATCAAGAATTCTGTGACATTTTAGATCTTTTTATGCTTGTAACTTAATTTTTCAGCTTCTTGAAGCGTGAACAAATAACTGCTACATGTTAAGGGGGGTGAGAGAGGACTGGTCCAATAGTTCCAAGGTCTTAAAATAAATCAAGAAACTCAATTACCTCAAATCCCTTGAACCATGCATGCTACCTTGCAGATGTTGCTCTTTCCTTTAACTTCATCTGTATTTGTTCTGCCTCTTATTTGAAACAGTTGAATGGCATGTTTGTTTGAAGAAGAGAAGGTCCAATACTTGGCTATTAATAGTCTCTCTTTAATTAACATAATGTAGATGTTATTGTGACCTTGAAGCATTAATGTTAAGTGAGGATTTGTGTTGATGAGCATATATGAATGTCAAGTCTTTGGAATCCACTTGGTAACATGGTTTCTTATTATTTTTTCTAGCTCCAGAACCTGGGTATCAACCCAGCAAACATTGGCTTCAGTACCCTGACTATGGAGTCTGACAAATTCATCTGCATTAGAGAAAAAGTAGGAGAGCAGGCCCAGGTGGTAATCATTGATATGAATGACCCAAGTAATCCAATTCGAAGACCAATTTCAGCAGACAGCGCCATCATGAATCCAGCTAGCAAAGTAATTGCACTGAAAGGTATAAAAGAATGTGGGTTTTCCTTAAAACTCTTCCTATGTTTTTGTTTTTTTTTGTTTTTTTTTTGTTTGTTTGTTTGTTTTTGAGACGGAGTTTTACTCTTGTCACCCAGGCTGGAGTGCAATGGCACGATCTTGGCTCACTGCAATCTCCACCCCCCAGGTTCAAGCGATTCTCTTGCCTCAGCCTCCCGAGTTGCTGGAATTACAGGTGCCTGCCACCACAACCAGCTAGTTTTTTTGTATTTTTAGTAGAGATGGGGTTTCACTATGTTGGCCAGGCTGGTCTCGAACTCCTAACCTCATGATCCGCCTGCCTCGGCCTCCCAGAGTGCTGAGATTACAGGCGTGAGCCACCACGCCCAGCCAGCTCTTCCTATGTATTTATGCAAGTACAATAACTAGGGTTTACCTTTTTAAGTATATTGATTAAGTTTGGTTAAAGAAAATAGATCTGCTAATACCGAACTTGATTTAAACCACTTTAATTACTTTTACTTGGAATGTATCTGTGGAATGTCTTAACATATATCTACTTAGAATAATTTTAAGTTTTAGAATAAATGCATTTAAATTTTGTATCTGGTATAAAACTGTGCTAAACATATCTCTCTACAGAGGAAAGAAATTAGTGATTCATATTCTGGAATAGAACATACTTTACTAATATTAGCACCTAAACATTGCAGAATTTTGTTATGATGATAAACTTGCCTTTGATTCTGTGCTTTTTTTTTTATACTTCGGGCTTGTGTTTCACTTAGATTATTGGGTTCTAGAAATGGCTTGAATTTACAGTAATTGTTTAAAGTGTGTTTGTATTTAGGTGGATATTAAAGCTCTTGAGTGAAGGGTATTTGAGTTTATTCAGACTAACTTTTTAATTGTCCCAACAAGGGAACTGTGCAGCTTAAGTCTAAACAGAGTTCAAAGACTCTTAGACTGTCACGGAAGCTGTATTCCTTTGAACTTTAGAATGAGACTAATTGACCCTTTAAAACAGATGTTTTTAAGAGGGCTCGGTGACAAACTGACTCTTAAAAAGGCATTCGATTGCCTGCTTTGTTTTTCATTTTGATAGAAGAAAGAAGAGTTCAAGTTCGCAGTAATTTGTTGATAAATTTGTGACTAAGTTATTAGAGGTGCTGAACTTTGACTTTTCTTTACATGATTTAAACTTTGTATATAGTAATAATACTAGTTGGAGAGTGAATAGGGTTGGGTAGGACTAGGATATTCAAACAAATAAGTCACTATCACATATCTAAGATAGAAACTCATCTCATCTCGAGGAAAAATGGTCCAGCTTTCACATAGGACCAGATGTTTTGTGACAGTAAGTGTTTTACTTCTATTACTTCTATTTAGGGTATTAAGCTTCCTTCAGACTCTTTAAAGAATTTAAATTCAGGTCCTTAGCAATTCCCATGCCTCTCTATTAAAAGGCCATCATTTTAATTTTGCCAAAATTCTTTTCTATTTTTAATGTTATTGTTATCTTATCACATTTCTTAATGCTTTCTTATGTGTGCAGATGGTGAGTTATCTTAAATTAGATTGTATTAGTTATTGTCCTGTTCTATAAAAAGAATAAATTGAAAAGATTTTCGGAGCATTGTACAATAACATCATAGATTTGTCCCTATATGTCTGCACTATGGAGTCAAGCTGTCATCCCTTGTCCCCCTCCCCAAGACCACCCCACTTATGTATATATTCCAACCCCTAATAATCTGGGAGTTGAGGAAGGCAGCAAAGGAAAGTAAGTCATTCCAAAATACTGCTTCCCTCTGAAGCCAGTTTTGAACCCCTTGGCTTCTTTTTATAAACAGGACTGTAACTCTCACAATTTTTCAAGTCTGGTTGTGGTTTACATACTGTGTGGGATGGGAATAACATTCTTCATTTTATGAAAGAAATTTTTGCACATGTGTTACGGAGGGTTGTAGTACAAAGCTGTATGTTTTGCCCCCCTTCTTTGTCCCCCCAGCACCCGAATCTTAAAATTTTGGTCCTTCAGGAGCCAGATTCTCTGTGTCTCAGGAATGGTGTTTTTCTTAGTCTTTAAAGACTAATCTTGATAGCCTAGTGATAGTTGTAGGCTTTGGCCTCTATTAATTTATACCAAATCACATTTTGAACTGATGGATTTCAAACTACAAGTACAAGCCTTTGCATCTGACTCAGTGGACTCTTAACACTCAAGGCAAATTTCATCCTTTTTTAACTAAATGCTTGCTTTCTTAATTGGATGAAGCTTGCACTTTGTTCTTATCTCCAGTATATTAACAGCATCTGAAACTATCCTCTTCCTTTGTCTCCCTCTCCTTTCCTCCAGCACCTCTACCTTCCCTTTGTTATCTTAAGCCGGTTAAATGTAGCAGGCACTTCTCTTACGTGCTAGTGGCAACAAGACAGAATTGAAGCAGATCCTCTTTTTAAAAAGCAGTTTCCACAAGATTTATTTAGATGAGAGATGACTGCCTTTAAAAAAATACATTTTCTTTCCCCCATGTGTTTGTTATCAGAGTTGCTTTGTCTTGTGTACATGCAACTAAGTTTATGTGTAAAGTAAACATACTTAATTACAAGTATGAAGGTGACAGCTTTGTTTTCAATTATTGTTAAGAAAACTATTCATTAGGCTTATTTTCAGTTGGGATTTAGAATTCCATGGAAGTCATACTATCTGTTTAAAGTGTGTTTATTAGAGGTAATGTAGTTTTTGCTTAAAACGTAGATGTAGATTGTTTGCTTAGTCTTAGCTGTTACCTCTTTAATGGTTGCTGCTGTATCGATGCAACTCGTCTCGTAATAGAACTATTTTTGTTTGGAAGTGACAGAGCTAGTCTAGGTAGGTATTCATTCTAAACTTTACTCTTTTAATGATTTATAATTCTTGATTTTGTTTTTAGCTGGGAAAACTCTTCAGATTTTTAACATTGAAATGAAAAGTAAAATGAAGGCTCATACCATGACTGATGATGTCACCTTTTGGAAATGGATCTCTTTGAATACGGTTGCTCTTGTTACGGATAATGCAGTTTATCACTGGAGTATGGAAGGAGAGTCTCAGCCAGTGAAAATGTTTGATCGCCATTCTAGCCTTGCAGGGTGCCAGATTATCAATTACCGTACAGATGCAAAACAAAAGTGGTTACTTCTGACTGGTATATCTGCACAGGTAACATTTTAACTATTTTTTTATGAAGAAGAGGTTTAGAACACGGTTGTGCCCAGAATGCAGTTTGATTTTGAAATTAGGTCTTTCTATACTCAATCCTGTTGAATTTCACTTATTTTGGAAGACTTTTTTTTTCCTTCCTCCCATCCCTTCTCTTCTCCTTCCTCCCTCCCTTCTCTTCTTCCTCGCTCCCTTGCTATACTGACATATAATTTCAGAATGCTCTTACCAAGCGTTTTTAGCTCTTCTGTGGAGATTGAGTAGAAATTGAGTTTCTGTAAGAATGATTTGGGATTTATTATGGAGTATTTACTGCAGAATGAATGCTTCTATACCTTTTTGTTTAAGACGTATATGAGGCATATTTTAAACATTTATGTTAGGCTTTAACAAGATAATGTTTGGGGCTGATTTTAAGTTAAGAAGTATCAAATCTACAGTGAGAGATGAAGTGACAAATAATTATAAATCCTGCTAAAGATGACAAAGCATTCTAATTATTTCATTACTTGATGAATCTGAGAGTTTTTGATTTATGGGTCTTCAAACGTTATTCTCTTTGATCCTTTATAGCAAAATCGTGTGGTGGGAGCTATGCAGCTATATTCTGTAGATAGGAAAGTGTCTCAGCCCATTGAAGGACATGCAGCTAGCTTTGCACAGTTTAAGATGGAAGGAAATGCAGAAGAATCAACGTTATTTTGTTTTGCAGTTCGGGGCCAAGCTGGAGGGAAGGTAAGTTTTGGCTTTGGTAATTATTTTAATGAGAACTTGTATTTGGCTTTCTGCTATGAATTAGTCATCTAATTTCAAAATAGCCTTCTCCCTTCCTAAGTAATTTTAGTATTCACATTTGTGGTGACTTAATTTGTTCAAATTTTGCATCTAGTGATACTTGTCTAAAATGAATAATGTTCTTTCACAACTCGTTCTGTTGGCTGTTTATATTCTTTGATTGCTAAAGTGCACATTTATATGCTGTACATCTAGAGAGTTTGATTTAGTAGGTGTTGCCTATAATTTTTTTTGTTTATTTGTTGCTTTTTGAGACAGGGTGTCACTCTGTTGCCCAGGCTGGAGTGCAGTGGCGCAGTCATGGGCTCACTGCAGCCTCGACCTTCTGGGCTCAAGTGATCCCTCTGTCTCAGCCTCCCGAGTAGCTGGGACTACAGGCATGTGCCACCATGCCTGGCTAAATTTTGTATTTTTGTAGAGACAGGGTCTCACTATACTGCCCAGGCTGGTCTCAAACCTCTGGGTCCAAGTGATCCTCCCGCCTTGGTCTCCCAATATAATCTGCATTTTAAATACCTTATATGGCTTGATATAGAGGCAATGTAGACTACAGGTGAATAACACTGACTTAAGTTAGAGGTTTTCAACCATGACTACACATTGGAATCGCCTGGACAGATTGTAGTACTTTGTATATTAGACTTAGTTGCAGGTAATAGAAACAAGGTCTGGTTGATTAGAGCAATGGTCTGTTTAGTGAAGGATATTGGATAGTTTACAACAGCTGGGGAGGCTGTAAAACCAAGACTGGGAAATGAGGAGAAATAATGGAAAATGAGCAGTGGTCAGGGTCCCAGCCAACAACTATTCCACAGAACTCTGAGGACACTTCTGGATCCATGATTGCATTTCTGGATGCTTGGAAATTCGATTTGACTACTATTTCCACTACCAGAGTAGCATCTCTGAAATCCTAATACTTTTGTGTTCCTAGCTCCCTGTTCAAAGTCTAGTTTTAGGCAAGATCAGATGCCCACATCTTATGTCTGAGAGGTTTGGAAATAATTATTTGGTGTTTGGTGCTCCTAAAACAGAAGGCTGGTTCTACCACCAACAAAACTTGTAAAGAGTATCTTCCCTCTTGTTGTCCCATCAGGAAGAGGGTTTAGATTCTAGGCAGACCAAAAAATTTGAACTTCACTTTTGTTAGGACATGTGTCTCTCTCTTTGTAAGTAAGCAGTTTTTAAAAATTGAGATAGAGATTGCTTAAGATATCATCTGTAGCCTGTCAGGAGAGAGGAAACAGTAAGTAATGACATACAATTCTGCTTAAAATTTCACGATAGCCCCTGAATTGAGGATAATGCTACCAACACCTCAATGTGACAGTGGTAGAAAGCACTGATATTTAGATCTGAATAGATGAAATTTAAACAGAAAAAAACACATAGTTTTAGAAATTAGATATTATCCTTAAAACATAAGGCAGGACATTTATTGAAAAGTTCTACTAGAAAAAAGTTTCAATGTCATTTTGAACAGTATCTGGAAACCTGTTTATAGGTTATTGAGCCTATTATTTCATACATGGTGCTATCCTGTCTGCCATGGCTTTTGAAGGAAGATACCAAGTTTTTCAGTATGGCTAGTCATCCTAATGAAGGATGATGAGACCCTATAACATTCATATGGTATGTGTCTTGGAAACTGAATTTTTTTTTGTCTGAGTTCATTTCTGGCATGACTAAGGAAAATATATAGTACTTTTTCATTGAGATTATTTACTTTTCTCTTGCCTGGCTTATGTGCAGCATTGGATATTTTAAACCAAAATGTTCTCATTTAGTTTATGGGATGTTTGTGATTAGAGAGACAACTCAAATTAGGTATATACATTCATTCTGTTTTAGTGTATATGTATAGGTAGAGAAGAATTTAACAACTTAGGTTTCTATTTGGAAATACTAAATTAAAATTTAAAGCTAGGAGAAAAGTACCATTGTAGGTAATGTATTACCCTTCTATACCATTTATTTCAGGTAGATTATTTGAGGTATGATTATTTCAGATATTCAGATGACTTTTTTTTTTTTTTTTTTTTTTGAGATGGAGTCTTGCTCTGTTGCCCAGGCTGGAATGCAGTGGCACGATCCCGGTTCCCTGCAACCTCCACCTCCTGGGTTCAAGCGATTCTCCTGCCTCAGCCTCCCGAGTATCAGCTGACTTTTAAAAATGCATTTATCTTAAAATAATACAGATTTATAGGAAGCTGTAAAGACAGTACAGAACAGTCCCCTGTGTTCTTTACCCAGTTTCTCCCAATGGCTACATCTTACACAGCTGTAGTACAGTAGAAAAACCAGGAAATTGACATTGGTACAATTGTATAATTCTGTGTCATTTTATCATGAGTAGATAACTATTTTATCACCACAGTGATTTCCCTTATGACTGTAGCGTCACACCCACTCCCCCTCTCTCACACCATCCCTAGCTCCTGGCAACCACTAATTTATTCTCCATCTCTATAATTTTGTCACTTTAGAAATGTTACATAAATGGAATCATACAGTATGTGACCTTTTAAGATTGGCTTCTTTTTTTTCACTCACCATAATGTTCATGAAAGTTTGTTCCTTTTTATTACCAAGTATTCCATGGTATGGATGTAACCAAAACCATTTAACATTGATCTTCTGTAGAACATGTTGGTTGTTTCCATTTGGGGGCTACAAATAAAGCTGCTGTGATCAACTGCTAATGTATAGGTTTATATACATTTTGATTTTCTTTTGAACAGTTACATATTATTGAAGTTGGCACACCACCTACAGGGAACCAGCCCTTTCCAAAGAAGGCAGTGGATGTCTTCTTTCCTCCAGAAGCACAAAATGATTTTCCTGTTGCAATGCAGGTATTTTAAGCAAAATAAATGACTTTTTAAAAATCTCTCCTCTTAAAAGAAATTAACCCAAAGACTATTCATGGTAGATATAATTTAAGTGATGCTTAAAAGAATACTTTTTTAAAGTTTATTAGTGAAGCTTTGTAAAATAATACCTTGGCTTTTCATGTACAGGACTACCTTAGGCCTATTATGAGGTTTGGCTCCAGACCACCACAATAAAGTAAATACCACAACAAAGTGAGTCATAAGAATTCTTTGGTTTCCCAGTGCAGATCAAAGTTACACTTAACACTATGCTGTAGTCTACTGTAAAGTGTGAAATAGCATTGTCTAGAAAAACAGTATACATACTGTAATTTAAAAATACTTTATTGCTAAAAAATGTTAATGATTATTTGAGCCTTTAGTGAGTTGTAATCTTTTTGCTTGTGGAAAGTCTTTTCTCAATGTCGATGGCTGCTGAATAATCAGAGTGGTGGTTGCTGAAGGTTGAGGTGGCTGTGGCAGTTTCGTAAAATAAGACAGCAAAGAAGTTTGCTGCATCAATTGACTCTTTCACAAAAGATTTCTCTGTGCATTGCTGTTTGATAGCATTTTACCCACAGTAGATCTTTCAGAATTGGAGTCAGTTCTTTCAAACCCTGCCACTGCTTTATTAGCTAAGTTTCTGTAATAATCTAAATCCTTTGTTGTCATTCAGCAATGTTCACAGCACCTTTACCAGCAGTAGATTTTATCTCAAGAAACCTCTTTTCTTTGCCCATCCTTAAGAAGCAGCTCCTTTACTAGGAGATTACAGTAATTCAGTCACATTTTTAGGCTCTATTTCTAATTCTGGTTTTCTTGCTATTTCTACCACATCTCCACTTACTTGCTCCACTCAAGTCTTGAACTCCTCAGTCATCCATGAAGGTTGGAATCAGCCTCTTCCAAACTCCTTTTAATGTTGATATTTTGACTTCCTCCCATGAATCATCAGTGTTCTTAGTGGCATCTAGAATGATGAATCCTTTCCAGATTGACCGTTACTTAAATTTACTGTGGTGAATCCTTTCCAGATTCACTTAAATTTACTTTGCCCAGATCCATCAGATGAATCACTGTTCAGGGCAGCTGTGGTCTTATGAAATAATATTTCTTAAATAAGAAGACTTGTAAGTCAAAATTACTTCTTTGGTCCATAGGCTTCAGAGTGGATGCTGTCTTCGCAGACATGAAAGCAATATTAATCTCCTTGTATATCTCCATTAGAGCTCTTGGGTGACTATGTGCATTGTCGATGAGCAGTAACATTTTGAAAGGAATCTTTTTTTTTCTGAGCAGTAGGTCTCAACAGTAGGCATAAAAAGATTTAGTAAACCATGCTGTAAACAGATGTGCTGTCATCAGGGCTTTGCTGTTCCATTTCTATAGCATAGGCAAAGTAGATTTAGCATAATTCTTGAAGGTCCTAGGATTTTTGGAATAGCAGATGAGCATTGGCTTCACCTTAAAGTCACCAGCATCATTAGTTCCTAATAAGAGAGTCAGCCTGTCCATTAAAGCCAGGCATTGACTTCTCTGTAGAGAAAATCTGTTGTTTAGTGTAGCCACCTTCAATGATCTTAGCTAGATCTTCCATATAACTTGCTGCAGTTTCTACATCAGTACTTGGTTTTTCACCTTGCACTTTTATGTTATAGAGATGGTTTATTTGCTTAAACCTCATGAATCAACTTATGCTACCTTCAAATTTTTCTTCTGTTGCTTTCTCACCTCTCTGAGCCTTCACAGAATTGAGGAGAGTTAGGGCCTTAAACTAGATTAGGCTTTGGCTTAAGAGAATGTTGTAGCTGGTTGGATCTTTTATTTTATTTATTTGTTTATTTATTTATTTATTTATTTTATTTATTTTTTTTTTTGAGACAGAGTCTCTCTCTGTCGCCCAGGCTGGAGTGCAGTGGTGCGATCTCGGCTCACTGCAAGCTCCGCCTCCTGGGTTCACGCCATTCTCCTGCCTCAGCCTCCCGAGTAGCTGGGACTACAGGCACCCACCACCACCCTCGGCTAATTTTTTGTATTTTTAGTAGAGATGGGGTTTCACGGTGTTAGCCAGGATGGTCTCGATCTCCTGACCTCGTGATCCACCCACCTCGGCCTCCCAAAGTGGTGGGATTACAGGCATGAGCCACCACGCCCGGCCTCCTCTCCCTCTCCTTCTGCCTCTCCCTCTCCTCCTCTCTCCCCCTCTTTCTTTCCCTTTCCCTCTCCCTCTTTAAAGAGATAGGTTCTCCCTCTGTTGCCCAGGCTGGAAGGCAGTGCTGTGATCATAGCTCACTGCAGCCTTGGAACTCCTGGGCTCAACTGATCCTCTTGCCTCAGCCTCCAGAGTAGCTAAGAGTAGGTAGGACTACAGGTACATGCCAGTACGCCTGGCTACTTAAAAAATATTTTAGAGACAATGTCTCACTGTGTTGCCCTGGCTGGTCTTTTTTTTTTTTTTGACACTGAGTCTCTCTATTGCCCAGACTGAAGTGCAGTGGCGCAATCTCAGCTCACTGCAATCTCTGCCTCCTGGATTCAAGCGATTCTCATGCCTCAGCCTCCCGAGTAGCTGGGATTACAGGCACCCGCCACCACACCTGGCTAATTTTTGTATTTTTAGTAGAGTTGGGGTTTCGCCATGTTGGTCAGGCTGGTCTTGAACTCCTGACCTCAAATGATCTGCCCACCTTGGCCTCCCAAAGTGCTGGGATCACAGGCGTGAGCCACCATGCCCAGCCCAGGCTGGTCTTAAACTCCTGGCCTTAAGTGATCCTTCTGCCTCAGCCTCCTCTGTGGCTGGGATACAGACACATACCACTGCACCTGGCTAGTGTATAACATTTTTATTTGTATTTTTATTTGAGACGGTCTCGCTCTGTCACCCAGGCTGGAGTGCAGTGGCGCAATCTCAGCTCACTGCACCCTCCACGTCTCGGGTTCAAGTGATTATTGTGCCTCAGCCTCCCATGTAGCTGGGATTACAGGCGCGCACCACCCCACCTGGGTAATTTTTTTGTATTTTTAGTAGAGACAGGGCTTCACCGTGTTGGTCAGGCTGGTCTCGAACTCCTGACCTCAAGTGATCCACCTGCCTCAGCCTCCCAAAGTGCTGAGATTACAGGCATGAGCCACTGCACCCAGCTGTGTATAACATTTTTCTTTTAGAGACGGAATCTCACTCTGTCGCCCAGGCTGGAGTGCAGTGGCACCATCTCGGCTCACTGCAACCTCCGCCTCCGGGGTCAAGCAATTCTCCTGCCTCAGCCTCCCCAGTAGCTGGGACTACAGGTGCACACTGCCATGCCTGGCTAATTTCTTCCGTATTTAGTAGAGACAGGGTTTCACTGTTTTGCCCAGGGTGGTCTCGAACTCCTGAGCTCAGGCAATCCACCCACCTCGGCCTCCTAAAGTGCTAGGATTACAGGCATTAGCCACTGCACTTGGCCTATAACATTTTAAAAGAGAAAAAAACTGCTCATTTAGATAGTTACATAAATTCAAAAGTAGAATCGTTTTATTTCTCTTTGGCCTGCAAAACATTATCTCAATATGGCAAGTACCTAGAGTTTGACTTTGTCTGTGGTAGGTTTCTTAGATGTGAGAAAATGAGACTGGGATTACATTTGTAAGCCACTGCACCAGTGCACTTTCTGCATATCAGCAAGAAAGCTGTTAGGTTTTCTTATCATTCATGTGTTCACTGGAGTAGCACTTTAATTTCCTTCAAGAATTTTCCTTTGTATTCACAACTTGGCTAGGTCAAAAGGCCCACCATTCAGCCTATCTTGGCCTTGGACATGTCTTTTTCACTAAACTTAAAATTACTTCTAGCTTTCGATTTAAAAAGAGAGGTAGAACACATAGAGGCAATTGTAGTTATTATATTGGCCTAATATTGTTGTGTCTCAGGTAATAGGGAGGCCTGAGGAAAGGGAAAGAAACGGGAGAACAGCTGGTTGGTGGAGCAGTCAGAACACACACAATATTTATCAGTTCAGTTTGCTGTCTTATGTGGGTGCAATTCATCACACCCCAAAATAATAGTTACATCAAAGATGACTGGCCACAGATCAACATGACAGATACAATAATGAAAAGGTTTGAAATATTGTGAGAATTAATGAAAACGTGACACAGAGACACTGAAGAGAGCACATGCTGTTGGAAAATAGTGCCAATAGGCTTGCTCGATGCAGGGTTGCCATAAACCTTCCATTCGTAAAGATTCATCTGCACTGCAAAGTGCAGTAAAATGAGGTATCCCTGTAATACGTAAACTGTGCTATCTAAGTTTTGAATTGTCTTTCCTCTTATCAGTTTCATGTTATATAAGAGCTTGGGATATCCATATTTAAATGTGCTGTAGAAATGAAGGAAACTTTAAATATTAGCTTATAATTTTTCAAATAACCCTCTTGTTCTGGAATTTTACCATCTCTAAAATGGAATTAGACTGAATGTTTTTATTTTCTGTTTGTAGATTCATTATTTTACTAAAGTGTTGATTTTCTTTCTGTAGATCAGTGAAAAGCATGATGTGGTGTTCTTGATAACCAAGTATGGTTATATCCACCTCTATGATCTTGAGACTGGTACCTGCATCTACATGAATAGAATCAGTGGAGAAACAATTTTTGTTACTGCACCTCATGAAGCCACAGCTGGAATAATTGGAGTAAACAGAAAGGGACAAGTAAGGAAACCTTGAAACTTAAGCAATAAAATAAGATAACCTGATGAGTTGGGAACAATCCTGTCCTTTTGAGAAATTACTCCCCAAGATTAAAAAATAGAAAATAAACATATTACTGTTAGTTTTTTTCCAAAAAGTAAATAGTAACTTTGGATATTAGAAAATAATATATATCAAAGCACGATGTAAGCTGATAAAAAAGAAAATAATATATACCTAAAAATAGAGATGTGTATGAATACAAAGTCTCTCTTTAATCCTGTCTCAGAGAAACTGGTTTATAGCCATCTAGGACTGTATAGATGCATTACTGTCAAAAGAAGTGATTCCCCATGCAAAGAAACAATTTAGGGTCATATTTGACAGACTATTTTTTTAAGGAATTTTCTGTTATCTCCAAGGCAGAGCAATTATCAACTACAGGGAAAAGAATTCTACCTACATCCCTTTTCCTAGCTCCTTAATTAAGCATTACTATTACATGTTAGAAGGTGATATGTTTCAGTACCTCTTGTGGGATGCCTGGAAAGCTAATCAGTTTGGTAGGAAAAATATTATCCGTTCTAAATTTGTCATTTTTGAAAAACCTCTTCATACCATCTAGCAAGTGATTCTTTATCTGTCATCTTATTATTTTAATTTTTTTTTTTTTTTTTTTTTTCTTGAGATGGAGTCTTGCTCTGTCACCCAGGTTAGAGTGCAGTGGCATGATCTCAGCTCACTACAACCTCCACTTCCCGGGTTTAAGCAATTCTCTTGCCTCATCCTCCCAAGTAGCTGCAATTACAGATGTGAGTCACTGCACCCGGCTAATTTCTGTATTTTTAGTAGAGGCGGGCTTTCACCATTTTGGCCAGGCTGGTCTCAAACTCCTGACCTTGTGATCCACCCGCCCCAGCCTCCCAAAGTGCTGGGATTACAGGCGTGAGTCACGGCGCACAGCCTATTTTAATATTAATAAGAATATTTTACCAGGAGCTATGTTAATTTTCTGAAAAATGGCTAAACATTTTAAAAATACTGTTACTGGTCTTGCCTTTTACTCATTTTCTTCCAAATTAGTATTTTTCCCAGATAATAAGCAAAGGAAGTAGATAGATTTTGTTTCTCCTTCATTCAGTTAATTTTTGAAAAATGTTATGTATATGAAGAGACAATTCCTCTAGGGAAAGGGAGTGCATCCCTACCTACCCATGCCCCACCTTAACTCCAGACCTGGTTAGGTGCTTTTGCTCTGTACTCCTAGAACTTAGGGCTTTCTCCTCATAACATTTACCATACTTATTAAAATTGCTCGCTAAGCTGTTGCAGTCACTATTCATCATTAGAAAAAGGGATTGTCTTTAGTAAATTATATTTCTAGCACCAGTCAGTGTCTGGGACAAAAGCAGTTTTAAAAATTCAGTAGCTTTCAGATATTCAGTTATGAGTGTCTTGCTTAGAAAAATCAAGAATAAGGCTAGGCTCAGTGGCTCATACCTGTAATCCCAGCACTTTGGGAGGCCGATGCGGGCAGATTGCCTGAGCTCAGGAGTTCAAGACCAGCCTGGCCAACATGGTGAAACCCTGTCTCTACTAAAAATACAAAAAGTTAGCCGGCTGTGGTGGTGCATGCCTGTAATGCTAGCTACTCGGGAGGCTGAGGCAAAAGAATCACTTGAACCTGGGAGGCGGAGGTTTCTATGAGCTGAGATCGCGCCACTGTACTCTAGCCTGGATGACAGAGCAAGACTCTGTCTCAAAAAAAAAAAAAAAAAGAAGGAAAATCAAGAATATATTGGTCTTTTGGTGAACTAGATTAGTGATAATTTAATAATCATGAAGTTGTGAAGCCAGGGGCTTTTTTTTTTAAACTCTTAATTAATTAAAAAAATAAAAAAAAAGACAGGGGCTGGGCACAGTGTCTCACGCCTGTAATCCCAGTACTTTGAGAGGCTGAGGTGGGTGGATCACCTGGGGTCAGGAGTTTGAGACCAGCCTGACCAATATGGTGAAACCTCGTCTCTACTAAAAATACGAAAAAAAATTAGCTGGGTGTGGTGGCAGGTGCCTGTCGTCCTAGCTACTTGGGAGGCTGAGACAGGAGAATTGCTTGAACCCATGAGGCAGAGGTTGCTGTGAGCCAATATTGTGCCATTGCACTCCAGCCTGGGTAACAGAGCGAGACTCCGTCTCAAAAAAAAAAAGAGAGAGAGCGCCAGGGTCTTGCTATGTTGCCTAGGCTGGTCTTGAACTCCTGGGCTCAAGCGATCCTCCTGCCTTGGCCTCCCAAAGTGCTAGGATTACAGGCATGAGCCACCACGCCTCGCCACTTTTTGTTTCTGCTGTTGTGCTGTTTTAAGATAGCGCTTAACCTTAAATAATTTCATGACACATTCTTGGTGTTCATAACTCTAATTCTGGGAACTTGTTGATTGTTACTTTCCCTTCCTCCCAAATTTTATGTGCCAGCTACTTTGAGTAAAGAGATGAGTATTTACAGTAACCTTAGGGCTTTCTTCTACTCTTTGCTAAAGTCTACCAACTTGGCATATTCCCTGAAGGAATGAGTAAGTGGCTTCTATGGGTTGAAAAAGCAAAATCAATTAAAGTGATATTATAGTCAACATCTGACTTAAATTCTTAATTTGATAGAACTGAGTACTTTAGAAGACACTGGAGCCTTTTCTGTTTCCTGTAGCAGATCTTACTAAGGACTGGTTGCTAGAAATCTGCTAGAACAGTCTTTAAGTATGATAACGATAAAACTGTGGATTCAGTATGTGGGGAAACCTAAGGTAAGATTTGAGTTAAGGTTGGGGCTCAGGAATGCAAATAACTATAAAGAAAGTAATTATTACTTCCTTTAAATAAGCCTTGAGGATGGAGGTCGGACCTATAGAAGTAAAATCTTGGAGGTTGAAATTTCTTCATTTTCCCTGAAAGGAGTAGTAGAATTGGCAGGGCAGACTGTTACCTATCTATCTATTTGGTTCACTGAGTTCTCAAGTATTTTTCAATTCTTACTGATTTGGGGACAGAAATTTCCTATATTCATTTATTCAACAAATTAAATACGTTTTATGCTATACTAATTGCATATTGCTAGTAATACAGTTAAACAAAGACAAACCCCCTTTCCTCATGTGAACAGTAACTGAGAAAAAATTATACAATTATATTAGGTTGAGAAGTGCTGTTGGGGTAATATGAGTAGTTTATAAGCTAGGGCATATGACTAGTTCTGCACTGGGGAATGGGATGGATGGGTAGAGAAGGACTCCCTTTCTCTATGGCAGTTGACAGTAGTTCAGCTTTTGGGGCAAGCCAGAAAATATTCTGTGGCATTGAGAGGTTTGAGGGTAGGTAATTTTCCAAACAAGCAATTAGAAATTGGCCTTTACTGATATTATTATTATTTTATTTTTATTTTTTATTTTTAATTAATTTTTTTTTTTTTTTGAGACAGAGTCTCCCTCTGTTGCCCAGGCTGGAGTGCAGTCGTGCCATCTTGGCTTACTGAAACCTCTGCCTCCTGGGTTCAAGCGATTCTCCTGCTTCATCCTCCCTAGTGACTACAGGCGCGTGCCACCATGCCCGGCTAATTTTTATATTTTTTTTTTAGTAGAGGTGGGGTTTCACCATGTTGGTCAGGCTGGTCTTGAACTCCTGACCTCATGATCCACCTGCCTTGGCCTCCCAAAGTGCTGGGATTACAGGCGTGAGCCACTGCACCCGGCCTATTTTTTCAAGCACCTACCATGTTCCTTGTATTATGTTAGCTGCTTGAGGATTCAGTGGTCCCTCCCTTCATTGAGTATATAATCTGCTCTCTAGGAATGAAAATGTAATTAACGAAAATTACCAAAAAATTCTTGTAAAGAAAAATCCTAAAATTAAAAGGAGTATACCTTAAACAACTTGCAAGTGAACCCTAAATGTCATTTAGATATCATAGCTTCTTCAGTGTCATTTTCTGTAGGTTATCAAGATTGAAGTCCTCAAGAAGTTTTAAATTATGTGGAGTTGTCTTTCAGAGCTCAATTAAGTGGGAATGTTAATTTTTGATACTGACTGTGTTAAGAATGAATAGATGGTATCAAAGCAGTTAGTTTGGACAATGAAGTAAGTTATTTAGATTATAGAATAGCCATATTTTAGGAACCACATAATGGCCTAACACCCTATGACATTTGTTTTCAAATCTCCTTAATTTTTTTTCTCCTTGTCTTCCTTCCTTTCATTATTTTTTAATGGCAGCAAGAAAACAGCTGTCACAATTTCATTACCTTTGTGACTCAGTATTAACCTGTTCTAAACAGATTTGGTATCATTTGTATCCAAATGAACACATTGCAGCTACATTTTATTCTTTAAATTGCAGGTTCTGTCAGTGTGTGTGGAAGAAGAAAACATAATTCCTTACATCACCAATGTTCTACAAAATCCTGATTTGGCTCTGAGAATGGCTGTACGTAATAACTTAGCCGGTGCTGAAGAACTCTTTGCCCGGAAATTTAATGCTCTTTTTGCCCAGGGAAATTACTCGGAGGCAGCAAAGGTGGCTGCTAATGCACCAAAGGTAAAGAGTTATGAAAATGAAGTTGTCATGACATTAATCCATTGTTAATATTCTGTTTCTTATATTACTAGAAAAGGAACCAGCTTCCTACAGATAAACTGTTTTTAGATTACATTTGGGTTACATTTTCCTTTAGTAGAATTCCTTGTCAATGCCTCTAGATTTGGTTAATTTTCTCTGGATTTGATTAGTTTTTTAAAACCCAGATTGTTAGAAGGATATGTGGGTCTAGCAAGCTTTTGATTTACATAGATGTAGTAATGTTTAGTCATTTAGGTGTTATACTGTTTGACCTCATAAATGATAGTTACTGATTTTATTTCCATAACTTGGACATGAAATACATACTGTCCAATTTTATAGTGGGTAGAGCTGTCAAAATTAGGCTGAATTTATTCTTATCACTTTTGATGTTAGTTTATGGTGGACTGAATTAACACCTTACATTCCTGACCAATATTCATTATGAAATTTGTACTTAATTTAATATGAACTTGGGATAATACTTAGCTATAACTGTTTTATGATTATAACTATTCTCTTACACACTGACATTGTAATTTAAGTTGATGTATTTTTGATTCTGGATAATTTTTTTTTTTTTCCAAATTCTGGATAATCTTATAACATTGAACCAGGGGTATGAAAGACAGTGACTAAATATTTACTCCAGATGGTAAAGATTTGAAACTTCCTAACTTGATGTTAATAGATGGATTCATTCCTTTAAGATTGACCTAAGAGATTGATCTCTACAGGGTGTTTAGTGTGATGTTTGGATCACTTTCGAAGAGCGTTTAACATTTCTCCTTCTTACACTTTCGAAGAGCGTTTAACATTTCTCCTTCTTAAAGGGAATTCTTCGTACTCCAGACACTATCCGTCGGTTCCAGAGTGTCCCAGCCCAGCCAGGTCAAACTTCTCCTCTACTTCAGTACTTTGGTATCCTTTTGGACCAGGGACAGCTCAACAAATACGAATCCTTAGAGCTTTGTAGGCCTGTACTTCAGCAAGGGCGAAAACAGCTTTTGGAGAAATGGTTAAAAGAAGATAAGGTACGTTAAATTATGTTGACATAATCTTGCTTTGGTTGCATTAAATATGATATTGGCAAGTTAAAATCATTTAGGCTGCACCACAATGTCTCCATTACTGCTGGTAGAAACAGAACAAAAACACACATTGCATAAGATGGATTCACTTATTTCCTTTTGAAAAAATATATATTTTTTCGCCGGGCATGGTGGCTCAGGCCTGTAATCCCAGCACTTTGGGAGGCCATGGTGGGTGGATCACCTGAGGTCAGGAGTTTGAGACCAGCCTGACCAACATGGAGAAACCCCGTCTCTACTAAAAATACAAAAATCAGCTGGGCGTGGTGGCAGGTGCCTGTAATCCCAGCTACTTGGGAGGCTGAGGCAGGAGAATCACTTGAACCCGGGAGGTAGAGGTTGCAGTGAGTTGAGATTGCATCACTGCACTCCAGCCTGGGTGATAGAACGAGACTCGGTCTTAAAAAAAAAAAAAAAGTTGGATCTTAGTAAGACAGGATGGCTATCTAATTAGCAATGAGATACTGTTTCCCAGAGATTTCACAGAATGTTAGTTGGTGTTACATGGAAAAATATTTAACTTGGTTTCTTGAAATTTATTTAAATATGAACCTTTTCTAAATGTTAACTAGCTTTCTTTACTGTAGGTCTTCTCCATGCCTTTTATATTCACTCAGTACTTATTTCTCTTTACAGAGAGCATATAATGGTAGTATGTTTTCCTGAGCACATTATTCCTTATGTGGAATAGTGACTGAGAAACAGCCAAAGGATGTTGTTTGTTTCTAGGATAACAAACAAGTTTTAGCTGTCCATTAGTGTTAATTCCTTTCACACCACCACATAAAAAAGCCTTTCTCCTCAAAGTTGTAGTATGGAATTGCCATTGTCAAGAACTGAAGTAGTATTGTTTAAAGCACTCTGAATAGTGAATAACATTTAATGTTATTATTCTTTCAGCGTTAGTATATGTTAGGACTGTTTTTATATTATTAATTCTAAGTCCTTGTTTCTTGACCCAGTTTCTGGCAATCTTGTAAGATACCAGAGAATACTACATCAGATTTGGGATACTTGGACAGGAGTCTCTGATGAAGAATAGCCACACTAGCGAGTATTTGAGGTCCATCCTAATTGATTAAGATAAGGCAGGGCTGAGTTTGGTGGCTTACGCCTGTAATCCCACTACTTTGGGAGGCTGAGGCAAAAGGATCACTTGATGCAAAGAGTTTGAGACCAGCCTAGGCAACACAGCGAGACCTTATTAAATAAATACACAATATTTTTTAAAAAGATAAGGGAGGGTGAGAACAGCCAAGGTAACTGAGTTGACCTACGTAACAGGGTGAAAGCTTTTTAGGTATCATTATCCTTTTCTGTGAACAGTCATATGGGACCATTTGTGGTATTAATAAAAGAGACATTAATCAACTATTCATTAGCATGTTCAGTTAAGATTATCGACTCTGATACAACTTTTTATTTTTGGCACTAAATATCATTTATAAGAGCTAGTCCCCAAAGTAGAAAATCTACTATAGTATGTAAACCAGAACTCTTAGGAAATGAATTTCCAGATTGGGCAGCTGAATGAGTAAGGCAGACTGAATAACACAGAAGACAGTATCTGCCTGTATACTACCTAAAAATTCTTAAGAGTGTCCTTCCTGCCCTATAAGCTTAAATCCAAGTCAAGAAGATAGTGGTGCTTAGATCCCTCAGACATATATAGGTTACACTGTGAGTTTAATAACTGTCCTTATGGTAAACCTCATCTGGCTCCTTCATTATCAAATTTTCAGTTGATAACATTACATTAAAAGTTGCTTTTTGTTTTTGAAAAATTGGGGCCATGTGATGTGAGTCTGATATCTGAATATTCTTAGTAGCTAGAAGTACAAGAGGTACAAGATTGTACTTTGAAGTACTTAAATCCTTAACAAGGTAGTTGATAGTATCTATAAGATTGCAGTCTTGGTGAGCTTTTTATCGTTAAACAGGATTTGTGGAGAATTCTACTGAGACATTGCTGTGAACACAAGATTAAGAGTCTACCAACCACAACCCCTGCATATTTATAATATATTCTGTGAAACTAAGTACCTTTCATACTAGTTATTACTTATAGTGGACATAGTGTCAACTGCTCATTTCTAAAACAGTTCATGGATCACTAAACAATCTCTTTTTCCTTTGGACAGCTGGAATGTTCTGAAGAACTGGGTGATCTTGTGAAATCTGTGGACCCTACATTGGCACTTAGTGTGTACCTAAGGGCTAACGTCCCAAATAAAGTCATTCAGTGCTTTGCAGAAACAGGTCAAGTCCAAAAGATTGTTTTATATGCTAAAAAAGTGAGTTCAATGAAACACATTCTCAGCATGAATTCATTGAAGCATTGACAGAGAAATTAGCCTGTATTAACTCTTGATTACTTTAATAGTGAATTTCCTTTCATTTTGATTTACTTTGAAATGTATAAAAATTCTCTTACCCCTCATATCAAATTCATACTTGTTAAATTGAGAAAATTACTTTTGCATGGCTTATCAGAATTTCAGATAGCAGGCACGTTTAACATGTTAGAACAAACTTTTGAAATATTCATTTATTGAAAATGGATAAGCCAGGCCAGGTGTGGTGGCTTGCGCCTGTAATCCCAGCACTTTGGGAGGCCAAGGCAGGCAGATCACTTGAACTCAGGAATTTGAGACCAGCCTGGGTAACATGGTGAAACCTTGTCTTTACTAAAAATACAAAAAAGTAGCCAGGCGTGGTGGTGTGTCTGTGGTCTTAGCTACTCAGGAGGCCAAGGTAGGAGGATCACTTGAGCCCAGGGGGCAGAGGTTTCAGTGAATCGAGATTGCACCTCTGCACTCCAGCTTGGATGACAAAGCAAGACCCTGTCTCAAAAAAAAAAAAAAAAAGAAAAGAAAAGAAAAGAAAATGGATAAGCCAGTTATAAAAATTGACAGATGTTTGTTCAAATATGTCATCACCAAGGTCTAACTGGGCACCTTAAATTGAAAATGAATTTGTGCTTTCACCAGTAGTTCTATATTAGTGAGATTTTATAGTAGAAAAAGTCTTTAAATGCTATAAAATTGAAACTTAGGAGCAGCGTTTAAGTCTTTGTTTGTTTATAGGTTGGATACACTCCAGATTGGATATTTCTGCTGAGAAATGTAATGCGAATCAGTCCAGATCAGGGACAGCAGTTTGCCCAAATGTTAGTTCAAGATGAAGAGCCTCTTGCTGACATCACACAGGTAATGTGATTAAAATATATTTTGTAGAAGCTGATTGAAATGGAGAGTGGGGGCCAGCCATGGTGGTTGACTTGGGAGTCCAAGGTGGGAGTATTGCTTGAGGCCAAGAATTCAAGACCAGTCTGGGCAACATTGTGAGACCCTGTAACTACAAAAAATTTAAAAATCAGCTGCATGTGGTGGCACATGCCTGTCGCCCCAGCTACTCGGGTGGCTGAAGTGGAGGGATAGCTTGAGCCTGGGAGGTCGAGGCTGCAGTGAGCTATGATCGTGCCATTGGACTCCAACCTGGGCAACAGAGTGAGACTCTCAAAAAGAAAAAAAAAAAAGGAAAACTTACAGTTTGTAGAAATTAAAGCTTTGTCACTCTATATGGATAAACCTCAAATGCCTTGCAAAAAAAGCAAGTTGCAAAAGAATGGACAGTATGAAACCATCTGCATGTAGTTTTAATACATGCAAAACAAACATCTTATTTAGAGATGTATGTGTATTAAAAATATGAAAAATACATGGGGATGATAAAACAGGATAGTGGTTGCCACTGGGTGTGGGGAGAGGGAAGAGATGCATTTGTAAGTGTGAGTCAGAGTCCTTCATATTTATGCTATTGGTTTTCTAAAGTTCATAAAAATAAAGGTCTGTCAGGCTGGGTGCGGTGGCTCAGGCCTGTAATCCCAGCACTTTGGGAGGCTGAGGTGGGCAGATCACCTGAGGTCAGGAGTTTGAGACCAGCCTAGCCAATATAGCGAAACCCTGTCTCTACTAAAAATAACAAAAAATTAGCTAGGTGTGGTGGCAGACGCCTGTAATCCCAGCTACTCAGGAGCTGAGGCAGGAGAATCGCTTGAACCCGGGAGGTGGAGGTTGCAGTGAGCTGAGATCGTGCCATTGCACTCCAGCCTGGGCAATAAGAGCGAAACTCTGCCTCAAAAAAATAAAATAAATAAATAAAATAAAATAAAGGTCTGTCGGTTCAGTTGTATTCTGCTGTTATGTAATATCTTGAAATATTTTGTAGTTGTTTTTATCAGAACTCAAAATAACTATGATCCCTAGAGGACAAAAATTTGTTCTTAAGTGTTTATATTGTCCAAATAAAATTCTCAGGTAAAGAAAGAGTTCATGCATAATTTTGTCTACATACTCTCCATAGTATCTTAAAACAATTTCTTTTAAATCTTTTTTTGTAGATTGTAGATGTCTTTATGGAATACAATCTAATTCAGCAGTGTACTGCATTCTTGCTTGATGCTCTGAAGAATAATCGCCCATCTGAAGGTCCTTTACAGACGCGGTTACTTGAGATGAACCTTATGCATGCGCCTCAAGTATGTGTTTTAATGCTTTTTAGGCATGTTTCCAACATTGTTTTAGTAATTGTGCAGCGCCTCTCAGATTGTTATGCAAAGCTACTGAGGGGCCTACTCCTTATTAAAGAAAATGTAGCTATTATAATATTCTTTTGTACTTTAACAGTTCACTATTAAACCTTAATCTGTAATACGGATATTGAATTACTCATGTAAGTGGAGTGGACAATAAACTTGCCTTGTTTGTGGTTTTACAGGTTGCAGATGCTATTCTAGGCAATCAGATGTTCACACATTATGACCGGGCTCATATTGCTCAACTGTGTGAAAAGGCTGGCCTACTGCAGCGTGCATTAGAACATTTCACTGATTTATATGATATAAAACGTGCAGTGGTTCACACCCATCTTCTTAACCCTGAGGTATTTCAGTTTCTTACCTAATAGATGGTGTTAGTTGTGATTAATAGGTACACTGAAAATGTGTTTGTGGTACTAAATATTAATAATTTCATACCACCATGAGGTTCAACATTATTTCATTTATTCATTCATTCATTTATTTTGTCTTGTAGTGGTTAGTCAACTACTTTGGTTCCTTATCAGTAGAAGACTCCCTAGAATGTCTCAGAGCCATGCTGTCTGCCAACATCCGTCAGAATCTGCAGATTTGTGTTCAGGTGGCTTCTAAATATCATGAACAACTGTCAACTCAGTCTCTGATTGAACTTTTTGAATCTTTCAAGAGTTTTGAAGGTAATTAGGAGTTTTTGAGTTTTTAAAAAAAGTACTTAAGGTAGCCAAGAAGAGGTATGCTTATGATCAGGCTGTTGGAAATTTTGTTTTTCTAAAAATTTGGTTCTATGGGACATTTTAATTTTTTAAGTTTTATTCAATATATGTCAAGGCCCTTTTATGTTGGATTCTAAGGATATGCAGTGAACCAGACCATCTGTTTGGATATTTTATAGATGAATTAAAGGTAGAATTTTAAGAGAAAAATATGTAGTGGTGTTGAAATTGTATAAAATGAAAATACAGGTTGAGTGTCCCTAATCTGAAAATCCAAAATGCACCAAAGTCCAAAACTTCTTGAGCACCAACATAACGCTCAAAGGAAATGCTTGTTGGAGCATTTCAGAAATCGGATTTTCAGATTAGGGATGCTGATCAGGTAATTATAATGCGAATATTCCAAAGTTCAAAATCTGAAACACGTCTGGTCTCAAGTATTTTGGATAAGGGATACTCAGTCTGTACTAATGATCAGGTATAATAAAATTTTATGCTTATATGTCTGACTCTTATAATAGCAGGTGATTCTCACTAAGGGCATTTTGTGATTTGTTGCTATTTAGCAGGATTTCTTAACCTTAGTACTATAGACATTTAGGGCTGGATAATCATTGTAGAGGGGTGTTCCTGTACATGTAGAATATTTAGTAGAATATTCAGCAGCATTCCTGGTTTCTACCCACTAGATTCCAGTAGCGTCAGCTCCACCAGTTGTGACAACCAAAAATGTCTTCAGACATTGCCAGTGTCACCTGTGAGGAAAATCACCTCAGTTGAGAACCACTGCTATACAGGGTACTAACGTAATCACTGTTGGGTGTCTAACTTCTGGTCCCCAACTGCCTTTCTCTCCTCTCTGTACTAGTAGTACTCTATTGAGAAGGGGTAAGAGAGTCTAGTAGTTTTCTTAATTTTTTCTTAATTTTCCCAGTTTCAAAATGTTAACTGTGCACTAAATTTACACTGTTTAGTACAGTCACTAGCCACATATAGTAGCTATTTACATTGAAAGTTATTAAAGTGAAATAAAATTTAATATTTAGTTATTCAGTCACTCTAGCCACATTTCAAGTGCTTAATAGCCACATGTGTTTAGTGGCTATTATATTGGAAGGCAAAGATAAGATTTTCATCATTGCAGAAAGTTCTTCTGGACAATACTGCACTAAATTCTTCCCAAATTATTTTGTATGTTTCCTATAAATTGCATATTGAAAAACACCAGGTATTGGGGTCTTCATTTAAAATTTCCCATATAGGGGCACAATGGTGTATGCCTTTAATAATCCCAGTGCTTTGGGAGGCCAAGTGCTTGGGGCCACAAATTCAAGACCAGCCTGGCTAGCATAGCAAGACACCATCTCTACAAAAATTTTCTTAAAAATTAGCCTGGCATGGTGGCATGCATCTGTAGTTCTAGCTACTTAGGAGGTTGAGGTGGGAGGATTGCTTGAGCCCAGGAGTTTGAGGCTGCAGTGAGCTATGATCGTGCCACTGCACTCCAGCCTGGGTGACAGAGACCTGCCTCAATAAAAAAGAAAAAAAGGAAACATTGGGTTGAATTGTCTATTCTTCAGGATTAAAGTGCAATCCATTTTACTGATCTGATTAATGGAATAGTTAGTATTTTTATCGCGCTTTTTAAGCAACCAACTTATATTTGGGAGTATTCAATATAACAGTTTTTTAATTACATAAATGTTTTTCAGTCATTCTCAAAAGTGTGCCTATGCTTAATTGTAATTACTTGTTTCTTTAAGGTCTCTTTTATTTTCTGGGATCCATTGTTAACTTTAGCCAGGACCCAGATGTGCACTTTAAATATATTCAGGCAGCTTGCAAGACTGGGCAAATCAAAGAAGTAGAAAGAATCTGTAGAGAAAGCAACTGCTACGATCCTGAGCGAGTCAAGAATTTTCTTAAGGTAAGTGGTTTTGAGTAATGTGTTTTCTGGTTGGATTCCAGGTTAGCAGTTCTACAAGGGTTTGGTCATAGTTCAAAAATATTTTTTCCCTAAATGTGAAGTTGTTAGCATTCTTAAGTTGTGTGCTGGATTATTTCTTCCAAACATAATATTCTGTGGTTTCCTTTGAAATACGGAAGGAAATTGGTGAGTAAGAATGACCATCTGTTTAAAAGAAGAAAAAAAAAATAGCACTATTTCAAAGGAATTTCCTTTATTTTAATTTTGGATGGAAAAATTTAGAAAAGTGGTTGTATACTTTCAATGTCATTTTAGAATCATTTAGGCTTTTGAATATTAACATCAGCTTGCTCTTCATACCATTTTGAGGAGCCTCTATTGTAGGCAAAGGGATCTGTTGTCTAAGGAATGTATAGGTTTACCTCTTTCATCAAGTTTGCTCAACTCTAGAAACTAAAATATTGTTATTCATATATAATTCATAAAGGTAAGATCAAACAAAACGCTCAGCTTTGTGACACATTAAATCAGTTAGAGAGGAGTAAGGACCACCTGTGTTGCAGGGAGGAGTAATGGTTGAGAGATTCTGAACTCTAGAACATCCCTAAGGGCAGTTAATTTTGTTTAATGTTTAACTTAGCTTTAGCTTTATTCTTGTAACTGCCAGTTACTTTGTGATGGAAATAAAGCTTTAAAATTGATAGCTATCTATAAAAGGCTAGGAAAACTACAGAACACTTAGATTACTGCTCTCTCACTGCCTATTATGTGTGTGTGTGTACACTATATATATATATAATGATTCCTGAGACTTTATAGAAAGTTCTGAAGTATTTTTTGTCTTGGAAGAATTTTACATTACAAGTAAAACCAAAATGTTTTTGTAGAACACAGTATAGAAAGTAGGCTTTTCCTACTCCCAGATTATCATCATTTGTGTGTGTGGTTGCATTGGCAGATTGTTCTTTTGAAGAATTTACTACCTGGGCTCTAGATTAAATAGCAAAACCCTTAGGGGTTTTAGTGTAATGAAGTAGTCAAAATGTTGAAACTGCTCTACATTTTAGATTAAAAGATACACTTTTCAAAAAAGTATAGCTTTAAAATGTCTTGGCCATCATGAATATTCTGGGTAACCTAGCTGTGCTATGTTTGGACCAAAACTTTCTGGTGTCAAAAAACCCCTCCAAATGAGAAAGATTTGATACTCTGTGCTTGACTAGTGTACCCATACTACTGATTCACTTCCTTCTTTGAGTATCATTACTATTTCCTTTAAAAAAAACAACAACAAAAAAAACTACTACTAGATTCTTTTGGGGGCAGGGGGTGTTGGGTTTTTTTTTTTGTTTTTCTTTTTAAGCTTTTAAGTTCAGGGGTGCGTGGGCAGGTTTGTTATATAGGTAAACTGTGTCATGGGGGTTTGTTGTACAGATTGTTTCGTCATCCAGGTATTAAGCCTACAACCCATTAGTTATTTTTTCTGATCCTCTCCCTCCTCCCATCCTCCACCCTTCAGTAGGCCCCAGTGTCTGTTGTTCCTCTCTGTGTCCATGTGTTCTCATCATTTATCTCCCACTTGCTAGTGAGAACATGCAGTATTTGGTTTTCTGTTCCTGTGTTAATACTACCAGATTCTTAAATGATTTCTTTTTGTTTTTATTGAGCCCTCAGCTTCTATGCTTAAATTGTAACTTCTTTAGCTTTGGATTTTAATATTTGAGTTATATATATATGGAAAGCAAAATGAAATTAGCTATTATTTAATTATCACATTTTTGAGCTTTAAAAAAAATCCTCTAGTAAAGAAATGAAAAACAATCCTCTGGGTACTAGGATGGTACTGCCTTAGGTTTGCATAGCCCATGGGATCTAATCAGATGAAGATTTCCCCTCCACACTTGTGAACTGGGTACAAGCCTGATATAGTAGGGGTGTGGATGTGGATTATGAGCTTTTGAGTCAGTCAGACCTGTTTCAAATTCTACTTAGCCATTGTTTGTTCATTCAGTATATGTCTAGCTGTTACCTCAGGCAAGTTAATGAATATGCCTCAGCCTCAGTTTCTTCAACCATAAGCTATGTTTATTTATCAAGTACCTTGTATACTATAGATGTTTAGGCAGTAACTATTACTGATAAGTGATAAGCCTTGGAAAAAGGTGGAGTCAGCCTAAATGGGATTTCTGTCAGGCAAGTATTTATTTCTCTTTGATATCAATTTGTACTTGACTCTTTGAAGGAATTTACTTCCAGCCAGGATTAGAGGTGAATTTAGGGTCTTACGTCTACATAATTTGACATGGGAGCTCAATACTAAGATGCAACTATCACATTCATCCTCTGATGCCAGTGTTGAGAGTGAACTTATTAGATTCCTTGTTAACCTCCAGTACAGGGTTATGATGCCTCTTATCACTGTTATTAAACTTAATTTTAGAGGTACTAGCTACATGATAATTTACTGGTGTTGTAAGTAAACCCTGTGTCATAAGAAAAATACCCTGACTCTGATCTTGAATATTCAAGTGCCAATTGTGTGTTAGCCACCAGGAATAAAGAGATTGGTAGAACATAACTTCTCCTTTAAGGTACCCTGTGAGCAGGATAAAATTGTGTCATTAGCATCATTTGACTCATGCCCTAAGTTTGTAGAACTGTAAGCTCTCTGTAGAAAGCATATAACTGTTCATCAGACCCATGATCTGCTCCTTGCTACCTTTGATCTTATTTTCTACCTTTCTTTTTTTCTTTCTTTCCTGGTTTAGCTTCAACCACACTGGCCTGCTAGCTATTCCTGGAACTCCCCTAACCTTGTCCTGCCGAAGGGCCTTTGCTTGTGCCCTGTACTACTATTCTCTCATGACCTTCTTTCTCCTTTACCTTCTTTGGGTTTCTGATTGAATGTCAGAAGAGAGGATGTCTCAGGTTGCCTTGTGTAAAATAGAACCCATTCCTACCCCATTTTGCTTGTTTTTCTTTATAACACCACTATGAAACGTCTCCTCCCACTAGAATGTAAGTTCCTTGAGAGAATGGACTCTGCTTCCTTTGTTCCCTGCTGTATCTCCAGTACCTAAGAACAGAGTCTGATACTTGGGTACTCATAAATATTTGTTAAATGAACAAATTTATGTTGAAGAAAACCTCTGACTATGCTAATATAATTTCAAGTTTGATCTTAAAATCTTTAACCATTATAACTGGAGGTTAATTAAACATTTAGTAAGTAATTTAATATTATTAAAATGTTAACATTTCTACCATGTATAAAATCATGTGCAAATTTTAGCAATCAAGAAAATAACCTAGATTTTGTCTACTTTTTAAATCTGAAATTTTCTTTTGGAATACAGTTAGTATTCCACAAAAGTGGAATTATTTGCCACAGAAATTTTAACACCTATGCATGAAAACAGAATAAGTAATCCTAGATTATCTGTAAGTGATAAAGATAACAAAAATATTTTATATGTGTATAGGTAAGATGACTAGTGTGTTGATCCATACTTTTTTGATGTTCATTTAGTAGGAAAAACATGACATACTAAAATTTTTACATAGATAGATGCAGACAGATTCTAGAAATGATCGTAACAGCTATTAGTGCAGAGTTTCCATGGTGTTAAACAATACTTATTTTAGAAAACCTTCCTTAATGTGGAAAATCTGCAGCTTTACAGACATTTTTATTTTTTAATTTAGGATGGCTATATTAAAATTAAGATTTACCTTGGTGTTCTTGGGACACTTCATAGACTAGTCTTCGTATTATTTATAATCGAGTAACTAATATCCCCTAGTCTCAGGAGCCATTTAATTCTAACCTTGAAAATAATGTTCTTAGTGGCCATCACTGGGGAAAGTTCTACCCTACTTAGTTCTGCTTCCCTAGTAGACTGTGTTAGAGGAATCATTTATTGAGGAATGTTTCACTGTGTATAAATGAATTCCTGATGGAAACTGTTGTTTTTTGTGCTCTACCTTATGTCTGTGGAATGTAACAGGACATGTATCAGGTAAATGCCCAGTACAGGTTTTACTTACCTGTCTATAACATCTTCTATGTCAGTCTATAAGTAGGATTGTAGTTTGGTATCTGTAATGGAATGATAAAAGCAGTTGGCAATTTAAAGATATCTTTTCTTTAAATGCTGGGTTTTTTTTTTTGTAGGGGGTGGGTTTTCTTATGGCCACATGTGGTCACCATCATGCTGCTCCTTGTAGGCTTTGTTATAATAGAGTATTAGAGGCTGGTTGTATAGATTGGATGTGGGGAGGGATAGAAAATCATTAGTTTGAAACAAATGTAAGCCATTTATGCCATATGTTTGACAATGTGACTATAGTTATTAAGTTGATTTTAAATACGGTAGAAGTGTTATTACCAGTGAAAGTCCCAGTATGGTGAATTTATCATCTGAGAGCCACTGGCTCAGGTATCTTAATTTGTTACTCTTGTTTTTTGGTAAAGGGTGTGTATGGGAAAGACTTGGTATCTTGCTGTGTGAATCTAAGTATTGCTTAGTAAAAATTTACTGAAACTGGGATGTACACACTCAACTATTGGGACATTCTTTCTTTAACAGAAGAGCTATGTTTGTGTGAGCCTCTCTTGTTAGCGTAGAACAAATTCTCATATGTTACACAGATTTGATACCTCATAGAAGAAATTTAAAGTTTCCTTTTGTTTGTCTTTTTTTCAGGAAGCAAAACTAACAGATCAGCTACCACTTATCATTGTGTGTGATCGATTTGACTTTGTCCATGATTTGGTGCTCTATTTATATAGAAATAATCTTCAAAAGTATATAGAGATATATGTACAGAAGGTAAGTAATATGTAGGTAATGTAAAGGTATAATCTTACTATAGATTTTATTTCTCATATTCTGGAAATCCTTTTGAAACTCTGTGCTCAATAAGAGTGGTCTGCAGCTTTTAACGTGGGATTTTTTGTTTTTGTTTTTGTTTTGGAGACAGGGTCTTGCTCTGTCACCCATGCTGGAATACAGTGGCACAATCACAGCTCACTCTAACCTTAAACTCCTGGGCTCAAGCAGTCCTCCTGCCTTAGCCTCCAAGTATCTGGGACTGCAGGTGCATACTACCATGCCCAGCCTGCTTTTAATACTTTTTCCCCAGCAGAATCCTTTCTTGGAATAAAATTCTACGTGCTTCCCTAGCAAGCCGACTCAGGGAAGGGGGAAAAAAAAAACATGCATGCCAAGTGTGTAAAATATAAGAATAGAACTGCTATTATTGAAAAAGTTGGGTGGCCTAGGGCCTTACTAACTTGATAGACCCTGAGGTATCCATGTAGACTCCAAAGCAGAGTTTTCAAACCATCTTAAATACAGATATTAGATAATTCACCTTCTAACTGTAGAAACAGGCAGTATTGCTATAATGGGAGCCTTTTTATTAGACAGTCTTGCATAGTCATCTTTGACTGTATCTTCTTTGGACTTATTTATCATATGGAACAATGTTTCGGTAACTAACCAAACCGGTAGAGACAGAATATAGTATATGTGCTTTCAATACTTATTAAACCATGAAGTCTTGTTTTTAGCTGGACTTCCTGCTAAATTCCTCTATCTAGTTGCAAATTTAGACCCTCAGTTTATTACTGAATTTAAAAACTGAACTTAAAGAAAAAAAAACTGAGCTTAAAAGCGATAGAGATAAATGCTTTTTTAAAATTCCTCTTTGCTTTTAATAACATAATAACATTCTTCTACTTCTTTTTAACCACAGGTGAATCCAAGTCGACTTCCTGTAGTTATTGGAGGATTACTTGATGTTGACTGTTCTGAAGATGTCATAAAAAACTTGATTCTTGTTGTAAGAGGTCAATTCTCTACTGATGAGCTTGTTGCTGAGGTTGAAAAAAGAAACAGGTGTAGTACCATTTTAACAGGGATAAGTTACTCTTTCTTAACATGGCAATAGATAAAAATATAGGTAGTCATTTGTTCCAAAGCTACTAAATAACACATGGAGAATAATTTCCTGAAGACACCTAACATAGAGGTGATAAGCTAGCTAATAGCACTGGGAAAAAATCTGTTTTCTGAAACATTATAGCTGTCATAGGAGATCTGTTAACTTGGTTGATCATTTTTTTGGCATGTTTATAATTACAGCTATGTGGTTTGACTTTATATGTTTTTATATAAACTATGTACTAAGTCTCCTGTTTAGGTGTGATACCTGTGTATTTAACAACTAATTCTGTACTGATCAATCATGTGGTGTTTCCAACCTGAGAAAGCTGATTAAAAAAAACAGTGTGGTGTTTAAGTGTGAGGCAAAAGAGTTCCCTGTGCAACTCTTGAGTTCAATTGATATTTAATTTACAGTACCTTAACATGATAATATGGATTTCCAATAGAATATAGTATAAGTGCTTCTAAAACTTACAGACTGTGAAGTCTTTTTTTAGCTGGAACGTTCTGAGGAACTAGTGTTTAGGAAGTACTGATGTAAATGAGTTTGGTGAGGTGGTATGCTAGTGGGAAGTTCTGCTGTTTATGAGAAGAAATTAAGAAAGTCTGTGGGTTTCATTTTAACCTGAGTTGATATAGGTGATCTACTAATTATATTCTTAGAATTTATATTAGAATGTTTCAAACATGGAAAAATTTTGCATTTAAGGGTAATAGAGATATGCAGTTAATACTGACCTAAAGGTTTGAGCCTAGTTTCAAGTGATTTTATGTCATAACAATTTAACATTTAATAAGAGGTTCAGTTGAGTCTGAACCTATTGAATCTATTACCTGAAAATAATCTTACTGCATATTCCAAGCAAATGGCAGTTACAGTTAGATAATTTAGTCTTTAAGTGACAAATTATATTGTGAAAAGCTAGATTCACATCTAAGTCACTAGTCTAGACATGCCTCAGCTAATTTTTATTCCTTAAGTTGACATGGCGTATCTTGGATTGCACATGTTTATAGGAGCTGGATTTTTGCCTCTATTTATTAAAATTGTCTTCTCCCTAATGGGAGGGTTCATAATAACCATGTGAATTTGATATAGCCAAAATAACGAATAATGCTTTTTCTCTGGCTGCTTTTAATGTTTAAATCATTGGTAAAAGAGGCTTGGGCCAGGCGTAGTGGCTTGTGCCTGTAGTCCCAGCTTCTGGGGAAGCTAAGGTGAGAGGATTGCTTGAGCCCAGGAGGTCAGGGCCGCAGTGAGCCCTCCACTGCACTCCAGCTTGGGCAACAGAAGACCCTGGCTTTAAAATAAAAATAAAAGGAGGCATGGTCATCAGGACTATCGAAACAAGCTATAGTATAGCAAAACTGTGCTCCTTGATGGAGTGTTTATATGACAGCTGCAACTATTAAACCCAGAGCTTCTAAAGCTATCAGATTTTATTCCCAATATGTATTTAGGGTTTGGCTGTAGGTAATGCTGTATGTTAATTGTGTTAAAGCTGAAAGAACTCTCAGATAATCTGGCCTATGTAATATCACATCCCCATCCTATCCACAAACAAAATTTTCTGAAGTCTAGATATTTTGTGTGTTATAAAGAAAGGACACTGTATGAATCTCTAATCTTTTATTCAGATATAAGGAGGTAAGTATATCATATAGCAGATAAACCTGGGAGAGTGAAAAATAGCCTTATATACCTTCTTTTTATTCTTGGACAACTCAATCATATTTTGAGTCTTAATTTCCCAATTTATAATAGGATCACTGATAATTAAAATTAATGTAAAGCCAGGTACAGTGGCTTGCACCTATAGTACCAGCTACTCGGGAGGCTGAGGTACTAGGATCACTTGAGCCCAAGGCTGTAGTGCACAATGATTGTGGCTGTGAATAGCCACTGCACTTCAGCCTGGACAATGTAGCAATACTCGGGGGGCGGGGAAAAAGTATGTGAAAGCACATTATAGACCATAAGGTATTTACATAGTTAGCATGTCAAGAGTGTGTTATTTATAATACAGTATGTGTGTGTGAGGTTTTTTTCCTTTTTTCCTAGATTGAAACTGCTTCTGCCTTGGCTAGAGGCCAGAATTCATGAGGGCTGTGAGGAGCCTGCTACTCACAATGCCTTAGCCAAAATCTACATAGACAGTAATAACAACCCGGAGAGATTTCTTCGTGAAAATCCCTACTATGACAGTCGCGTTGTTGGAAAGTATTGTGAGAAGAGAGATCCACATCTGGCCTGTGTTGCTTATGAACGTGGCCAATGTGATCTGGAACTTATTAATGTGAGTACTGCTAGCTGAATATGTAGAGAAGCTGCATTTTTAAAAACCTGTTACATGAGAGTTTCAGGGTAATTTTAGGTAATATGGGACATTTGGGGACGGTGGGTGCTTTTTTAAAACTTTATTTGGAAATAATTGTGAATCTGAAAGTGGCCAAATAGTGGATAAAGTCTATATACCCTTTATTCTGATTGACTTGCTAATGTTTTAACCCCACTAGCCTTACCATTTGTGTTCTCACACTCTTACACTCAGGCACACCATTCATACATATGTGTATACACACACATACTATTTTTTAACCACGTGGGAATAACTTGAATGCATCATGGCCTTATACCCCTTCCGAGTGTATGGCCTAAGAATAAGGATGTTCTCTTTCATTAACCACATGAAAGATACCAGCTTCAGTCAGTTTGACATTGATAGGATACCTTTAAAAATCTGTTCTATTCTAGTTTTGTCAGTTACCCAATGATGTCCTTTGTAGCAGTTTTTTCCCCTCTAGTCTAAGGTCATATATGGCATGTAGTTTTCATGTCTTTAGTCTCCTGTACTTTGGAATGGTTCTTCAGTCTTTTGTTTTCTATGACGCTGATATCTTTGTAAACAATAGTTGCTTTTTCTATTTGTAACTATTTTATATAGGTGAAATTTCAAGCAACATCAAATTAACCATTTTAAAGTGAACAATTCAGTGGCATTCAGTATATTCACAATGTTATATAATCACCTTTATCTAGTTACAAGTTTTCATCACTTCAAAAGGAAACCCTGTATTAATTAAACAGTTCCTCCACATACCCCCTCCTCCCAGCCCCTGACAACCACCAGACTGTACTGTCTCTATGGATTTGCCTATTCTCTATATTTCATCTAAATGTAAAGTCTCTTTTTAAAAAACAGAATGTGTCTCACTTTGAGTTCCTCTGATGGTTCCCGATGATTAGATTTAGATTATACATTTCCACCCAGAGTACTGCTTCAGTGGTGGTTTGTTTTTCTCTTGGTATTATATCCGGAAGCACGCAGTGTTCATTTGTCCCCTTTGTCAGTTTTTATCAAGTTGTAACATGTCTTTATTACATAATTATTACCCTCTTGGAGATATTAAACAGTCTATAAGTAGTCTGTAGTAGACTATGCAAATATCCTCTTACCCTCTCCCTTAATTTAGCATCTGTTGATTCTTGCTTAAACCATTCTTAATGTGTTGGTTGCAAAATGAAAATTTTTCAAACTCCAGCAGTTTCTCCACATTTGTCAGTTAGCACTCATGCATTCATGAACTCTTGGATTTTATTCGATGGGCTACAATTCACTACTATTTATTTTGATGCTCAAATTGTCCCAGTTTTGACTGGTGAGAACCTCTTCAGTCTGTGTCTTTGTGTCATGGGCTCATTTTTCTTTGAGCACTAACTTATTTTCTGGCACACAATACACCAAGCTCATTTTGTACCTTCAGCAGCCCTGAAGTCAGTCATTTCCCTAGGGAACCTTTTACTGGGGCATTAGAAACCAAGATCTGGGCCAGGTGAGTGGCTCACTCCTAGAATCCCAGCACTTTGGGAGGCCGAGGCAGGAGGATCACTTGAGCCCAGGAGTTTGAAACCAGCCTGGGCAACATAGCGAGCCCCCCGTCTCTACAAAAAATTACATGATTAGCTGGGGGGAGGTGCCATGCACTTGGTTTCAAGCTACCCAGAAAGCTGAGGCAGGAGGATCACTTGAGCCCAGGAGGTCAATGTTGCAGTGAGCTATGATCGCAACACTGCACTCTCCAACCTTGACAACAGAGCAAGACTCCTACTTTCTGAAAATATTAGAAGTCAAGATCTGAGCTTTAGTGTATTTGCTTCTAAGATCTTTCAGTGGTCAGGGCTTAGTTACATTTATGTACATACATATGCTCATTTATGTACATACATGTGCATATACGCATGGAAAAATAAACACACAAGAACAGCTAGTAAAACACTGAAAACTGTAAAAGTGGACTAGTCCTACCAGATGTTGAACTGTGTATTACAAAGTCTATATAATTAAAACAGTATATTACTGGTACATGAATCAAAGTCCAAAACTAGATCCAATATCAGTAAGATTATCAATAAACATAGTTTAAAAGATAGGAAATACCCTCTAAAATGCTATAAAAAGTCCTTTACTTTTTACCTTGAAATTAATCTATCATATCTTCTTTAGGTTTGCAATGAGAATTCCCTCTTCAAAAGTCTTTCTCGCTACCTGGTACGTCGAAAGGATCCAGAATTGTGGGGCAGCGTGCTGCTGGAAAGCAATCCTTACAGGAGACCCCTAATTGACCAGGTAACATTGGCAAATGTGTTTATGGCTGTCAGTAAAAATTATACATTTTTAACTATGAATACAATCCTTTCCCTCATCATGTACTCAAATGGATCATATATAACTATGAGAGAAAGCAATACAAAGTAGAAGAAAATTAAAATTTATATATATTCAATTTACATTCATTTGTATATAATGAATGTAAATTGATTATATACATTATATACAAATGAATGTACATTTATATAAGTATAAATATGTATATAACATACATTAAGAAAAATAAGCCATGTGCGGTGGCTCACGCCTGTAATTCCAGCACTTTGGGAGGCCGAGGTGGGTGGATCACCTGAAGTCAGGAGTTCGAGACCAGCCTGGCCAACGTAGTAAAACCCCATCTCTACTAAAAATACAAAAATTAGCCAGGTGCATGTAATCCCAGCTACTCGGCAGGAAAATCGCTTGAACCCGGGAGGTGGAGGTTGCAGTAAGCCGAGATCACGCCATTGCACTCCAGCCTGGGTGATAAGAGCAAGACTGTCTCAAAAAAACAAAAAGAAAAAAGAAAAAGAAAATACATCCCAAAAGACCTGACTTAATTATATAAAACTCTCTTGGTTCATCATAGTTTAAAAGGAAAATAACAAACTAAACATTAAAGATTGCTATTATTAACACTTAAGTGGCTAAATTGATTGGAAACTTCAAGATAATAAGTCAGAAAAATATAAGGATAAGAGAAAATACAAAAGACCAAGTGCATCAGTGTTATATCTTACTAATAAGAAGTATAGAACTGCAAATGAGATGGGGTTTTATACCTAAATAAAATAGACAACATATTTTAAAAGTTCTAAAAATAGAAGAGTTGTTATAATGAGTCTTAAATTCTCCTGAGATAAGTATAAATAAAATATTTTGGAAACGAATAGGTTGAAGGCTATTAATATTTCATTCCTTTCCTAGGAAGCACTTCTAAGCAACATTCCCAAGTAGTTACAAAGCTTCCTAGGGGAAGGTTGTGGGGGTGGGGGCGATGGTTGGAAATCATTGCAGCATCTAGAAAACCAAGCAAATAGCCAAAACCAGACGAATTACCGATATTTTAATTCCACATCTGTGTAGCTGAATTTTGAATTATGTGTAGCCATTAAAGTGATAATGATGATTGCTAGCCTGGATAATGTTTTAATCAGGGAAAAGATAGAAATTATATAATTAGAGTAATTTTTCAACACAATTATACATATTGTATAGATTTGTGTAGAAAGACCTCTCTATGTAAATTTAAAGGTCTTTTTCCTACTTCATTCTTTTCTGCCTATTTCAAGTTTTCTAATGAGAGGCCAACTTACGCTTTTTTAAAACCAACTTGATTCTCAGTACTTATGTCCCATATATCCTCTGTAGGTTGTACAAACAGCTTTGTCTGAGACTCAGGACCCTGAAGAAGTGTCAGTAACTGTAAAGGCTTTCATGACTGCAGACCTTCCTAATGAACTCATTGAACTGCTGGAGAAAATTGTCCTTGATAACTCTGTATTCAGTGAACACAGGTATGCTTTCAGAGGGATCCATTGGCTATTTATAGTCAGTCTTTAATAAATTATGGCCCATCAGTTTTGGGAAGGAACAAAAAGATCAGAGAAAGTTGCCTGAATTCTCACTCTTCTAATATCCTCCCCCCTACCCTACCTCTTGAGACAAAAACCTCTCCGTTAGTCACAGTGGTTATTTTTTATGTCGGATAAACTTAAAATATTGCATTTAAAATATTCTTTTTTTTCTTAAAGGAATCTGCAAAACCTCCTTATCCTCACTGCAATTAAGGCTGACCGTACACGTGTTATGGAGTATATTAACCGCCTGGATAATTATGATGCCCCAGATATTGCCAATATCGCCATCAGCAATGAGCTGTTTGAAGAAGCATTTGCCATTTTCCGGAAATTTGATGTCAATACTTCAGCAGTTCAGGTAAATCTTCAGATTACCTAAGTTGAATTACTAAACACTGTGCTATGAGGGTGGGCCTAATTGGTTGCTACGGCAATAGAGCAGCAATAAAATACTAACAGCTTAAATGTAATTGCTTTGGGTAGGATTGATTTTACTCTAACCCTAATTTCAAACTTGGATACTTAGGTCTTAATTGAGCATATTGGAAACTTGGATCGGGCATATGAGTTTGCTGAACGTTGCAATGAACCTGCGGTCTGGAGTCAACTTGCAAAAGCCCAGTTGCAGAAAGGAATGGTGAAAGAAGCCATTGATTCTTATATCAAAGCAGATGATCCTTCCTCCTACATGGAAGTTGTTCAGGCTGCCAATACTAGTGGTATGACTTCTTACCTTATGTATTGAAACCTCATAAAATGATTAAGCTAAGCATTAAGATATCTGTCTATTCTGAATTTTAGAAGAGTTGGATACTGCATGGTTTCTTTTAGTGCTCCATCTTAGTCCAGATAAAAAGAGGCTGTATTTTGTGAATTTGTAAGTTCACAAAACTTACAAGTGGGGAAGATGAATCTTCTGTTTTTGAAGTCTCATAAAATCCTGATAGTGCTCTAATCTTAAAACTTTAAGGAAAAAGAATTCATCTATTCATTTGGTCCGTGATAATACAGAAGTGAAATATTGCACGGTTTACATTTGTCATTATCCATGTTTCCTTGAAAAGGAAATGAATGCAATTTTCATTTACTTGGGTGAAAGATAAACTAGGATGTTAGTGTTTGGATATATTTTTTCTTTTTCTATACTTAGGAAACTGGGAAGAACTGGTGAAGTACTTGCAGATGGCCCGTAAGAAGGCTCGAGAGTCCTATGTGGAGACAGAACTGATATTCGCACTGGCTAAAACAAACCGCCTTGCAGAGTTAGAAGAATTTATCAATGGACCAAATAATGCTCATATCCAACAAGTGGGTTTCCTTTTCAGATTTAAGAAAAACTAGTTGGGCTACTTGATTAGCTTGGTAGGATCAAAACATCATAACTGAAGAATTCCAAGGAAAAATCTATAGGAAAACAAATTCTTTCTCATTGTGAAGATATCAATTTGAAAAGAGGATTAAGCTCACACTAATATCTTGCTGAATGTGGGTTACCTTTTTTTTTCCAGGTTGGTGACCGTTGTTATGATGAAAAAATGTATGATGCTGCTAAGTTGTTGTACAATAATGTTTCCAATTTTGGACGTTTGGCATCTACCCTGGTTCACCTGGGTGAATATCAGGCAGCTGTTGATGGGGCTAGGAAAGCTAACAGTACTCGAACATGGAAAGAGGTAATCTAAACCCAAGTTTGAGTGAAGAATTAAAGAAACGCTATTTAAACATTAGTTTAAATAACTAGCCATGTTTTACATTTGAGTTCACAGAAAGGAAATGTTTATTCTAGGTCTGCTTCGCCTGTGTAGATGGGAAAGAATTCCGTCTTGCTCAGATGTGTGGACTTCATATTGTTGTACATGCAGATGAATTAGAAGAACTTATCAACTACTATCAGGTATTAACGAGACTTTTATATGACCTGAGATCTTTTACCATAGATATTCTTATCTTTAACTGCACATTTCTCTTGTTCAGGATCGTGGCTATTTTGAAGAGCTGATCACCATGTTGGAAGCAGCACTGGGACTTGAGCGAGCTCACATGGGAATGTTTACTGAATTAGCTATTCTATACTCTAAATTTAAGCCTCAGAAAATGAGGGAGCACCTGGAGCTGTTCTGGTCTAGAGTGAATATTCCCAAGGTAACCAGTCATTGTAACACAGTGAAGCAACTGTGTAGTTAAAACTAATGCTTCAAAATATCTTATTCTTTTTAAGGCTGTTAGCTAGACTCATATCTAAAGCAATTAAGTCTTTCTTATGCAGGTGCTAAGAGCTGCAGAACAAGCTCATCTTTGGGCAGAACTGGTGTTTTTGTATGACAAGTATGAAGAATATGATAATGCCATAATTACCATGATGAATCATCCAACTGATGCCTGGAAAGAAGGGCAATTCAAAGATATCATTACCAAGGTGTGTACTTTCTTCAGAAGATAAAGGATTCAGAAGGAGAAAGCTCATTAGGAAGTAACTGACTTATGTATGGATTTTCCCATTGTAGGTTGCCAATGTGGAACTATACTACAGAGCAATACAGTTCTACTTAGAATTCAAGCCTCTGTTGTTAAATGATTTGCTGATGGTGCTGTCTCCACGGTTGGATCACACTCGTGCAGTCAATTATTTCAGCAAGGTAAAGTAATAATTTTAAACCAAAGCTTCATAGCAAGGAATTAGGACATACTTCGATAACTTTTGTCCCTGGGACTTCAATAATGTGCTATATTTGTAACAAACTCTTTATTTTAAAGGTTAAACAGCTACCACTGGTGAAACCGTATTTGCGTTCAGTTCAGAACCATAACAACAAATCTGTGAATGAATCATTGAACAATCTTTTTATTACAGAAGAAGATTATCAGGTAAAACCTTTTGATTCTTGCACATAATCTCAAGACTCATAAAGTTATGTTTTCCCATTTTTTAAAAAAGCCATTATCCTTTAGGATTGTAAACAGTAGGTGCTTGCATACCTAGGATCTAAATTTAGTAAGATTTCAGGATTGATAAATCTTCTAATTAAGTGCCAAGTTTTCAGAATTTTGCTCAGATCTTGTATAAGATACTGCTTTTGAAAAAAATGATATGATTACTTTATCTCTAACATCTAGATTGTAGGTAGAGTCAAAAATGTCTTTGACCACTTAACTAATTCATAAAATTTATTTGGTATTAACTATATTTATTCACCATTTTTCTTGCCTACTGTTTTATTAGTGTTTGTATAAACTTTCTCTTATGAAGGATTTCACAAGCAAAAGTGAAGTAGAGTTAAGCTTAAGCTACTTGCCTTTTTTTCTCTCTCTTCATTTTCTTTGAGGCTCAGCGCATGCAGATCTGTACTGCTGCCATGCTGAGTTTTATCAGAAGTTTCTCTAGAGCACAGAATCTTGCCCTCCATGCCAGGCGTGGTGACTCACGCCTGTAATCCCAGCACTTTGGGAGGCCAAGGCAGGCGGATCACGAGGTCAGGAGATCGAGACCATCCTGGCTAACACAATGAAACCCCGTCTCTACTAAAATACCAAAAAAATTAGCCGGTTGTGGTGGCACGTGCCTGTAGTAGCAGCTACTCGGGAGGCTGAGGCCGGAGAATCGCTTGAACCCTAGAGGCAGGTTGCAGTGAGCCCAGATTGCATCACCACTGCACTCCAGCCTGGGCAACAGAGGGAGACTCCATCTCAAAAAAAAAGAAAAAAATCTTGCCCTCCAAATTAGAAATATTGTCCATTTCATAGCCATATGTTAGTCCTTGATAGTGAAAATCTTGGAGAAAATGGTATCTTTAGGTAAAATGAAAAATCATACCTTTTGATGCTTGAATCTAGGTGTCATATTACATGTTACCATCTAAGGGGCTCATTGATTGAGAACGGAATATAATGTTAAACAAAATACTGATCTGGCATTTGGATGGCTTTTTTTTTTTAAGGCTCTGCGAACATCAATAGATGCTTATGACAACTTTGACAATATCTCGCTTGCTCAGCGTTTGGAAAAACATGAACTCATTGAGTTCAGGAGAATTGCTGCTTATCTCTTCAAAGGCAACAATCGCTGGAAACAGAGTGTAGAGCTGTGCAAGAAAGACAGCCTTTACAAGGTTGATAAAGTTGCGGGGCAGGGGCTGTTTTAAACCAGGCCTAAAATGGTGTTACAAGTGATTATAATCTATAAATAAAAGTATTGGTTTTGTGAATATGAGAGCTGACTTTAAGGCAATTTAAGTTAATGGATTTCTTGATTCTAGGGGCTCTCTTATGTTAAGGTCAAACTTGTCTGGGGAAAAAAAAGCTTTTAGCTTATCTCTTCTTTGAAAATTTTAATTTAAATGATACAACTAGGAGGCTTTTTTCCCCTTGCAAAACCAGATTTATATTGGAAAGTTTCCATTGTTTTTCTTGGTTTACTAGTTCAGTATGTGGGGTCTAATGTTTTTGACTTTCACTATTTCTTTGAATAGGATGCAATGCAGTATGCTTCTGAATCTAAAGATACTGAATTGGCTGAAGAACTCCTGCAGTGGTTTTTGCAGGAAGAAAAAAGAGAGTGCTTTGGAGCTTGTCTGTTTACCTGTTACGATCTTTTAAGGCCAGATGTCGTCCTAGAAACTGCATGGAGGCACAATATCATGGATTTTGCCATGCCCTATTTCATCCAGGTCATGAAGGAGTACTTGACAAAGGTAATGACTCTTCTAAGTGTATTCAGAACTAGTTTCCTTGCATGTAAAATTCTACATGCACATTAATTTTTTTAAATGCTTTTTTCTTTAGTAGAAGTAAGTCATTTAGTCGATCATAAAATATTCCTGTTCTTTTGAAATTTTTTTTTAATAGCTGACAAATGACACTGATTGGAAGGGGAACTCAAATGTAGCTGTTTACCCTCAGTGTATTTATGAGGGTGAAAATAATCTATGTATTTTTTTATTTAAAAAACTTTGATAAATTTTATTTCAAAATAGTATTTTTCTCAAAATCAGTTCTTGTGACTCAAATATTCATGACTAGTATTGTAGATTCCCTTTTATTTGGTTGGTTCCTGACTTTAATGATGTCTATGCCTGTTTCCCCTGGGGAAGCTGCATGTATATTCTTAACATCCTTTTAATCTTCACAATTTTTTTGATAGTTTAACCCCTGATTTAAAAATACCATAGGAGGTGAACATGGGAAAAAAAAAACAAGCTGGGGGTCTAATTGCCTTATAACATTCACTATTCGTCTTAGTGTCCTTTTTTGATGTATGAATTTACTCACCCTATCTTCAGCAGTTACTAGCTGTCTCTCTGTAGAACATTTTTAAATGGTTTTAGAGGATCCTTTTCGTCAAAGCAAAAAACATGATTAAAATCAGAGTCTCACATCTGATTCCTTCAGCCTGCCTGAGTTGGGGGGATGGGAGGGTGAAGAAGCGCTACCAACAACCCCTCCCATACTGAATTTTTCCTCAGGATACCATTTAATTAGATACCATTGTGTCTGTTTAAAGTTTTTAAAGAATTAACATTTTCTGTATTCAATGTAAGAGAAAAAACATGTTGCCTTATCTTAGCCATAGATGAGAATAGCTTCTTAAACATAATGCCAACTTGTGAGACCTGTCTTTAAGCTGCTGTTAACCTAAGTGCTGTAAATTTTTCTAGTGATTAAGCTGCTTTCTTTCATACTGTAGCATAAATTCTTCTGCATTAAGCTTTGAAGTTACACAAAATTCTAAATTTTGCTTCCAGTATGCCCTTTATTTTCACTTCTCTCATACCTTTTTAGTGGTTAGATGTTTCTTCCCTAAACCTTTGTTGCTGATTCTACCTTTTTATGCTCAATATGGAATTGATTTTTTTTCTAAGCTGCACCTTCTGAATTCCTTTGCAGGTTGATGCAATAAAGGAAAAGGTGAAAGTTGATTCTTTAACATCTTTAAGTCTGGAGGACTAAGTCTAAGGAATTTGCATGATGTTTTTCCTTCCTCTTCTACACTGCTGCTGCTGCTTTTTCCCCCCAATAAATTTTCACTAAAGCCTCTGCAAGTCCCTTGAAACATAACTTTAATAGAGCTGTAGGACATTAGTAGACGTTTGCTACTAATCGGCTAATAGGCTTTAGGAAGGGCAGGAGGCTAATCAGTAGTTGGTTCACAGTCTCTCTTAAATATATTATGAAAAACTGAGTATGGTGAGTTTCCATATTAATTTCAAAGTAACAGGAAATTTCTCTTCCCTGTCAGGGTATCTGGACCATAATAGGACTGTCATAATCCTTGAAGTAAATTAAAACAGCCTCTGGTTTTACTTTGTGAGCTTGCCTGACAGTTGTCGAATTTATATATGTATATATACATGCCCTAAAAGGCTTTTTGGGGTTTTTTTTTTTTTGTATTGAAGGACTGTGATCCAGTTTCTGATCTCTTGATTCTTACTAATTTTTTGCTGAAAGTAGATACGAGAGATACTAGCTGCTTCCGAAGAGACTTTCCTCATGTTTCTCCAGGTGTCCAGTTCTTATGGTGCTAGTCCATTTTTAAGAGGAATCAAAACCTTTTTAATCATGAGAGCCAAGCTTGCTATAATTGTTGCTAAGCAACATGAATTATTTTTAACAAAGTATTAACTTCTACTTTCTGTAATAAGGCATACCTCTGAAGCTACCTAAAATTTGCTCTCCTATTTATCAGTTGGCTTGTCCAAGGATGTCAAATTCAGGCACCTTTTGGTTGCTGCTTCCTTCATTGGCTTGTCTCCATCCCAATATAAATGAAACAAACTTACGTCTGTTATCAAATTGTGGTTAGAAAAGGGTGGGAAGGTAAAGGAGAGTTGAAACAAATTTAAAAGAATTTGGGTGGGGGACAATGCCTTGGGATTATGTTGAACCAAACTGGAATCACCACTGGAACTTAGGGCAAACCTGAGTAAAATGCATTGTGTGTGAGACCCTTCAGCAGCTAGTAAGCAAGGCAGTTAGAAAGCGTGTGTGTGAAAAACAGGTAATTGAACTGCAGTGTTATGCATTGTTTTAAATGAAGCATGTACAACAGTCATTGCAATTACATCATACTATTTTTGAAACTCTTATAGCATTGCTGTGGGCTGTGTGTGTTTCTTGAGAGCCTGTATAGCAAGTCATCTTCAGACCTCACTTCTTGCTTCAGTACTTTTGCCTTTTTTTCATGCACACATACACCAAAATAACTGACTGCATGTTACTTTTCCTCTGCAGCACATTGCAGTCTTTGTGGAAAAGCCTTTTACATTTTAGTGAATTTTCAGTAGTACAGATGGAACTGAATTCATTGACATGCTTACCTGTAATTTTTCTTTTTAAATCCAAGGATCAGAAACTTTAGTTACAGCTCTTAACAAAAGCTTGTGTTCTTAAAAGACTTCTCTGCTTTTTTTTTGAGCAATCTAAATTGGATCAGTGGAAACAAAAATTGAAAGTCCCTGTGCCAGAGGCTGTCCCATTATATAGAAGAATCAAACTTTTTGCTTAGCTTGATGCTATTCCTTCAGAATTCTTCCCCCTACGCCCAAACTTCCTATGTGTATGCCAGGGCATTGTGATATTGCCAGCTCTTCTAAGTCTTCCATGTGTTTCTCTAATAGGACTTCTGTGTTCAACATCTGATTCAGACCTTAACTTTTAAACACATGTTCACTTCAGATTCTTTTCCCTGGAAGTCCGGAAATGTATTATGCAGTGGTGGCTTTTTGGTTGTTTCATTTTTCTTCTTTTTTCTTAGAAGTTACTAATATACAGGCATCCATGTATTTTTCTTTATAACTTCTGTAGCTCTTTCTTGAATACTGGTTAGTTAGCAAAACCCCATCTGATCCTTGATGGCACAGAGCTGTGCTTTAAGTTCTATAACTAATAATTTTTGTTCTAAGTGTGGATGCCAAAAAATGGACATTTCATATGGTACTTATACTACATAATAGTCTTTAATTTGATATTAGGGTAATTTGTAACACATCATTTAGACTATAAAGTAGGATAATAGTGTATAAAAGTAAACTAATCCATCTTCCTAGGCTAGAAATTAAACCACATTTCATCTGAAGGAGCCTACTTAGGCTTACTTTTCTCAAACTTTCAGTTCCCTAACAAATTAAGATGGATTAGACTCATATTTATGGTATTTAATATGAAACAATTAAATATAAAACAGTGCCCTAACCTTAATGGCCTATGTGAAGACTGAAAGATACTTTTTTAATAGTTTCAAACAGAAATGAGGTGCTGCCTTAATCTTTTTAGGACCTGGTTTTTAGAAACTTTTCCACTGAAGTCTACAATTTTTTTTTTTGAGTGATTTTTCATAATTTGCCTTTTTGAAGAACATGCAGTGAGCATTCATAAAGTGTTTCCCCCTGCACCTTGGCCCCCCGTCTCATGCAGCACATTTATGACATTGAAAACCACCAGTAATAGATAACATTGAGATTTGAAATTTAGTTTTACTTAGGTATAATGACAGACCAAGTATAAGGCTTTGGTTGAGAGACCAGCTTTTAAATATTGAAAGACAAATATAGTGTAAAAGGCGCAATGGAATTTGTATAGTGAAGGAGATTCTCTAGTCCCAGGGTTGTAATGTCACTTCTGTCTAATTCATTACAGAATTACAGAATCAAATCATGTTAGCCCTAGAAGAAACTGCAGATCATTTTGTTCAATCTTCTCATTATATAGGAAAGGAAATTTGAGGGCCAGTGCAATGGTTTGCCAAGGTCACACAACTAGTTAGTGGAAGGATCCAGGCATTCTAATTCCTTTCTTTCACTAATACATTTGGCCTGCTCTACAGAATTACTTCTGTCTGATACTATCCACTTTGAAGAGTAGCTAGCATATAGTAGCCATTTACTTTTGGCTCAATTAAAAGCAAACATTTTTGGGACAAAATCAGGCTTTCCTGATTACTTCTTAGATAACAGAGCCCACACAGTATTAAAACATGCAGCCTTTCTTTATGCAAAAAGATTGAATATGGAGCCACTTGAATCTTAAACTTCAGTCTGCAGCTATAACCAATATCATCAGAAGTTATACACAATTGGCAAAAGAATAGCTTATTCTGCCCAAATACTTGTCCAGTCACTAGGATCATTTCACTTTTTTGAATACCATTTGCTTTGGGGAGGGAAGTATTGCCAGACCATGAATTCATTATTACCTCTGATCAGTTTTAAACTTCATTTGAAAAGTGGTTCCTTCTCGTTTTCTCCCTCCCTCAGGCTGCATCCTAGCATGCCCAGTTTTAGTCTGGCATGAGCTTTTATGGCATTTTGAATCCCTCCTTCCTGAGGGTTTATAATGACAGTGCTGAAAACCACCTGGACTGAAGTATGAACATTGCCATTGAATTTGAGGGGGACTGAGAATGTTCTTTCTAGTCTGTTTTATTTTGACAGAATTTAACATACTAAGGCTTTTCCACTTTCTGCCATAAACCTAGGTTTATAATACTTTTGGGGTGCTAATTAACATGATGTGTTTTTCTCCAGGTGGATAAATTAGATGCTTCAGAATCACTGAGAAAAGAAGAAGAACAAGCTACAGAGACACAACCCATTGTTTATGGTAATCTCTCTCTGTAACCTCAAAAAATTCATTAGACAAATATTTAATTACTTAGAGACTGTGCCTCAAAATAGAATACAACAAGCTTCTAAAGTGCAAAAGGCTTTCTAAGAAATACTGCTCTCTACTGTCTGATTTTTTTTCTGAGAAGTCATAAAGCAGGTGTTGATATTATTCACTAAAATAATCTTAAATACAAGAAAACTCAAAAATAGTCATTTAAAATCATAACATGAATCTTTCCTATCATCTGGTCCCTCACGCATTACCTGCTCATAAATTACTGAAAAAGAAATATTGATGAATTCCATTTTCAAAAGAGCAAAAGGTGAGAGAACATGCCAAGGCTGTCTTTAGTATGCTTTACATAAAGAATACATCCTCATTTTAAATTCTAACTGGGGCAGAGAACTGGGTAGAGTTTCCATTTGAGAACTTTCCAGAGAGATAGGATCTTCAAACTCTCAAGTGAATATTTAAGACAATTTCATGTCTTCTTAAACCTACATGTCTGAATTACTGCTCCTTTCCATTTCATAGTTGGTGAACAGATTCATTTGAACAATCACTTTGAAGAGTATAGGTAGAAGCACAATAACCAGGTGAGGGAACATAAAAATATGACCATTATGGCTGGGTGCGGTGGCTCATGCCTGTAATCCCAGCACTTTGGAAGGCTGAGGCGGGCGGATCACAAGGTCAGGAGCTTGAGACCATCCTGGCTAACACAGTGAATCGCCGTGTCTACTAAAAATGCAAAAGATTAGCCGGGCGTGGTGGCACATGCCTGTAGTCCCAGCTACTTGGGAGGCTGAGGCAGGAGAATCGCTTGAACCCGGGAGGCAGAGGTTGCAGTGAGCCGAGGTCGTGCCACTGCAGTCCAGCCTGGGTGACAGAGCAAGACTCCGCCTTAAAAAAAAAATATATATATATATATACATATATATATATATAACCATTATATATCAGGCTACTGACACAAATAATAATATATACACTTATTATGGTTTTGTCTCCTTTTTACTGTAGATAAAAAGTACTTTAGGAATTTAGAGGACAGGATAGTTTTGATAAAGTGGGTTCTTAGAGATGGGAGCAAGATGTTTGACATGTTTGAGATAGGAAACACATCAAGTCCTTAAAGGTGAAAAAGACATAGGAAACACAGTAGGAACAAAAAAAAGATGGGTGTAATACTTTGGGGTTACCTACTGAATTTGGCTTGCCTTCAGGGTGTTTTCATGGGTAGTTGAAAATTGGGTTGGAATTTCAAGTAGATGTCATTATCAAGATTAGGGATGACTTTTTAAAAACTGGTTTCTGTTGGCTGGGTGCAGTGGCTCACGCCTGTAATCCCAGCACTTTGGGAGGCCAAGGTGGGCGGATCATGAGGTCAGGAGATCAAGACCATCCTGGCCAACATGGTGAAACCCCATCTCTACTAAAAGTACAAAAATTGGCTGGGCATGGTGGCATGCAACTGTAGTCCCAGCTACTTGGGAGGCTGAGGCAGGAGAATTGCTTGAACCTGGGAGGCAAAGGCTGCAGTGAGCCAAAATTGCACCACTGCATTCCCTGGGCGACAGAGCGAGACTCCGTCTCAAAAAATAATAATAAACTGGTTTCCAATAATAATTTGTTTGCTGAAGACAGCTTTGGTTGTTAACCACAAAAAGCAAAGACATGAAGTCCTTTGTGTAGGAGAAATCTTGATCTAGGTTTACACTGTAGTGGGATGTTAAAAATACTTTTGTAGGGGTAGAGAGAGGTGTTACTTGTTTTCGCTCTCTAAGCCAAGTTCTCTACAGGTCATGTTTTCTGTATATGGCCAACAACTATTTAAACTTTATAAGAAAGAGTGTCAACATAGTATTTGATAGAGGGTGTATGTTCTAATGTATTTCATACCTAAAGAATGTCTGAATATGTCTTTTTTTTTCCCCCAAGATGGGGTCTCGTCTGTCACCCAGGCTGGAGTGCAGTGGCGTGATCTCGGCTCACTGCAACCTTTGCCTCCTGGGTTCAAGTGATTCTCCTGCCTCAACCTGCTGAGTAGCTGGGATTATAAGCATGCACCACCACGCCCGGCTAATTTTTTTTGTATTTTTAGTAGAGACGGGGTTTCACCATATCGGCCACGCTGGTGTCCAACTCCTGACCTAATGATCCACCCTCCTCGGCCTCCCACGGTGCTGGGATTACAGGCGTGAGCCACCGCGCCCGGCCCAAATGTGTCTTATTTTTAATTTAACTGCTGTCTCTAAATTAGTACTGGATCTTCTATAAATGAATTTGGTTTCATTGCCATTTAGACATGTTTAAATCAGAAATTTAAATGTAACTCTAAAAGTTATGTTAAAAACATGTCATTTAGACCAAGCATGGTGGCTCACACCTATAATCCCAGCACTTTGGGAGGGCAAGATGGGCTGATCACTTGTGGCCAGGAGTTCAATACCAGCCTGGCCAACGTGGCAAAACCCTGTCTCTACTAAAAATACAAAAATTAGCTGGACATGGTGGCGCACACCCATAATCCCAGCTACTCGGGAGGCTGAGGCACGAGAATCACTTGAACCCAGGAGGCAGAGGTTTCAGTGAGCCGAGATTACACAACTGCACTCCAGCCTAGGCAACAGAGCCAGATTCTTTTTTTTTTTTTTTTTTTTAAAAAGTCTTTTAAAAAATTCTTTTATTGTGCTGATTTTATTGTGTCATGAAGTGTAATATGCATGTAGGTATGTGTCAAGTATACAGAGTGTCAGGCATACGGTGTTCAGTCATAAGCAGTTCTGGCCTTTGGCCCTGCACTGTTTGTTGGCTTTTTAGGTAGGAACCTTCTTAGAGTAAGACTGTCATGCTAAAATTGTAGCAATCAAATGTGCCCCCCATACAACTCATTTGAGGTTGAGATTATGTTGCTAGAGTGGAGGAGATTGGAGTGTTCTAAATGCTAACAGTTTGTCCTGCCTCCTTGCCCCTGCCCCCTGCTCCTTTTTGTTTTCTTCTACTGTAGGTCAGCCCCAGTTGATGCTGACAGCAGGACCCAGTGTTGCCGTCCCTCCCCAGGCACCTTTTGGTTATGGTTATACCGCACCACCGTATGGACAGCCACAGCCTGGCTTTGGGTACAGCATGTGAGATGAAGCGCTGATCCTGTAGTCACCTATTTTCGTACTGAAACATCGTCTTTACCCACTTCTCAGTTTATAATGGGGGAAAACAGGCAACGTGTTCTTGTAACCTTTATTTCATGAAGGACTTCTTTTTGTTTCTAACTATAAACTTGGATCACCTATGTTAAAACCTTATTTCACATTCCACATCATTTTAGAATTTATTTTCGAAGGGGAATAGTTTCAATGTTTTATTCACTTGGGCTTTTTTTCTTCCCCCTCTTTCTTTAAAGAACTGCTCAATATTCAATCTGTTGTGAAGAACCTGATTTGCACTCTGTAGTGTTTAAAGAAACAAAGAAACTCTAATATTGAATCTCTTAAATTTAGTGTATGTAAACAGCTTACAAATACGTATTGTCTAAATGCATTTAAATCTGTTTTATTCAAAGAAAAGCTAAAGCAAAAACACTGGCATATGACCATGCAAGACTGTCAGTGCCAACAAAGACAACACTAATCAGCACATCGTACACTGGATTGCAGTGCTTCCCAGATTATTGAAAAATGTTACAGACAACTTGCCTGATTTTTAAATGAGCGTAAAAGGCCCTCTAACCTATGCAGGTTTCCCCATTATGCATATAGAAAATGCTAGTATGTTTTGCTCACTTCATATGTAACAGGTGCCCTTATGTTGTGCTGTATCCTGTGCTTTTTCTGTGGGACCATTCCATTCAGGAGCAAAGAGCACCATGATTCCAATCTTGTGTGTGTTTACTAACCCTTCCCTGAGGTTTGTGTATGTTGGATATTGTGGTGTTTTAGATCACTGAGTGTACAGAAGAGAGAAATTCAAACAAAATATTGCTGTTCTTCAGTTTTGTTTGTGGAATTTGAAATTACTCAAATTTAAAATAAATTACTGGACTGTGGAAATAACATAGAATTGAAGTTTTAATTAAATACCACTCAAACGAAAAGAACAGTAGTTTTTGTAGTTTTATATTGGATACTGAGGCATTAGGGAGGCATGAAAGGAAGAGGAATGAGGATTGAGACATGTGAAGACATTGTGCATTATATCAATGTGCATTCCTGTAGTTCATTAACAAGGTACATGCAATAGTCTAAAGAACCAGAGTCACTACTATAGTGGCTTAACATTTAATCTGTCTCCAATATTTTAACCAAGTGACACCGAGGTTTTTATCGAAGCATTTCACTTAAATGAACAAATCATGGCTGTTATATTAACTTGAAATAAAATATATTTAAACATGTAGTTAACATGCTCTTTCTCATCATGAATTATAAAGGTGCCCAAATTATGGGTATCTTGATTTTTTTCAAAAATTGGTTGTGTGAATCCAGCTCTTGCTTATGGCTGAGAATGTTCCTAAAGTTCATTTCACTATCCCTTAATCCTCAATAGCTACACATACCCCCTTGCCTAGTTAGTCTTGCACTGCTTTACAACTCTCTTAGGCAAATTACCTAACATAAGCTCCACAGAAGAGTTTTTTAAAACTTAAAATCCCTGTCCCACCAGGTGTGGTGGCTCATGCCTGTAATCCCAGCACTTTGGGAGGCTGAGGCAGGCGGATTGCTTGAGGCCAGGAGTTCGAGACAAGCCTGACCAACATGGTGACTCCATCTCTACTAAAAATAAAAAATCAGCCAGGTGTGATGGTGGATGCCTATAAGATCCTAGCTGCTACTCAGGAGGCAGGAGGCTGAGGCATGAGAATCACTTGAACCTGTGAGGCAAAGGTTGTAGTGAGCCAAGATCACGTCACTGCACTCCATCCTGGGTGACAGAATGAGACTCTTGTCTCAAAAAACAAAAAAACCTATTTAGTTTCATCCAGGACATTAAGTGAAAGTGTTTAATGTGAGTGCAGGTCAGTGAAGAATACAATGGTGCCCCTGCTTTGATTTGTGGGAGGTGCCATCAGTTTTCCCCACCACTGCTTTTGCACCCTCAGTGCAAATATCAACACAGAGAAAAAAAAAATAATAATAGTATTATGAAAACATTGACTCTGTGGAGACCCTGTGGGTTCTGCAGAGTATACTTTGAAAACTATAAGATTATGAGTTCTATAAAATACCAAGTACAGATGAACTAGAAAACAAGCATATATCCACAATTACCAGAATTTTCATAGTATTCCTTTTAGTAGATATGCCATGACAGTTACTTAGCCACCCCATGCCATCCTGTTGGGAATGCCACTACCTTTGAATTTGGAGCCATCAGTCTATCTGAGGCAAACCTCAGAAATTACCTGAGCCAGAATCATGCACTTAGCACTGAGTTCAACTCAGTCTTAACGTTGCATTTTGTTGCATCACTTTTGCAGCCAGTAAACATTCTGTTTAGAAATAGTTGCTATTGTGGCATCATTCACAGTTGCAATTTTTCTCCTGTGCTGTCATATGCCTGTGCGAAGTGTATTAAATGAATCAAATATTAGAAATTTCAAGGCTGTCTTTAGTGTTCTGCCCACAATACTCCACCAATGACCTTAGACCTTGAGATGGTGCTATAACGCTGCTTATATTGCAGTTAACCATAGAGAGGTGGAGCCACTTAAAATGGGCCTATTACCAAAATTCTCCCTGGCATCATTACAGTTCTTGGGGATACACTGATTTTAGAAATTACTGTCAGTATCCTCCTAAAAGAAGGCTTAAATAGTTTCTAACAAGATGACTATCAGGAAGCTATGTGGCTTGGGGAGTTGGGACCCTCTGCCTCATATTCTGGGTAACTGGTATAACATAGTAATTATTAGGATTGTATCAAGTGTATCTAAAGATCAAAAGGGAAAAAAGGCACCCTTAATTGTCAAAGTTAGTTCTAGGAAAAAATACTAGCAGGGATGACAAACTACGTTCACTTTACAGTTACCATAAATTCTTACTTGGGCCCACCCATTTCCATCTGTTAAGGTCCATAAGGTTACTCAAGTTTCAGTGGCTTCATTGTTACAAGAAAGGGGGGAAGTGAGAAACTTTAATAGGCTGTGATTTAGAACCACTGCTGATTAACCTTTGGCCAGTATGGGTCAGGGAAGGTGAACATGAAACACTGCACAGTAGGTTGTATCAATGCTATAAAACTCAACCTGGAGACAAAATTTAAACAGGTTATAAACCATGGGACTCCATTGAGGGTGGCTGTATCAGTCACCCAAAAAGTGACAGCAGGGGAACAAACTGCAGCTTGCCTCTAGTGGGAATACCCTTGAACCTCGACCTCCAGGGGGACAGCAGCATAGTCTTGGGGAAGGGCTACCAACACAAAGGGACCTAACCATGTATAGGGAAATGCTGTTTCCTCCATTTTAATCCAATTGTATCATGACCTGTTTCTCTCATCTTAAATATCTGTTTCAGCCTCTCACTTGAACCACCAAGACCATTTAACCAACAGTACTGTTTTTAAGCCCAAGATGACAACTGCCAACCATAGAACATGGGAATAGGTTTTATTTTCATCTCAAGAACATTTAAGTTGGGTGAAGAAATTCAGCTTTTGTTGTTAGAATCTGACAGGCTTCAAACACTTGTGATGGAGGGGTTGTTGTCATATCAAAGTCCACCTAGTAAAGTTTTAGGTGACCAGTGACTTTGTCAATTAGGTCTGCTGGTCCTGGCCCAATCCCTAGGACAGTTTGAGAGCCTGGTGCAATCTGAGTACGTCCAGCATCTTGAATTAAACTTACAGTCAGTCCCAGCATTTTTGCATGGGCCAATAATGCAATCAGGGTTTCTTCATCAGGAGCTTTGACCACCACCTTGGGCTGGCCACAGTATTCCCATTGTTTGAGCATTTCAGGATTTCTTCTTTGAATCTGCTTGTAGGCTGAAACAGCAGCATGAGAGCACTGGGCAGCCACTTTCCCTTTTCCCATCTTTAAGTCATTTCGAACCACAAGAATCATCTTGTACTCCCCGCTGTCTCCCAAGATGCTTGCTTCACTTTCAGTATCTGTGTGTGTCTTGCTCGTCTTGCTTTTGGGGAGCATCCCAAAGCATACTCGAAGGCTCCAGCCCAGGCACATGCCACAAGCAACTCCAACAGCCAAGCCGAGTGTACTGGGATGAGCCAAATATTCCATAACCAAGGATTTGGAGGGCATCTTAAAGGAAAGGAAAACAGTTATCACTATCCGGCAGTAACAACTTACAGAGGTATAGGCTTATCAGAGAAACATTTTGACTATACACTTAATGGTCATCCAGAAAAAAGGCAAAACACACCTTTGATCTTATGCCTGCACCCTGTTTCCAACACCCTCTTGCCCACCACCAGTGTACTAGAAAAGATTCAAGCATCCACATGAAACAGTTTAGGTCATTTTGAATCTTGATGTAAACGAAGTTGCATAAAGTTCAAAAACTCTATTCCTCAGTCTTCCCTTAGTCTTGTGGAGATGTTCCGTTTTACCAAGATGCCTAAGATTTAAAGAAACCAAAAATAACCCTTTCCTGGAATACAGTGCTAATCGGTGTTTTCACAATGCAGTGGTTCTCAGTGGAGATGGTATCAAATCAGTTACCCTCAGAAGAACCTCACTGTCACATTAATGGGCCTGGAGTGAGGTGCACTACTGAAATTTACTAAGCCTGAGCAAGGATGCTAAAAACCTTACAAAATGAAGAGTTGTCCCATTGGACGTGAGTGCAGCTGAAAAACTTAATAACTGAGATGAGAACTCAACATCATTTTACTTAAGAACACAAAATATTTTTTGCATAGTTTTACTATGTACAGGTGCTCCTCAATTTTCCATGGGGTTATATCCCAATTAACCCAATTAATTGAAAATACTGTAAGCCAAAAATGCATTTAATACACCTACAGAATATCATGACTTAGCCTAGCCTACCTTAAATGTGCTCAGAACACTTACATTAGCCTACAGTTGGACAAAAATCATCTAACACGAGGCTCTTTTATAATAGTGTTGAATATCTCCTGTAATTTATTGAATACTGTAAGTGGAAAACAATGGTTGTATGGGTACTCACCATTAATTTACACAGCTGAAAGCACAGTGGTCCTGAAAAATGTTTGAAGCACTGAAATAGAATTAATTGCTGGATGATGGGGATGCAACAGGGTCCTCAATTTCTCTCTCTTCTGATGAACATCGAGAATAGGTGGTAGAAGGCATTGGGACATCAACACTAGTTGATGGTTTAGCAAGCATAGTGTTGTTCTTCAGGAAGATACCAAGTTTTGACCGTACAGCTTGTTTCTTCTTTTCACTATATATTTCTCTGTAGCAAGCAAGAGCATCCTGTATCTGCGCCTGTCAACTGTGGCGAATCTCTCGTAATTGACGTCCATTTCTTCTAACGTGTAGGCCACTGCTGATAGCAGCAAATGCCTCTGCCAGTTTCTTTGCTGTGAACTTTCTAGGTGCCGTGGGTGTAACTTCTTCCACTGCCTCAACGCCTTTACCTCTTTCTTCCTCCAGTGCAATCAGCTCCTTATTGCAAAGATCTTTAGCCATAATTATCCTATGCAGCTGTTCCTTAAAAGCTATGGCACCTTCATTACCAGCACGTGCTGCCTCACCAGTGATCTTTACATTGTGAAAATTATGACGCCTTTTGAAGCGCTGGAACCATCCATGACTTGCTTTAAACATTTGTGTATATGTAGGATCACTGGCACGGTCTTTTAGCATATTAAAAAGACTTCTTGCCTTAGCCTGGATCATCAGTAGGCTAAGTGGTATACGCTTCTGTATCTGGTCTTCCATCCACATAACAAGTAATTTTTCCATATCATCAATTGGTCCAGCCCTTTTCTTTGTGATGACAGTGGATTTAACTGATGCTGACGATTTCGCTGCATCACTGATTTGCTTCTTATCCCTTAAGATGGTTGAAATCGTGGATTGCCAAAGTCCTAACTCACGTGCAATGGCCATTACTGGCTTGCCACCTTCATGCTGGGCAATTATCTTGAGTTTCATTTCAAGAGTAATTGCCTTCCTCTTCTTCATCTCACCAGAAACAGGAGACACTGATGGACATTTTGTAGACATGATGGAATGTGAAAACACAAAACACAATATCCAAAAAAGCTGACAACACAGTACACGGTAGAGGATGGGTTGTTGATTCCCGTGATCACATGGGTGACTGGGAGCTGTGGCTCGCTGCCGCTGCCCAGCATCACAAGAGTGTACTGTACCACATTATCACTAGGCCAGGAAAAGATCAAAATGCAAAACTCGAAGTACAGTTTCTACTGAATGGGTGTCTCTTTCACACCATCCTAAAGTTGAAAAATCCTAAGTCGGAGACTGTCCATACTGAATTTTCCAGAAGTGTAGCTATCATAAAACAAAGGAATGTCATCCTTTATTATTTTAGAAAATCTTGCTACTTCGGCAAAGCTGTTCATAATATTTGAGTCACCAATAAGACACTTATATCAGTCTACAAATGAGGCTGCTGGATTCACAGTGCTTCTATGTGGCAAGCAACTATCAGTTTCTTTTTCTAGTGGAGTATTATCTAAGCATTTATAAACATGGGGCCACTATATTTGTAATGCACTGTATTTGTAATGTAAAGTGGTGCCCTTGGAATTGTGCACTGCATGATTGGCACGGCATAGATGACAGCCCTGGAAGTACTTATAAATTTCCTTTATGTTCTTCTTTAAAGTTAGGGCATTATATTAACATTCTTTCCACTAATTTTAACATAAAAGGGGTTACTGTCTTTGGTGGGGCAGAAATTCGTTTGAGGTGGGGTCAAGAGATAGAGCAAAAAGAAAAAGCAATGGATATAAGGCGACACAGAGGAAAGCAATTTTTTTTTTCTCCTAAGAAGAAAGGATAAGCATATTTAAATGTTAATAGGATGAAGCCAGAAGAAAGGCAGGTAAATGCTCAAGATAGAGAAAGACTTTATAAAGGGATGTGGTTTTGGAAAGGAAAAGGGACACCTTTCCCAATTTCAGTTTTAAATCAAGTAGGTCCACGGATTTGAAGGCAGGAAAGTATTCCCCCTGAGGGAAGGAGCTCAGACAGAAGTTAAAATGGAGTAGAGAAGAGAAAGGCGGAAATAAAAGGTGTGGCAAAATATGGCAGGATTGCAGAGGAATATTGAAAGCATGGTTAAGATTAATGATGACTTTTTAATGGCAACATACTATTTGTGATTTTCTCCAGTAGTACTTAGAAGCCAAAAGACTAAAACTACTAATCACTTCCTCCAGACATACAAACTAACCTCCATCCACACTCATCCTTTGCTCTCCCCTCCTACTGAAATGGTAGTTGGATGTATCCAAGTTTAAATTATGCCAGGAGCACGCCCCAAGACACAGTGGTACAAGGGAATTTAGGATAAGGGTAAGAATGTTTGACATGATAGACCATGCAACCTGTGTTATTACATTTTTCTCTTTTGGCCTACCTGATAAAAAGCAACCTGTATTATCAAAGACTGATTTATGGACAATAAAGTGATGCATGCTATTTATCTAGACATGCTGTTGAAGAACAGGTGTAATGAAAGTAAACTGGAAAGACTTAGAGCGATGCATAGGGTTTTGATTTTGGAGACGAACAATTACAAAGAACATAGCTATAGGAATGGGTATCTGAAATAGAAGTGTGACTACTTTCTACTTTTTCAATTCTTTTAGTTTTATGATATACTGCTTCCCTTCCACAAATACTGATTGACCCTGTTCTAGAATCTAAGGGATACAGGAGTGCACAAAGCAGAAAAAGTCCTTTCTCTAATGAAGCTTACATTTTAGCAATGGTTTTGAAATGGTCCAATCCTAATTTTGAATTTCTTTCATGCTGTTTTAAAACTTTGGGGTTTTTTTGTTTGTTTGTTTGTCTATTTGAGATGGAGTCTCGCTCTGTCGCCCAGGCTAGCATGCAGTGGCGCGATCTCAGCTCACTGCCAGCTCCGCCTCCCGGGTTCATGCCATTCTCCTGCCTCAGCCTCCCTACAGGCACCCACCATCACACCCGGCTAATTTTTTTTTTTTTTTTTTGTATTTTTAGTAGAGACAGGGTTTCACCGTGTTAGCCAGGATGGTCTCAATCTCCTGACCTCGTGATCCGCCCACCTCGGCCTCCCAAAGTGCTGGGATTACAGGTGTGAGCCACTGTGCTCGGCCAAAACTTTGTCTTTATAGCTCAAAATTTCCACAATACTTTGACATGTATTGTTATTTGATCCACTGAGAAGTGAGGATTACTGCCATATCAAAAATGAAGAAATTCAGACCAAGAGAAGTTAAGTTCAATAAAACAAATGTTTACTGGCTATCTATGTGCCAGCCATACACCCTGTTAAGCTGAGGATATAGTGATGAATATGGGCCACTGTCAGCTGTTCATAGATAAGTAGTGAAGACAAATAATTGCAAGACTGGTAAATGTTATAAAAAGGTGTTTGACAGTCCCATCGGGGGTGAGATGGGAGGCAGTAACAGATCATCAGACATTAGATTCTCATAAGAAGTACACAACACAGATCCCTCGCATGGGCAGTTCATAACAGGGTTCACACTCGCATGAGAATCTAATGCTGTCGCTAATTAGACGGAGCTCAGGAGGTAATGTTAGCGATGGGGAGTGGCTGCAAATACAGATAAAACTTCACTCAGTTGCCCACCACTCACCTCCTGCTGTGCGGCCCAGTTCCTAACAGGCCACAGGGACGCCTGTTCTAAAAGATACCTGAGCCTTGACTAGCAGTTGGCAATAGATACAGGGAGATCATTTCAGAGGCTGCTATAATGTAGTAATAGTTAACATTTATGAAGTGTTCTGCTACACACTGGCTAAACACTCTATAGGAATTGTCTTCTTTAATGTGCCTAACAGCACTTCAAGGTAAATAGAGCTGGTCATGGACTTACTGTAGTTTCGCTTAAGCTTTTTGGCTTTACAATGGTTCAAAAGCAACACATATTCAGTAGAAACTTTACCCATACAAACATTCTGTTTTTCACCTTCAGTACAGTATTCAACGAATTACATGAGATATTCAACACTTGTAGGCCTTATGTTAGATGATTTTGCCCTATTGTACGCTAATAAATTAAGTGTTCTGAGCACCTTTAAGGTAGGCTAGGCTAAACTACCATGTTTGGTAGGTTAGGTGTATTAAATTTATTTCCAACTTCTATTTCCTTTTCTAAGAGACAGGGTTTCACTCTTTTGTCCAGGCTGGAATACAGTGGAGTGATCATAGCTCACTGCAGCCTCGAACTCCTGAGCTCAAGCAATCCTCCCACTTCAACCTCCCCAGTAGCTGGGACTACAAGCACATACCACCACACACTGCTAATTTAAAAAAAAACTTTTTTTTTTAAGACACAGGGGTTTCATTATGTTGCCCAGGCTGGTCTCGAACTCTGGGCCTCATATGATCCCTCCCACCTCAGCCTCCCATGTAGCTACATTTACAGGCATGAGCCACTGTGCCTGGCTCTCAATTTATGGTACTTTCAATTTATGATGGGTTTATCAGGATATAACCCCACCCTAAGTTGAGAAGCATCTATATATAATTATGATCCCCATTTTTCGGATGTAGAAAAATGAGGTACACAAGTTATAGCTTGCCTAAATTCACCCAGCTCATAAGTGGTCGTCTTAATCCAGAGCCCTTGTTCTTTTTTCTTTTTGAGACAGAGTCTTGTTCTTGTCTCCCATGCTGGAGTGCAATGGCACAATCTCGGCTCACTGCAACCTCTGCCTCCTGGGTTCAAGTGATTCTCCTGCCTCAGCCTCCCAAATAGCTGGGATTACAGACACCCGCCACTACACCGAGCTAATTGTTTGTATTTTTAGTAGAGACGGGGTTTCACCAGGTTGGCCAGGCTGGTCTCAAACTCCTGATCTCAGGTGATCCAGCCACCTCGGCCTCCCAAAGTGCTGGGATTACGGGCGTGAGCCACCATGCCCTGCCGAGCCCTTGTTCTTTTTTTTGGAGACGGAGTCTCACTCTATTGCCAGGCTGGAGTGCAGTGGTGCAATCTTGGTTCACTGCAACCTCCACCTCTGGGGTTCAAGTGCTTCTCCTGCCTCAGCCTCCCAAGTAGGTGGGACTTCAGGCATGTGCTACCACACCCGGCTAATTTTTGTATTTTTAGTAGAGATGGGGTTTCACCATGTTGGCCAGGCTAGTCTCGAGCTCCTGACCTCAGGTGATCCACCCACCTCGACCTCCCAAAGTGCTGGGATTGCAGGCGTGAGCCACCATGCCCTGCCGAGCCCTTGTTCTTAACATTACTATATCAGGCCTCTCCCAGCAGTCTAGATGAGATGATGGTCATTTAGACAACAGTAGTGGGAATGAGAAATAAAAAAAGTGTCTAAGGTACACCTGTCTGATTTAGTGACTGACAGGAAGTCTGGTGGCAAAAGAAAGGGAGAAGTTAATAATGACAGCTAGATTTGAACAAATGGAGAATTTTGGTGAAATACCAGGTTTGAATGGAAAAGATAATGAATTAGTTTTGTTCTGAACAAAAGACATCTCAGAGATATCTAGAAAGAAGAAAAAAAAGGATATATCAGCTTAAAGGACAGAAAGGTCTAGGATATATCAGTTTAAAGTCAGAAAGGTCTGGGCTGGAAATATAGATTTGAGAGACCTTACCATATAATTGAAGTTACTGAAGAGATGGAAGAGTATGAGGCCACTTGGACAAATATGTAGAATGAAGAAAGGACTAAAACATAATCCTGAGGAAATGAACATTAGGAATCAAAGGAGACTGACATGGAGTGGCCAGGAGTAGGAGGGTCACATAGGGTAAGCTGTAGTGCACCTAGTTTCAGTGCTCTTCCACTCAAGTGCCTAAATACGGTGACAGGGCTGCACAGACATAGTATTTATGGTTCTAGTGCCTTTACAGCCCCCACCCCCTAAAAGAGACAAAGACAGAGAATTCTTTTTTTTTTCTTAAGACGGCATCTCACTTTGTCACCCAGGCTGGAGTGCAGTGGCGCCATCTCAGCTCACTGCAACCTCTGCCTCCGGGTTCAAGCAATTCTCCCGCCTCAGCCTCCCACGTACATGGGATTACAGGCACCCGCCACCACACCTGGCTAATTTTTGTATTTTTAGTAGAGACGGGGTTTCACCATGTTGGCCAGGCTGGTCTCGAACTCCTGACCTCAAGTGATCTGCCTGCCTCAGCCTCCCAAAGTGCTGGGATACAGGCATGGGCCACCATGCCTGGCCAAGTTTCTATTTGATGCTTACATATCAGCAGGACTTTTCTTTGATAATCTAACAACCAGACTCCAAACTGAACAAATATGCAATGTCAGCAATTAGGATTCTCTGAAATAATTTCTAGGCTGCAAAGTAACCAAATATCCCATACACTACATTCCGGTACTATCTGGAGAAGGAACTGCTCTACATAGAGAAGCTATTATGTGCTGGATAACATACTAAATCCTTTATATCCATTACCTCATTTATTGTTGCTATGAACACATAAAAAGGAAGATATATTAGCCTCATTTTAAAGATGAGAAATATGAGGATCAAACAGAGAAGTTGCCTTTTTCTTTATTTTTTTTTAAAGAGAAGGGGTCTCCCTCTGTCACCCAGGCTAGAGTTCAGTGGCATGATCATAGCTCGCTACAGCCTCAAACTCCTGGGCTTAAGCAATTCTCCTACCTCAGCCTTCCAAGTAGATGGGACTACAGGTGCATGCCACCACACCCTCCTGATTTTTTAAAAATTTTTTATTTTTGTATGGACTTGGTCTTGCTATGTTGCCCAGGCTGGTCTGGAACTCCTGGCCTCAAGGAGTTGCTTGAGGTCGAGGCAGCAGCATCTCGAGTCCAGTTCAAAACCAATCTGGGCAACCCAGTGAGACCTCATCTTTACAAAAAATTTAAATAATTAGCCAGATGTGGTGCCACATGCCCATACTCCCAGCTACTCAGGGGATAAGGTAGGAGGACACCTCAGGCTGGGAGGTGGAAATTGCAGTGAGCCATGATCGTGCCACTGCACCCCAGGCTGGACAACAATGCAAAACCCTGTCTCCAAAAAAAAAAAAAAACCCAATAAGATCAAAAACAGGACAGTGAAAGTTCCAAAAGTTACCAAGTTTATTTATTATGTCCCATATCTCAATGGAGTGTCTAATCATAAAAATGCTAAAATTAACACATATTTTTGTTCTTTAGGATGTTCTAATCTCATATTAATCTGATCAGATTATCATCTAACTCCTCTAAAACAACATGTCTGTCTCTTTTTCTGTACACTTACGACAAGCGTATCAATAAGCCTAGTGCCTAAGACTAAGGTAAAACAAATAACCATTCTTTGTCTCATAAATAATTCTGGGCAATGACAGCAGAACAAAATAAGTACATCCTATAAAATCTTCTTCTTGGTGCCTTCTAATTCCCCTGCCTCAGTAAACCCATTTCAGTAGTGCTCTTGATCCCATTACCTCCTTCTGCACCATGCTCCACCCGTTAATCTTTTTTTAAGAGACAGGGTCTCACTATGTGGCCCCCTATGTGGCCCAGGCTGTTCTCAAACTCCTGGGCTCAAGCAATCCTCCTGTCTCAGCCTCCCAAAGTGTTGGATTACAGGCTGAGCCACCGCGCCGGGTCTGCAGTTTACAACCGAAAAAAACAAACAAACCTTTCCCAAATCTTCTCTGACCCTTAAGCCACTGCCCCACTTTCCCTGTATAACATATTCCCAGAGTCTAGTATGGTGCCTGGGGTATGTCAGTAAGGATTAATACCTCTCTAGTTAATCTCTTTGTGTGAAAAAGGGGGGAAATTTTTTCTTTCTTTTTTTTTTTTTTCTGAGACGAAGTCTCACTCTGTCGCCCAGGCTGGAGAGCAATGGAGCGATATCGGCTCACTGCAACCTCCGCCTCCCGAGTTCAAGTCATTCTCCTGCCTCAGCCTCCCGAGTAGCTGGGATTACAGGCACGCGCCACCACGCCGGCTAATTTTTGTATTTTTAGTATAGATGGGTTTTCGCCATGTTGGCCAGGATGGTCTCGAACTTCTGACCTCAGGTGATCCGCCCACATCAGCCTCCCAAAGTGCTGGGATTACAGGCGTCAGCCACCGCGCCCGGCCCCAAATTTTCGACTATATTCTTAGAAACCAATTCTTTCCACGCAGAGCTCGACAGCTCGAAACGCTGGGGATATTCATAAGTGCCCAGCTGAGGGTATGAGGCCTGCTCGCTATTTTATCAATTTCGGAGAGAGCGCATCGATACTGCCTGCCTGGAGGCTTTGCTGGGAACTAGAAATTCTGAGTCTTCCCCTCCCCAGCAGCCTGTTCCTTTCCTCCAAAGGACGGTTCGCAGAACAGGAACAGAGGGCTCAGCGGCCCCTGGGCGGAAGACAGTTTATAAAGGAGAAAATGAAGAAGGTGGGTAATGCAACGAGGTGAAAAGAAACGTTCCTACTGGCGAGAAAATGAATAATGATATTGGTCTCCTTCGCCCTGTAAGGAGCCAACCAACCTACCTACAGTACCTCCTTTCCTCACTCGCGCCTTCCCTTCTTCTGGGCAGCGAACACGTTTCTATCGCGTGAGCTACCTCTTCCGGGGTTCCTGGGTGACAAGTTCCGGATCAAGAATCACAAAGCGAGCAGTCATTCTTCCTCTTGCCACACCCACAGGGCCCGCACTAAGAGCCTAACTGAAATCCCGCGAGGATCAACCGAGCTCGCCGAAAGGAGGGAGGAACGTATCCCTTCTGGAGGCTGTCTCAGGGGGCAGAGGGACCGGACCGGAAGTGACGTGAGCGGGTTCCGGTTGTCTGGAGCCCAGCGGCGGGTGTGAGAGTCCGTAAGGAGCAGCTTCCAGGATCCTGAGATCCGGAGCAGCCGGGGTCGGAGCGGGTAGGTAAACTAACTCAGGGAATTGGGGACCGAAGCCTGAGGCTGTCCTCAGAGCTTGGCGTCTTCCGGAGCTCTCCCACTTAGGCATTGCGGATCTGGGGCACTGTGATTCCGACTTCCAGCAGTGTTTTAGGACGCTGCTGACTGGATGTCTCACCCTGGATGTCTCACGCTGGCGGTAGCCAGGTTATTTGGGACACCTTCTCATGGTTGGTCACCCGGACATTGAACCCAGACACCGGGCTGTTCGTTCTCCTCTCCGCGTACTTGGAAGCCTTGCTAGGCTTCTTTAGAGAACCTCTTAGTCCCGGGATGTCCAGGACCTTGGAGTAAGTGGAGAAGGTCTTCCCTGCTGATGACTGAGCTATTTCTCAGGATCTGTCAGTTTGGTTTTTGCTCTCCCGAACCTCTGGCGCATGATGCTAGATGTATTCGCTCCTAAACGAAATCCAGGCGTGCAAGTGCCATCTAAAGCTCTGGTGGTACAGGGTAGCCAAGGGAATGGGCCTTCGCTCCGCAGAGCCCTTGGAGAGGAACTTCTCAGATTTTTCACTGCTTTAATGAAAAAGAGTTGTCTGCCTTTCCAAACCCCTGAACCCCGACCTCTATATCTTATTACAGTGGAGGTATTTGCAGTAAAACGTGAAGGTCGACTTAATCTCTAAAATTCCAGAAACCATATGTGGCCCTGTGTCACACTGCTAGATTACTTATGACCTCCAGAAGATTTTACACAATCATCTTTTATTTACCTGCAACTCCATGTAAAAATCTAATAATACACGTAGACTGGCCACTGTTGATGTGTTTTGGCAGCATCGCTCCTTATCCTAATGTTAACGTCTTTCATTTCTACTTTGGGGCTTGTCAGAGATTTTTGTGGACAGATTACATTGATCATTTGAAGAAGCTTGTACAAGTGTTTCTGGTGTTGTCATGATAGAATTTAATATTCCAGTTGCTACTACCTAGTAATTGTATTGTCATTAGCTCTGATTTTAGTTGTGTATTCTTAGCATAGATGATGAAAGGAAGAAACTTACTTACTAGGCATCATTGTATGCATTGTAGCTTATGTTTTTACTGTGGAAGAGGGATGGTGGTACCTAGACAAATGTGACTGATTTGTGTAGGTATGAAGTGACTCTCTCGAGTAGAAATTTTATATTTTACTACTTTGCCTACATTATCTTAAGGCACTGAAGGTTACTTTTTTCCTTTGAGGGATATATCCTACTTGATTACAATTGATTAATACAGTTTAATTTCTATGAGTCACATTCCAGAAGAAAATATACATAGAACCATGATGCCTTTTACCAGTTTACCTATAGCTAGTTAAATCAGTTTGTCAGTTTACATATTTTTCTTATTTTGAGTTTGAAAATTTGTTCACGCTTGGCTTTGAAACAAGGTGACAAAATTTGAGATATGGAATTATGATAGATGTATCATTAGTTTAACATTCGGTAAATTTGCTTCTTGATTATATAACTGCCAAATCTGATCTTATCTTCTTTATGTTCAATTGAAGGACTGATTATCCAGTTTTTCTCACTTTTCCAACTTCTCGCTTTTGGCTTGAATCACCACTTTTTAGGATTTTGGTAACTATTAAACTTTAAATCAGAAGACCTGGATTGAAGTCTGGGCTCCAACACTTGTTAAGTAATGGCTGATAGGTTACCTAACATTCTGAGCTGGTCTAGATTGTGTTGATAAAAATTCTGCTCACTTTCTTTCATACAACTGTCACAAAGATTAAATGAGCTAGTAAACATGAAATTATTAAATATGAAAATATGGTATCACTTTACTCTTAGAACTGGAGATATGTCAGTGTAGAATACTGTTACTTTGCATCATTATCTGAAAATATTATCACATACTTTTCTGAGATGATCTTTGCCCCACCTTTGAAAGTTAGCAAAGAATAGTTTGATACCGTGATCCATTGAATTAGTCACCATGGTTAATAAATAGGTTCCTGGAAAATGAGTATAGTTTTGCATTCGGGAGTTTAAATCTGATCCTTTTTGGTCGTCATGTATTGTCACTTCAGAACTTCCAAGTGCAGAAAAAGCTGAAGTTTTTTGCCTACGTATAGTTAACTAAAGAGTAGAAGTAGTCCTATCTTACTTACATTAAATAAGAAACCTTATTATTGGGCCGGGCGCGGTGGTTCACGCTTGTAATCCCAGCACTTTGGGAGGCCGAGTTGGGCGGATCACGAGGTCAGGCGATCGAGACAATCCTGGCTAATACAGTGAAACCCTGTCTCTACTAAAAATACAAAAAATTAGCCGGGCGTGGTGGCAGGCGCCTGTAATCCCAGCTACTCCGGAGGCTGAGGCAGGAGAATGGCGCGAACCCAGGAGGCGGAGCTTGCAGTGAGCCGAGATTGCGCCACTGCACTCCAGCCTGGGAGACAGAGCCAGACTCCGTCTCAAAAAAAAAAGAAACATTATTATTTCACTGAAACCAATATTTAGAATTAGAAGGAATCTCTGTGAATGTATAAGTAGATTCCCATTTAACAGAGGAGAAAATTAAGGCTCAGAAACAATCAGTAATTAGTAATTGGCTTGCTTGAGGTCATCTGGCTTAGGTAGTGCTAGAACCTGAACTGTAAGGTCTCAAGTGTTCTTTCTGTTCTAACAAGGTTGTATCCAGGCATCTTATTATGGTTTGGTAATATTTCCAAGTTCACATGAAAATAATTACTCTTAGGTATTAAAGGGATCTATCCACATACACACGTAAATACACACATACGCACATAAGCCTTATTTACAAACTTTTTTTCCCTCTTTAGCTAGTTTAGTCTTATAAATTGTAGCATAACAAAAACTGTGCTTGGCTAGATTTGAAGTGTAATAGATTAAGGAAAGAAAATCAGTTATATTCTTCAGAATAGTTTGTCTGAGTTCATGCTTCATGACTGTCATGTGTTGAGTTATCTTTCTGGCAAGTGGAAATGACGGAGGAGCCTTAACACGTGTCTACTGTGAATGTTGTTGCTAAAGAGTAGGAGAGAACTGGCCAGGCGCCGTGGCTCACGCCTGTAATCCCAGCACTTTGGGAGGCCGAGGCGGGAAGATCACCTGAGATCAGGAGTTTGAGACTAGCCTGTCTAACATGGTGAAACCCGGTGTCTACAAAAAATACAAAAAAATTAGCTGGGTGTGGTGGCAGACGCCTGTAATCCCAGCTACTCAGGAGGCTGAGGCATGAGAATCGTTTGAACCCGGGAGGCGGAGGTTGCAGTGAGCCGAGATCGCGCCACTGCACTCCAGCCTGGACAACAGAGCGAGACTCCATCTCAAAAAAAAAAGAGAAGAAAATAAAAGAAAAGCAGTAGGAGAGAACTGTATTATTTGCTCTTACAAAAAAAAAAACCTCCCCAAGCTGTTTGTAATTTTAATATTTTGTTATGTTAATTATCTATTATATATAGAGCCATTTCTCTAGTTATTTTATTCTGGGTAAATAGCCATTGTAGAAGAGTTAATTCTTTGCATTGTTGGGTACTCTTTTTTTTTGGTTCCATTGATTTAACAAACTTTTTAGTCTCTTTAGTCTTTCTCGGAGATGATAGTTCTAGGTGCTACTGTCATTCCTGTTTTTGCCCAAGTGCCCTTGCTGTGTCTCCCATTTTGGTGTGGAAATGAACTCTAGATTAGAGAATCCTAATAAACAGGACAAATTGAAGTGATAACTTTGTCGTGGTTTTGTAAATTGTTACTCTGCTTTCACAAAGCCTTGCAAATATTTTGAGGAATAGTAAATTGCTAAGAGCATATTGCCTCAAGAAATTCCTTATTTTATATGGGAAAGCAGCTTTGGATGGAGTTTGCTGAACTGAAGTTAGGTATTATGTAGGCCCTTATATAAAGCTTATTTTAAAATATGCTCCTTGATTTGCAGCATCAAGGAAATTTGAACAGGAGATAATTTTCTGTGTCAGATAAAAGGTGATACTTAAAGTTTAAGGCATATTTAAATTAAGCAAGGGCAATCTATTGAGTAATTATATCACAGCTAATATACCTATAATTGCTCAAGAGTTTGTTTGTATTCTTGAACTACTTAATCTTTTCAGTAGTTCATGGGAGTATTTTCTCTTGTCCTTGAGTTTTTTAATGATAACTTTGTTCTTTATAGATTACCTGGAAGGACTAGGCAGGTAGTGTTAAAAGCCAGGGCTATAAAGCTAGACTGCTTTTTTTCAAATTCTAGCTCTATTACTATGCAACTCTTGGATTAGTTACTTTTTACTTCTTGCTATCTCAGTTTCCTCCTGGACAATGAAGTCAATACCCTTCTTGTTAGGATTGAATGAATAGGTTTAAATAAAGCATTTAGAACAGTGTCTGTAGCATATAGTTAACCATGATTGTGATCATTATCATCATGTGGCCCCCTAAGCTATTGCCAAGAACTCTTTCCCAGCCCTCTTTTAAAAGCATAGCTTTATGTTGCTGCTTACTTAATTATTGTTTGCTCATTATTAATGAAGTTCCAGTAAATAAATATCTGAGTATACACTTCACTTTGTCTATATTTTACAACATATGTGAGATTCTTAACCAAATGAGGCATTCTTTTGGGCCATTCTGTTAACTTTTTGGTATTAACAGACTACATTATCTGTGTAAGCCATAACACAGAATTTGGCAATTGAAACTTTTGATGTTTCATGATGTCTTTTAGCACTTTCTTGGAATGGAAAGATCATTTTCCAGTGACATCTATTGCCTTATCTGTTCATTATCCAGTCAGTGAACAAACATTTTGTGTCCCAGGCCTTACACCAGGTTCTGGGGAAAACAATGGGAAATAAGAATTGTTAGGAAGGCAGCACATGAGGGTCTAAGAGAGAGTTAACAATGTGGATATATGCTTATTTGAGGCTGGAGCATAATAGACTTGGAATACATTGACATGAGATGATATAGGAAATATATACAGGATCCAGGTCATGCAGAATTTTGCAGGCCAAGGGAATGAGTTTGAATTTGATTTTGAGTGCAGTAGGAAATCATTCTACAATTTTAAGTAGAGGAGTAATAGGATTTATAAGAAGTTCATTGTTGTTCATGTGTGAAGGATGAATTGAAGCGGGCAAGAACAGAAATGGAGAGAGAAGTTGAGAGTCCACTGCATAGTCCAAGAAGAAGATGAAGATGGTCTGGACTAGAAGGGTAGCAAAGAAGATGGACAGTTGTGTGTGGATACCAAATATATTTGGTATAGGACTTGGTCCTGGGTTAGATGAGTGGTAAGAAAAAGGGAAGTGTCAGGGATGACTAAGCTTCTGGATTTAGTGACTGGGTGGGTGGTTGTGCCAGGTACTGGGAGAAGGGAGGTTTGGAGAAGACCAGGTTTGTTTGTTACAAGAAGGTGGGTAGGTGTAGGGAGAAAAGGACATGTTAATTTTGAGACACTTAAAGAATCATCTATGGACACAGGAGGGGGGACATCACACACCGGGGCCTGTTGTGGGTTGGGGGAAGGAGGGAGGGATAGCATTAGGAGATATACCTAATGTAAATGACGAGTTAATAGGTGCAGCACACCAACATGGCACATGTATACATATGTAACAAACCTGCACATTGTGCACATGTACCCTAGAACTTAAAGTATAATAATAATAATAATAATAAATCATCCAAGTCACGCACTTACATATATAAATCTAGAGGTCAAAACCAGAAATACAAATACGGGATAGTATTTTCAACCATGGACCAGATGAGTCACCTGGGGAGATAGGGAGAGGAGAGGGCCAAGGGCAGGTAAAAGAAAGATCTGGGCTGGATGCAGTGGCTCACTCCTGTAATCCCAGAACTTTGGGAGGCTGAGGTGGGTGGATCGCTTGAGTCCAGGAGTTCGAGACCAGCCTGGACAACATGGCAAAACCCCATCTCTCTTTTTTTTTTTTTTTTTTTGTTAAAAAAAAGAGAGACTTTTTTTTTTAACAAAACGGAGACTAAGAAGGTATCTTAGGGCTGGGCACAATGGTTCACACCTGTAATCCCAACACTGAGAGGCCAAGGTGCGCAGATCACTTGAGGTCAAGAGTTCAAGATCAGCCTGGCCAACATGGTGAGACCCCATCTCTACTAAAAATACAAAAATTAGCTGGGCGTGGTGGTGGGCACCTGTAATCCCCACTGCTAGGGAGGCTGAGGCATTAGAATCGCTTGAACCCGGGAGGCAGAGGTTGCAGTGAGCCAAGATCGTGCCACTGCACTCCAACCTGCGCAACTGAGCGAGACTCCGTCTTAAAAGGAAAAAAAAAAAAAAAAAAAAAGAAGGTTTCTTAGTCCGTTTTCTGTTGCTTATACCAGAATACCCGAAACTGGGTAATTTATAAAGAAAAGGAATTTAATTTTTATAGCCGTGGAAGCTGAAAAGTTCAAGATCGAGTGGCCACATTGGGTAAGGGCCTTCTTGCTGGAGGGACTCTGCAGAGTGCCGAGAGTATCACATGGAGGGGGAGCTGAGTGTGCAAGCTCAGTTCTCTTTTTCTCTGCTTATAAAGCAACCAGTCCTACCCCCATGATAACCCATTAATCCATTAACCCATTAATTTATGAATGGATTAATTCATTCATAAGGGCAGAGCCTCCGTGACCCAATCACCTCTTAAAGGCCTTGTCTCACTCTACTGCCACATTAGGGGTTAAATTTTAACATGAGTTTTGGAGGGGACACATACTCAAACAATAATAGGAGTGTTTGAAAGAAGAAAGGTCAGATACACAAAACTAATAAAAGTGGTTACATCTAGCAGGGAGAGTGGGGAGCAAGGTTTTTCACCTTTTTCAAATGTATATATATAATTATTTTAAAGCACATGAAAGTTGTTCTTGCGTTTTTGTTTTTGTTTTTGGTGGGGGGTGGGGGCGGTGCAGGGAGAGGGCTTTGAGCCAGGATCTCTGTCACCCAGGCTAGATTGTTAGATTGCAGTGGCACGATCACAGCTCTCTGCAACCTTGACCTCCTAGGCTCAAGCAATCCTCCCACCTCAGCCCCCTGAGTACCTGGGACCACAGATACCATGAGGTGCATGCCACCACACAGGAGTAATTTTTTAATTTTTTTGGTAGGGATGGGGTCTTGTTATGTTGCCCAGGCTGGTCTTGAACTCTGGCACTCAAGTGATCCTCTCACCTTGGCATCCCAATGTGCTGGGATTACAAGCATGAACCGCTGTGCCTGGCCTATTTCTGTATTCTCTATTCTTTTCCATTGGCTTCTAACTATCCTTTTACCAATATCACACTGTCATGATTACTGTAGATTTATAGTAATTGTTGACATCAGTTAGTGCAAGTCCTTCAACTTTGTTCTTTATCCCAATTGTTTTCGCTACTCTAAGTTTTTGCATTTCTATAAATATTTGAATTGCTTTTTTTATAAAGCTTGCTTGAATTTGATTGATCTTCATTAAGGCTATACATCACTTTGAGGGATTTATTAGTGTGTTTTCACACTGCTATAAAGGTACTACCTGAGACTGGGTAATTTATAAAGGAGAGAGGTTTAATTGACTCACAGTTCTGTATGGCTGAGAAGGCCTCAGGAAACTTACAATCATGGTGGTAGGGGAAACAGGAACCTTCTTCACAAGGCAGCAGAAGAGAAAATAGTGTGAAGGAGGAATTGTCAAACACATAACCATCAGATCTCGTGAGAACTCACTCACTATCATGAGAACAGCATGGGGGAAACGGCCCCCATGATCCAATCACCTCCCTCCCTCAACATGTGGGGATTACAGGACCCTCCCTGGACACATCGGGATTACAGTTTAGGTGGGGACACAGAGCCAAACCGTTTCAGGGGAAATTGACATAGTAACAATATCAAGTCTTCCAAACAATCAACAAAACATGCTAATCATTTATTTAGGCTCTGTATAATTTATTTTCTTTCTTTATTTCGTTTTAGATTTTGCTTATATTTTGTTAAATTTGTCTCTAAATATTTTATATTTTCAGATGTTACTGAATCTGAAATTTTAAAAAATTATTCCAAGTATGTAATAGTCCAATTTTTATTCCAAGTATATGGTGGAAAGTATTAGTTTTGATCTTTTATCCTGTGACCTTGCTAAATTCACTTTGTTCTAGTAGTTCTGAGCATTTAAAATTTTTCTTTTATTTTGGCCTGTGTTATTTAGGACTGTGTGCATTAACTTCTAACTACCTAGAAAATTTTTTATTTTTTTTTTGTACTAAAGGTTGACATAATTTCTGGCTTATCAGAGATTGTCATTTATAATGCCCATTCTTAGCAATTTTTTGAGACTTGTTTCTTAGCTTATTCATAAGTGTGGCTCATGAAAAAGTTCAGTATCCCTACAGTGGTGTTGCTTTAGAGTAGAAAGAATAGAGGATATAAATGTCAGAGCAAGTGTTCACCCAGACTTTTCCAAGTCCAAATTCGGTAGTTCTTCTACTTTAGTGTACACAACAGTCCAGTGAGAGTATTTTCACCCCAGTTATACAAGTGCAAATGCCCCAGGTATTTAGGGACAGTAAAGTAGGGAGTTTCAGATAGTTTCATAGATACTACGTGAGTTTCGTAGATACTTTAAGTACTAAGAATCAATAGGGATGAGTGTTCTGTTAATTCTAGTAATGGGGAACATTTGAAAATACTAGGACAAGCTAAACTTCTGGGACTGTTTTTTCATCTTGTGTGTATATGTGACTCTGGAATTCCTCAGTGACCACTGAAAATCCTCTCACTGGACTGTTTTGTATAGTAGAAGAACTATTGAATTTGGACTTGGAAAAGCGAGGTTGAACTCCTGCTTTGACATTTATATGCTGCCGACTTGCTATTTGGGGCCCTTGGAGCACTCAGTTTCTCATTTGCTAAAAGCAAGGATAAAAATAACAGTCCCTTACAGATGGCTGTTAGCATTATGTTTGTTAACCTATTTTTAAACTATAAATCACTATACAAAAGTAGTTGTTATTACATACATCCAAAACTCTACCCTTGTGCTAGTTGGAATTTTTTTTTACAACTAGAAAGGAAATTATTGCACTCATTTACTCCATGTGACTAATAACTGAATGAGGAAAAAGAGAATCAGGCATGTGAAGTGACAATGCCAAGGTCTCACTCTTAGCCAAATCTCCCAACTCTAGTCTGGTATTCCTTCATTATCTTAATTCTTGACCTTACTCTTAGTCCTCCAATTTTTATTTTTTTTTATTTTTTTTTGAGACGGGGTCTCGCTCTGTCGCCCAGGCTGGAGTACAGCGTTGCGATCTCGGCTTATTGCAAGCTCCGCCTCCCGGGTTCACGCCATTCTCCTTCTTCAACCTCCCGAGTAGCTGGGACTACTGGCGCCCACCACCACGCCCGGCTAATTTTTCATAGACACGGAGTTTCACTGTGTTGGCCAGGATGGTCTTGATCTCCTGACCTCGTGATCCGCCCGCTTCGGCCTCCCAAAGTGCTGGGATTACAGGCATGAGCCACCGCGCTCGGCCGGTCCGCCATCTTTTTGATGAAAATGTTTTGCTAAGATTGCATTGGTTATGAAAAACTGCAGGAACATTTAGAAGTAGATTAAGAGAAAATGAGAAATGGGATTTTTCTTTTTCTAATCTCTTTTTTTTTGGAGACACACTCTTGCTCTGTCACCCAGGCAGGAGTGCAGTGGCACTGTCTAGGCCCACTGCAACCTCCACCTCCCAGGCTCAAGCGATTCTTGTGCCTCAGCCTCCCAAGGAGCTGGGACTACAGGCCTGCACCACCACTCCCAGCTAACTTTCGTATTTTTGGTACAGACAGGGTTCCACAGTGTTGGCCAGTCTGGTCTGGAACTCCTGGCCTCAAACGATCCTCCTACCTCCCACCTCTGGTACAGTGGCTCATGCCTGTAATCCCAGCACTTTGGGAGGCCAAGGCAGGAGGATCACCTGAGGTAAGGCATTTGATAACAGCCTGACCAACATGGAGAAACCTTGTCTCCACTAAAAACACAAAAATTAGCTAGGCATGGTGGTGCGTGCCTGTTATCCCAACTACTCCAGAGGCTGAAACAGGAGAATTACTTGAACCTGGGAGGTGGAGTTTGCAGTAAGCCGAGATGACACCACTACACTCCAGCCTGGATGACAGAGCAGAGCAAGACTTTGTTTTAAAAAGAAAAAAAAAAATCAGACCCAGGGCAGTTTATAATTTTTCAACAATTAGAAACCTGTGATGAGTTGAGTGTATTTTATACATCACTAGATTTAAGTTGAGGAACTTTTTAGGCCAGAAATACCCTCTTTACCTGCTGATCCATTATTGGGAGATTAATGGAGATTCTGAATGTTTTTAAATTGCATCCTAATTTGGGGTTTTGTCTAATTCCCCAAGACTGACTGACTGACTTCCTTTCTTCCTTCCCTCCCTCCTTTTTTTTTTTTTTTTTTTTTTTTTTTTGTGAGACGGAGTCTCGCTCTGTCACCCAGGCTGGAGTGCAGTGGCACAATCTCAGCTCACTGCAACCTCTGCCTTCTGGGTTCACGCCATTCTCCTGCCTCAGCCTCCCAAGTAGCTGGGATTACAGGCGCCTGCCACCACGCCCGGCTGATTTTTTGTACTTTTAGTAGAGATGGGGTTTCACCATGTTAGCCAGGATGGTCTCAATCTCCTGACCTCGTGATCTGCCCGCCTCGGCCTCCCAAAGTGCTGGGATTACAGGTGTGAGCCACCGTGCCCGGCCCCTCCTTTCTTTTCTTTTCCTTTCTCTTAACACGGTCTTACTCTGTCACCCAGGTTGAGGTGCAGTGCCACAATCATAGCTCACTGCAACCTCAAGCTCCTGGACTCAGGCAGTCCTCTGGTCTCAGCCTCCCAAGTAGCTGGGACTACATGCACATACCACCACACCTGGCTAATTGTTTTTGTTTGTTTGTTTGTTTTGTTTCATTTTTTTCTTTTAAGAGATGGGGTCTCACTGTGTTTCCCAGGCTGGTCTGGACCTCCTGGCCTCAAATGATCCTCCTGCCTCAGCCTCCCAAAACGATAGGGTTATTACAGGTGTGAGCCATCACACCCAGCCCTCCCCAAGACCTTAGAAAGTTGAAAAAAATTCAAGAATTTTTTTTCATATATCCCCATTCACATTATTATGAATTTTCAGAGTACACATTCTTTAACTGGAACAACCACATGATAGATATACCACAGATAGACATATCAGATGACACTCTGATATGTCTGATAGTTACTCTGATATTGTGCATTTTATTTGAATTATCTTTGGCCTTATACCCCTGCACAAGTGGAAAACTATATCAAAGCCTCGTTTGTCAAGATATATTACTCAGATTAGTTATTTTGTTTCCAAGAGTAGATCACAATTCCTTAATCTTAACAGTTTTAGGGAAATCTACAGCTATTTTGGAGTAGTCTAATCCAATTAAGAAAAGATACTTCTGGAGGTTGAGGCCAGAGCATCGCTTGAGCCCAAGAGTTCCAGCCTGTGGTGACCTGTGACCATGCTACTGCACTCTAGCCTGAGTGACAGAGGAAGACCCTGTCACAAACAAACAAACAAACAAACAAATAGATACTTCTGAAAGCAAGAAAGGTTACTGAGAAGCATAATACTTATTGGCTATCTTTGTGTGCCTTGTATGAAGAACAATGTGTTTTATTGAGCACACTGACATAATTTTTTTTTGAGAAAGTAAAATTCATCTGGATAGATGATTTTTTTTTTTAAAGAAAGTATGTTCGTTTTATTTTGGGATGATGTTGCCAAGAAAATGAAAATCAATGGTTTTGTTACTCTCACTTTCTTTTCCTTTTCTACCTTGTTAACTGTTCCAATAACTCTTATGTTACTCAGGGAGATGCTTTTATCATGTTATCCATAAATGTTTTTTGTTTTGCTTGGTGGGGGACTCTCAGTAATTTACTTGCACATTGTTTCTGTATTACAAGTGTGACTAATGTTTAAAATGAATGGAGTATTATAGTCTTAGCACTGGATATACAGCCTACAAAGAACCTTTGTGAGCTGATTTTTGCAGTGTTTTCTAAGCACTTCTGCAGGAAACAAATAAAAAAAACCCCACATTTAATGTTAACTCTGTTTTAAATGCTTCAGCTGCAGTTAAGGTCTGTTACACTCTTTTAATGCATTTCTTGTATCTATATAAGTGTTCAAAATGAAAATTATTTGATGTTTGAGTTATGCTTCTGCCCGGTTTGTGTTCTCAACCCCATCCACAGACCTATAAGATTTGTTTCAGCAACCTCATTCTTACAAACAAAACTAACTTACATACGTGCACTCGGTGCAAAGTAGATGCCATTGAAGGTCAAGAATATGTGTTAGATTTCTGTTTGAGGACATTTCAACATTTTAAACAGACTAGGAATACTTGGATTTACTCCTACATCTAGGAATCTCACTGACATTGTATCATCACAGATTTCAAAAATTATTGCTACTTTATTGAATTTTGAAAAGTGGCTCTCATTAAAAATGATTATTTCATCTTACTTTAGCTATGTGGATAGACTAGAACCCTTTTACCTCATAATAATTTTTGACGGATTGTCCTTGTCTTACATTTCAAGATGTTTAGATTGATGAATAATAATTCATTTTTGTTATTCAACATAAACTAAGATTGTTCTAAATCTGTGGCTACTTCTGTTATGTAGGCTATGGAAACCAGTTACATAGGCTTTTGTATAGCATACTAATATGGAAAGGAAGTACCTGTAAGTGAATACTCAGGGCAGCATTTACCATGATTTTTTTGGAAAATTGTGACATTTGAGAAGCATGGAGATTGATGGGTATGATACTGCATTTAAAAATATTAAACAGCATGGAGAAACTAACATTAAGCGACTGCTATGTGCCAGTCACTGTGTAGTGCACTTATATATTATTTATCTTGGCTGGGCGTGGTGGCTCACACCTGTAATCCCAGCACTTTGGGATGCCGAGGCAGGTGGATCACCTGAGGTCAGGAGTTCCAGACCACCCTGACCAACGTGGTGAAACTCCGTCTCTACTAAATACAAAACATTAGCCAGGTGTGATGGCAGACGCTTGTAATCCCAGCTACTTGGGAGGCTGAGACAGGAGAATCGCTTGAACCCGGGAAGCAGAGGTTGCGGTGAGCCGAGATTGTGCCATTGCACTCAAGCCTGGGCAACAAGAGCGAAACTCCATCTCAAAAAAAAAAAATTATCTTAAAGTAGAGAAGCTAACTTGTTGAGAGTCCCCCAAAGCAAAACAAAAACATGATATAAAAATAGGGATGGGGGCCGGGCGCGGTGGCTCACACCTGTAATCCCAGCACTTTGGGAGGCCAAGGTGGGCAGATCACCTGAGGTCAAGAGTTTGAGATCTGCCTGGCCAACATGGTGAAACCCTGTCTCTACTAAAAATACAAAAATTAGCTGGGTGTGGTGGCACACACCTGTAATTCCAGCTACTCGGGAGGCTGAGGCAGGAGAATCGTTTGAACTCAGGAGCTGGAGGTTGCAGTGAGCCATGATCGCCCCATTGCACTCCAGCCTGGGCGACAAGAGCGAAACTCCGTCTCAAAAAAGAAAAATAAGGATGGGGATATTTTACAAATATGCACAAATGCAAATTATTTAACCTAAAACTAGTAAGTCAGGACGTATTGGCAGCTTTCAGCCACCAAGTTTTCCTTTTTCCCTATAAAATGGGTCATGATGAAGATGATAATAAGTAAGATTAACAGGGTATGTTGATGCTAGATTAGTCACTGTTGCAGTTTGAAGACACATACAGTAAATACATCAGGTTTTTCTGGATAAAAGGTAGTCTAGCTAGACAAGATGGCTCACACCTGTATGTAATCCCAGCACTTTGGGAGGCTGAGACAGGAGGAGCACTTGGTACCCAGAAGATCACTCTGGGTAACATAGTGAGACTCTGTCTCTACAAACAAAACAAAACAAAACAAAACAAAACAAAACAATTCTGCAATCTGGATACCCTTATTTATACTAATCAACATTGTATTGCTCTGCCAGGGTTGTCATAACAGAATACCACAGACAAAACATGGCAAAACCCCATCTATGTTTAAACAACAGAAATTGTTTTTCTCCCAGTTTTGTAGGCTGCAAGTCCAAGATCAAGGTGCCAGCAGGGTTTATTTCTGGTGAGGACTCTCTTCCTGGCTTACAGACAGCCACCTTCTCTCTGTGTCCTTACATAGTCTTTCCTCTGTGTCCAGGTAGAAGAGAAAGCTGTCTGGTACTTCTTCCAATAAGGACGTGAGTCCTTATTAGAGTACCACCCTTATTACCTCATTTAACTTTAATTACCTTCTTAAAGGCAGTATCTCCAAATTATAGTCACATGAGTGTTAGGACTTCACCATATGAATTTGGGGGGGCACAATTCAGCCCATTACAAGCATATACTCTCCTTATAGCTAATCAGCATGAGAAGTCAGATTATAAACAAAATACTATTTGGGAGCATGAACTCAAAGGTGGATGGTAAGATGATCAAAGCCGTTGGTAATCATGATGCTGTGTGCCCCAGTAGATAGGAGATTTATATAGGCTAACTTCTGCTGCACTGTGCTGGAGATAGACTTTCTATTTTGTTTTGTTGAACTTCTCTTTTATCATAAAACCAGTCCCCTTAAATTATTTTTTTCAGGCAGTTTAGTTAATAATTTTATGGTTATGAGCCCAGCCTAATAATGCCCCCCAGTGTAACATAAAAAACGTACAGCAACCTGTACTCCCAATTTGATTAGATTTGAGTCTTAGGCTGGGCACAGTGGCTTATGCCCATAACCCCAACACTTTGGAAGGCCAAGGCTAGCAGATCGCCTGAGGTCAGGAGTTGAAGACTAGCGTGGCCAACATGGTGAAACCCCATCTCTACTAAAAAATACAAAAAAATTAGCCGGGCATGGGGGTACATGCTTGTAATCCCAGCTAGTGGGGAGGCTGAGGCAGGAGAATGGCTTGAACCTGGAAGGTGGCGGTTGCAGTGAGCTGTGATAGCTCCACTGACGGTGGAGGTTGCAGTGAGCTGTGATTGCTCTACTGCATGCCAGCCTAGGTGATAGAGCAAGACTGTCTCAGGAAAAAAGATTTGAGTCTTTAACTCCTAAATCACATTTTGGGGCCAGCTCTTACATTACCTCACTTTTCTAGATTGAGCTTGTCCCTTTCAAAATTCTCAGAAAAATAATTTTTGACTTAGTTTGGAGGGTGGGGTTGTCTTCCCAGTAGGTCAGTGTACTCCTAAGATCACCATTGTATCTGGGTCCTGCCTCCAGGTTTGTCACTAACTTGTTCTGTGACATTATACAAGTCCCTTACCTCTGAGATGTTTATCTGTGAATAAGTAGAATAGGCTTGATATTCTCTAAAGTTCCTTCTGTGATTCTAATTATTCTTACAGCATATTCATAAAGCACTTTCATAAAGCAGTATGGCAACATCATTTTGCCTTTGAAAGAAAGAATTGTCAGTATGTAGAGGGTATTTAAGGCTGAGTGAATAGGTGACATCATTAGGGAGAGAATATAAAGGAACATAAAAAGGAATCTAGGACCAGGCTTTGAAGAACCCCAGGACATAGAGCAGGGGGAGCCGTCAGAGAAATAGGAGGAAAAATGAAAGTATTTCAAGAAATAGGGAGTGGATACTTGTGTTCAGCGAAGGTAAGAGATTCAGTAAGACATGTCCTTTGGATTTGGCAAATGGAGGTAATCGATAATCTTCACAAAAGCAATTTATTTTTATTTGTCGGAGCAGAAGTCATATCACAATGGATCAGGCAGAAATTTGATGATGAGTAAGTGGAGCCTGTATATGTCGGCAACTCTTTTGAGCACTGTTTATGAAGAAGGAATGAAAAATGGGAAATACTGAGTACTTAATTTTCTGGTGAGAATAAAGGGGTAAAGATTGATTACACAGTGAGAACAGAAGGAGCAAAGTCCCTGAGAAGGAGGAAGGAAATGATATATATATATTGACATAATGGCCTTTGGTAAGTAGAGGACACTGCCAAGTCATAAAGAGAGAAAAATGCTGACATGGGTGAAGTGTAAATATTTTAGTAGGCTTAATAGTAGTGGGATTGGTGAATTCTCTCACTGCTTTTGTTATTTAAAAAAATGTAACAGGGCTGGATATGGTTCATGCCTGTAATCCCAGCACTTTGGGAGGCCAAGGCAGGGGGATCACTTGAGCCCAGGAGTTCAAGACCAGCATGGGCAAAATGGGGAAACCCAGTCTCTACTAAAAATACAAAAATTAGCTGGACATGTTAGCATGTTCCTGTAGTTCCAGCTGCTCGGGAGGCTGAAGTGGGAGGATCACTTGAACCCAGGAGGTCGAGGGTGCAGTAAGCCATGATTGCACCACTGCACTCCAGCCCGGGGGACAGAGTGAGACCCTGTCTCAAAAAAAAAAAAAAAGAAAGAAAAGAAAAAGAAAAAAGAAAGTCAATGTCTGAAAATAAGAAAGGAAAAAGGAGGGTAAAACGTTTTGGGAGCAAAAACAAAGAATGAAATAGTTGTCAAAGTAAAAAAAAAGTTTATTAGCAGGAATCATCAATTTTAGGTTTGAGCTTTGGCATCTTAATAACTGGGCTAGGCACAGTGTCTCAAGCCTGTAATCCCAGTACTTTGGGAGGCTGAGATGGGCAGATCACTTGAGCCCAGGAGTTTGAGGCCAGCCTGGACAACATGGCGAAACCCCATCTCTATAAAAATTAGCCTGTCGTGGTGGTGCACACATGTAGTCCCAGCTACTTGGGAGGCTGAGACAGGAGGATTGTTTGAATCCGGGAGGCAGAGGTTGCAGTGAGCCAATATTGTGCTATTGCACGCCAGCCTTCGTAACAGAGTGAAACTTTGTCTCAAAAATAATAATAGGCAGGGCACGGTGGCTCACGCCTGTAATCCCAGCACTTTGGGAGGCCGAGGTGGCTGATCACGAGGTCAGGAGATGGAGACCATCCTGGCTAACACAGTGAAACCACGTCTCTACTAAAAATACAAAAAAATTAGCCGGGCCTGGTGGCGGGCGCCTGTAGTCCCAGCTACTCGGGAGGCTGAGGCAGGAGAATGGCATGAACCCGGGAGGTGGAGCTTGCAGTGAGCCGAGATGGTGCCACTGCACTCCAGCCTGGGCGACAGAATGAGACTCTGTCTCAAAAAAAAAAACAAAAACAAAAAACAAAAAAAACAACAAAAATTAGCCAGGTGTGGTAGTGGGTGCCTGTAGTCCCAGCTACTTGGGAGGCTGAGACAGGAGAATCACTTGAACCTGGGAAGCAGAGGTTGCAGTGAGCCGAGATTGTGCCACTGCACTCCAGCCTGGGCAACACAGCGAGACTGTCTCAAAATAATAATGATAATAATAATAATAACTGGCACATAATGGACCGTTGGTATATATTTGTTGAATTAAGAATTTGAAGTGGCTTTGTAATTGTGTGATTTTCTTCAGTTATGTTCAGCTTCTTAGACAGATCATAAGAATGCAGATGATTCTGGAGGCACTGCAGTTTTACAAAGTTTTACAGTACGTATGATTGGGGGAAGAAGAGGCAAAGTGAGGATGTTTTCAAGGGAATTTTGAAAGGCAAGGAAAAATGTTAAATCCTTTAGAAAATGGTTAAAATGCAGAAAAGCTTTGAAGTTTTTATAAGCTTAACTATTAAAACACTAGTGGGTCTTTTATTTTGGCTGTTTCATACTTGGGATGGTTTTAAATCATGCTAAATGGTCAAAATGCCAAAAAAAAAAAAAAAAGGGTTTTGATGCTTTTATAAGCTTAACTGTTTAGAACCTCAGTGGCTCTCTTGTTTGGCCTTATGCTATATTTCCTTCTTTTGGGAATGGCAAGAAGGTTTTGAAAAGTTGTTTTTTAAACTGCAAATTTATTTTGTTTATGAAGAAATAGACTGATGAAAATAACTTAGTTCCCTGGGTTATTTCTTACAAAACAAAATTTCAGACTATTATGTTTTCCAGAGAGAATTTTGGAGAAGGAAATGTCAGTATGCTGTTCTTTTTTAGCACGTTGTGTAAGAGCACATTATTTGCTCAAATGAAAACCCCTGTTGCAATAGCTTAAAAACAAAACCTTCAAATAATTGTGCAATACCATTGTTATAAGTACGCACTCATAGACCCAAAATGTTTTGGGTAAAACAATGACACTATGGGAAAGAGTAAATAGGGGCAAATGAGTTCAATTATCAGTGTTTTGTAGGAGAAAGGTTTTAGAATGTTATTTATAAGGCAAACCTTTTTGTGCCCTGTTTATCTTTTCATCACAAATTAAATAAATTTTACTTACTGTGATAGAGATGAATGGCTGGCTTTAAAATATCTTAAATATCCTTAAATATCTTATTTGTAAATATTTATCATATATTTAGATATTTACAAATGTTTAAATATCTTCAAAATATTTTTTAAAAGATATTGCCTATAGGATTTGGCTGAATATGAACACACATAGTTTTTTTTGTTTTTTTTTTTGTTTTTTTTGAGATGGAGTCCTGCTCTGTTGTCCAGGCTGGAGTGCAGTGGTGCAATCTCGGCTCCCTGCGACCTCCACCTCCTGGGTTCAAGCGATTCTCCTGCCTCAGCCTCCCGAGTAGCTGGGATTACAGGCGCAAGCCACCACACCCAGCTAATTTATGTATTTTTAGTAGAGACGGGGTTTCGCCATGTTGGCCAGGCTGGTCTCGAACTCCTGACCTCGGGTGATCTGCCCGCCTCAGCCTCCCAAAGTGCTGGGATTACAGGCATGAGCCACCACACCTGGCCAAACCCACATAGTTTTAAGTATTTGCAGAACTTAAGTATAGCTTCAAGTTAAATGACTGGCAGATGGAAAATCATTAACTTTTTTATATGGTTCCATTTCAAACATCCTCAGTTGATTTTTTTATTAATAAAATTCAGATTTGTGAAATAGATTTCCATTTTGTAAACCTATTGTGATGCTCTAGCATCTTTGGTTTTTGTTGTTATTGTTTTGTAATTGCTTGGGCTACATTATCTTTTGGCTGAATCTTCACACAAGTATGACTTAAGTTTGCAGAGTCAAACTTTAAGCTTCTATGAACTGGTCTGAATATTTTGTCCTGTGAGCTCCGATAGTGCTTTCTACTTCACGATCTTCATAATAGCTAGTATATATTGAGGTCACGTGAAAGGTGAGGCAATATGTTAGTATTTTATGTACATTATCTTGTTTAATCCTCAACCCTCTGATGTGTGTCATGTTATCTCTGTTTTACAAATTAAGAAAAACTGATGTTTAGAGAGATTTACAAATTTCTCCAGTCTGTTAGACTTTTTGTTTTTTTTTGTTTTTTTTTGAGACGGAGTCTTGCTCTGTCTCGCCCATGCTGGAGTGCAGTGGCGCGATCTCCGCTTACCACAAGCTTTGCCTCCTGGGTTCATGCCGTTCTCCTGCCTCAGCCTCCAGAGTAGTTGGGACTATAGGCGCCCGCCACCATGCCTGGCTATTTTTTCGTATTTTTAGTAGAGACAGGCTTTCACCGTGTCAGCCAGGGTGGTCTCGATCTCCTGACCTCGTGATCTGCCCGCCTCAGCCTTCGAAAATGCTGGGATTACAGGCGTGAGCCATCATGCCTGGCCCTGTTAGACTCTTAAGACCTGACTAAAACATTGTCTTTTCATCTAATTTTATTAAAATGCCTATTTCATCCCATTCTGTTATAATTGATTTCTTGTGTTCATTTGGCTTCTTTACCAGACTGTGATCCTCTTGAGGACAGGGACCTCCTTATCCTATTAATATTTGTATCCTCAGTGCCCATTGGAGACCCCCGAACTTTTAAAATGAGAGCTGAATGAACAACACTGGCATCACTGATACAATAACAATGAGGCATGTGCTGTGAAGTTGTTTTTTATAGTTTAGGCATTTTGTACGTTTATTACCTCCTACTCTTTTGATGTATTGGTATTTATAGTCACACATGCATGCGTATCAACAAACATACACATGCATACATAGATTATTTCATCTACACATCAATCATTTGAAAGTGGCAATTATTGTCCTCATTTTGTGAATCCAAACAATGAAGGACTAAAGAAAATGAAACTTTGCTTAAGATCACACAACTAATCAGTGGCAAATCTGGGATCAAATCCAGATTTTTCAGATTTTAAATCTTATGATTGTCTACTTAAGGCTATCTATACTAATAGAAACCTATATTTTATTTCTTGATGTGTTTATTTGCTTATTCAGCATTGAAGACAACAAAACAAAGGTATACACAAATGGATTGTATCTTAAAAAGGAGAATATTACAGTGATGAATGTGTGCTTTTTTTTCTAGTGATTTTTATAGGCTTTCACTTGTTTTCCTTTATGAGGCATAAATTTTGAAAATAGTTACAATAGTTAGAGTTTAGACAAGGAATAAATTAGCACCAGCTATCAAACTACAGGAAGATTGGACCCATGACCATATCATATTCTGATCAGCTAAATATAAATCTAGCATGACTCTTGGCACATACAAAGTGTTCAGTTAGTATTTGTTCAGTGAATAGGTAAACAAACCTTATACAAGCATCTTATCAAGTGACTTCATGAATTTTCTTTCTTAATAATATAACCCCCTAACTCATATATCTGACTTTGAATTCTAAATTGTCACTGAATCCGCTCATAAAATATAAAAATTTGAGCCACTTGGCCATGAGAATACTCCTAATACTCTTGGGTCTTCTATTAAATATAGAGACGCGTGGGTAGTGGCTCATGCCTGGAATCCCACCACTTTGGGAAGCTGGGGCAGGAGGATCGCTTCAGGCCAGGAGTTCGAGACCAGCCTGGGCAACATAACTAAATGAATGAATGAATAAATGAGATTATTTATTTATTTATTTATTTATAATCTATGAATATATTATTCATATGTATTCATAACATATATTTCCTATGAATATTTGGAAGTTTGGATAGTTCCTGCTGGTGACTATTCTTAAACAGCTTTATTGAAACATAATTCACATATCATATAATTCACCCATTTAAACGGTATATTCACATCTATGCAACTATCAAAACAATTTTAGAACATTATCATCACCCCAGAAAAAAACTCACAACTCATTGGCAGCTACTCCCCATTTTTCTCCAGCTCATCTGCTAATCCACTTTCTGTTATCATGGATATGCATATTCTGGAAATTTCATATAAATGGGAATCATAACAAGTAGTCTTTTGTGACTGACTTCTTTCACTTAGCATATTTTCAGACTCCATTGATGCAGTAGTATGTATTACTACTTTATTTCTTTTTATGGCTAATATTTCATTGTTTGGGTATACCATATACCGTATTTCCTATATCCATTCATCAGTTGATAAGACATTTGGGTTATAGGCTGGGCGCAGTGGCTCACGCCTGTAATCCCAGCACTTTGTGAGGCCGAGGCAGGCAGATCACAAGGTCAGGAGTACAAGACCAGCCTAACCAACATGGTGAAACCCCGTCTCTACTAAAAATACAAAAATTAGCCAGGCATGGTGGCGGGCACCTGTAATCCCAGTTACCTGGGAGGCTGAGGCAGGAGAACCACTTGAACTCGGGAGGCAGAGGTTGCAGTGAGCCAAGATCATGCCACTGCACTCCAGCCTGAGCGACAGAGACTCCATCTCAAAAAAAAAAAAAAAAAAACCTTTGGTCTGTTAACAGTGTCACTATGAACATTCCTGAATTGCTGAGTCATATGGTAACTGTATTTTACCTTTTGAGGAACTGACAGATTGTTTTCCAAAGCAGCTGAACTCTTTTGCATTCCCACCAGCAGTTCCGATTTCTCCACATCCTCACTAACACTTGTTATTATTATCTTTTTTTTGTTTCTTTTTTTTTTTTTTTTGAGACAGAGTCTTGTTCCTGTCACCCAGGCTGGAGCGCAATGGCACGATCTTGGCTCACTGCAACCTCCGCCTCGGGGGTCCAAGCGATTCTCCTGCCTCAGCCTCCCGAGTAGCTGGGATTACAGCCACCCACCACCACGCCAGGCTAATTTTTGTATTTTTAGTAGAGACGGGGTTTCACCATGTTGCGCAGGCTAGTCTTGAACTCCTGACCTCACTATCTGCCTGCCTTGGCCTCCCAAAGTGCTGGGATTACAGGCGTGAGCCACTGCGCCTGGTCTATTATCTGTCTTTTACTATAACCATCCTAACAGGTATGAGATTGTATCTCATTGTGGTTTAATTTGCATTTCCTTGATGGCTAAAGATGTTAGACATCTTTTTATGTGCTTATTAGCAATTTGTGTATCTTTGGAGAAATATCTGTGCAGCTCCTCTGTCCGTTTATTAATTGGATTATTTGCTTTTTATTACTGAGTTGTAAGAGTTTGCAGGCCCGATACACGCTTCTTATGAAATATATGTGATTTGTAAATACTTTCTCCTGTGGGTTGTATTTATTTTCACTTTCTTTTTTTTTTTGAAGCAGGGTCTCCCTTTTGCCCAGGCTGTAATGCAGTGGTACAATCATACCTCAGTGTAGCCTTTCACTCCTGAGCCCAAGCAATCCTCCCACCTCAGCCTCCTGAGCAACTAGAACTACAGGCATGGGTCATCACTCCTGGCTAATTTATTTATCTTATGTAGGATGGGATCTCACTGTGTAGTCCAGGCTGGGCTCAAACTCCTGACCTCAAGTGATCATCCTGCCTTGGTCTCCCAAAGTGCTGGGATTATAGGCATGAGCCACTGCACCCGGCCCCAGTTGTCTTTTTATAAGTGTCTGGGCAAGTTTTAATATTGTATTAAGGACTCAGCATTTATTGTATTAAGGACTCAGCATTTTAGCCTTTTATTGAAGTGATGTGCTTTTTGAGTAGAAAGTTTTGCTTTACTAACACCTGAAGAATGATACAATCACAGGCAATCTGGTTTTTATATGTTGTATTACATTAAAGTAAAAGCACTGATACCTGTAGTATGAAATGAAGCATGTTATAAATAAAGTACATTTAACTATCTTAAACATTTCAAGTTTGGTTTTTTTTTTTGCCCATATCATTTTATTCAGTAGAATTGTTTCCTAAATAAAACTGGTCTATGATCTTAGATTTATGTATCAACAGTTGCAGCATCTTTTGTAGTATATTCTATTTTTATATAATAATGTTAAAGGGAATATGAAAGAAAACTGTAAAAAGGTAAAATGATAAGATTAATTTTGAGTACACAGTAGTATGATATTTAATTGTAAATTAGAAGGAGTTAGACTTTATAGTGTGTTAACATTTGGAGTTACTAGTGCTTGATATCCTCCTTCTGTGGACAGATTACCTCCAAATTTCAATCTGGAAGATCCCTGAAATAACTACTAGGAAAAGGTTTACAACTATATGGCTTTTATATTTTTACTATTTGTATTAGAATATCTATATAAATTGTTCAATAGAATAACTAAATTGTTCAAATTTTGGTTATAAAAGAAAAAAAGTGTAAACACATCATACATATCATGTGGCTTATTACTGTGATGTTATTCCTGTATTCAGTTTTATTCAGTCACAGCTACACAGCAGAAGTTTGTAATGTATTGCTGGATTTTATTTTGCTGTATTAGCTCCTCAAGAGTTACTGATCTATGAAATGGCAGAGAATGGAAAAAATTGTGACCAGAGACGTGTAGCAATGAACAAGGAACATCATAATGGAAATTTCACAGGTAAATTTTGATGGTTTGCAGGGAGGAGTGCTATGGGTTTAAATGATATACTTTTCATTGGAATAAAATAGAGATATATTACTTCTTTTATTTTTAATCTTATATTATCTTCTTAGTAAATTAAATTATGGGTCAGTCAGGGCCTGTAAGGTGATATTTCACAGTGATGGCAGAAGGAGCCTGGCCACAATCACATAAACAGTGTTCCAAGTACAAGATTATTACTTGTTAATCTTATAGTATGGTCAGTGTTTATTTGGCTTTGCTCAGTGCTCAATTTTATTGTGCTATTTTGTAATTCTAGAAGTAGATTATAAACTTACTACACTGTTCTTAAATATACAGTTATCAAAAAAGTTAGAATGTGAATATTATTTAAAAATTTATTTTAAAATTATCGTTTGAGATGAATAAACTCATATTTTAACCAAATTGGAATTTGTGGTAAATTTCAGTGTATTTGACTCCTGTTTATACAGTTACCCTGAAAATGATGACTTTTATTAATATGGATGATTTAAGTAGAAACTTTCCTTCATGCATTTAAAGGAAAATGAAAAAAAAGTTTTACTTTTGTTGTAATCATACTTTTTTTTTAGCTTTTGAATTGTTTGACATCTCAAACACATGGCAAATAATACTCTAGTGTGGTAATATTTTCACAGCAATCCTCTACTTTTAGAGGAAGTGCAAGGAATCTGAAATAGTAGTTTTCATTTGTTTGTTTGTTTGTTTGCTTTTTGAGACGGAATCTCACTCTGTCACCAGGCTGGAGTGCAATGGTGCGATCTTGGCTCACTGCAACCTCCGCCTCCCAGGTTCAAGCAATTCTGCCTCAGCCTCCCGAGTAGCTGGAATTAAAGGCATGCGCCACCACGCCCAGCCAATTTTTGTATTTTTAGTAGAGATGGGATTTCACCATGTTGGCCAGGGTGGTCTTGAACTCCTGACCTCGGGTGATCCACCCACCTTGGCCTCCCAAAGTGCTGGGATTACAGGCATGAGCCACCGCGCCCGGCCTCATTTGTTTGTTAATCACCATATTGCCTTGCAGAGGACATTTTGCAGCACTGATCTGACTTTTGGGTTACTTTGGTTGTCAGTAAACTTGGCAATTTCACCAAGAGTTTCAGGATTCAGAGATGGGCATTGCATACATCATAGTGTCTTCCCATTAGGAGCTTTTGTGTGCTATTTTTTTCTTTCCTTTTAGAGAGCACATACATTTGTATATTCTTCCTCTTCTGCTCACCCCATTGGAATTTAAAATTAACATTAGCATGTCAAACTTACTCTTCTGTACCAGGTGTTTTTTAATATTTTAGAGATTATGCTATAACTGTACATGAAAAACTGATTCTTAGGCTGGGCGTGGTGATTCACGCCTGTAATCCCAACACTTTGGGAGGCCAAGGCGGAAGGATCTCTTGAGCCCAGGAGTTTGAGACCAGCCAGGACAACACAGGGAAACCTCATCTCTGCAAAAGATTTTAAAAATTTGCTGGATGTGATCGTATGCGCCTGTAGTTCTAGCTAGCTACTCAAGTTCTAGCTAGCTACTGGAAAGACTGAGGTGAGAGTATCGATTTAGCCCACAAGGCTGCAGTGAGCTGCGATCACACCACTGCACTCCAGCCTGGGTGACAGAGCAAGACCCTGTCCCCCAAAAAAAAAAATTTATTCTTTATTATGGCTGCTTAGTTTTTCTTTCCATTGTACGAGTGTGCTGTACTTTAATCACTCTTCTGTCCTCTATTGGTAATATATAAGTTATTGATTATTTTTTGCTAGTACAAATAATGCTGTGGTCAATAAAGTTGTGCAAGTCATTTCACCTTATACCTAATCATTCCTAGAAATGGAATTACCGGTTTACAGTGTATATGCATTTTGTGCTGGGCGTGGTGGCTCACATCTGTAATCCCAGCACTTTGGGAGGCGGAGGTGCGTGGATCACTTGAGGTCAGGAGTTTGAAACCAGCCTGGCCAACATGATGAAACCTCATCTCTACTAAAAATACAAAAAAAAACTAGCCGGGCGTGGTGGCAGATGCCTGTGATCCCAGCTACTCGGGAAGCTCAGGCAGGAGAACCGCTTTAACCAGGGAGGTGGAGGTTGCAGTGAGCCAAAATCATGCTACCACTGCACCCCAGCCTGGGCAACAGAATGAGACCCTGTCTCAAAAAAAACAAAAACAAAAGCATTTTGTAATTTCAATAGATGGTGACAATTAATAGCTAAACTTAATTGGGCACTTACTAAGTGTTAAACTCTTCTGAGAACTTTACATATATGAGCTCATTTAATCCTTAAAATGACCCTGAAAAGTATGTACTATTGTGATCCCCATTTTACAGAAGAGAAAACTGAGTCACAAAAGTATTAACTAACTTGCCCAAGATCACGTGACTAATAGAAGGCAGAGCCAGGATTGGAACCAACTAGTTTGCCTCACCATTTTTGCGATCTAAACCACTTTGTTCTGTAATATGATCCTAGGTTGATAGAATGCCCTTCATAGAAGGTGGACCAATTTAGACTTATTTCAGTAATTTTCCCAAAATCTATAGCTCTATCCCAAATTCAACTGCTGGAATTTTCAGTACCATTTCTTTAGGACATCCTCTACAAAAGATTCTGATGTTTATCAAGGCAGGGAGTTGGTTTTGCCTCAGTTGTTCTCTAGGTAACACTGATTAAGAAATGGCAACTATAATATAGTAGCCCCCTTATCCATGAGGGATACATTCCATGACCCCTAGTGGATATAGGAAAAAACACTGTGTTGTTCTGTATATAGTAATGGGGTAACATATACAACGCGGATGTACTAAACAAAGGGATGAATCAGGTCTTAGGCTGGATGGAGCAGGACTGGCAAGATTTTATTATACTACTCAGAACAGCATACAATATAAAACTTAGGGGCTTGGCTGCAGTAGCTCACACCTGTAATTCCAGCACTTTGGGAGGCCAAGGCGAGCTGATCACTTGAGGTCAGGAGTTTCAGATGAGCCCAGGCAACGTAGTGAGACTGTGTCTCCACAAAAACCAAAAATATTAGTTGGGTGCGGTGGTACACACCTGTAGTCCTAGCTGCTTGGGAGGCTGAGGTGGGAGGATCACTTGACCCCAAGAGTTGGAGTTTAAAGTGAGCTGTGATTATGCCACTGCATTCCAGCTTGGGCAACGGAATGGAGACCCTGTCTCTTAAAAAAATAAAAATAAATTTAAAACAATAAAACTTATGAATTGCTTATTTTCAGAATTTTCCATTTATTATTTTCAGACCATAGTTGACCATGTGTTACTGAAACTGTAGATAAGGGGGAACTACTGTCATTCATCTTCTTTCTATGCTGAGTTGGGACTGGTTGCCTTTTTTTTTTTTTTTTTTTTTTTGAGACAGAGTCTCTTTCATTCTGTTATCCAGGCTGGTCTTCAGTGGCACAATCTCAGTTCACTGCAACCTCTGCCTCCCAGGTTCAAGGGATTCTTGTGCTTCAGCCTCCCGAGTAGCTGGGATTACAGGCGTGTACCACCATGCCCAGCTAATTTTTGTATTATTAGTAGAGACGGAGTTCCACCATGTTGGCCAGGCTGGTCTTGAACTACTGACCTCAAGTGATCTGCCCTCCTCAGCCTCCCAAAGTGCTGAGATTATAGGTACTACTAGTTGCCATTTTTCACAAGACTCTAGGACTTGCTATTAGTTGTTATTTGGGAGATAAAACTCTTTTCATCTAAAGTGATTGAAGAGAATAAGCATAAATGTTAGAAATTCTGTTTTAATCTCTGCACTATTGTTTTTCAGACCCCTCTTCAGTGAATGAAAAGAAGAGGAGGGAGCGGGAAGAAAGGCAGAATATTGTCCTGTGGAGACAGCCGCTCATTACCTTGCAGTATTTTTCTCTGGAAATCCTTGTAATCTTGAAGGAATGGACCTCAAAGTAAAGAGTCTTCTCCCACTACCTTTTACATACACCTCATTTACTCATTTAAAAAATCCTCAGTAATCTCTTACTTTCTGCCCTCTACTCCATCAAAATGGATTAATTACCTTTAGAATATTACCATAGGAACATATTTATTCTCCTTTCTTTAGGTTGAAGAAAAATAGATTAGGGAAAGACATTGCTATTTGCTGTTTGCTTACTGGATTATCACAGTTGTCCACTGTTTTTTCATGTTGAATCTGCAGTGGAGAACACTGAAAAATACGATTTTTATTTTCTCTCCTGATTTTACCATTGGGAGAAATCAGGTCTGTGTAATTTAGATACACTGATTCTTTAGCAGGGCAAGGTTCAGCATATGTGGCAGTTTTACTGATAGTTTGAGCCAATGAAAAAGAACTCTGCCATGGAAATGTGTTGTCTTTAAATTTAGTACTTGTAAGCCCTGTTTCAAGTACCATAAAGAACAAGTTGAACTTTTACATGCCTTATCTTCTGGCATGCCCTTCCAAGTTATTCTCTGTACTATTATCTTAACATTTTTATTGTACTAAGAGTTTATAAAGTATTTTGTAACATTTTCAGCTGATTTTGATCCTTAGGGCAACTCCATAAAGAAGGTAAAACAAGTACATTATTATAAACATTTTAGGCCAGGCGTGGTGGCTCACACCTATAATCCCAGCACTTTGGGAGGTGGGTGGATCATCTGAGGTCAGGAATTCGAGACCTGGCCAACATGGTGAAACCCCGTCTCTACTAAAAATATAAAAATTAGCCGGGCGTGGTGGCATGTGCCTGTAGTCCCAGCTACTCAGGAGGCTGAGGCAGGAGAATCGCTTGAACGTGGGAGGCAGAGGTTGCAGTGAACCGAGATCATGCCACTGCACTCCAGCCTGGGCAACAGAACGATACTCTGTCTCAAAAAAAAAAAAAATTAGCCGGTCGTGGTAGTGCATGCCTGTAATCCCAGCTACTCAGGAAAATCACTTGAACCCAGGAGGTGGAATTTTAGGCCATTTGGGAGGCTGAGGTGGGTGGATCACCTGAGGTCAGGAATTCGAGACCACCCTGGCCAACATGGTGAAACCCCATCTCTACTAAAAATACAAAAATTAGCCGGGCATGGTGGCGTGCGCCTGTAGTCCTAGCAACTTGGGAGGCTGAGGCAGGAGAATAGCTTGAACCCAGGAGGTGGAAGTTGCAGTGAGCCAAGATCATGCCACTGCACTCCAGCCTGGGTGACAGAGCAAGACCCTGTCTCTGAAAAAAAGAAACAAAGCCCGGGCATGGTGGCTCACGGCTGTAATCCCAGCACTTTGAGGGGCCGAGGCAGGCAGATCACTAAGACAGGAGTTCAAGACCAGCCCGGCCAACATAGTGAAACCCCGTCTCTACTAAAAATACAAAAATTAGCCGGGCATGGTGGCACACACCTATAGTCCTAGCAACTTGGGAGGCTGAGGCAGGAGAATAGCTTGAACCCGGGAGGTGGAGCTTGCAGTGAGCTGAGGTCGCACCACTGCACTCCAGCAACAGAGTAAGACTCCATCTCAAAAAAAAATAAAAATAAGTAAATAAAGATTATAAAAACAAGAAACAGAATCAGGTTGGTTAAGTGTCTGGCTGAAAGTGCAACATGAAGGGTCTCTGACCCAGGTCCTCTGACTTGAAGGCCAGTGCTCTTTCTATTATACTATAATGCTTCTCCATATTATAAGTTGAGGTTTAATAAGATCAGGCTTTGGGTAAGGAAAAGGCTACAGTGGGGGTTATGATAAGAACTTGGGTTCTCTGCCTATGTATCTTCCCTTGACCCCCTTCTGTTACTCCAAGAGGCCATGATGTGTAAGGAAAAGAGCTCAGCCCAGCTGAGCTAGGTAACCTAACTGTTTCAGCAAGAAATTGTTCTGAGAATGATGAATGCTGAAAGTGAGACTGTGAGATATTTATTTTTTTTATTTGTTTTTAAGATTATGGCATCGTCAAAGCATTGTGGTGTCTTTTTTACTGCTGCTTGCTGTGCTTATAGCTACGTATTATGTTGAAGGAGTGCATCAACAGGTGAGAGGTCGAGCAATTCTGTTTCTAGTCTTGCACATTCTCTAATTCTCTAATCTCAGTTTCAAATGGGATGAATGTGGGTTTTATAGAATTTCTACCCTCAACATTATCTCATAACTAGTATCTCAAATGTTTTACTTTTAAAGGCATACACTAAAAATATTCTTGTGATGTTTTATGGCTGCTGAGGATTTATATGTGGTGTGTGTGATTCCTTTTACCTTCAAAGATTTTTTTTTTTTTAAAGACAGAGTCTCGCTCTGTCACCCAGGTTGGAGCGCAGTGGTGTGATCTGAGCTCACTGCAACCTCTGCCTCCTGGGTTCAAGCAATTCTCCTGCTGTAGCCTCCCAAGTAGCTGGGATTACAGGCACCTGCCACCACACCCAGCTAATTTTTTTTGTATTTTTGTAGAGATGGGGTTTTGCCATGTTGGCCAGGCTGGTCTCAAACTCCTGACCTCAGGTGATCTGGCTGCCTTGGCCTCCAAAAATGCTGGGATTACAGGCCACTCTGCCTGTAATCAAAGATTTAAATGTAACTTTCCTGAAGGTTTTCCGTCACAGCAGCATGAATCCGTTAATCACTGCCAAAGTTTTCTTATTTTCTCTAACATACTTTTGTGACCCATCCAAATAGGTAGGCCTCTCATCCAAGGTTGATGATTACGTTTTATTTGTATAAAAAGACAGGTTCATTTGCCTGTAGTCTACATGTACAACATTACTGATGGGAAAATAGGATGCTTTGTTAACCTCTTTTGTTAAAATAGCAAAACATTAATGTATTTTAACAGGAAATGGTTCTAGAATGGTATTTTAAAGCAGTTTACTGCCAATCACAGAAATGACTCTAGAATGGTATTTTAAAACAGTTTACTGCCAATCACTGAAATGACTCTAGAATGGTATTTTAAAACAGTTTACTGCTAATCACAGAGAAGTTTTTACAGTTCTAAATGCATTTATTTTAAATATATCTAAAATTATCCTCAAAATTATCTTATTCATAATTTGCTTTTTCCTGTGTCCTGTAAATAGTAGGACTTTAAAAGTTTAGAAACAAGGCTTTTATTAAAGGTTTAGAAATAAGACCTTTATTCCAGTTAGATTAATTTTTTTGTCATCTTTGCCATTGTGTATTAAAGAAATTAGGCCTCTTCAATGGGTTTTTAATCTTATTAGTTTTTTCCTATTTGAAACTTACTTTAGTTGATTTAATTTTGATGATGGTTTATAAATACCGCATTTCTGTATAGAGAATTCACGGTTTTCACCTCATCCCTTTTTTTCAGTATGTGCAACGTATAGAGAAACAGTTTCTTTTGTATGCCTACTGGATAGGCTTAGGAATTTTGTCTTCTGTTGGGCTTGGAACAGGGCTGCACACCTTTCTGCTTTATCTGGTAAGAATAATTTTATTTTAATAAGCAAAAATGATATTTCCTATCTTTTTATTGGTGCTTTTATGTCAGAAGTAAAAATTCTAAGATTTGTTTTAATTACCTTTGTGTTTTGTAAGCATTCTGATCCTCCAATCAGTGCTTTAAGTTTGACTTAGAGTTCTGTTTTGTTTTTCCTTTAGGGTTAGTATTTAAAAAGCAAAGAGAAAACCCCAGTTAAGCAAATAAGGTTGTTTATTTAAATTAGTTTAGCGTGGAAGGTTTTTCTTTTCTTTCTAGATTTAATTGCTTAAGCAATTGTTATTTTAATAAATGAAGTCCATTTAAATATGCAAAATTCCATGTGAGAAATGTCTTCCCTTACATCCTCTAACATCATTTACATACTTGGATATTTATTTTGGTATTCTTGTTGAATGTAATTGATGGAGTATTAACATGTAGAACTAAATGCTTTCTTGAGTCCTTTGAACCAAAGTATAAAAAGTGCCCCTTCTGGGCTGGGCGTGGTGGCTCACGCCTGTAATCCCAGCACTTTGGGAGGCCAAGGCGGGCAGATCATGAGGTCTGGAGATCGAGACCATCCTGGCTAACATGGTGAAACCCTGTCTCTACTAAAAATACAAAAAATTAGCCGGACGTGGTGGCGGGTGCCTGTAGTCCCACATACTCAGGATGCTGAGGCAGGAGAATGGCCTGAACCCGGGAGGCGGAGCTTCCAGTGAGTGGAGATGGCGCCACTGCACTCCAGCCTGGGCGACAGAGCAAGACTCTGTCTCAAAAAAAAAAAAAAAAAAAAAAGTGCCCCTTCTGAAAAATATTCTTTTACTAGTGGAAATAAGAGAGAATGGCCAGGTGCAGTGGCTCACACCTGTAATCCCAGCACTTTGGGAGGCCGAGGCAGGCGGATCACAAGGTCAGGAGATCGAGACCATCCTGGCTAACATGGTGAAACCCCGTCTCTACTAAATATACAAAAAAAATCAGCCGAGCTTAGTGGCAGGCGCCTGTAGTCCCAGCTACTCGGGAGGCTGAGGCAGGAGAGTGATGTGAACCTGGGAGGTGGAGCTTGCAGTGAGCCGAGATCACGCCACTGCACTCCAACCTGGGCGACAGAGCAAGACTCCGTCTCAAAAAAAAAAAAAGAAAAAGAAAAAGAAATAAGAGAGAATGAAGATCAATTTTCCTTTGAACATTCACAAATATACTGGAATAATGTCAGAGCTAGAACTAGGGAGAGGTTGAGTTAGATACTGAGGGCACAAAATATAAATAGGCACTCTCAGGGTCATGCAGATACAGAATGGATGAATAAGTGCCTCATTAAATTTTGTGCCCCATGTGCCTTGCTTGTTCTTGCTGTTCCTGTCCCTAGATAATAAATTGAAAACACTTCCATATTTGAAAGCAGTTTGATCTTCATTGGGGAAAAACAGGTGAAAGATTGTCAAGCAGTACCCATTGCTGAATAAAATTCATCACTACAAGCACTTGCAATCTCTGTGCTATAATGAATTCATCTCTGAAGCAGCTAGGATAAGTATTAAGGAATGATTGTCTGCTTGGCTCAGAAGGGTACTGGATTAATGATCTGACGAATGCTTTGGGAATTAATCTATAATATATCATTTCTCCAAGTTTATGGGAGTTTAAAACTTGGAACTTTAGAATTATGTTCATGTTTGCTTGGTGATTTAACTCAAACAGGGACATAAATCCTAGGGAATTAACTCATATCACTGTTTTTCTAATAACTGCATTCGTAGTAGAATAACACTACATTCACTAGTAGAGGTTGAGGGAGAGAGGAAAAGAAGGAATTACAGGTTACAGGATACTTTTCTGTTCGTGTCTAGACCTGTCCTCATATTCCTTGGGAAAACCAGATTAAGAAACTCATTTGTAGCATTTAATTAATTTGGAAGCCTCTGAAAAGCAACCCAGATAGCAGACTCTGCTGAATGTCAAAAGAGATTGAAATTATGGCTCATGCCTGTAATTCCAGCATTTTGAGAAGCCAAGGCGGGCTGATCACTTGAGCCTAGGAGTTCAAGTCCAGCCTGGGCAACACATCTCTACATCTCTATAAAAAATACAAAAATTAGTCGGGTGTGGTGGCACAGGACTGTTAGTCTCAGCTATTCAGGAGGCTGAAGCGAGAGGATGGCTTGAGCCCAGGAGATAGGGGCTGCAGTGAGCTATGATTGCACCATGCACTCCAACCTGGGTGACAAAGTGAGACCTTGTCTCAAAAAAAAAATTATTTTAAATGCCCTAAAATTAAGTATATATAAAACAGCCAGATCTGCAATTTATGAATATATAATCCTGGCTATAGTGTGGGAGATAGATTGAAGGTGGAAGAGAAGAGGAGCAGTTAGGATTATCCTTATGAGAGACACAAGCTTCCCAGGAGGTGATAGGAAGAATGGATAGCAAGGAGTATTTATAAAGAGAACTTGTAGAGAGAAGTCAAGCAAAATGAAGACAAAAGATGGTATAGATCTTTGATGTTTTAAAAGATTGCTTGGAATGGAAATAGCATTTGGGATGAAAAAGGACAAATATGACAGAAATTTTAGAAGTACAATCAAGAGTGTGGTACGTTATTATGGAGGAAGAAGGAATGAAAGATAACTCTTGGATTTCCTTTTGTTTTGTTTTAATATATTTTATGTGTATTTAAGGTATATAACATGATGTTATAAGATATAAATATATATAGTAAAATGGTTACTATTGTGGAAAAAATTAACATATTCTTTATCTCATGTAGTTACCCATTTTTACGTTTTTACTCCTCATGGCAAGAACAGCTATAATTTACTAGTTTAGCAAAAACTCTGAATACAACACATTGTTATTAACTATAGTCCTCATAGTGTATGTAGAGTACATTGGATCTTTTGACTTGTTCTGCCTGTATATTTGCTACTTTGTATCCTTTGATCTACATCTCCTCCCATCTCTATCTCTATAAATGAGATCTTGCAACATTTTTCTGTGTAGTTACTGGTTTTTTACTGAGTGACTGGGTAGATTTTGATGCCATTAACTGTATAGAAAACAGTTATTTGTTCACTTGTTCACATTTATTACATATTATGTGAAAGTATGTGAAAAGAGAAATTTAAAGGTATACTGTAATTATGCTGCAAGTTAAATGAGATCCTCACTTTATCCAGGTAGGTTGCTGGTGCCCGTAGTTGAATGGAAAGAGAAGGGAAATTTATAAAGGACTGAGAACGCCTACAAAACAAAACAAAACAAAAAATTATTAGAGCTGGGCACAGTGGCTCATTCCTGTGCTCCCAGTGCTTTGGGAGGCCAAGGCAGGAGGATCGCTTGAGACCACAGGTTCAAGAGCAGACCTAGCAAGACCCCGTTTCTGAAAAACACATAAATAAATAAAAGATAAATAAATTAGCTGGGTGTGGTGGCATGTGCCTGTGGTCCTAGCTCCTTGGGAGGCTAAGGAGGGAGGATTGCTTGAGCCCAGAAGCTCAAGGTCACAGTGAACTGTGATTGCACCACTGCACTTTAACCTGGGAAACAGAGCAAAACCCTGTCTCAAAAACAATAATAATAATAATAATAATAATAATAATAATAGGCTTTATTGTTCAGTGTAGTTTTAGGTTTACAGAAAAATTGAGCAGAAAAGACAGAGGATTCTAATACACCAGGGGTCCCTAATCCCCAGGCCACAGACCAGTACTGGTCCCTGGCCTGTTAGGAACCAGGCCACACAGCAGTAGGTGAGCAGTGGGCTGGCAAGCAAGTGAAGCTTCATCTGTATTTGCAGCCGCTCCCCATCACTCGAATTACTGCCTGAGCTCTACCTCCTGTTAGATCAGCAGCAGCATCAGATTCTCATAGGAGCTCGAACCTTATTGTGAACTGCACATACGAGGGATCTAGCTTGCATGCTCTTTATGAAAATCTAATGCCTGATAATCTGAGGTGGAACAGTTTCATCCCAAAACCATCCCCCACCTCAGGTCTGTGGAAAACTTGTCTTCCACGAAACTGGTTCCTGGTGCCCAAAAGGTTGGGGACCACTGCCATAACACCTTTCCCCACCACACAGTTTCCTCTACTATTAACATATTGTATTAGTGTAATTTATTTGTTACAATTGAGGAACCAATATTGATACATTATTAACTAAAACCCATAGTTTATGGGATCTACTCTGTGTTATACAGGTCTATGGGTTTTGACAAATGCATAATGTCATGTATATACCTATAGTATCATACAGAATAGTTTCACTGTCTTAAAAATGCCCTGTGCTTCACCTGTTTTTTCCACTTCCCCACCTGCCCCCAAACCTTTCACAACCACTGATCTTTTTACTGTTTCTATAGTTTTGCCTTTTCCAGAAGACACTATAGTTGGAATTATAGGGTATGATCCTTTTCTGACCGACCTCTTTCACTTTGCAATATACATTTAAGGTTTTTCCTTGTCTTTTTCTGGTGTGATACCTCATTTCTTTTCATCACTATTTAATAATATTCCTCTGTATGGATGTACCACCCGTTTGTGTATCCATTCACTTACTGAAGGATATCTTGTTTGTTCCTGTTTGGCAATTATTTTTAAAAAACTGCTCTCTCTCTCTCTCTCTCTCTATATATATATATGCTATATTATATATATGCTATATATATGCTATATTTATAAATACATATATTTTCTGATAGATCCTGAGTATAATATATACTCTATTGATAGAACATGAGTATTAATTACTAATATATAGAAAAAACTTGGCTTTTTTAAGGTTGTTTACTAACCTTATATCCTGCAACATTGCTGTAATTGCTTAATAGCTCCAAGACTTTTTTGATGATTCCTTATGATTTTCTACATAGATAATTATGTCATCTGTGAACAAAGACAGTTTTTCTACTTTCCCAATCTGTATACCTGTTATTTCCTTTCTTGTCTTATTGCATTGGTTAGGTTTTCAAAATAATGTTGAAGAGGAGTCATGAAGGGGCCATCCTGCCTTGTTCCCAACCTTAATGGGAAGGCCTCTAGTTTCTCACCCTTAAGTATGATGTTAGCTGTAGGTTTTTGTAGATATTATTTACCAGGTTGAGGAAGTACCCCTCTGTGCCAAATTTGCTGAGGTTTTTGTTTTTTTTTTTTAAATCATGAATCTGTTGGATTTTGTCCCCCAAAACCCACTGTTTTAGATGATAGTGACTAGAAAGCCAATATTTGACCAGGCGCGGTGGCTCATGCCTGTAATCTCTGCACTTTGGGAGGCCGAGGCGGGTGGATCACCTGAGGTCAGGAATTTGAGACCAGCCTGGCCAACATGATGAAACCCCGTCTCTACTAAAAACACAAGAAATTAGCCAGGCGTGTTGACAGGCACCTGTAATCCCAGCTACTCAGGAGGCTGAGGCAGGAGAATCAGTTGAACCCAGGAGGTGGAGGTTGCAGTGAGCCGAGATTCCACCACTGCACCCCGGCCTGGGCAACAAGAGCGAAATTCCATCTCAAAAAAAAAAAAAAAAAAAAAGTCAATATTTAAAAAAGAAATAAAGTCCAGGCATGGTGGCTGATGCCTGTAGTCTCAGCACTTTGAGAGGCCAAGGAAGGATCCCTGCTTGAGACCAGGAGTTCAAGACCTGCCAGGGCAACATAATGAGACCCCATCTCTACCAGAAAAAAAAAAAAAAGAGAGAGACAGAAGGAAAGAGAGAGATGAAAGAAAGAAGAAAAGGAAGGAAGGAAAGAAATTGAATATTTAGAAGCTTGGGGAGAAATCTGTTAAATATAAAAGAAATATAAAGAGAGATCTAGTATATGCCATTTCCATTTGACCAAATGACCTTTAGTTCTTAGACCTTTTTGATCCTGACTTCCATTTAGGATCCCCTGGGTTTAACAGAAAGAATGAAGAAGAAAGAGCATTTATAAAATATAATTTGCAGAAAAGCAAAAGGAAAACAAAAGATATCACTAGTCTTTATTTTTTAATTGACTGGTTGGGGTGGAAATCAGTTTGCAAGAGGTTAAGCACTACTAACAACAAAAAAGGCAAACATCATTGTCATACTCATGCTAATACTAGCTGGTCAGTTCTTTTATTTTTATTCATGTTTGGTGGCCATTTTGTGGTACCCATTCCTATGGGAAGATTTTGCATCCCTACCTTACTGAACTCCAGCCATATTATTTGCTTTGACCAATGAAATGTGAGCATAAGTGATAGATGTTGCTTGAGATCTTTGTGTTGTTTGTTATTACGTCATAATCTAACCTATCCTGACTGATAGGCAGCTAACATTTATTGAATGTTTACTAGGTGGTAGTCTCTGTGAGCATCACTTTAAATGAATTATCTCACTTAGGCCTCCCAAGAGCCAAGCTAGTCAATAACCAATAGTGTGACAAGTGTAAAAATTTTAATTAATAAGCGTAAACTATTTACTTGTGAACTTTGGCAATTATAGAAAAGAGTAAAATAAGAAACCAGAAGCAAAGCAGAGTCAAAGGTTTCAAAATCTGATCTGGGTTTTTACTTAATAGAAACAATTTCAAATAATCTCTGGTTTTTTTAAGCTTATGCCATTTTCTTGCTGATTAGTGATCAACAGAATTTTATCCTTATTGGTCACCATTTCTTTTCTTTTATATGTAGGAAATGCAGTTGTGTTTAGGATATCCTAATTACACTTACTTTCATTTTCCAGGCTTAACATAATCCTCACTTAGGGAAATGTGACATTCTCATGTTCTATTATGTGCTGATGAAACAGGCACCTCTGCAATATACCCATATAACTAACCCTCAACAAAGAGAATAAATGATCATATTGGGAGAGTAGTCTGGTGAAAAATATGGGCCTCCTTTTGATAACAGTTTGTGGTGAAAAAGAAACTAATTTTAACAGAAAAAAATGTAATTCATTATTTATTATGGCTCTCTTTACTGGAAATCGTAGCTTAAAAGTGAAATATGAATTTTTTTTCTGCATAGGCAAAATTTCCCAATTAGGTTTTTGAAATTTGTGTTTAGAATGAATGATTCCTAGAGTGTGGAAGGTATCTTTTTTGGAAGTATCATTTAGTAAGTTATAATTGGTTGTATACTAGTCACCTAAAAGACTTACTAAATTTCCTAAAATATTAGATACCTACGTGTTTGGCTTTAAAATGGAGAATTTGTCTTAAATTTATCCGTAAACAGTTTCATTTATATTTTTATTTATTTATTTATTGAGATAGCATCTCTCTCTGACACCCAGGCTGGAGTGCAGTGCTGTGATCTCAGCTCACTGCAACCACCGCCTCCCGGGTTCAAGCAATTCTAGTGCCTCAGCTTCCCAAGTAGCTGGAAATTATAGGTGTGCACCGCCACACCCAGCTAATTTTTGTATTTTTAGTAGAGACAGGATTTTGCCATGTTGGCCAGGCTGGTCTTGAACTCCTGGCCTCAGGTGATCCACCCGCCTCAGCCTCCCAAAGTACTGGGATTACAGGCGTGAGCCAACATGCCCGGCAATATTTTTAGATATAACTGAAAGGTTATAACTTGAAATTAAGATATCTTAGAAGTCCTCATCACTTCTTTAAATGTTACAAATAAAAGTTACTGTTTATTTGATCATTAAATTTAATGAAAATCATCAGGGAAAAATTACTAACCATCAAGTTTTGTAAATCGATTTGAGTAAAGTGTAAATCAAGTAATTTGCAGAGACCAAGTACCTAGCCCAGAGGGACAAGTTAAGATACTGTTTATGCAAGAATAGTGGTTGCTAACCAGAAAGGAGGAGATGAAGGGGAAATAAATAAATTTTTTCTGCTGATGGCTTACGGAGAGTTGGTTGGGCTACTAGGTTACTTGCTTTGTTCTATTAATTTTAATAGTTAAAAGGTGGGTTTCAGGAGGCCTGTTAATTTCTGAAAGCACTGTACTTGTTATGTATCATTGCAAATAAGCTTTTTTTCTAGCAAGAAAGAACCTGTAGTATTCATCAGGTTCTCCAAAGACTGTGAAATGTTAAGAACCATTCTTCTACAACTTTTTTCAAAATATATCTATATTTGGCTGCCACTAGGTGGCATTGCTAATACAGCCAATATACTGTTGTATTTGCAGTTTCTAGTCTGGATAAATATATGTGTGTAGAGCAACTTCACCCAAAAACCAAGCCATCAAATGGCTCTACTAAGCCAGGAGACATATTCTGTTATTTACTTGTATTCATGCCTACCTAAAACCAGTCTACGCATGTAAGTAAAAAGAGCATTTCTTAATAGTTTCTCGCATTCGTTCATTAATTAGTTCAGCAGTTAATAGTCTACCTTTCTGGCCAGCTTATGCCTGTAATCCCAGCACATTGGGAGAGGGAGGCAGGGGGATCACTTGAGGCCAGGAGTTTAAGACCAGCCTGGGCAACAAAGCAAGACCCCGGGTTTTTTTCTTTCTTTCTTTCTTTCTTTTTTTTTTTTTTGAGATGGAATCTCACTCTGTTGCCCAGGCTGGAGTACAGTGGCACAATCTCGGCTCGCCACAACTTCTGCCTCCCAGGCTCAAGTGATTCTCCTGCCTCAGCTTAGCAGGTAGCTGGGATTACAGTCGCGTGCCACTACCGCCCAGCTAATTTTTGTATTTTTAGTAGAGATGGGGTTTCACCATGTTGGCCAGGCAGGTCTTGAACTCCTAACCTCAAGTGATCCACCCGCTTTGGCCTCCCAAAGTGCTAGGATTACAGACATGAGCCACAGTGCCTGGCCAAGACCCCATTTCTTTAAAAAAAAAATTATTTTAATTAGCTGGGTGTGGGGGTGAACACCTATCGTCCTAGCTACTCAGGAAGTTGAGGTAGGAAGACTACTTGAGCCCAGGAGTTTAAGGCTGCAGTGAGCTATGATTGTCCCACTGCACTCCAGCCTGTGTTACAGAGCGAAACCCTGTCTCTTAAAAAAAAAAGCCTTTCCAGCCAGGCGCGGTGGCTCACGCCTGTAATCCCAGCACTTTGGGAGGCCAAGACGGGCGGATCACGAGGTCAGAAGATCGAGACCATCCTGGCTAACACAGTGAAACCCCGTCTCTACTAAAAATACAAAAAATTAGCCAGGTGTGGTGGCGGGCGCCTGTAGTCCCAGCTACTCGGCAGGCTGAGGCAGGAGAATGGCGTGAACCCAGGAGGCGGAGCTTACAGTGAGCCAAGATCATGCCGCTGCACTCCAGCCTGGGCAATAGAGCGAGACTCCGTCTCAAAAAAAAAAAAAAAAAAAAAACCTTTCCTTTCGTTTTGATACACATATTTACATGGAGGACATAACTCCTATGGTATGCCCAGTGTCAGGTGTAATACCAAACATACTAACTTTAAGTCCAATCTTTTCTTTAATATTCAGGAATATGCAAGTGATTGAAACCGATTTTGTTAAAAGAATAAAATCTTTCATTAAATCCTTCATTCCTATGATAGGAAATAGGGCCTCTTCAGAGTAAAACAGCTAGGTTTGAATGTCTAGTACAATATTACTAGCTGTGTGATATTTGGCAAATTTCTTAACTTTTAAACCTCAGTCATTCAACTGTAAATGGGAGTGATAATAATAGTACCCATCTCATAAGACTGTTTTGAGGATTAATGAAATTACTTGTACAGTTTTCAGCTCAGTACCTAGTAAATGCAAGGTATTCAATAAATGATTGCTGCTATTATAATTAGCAATATCACTACGCTTACTCTGATTTATTTTTGAAATGTAATAATTTTCAATTTATATGCTTTAGCTGGTCTTAACAAATTAGGAACATTTCCCACAATTGATTTCAGTACAGTGTTATAGAATAATTGAAAACCACTGATCATTTCATTTCCAACAATGATGACTAGGCAATTTGGACCAACTCTCCCATAAAAGTTTCTTAAAAGAGTGGATAAATTTATTATTATTATTATTTATTTTTTTTTTTTGAGACAGAGTCTCACTCTGTCTTGAGTGGCTGTCACAGGCTGCCTCATGCCTGTGATCCCAGCACTGGAGTGCAGTGCTGGATCCCAGGCTGGAGTGCAGTGGTGCGATCTCGGCTCACTGCAACCTCTGCTTCCTGGGTTCCAGTGTTTCTCCTGCCTCAGCCTCCCCAGTAGCTGGAATTACAGGTGCCCGCTACTACGCCTGGCTATTTTTTTTTTTTTTTGTATTTTTATTAGAGACGGGGTTTCACTGTGTTAGTCATGCTGGCCTTGAACTCCTGACCTCGCGATCCGCCTACCTCAGCCTCCCAAAGTGCTGGGATTACGGGCGTGAGCCACCATGCCCAGCCAATAAATTTTTAAATATATGTTTAAAGGTGAGTATATGTATATATGAGTATTTGTATATATGTTTAAAGAGAGTAAAAGAATTATAAGACCAAGATCTAAGTTATACAGAAAACCCAAAGAAGAGAGACTGGCCAAGGATAGGCCCTGATAAACCTGCAGGCTTTGAATTTGAACTCTAAAGGGCCACACTTTAAAAGATGTGATGAACTAGATATAAATCAACTTTCACCGGTACTGAAGCTCAAGTTTAAATAATCTTTTTTTTTTTTTTGAGACAGAGTCTTGCTCTGTCACCCAAACTGGAGTGCAGTGGTGTGATCTCAGCTCACTGCAATCTCCACCTCGTGGGTTCAAGTGATTCTCATGTCTCAGCCTCCCAAGTAGGTGGGATTACAGGCATGCACCACCACACCTGGCTAGTTTTTGTAGTTTTAGTAGAGACGGGGTTTCACCATGTTGGCCAGGCTGGTCTCGAATTCTGACCTCAAGTGATCAGCCCCCCTCAGCCTCCCAAAGTGCTGCGATTACAGGCATGAGCTACCATGCCCTGCCTCAAGTTAAAATAATCTTATTATCTTCTTAGAACTGTGAGTGGCCCAGCCCGTCTACCCACTAGAAGCAAACTAGTCTGGAGGAAAGTAAAATCATCCTAGGTTTTACATGATCTCTACTTAACTTACTGTTGTATTCCAACTGTCTAGAACAGAGCCTAGTACTCAATAGGTGCTCAACAAATATATGTTGAATATATTAATGTAAAATAGAATCTTTGCAAAGCCTATGAGAGATAAAATAATTCGACTTCTTTTATTGGCAAAACAGTCTGTTCCTAACATCTGAGTCTTATTTGTGACAGTTGATGAAAAATGACCTAATCTATATATAGCTTTTTCTTAATTTGCATAACAGTTTTATATTAAATATTAGTAAATCGTTTTATTTCTCCAGCAAATAAGTGCATGTACTTCTTGCTGTGTAAACATTTTATTATGCTCTTTGCATTCAATTTACTTAAATTTAGACAAAAAATAGGCACAATGAATAATTTTTTTTTTTTTTTTGAGATAGAGTTTTGCTCTTGTTGCCCAGGCTGTAGTGCAGTGGTGCGAACTCGGCTCACTGCAACCTCTGCCTCCTGGGTTCAGGTGATTCTCCTGCCTCACACTCCCAAGTAGCTGAGATTATAGGTGTCCACCACCACACCCGGCTAATTTTTGTATTTTTAGTAGAAATGGGGTTTCACCATGTTGGCCAGGCTGGCCTCGACCTCCTGACCTCAGGTGATCCACCCACCTCGGCCTCCCAAAGTGCTGGGATTACAGGCATGAGCCACCACGCCCAGCCCACAATGAGTGATTTTTAAAATAATTTTATTCAACATATGCTAATATGCTTGTCTCTGGTTTATCTTTATAGTGAGGTATATTGTACTTTGAAATAAAGAATATTAAATAAATTAGAAATTAATAGCATTTGTAAACTGCATTTCCTCTGTTTTTAGTTCTTATGCAGGCATATTTTTGTTCATTCATTTGATATCTACCTTGAACAAATTTTGCCTAGCAAGTAGTGCAAGTTACAAATTTCATTCATTTACCTTATTTGAGTTTGTATGTAGATTAGGTGCAAAGAAGCTTCTGGGGCTGGCAGATTTTTCCAAGATAGCACCTTTTTTTTTTTTTTTTTTTTTTTGGAGACAGAGTCTAGCTCTGTCACCCAGGCTGGAGTACAGTGGTGCAATCTTAGCTCACTGCAAACCCCGCCTCCTGGGTTCACGCCATTCCCCTGCCTCAGCCTCCCGAGTAGCTGGGACTACAGGCGCCCACCACCATGCCTGGCTAATTTTTTGTATTTTCAGTAGAGACAGGGTTTCACCGTGTTAGCCAGGATGGTCTTGATCTCCTGACCTCGTGATCGGCCAGGTAGCACCTTTTAAGCACTCTTTTATTGCATATTAATTCCCCAAAATCCATTGACAGATTTATTTTAGTCTTAGCAAGCATTCAGGTTACCTTTTAGAAGATCCAGTACATGAGCGATCAGGAATGCTTATTTATTCTCTCATGTAGCGGAAATTATATCCAGAGTAAGAATAGTAAGTCAATGTTTGCATAAAGAGAACATAGCTGCTGTTGACCTCTTTGGTTCATCTCTATGCAGCCAGTTTTTGTGAGTCAAAATTTCTATCTTAATAATGGTCTAGACCGGGCTCGGTGGCTCATGCCTGTGATCCCAGCACTTTGGGAGGCTGCGGTGGGTGGATCACCTGAGGTCAGGAGTTTGAGACCAGCCTGGCCAACATGGTGAAACCCTGTCTCTGCTAAAAATACAAAAATTAGCTGGGCGTGGTGGGGGGGGCGCCTGTAATCCCAGCTACTTGGGAGGCTGAGGTGAGATAATTGTTTGAACGGGGGAGGCAGAGGTTGCAGTGAGCCGAGATTGCGCCATTGCACTCCAGCCTGGGCAACAAGAGCAAAACTCCGTCTCAAAAAAAAAAAAAAAAAAAAAAAAGTCTAACCTAGGGCTACAGAGCATACCTTCTCTTTTTCATTTTCTTTTATCTTCGTTTCTTTTTTGAGACAGGGTTTCTCTCTGTTGCCAGGCTGGAGTACAGTGGCATGAATATGGCCCGCTGTAGCCTCAGCCTCCTGGGCTCAAGAGATCTTCCCACCTCAGCCTCCCAGGTAGCTGGGACTACAGGTGTGCACCACTACACCAGCTGGGTTTTTTTTAGGGGTAGAAACGGGGTCTCTCCATGTTGCCCAGGCTGGTCTCAAACTCCTCGGTTCAAGAGATCCTCTCGCCTCAGCCTCCTAAAGTGCCGGGATTACAGGCATGAGCCACTGTATCCGGCCTCACTTTTTCTGTAAAGGATCAGATCCGTAGCTATTTACACATCGTGGGCTATCCAGTCTCTGTGCAACTACTCAGATCTGTCACTGTAACGAGAAAGCAATTATAGACAGTACATAAATGAGTGAATGCGGCCGTTTTCTGGTAAAACTTTATTCATAAAAACAGGTAGCAGGCTGGATTTGGTCTGCAGTTTGTAGTTTGTTAACCCCTGCTCCAACTCATTGAATGACAGTAGTACACCGGAAGAGACATAGTGAGCCTGGGAGCCTTAATGAGAGAGCTAGCTGTCTTCTAAGGATTTTTGTATGACATCTGTGTATTTGGTTCACCCATTTGCCAAATAAGTACTATCATTTCTCTCTTCTTGATCAAGAAATAACAGGTTTCACATGATGCTTTAGAAAAGAATATAGTTGTGCATATATGAGTTGTATAAAAAAAATTAAGAGTAAAAAGAAAAAGCTTTTTTGAAGGGAAAAGCAGAAGAATTTCTTCTAAATGAGCTGTCTGATGACAGGAAGATTTGGTTCCAGTTTCATGTAACCACTGGTATGTTCAATTCCTCTTAAATACCAGATTTTACAAGATTGCAACCATTTTGAGGAATAAATAACTTATGGATTAAGTTTAGATGTCATGTGTAGGATGAACAGGTCTAAAGATCTAAGGTACCACTGTTGTAAAATTACAATGGATTAGGGATTTTTGTTAAGTAGATTTTTAGCTGTTCTTATTTTTAAAAAGTAACTATGTAAGATGATAAACATGTTAATTTGCTTTACTATAGTATAACCATTTTGTTATCTGTATGTATACTATAACAACATATTGTAAGCCTCAATTATGCACAATAAAATTTATTTCTAAAAAGCTTAGGCCAGGTGCAGTGGCTCGCACCTGTATTCCCAGCACTTTGGGAGGCCAAGGCAGGAGGATCACTTGAGGCCGGGAGTTCAAGACCATACCAGCCTGGGCAACCTAGTGGGACCCCGTCTCTACGAAAAAAATTTTTTAATTAGCCAGGTGTAGTGGCATGCTCCTGTAGTCCCAGCTACTCAGGTGGAGGTTGAGGCCAAGGTTGGAAAATCACTTGAGCCCAGGGAGGTTATGATCGCGCCACTGCACTCTAGCCTGGGCGACAGAATGAGACCCTGTCTCAAGAAAAAAAAAAAAGTTTAGATGTTGTACACAATTAGGAGAAGTGATGGGGTTATTTCATTAGCCACCTTGTAATTATTTCCCACTAATAGAAATATGATTCATAATTCTGTAATTAACCAGGTTAACAAAAACAGGAACTTTGGTACTTGATTATGAGAAATGTATTCTGGACATGCTCCTTATATGCATGTACATTATGATTCATCAAGTTACAAGACAAAAAGATGATTAAAGAACCATTTGTAAACTGTATGTAACATTAAGGATTTATAAAGCCTGTTCTTAATAGCAAAGGAGTCCATGGGCTACAATTTACTCTCCTATATAATGTGATGTATGTACAATTTTTGACACTAGGTGGAGCAGTTTCCTGGCAAAAGACTTCACAAAGCCCCATATCCCTTTCAGTTAAGCCCAGCTTCTAGACAAAGAACTGTAAAGAGAAGAAAAACGATCGACAATCATTTTATAATTTAAAAACATACCCAAATATTTAGCTATAAGTAGAAGGCTGAATATATTTTACAATTTTTCTGTTTGCCATATATTTTAACCATTGGATTTTCTCATGTTTAAAGTGTTAGTTTTACTTTCTAGAAGCAGTTTGGAAGTAGAAAAGTTGGGAACTATTCAGTTACATTGTAGAATAGATCAGGTTTTATTAGAAGCTGTAACATCAAGGTGTTATCCTTTGAATGATATCTGTGAGCCATTTTGTTTCATATGACCATTTTTATAGAAAAAAAGTACTTTTTGTTATAAATTAGATACAAAGAAAATTGTGAGATACGTGCCCCTGTGTAAGATTCAGAGCCTGTTTCTGCTTTAAAGTTTGGGATTATTTCATTATTAAAATATGTGTTAAAAATTGTACATTTACCCTGAAGTACAGGTCAATTGATGACTAAAAAGAAAACAAAAAAAATTATACATTTAAAAAATCTGACATCTTAATTGCTTTTTCATATTTATGACCTCCTCTGTATATGGCACCCTAAGGAGGAAGTACTGTATAGTATTCTGCACTTTTTAAAAGCTGTTTTTTCCTTAGTATAGACATTTCTGATACTTTTTGACTCTTGGCTATTGCTAAAAGTAAATATTATTTGGAAAACTGCATTCATATGGGTTGAAATAAAATAGTGAAATAGTTTCAGTAAGTGAAATATTGTAGTAGTTAATACCATAAAGTGGAATCATTCTTTTTTTAAAAAATTGTTAGCCAGCTTCTTCCCTATCAATTCAGCTTGACTTCTGACTATTGCTTTATTGCTCATTTGTCTATCCTCCTTTTAAGACAAAAAAGAAATTACCAAAAGTTAAGGCTGTGGTGTGACTTGATACCAGATGCTTATAACTATGGCTATAAGCATGCAGTGACTCAGTGCTGTTTCAGGAAGACCAACAGACCCTTCTTAGAAAAAAATCTATTTGCCTTTTGTTTGATGAAGGCATGAAAGCTCTTCTCCCTGTCTTTCCCTAAGGAATGACTCATATATTAACTCTGCTGAGCATCACCACATCAAAAGAAGAAACCAAGGTCTTCAGGACATCAGGCTGGGTTTTTGCCAAGGAAAAGGGGTATGCACAGACTGGGTAACTTCCTGCCCTTAAGTTTATTAATGTATGCTTAAATGAAAGCCAAGAAAATTTAGTTTAGCTTAAATTTGTTGTTGAGCATACATTTTAAACAATTTATACTAGCCCCCCCCGCCCTTTTTTAACAGCTCTCATAAATATGTAGTTCATTTCTCTTGAATACTTAAGTCAACTGTATGATCAAAAGTTGCTTGGGTCTAGAGAACAAAGGTGAAACATGCCTTCTTTTTCTTTTTCTTTTTCTTTTTTTTTTAGACGGAGACTCACTCTGTCTCCCAGGCTGGAGTGCAATGGCGCGATCTTGGCTCACGGCAAACTCCATCTCCCACGTTCAAGCGATTCTCCTGCCTCACCCTCCCGAATAGTTGGGACTACAAGCATGCGCCACCACACCCGGCTAATTTTTTGTATTTTTAGTAGAGACAGGAGTTTCACAATGTTGGCCAGGCTGGTCTCGAACTCCTGACCTCAAGTGATCTGCCCGCCTCAGCCTCCCAAACTGCTGGGATTACAGGCGTGAGCCACCACACCTGGCCAAACATGCCTTTTAATATGGATTAATTCAATATAATAAAAATAGCTTCAAAGACAGTACCTTATAACTTGGAGCATGAACTAATACTATAGAGTTCATATTTCTTTTGTTTTGGCCAGCAATTTTATATTTGCACTTTTATAGTATAATCTCATATTTCTACCCTGTGACCTAGGTAACAAGCATTATTAGGCTTTTTGTTAAACAAAGGAAGAGATAGAAGTTACCAACAGTAATTTACCAACAGATTTAGAAAACTGAAATCCACATTAATGCATGCCCCGGTTACTGCTTTTTGACAGTTTGTTTCTTTGTTTTTTGTTTTGGTTTTTGGTTTTTTTTTTTTTTGAGACAGGGTCTTGCTCTGTCGCTCAGGCTGGAGTGCAGTGGCATGATCATAGCTCACTGCAACCTTGAACTCCTGGGCTCGAGTGGTCCTCCCATCTCAGCCTCCCAAGTAGCTGGGACTACAGGCATATGCCACCACACTGGGCTAATATTTTTTCTTAGTAGAGACGGAATCTCACTGTGTTGTCCGAGCTAGTCTCGAACTCCTGGGCTCAAGTGATCCTGCTGCCTCGGCCTCTCAAAGTGTTAGGATTTCAAGCATGAGACACTGTTCCCAGCCTGTACTGCATTTTGTAGAGACCAGAGGCATAACTTGGGACCTTCTTCACAAAAAGAATATAAACACTGGTTAAACTTGTCAGTGCCCATTGGGAATCGATATTTTACACTCTAGCCTTCTAGAATTATTTGCTGTAGACCATAACCTTGTTTTCTGACTCTAATGAGAAAAACAATGATTAAAAAAATTCTGAAGAGAATTCCTGTGTTTGCAAAAGGGTTTCTGAAGTCCCCTGAAAGAAAACAAAGGTTTTGCAAGTCATACAAACAACCATTTTTCATCTTTTTTTGTTTATTTATCACCCAGATATTCCTAATGAATCACATTCCAGACTAACCACTGACTGCTTTTGTTCCTTAGTGAAGAAGTATGGCAAATAAATGTTTTCCCAGTGAATCAGCACAGGATTCTTGATTTTATTACCTTTGCCCTAAACTTTCCAGACAAAACTAATTGGAAATTTTGCCTTTGGGATCTCACTTGACTTCTGTGTATAGATGATGGATTAGGCTATGAATTGACATTACAGATGTTGTCCAAACAACTCCAGTCTTTAGGAATGTTTTATCAGTTCTGAGGGAGCCGTCTAGAGTGGAAGAATGTCTGTCTGTCTGTTTTGTCTGCTTGCCTTCCTTAAAAATACTCATACACACACAACACACATTCTGCACTCTTAATGTGATGTTGTAGTCTTCATCTCGGTTGATAAGTATACTTGCCTGAATTAGGCTAATAATTAATATGAACATTTTAGGTCTTTCGTTTTTAAAAGATATCTCTGTAAGACAGGACCCTAAAGTAAACCCAACAGTATTCTGTCTCTGGTCTTTTGGATGGTATACTGTTTTTCTTGATGAAACATAGACATGAGTATAACCTTTTCAGTCCTTTAAATGCTACAAAGTGTGTGAAGAAGGTACAATTATAGTAAATCATGAGCCGCTGTAGTATAAATCCAGAAAACTTGAAAAGTTCAAAATCCAGAAAATGTTTTACTTAATATTAAGCAGCAGTGTACATACTGATTTATCATTTTACTAATATGATTTTTTCACAAATTCAAGTATGAATATATTCACCCCTTTCTTACTATGACCCTAATTAGTGTTTGTGGCACAAGGATTTCTTTCTCTGGGCTTAACATAGATACTATATTATTATCAGAAAACTACTTAAAACTCTTCACTACCAGATTAGGATGGAGATAGATAGATAGATAGATAGATAGATAGATAGATAGATAGATAGATAGATAGATGTGGTTTTGTATAATTTTACCCTTCTAGGACAATTTTTTTTGAATTCTAAGTTTCTCTTAATTAGAAGAACTAGTAGTGTATTGTTATTCTTAAAGCTAGAGTAAAAATTGATTACATAGAATTAGTTTGGTTTTTTTCTAATCACTAAAACTTTTCTAATCACTAAAACTCATGAAAGAATGTAAATCATGGAAATGTAACTTTTTAAACTTATGTAAAAAGAGTTTTTAAAAGATAAAATATCTTTTTCCACAGACAAGTACCTACATCTGCTCTTACTAGAAATCTTACCCTTTCATCTAAGTATAGTTTGCTCTCACCCAGACATACTCCTGCCTGGCCAAGCACTACATCTTTTATCCTGGACAAGGCAAAATTATTCCATTACCAATCTTTGGAAAATATAATGTAATACAGCTCATGAGACTAGATATATGGAACTCTGAAATGAAGCAAATCCAGATGTCCAATATGTTGCAAATAACCAAGCTATCTTGTTGATTTAACTTCGTCTAGAATAACTATACTGAGTTACCAAAAATAAAACAGACCTTTATTTGCCACTTTTTTTTTTTTTTTTTTTTTTTTTAAGACAGGGTCTCATTCTGTCACAGTGGCGTGATCTCAGCTCACAGCAACCTTGAACTCCCAGGCTCAAGCAATCCTTCCACTTCACTGGGACTACAGGTGCACACCACCATACCCAGCTAATTTTTTGTTTTGTTTTGAGAGAGAGGGTCTCTCCATGTTACCCAGGCTGGTCTCAAAACTCCTGGGCTCCAGTGAGTGTCCCGCCTCAGCCTCCCAAAGTGCTGAGAATACAGACATGAGCCACCCTGCCTTGCCTATTTGCCACTTTAAGATGTACTCCCTGTATTGATCTTTACCTTGCCACATGTCACATCCTTTTAAATGTGTTCACACTCATTTTATAGCACAGCAGATGGTCTGTCTTGGCAAATATTCCATGTGTACTTGAAAATAATATATATTTGGCTCTTGCTGGGTGGTATTTTCTATGTTATTCAAATCTTCTGTGTCCATACAATTATCAGTGTAGTTGTTCTATCAATTAATGAAATATAGATGTTGACGTTTTCAACTATGTATGTGCCAGGCATGGTGGCTCACCTCTAATCCCAGTACTTTGGGAGGCCAAGGCAGGAGGATCCCTTGAACTGAGTTTGAGACCAGCCTGGACAACATAGGCAGACCCTGTCTCTACAAAAAATAGAAAAATTAGATGGGGCCAGGTGTGGTGGCTCACACCAGTAATCCCAGCACTTTGGGAGGCCTTGTTGGGAGAATCTCTTGAGCCCAGGAGTTTGAGACTAGCCTGGGCAACATAGGGGGACCCATCTCTAAAAATAACAAAAAAAAAATTATCTGGGCCAGGTGCGCCGGCTCACACCTGTAATGCCAGCACTTTGGGAGGTGTTGGTAGGAGGATCCCCTGAGCCTAGGAGTTTAAGCAACACAGGGAGACCTGTCTACAAATAATGAAAAAAAATTAGCTGGGCTGGGCACTCTGGCTTACACCTGTAATCCCAGCACTTTGAGAGACTGAGGTGGGTAGATCACTTGAGCCCAAGAGTTAGAGACCAGCCTGGGCAACAGGCAAAACCCCACCTCTACAAAAAATTAGCCAGGCGTGGTGGTGTACACCTGTAGTCCCAGCTACCCAGGAGGCTGAGGTGGGAAGATCACCAGAACTCTAGAGGTTGAGGCTGCAGTGAGCCAAGATCTTGCCACTGCACTCCAGTTTGGGTGATGGAATGAGAGACCCTGTCTCAACAACAACAACAACAAAATTAGTTGGTTGTGGTATCTTGCGCCAGCAGTCCCAGTTGGGTGGATCACCTGAGGTCAGGAGTTCAAAACCAGCCTGACCAACATGGTGAAACCACATCTCTACCAAAAATACAAAAATTAGCTGGGTGTGGTGGCGGGTGCCTGTAACCCCAGCTACTTGGGAGGCTGAGGCAGGAGAATTGCTTGAACCCCAGAGGCGAAGGTTGCAGTGAGCCAGGATCGTGCCATTGCACTCCAGCCTGGGCAACAGAGTGAGACTCTGTCTCAAAAAAAATAAAATAAAGAAATTTCTAGCTATAATTGGGGATTTGTTCATTTCTGTGTTCTGTCAGTTTTTGCTTTATGTATTTTCACACTCTGTTATTGGTTGTATACACATTTAGAATTGGTCTGACTTCCTGAGAATTAGACCTTTTATCATTTGTTCCTATGAATCTCTGTTAATATTCTTTGTCATTAAATCTACTTTGTCTAATATCAATTTAGCTACTTTATCTTTTTTATGGATTTTTTAAATGGTTTTTCTTTTCCCATTTCTTTACTCTTTCTTTTCTGGGTTCTTAATATTTAAAGTGGGTTTCTTATAGACAGCGTGTACTAATCCAGTGTGACAGTGTCTGCCTGAATTTATACATTTGGTCCATTTGCAATTAATGTAGTTATCAATATGATTGGGTTTAAGTCTACCCTCAAACTGTTTGTCATATCTAATTTTTCATTCCTTTTTCTTTTTTCTCTGCCTTCTTTTGGACTGAGGATTTTTTTGTTTTGTTTTGTTTTGTTTTGTTTTTTGGTGTTTTTTTTTTTTTTTTTTTTGGTATTGAATTTATTTGCTTGTTTGTTCTACTTCTTTTAAAATTTTTAGTGGTATAGCTAGGTGTAGTGATGCATGCCTGTGGTCCCAGCTACTCGGGAGGCTGAGGTAGAATCTCATGAGCCTGGGCAGTCAAGACTCCACTGAGCTGTGATCACACTACTGCCCTCCAGCCTGGGCAACAGGGTAGGACCCTTTCTCAAAAAAAAAAAAGAAAAAAAAAATTAGTGGTTGTCCTAAGGTTTGCAATATGCTCCATTAACTTACAGGGTGAACAATGAAGTATTGTTTTCTCATTTTGTATAAAATATAACAACCTTATAATAGTGTTCTTCATTTCCTCCTCCCATAATTTATAATTTATGCTTTAGTTGTCATACATTTTACTTCTTGTATATTTTACTTCCTCATATGTCGTAAATCCACAGTACTGTTTTGAAATATATTTTTTTGAAATATATTTTCCCTAGCTCCCAGATTCACAGGTATTTTTTTCTTTGACATTTTAAAGAAGTAATTCTGATGTCCTGTGGTTTGCATTATTTCTGATGAAAAGTCTGACCTATTTTTCCCTGTAGATGTTTTATTTTTATCTACTCTATTGTTTTTAAGACTTTTCCTCTTGTCATTGAATTATAGCAATTTCATTATGACATGATTGTGATGATTTTTAGCAGTTTGATTATGTTTTATTTTCTATTTTCTTTTTTCTTTTTTTGAGATGGCATCTTGCTCTGACGTCAGGCTGGAGTGCAGTGGCGCAATCTCGGCTCACTGCAATCTCCGCCTCCCGGATTCAAGCCATTCCCCTGCCTCAGCCTCCCGAGTAGCTGGGATTACAGGTGCGCACCACCATACCCAGCTAATTTTTGTATTTTTAGTAGGGATGGGGTTTCACCATGTTAGCCAGGATGGTCTCAATCTCCTGACCTCATGATCCACCCACCTTGGCCTCCCAAAGCGCTGGGATTACAGGCGTGAGCCACCATGCCCGGCCTATATGTTTTCTTTTCTTTTCTTTTTTGTGCTGGCATGCAGTGTTGAGATCTCAGCTCACCGCACCCTCTGCCTCCTGGGTTCAAGCGATTCTCCTGCCCCAGCCTCCCCAGTAGCTGGGATTATAGGCACTTGCCACCATGCCCGGCTAATTTTTTGTATTTTTAGTAGAGACAGGTTTCACCATGTTGGCCAGGCTAGTCTCGAACTCCTGACCTCATGATCCACCCACCTTGGCCTCCCAAAGTGCTGGGATTACAGGCGTGAGCCACCGCACCCAGCCCATGTGTTTTATTTTCTTTGTGTCGATCCTGACTGGATTTGTTCAGTTTCTTAAGTCTGTGGATTGATACTTTTCATCAAATCTGGGTCTGTTTCTATTGAGCAATATTTCTTTTGGTTATGAGTTATAATTTGCTGCTTCGCATATCTAGTAATATTATATTGAGTGCTAGTAATTTTTAATTGAATGCTAGATATGTAGTATTAAATTGTTGATTGTATGGATTTTGTCTTCCACTATAGAACATTGATGTGGGGGGAGGGTGAAGGGGACAATTAAGTTACCTGTGGATCAGCTTGATCTTTTTAAGACTTGTTTTAAACCCTGTTAGGGTCAGACTAGAGTAGCTTTCACCTTAGGACCAGAAGGAAAGGTCGTACCTACCCAGGCATGACCTTTCTGGGTTGAATGCTGAGTCTCTCTACTCTAGCTGGTTGATCACAAATGTTTCCCAGGCCTGTGTGAACTCTGGGAATTGGTCAGTTTACAAATCCCCAGTAATTATTCTTTTCCCAGTAGTTCTTGTAGTTCTTTGCCTGGACTTGTGGTCTCACCTTAGCATGCAATGCAGCTTTGTGTGCCAGAGTCTGAAGGGGACCCCTGTGCAGATTTCTAGAGTTCCTTCTCTGTGTAGCTTTCTCTTTTCTGGTATACTGCCTCATAAATTCTGACTGCCTCAGCCTTCTTGAATCCTGAACTCGTGAACCCCAATCTCATTCTCAACTCGGCAGGAGCAACATGCTTTGTTTGGGCTCTTGCTCTTTTGACCATGGAATTTTTGGCAGGCATGGAATGTGTCTACAGACAAGAAGCCAGAGTCAATGTATGGTTTCTTCATTTTTATCCCTTCTCTTAGTAATCAAAGCCCTGTACTGCCTGTAGTACAATGTCTAAAAAGAATTGTCCCATATATTTTGTCCAGTTTTCTAATTGTTTGCTATAGAAATGAAAGTCTAGTATCCGTTACTTCATCCGCCGTGAGACAGAAAACCTTCAGCCATAGACCAGGATCCCTAACCCATGCTCCCACAAGAGTTGGAACCTGCTGCTCAGTAAATATATAAATTTTATATCCTGTGGCAGGTTTTATCCAGTTAGGCTTTTCAATTAATACTATAGCTGTTTGGGTCTTTACCCTCTTGTTTCTTTGTTTAGTATGGTTAAAAATGTGACTCATATTTGCTACATTGTAGTGAGACTTGTAGTTTTTAGAAAATATACTTTAAAAGTAGTTTGAATTATGTGTAACTTTTAAAACTTTTAATCAAAAATTTTTTTATTTGAATTTTTCATATAAACATATTTTTTCATTCAAATCGGTTATATTTAAAAACCATTAAGCTAAAATGTTGAATAGAACTTGTGAGGTTTCCTATCACTTAATATAGTTTAAACTATGAACAAAGGACAAGAAACTGAGTTGTTAATGTTCATTTTGTCTGGGAACCACCACATCTGCCTCAAAGGCTGAGTAATCATGACTTACTAGTGTGGTTATGGAAAATATATGTCAGTTTAGTTGAGTGAATGAACAGACTTCTTTAGAAGAAAGAATTCTCAAATCAGAGACTTGAAAAAACATTCTCAAATCAGATTGTTGAAAATTTCCCTTTTCAGAATAACTAAAAATGAAAACTATAAAGAACTTTTATTTTATTGGATAATGTGTTTAATCTGTTAGGATACATTTTTTATATTTCTGGAATGCAAATATAGCTTTTTCTTTCCTATCTATCCCAGAAATCTCATTATTTTAGCTCCCAGAGCAATTTATTTTTGTTCACTTGAAATTCATTTCTAACTTTAGCTGTAGACTACCTGTAGCCAAAGAGGACAGTAACATGGGGACAGCATGGACAAACTCTTAAATTTTCTTCTTTTTCACTTATTGGCATTCATATGTCTCTTTTGTGTTTTCTAATAGTAAAGGTGGAAGTTACAGCTGATTTCTTCTTTTTTTTTTAATTATGTCTGATAGCTATAATTGTATGAGGAGAAATGTTTCACAAACTATGCAGTTATTCTGAATATCACAAACTTTGGGGTTTTTTTGTAGTATCACAAAATAATTCTTTTTTCCCCCAAGTGTGAAATCTCTTGTGTGCACCTGGCATTTAAAGAAATGATTGTAGATTTCATGGTTAATCATAAGTTTTCAAAAACCTAAGTAGTCAAAGTATTTTCAAAATCTTATATAATTATTTTAATACTTTAATATTTCTGCATTTCCAAGAATTAAAAGTCCCCAAAAAGAGGAACAAAGGCTAAAACTTCACATCGATTTTTTTGATCCAGAAAAAACTAATAATTAACTGATTCAGTTCCAAGGATTTCATTTTTTAGGTATTATTTTAACAGAAAATGCCGATTCTATTTAGAGATAAATATCACATATGTGTGAACAACTTTGTATATTAACATCAAACAAAATTTTATTATCTTGATAGTAGAATGTCTTAGTTTTATTTTTATCACTAGATTTTATGTACTTTGAACCACAGATTCTTTCATCAAGTGATCTTAAAATACTTTCTTATACACAGAGCCCACTTACTTTTCTGTGGGACTGTCTCATTTATGAAAAATCATTGGAGAAATCTTTAATAGAAACCTTCAGATTCAGAAATACTTGCACAATATAATTAGTAATAAAATCTCGTGTATATATATGTAAATAATTTTATTCTACAAATAAAGTATTTATCTTCATAATAGCTGATGGCTGCTAGTTACTGTATGCTAGAGGACATCTATCAACCTATGCTTAAGGGACCCAGGAATTTATATTTTAACCAACTCCCTAGTATGCAGACACCTCATCTTGTGCTTTTAGGAACCATTGTGTAAAACTCATTGATACTGGTTTCACAGTTACATTTTTGCTTTATGATCTCACTGGGAAAGGTTACATGAGGTGGTAGATCACCAGCTGTTTTTAAGTAAGGACGTAAAGTGATATTCTCAAATTGTGCCTAAAAGAACAGTGGCTCAGGAAGTTTTTTTTAATAAAAGGAATTATCTAACAAATGAGAAATATAGATAAATAAAATAAAAGTCAAGCAAGGAATTAGATCAGTGGTTGCCGGGGACTAGGACTTGAGGGAGGGAATTGGCCACAGAGGAACACAAGGGATTTTTTTTTATAAGGGATGGGGCCTTGTTCCGTTGTCCAGACTGGAGTGCAGTGGCACAATCATAGCCCACTACAGCCTCCAACACCTGGGCTCAAGCAATGCCTCCTACCTCCTGAGTAGCTGGGACTACAGGCACATGCCACAATGCATGGCTAATTTTTTAAATTTTTGTAGAGATGAGGTCTTGCTTTGTAGCCCAGGCTGGTCTTGAACTCCTGGCTTCAAGCAGTCATCCTGGCTCAGCCGCCCAAAGTGGTGGGAATACAGGCATGAGCTGCTGTGCCTGGCCAAGGGATCATTTTTGCAGTAATGGAAATGTTCTGTATCTTGATTGGTGTGGTTATATGGCTGAATATGTTCGTCAAAGCTAATTGAAATGTAGACCTCAAATAAGTGACTCATTATGTGTAAATTTTACCTCAATAAATCTGATTTTTTTTTAAGTCAACCAGGAAGAGATTCTGGGAAGGATTATTTTCTTCATATTACTAACTGCATCTTGAAATTATTTAGAATTATTTTTGTTCTTTGAAAGCTAAGATTTTTCTTACACAGTAATTAATATATTTTTAAAATAATGTGTATTGATAATTTTTTAATAGTTCTTATCAGAAGTTTCTTGTATTTGTTTTATAGGGTCCACATATAGCCTCAGTTACATTAGCTGCTTATGAATGCAATTCAGTTAATTTTCCCGAACCACCCTATCCTGATCAGATTATTTGTCCAGATGAAGAGGGCACTGAAGGAACCATTTCTTTGTGGAGTATCATCTCAAAAGTTAGGATTGAAGCCTGCATGTGGGTAAGATATGCATTTTCATATTTGTTTAAAACTAACCTCACCATCTTGATAGTGTGTGTACCTTATTGAAATGGAATCTAAACATATTCCTTGTCAGTAAATGATTCAGTCAGTAACCAGCTACCTACTTCCAAGGCAAAAGAAACCTTTTAGAGCATCTCCTATTCATGAATGGCATTGAGAAGAAAGGCATGAACCATATGTATCACAAAGCAACTGAGGCCAAGTAGACTCCAGCAGGGCAAGGGAGTACAGATGATGGAACCACAGTTGAGCCTTGAACCATGTGTGGGTTAGGGGTGCCAACCCCCTGTGCAGTAGGAAATCCACATATAACTTTTGACTCCCCAAAAACTTAACTGCTAATAGCCTACTGTTGAACGGAAGCCTTAATGATAAATAGTAGATTAACACATATTTTGTATGTGTTAATACAGTATTGTATACCATATTACAAAGAAAATTATAAGGGAAAGGAAATATATTTATTATTAATTAAGTGGAAACGGATCATCATTTCCACTCCATTTTCATGTTGAAGAGGCTGAGGCTGAGGAGGAGGCGGAGGGAAAGAAGGGGTTGGTCTTGCTGTCTTAGGGGTGGCACAGGCAAAGGAGGTGGAGGAGGTAGATGGGGAGCCATGAGAGGCACACCCATTATCACTTGTACTGGCACAGTTCAAATCCATGTTGTTCAAGGGTCAACTGTATACTACATTATAAAATTTGTTCTAGTATTTCTATACCTGATAAACTTTTAGAATTTATCTAAGAGTTATATAAAATATATATAAATATTAGATTGGTAATATATAGTTATATATAAATATTAGATTGGTAAATGTCATATGTCTTACTTTTTTTAATTTAAAATTTTACTTTTATTTATTTGGCAAATAAAAATTGTGTGTGTGTATATGTATGTATGCATTTATTTATTTATATATTTATTTACTGAGACAGGGCCTTGCTCTGTTGCCCAGGCTGGAGTGCAATGGCGCCATCTCGGCTCATTGCAGCTTCAACCTCCTGGGCTCAAGTGATCCTCCCGTATGTCTTACTTTTAGATTAAAATACTGTGCTCTGGCTGGGCCTGGTGGCCATCCCTGTAATCTCAGCACTTTGGGCGGCCAAGGCAGGCAGATCACTTGAGGCCAGGAGTTCGAGATCAGCCTGGTCAACATGGTGAAACCCTGCCTCTACTAAAAATACACAGATTAGCCGGGCGTGGTGGCGCATACCTGTCATCTCAGCTACTGGGGATGCTGAGGCATGAGAATTGCTTGAACCCAGGAAGTAGGGGTTGCAGTGAACCGAGACCCGCCACCGCTCTCCAGCCTGGGCTACAGAGCGAGACTACATCTCAACAACAACAAGAAAATATTATGTTCTTAGAGAACTCATTTCATTTTCTGAGTTATTATAATGCTAACTAAAGTAAGGTCAGACATTTCTTAATATAAACCAAGCCTTATTATAGTGAACGTATCAGGCTGTATGATCGTATATGGCAATTTTACTTTCAGTTGTTCCAGTTATTCTTTTTGTGGTTTGCTTAAGTTTATTTTACAAAATTCTTTGGACAGCATGTTAAGTGGCAGATGGATTCTAATCCACACAATTTTTTTTGTGTGCCTAAATTTTTTTTTTTGCTTTTTTTTTGAGACAGTCTTGCTCTGTCGCCCGGGCTAAAGTGTGGTAGCGCAATCTCGGCTCACTGCAACCTCTGTCTCCCAGGTTCAAGCAATTCTCCTGCCTCAGCCTCCCCAGTAGCTGGGATTACAGGCACCCGCCACCACGCTCGGCTGATTTTTTTGTATTTTTAGTAGAGACGGGATTTCTCCATGTTGGGCAGGCTGGTCTCGAACTCCTGACTTCAGGTGATCCACCAGGCGTGAGCCACCTCACCCAGCCCTGTATGCCTAAATTTATTCAGGCATCCGTAGGAATAATTCATGGGTTAAAGATTTCTTTTACCATTTGAGGTTTTTTTTTTTTTAACTCATTGGGATTTGTTATGTTCCTGTAATTTTTTCCCACTAACAATTTCTTAGGAAATTAAAGATTATGGAACAGATCACTTACAAATCTTAACTCATTAAAATGAGCATGAATACCATACCCTCAGGAGAAGCAGAGTTTTGAAACACAGTTAAGTGTTAGCAATTGTGTTCTGCTTTAAAAGAATTATAAAGGAAATACCATCATGTTGAATTTGTTGAATATGAAAGACAGGAAAAATTGTCATGTTTCCTGTTGCTCTTTTATAAACACTGGAAACAAATTTATTATACTAGTTGCATATGCTTTATAAATTTGATGACATTAGTCTTTTGATGAAAAAAATGTTAGAATAACAGAAGATACTTGGAACATGCTAGAAAAGGGACTTTGTATGTAAATTTGTCTTTTTTTCTTAATATTATACTTTTGTTCTTCAAAAATTATTTACATTGCTGGATTAACCTTAAGGCCAACAAATGAAAACCACTATCTCGGCTGGCTGTGATAACTGCCTCCTCCAAATTTCTGTAGTATATATTGTCTGTAGTGCTTATTAGGCCTGGCTTTACACATGCTTTAAATTAGTTAATTTGGCTGGTATGGTGGCTTTCTTCCCCAAATAATATTTAGGATCCTAAAAAATATTAAATATACCTTAAAAGTATTAGCATCATAGTAATCAGCATTAAGTTTTGCACATAGGGCTGGGCATGGTGGCTCACTCCTATAATCCTAGCACTATGGGAGGCCGAGGTAGGTGGATTTGAGACCAGCCTGGCCAACATGGTGAAACCCCATCTCTACTAAAAATACAAAAAATTAGCTGGGCATGGTGGCTCACACCTGTATTCTCAGTGACTTGGGAGGCTGAGGTAGGAGAATCACTTCAACCCGGGAGGCAGAGGTTGCAGTGAGCCAAGATTGCACCTCTGCACTTCAGCCTGTGCAACACAGCGAGACTCCATCTCAAAAAAAAAATTAATTAATTTTTTTGAAAAAGTTTTCCATGTAGTATAGGAATGTCAATAAATACTGATTAATAGGTCAAATGTTTGCTCTTCTTTCCTTCTTTGTAACTGTCTCGTTATATTAAAAATACAGCACACACTAAGTTATGTTTAAATTTGTTAATATTGTTCTCAACATTTACAAGGACAGTCTTCAACAAATGGTGCTGGGGACTGGGTGTAGTGGCTCACACCTGTAATCCCAGCACTTTGGGAGGCCAAGGCAGGTGGATCACCTGAGGTCAGGAGTTCGAGACCAGCCGGACCAACATGGTGAAACCCCATCTCTACTGAAAATATAAAACTTAGCTGGGCATGGTGGTGGGTGCCTGTAGTCACTGCTACTCGGGATGCTGAGGCAGGAGAATCGCTTGAACCCAGGAGGTGGAGGTTGCAGTGAGCTGAGATCACACCATTGCACTCCAGCCTGGGCGACAGAGCAACTCTCCATCTCAAAGAAAAAAAAACAAGGGGGATGCTGTAAAAACTGAATATCCACATGCAAAAGAATGAAGTTGGACCCTTACCTTACACCATATATAAGAATTAATTCACCGGGCGCGGTGGCTCACGCCTGTAATCTCAGCACTTTGGGAGGCCAAGGCAGGCAGAGCATGAGGTCAGAAGTTCAAGACCAGCCTGGCCAAGATAGTGAAATGCTGTCTGTACTAAAAATACAAAAAAAAAATTAGCTGGGCATGATGACAGGCCCCTGTAGTCCCAGCTACTTGGGAGCCTGAGGCAGGCGGCTCACTTGAGGTCAGGTGTTCAAGACCAGCCTGGCCAACGTGGTGAAAGTTCATCTCTACCAAAAATACAAAAATTATCCGGGTGTAGTGGCGCAGGTCTGTAATCCCAGCTACTCAGGACGCTGAGGTGGGAGAATTGCTTGAACCCGGGAGGCAGAGGTTGCAGTGAGCCAAGATTGTGCCACTGCACTTCAGCCTGGGCAACAGGGTGAGACTCTGTCTCCAAAAAAATATAAATAAATAAATAAAATGAAAACTTTTTTTTTTTTTTTTTAAAGACAGAGTTTCGCTCTTGTTGCCCAGGGTGGAGTGCAATGGCACAATCTCACTCACTGCAACCTCCGCCTCCCAGGTTCAAGTGATTCTGACTCAGCCTCCTGAGTAGCTAGGATTACAGGCATGCGCCACCATGCCCAGCTAATTTTTTTGTATTTTTAGTAGAGACAGGGTTTCTTGGTGAAAAAGATAGATTTTTTTAATTCCTGCTCTCCAGATTTTTATCATTAAACTTACATTTCTTAATATAAAAGCACCTTGCTGCAGATTTGCTTGTGAGTTCACTTGACAAAATGTTTTTTCCCTACCTCACCTGACAAAACTTTTTAAAAGTACAAATTCAGAATTTTTGTCTTTGAATAAATCTTTGAATGAATCTTTGAATAAAATTAGCACTCCAAGAAGATGCTGTGTTATCAGTTGGTTTGCATATTTTGTGCATATTAAACTCTTCTCTAGTTTAAGAAGGATTTAAGGGTAATAAATTTGTATGTAGTAGATGGTTTGGAGGAGAGCTTTCTGAATTATTGCTTGACTGTACATACCACTTATTTTGCAGTAAGGAAGCCAGTCATTCTCTCTCCTTAATTAAACTTAGGCTGACAGTTTTCAGTGTTCCACAATTTATGTTTTGTTTTGAATATAAACAAATGTAAAGAATTTTGTATCTTATACAAATATATATTTGAATTTTATAGAGAATCATAAAATTGTAAGGATTATGAAATGATGAGACTTCAGTATCTAATTTGAGATAAATAAATGTCTGTGTCTAGGGTATAATGTGTTTTGGGACACCTGCCTGGATGACTAAATTCCCTTGTTATTTATTTGCATAATAAGAGAGTACTGACTCATGATTCCCATTGTTTCTTGCTAATATGGGAAAACACTAGGAGAATTAAACTAAAATATAACAGTAAATATAGTCAACTACGTATAAGACAGTATACAGCCCTTGATTTCATTTCAGTCCATTATGTTACTTCCTTCTTAACTTTTAGGAAATTTGTCATGAGCTTCAATCACATGATTGCTTTAAGAACTGTTGAACATTTGACTTAACATTTGAACTTAGGAGAAGTTCATGTTTTGAGTAAGATGTTACACTTTCTGTCCTACTTTTTTCTATGGAAGATTTTCCAAAGGTGCAGAGAATTATAAAATGAATTTAATATACTCTCACTCAAGTTCAGCTAGTATTAACTAATAGTTTATATTGTTGTATCTATACCCTTTCTCATTCTCTTCTCAATTATCTTGAAGCTGATCCCAGATATCATAATACACATCATCTGTAAATATATCAGCCTTGGGGCCTAAAATGCATTATCACACCTAAAAGAAACTGTAGTAGTCTCTTAAAATTCATTATCCAATTAGTGTTCAAATTTTTCTGATTACGTTTATTTCTTTTTTTTTTTTTCTGAGGTGGGATCTTGCACTGTCACCCAGGCTGGAGTGCAATGGCACAATCTCATTTCACTGCAACCTCCTCTCGTATTCCCACAATTCTCCTGCCTCAGCCTCCCGAGTAGCTGGGATTATAGGCGCACACCACCATACCCGGCTAATTTTTTGTATTTTTAGTAGACATGGGGTTTCACAATGTTGGTCAGACTGGTCTCAAACTCCTTACCTAGTGATCCTCCTGCCTCAGTCTCCCAAAGTGCTGGGATTTTATTTCTTTTCACATTTATGCTGAAGAAACTGTTAAATAATTTCCCATGGTCTGAATTTTACTGACTAAATTCTAATTAGTATAATTTAAGCATGTTGCTCTGTTCCTTGTGTTTCCTTTGAGTTGATAAATTGTGTTTTTTTTTTTTGTAAATAGGAATACACTCCATAGCCTTGTGTATTTCTATCACGAGATACAATGTCTGTTTGTCCTTCCTTTTTGTGATATTAGCACCATGGATGATTTTTTATTATATATGTCCATTATTTTATTAGAGGTTATAAAATATTAGTATCCCAGTTACATTACACCTTTTTTTTTTTTGAATTATTAACTGGAGACAGGGTCTCACTCTGTCACCAGGCTGGAGTGCAGTGGCACAATCACAGCTCACTGCAGCCTTGACCTCCCAGGCTTAAACAATCCTCCCACCTCAGCCTCCTGAATAGCTGGGACTAAAGGCACAAGCTACCATGCCAAGCTAATTTTTTGTAGAGGCAGGGTTTTGCTGTGTTGCCCAGGCCGGTTTTAAACTGCTGGGATTACAGGCATGAGCCACTGTACTGGGTCTGAAATAATACTTTGATGAAGGAAAACTTTTCCTTGTCACTAATTTAGTTACCCCGAGATATAGTTTATATCAGAAAAAGATAAATACTTGATCTTTATTATACCAGTTTTTAAAATAATAAGTTGGTTCTCTAGCATCCTCCAAAGTTGGCCAACATTACAGTGTTTTTTGGTTTTTTTGGTTTTTTTTTTTTTTTTTTTGAGACAGAGTCTCACCTGTCACCCAAGCTGGAGTGTAGTAGCATGATCACAGCTCATGGCAGCCTTGACCTCCTGGGCCCAGGTGATCCTCCTACCTCAGCCTCCCAAGTAACTGGGACCACAAGTGCATAATTTTTTGTAGAGACAGCCTCATTATGTTGCCCAGGCTGTTCTTGAGCTCATGTACATAAGCAATACACCTGCCTCAGCCTCCCAAAGTTCTGGGATGATAGGTGCGAGCCATGACGTCTGACCAACTTTTCTTATTTAGCAATATATATGATTTGGTTTTTGCCTATATCCATGTATATATGTCTCTCCTGCCTTCTCTGTCTGTTTTTTGACTAAATGTAGGCTTAATCTTTTGGCAGTTAAGTATTCTTTTTCTCTTTTTTCTTTTTTTTTGGAGATAGAGTCTCGCTTTGTCACCCATAAGCTTGCTGCAACCTCTACCTCCCAGGTTCAAGCAGTTCTCATGCCTCAGCCTCCCAGGTAGCTGGGACTACAGTCACGCACCACCATGCCCAGCTAATTTTTTGTATTTTAGTAGAGTTGGGGTTTCGCCATGTTGCCGAGGCTGGTCTCAAACTCCTGAGCTCAGGCAGTTCACCCACCTCGGCCTCCCAAAGTGCTGGGATTCCAGGCGTGAGCCACTGTGCCTGGACTCTTTTTCAAAATTCTTGTTTCAAGTATGGATAATGTAGTTACACGTGGAAATTGTTGGTTCCACCCATTGTGAATACAAAATATTTGAATTTGATTTGGTCCCTTGGGAATTCTTTTCAGAGCATTTGGAGGCAGAACCATAAGACAGAGCAAACTGAAATGCTTAACATTGCTTTTTAAGAACTAGCAGAGCTTGGCTGGGCGTGGTGGCTCACACCTGTAATCCCAGCACTTTGGGAGGCCGAGGCGGGTGAATCACCTAAAGTCAGGAGTTCGAGACCAGCCTGGCCAACATAGTGAAACTCTGACTCTACTAAAAATACAAAAATTAGCCAGACGTGGTGGCACACACCTGTAGTCCCAGCTAGTAGGGAGGCTGAGGCAGGAGAATTGCTTGAACTTGGGAGGCAGAGGTTGTGGTGAGCCGAGATCGTGCCATTGCACTCCAGCCTTCGTGACAGAGTGAGACTTCATCTCAAAAAAAAAAAGAAAAAGAAAACTTATTCATCCTAATGTTTAGTTTTCAAAGGGCTTTCTGACTACAATTTGTTAAAAGTTTTAACTCAACAGAAGAAAAGTTGTATTTAAATTAAAGCAACTTCTGAAGTTCCAGAGGATTTCCTAGAGAATTTTTATCTAACACATATACTGGTGAATTCTTTTTTTTTTTTTTTTTTTTTTTTTTTTTTGAGACAGAGTCTTGCTCTGTTGCCAGGCTGGAGTGTAGTGGTGCGATCTCAGCTCCCTGCAACCTCCGCCTCCCAGGTTCAAGCAATTTTCCTGCCTCAGCCTCCAGAGTATCTGGGACTGCAAGTGCGTGCCACCACACTCAGCTAATTTTTGTATTTTTAGTAGAGATGGGGTTTCACCCTATTGGCCAGGATGGTCTCGATCTCTTGACCTCGGGATCCGCCCGCCTCGCCCTCCCAAAGTGCTGGGATTACAGGCGTGAGCCACCATGCCCAGCCACTGGTGAATTCTTATTACCAGATCATTTAGATATCAGAAGCGGTGGGGGGGGGCAAATGATAAAAATAACAGAGTCTAAGTAGAGATTCTAGAGAACTAAAATTTACTTAGTGTCTACAATGAGCCAGGTGTTGTCTCAAGATTTTTTTTTTTTTCATAGACAGGAATCTCAGAATGTTGCCCAGGCTGGCCTCAAACTCCTGGGCTCAGGTGATCTTCCTGCCTCAGCATCCTGAGTAGCTATGGCTACAGGTGCGTGCCCACTGTGCCTGGCTTGTCTTAAGGGTTTTATGTGATGCTTGCCAAGCATCAGATAGGTCAGAATTAGAGCCAGGATTCAAACTTTTATTATTTTGATTATGTAGCATATGCTTTCCCCCAATATATTGCATCTCAAAATGCTTCTGGTGATATAGAAGAGTATGGGTTTGATCTATTAAGTGTCACTGTTGATAACAGAACCTCATTGTAAGTATTTTGGTTTTTCACCTAGGGTATCGGTACAGCAATCGGAGAGCTGCCTCCATATTTCATGGCCAGAGCAGCTCGCCTCTCAGGTGCTGAACCAGATGATGAAGAGTATCAGGAATTTGAAGAGATGCTGGAACATGCAGAGTCTGCACAAGTAAGAACAGTGGGGATAGAAAATAGAACACTTTACTTCTTCCTAAAGAGGCTATTAAGGTAAAATTGTTAGTAGTTACTCTGAAGAAGAAAACTGCTAAAGTAAAAAAAAAAAAAAGAAAGAAAAATATTGCTTGAGATAGAATATTTAGAAAGGTCAAAATATAAAAGATAATCTTGATCTTAGAATAGAAAAATGCAATAAGACAACTCTTAATACACTAAAACACCTTGTCAGAAACCAGGGTAAATTAATGTTGCCAATGATGTTAAGGAGCTGAAACTTACTTTCTCCATTATTTGTTTAGAGGTATTACCAAGCAGACTGCTGCTCTGAGTCCAAAATAATAGAACTTCTGAATTAATTGTTAAACATAACATCAAAGGACAGATGTGGTGGCTCACTCCTGTAATCCCAGCACTTTGAGAACCCGAGGCAGGAGGATTGCATAAGCGCAGGAGTTTGAGGCTGCAAGTGAGCTATGATCATCCCACTGTACTCTGGCCTAAGCAACAGGCCCTCTCTCTAAAAAAAAAAAAGAAAGAAAGAAAGAAAGAAATCTTATTTTATGGCTATATCTATAGTGGCCCTTTCCTCCCTTGAAAGCAGCTTCATTCTGTATTCCACATAGTGTGCAGAGCTGCTGAAATGTTTGCTAGGGAAATACATGAATTATATCAAATTCTTAAGTAGTTACTAAAACTTTAAACTAGTAAGCAATATGTAGTAGTATATATGACAATAGTAATAGTAGAACTTTTTCTTTCTTTGCTTCTTTCTTCCTTTTCTTTGTTTTGTTTTGTTAGTTTGTTTTTGATTTAGGGTCTCACTCTGTCACTCAGGCTGGAGTGCAGTGATAGAAACATAGCTTACTGCAGCTTCAAACTCTTATATAAACATAGCTTACTGCAGCTTCAAACTCTTAGGCTCCAGCCGGGGGTGGTAGCTCATGCCTGTAATCCCAGCACTTTGAGAGGCTGAGGTGGGCAGATCACTTGAACCTAGGAGTTTGAGATCAGCCTGGGCAATAGTGAGACCTTGTCTCTACAAAAAAAATTTTTTTTTTTTTTTTTTGAGATGGAGTCTCGCTCTGTCGCCAAGGCTGGCGTGCAGTGGCCTGATCTCGGCTCACTACAAGCTCCACCTTCTGGGTTCACGCCATTGTCCTGCCTCAGCCTCCCGAGTAGCTGGGACTACAGGCGCCTGCCACCACGCCTGGCTAACATTTTGTATTTTGTTTAGTAGAGACGGGGTTTCACCATGTTAGCCAGGATGGTCTTGATCTCCTGACCTCGCAATCCACCCGCCTTGGCCTCCCAAAGTGCTGGGATTACAGGCGTGAGCCACCACGCCCGGCCTACAAAAAATTTTTTAAAAAGCTTAGCTGGGCCTAGTGGCGTATGCTTGTAGTCCTAGCTACTTGGGAGGCTGAGTTGGGAGGATCACTTGAGCCTGGGAGGCAAAGATTGCAGTGAGCCCTGATTGTGCCACTGCACTCCAGCCTGGGTGACAGAATGGGAGTATCTCAAAAAACACAAAGTTATTCCCCAGCCTCAATCTCTCAAGTAGCTGGGACTACAGGTATATACCACTATGGCCAGCTAATTTTTATTTGTTGTAGAGACAGGGTCCCACTATGTTGCCCAGGCTGGCCTCAAACTCCTGGGCTCAAGTGATCCTCCCACCCTGGCCTCCCAAAATGCTGGGATTATAGGCGTGAGCCACCACACCTGGCCTGAACTTTCTTTTTGAATAATATTTAACAGTTCAAACTATTCAGCAGTTCAGACTTGCCTTTGCCTCAGTCAGATTAATGAATGCCCTGGAGTATTCTAGACAGTGTCCTCAAGATGAGCAAGGTAAACTTTCAAAACAGAAAAATATTAAATGCTAGGCCTAGGCAAGCAGTAACATAATTGGTTGAGGCTTTTTGACCTAATCACAATCTGTGTATCAGCCTCTATCTCAGTTATCTCAACAGAGTGTTTTGTTTTCAGGAAAATTCCTAAAAACCTTGTTGAAAGATTGAATCTCCATCTTCAAGTCAGATAGGCTTTTTAAAAATGCATTATTACCGAGAACTTTGGGAGGCTGAAACAGGAGGATTGCTTGAGGCCAGAAATTCAAGACCGGCCTGGGCAACATGGCAAGATCTCATCTCTACAAAAAATGAAAAATTAGCTGTATAGGGTGGTGCATTCCTGTAGTCCCTGCTACTTGGGAGGCTAAAACAGGAGCATTGCTTGAGCCCAGAAGGTGGAGGCTGCAGTGAGCTGCATTTGCACTACTGTACTCTACCCTGGGCAACAGAGCAAGACCCCACCTAAAAAAAAACAAGAAGCATTATGAAATAAAATTCAACCAAGTATGGTTATAGTTTTTAATTAAATACAAAACTTTCAAATATGAATTTAGAATAGCCAAATATAAACCAAATGAAATAAAGAGCCATGAATATCTGCTCTTTGTGGAAAGAGCAAATTGCCCTGGTATCTGCTTTGCCTTATCTGCCAACCAAATATTATGCCTCTCATGACATCATAATGCTTATATTAATGCTAATAATTATTACAAATATAAACTTTTAAAATTATTTTTAACATTTTAAAAATCCAGTATTTAATATGACCCTTGTGTTAACTCTGAGGGAGTTTGGAAAGGTACCATTCTTCTAACTTTATAGAAAACAGTAGATTTAGTTGTTACTTCCCAAATTTCACATACTTATAGGTAGAACAAAAACTCAGAATGCCAGCATTACTGGTATATTCCGATTACTGAAACCAGTCTGTCCACAGAAGCAGATGGGTGAGACTTGTGACAACTGATAGTTCTTTGAGTTATGGCACTAACTAATGTATGTCATTTAACATCTCTAAAATTCTTTTTTTATCTATATGAAATCAGCAAGTTGAAGTGGAATAAATATAAGGTGGCTTGCAGCTATACATTTTTTTGCTATGACTTGGATTCCAAATGGGTATGAGAGTTGTTCTCTCATAAGTCAACTAATGTACTATGATTATTTCTCCTTTTGTTTTTAAACCTTTTTTTCTTAGAATTAACATTTTCAAATTTGCATAGTCTTTACATCTCTGGCTTGCCTTCTCTCCCCTCCAACAGCCCTGTAAAAACATCTCATGATACCACTTTCCACTCGGTAACACAAATAAGATTATATCAATTCCATTTTTTTTCATGAAGTCATCTCTCTGGAGCCCTCCATGCTCCCACTCCATTCTGGACTTGCTGTTCAGTTGCCCTTCTGCACAGTTGCTTCTGTCTTGGTTTAGATTTCTTGTCTTCCTCTTTCTTAATTTACACCTTCGTTTTGCTTGAACATATTCTGCTGTAGCTTTCTGTGAAAGGGTGAGTAAATGGAAAATGTGATACCATACATTCTAAACTAGCATGTTCTTCATTCACAATTAATTAACTGAATATAGGATTGTGGGTTGAAAATCACTTTTTATACTTAGAATTTGGAAGGCATTGTTCAATTGTCTTCAAGTTTCTGTAATTGGTATCCAGAGGACCGATGCCCTTCTGAGTCCTCTTTATAAGCAGTCTACTTTTTTTTTTTTTCCTCTCTAGAAGCTTTTAGGTTCATTATCTGAGGTACAGTCTTTTTAAAATGTATTCTGAGCTTGGCACAGTGGCTCACGCCTGTAATCCCAGCACTTTGGGAGGCCGAGGTGGGTGGATCACCTACGGTCAGGAGTTCAAGACCAGCCTGGCCAACATGGTGAAACCCCATCTCTACTAAAAATATAAACAAATTAGCTGGGTGTGGTCGTATGCGCCTGTAGTCCCAGCTGCTTGGGAGGCTGAGACAGGAGAATCGCGTGAACCCTGGAGGCAGAGGTTGCGGTGAGCCAAGATCATGCCACTGCACTCCAGCCTGGGCGACACAGCAAGACTCCGTCTCAAAACAAAACAAAACAAAACAAAACAAAACAAAACAAAACAAAAAAACAAATAAAGTGTACTCTGATAGGTGCTCAGAAAACTTGTTCCTTAGTTTGGGGAAATGTTCTTGTATTTTTTATGTGAGTTTTCCCTCTTTAGTCTCTGTTCTTGCTTCCTGGAATTCTAGTTGCTTCAATGTTAGGCCTCCTATGCCCATCCTTTTAATTTTTTAAACCTTTTTGCTTCTAATATTTATCTCATTTTACTATCTATGAGATTTCCCAAGTTTATCTTCTAAGTCTTATATCGAAATGTTTTTCTGCTGTTAACATATTTATTTTCAAAAAGCAATTTGTATGTATTTTTCAGGCATCGTCTTTTCTGTTTGTTCAATTTGGAGTTCGAGGCTTTCCTCAAAGCCTGATAATCCTTATTTGTATGTTTATATAAGAATAAGGCACTTAAGGCCGGGCGCAGTGGCTCAGCCTGTAATCCCAGCACTTTGGGAGGCAGAGGCAGGCGGATCATGAGGTCAGGAGATTGAGACCATCCTGGCTAACACAGTGAAACCCCATCTCTACTAAAAATACAAAAAAAAATTAGCTGGGCATGGTAGCGGGCGCCTGTAGTCCCAGCTACTTGGGAGGCTGAGGCAGGAGAATGGTGTGAACCTGGGAGGTGGAGCTTGCAGTGAGCCGAGATCGCACCACTGCACTCCAGCCTGGGTGAGAGCGAGACTCTGTCTCAAAAAAAAAAAAAAAAGAATAAGGCACTTAAAAGCTAAGTGGAAGCTATGTGCGTACAGGCCAGGTGTAGTGATGGTGAGGCTTCCCTATTGTACAGTCAAGTGGCATCCAGGCTTAATATTTACTGAGAACCTCCATGTATCAGTGTCTATTGATCTTTTCTTGGGGATAGTTCAGTTTCTCCATGATGGATCCTTCAATTTCTTGCCTAGGCAATGCAGACAGTCCCTAACTTACAGTGGTTTGACTTATGATTGTTCACCTTTACAATGGTATGAAATTGATACACATTCAGTACAAACCATAGGTCGAATTTTGGATTTTGATCTTTTCCCCAGCCAGCGATATGTGGTACCATACTCTCACACAATGCCAAGTAGCAGCAGTGAGCCACAGCTCCCAGTCAGCCAGGTGATCATGAGGGTAAACGTCCATACTCTGCAGTGTACTGTAATTTTGCCCAACTATGGGCTAATGTAAGTCTTCTGAGCATGTCTAAGGGAGGCTAGGCTAAGCTATGATGTTTGGTAGGTTAGATGTATTCAATGCATTTTTGATTTACGATATATTCAGTACGAAGGGGTTAAGACACGTCACCCGTTGTAAGTCAAGGAACATCTGTATCAGCCTTGCTGCTGACACACTAAAGCTAGACTGGGGAAGAGTGGTTAGAGATCTCCATTTAGTATGTGGACTGTTGCTCAACTCACTTTCTGTTCTATCTGTGAATACCTACACAAACACAAGCACAAGTATGTCCTGAGCCCAGAACATTCACTTTTGTCTAGAGACTATGTCTCCCACTGATATGGGAGAGAGACTTGCCTGGCTGTGCTGAGTAGGGATGGGACCTGGGAGTCTTTTGCATTCTCCTTGTTTTCAGACCTATGCCAGCCTCTTCTGGCAGTTCTGCTGAAGAGCTCTTTTGGAGTTTTGTGGGGCAAAGTATTTTGCTTCTCTTACATATCCCTCACCTGTACGCTCTCAGGTATAATCTTTTCTTCTGTTTGTCCTGTCCTCATTTATTAATGCTAACTTCATCAAAGATTGAGTTCTCATTTCTGTTTTCTATGTTTTGGGGTTATTTTTAGAACAAAGAGTATTCCAGTTGTGTATTACTGAGTAACAAATCACCCCAACATTTAGTGGTTTAAACTAAGAAAAGTCATTCGTATTGCTCACAGAGTGCAGTGAGTGCCTTGTTTCTGTGTGATATCTCTCAAGGATCCCATCCATAGCACACCCTACATTGGCTAGAATATCAGAGTAGAAGACTTATTTCATTCTTTGCAGGGTTTTGATTTTGGAATTTTAAAGAATGAATTTCATAAGCTTATTGCCATCTAAAAGCTCAGTTCCTAAAACTAAGATCTTCTAGAATTTGATGAAGAATTCTTTATTTTATCCATGTAATTTGAGCTCTTGAAGACTTTGACCATTTCTTTTCTCAGTCTTTATCTATCTACTGTTGGGGTAATAATCTTTTTCTTTCATCTCTTATGTCCCTGATTAGTTACTTTTTGAGGGGATCTTCTCTGATACCACTTTTTCTTTGAGTCGTGGAAACCAGAATGCACACAATACTTCTGTTGGTTATGAGGTTTGGCTATTTTCATCCTGTAAAGCCAATAATTAAAATCACTATTTTAAGATAAACTGTACATTTCTCAGTACCTAATTTCATATTTGCTTATTTATATTGAAAAATCAAGTGAGCAAAATGTACACACATACTGTTTCATGTTCTTTGTTAGAAATCATATACTGTTGCCTGCTGCAGTGGCTCACGCCTGTAATTCCAGCACTTTGGGAGACCAAGGTGGGCGGATCACTTGAGGTCAGGAGTTCGAGACCAGCCTGGCCAATGTGGTGAAACCGCATCTCTACCAAAAATACAGAAAATTAGCTGGGCATGGTAGTAGTACGGTGCTTACCATATCATACTGTAGCAATATTTTCATCCAGGTTAATGCAATAAAAAGTGAAGAACTAGTTTTTTCCTCCTATATTGGATTTTTCGTGTTGTTTGTTTTTGTTTTTGTTTTTTGTTTTTTGTTTTTTTTGAGACAGAGTTTCACTCTTGTTGCCCAGGCTGGAATGTAGTGGCGCCATCTCAGCTGACTGCAACCTCTGCCTCCTGGGTTAAAGCAACTCTCTTGCCTCAGCCTCACAAGTAGCTGGGATTATAGGCGTCCACCACCACGCCTGGCTAATTTTTTGTATTTTCAGTAGAGATGGGATTTCACCATGTTGGCCAGGCTGGTCTCGAACTACTGACCTCAGGTGATCCACCCGCCTGGGCCTCCCAGAGTGCTGGGATTACAGGTGTGAGCCCCTGTGCCCAGCCTGATTTTTCTTTTCTTCATTCCTTTTCATGATTTTTTCACCAGTTTCCATCAATTTTGTGGCTTATGATAGATTTCAGTGGATGTGGATATAATTTTCCTTACATACTTTTTCCCAGTTTCAGATAAGGTGTATAAGATTTTTAATTTTTATTTGTTTATAGTTGTTTTGCAGTTGAAGGGGTGAGGGAGAACAAGTGGAAAGAGACTGTTGCCGGTTTTCCATGTTATAAATTATCTGAGAGAGTACTAATGTTTTAATTCTTGTTCAAAGGAGAGTTTCTTGCTATGGCTTGGCAAAGAGAAGATTTTTAATGCTTTCAATCATGAATTTGTTTTAGGCCCTTTGCTTATTTTATGTTTTACAGATCTGCATATTTTTTAATTATACAAGTAATTTTAGTAATAAGATTCTTACATTCCAAAAGTATTATAAAGTAAAAAGTGAAAGCTCACACACCTTCTCCCCAGTGTAGGGTAATAATCACTGTATTCCAGACTGCTTTCTTTGCATACATAACTTTTTATAAAAATTAGAATCATACCATAAATTTTAGTCACAAGTTCCTTTTTCACAGTATCATAGACATGTGATACCAATGTTATTATAAAATTATTTTTTATTACGAAGTGATACATCTCATTGTAGAAAATTGGTGAGTGCCCTTTAGTCTTTTCTCTATAAATATTTATATACCTAAGAGTGAAATCATATTGTTTGTTGTTTTGTGACTTGATTTGAATCTAAAAACGTGAACATTTTTCCACGCCATCAAATATTTTCACATCTTTGCTATAACGGGTTTTTTTCTTACTACAAAGTAAGTTTATTATAATGAAATGCTGAAAATACAAATAAAGAAGAAATAGAATGTTCATCTAACAGGTGCATATATCTTTTTTATGATATATTTTTCATTTTCTTACTGGTTTACATATTTAAGAAGATGCTCTTTGTCATATGCTGCCAGTATTATTCCTTATTCCCAGTAGTTTTTCCATGTCATTTACTGGGTATGTTTTGTTACATGTTACTTTTTTTAGACAGAGTCTCGCTCTGTCGCCTATGCTGGAGTGCAGTGGTGTGATCTTGGCTCACTGCAACCTCTGCCTCCCGGGTTCAAGTGGTTCTCCTAACTCAGCCTCCCAAGTAGCTAGGATTACAGGCACATGTCACCACGCCCAGCTAATTTTTGTATTTTTAGTAGAGATGGGGTTTCACCATGTTGGCCAGGCTAGTCTCGAGCTCCCGACCTCAAGTGATCTGCCAGCCTTGGCCTCCCAAAGTTCTGGAATTACAGGCATGAGCCACCGCACCTGGCCTGTATTTTCTTTTAGTACTTTTATGGTTTTATTCTTTTAAGTCTTTAATCTATGAAAATATTTTTACATATGATATGATGTAGGAATCTAACTTTTTTCTTTCTTAGGTAATTAACTAATTGTATATTGTTCCAACACTATTTTCCAAGTGATTTTAATATGTTAGTTTTGTCTTATATTTTGTTGTTCTAATTTGCATCTTTTTTCCTATTATATTTTTATAAATGTTAGAAATGGTATATTAAAAAGATACTGGGTTCTTATTTGCTAAGCTATAACTTTACTGACATCTTTCTAGTCACATCTTATTGGTTATGATTTACAAATTCTTATAGTAATCAGTTTAGCAAAGATTCAAAGTTTATCTGACTTTGTTGCTGGGATCTGCTCGTAGATAACATGTATTTGGTAAAACCTCCAATTTGATAGAAGCAATAAAATACGGAAAAGTTGAATCAACTGTAGCTAAAACGGCAAATTAAGTAAAATCAATCCGTAACTATGAGTGGAAATTTAAATTTTAAGATTGCATGAGAATGAGTTAGAAAATATGGGTTTTTATTTTTGAAGGTAAAGCCCTGTAGTAGAGTAAGTTTATCAGCCAAAAAAGTAAAAACAAACAAACAAAAAAAACCACTTGGCTTTCATTGCTTTGCCATGTGCTTTCCAACTAGGTTAAATGGTGTATGTGATTTTACTAAGAAATTGTTGTGGCCGGGCGCGATGGCTCACACCTGTAATCCCAACACGCCCAAGGCAGGCGGATCACGAGGTCAGGACATCGAGACCATCCTGGCTGACATGGTGAAACCCCGTCTCCACTAAAAAATACAAAAAGTTAGCCGGGCGTGGTGGCGGGCGCCTCTAGTCCCAGCTACTCCGGAGGCTGAGGCAGGAGAATGGCATGAACCTGGGAGGTGGAGCTAGCAGTGAGTCAAGATCGCGCCACTGCAATCCAGCCTGGGCGACAGAGCGAGACTCTGTCTCAAAAAAACAAAAAGAAATTGTTGTTATGAAACAATTTTATTTACTTAAATTCCATTCTTGACTAATGGTTGGATGTCGTACTATAGATGTTTTAAGGGGGAAAAAAGATGATTAAAGCATTTATTTGTATTCTGATTTATTATGATACCTGCTGTATTTTTGTGAGTACAATGTTGAGATTAGGCAGTATTTTTCCACTAAGCTGACTTCCTTTTGCTCTTGGCTTTCTATCGTGTTTCCACTAGATGTCTGTGAGAGGTACACATGAATGAATGTAGCTTCCTCTGACCTTGAGCAATTTTAGCATCATTAATAAAAGTTAGGTCTAGATAGCTGTTTATGTGCTTTGTGGACTGTTTTATGCAAGGTTTAATTATTCTCTTTATGATCTTCTTTTCCTTCTTTGTTCCTGTGTTCTGTTAATGCTATCACCATCCTAACAATCGCTTTGGGTCAAAATCTGAGTCATCTGACTCCCTCCTTTCCTCCCATCCCCAGTAATTAATTCTTTAAGGCCTGTTGATTCTATCTCCATAGTATCTTACATGCCCTCTCTTCTCCCTTCCCGCTACTGTTTCAGGCCTTTATCAACCCTTACCTAAATATTGCCAGCAGCTTGCTAGTAGGTCTACTCTTTACTAGTTTTTTATCCCAATCTTTTCCCACACAAAGTAACAAAAATAATTTTCTGAAAAATATCTCTACTTATGAAACATTGCTGCTCAAAAATCTGTGATGCCTCCCACTGTGTATAGAGTGAAATCTAAACTATTTAACCCAGTTTTCTTCATTACTTGGCCCCAACCTACGACTACTTCTGATTTCCCTTTAACAGTTTTTTATCCTCTGTATTGATGGTTTTCAAGTTGAACTTTAAAAAACTGCCAGAATACCCATCAAAAAGAGTGTGTGTGTGTGTGTGTGTGTGTGTGTGTGTGTGTGTGTGTGAGAGAGAGAGAGAGATTGGAGGGAGGAAGGGAGAGGGAGAGAGATTTCTTTTAATTAAAGAACTCTGAAGTTTTTAAGTTTAAAAATTACTAGCCTGATCATTTGGAATAATTTAACTTTTTCCTCCACCACTATGCGGTATTGTTCTTTTTCGTAACTTTGCCTAGTGTGTCATTTCTTCCCATCTGCATGTCTACTTTTTCAGTTTTCTTACCTTTCAATTTATGTGCTGCTGGCTTCTTTGTGAACTATTTTATGATTCCCTTCCTACCCCTACCTCACCCCCTTCACTCCTCTCAAATTGTCTCTGAATTCCTATCTCAGCCCAGCTATGTCTTTCTTGTGTCACTTATCACATTCTACCTTCTTTTAAAACTATTTATAGACTTTTCTTATCTCTCCAGGAGTCTAAACTCCTTAAGAAGGGGGCTTAAAAATGTTTGTATTTTCAACAATGCCTGCCTACTGTTACACATACTACTCATGCAGTGGATACTTTGAATAGATGATGAAATAACAGTAAGAAAAAGTGTAGCATTACATGAAACATGTCCATTAATATTCAGTCTTATTTTGCTGTAAAATGTAATTGAACAACAGTAATTTTACAAAGAAAGGAAGATTTAACTGTATTGCATCTTTGAGTTTAATAGTCATCTGAGAGCAATTGTCATCTGAAGATAATATAAAAGACACCAAGTTAAATGACTTGCAAATTTTTTTACTTTTTAAAATTTTTTTATTTTTTTAGACTTGCAAATTTTAATTCACATTGAGTAAAACAACTTTTGTAAAATTATATACTTTAGAAACAAATGAAGATTCTTGTGACTTGTTTATTCTATAAGCTGTATAACCAAAAAGAAAAATTAAAGATACTTTAGGAATAAAATAATTTGAAAAATAAAAGAACTTATTTGCATGATGTATCCTGAAAAATTAGGGCAGCCAGTATTACTGAAATAATGGAGGAGTCCGGGAGTGGTTGTGGTATTTTTGTATTTAAAGCTTACACAATAGAGTAGAAACGTTGTGGTACATATTTACTTACAAGAATATGTTTTGAATAAGTTTACTTTCCTAAATGTCATCTGTTTTAATGACCTGCTACTTGGATTCTTTCTCACAGTGTTAGGTTGCTGACTATGTGAAATTTCCTACTTCTTATTATTGCTATCAGAATAGGAAATTTAAAATTAAATCAGAAATGTAAAAGTCTTAAAACTTCACCTTTTCAAAGAATATCGGGGCCTGGCATGATGACTCATGCCTGTAATCCCAGCACTTTGGGAGGCCAAGGCAGGTGGATCATTTGAGGTCAGGGGCTAAAGACCAGCCTGACCAACATGGTGAAACCTTGTAAAAATACAAAATTTTTTGTACTAAAAATACAAAAATTAGCTGGGCATGATGGCAGGCATGTGTAATCCCAGCTACTTGGGAGGCTGAGGAACGAGAATCGCTTGAACCCGAGAGGCAGAGGTTGCAGTGAGCTGAGATCACACCACTGCACTCCAGCCTAGGTGACAGAGTGAGATTCCATCTCAAAAAAAAAAAAAAAAAAGATAAAAAAGAATATCAGTTTTTTTCCTCTATTTTCATATCAATTAGCTTGTCTTTCTGTTGAGTATCGTTCATGAGTCTGCCGACCATTTTAGGTTGAATATTTCCTCAAAGGCTATTTTATAGTTTCTGAATTTAATCTTTTTTTAAGGGAACATTTTTAGGTTCTATTTAGGACTATAGTAATTAATGTAATTAATAATCAATAATTGCTACCTACTCTGTATGTTGAAGCTAAATCCCCAAATTAAGTTTTAATACTAGTATCTTTTACCTTACTAATTTCTATTAAATTTAAGGCTGAAAAAAATCTTATTTTTTAGCTTAATAGGATCTTTGTCCTATTCAGAAGTTTTGAGTTATTTACATTATTTTACTAGTGAAAATATAAAACCAAAAAACAGTTTATTAGTTGTAATGGTAGTTCTCATTCTTATGGCCAATGCCTTTTTTTTAATGCAGTAAAACAAAATAGACATTTATCTAGCGAACATCCCTTTTCAAACTATAGGGTCAAAGTGAAGGATTCTTTTGATAATGATAGAATATGTGTTTGATCATTTGAGTTTAAAGACTATGGGAAAGGAATTGATAAGATTATTTAAATACTCACGAAAGTGCTTTGGCATTCCACTAATGCTATTCTCTTTTAAGCACATTTTCCTATGAAGTGTGTGCGGTTGCAGTTGCCTACACCATGTCAATGCCTGCTGGTTTTTCCTGCTGTGAAGTTTTTCCTTTACATACACAGATTCATGAAAGAGTTTATGGTGTAGATGATCTGAAACTAAACAGGACACATTTTCATACACTTTAGTACCATTTGAAGACTCTGGGTGTCAGTTGTTGCTGGGACCTGTTTTTGACTCTGATGAACCTTTACTGGTTGTGGTTTGTCTGGCCATCACATGACTTCTCTGAAAATTCCCCCTCCCCTTCATTTCCAGTAAACTGTTTGAGCAGGAGTGAGTCACAGTGAAACCAGCTTCCCTGTAACCACAGGGCTTGTTAAAGAATTTGTCAGCGTGGACTCTAGAGGGTTTGCATTAAGCTTTGCAGTAACTGTTATGGTTTGTGTTGCGTCAGGAGTTCCACAGAAAAGCTTCCTGCTTGCAGGATCTCTTGCTTGTTTGCAAAGAGTTAAACTGATCAACTTTACCATAGTGAACATGAGAGACACATGTTAAACACACTTCTTTATCATTAAAGGCGTTGTCAAAACTACCAAGAATTAGTGTAGTTTCTCTTTTCATAATCAACCAACCACACCCAATAATGTTTAGTTTTTGAAAAGGCGGGCCTGGTAGATAGTCTTTCACAGTTGGCTCATGATTTTATCACAAAGTACCATCAAAATTAAGCAATTTTAAGTGGTCTTGATGGATTCTGTTACAGGATATTTTGACTATTCGCACAGTTAGGTGTCGGTACCAAAGGTCACTTACTTGCACTTTGTTCATCAAGAAAAGGTAGCACTTAGAGTAATTCTGGAGTTGTGATGTCTAAGCACACTTAGCATGATTTATAGTGGAATTCTTCGTGCCCCCTTTTACTTGCTTTCTCTAGAAGCATTTACTTTATTTTGAACTCTTTTGCCACCTCACTCGCAGACTTTAATCTTTCTCCCTTTTAATTTCTTCTATTTCTTTAACTCATTCCCATATTATCAACAAGGAAAGATAGTTGCAATGTGATGCAAGCTGTTAAATGAATGGCCAGTGGGAAACTTGTCTTCTCAACATACATTCCCAAGTGCATTTCTTTTTACATGCGCATTTCTGTATTTAGCCTTGTCACCTTTAGCTAGACTTACTTATCTAAAAAATAAATTTAGGCTGGGCACAATGGCTCACGACTGTAATCCCAGCATTTTGGGAGGCTGAGGCGGGTGGATCACCTGAGGTCAGGAGTTTGAGACCAGCTTGGCCAACATGGTGAAACCCCATCTCTACTAAAAATACAAAAATTAGTGGGGCATGGTGGCAGGTGCCTGTAATCCTGCTACTCAGGAGGCTGAGGCAAGAGAATTGCTTGAACCAGGGAGGCAGAGGATGCAGTGAGCCGAGATCGTGCCACTACACTCCAGCCTGGGTGACAGAGTGAACTTTGTCTCAAAAATAATTAATTAATTAGTTAATTAATTAATTTAGTGAAAACTTTTAAACTCGACCTCCTAAAAATTTCTTTTATTCGGCTTACACTTTTGTAACAAAATAAGAAAAACATTCTAAAAAATGTGGAAGCTAGTTATTCCTCACAGGAAAAAATATACAATAATGAAGTTTGAAATTGTTTATGTTTTAGCCATGCTGTCAGTCATCAAACTAAATTTAAAAAAATTATTTGTTTTGATGACAAAGCAATTATCATTGAAACAAGATGATTTTCAAATGAAAATACGAGGTTAATGCAGTCCAGTCATTAGCAGGGAAAAAAAGAATAAATATTTAAGGTTTTTCTTGTTAGGTTGCTTTGCACATTGGAGTAGAAAATAGTTTTGGGCTTGGCGCGTTGGCTCAGGCCTGTAATCCCAGCACTTTGGGAGGCTGAGGGGGACGGATCACAAAGTCAGGAGCTCTAGACCAGCCTGGCCAAGATGGTGAAACACCGTCTCTACTAAAAATACAAAAATTACTCAGGCATGTTGGAGAGCTCCGGTAGTCCCAGCTACTCAGGAGGCTGAGGCAGGAGAATCGCTTGAACCCGGGAGGCGTACATTTTAGTGAGCCGAGATCCCACCACTGCACTCCAGCCTGGGTGATGGAGAGAGACTCAGTCTCCAAAAAAAAAAGAAGAAAAAAGAAAATAGTTTTGTGGCTGGGCATGGTGGCTCACGCCTGTAATCCCAGCACTTTGGGAGGCCGAGGTGAGCGGATCACCTGAGGTCGGAAGTTCCAGACCAGCCTGGCCAATAATGGCGAAACCCCGTCTCTACTAAAACTACAAAAAAATTAGCTGGGTGTGCTGGCGGGTGCTTCTAGTCCCAGCTGCTTGGGAGGCTGAGGTAGGAGAACTGCTTGAACCCAGAGGCAGAAGTTGCAGTGAGCTGAGATCACACCACTGCACTCCAGCCTGGGCAACAGAGCTAGACTCCATCTAAAAAAAAAAAAAAAGAAAGAAAGAAAATAATTTTGTGTTATGTCTGCTTGTTCTTTTCACTTCCACACCTGTTTGCAGATATGGCGGTGGAAAAAGCACTGGGTAAGCATTAGGTTACCTTTGTTAAACTAAAGTCTTTTTTTTTTTTTCAGGTTTGTGTTTCAAACACCTTTTATAAAATGCCTTTAGAAAGGCCCCTTTTGGGCCGGGCGCCATGGCTCATGCCTGTAATCCTAGCGCTCTGGGAGGCCGAGGAGGGTGGATCACGAGGTCAGGAGATCAAGACCATCCTGGCTAACACGGTGAAATCCCGTCTCTACTAAAAATACAAAAAATTAGCCTGGCGTGGTGGCACGCACCTGTAGTCCCAGCTACTCTGGAGGCTGAGGCAGGAGAATCCCTTGAACCTGGGAAGCAGAGATTGCAGTGAGAGAAAAAAAAAAAAGATAAAAGAAAAAAAGGCCCCTTTTGGCTGGGCGCAGTGGTTTACGCCTATAATCCCAGCACTTTGGGAGGCCGAGGCGGGCGGAACCAGTCTGGCCAATATGGTGAAACCCCATCTCTACTAAAAATACAAAAATTAGCCCGGCGTGGTGGCTCGCACCTGTAGTCCCAATTACTCGGGAGACTGAGGCAGGAGAATCGCTTGAACCCGGAAGGCGGAGGTTGCAGTGAGCCAAAATCGCTCCACTGCACTCCAGCGTGGGTGACAAAGCAAGTCTCAAAAAAAAAAAGGCCCTGTATTGAAACTTGGACCAACAGACTACTTACGCTTCGTTTTTGCTTATGAGTCTGTAAATCAGTAACATGCTAAATACAAACCCACCCTTTGTTATAAGTGCTGAGTGCTTTGAGGGGTACATCAGAGTTTAATGGAAGACCTGGACAGCAGAATAGCTATTATGTTCATTTCCTATTGCAAAGGTGCCTTTATTTCTAATTAGCCAAGATATTTTGTTTGTCATGATCAATCTGCAGTTCTTTCTCTTTCTTTTCTTTCTTTCTTCCTTCCTTCCTTTCTTTCTTTCCCTTTTTTTTTTTTTTTTTTTTTTGAGACGGAGTCTCCCTCTGTCACCCAGACTGGAGTGCAGTGGTGTGATCTCAGCTCACTGCAACCTCCACCTCCCGGGTTCAAGCGATTCTCCTGCCCCAGCCTCCCAAGTAGCTGGGACTACAAGCACACGCCACCATGCCCGGCTGTTTTTTTGTATTTCTAGTAGAGACAGGGCTTCACCATATTGGCCAGGCTGGTCCGGAACACTTGACCTCAGGTGATCCGCCCACCTCAGCCTCCCAAAGTGCAGGGATTACAGACATGAGCCACCGTGTTTGGCTCCAATCTGCAGTTCTTTCTTGCTTATTATTTAAGGAGATTTCTCTCAATAGAGTCTCCTTCCCATTTTTGCTATCTCAGGTCTTACAACTTCAAAATATGACTATCATGCTTTTAAACTAAGGCCCTATGAAGAGATCTAAAGAAATGGGCATGATAATTCATTCAGTGCTCCCCTCAAAAGTAGGGATATATTTTAGATTTTTTTGCCCCATTCCCTGACATGGGTCTGCATCAATTAACTTATCCAAATTTCTAAAACTTTGTATTTTTACTACTTGTAGTAAAGACTCAGTAAGTTTATAGCCCATCATATAAAGCAGTGCTTCCATTTTGTTTTAAATTTACCTCTCTGAAGGTATAAAGTTTGGCCAGGCGTGGTGGCTCATGCCTGTAATTCCAGCACTTTGGGAGGCCGAGGCAGGTGGATCACTTGAGGTCAGGAGTTTGAGACTAGCCTGGCCAACATGGTGAAACTCCATCTCTACTAAAAATACAAAAATTAGCCGGGCAGTAGTGGCATGTGCCTGTAATCCCAGCTACCGGGGAGGCTGAGGCAGGAGAATCACTTGAACCCAGGGGGCAGAGGCTGCAGTGAGCCATGATCACGCCACTGCACTCCAGTCTGGGTGACAGGGCAAGCTCCATCTCGAAAAAAAAGAAAGTTTTAAAGTTTACACTCAAATTATTCTGATATTGTAAAATTTGTCAAATACTTCTCATTTCCTCTCATATTTTTCATAGCTTTATAGATTTCACTTAGCTTCCTCTTCAAGCCTTTCTAGAGAATGTAATTATTCACTTTTTATATCCAACAGCCCCCAAATCTCAATTGTTTTTTCCATGGATCTTTATCTAATCCTTTTATATCTCTCCTAGCATGAAATCATAACTTCGCATGATGAAAGTCACAACTGCACATGATTTTCCAGAGGCAATTGCCACATAACTGTACTCATTTTTCATATTTCTAAAATCATGGGCCTGTTTAGCAATGCATTTTGCTGACATTTTTAATAAACAATTTAAGACTGCTCCCAGTTCCCTTTTTTTTTTTTTTTTTTTTTAAGATGGAGTCCCGCTCTTGTTGCCCAGGCTGGAGTGCAATGGCACAATCTCGGCTGACTGCAAGCTCCACCTCCCAGGTTCAAACGATTCTCCTGCCTCAGCCTCCAGAGTAGCTGGGATTACAGGTGCCTGCCACCGCGCTCAGCTAATTTTTTTATATTTTTAGTAGAGACGGGGTTTTAGTATGTTGGCCAGGCTGGTCTTGAACTCCTGACCTCAGGCGATCCACCCACCTCAGCCTCCCAAAGTGCTGGGATTATAGGCGTGAGCCACCGTGCCCGGCTCTTTTTTTTTTTTTTTTTTGAGACAGAGTCTCACTCTGTCACCCAAGCTGGAGTGCTCACTCCTCTGCCTCCCTGGTTCAAGTGATTCTCCTGCCTCAGCCTCCCTAGTAACTGGGATTACAGGCCACCACGCCCGGCTAATTTTGTATTTTTAGTAGAGACAGGGTTTCACCATGTTGGCCAGGCTGGTCTTGAACTCCCGACCTCAAATGATCTGCCCACCTTGGCCTCCCAAAATGCTGGGATTACAGGCATGAGCCACCATGCCTGGCCCCATTGTTTTATATTTAAATAAATTTTCCCCAAACATTTTATCTTGCCGTTGTCTGTATTGAAGATGACCTGCCACTTGCTTGCTGAAGTGTGCAAAATCTTTCAGTTTACTGTCATGAATTTAGCATCTCCTAGTTTAGATATAATTTCAACTGTAGATTTGGAACTTAAACTCTGCATTTCTTTTTCCAGGGCCATTTATAAATTTGTTAAGATTGGTTCTATTGGCCGGGTGCCATGGCTCATGCTTGTAATCCCAGCATTTTGGGATACTGAGGTAGGAGGATCACTTGAGCCAAGGAGTTCAAGGCCAACCTAGGAAACATAGTGAAACCCCATCTCTAAAAACAAAAAAGTTAAAAAATTAATCATACATGGTGGCATGCAACTGTAGTCCCAGTTACTTGGAAGGCTGAGGCAGGAGGATTGCTTGAGCCCGAGAGGTCATGATTGTAATGAACTATGATGGCACCACTGCACTCCAGCTAGACGGCAGAGCAAAAGTCTGTCTCAAAATCAAAAAAAGATTGGTTCTACCTCAGAAAAGAATGTCACTGTTGACATTTCCCATAATAGAGAAGTTCCCATTTATCTTTTTCCTTTGTTTTCAGTCTCTTAAGTTTCCTGTCTCTGACAGTTTTGTGAATTCCATACAGACTTAGTTTTCATAGCTTTGCTTGCTTAAGTCAAGTTACCTCACTATTTTGACTTTTTTCTTTTTTTCTTCACAGACTAGTATTATTGTTATGTTTTATACATAGCAGATTGTCATCTACTGATTTTTTTTATTTCAGTTTGATCTAAATAATTATCAGATGAGGCTGGGCACGGTGGCTCATGCCTGTAATCCTAGCACTTTGGGAGGCCGAGGCGGGCGGATCACCTGAGGTCAAGAGTTCGAGACCAGCCTGACCAACATGGAGGTCTGTACTAAAAATACAAAATTAGCCGGGCACATGCCTGTAATCCCAGCTACTCAGGAGGCTGAGGCAGGAGAATCGCTTGAACCCAGGAGGCGGAGGTTGCAGTGAGCCGAGATCACGCCATTGCACTCCAGCCTGGGCAACATGAGCAAAAACGCCATCTCAAAAAATAATAATAATAATAATAATAATTATTATTATTATTATCAGATGAGTGGCTGGGCATGGTGGCTTATGCCTGTAATTCCAGCACTTTGGGAGGCTGAGGTGGAAGGATCACTTGGAGCCCAGGAGTTCAAGACCAGTCTGGGCCAAATAGTAACACCTCCATCTCTTTTTTTTTTGAGGCGAGTTTTGCTCTTGTTGCCCAGACTGGAGTGCAATGGCACAATCTTGGCTTACCACAACCTCTGCCTCCCGAGTTCAAGCAATTCTCCTGCCTCGGCCTTCCAACGTGCTAGGATTACAGGCATGTGCCACCACACCCAGCTAATTTTCTAATTTTTTTTTTAGTAGAGATGGGGTTTCTCCATGTTGGCCAGGCTGGTCTTGAACTCCCGACCTCAGTTGATCTACCTGCCTCAGCCTCCCAAAGTGCTGGGATTGTAGGCGTGAGCCACCATGCCCAGCCTCTATTAATTTTTTTAAAAAGAATTTTCAAAAATTGTCATATGAGGAGTTACTGGCTTCAGACAGGAAAAAGAAAAAGGAAATTACTTGTGTAATATATCCGTTTACTTATTTCTATGCAGTAATAAATCTTGCATACTCAGATATTTTCCCTGAGTGTCTAGAGCACTTGTCCTTCTTGGGCTACAGAGTCCGTTCTTATTTCTAGTAGGAGTTAGGCAGGCACCCACCTGAGTTTGAGTGGATGCCAGCTGCCTAAGAATTACCATGTTTGTGCGTGTGTGCACGCGTGCGCATGTGTGTGTGTGTTTATTTATTTATTTTTTTTGAGATGGAGTCTTGCTCTGTCGCCCAGGCTGAAGTGCAGTGGCGTGATATTGTCTCACTGCGGCCTCCACCTCCCGAGTTCAAGCAATTCTCCTGCCTCAGCCTCCTGAGTAGCTGAAATTACAGGCGAGCACCACCATGCCCGTTTAATTTTTGTGTTTTTAGTAGAGACAGGGTTTCACCTTGTTAGTCAGGCTGGTCTCAAACTCCTGACCTCGTGATCCGCCTGCCTCGGCCTCTCAAAGTGCTGGGATTACAGGCGTGAGCCACCGCATTTGCCCTTTTTTTGTTTTTCAAGACAGAGTCTTGCTCTGTTGCCCAGGCTGGAGTGCAGTGGCACAATCTCGGTTCACTGCAAGCTCCGCCTCCCAGGTTCATGCCATTCTCCTGCCCCAGCCTCCCGAGTAGCTGGGACTACAAGCACCTGCCACCACGCCTGGCTAATTTTTTGTATTTTTAGTAGAGACAGGGTTTCACCGTGTTAGCCAGGATGGTCTCAATCTCCTGACCTTGTGATCTGCCTGCCTCAGCCTCCCAAAGTGCTGGGATTACAGGTGTGAGTCACCGCACCCGGCCTTTTTTTTTTTTTTTTTTTTTGAGACAGAGTCTCACTCTGTTGCCCAGGCTTTAGTGCAGTGGCAAGATCTCAGCTCACTGCAACCTCTGCCTCCCGGGTTCAAGCAGTTCTGCCTTAGCCTCGTGAGTAGCTGGGATTACAAGCGCACGCCACCACGCCTGGCTAATTTTTGTATTTTTAGTAGAGACGGGGTTTCACCATGTTGGTCAGGCTGGTCTTGAACTCCTAACCTCATGATCTGCCCGCCTCGGCCTCCCAAAGTGCTGGGATTACAGGTGTGAGCCCCCGCGCCCTGCATTTTTTTTTTTTTTTTTTTTTTTTTTTTTTTTTTAACGAAAATCTAAGTAGGGAGAGAGACAGAGGGAAAGGAAGCTGCAGATACTGGCCAATCTTAATGCTGGTAACTGGGCTGGAATAAGAAAAGGAGGGCGAGAGAGCACTGTATGTTTGTGTGAACTTCTAAGAATAATTTACTTACTTTATATCTGAACATGGTAATAAATACTGGAGTCAGCCCCCGAGAAAGCCTCCTGAAACCGTATTTCTTCCATCTCATCTTTCTTCCTAGACTATACAAGAAATGTTTTATGTCTAGTAGGTTGTTTGTGAGTTTTAAGATTAGTAATCATAGTGAAATAATCATTACAGGTGTAAATAACTGAACAATTTCCTCCTAAAGAACAAGCATTCAGGAGAAGTAATAGCACCCATTTCTACCTTCTTGTGTTGAAGGATTTGGTAAACTAATCGTTGGCACTAAAAGGCAGATTTGATCTTTTTTTTTTTTTTTTTTTGAGACGGAGTTTCGCCCTTGTCGCTCAAGCTGGAATGTAATGGCGTGATCTTGGCTCACCACAACCTTCTCCTGCCTCAGTCTCCCAAGTAGCTGCGATTACAGGCATGCGCCACCACGCCCAGCTAATTTCGTATTTTTAGTAGAGACGGGGTTTCTCCATGTTGGTCCGGCTGGTCTGGAACTCCCGACCTCAGGTGATCTGCCCACCTCAGCCTCCCAAAGTGCTGGGATTACAGGCATGTGCCACCATGCTCGGCTGAGTTTTGTATTTTTAGTAGAGATGGGGTATGGGGTTTCACCGTGTTGGTCAGGCTGGTCTCGAACTCCTGACTTCAAGTGATCCATCCGCCTCAGCCTCCCAAAGTGCTGGGATTACAGGCGTGAACCACTGTGCCTGGCCGATAATTTTTTGATTTTTGATATATTTTCCTTCTTTCTCTCCCTTCCATTTTACAGCCCCCTTACATCTTTGATATGAACATGTTTCTTTTGTTTTTTAAAATTAAAAACAATGGTCGGGCATGGTGGCTCATGCCTGTAATCCTAGCACTTTGGGAGGCCTCCCAAAGGATCAGCTGAGCTCAGGAGTTCAAGACCAGCCTGGGCAACATGGTGAAATCCTCTCTCTACCATTTAAAAATTATAAAAATAAAAAATAATAATAAAATTTAAAACAAAACAAAAATCTCTTATTTTCGTTGTAAGATTGCAGTAGTAATTGTGCTTATCATAAGGTCTGATTGAGTAGATAAAATAAATCAGGCAAGATATTTTACTTCATTGGGTATCAGGTGTTTTTTGTCTCTTGACATTTACTAAGCAGTATAACTTCAATTTAAACAATTTTGTCTCATACTCAGTTTTGTTTATGGTGGTAGACATTATTATCATCATTTTACAGAAAAGATGAACAAACTGCGATTCAGAGAACCTAAAAGATTTAGTGTTATCAATGCTGTGTCATTTTAATATCATTAAAAACCATAGAATTGCTGGTGTTTGTATTGTTTCTCTCTATAGCACTTTTTATCTTTCTTGTTTTTGCTCTCTCTTGCTTTGTAGGTTTCATCCATCCTTCTTTCATCTTCCCTTTTACTTACTGCACCCTCTGCTTCCATACACATACCCTAAATTAGGTATCTCCCAAGGGAAAAAACTCGCCAGAACTCTCTTCTCATAGATTGTCAGCATGACCTACTCTCTCACCTCCTTGAGAATTTTGATGTTTTGGATCACCTTTTCTCTGAAGCCTTTCCTGACTGTCCTATTTAGTTTTCATCTCCTCCCACTAGAATATAAACTCCATGAGGTTCCAGATTGTTATCAGTGTGATTTAGCGTTGTGTTCTCAACTTCTACAATATTTGGCATGTAGTAAACACTTTTTAAACATATACGGAATGAATGTATGAACGAATCACTATGTTCTCATCTTTGGATTCTTTATTACCTTGCACATAGTAGTTATCAGGTTTATTCAGTTAAATGTAATTGCTTTTAAATAAGAATTCTGATTTCTGAAAAAGGTTTCAATTTTGTCTTCCCAAATTGAGTGTGCACAAAAAGTACATTTTTTTCTAAGCAATTATCTCTGTTTTCCTAAGGAAATTGGAAGTAACTTTCAAAATGTTATAAGTTGTTTTTCTAAAACTTAGCATTTAAAATATTTAAAGCTATTCATTCCTCGTTTTCTTGCTTTAACTTACTCAATCCTCATGCTAATTCTGACAAACACATTCTTTAGAACCATCTGTACAAAAGGAAAATCATTTAGATTTTTTTCAATTGACAGTTATTATCAGTTGGCAAAATGGAAGCAATATTAAGAATAATTTGATTGACAGTCACTTTTGGAAACTGGCACTGTCTACTACAGTTAAACATACACATACTGTATGATCCAGCAATTCCATTTGTAAATCTATACTCACCAGAAGGATATGCCAGAAGACATGTACAAGAATGTTCATAGCAGCATTATTTATAGTAACTCAAAATTTCCTTCCTGTAGGAGATAGCTTAAAAAGGAAAAATAAGGCCTGGCACTGTTGCTCAAGCCTGTAATCCTACCACTTTGGGAGAGCAAGGCAGGCGGGTCACAAGGTCAGGAGTTCCAGACCAGCCTGGCCAGCATGGTGAAACCCCCCCCCCGTCTCTACTAAAAATACAAAAATTAGCCAGGCATTGTGGCACACGCCTGTAGTCCGAGCTACTGGGGAGGCTGAGGCAGGAGAATTGATTGAACCCGGGAGCAGAGGTTGCAGTGAGCCGAGATCACGCCATGCCACTGCACTCCAGCCTGGCGACATAGCAAGACTCTGTCTCAAAAAAAAAAAAAAAAGAAAAAGAAAAAGACTTTTTAAATAATAGTTCAAAAGCGGAAGCAACCCTAATGTCCACCAACAATAGAATAAATTGTGATATACCTATACAATGGAATAATATGTAGCATCTGCAACAAATTGATTACTGCTACATGCAACAGCATGGATGAATCACCTGGACATAATATAATGTTAAGCCAAAGAAGCCAGACATAAAAGAGGACATACTGTATAATTCCATTTATATAAAGTTCAGGCCAGGCACAGTGGCTCACGCCTGTAATCCCAGCACTTTGAGAGGCCAAGGCAGGCAGATCACCTGAGGTCAGGAGTTTGAGACCAGCCTGACCAATGTGGTGAAACCCTGTCGTTACTAAAAACATACAAAAATTAGCTGGGTGTGGTGGCATGGGCCTGTAGTCCCAGCTATTCAGGAGGCTGAGGCAGGAGAATCACTTGAACCCGGGAGTAGGAGGTTGCAGTGAGCTAAGATCGCACCATTGCAGCCTGGGCAACAAGAGCAAAACACCATCTCAAAAAAGTAAAATAAACTATGATAAAATAAATTTTTAAAACGAAGTTCAAAAATAGGAAAAGCTAAATCTGTGGTAATGGAAGCCAATGTTAGTGGTTATTTTGCAGGGAGTAATTACTAGGAGTGCCACCAGCAGGGTTTCTGGAGTTCCGGTAATGTTCTGTATCTGGATCTCAGTAGTGGTTACATGGGTGTGTTGTAAATTTCCATTAAGAGGTATATTTTAGATTTGTATGCTTTACTGTATACGTTATGCCTTAGTTTAAAAAACTACTCATACTGTTTTCTCCTGCAACCTGCCCATGTAAATTTGGTAACGGAAATACATCTATACATCGAGAAATCCACTTAATCCTGATCTTGACCCAGAAATAGTTGATAGCTCCCTATTTTTGGCACAACACTCTGAAATGTGTGGTGTTCACAGTGGATTATGTATTTCCTGTGTGTATACATGAAAAAAATTTGTGTTGATCAGTTCTCACGTAACTTTTGAAAAGTGTAATTTGGATAAAGCATCATGAGACCTACTACAGTCACAGCTGCCTCTAGATCAATGACTTTTTTACTTCTTTTTTTAAACTGTAGCCAACAATACAAAATACATTGTACTTAGCAACCCAGAGCCAATTTGTGTGTAACTAGAATAAATGTTTCGTGAAATAGTATTTACTTCCATTGCTTGTGAGGTCTCACCATTTTATTCTGTTCATTAAAACACAAGATGTAAGGCCGGGCACGGTGGCTCACGCCTGTAATCCCAGCACTCTGGGAGGCCAAGGCAGGCGGATCACCTGAGGTCGGGAGTTCCAGACCAGCCTGACCAACATGGAGAAACCCCGTCTCCACTAAAAATACAAAATTAGCCAGGTGTGGTGGCGCATGCCTGTAATCCCAGCTACTCGGGAGGCTGAGGCAGGAGAATTGCTTGAACCCAGGAGGCAGAGGTTGCAGTGAGCCGAGATTGTGCCATTACACTCCAGCCTGAGCAACAAGAGCGAAACTCCGTCTCAAAAGAAAAAAATAAAAAGAAAAAGCAAGATGTAATTTGTTACCAACTAAATTTTCACACCGCATTTTAATTTAATGAAACTGCCCTAGATAATATAAATATGAGTATAAACAGAAACCCAAACTGAATTTTGTTTTCAGATTTCTAGTTACATCTAGTTTTTGAGTACTTAATAAATTTAGCTAGTTGCCAAAATAAATGTTTCTTACTGTTTCAGAGAATAGTCAGATCCTTCTTTGCTTCTGGTAGTTTTTAGTTATGCCTGCATTGATTTTGATAGATATGAGAACTTATGTTTATATTGCATGTTTTACATATAATCTCTTCTTAAAACTTCTAAATCTCTAAGTTACTTTCAGAATAAAATATCCTTGCTTTTATGAAATGTGTTCATGTGATGTATTCTGCTTGCAGTATTATAGAGTTTTACCCTAATTTCTAATATATATAGAAATACCAGTGACCATCTCTGATTTTACAGTTGGCTTTATCTAACCGTGTAAGCCATCAGCTGGATGTTAAAACGTTTCATTTTCAGGAATAGTTACACAACTCAGTTCTCATCACTTTTTGTTCTTAAATGGGTTTGCATTTTGTTATCCAACATCTTATAGCTAGTAATTTAAAATTTATTAACTATTTTCTTTGTTTTACAATCACTTTATTTCAACAATATCCCTACTTTTTTGGTAATTCTAGAATTTATTTCCTAACCACAGTCTTTATCCCGTGACCTTATTATGTTATAATTCAATAACAATAAATAATGTGTGACTTAAAAATATGCTTCACTTGGCCGGGCGCAGTGGCTCACGCCTGAAATCCCAGCATTTTGGGAGGCCAAGGCGGGAGGATCACCTGAGGTCAGGAGTTTGAGACCAGCCTGGCCAACATGGTAAAACCCCATCTCTACTAAAGATACAAAAATTAGCCAGGTGTGGTGGCAGGCCCCTGTAGTCCCAGCTACTCGGGAGGCTGAGGCAGGAGAATCACTTGAACCCGGGAGGCGGAGGTTACAGTGAGCTGAGATCCTGGGGGATAAGAGTGAGACTTCCTCTCAAAAAAAAAAAAAAAAAGGCTTATTTAAAGAGGACCTACTCAAATATGCAAAATTAAAATATAAGCAATTACTTTAGTGATATTGTTGAGGAAGTCAACAGTAAGAATATTTTGTTCACTTTGAATTCAATTAATGCTCTATATTTTTAAAATAACTCAAAGAGCCCTGATAATGGGTAGAAAATAGTTATTAAGGCACTTTTTACTTTGTGTTCAAGAAAGATTTGAAGTTATAACTGCATTACAGAAAGTTTTACATTGCAGTTTCTATAAAGATAATAGTTAATTGTATAATGTATTTCATTTTAGAAAATATTTAATGATACGTTATTAGGGTCTTAATAACAAGTTATTGTTTCAGACTCATTGTCTACTATGCTGAAAAAACTTAAATTATTAAGTCATCATGACAAGTCATTCCATTTCTGCTTAATAGAGTTTTCATTGCTTGGCGTGCATATTTGACTAGCACGCAGAAACCAGCAAGTAATTTTTAGGTGGCACAAGAGCTTCACAAATAGACTATATTTTAACATAAATTTCCATTACACATGAGGAATCAGTATTGAAACAGTTGCTCTGAGGCTTTTAATATTGGCTGTGAAATCACTTCAGCTCCAAATCCAAAAGAAAGCATTATTAGCTCAGTAGTTTTAATATATACAGTCATATGCCACATAACAGCCTTTCAGCCAGTGATGAACTGCATGTCTGACAGTTCATAATGGGGCTGAAAAATTCCCATCACCTAGTGACATGGTAATGTAGCACAACACATTACTCACATGTTTGTGGCGATGCTGGTGTAAACAAACCTATTACGCTGCCAGTCATATAAAACTATAGCACATACAGGCTGTGCGCAGTGGCTCATGCCTGTAGTCCCAGCACGTTAGGAGCCTGAGGTGGGCAGATCACGAGGTCAGGAGTTCGAGACCAGCCTGGCCAGCATGGTGAAACCCCATCTTAACTAAAAATACAAAAATTATCTGGGCCTGGTAGCGCGTGCCTGTAATCCCAGCTACTCAGGAGGGTGAGGCAGGAGAATTGCTTGAATCCAGGAGGCAGAGGTTACAGTGAGCCAAGATCGTGCCATTGCACCCCATCCTGGGCGACAGAGCAAGACTCCATCTCGAAAAAAAAAAAATATATATATATATATATATATGTGTGTGTGTGTGTGTGTGTGTGTGTGTGTGTGTGTATGGCACATACAGTTATATATAGTACATAATACTTGATAGTAAATGAAATGTGTCATTGGTTTATATATTTACTATACTATAGTTTTATCTTTTGTGTGTGTGTATGTTGAAGGGGGAGATCATCTTGCTCTGTTGCCCAGGCTGGAGTGCAGGGGTGTGATCACCGCCCACTGTAGCCTCAACTTCCTGGGCTCTGGCAATCCTCCTGCCTCAGTATCCCGAGTAACTGGGAACACAGACTTGCATCACCACACCCAGCTAATTGTTTTTTTTTTTAATTAGTTATAGAGACTTGGTCTCCTTATGTTACCCAGGCTGCTCTGGAAGTCCTAGGCTCGAGTGATCCTCCCATCTCGGCTTCCCAAATTGTTGGGATTATAGGCATGAGCCACTGTGCCTGGCCCAAAATATCTTATATACCATATTGTATTTGTACCTTTTTTATATTTAAAAACATATTTAGGCCGGATGAGGTGGCTCATGCCTATAATCCCAGCACTTTAGGAGGCCGAGGCAGCCGGATCACCTGAGGTTAGGAGTTCAAGACCAGCCTGGCTAATGTGGTGAAACCCCATCTCTACTACAAATACAAAAATTAGCCAGATGTGGTGGCAGGTGCCTGTAATCCCAGTTCAGGCAGGAGAATTGCTTGAACCTAGGAGGCAGAGGTTGCAGTGAGCCAAGATTGCGTCTTTGCACTCTAGCCTGGGTAACAGGAGCTAAACTCCATCTCAAAAACAAAACAAAACAAAACAAAAAACATATTTAGGCCAGGTGTAGTGACTCACGCCTGTAATCCCAGCACTTTGGGAGGCCAAGGTGGGCAGATCACTTGAGGTCAGGAGTTCGAGACCAGTCTGGCCAACATCGCGAAACCCCATCTCTACTAAAAATACAAAAATTAGCTGGGCATGGTGGCACGCACCTGTAGTCCTAGGTACTCTGGAGTTTGAGGTGTGAGAATCGCTTGAACCCAGGAGGTGGAGGTTGCATTGAGCCAAGTCACGCCACTGCACTCCAGCCTGGGCGACAGAGCGAGACCCTGTCTCAAAATAAAATAAATAAAACAAAATAAAATAAAAACATGTTTAGATACACATATACTTACATTGTGTTACAATTGCCTACAGCATTTAGTACAGTAACAGGTTGTGTAGGTTTGTAGCCTAGGAGTGGTAGCTATACTAGATAGCCTAAGTGTGTAGTAGGCTATATAACATCTAGGTTTGTATAAATACACTGCATGATGTTCACACGACAATGAAATCGCCTAACAACTCATTTCTCAGAATATATGCCAGTTGTTAAGCCACACATGACTGGAATGGGTTATAAAGGCAGGTAATTTAAACTTCCATAACATATTAACCAAGTATACATTTATCTTCGGTAACATTGCATTGGTTTTACATGTTTAGGGATTTTCTGTTGCTTTTATTTCATTTTTTTATGTCGCCCAGGCTGTAGTGCAGTGGCACGATCTCTGCTCACTGCAACCTCCGCCTCCCGGGTTCAAGCGATTCTCTTGCCTAGGCCTCCTGAGTAGCTAGGATTACAGGCGCCAGCCACCACGCCTAGCTAATTTTCTGGGTTTGCTTTGTTTGTTTGGTTTTGAGAAAGAGTTTAGCTCTTGTTGCCCAGGCTGGAGTGCAATGGCACGATCTCGGCTCACCACAACCTCTGCCTGCCGTGTTCAAGCAATTCTCCCACCTCAGCCTCCCAAGTAGCTGGGATTACAGGCATGCGCCACCATGCCCGGCTAATTTTGTATTTTTAGTAGAGATGACGTTTCTTCATGTTGGTCAGCCTGGTCTGGAACTCCTGACCTCTGGTGATCCACCCGCCTTGGCCTCCAAAGTGCTGGGATTACAGGCATGAGCCACCGCATATGGCCTTCTGTTGCTTTTAAAGAGATCTTTTCATATGGCTTCCTCGTGAAAATGAAAATGTTTACTGTTACTGTTTGAAGATAAAAGTTACTTCGTATATTTACATTCATGTTGACATCATTAGATTCAAAGATCAATATTTTGCAGACTGTTATTAGCCTTGTAGTTTCTCTTCTCTCTCAATCATAAATATCTTTCTTAAGAAAAAGAAATGTGAAGCAACAATGGTACAGGCATATTCATAGTTTAAGGCTTTGTCTTTCTGTATTTAATCTTGAAATTCAGTGATAAGGAATTGCTGTGACTTTTTTTTATTAGTCTTGTAGTGCTTGGGAAAATGTTTCTTGCGTCTCCTGTTTCAGAAGCGTGATTGGTTTACATATATAATCACTATGGGTTGTGGTAGGAAAGGTAATTTATTTACCTATAATTGGTTTTATTTTTGTGAAAAAAGAAAAGTAGAAAATGATTTGTAATTGCTAATTGTAAATGCATGCTTCATATTTAAGTAGACTTAGAGAATGAAACTATCATCTCAGGCACTTAAGTTGTGAAATAGGTAAAAGTTGTGAAATGTAAATACAGAGAAATGGAACTAATAAAAGGTGTTTGTTTTTAGTTTATGGATTTTTGAAAAAGTGAAAAATGACATGTGAGGAAGTAATCAAATTGGTCATGCTACATTGTTCCCCACAATACTCCAAAACTATTCAAATGAAATATTAATTTTTTTAACTTTTAATGGGAACATTGAATACCTAACATACAATTTGTTTGTAATCTTTTATTTAGTTTTTCTTAAAAATATTGTTTATTATTGGTGTGTATTTGTACTCAGCTTTTTTATTTTACTTGGACTAAAAAGAACAGCAAAATTTGTTTAAAATTTTTTTTAATTTTATAAAAGGGATTTTTTTTGTTTTGGTTTAGCTTTTTGGTGGTGTTAGGTGTGTGAGTAATAGAGTCAAGTTTATTAACAATATACGTAGAATAAAATTCTCATTATAAAGGCAAATGAGAATATATATATTTTAGTTCATAAACAATATTATTCTAAAATCACAATAAGAGCCGCCAAATTATACAAATAATTAAAAAATATACTGAAGTTGTTTTTAGAAAAACAAAGAACTTTTAAAACTACAGAGCAACAAGGAAAGCAAAATTGCACGTAACATATAGAACATTTTGAACAATAAAAGAATAATGTTTTCAATAAAATTATTACATAAAGCTGTTAAAACTATATAACTAAGTTTTATACATGTGGCTTTGAAAGTAAAATAAATTTGGGCCTGGCGCACCGGCTCAAGCCAGTAATCCCAGCACTTTGGGAGGCTGAGGCGGGTGGATCGCCTAAGCTCAGGAGTTTGACACCAGCCTGGGCAACACGGTGAAACTCTATCTCTACTAAAAATACAAAAAATCATCCGGGCGTTGCGGTGTGTGCCTGTAGTCCCAGCTACTCAGGAGGCTGAGGCAGGAGAATCACTTGAACCCGGGAGGCAGATGTTGCAGTGAGCCAAGATCGCACCACTTCACTCACTGCAGCCTGGGCGACAGTGAGACTCCAGCTAAAAAAAAAAAAAAAAAAAAAAGTGAAATAAATTTAAAATAAGAAACAATAAAATATGTTCGTGTTTATCAAATCTAAACATTAAACTTTAGTTATTTTACTATTTTAAAATACCAATGCAGTGCTTTCCTGGTTTTGTTTTCATTACACTGGCAAGGAAAAAAATCAAGAAAATACTGTCCATCAAACTGCATATTATGCTAATGTTTATTTTCTTGAAATAAAAACAACTGTGCAGACTTCATATTAATATAATTTCAGTAAATGTTTGTAGATTATTTGATATATAATGTAATTTAAATTCTGAGAATATTGTGAAAGACCTGGAAAAAATTATGGGAACTGAAAGTAGCATGGTCACTGTGTATGTTAAATACATAATAAAATTTGTGAAATCCTTTTTCAGTAGATGACTTTCACTCTTTTTAAAAAGTAAAGCTCTCCATTAAAAAGGCACTTTACTTGTTTTCCTTATAATACATGCCAGCTTCAAATTTAAAAATTAAAAAAGGTAAAAGGAGGTTTCAGCTTCACGTGTTCGGATAGATTAACTCTTTGTGCTCAAAAAAAAGATTGTTGAAGCTCCCTTAAGGATAACTAATGAGGAGCACCCAGGCATCTGAAAGAACGAGAAGTCTGTTTTTCGTTCTTGCCTAATTGCCGTTAAGCAAAGATACTCTTCCCTAAAAGGGAAAAATGGCTCCTTACGTGTTATTCCTCTTTGTTAGTAATGATCACTGTGTTTTGACCTCTTTTCAGGATGTTTTTTAAACCATGTTTTCTGGTTCTTCTGTAGTCTTAAGTATGTTTGATATTGTTAGGTGATCTGCATAATGTTTAATCATTTTTTTCTTTATATAAACCAGTTGGTATAATTATACCTCTTTTCCTATTTAAGTTTGTATGTGTATATGTGATTCTATAGAGTAGAAAAATGCCATCAGTTTGAAATGATGGCACAATCTTAGTCACTTGGTTTAAATAAATAGAAAATTCTAAAGCCTTAAAATTAAGATAATGCTCTTTGGCAAACTCAAAATAAAAGCAAAAAAAAAAAAAGGAAATTAATATAAAAGAAAGCAGGACACCAGACCTTCTAAATACAATACTTGTTGATCTTGTCTATACCATTTAATGTAGAAAAACTAATTTTCTATAATTGTGTCTATTAAAGGTGACATTAATGCTGATAGAAAAATATTCCCACATATATCTGACTTGGAAAACTTATAAAAATTGTGCTGTCTTTAAAATAAAATTTGTATGCTTTTTTTGTTGTTTACTTTACCTTTTCTTGGCAATTGAATACAATCTTCCCTCTCTTAAAAGTGGATTTGCTATGAAAATTTTAAGGGCTGTAAAGGAAGGCATTTTCCTGATTTTATATATTTAATTCTTGTGCTATAGTAATTAAAATTTCATAACTAGTTTTTAATTTAATAGTATCTGTTGATACTTTAGACAATTAAAACATTTTTTACCAGTTTTTATTTAGTGCTTCAAATGGATTATAAACTTAGTAATTTGGGGACTAATTGTATAAATTGTTAAAAATAAATGGATTTTGCAGAAGGATAGGATTAGTGAAAAGGAGCAGTAAATAATAAAATGTAATAGAAATAGAAATGTAATTTGTTTTTAAAATAAGCTATATAGGAAAACTGATTGATTATATATTCTTATATGGTTTTAAATCAATAAAACTCAGTATTTCACATTTAATGCAATAGATGCTAAGAAAAAAATTAACCTTCAGCTAGAAATCTAAATAAAAATAGAAAATACCCTTTGCTGCAGTAGTTCAGTTGTTTAAAAATATTAAATCTGAGGCCTGGGGTGGTGGCTCAATGCCTGTAATCCTAGCACTTTGGGAGGCCGAGGTGGGAGGTCAGGAGTTCGAGACCAGCCTGACAATATGATGAAACCCCCTCTCTATTAAAAATACAAAAATTAGCCAGGCATGATGGCGGGCGCCTGTAATCCCAGCTGCTCAGGAGGCTGAGACAAGAGAATCGCTTGAACCCGGGAGGCAGAGTTTGCAGTGAGCCAAGATCATACCATTGCACTCCAACCTAGGCAACAAGAGTGAAAGTTTGTCTCAAAAAAAAAAAAAAAAATTAAATCTGATATAACTGATTTAGTGAAAAAGTAAGTCTAATCCCAAAAAGAAAAATTAATAATTATCTCTTTGGAAATAAATTATAAAATTGCTAAATTTTGTTGTAGAGTTTAGCTAATGATTAACTTTGAGAGCCTATGTATTTGGACTTGAAAGTGTTTATATTGACTGATCATATTTTTTTTTAATATAGTTTATTGGTTTGGTTTCTTTGACTTTCTCATCATCTTCAACAAGTAGAGTTAGGTTTTTTGTTTCTTTGCTTTAATTTCAGTATTAACTACTGTGGTAATTTGGTAGGTCTATTCTACACAATATTATTTGTCAAAATGTTTTTGTAAGTGGGGATACACAGATTCTGTGCCAATTAGAGAACTATATTTTTCAACTAGTTTGCTTTTCTGGCTTTAAACTTTGTTTCTCCTCTCTATGATAGATCTGTCCAGCTTCTTTTTTGTTTTTTTGTTTTTTTTTTTTTTTGAGACGGAGTCTCGCTCTTGTTGCCCAGGCTGGAGTGCAGTGGTGCGATTTCAGCTCACTGCAAACTCTGCCTCCCGGGTTTGCACCATTCTCCTGCCTCAGCCTCCCGAGTAGCTGGGACTACAGGCGCCTGCCAGCACGCCCGGCTAATTTTTTGTATTTTTAGTAGATACAAGGTTTCACCGTGTTAGTCAGAATGGTCTCGATCTCCTGACCTTGTGATCCGCCTGCCTCAGCCTCCCAAAGTGCTGGGATTACAGGCCTGAGCCACCGCGCCCGGCCGGATCTGTCCACCTTCTATATTCTCTTTATTGTCTTTTAGAAAGTTGAACTAAAGGCCGGGTGTAGTGGCTCATGCCTGTAATCTTGGCACTTTGGGAGGCCGAGGCGAGCTGATCACCTGAGGTCAGGAGTTCAAGACCAGCTTGACCAACATGGTGAAACCTCGTCTCTACTAAAAATACAAAATTAGCTGGGCGTGGTGGCAGGTGCCTATGATCCCAGCTACTGGGAAGGCTGAGGCGAGAGAATCACTTGAACCCAGGAGGCGGAGGTTCCAGTGAGCCAAGATCGCGCCATTGCACTCCAGCCTGGGCAACAAGAGTGAAACTCCGTCTCAAAAAAAAAAAAAAAAAAAGAAAGTTGGACTAAAGAGAGTGGAAGAGGTTCTATGATATGAAGACTTATTAATAAAGCATTTACACACATTCAAAAAATAAAGCATTTACACATTAGCTCATTTTTTGTCTTATGAACTATTTTCATTGGAATTTGGATTTGAATATATGCCATTTCAAAACCAGAAAATAATTAAAGTCAAATATTTGTAGCATCAACATGCCGAAAGAACTAGCCAGCCGAATGCATGTTTCAGCATGGGAGGAGGTAACAGAGTGAAGTAAAAAGCACTGATTTCACAGTCTGAATATTGAATCATGTCCTATCTTTGTCCCTAACTGACATTATGATCTTGATCACTTACCCTTTCTGGGCTGCAGTTTTGTGGTCTATAGATTGGTTATAATAATATCCACTATACCTACATACCAGAATCGAAGGCTCAAATAAAATCATGGTGAGAATGTTTTACAAAACTAGCACAAGCTGTGCAAATGTAGGATGTTCTTTTGCTTCTGGGATAATGAATGCTTACTTATTGCCACATAACTGTTTTTTCCATCTTCTGGCTAGTGATCGGCAGAGATGTATTCATGAAGTCTGGCAAATTATAGAAGAAAGGAAAAGGTAGATGTTGTAGGCCAGTGTTTCCAAAATAATAAATTGGTTCATGGTTAGTTTACAGTATTTTGTTAATCCCTAGAATATCCAGAGAGAATACTAAATTTAAATTTACAGTGTTTTGGTTTATTCTTAAAATGTGGTAAGAGCTTAACTTTAAGGATGTAATAGTCTATCATTATTTTACTTGTGTTTCAGTGAACAACCTACTGTAATTTTTTTCATCATTCATCTTATTAATCAGTGTCATCAGATTGGGAGATCTTTAATAAACTCTAGAAAGAACCATCTTTCCTTCTTTTCCTACTTCTCATTAATGTTTCTAAATTTGCCTTTTTACAGGACTTTGCCTCCCGGGCCAAACTGGCAGTTCAAAAACTAGTACAGAAAGTTGGATTTTTTGGAATTTTGGCCTGTGCTTCAGTAAGTGAATTGTATTAAAACAGAACTTTTACTAAGTGGTAGTGTTATATTTTGATCCATATATACTCCTGAATTAACAAAAGTGCTATCACTTTTATTGGGTATGTAATTTTGTGAATCATTCACCTTTTTTTTTTTTTAAGACGGAGTCTCCCTCTTGTCACCCAGGCTGGAGTGCAGTGGCATGATCTCGGCTCACTGCAACCTCCATCTCCTGGGCTCAAGCAATTCTCCTGTCTCAGCCTCCCTAGTAGCTGGGACTACAGGCATGCACCCCCACGCCTGGCTAATTTTTATATTTTTAGTAGAGGCAGGATCTCATGTTGCCCAGGCTAGTCTCAAACTCCTGGGCCCAAGTGATCCACCTGCCTCGGCCTCCCAAAGTGCTGGGATTACAGGCATGAGCCACTACACCTGGCCCATTCAACTTTTTTTTTTTTTTTTTTTTTTTTTTTTGAGACAAGAGTTTCACTTTTGTGGCCCAGGCTGGAGTGCAATGGCACAATCTCGGCTCACTGCAACCTCCACCTCCCGGGTTCAAACGATTCTCCTGCCTCAGCCTCCCAAAGTAGCTGGGATTTCAGGCGACTGCCACCACACCCAGCTAATTTTTTTTTTTTTTTTTTTTTTTTTTTTTTTTTTTTTTTTGAGACGGAGTCTCGCTCTGTCGCCCAGGCGGTAGTGCAGTGGCGGGATCTCGGCTCACTGCAAGCTCCGCCTCCCGGGTTCACGCCATTCTCCTGCCTCAGCCTCCCAAGTAGCTGGGACTACAGGCGCCCGCCACTACGCCCGGCTAATTTTTTGTATTTTTAGTAGAGACGGGGTTTCACCGTTTTAGCCGGGATGGTCTCGATCTCCTGACCTCGTGATCCGCCCGCCTCGGCCTCCCAAAGTACTGGGATTACAGGTGTGAGCTACTGCACCCAGCCCAATTCAACTTATTAAATGAGCTGTTTTCTGTTGAATAGGTTCACATCTTGTTTATTGGCTTTTAAGTATTTCATCATGTAGTGATGACTTCAGACCTAAATGGCTTAAATCAGTAAGAATAAAAGAGACAAAATCCATTCTTCCAATGAAGAATATACTACATTTAACCAAATTAAACTACATTTAACCAAATAAGGATGACTTCATTCTTTCCTCAAATTTATAGATAAGAAGTCTTTTTCCAAAGTTTCAAGTATTAGTTACAAGGAAGAATTTATATAAAACCTGTTTAAAGCGATGTTAGCTCAGGGCTACTCTGATTTACGTATCTTAAATCCTTTTTTTGTGTTTGTTTTTCTTTTTTTGAGACAGAGTCTCCCTCTGTCACCCAGGCTGGAGTGCAGTGGCGAGATCTTGGCTCACGGCAACCTCCACCTCCCAGGTTCAAGCGATTCTCCTGCCTCAGGCTACCCAGTAGCTGGGATTACAATCATGCACCACTACACCCAGCTAATTTTTGTATTTTTAGTAGAGACAAGGTTTCACCATGTTGGCCAGGCTGGTCTCGAACTCCTGACCTCAAGTGATCTACCCACCTCGGCCTCCCAAAGTGCTGGGATTATAGGCATAAGACACTGCGCCCAGCCTACATATCTTAAATACTTTAAATTCATTTTCATTTCAACATGAGTTGGAACCTTATGATAAAGGAAAAAAAAGTTATAACTCATAGAATTATGAGAGTCACATGAGCAAATATAACAAATAGCAGGTGTGATGCTGTGTAAATGATATTATTATATGGTTGTAAGAGATGAAATAATCCTAAAGCATTTGAATTTGGATGAGAAAAACAAAAATGAGTCATTGAATCCAAGTGTTACTAACAAAGGAATACTTGAATTCTAATTTAGTCATGTCTTTTTTAAAGATCATATGTGACAAGTATTTTTTAAATAACTAGGCTTTTCTTTCAAAGTTCAAAAATGAAATTATATAAATTAATTGGCTTATTAATGGTTCAGCCAACAGCCACAAGGTCAGAGTACTTTCATAGGAGAAGAAGGGATGAAGTGCTCAAAAACAGCTTGTGGCTTCTTTGCATTTTTACATGAAATGTCTTTTAGCATTCTTAAAATGTGGGAATGTTTGGGAAAGGTATTTGTTGTGAATTACTTCTTTGTCTGGGACTGAGTATTCAAAACATCTGAATCTGTGTGATCTCATATTTCCACACTTGATCTTCTTTATAAATTGTGTCACATAGCCCTCAGACTTGGTCTCTCGTAAAATAAAATACAAATTATTAATATTTTATGTTGAGAATAACAGCACATCCACCCATAAATGTATTTGAGAATTTATTAAAATATTTGCTAATGATATGAGTGCTTTCCAGATAATATTCACATTTCAAGCTAAAGATTTTAGAACCCTAACTGCTGAAACAATCTTAAGGCTCTTTCTTCACTCATACCTCACCTTAGAAAACAGCCACCAAATATCCAGGAATCAACTGAACGGGATTAAATTCCTGCAGGTCCACTTACTTTATCCAGTTCTCATGTGATGGGCACACACACAAACACACACACAGTGCCTTAGCCATGAGTAATATAAGCAAAAGGACACCTTGGTTTGCTGTGAGCAGATTGAACACCTAAGGTGAATATGAGACCCAGCTTCTAGACACATTAGGATGTTTGCCTAACCTCCTTTTGAACAATCCAGTAGTGATCAAGGAACCCATATATTGCTTTGCAGTGTAAGCAGGCTGAAAGCAGAATACCACATATCAATGGGTGATAAAATTAAATTGTTCTTTGGATTATAATATGGAAGTCCTTCTTTTTCTCTCTATAGATTCCAAATCCTTTATTTGATCTGGCTGGAATAACGTGTGGACACTTTCTGGTACCTTTTTGGACCTTCTTTGGTGCAACCCTAATTGGAAAAGCAATAATAAAAATGCATATCCAGGTAATTATACCCCCTGATTCACTGCCTAATGATGATGAACCCATTACAAGACAATGAAACATGCTCATTCCTAAGTGAATTATTTAGTTATTCTTTCTGCTTTTTTGGTTGGTAGCTTACTTAGGTAATACCACATAGAATGTCATTTGGAATTAGTGATCTCCTTGTTTTCTTTCTTTTCTTCTTTCTTCCTCCCTCCTTCCCTTTCTTCCTTCTTTCCTTCCTTTCTCTCTTTCTTTCTTTATTTTTTGTCCTGTTTAACTATTTATCCAGGACTTTCACCAAACAAAAATAGTGTTTGTGTGCAGAAAGATGCACATCATTTTTATATACACAGCCCAAAAAATGTAGTTTTTTGTTTGTTTTGTTTTGTTTTACCAACCACAAGCTGAGAGAATATTGCCATTCACTAATTCTTACTTTCTTTCACATACTCTATATATATAGAGTGTGTAAAGCAGTTCCTCCCATGTTACCAATATCCTTTACCGAAAAACAGCCAGATGTTAGTGTGGGAGGAGAATGGGGAAGAAGAGGGTCTCTGAAGAGGCGAGGAGATGTGGGTTGTGGTCAGAGAAGTGAGAATCTGCTAGTCCTCAAAGCCACTCTTAACAAAATCTTTAGGATGGAGGGTGTGTGCATGTGTATGTGTGTGTGCACACATATATGAATAGAGAGGAGAGAAAAGGTTAACAATTTAAACGAAGGGAAAATGGATATGTGCTTCTAGAACTGTGATATGAATTACTTCCTTCTAAGGGCAGATCTCAATAGAATAAAATAAAAATTAACCTGGAAAGAATTTGTTTTATATCAGTATGGTTTGTAACAAAGAACGTTATTAACCAAAAGAAAGGAAAGAACAACCAAGCGTGGTGGCTCACGCCTGTAATCCCAGCACTTTGGGAGGCTGAAGTGGGCAGATCATGAGGTCAGGAGATCGAGACCATCCTGGCCAACATGGTGAAACCCTGTCTCTACTGAAAACGCAAAAATTAGCTGGGCGTGGTGGCGCACGCTTGTAATCCCAGCTACTTGGGAGGCTGACGCAGGAGAGTCTCTTGAACCTGGGAGGTGGAGGTTGCAGTGAGCCAAGATCACGCCACTGCACTCCAGCCTGGCAACAGAGCAAGACTCTGTCTCAAAAAAAGAAAGGAAAGAACAGTGAAGTTCTCTGCCCTTGTATGATTCCATGATAATTACAAGTGTGTCTATCCCCAAAGTTTCTATGTTAATACCTCTCTACTTCCAGTTCTTAGAAGGGAAGAATGAAACAGGAAAACTTCGGCTGCTTCTACTTATCCAGTTTATAATCTTAGATTTTGGCATTTGGGTCAAGTTTATTGCGTCTGTCCTCTATTTTCCTGCCATAATCACTCAGAATTTCATGATGTTTTTCCTACTTCAAAGAATATATTTCCTCCCATTTAAATTAAGTATTTTGTTCAATCAACGAACACAGGTTTTTTAATATTACAGTGCTAGTTACTATGGTTAAGATTTAATACTGGCCAGATGCGGTGGCTCACACCTGTAATCCCAGCACTTTGGGAGGCCGAGGCGGGTGGATCACCTGAGGTCGGAAGTTCCAGACCAGCCTGACCAACATGGAGAAACCCTGTCTCTACTAAAAATACAAAATTAGCCGAGCGTGGTGGCGCATGCCTGTAATCCCAGCTACTCAGGAGCCTGAGGCAGGAGAATCACTTGAACCTGAGAGGTGGAGGTTGCGGTGAGCCGAGATCGTGCCATTGCACTCCAGCCTGGGCAACAAGAGTTTGTCTCAAAAAAAAAAAAAAAGATTTAATACCATACAGGATTTTTTCAAATAATAAAATATGGTGAATAATAAATTATTTTCAATGTATCTGAAAATAGGTTTTTCTTTAATCTTTAGAGTTGTTTCTAGAAGAGAGCTGTCATTTAGCTTCTTGCAGTCCTTAATACCTAAGGAAAAATAACAGATTATTTTATTTCATAACAAGAACTTCTCTAGTAATCCATAAGTTTTATGTGTCCTGCTTTATACCTCTTGAATGCAGTGCCTTTCTATAAATTATAGTAAAACGTATTATGCCATAAGTACCCTATCTGTAGTGGTAAGATATGCAACTTATCAGACCTTTCATTTCAGAAAGATTTAAAACTAGTATATATTTAAACATACTCAGATTTTTTCAATTTATGATGATTGATTGATTGATTGATTTTTGAGATGGAGTCTCTCTCTGTCACCCAGGCTAGAGTGTGGTGGCGTGATTTCAGCTCACTGCAACCTCCGCCTCCCAGGTTCAAACGATTCTTTTGTTTCAGCCTCCAGAGTAAGTGGGACTACAGGCGCATGCCACCACACCCAGCTAATTCTGTATTTTTAGTAGAGATAGGGTTCACCATATTGGCCAGGCTGGTCTCGAACTCCTGACCTCATGATCTGCCCGCCTTGGCCTCCCAAAGTGCTGGGATTACAGGCATGATCCACTGCGCCTGGCCGATGAGTGATTTTTTTATGGAACTTCACACTTTAAAGCACTTATCTATATGATTTAATTCTTATAATCCTGGGATAGAGGAATTACTATACCCATTTTGTAATTCTCAGAGGTAGGGAGGTTAATAAGTAATAGTTGCTTAAGAGAGTAAGTAACAGCTGGAATTTGAACCCAAGTCTTTTGACTTCAAGTTCAGTGTTCTTTCCATTCTTTTGCATTGCCTTCTTAACTTTAATGTATTGATATGATTAAGGAAACTGAATTGTTTAATGCCTGCTATTGATCAGGACCTGTGCAAGGTAATTTGCAGTAGTTATCTCATGGCAGACAATCTTGAGAGGTTGTTATTAACCACATTTCATAGATGAGGGAACTGTGTTAGAGAAGGTAAAATACTTGCCTAAGGCCCTAGAATCCAACCAAGCTCTGTAAAGATAAAGCTCTTTCCCTGTATCTATGTGGAAGCAAAAAAGAAAAAGAAAGCTAAAATCCATTTATGTTTCTGAAAGGAAAGAATCTGAGTTCCTTCACTAAACTAAGACCGTGGGATATGTTTGCTGTGTTCCATCGTATCATAGTGACATGCTTTGTAAAGGCATGTCACTTGATGTACATCCAGATGTAGCTTAGGGTAACAAACATTTCTCATTCTGTGGGTAAACAATATTAGTAATATAAACATTTTAACCATTCTGAAATAATAGTGGGAAAGCCACACACACACCGATTTTTTTCTACCCTAATAGTAAACCTGTCTCCTTGTCTGCTTTTCTTTCTTCCCTTTTTCCTCAGCTTAAAATTAGACAACCTTCTTTAATAAATATTGCTATTTTTATTGATGTCTTCCTCTTAACCTTCCCCTAAAAGATTCAAATCAATCTACCTATAATGTTAGATCAGATTTCCCCTTCCACTGCACAGAGTCAAGTACTCTGTCTGTAGAAGTATCCTTAGATAGGAAAAGGCATGAGAAGAGTATCTTTTTAGAAAAAATTTTTTAAGAAGTAGTATCCTTAGAGACATTACCTTTGTCCCAAATAATTAAGAAAAGCAACATACTCATTCATGTTATTTCATGTACCATTTAACTTACTTATTGTACCCTTAAAATACATCACTGTTCTTTATCTCTCTACCTTCACACTCACCAGCACACACACAGTATTATAAACTCCCAGGAGGGCAGAGATTTTTGTCTGTTGGTTCACTGATGTATTATAATGCCTAGAATAGCATCCAGGAGATAGTAGGCACTCAATATTTAATAACTGAATCTGTCTTAAGATTCTTCTTTCTGGCCGGGTGCGGTGGCTCACGCCTGTAATCCCAGCACTTTGGGAGGCCGAGGCAGGTGGATCACAAGGTCAGGAGATCGAGACCATCCTGGCTAACACGGTGAAACCCCGTCTCTACTAAAAAAAATACAAAAAAATTAGCTGGGCATGGTGGCGGGCGCCTGTAGTCCCAGCTACTCAGGAGGCTGAGGCAGGAGAATGACGTGAACCAGGAGGCGGAGGTTGCAGTGAGCCCAGATTGAGCCACTGCATTCCAGCCTGGGCAACAGAGCGAGACTCCGTCTCAAAAAAAAAAAAAAAAAAAAAGATTCTTCTTTCCAATGAAGGACTTCTTTTACAGATGGTTCCATCTTTGTTCATTCTAGCACAATTAGTTTCTCCCTCCCATGTCTTTTTTCCTCCTCCTCTACCCTTTCCTTTGTTTCTTCTATGCATGTGGTTAAGAGGGCTCTTCCGTGGTCTGTGCCTTTTATTTATTTTGTAGAATTCCCACTCAGACCTCCTGCCTGAAAGACTAAGACATATGTTCTTAAATGTGTGACACATTTTTTGTCTAACCCAGAACAGTGACTTTTCAAGCTGCTACATACAAAAAGAAAATCTTGTTTTGCTGTTTTGCATTGAAATTGTGCAATTATTTAGGCATTGGCTTATTTTGATTGTTAAGAAATGATAGTAGGGAAAGTTCATGGTGATGAAATCACTGGAAGGCAAGAACTACTAGCTCTGTTGATTAATAAAAGATTTATAGCTCTAAATAACTGGTTTTTGGTATAGACCCCCTGCTTTTCTTCACAAATTATCTGTAATAATAGCCTTGCTAGCTTCATAATATTCACATACCAATTGTATACCTTTGCCTTATTAGTCTTCTTGCCAGAAATAATGTACGTTAGTCTAACCTGTCCAGGTTCCTGAGATTCATAGTGAGTGGATAAAAAGAAGACTACTGTTGGCTGGGCACAGTGGCTGACGCCTGTAATCCCGCACTTTGGGAGGCTGAGGTGGGCAGATCACGAGGTCAGGAGATCGAGACCATCCTGGCTAACACAGTGAAACCCCATCTCTACTAAAAATACAAAAAATTAGCCGGGCATGGTGGCGGGCGCCTGTAGTCCCAGCACTTTGGGAGGCTGAGGCAGGTGGATCACCAGGTCAGGAGTTCGAGACCATCCTGGCCTCCTGGCCAGCATGGTGAAACCCCATCTATACAAAAAACACAAAAATTTGCTAGGCGTGGTGTCGTGCGCCTGTAATCCCAGCTACTTGAGAGGCTGAGGTAGGAGAATGGCTTGACCCTGGGAGGCGGAGGTTGTAGTGAGCCAAGATGGCGCCACTGCACTCCAGCCTGGGCAACAGAAGGAGACTCCGTCTCAAAAAAAAAAAAAGAAAAAAGAAAGAAAGAAAAAAAAAAAGGGCCGGGCGCAATGGCTCATGCCTGTAATCCCAGCACTTTGGGAGGCTGAGGCAGATGGATCACTTGAGATCAGGAGTTCAAGACCAGCCTGACCAACATGGAGAAACACCATCTCTACTAAAAATACAAAAAAAAATTAGCTGGGCATGGTAGCGCATCCCTGTAATCCCAGGTACTTTGGGAGGCTGAGGCAGGAGAATCGCTTGAACCCGGGAGGCGGAGGTTGCGGTGAGTTGAGATCACGCCATGGCACTCCAGCCTGGGCAACTGGGCAATAAGAGTGAAACTCTGTCTCAAAAAAAAAAAAAAAAAAAAAAGGAATACAAAGTTGATAACATTTGAATTAAATGTTATCTTTTATTTTATTTTATTTTATTTTTGATATGGAGTCTCCTCACTCTGTCATCAGGCTGGAGTGCAGTGGTGCAATCTTGGCTCACTGCCACCTCCGCCTCCTGGGTTCAAGCAATTCTCCTGCCTCAGCCTCCCAAGTAGCTGGGACTACAGGCACATGTCACCACCCCCAGCTAATTTTTGTATTTTTAGTAGAGACGGGGTTTCACCATGTTGGACAGGATGGAAATGTTATATTTTATTTTTAAAGAAATTTAAAAATTGCAATTAGGGGCACAATCTTACCTCTTTAGACTATTACCAGAATTGTGAATTTATGTTGGTTTTTTGATGACTAAATAATTTATTTTAACTGGTGTTTTCTTTACAGAAAATTTTTGTTATAATAACATTCAGCAAGCACATAGTGGAGCAAATGGTGGCTTTCATTGGGTAAGTAATTCTTCAAGGACTAATATTAATATAATTACTCTTTAAATGGGAGTAAATGTGTACAAGACTGAATTGAAATAGAATTTTTGACATAGTTCTTTATTTTTTGAGGAGCAAAAATAACTTGCTGTTATTAGTAAATGAAGAATACTTTCTTGTTCTATAGTAGGGAAAGATAAAGCTTACATTATCCCTGTTTAATTGTAAACCAAACATCTATCAAGTCATATAATTCTGGGTTTAAAAGAAGCTTTGGGGTTTGAATCTGTAGCCCCACCAAAGAAATAAGAAATTGTCTTTATATAAAAGATATGTGTATATCATTGCAGTTTAATGGTGCTTTAGTACAATGCTGTGATTTTTGGCCAAACTAGATGCCAGATACACAGCTGCATTTAATGTAAATGTAAATCTTACATAAAATTTTAGTATTTTATATAAAACCTAGCCGGCCGTGGTGGCGGGCACCTATAGTCCCAGCTGCTCAGGAGGCTGAGGCAGGAGAATCGCTTGAACCTGGGAGGCAGAGGTTGCAGTGAGCCAAGATCATGCCATTGCACTCCAGCCTGGGTGACAGAGCAAGACTCTATCTCAAAAAAAAGAAAATTTAGTATTTAATTAAGTAAGTCATGTTAGATGGCATAATATTAACAAAATTTGTCAGGTCTCTATTACTTCACTAGAGAAAAATTAGGTTATTTTAAAAGGCTAAACTGGCCAGGCACGGTGGCTGATGCCTGTAATCCCAGCACTTTGGGAGGCCAGGGCAGGCGGATCGCCTGAGGTTGGGAGTTCAAGACCAGCCTCACCAACATGGAGAAATCCCATCTCTACTAAAAATACAAAATTAGCCGGGCGTGGTGGCACATGCCTGTAATCCCAGCTACGAGGGAGGCGGAGGTTGCGGTGAGCTGAGAGCGCGTCATTGCACTCCAGCCTGGGCAAGAAGAGCGAAACTCCATCCCAAAAAAAAAAATTAATTAAAATAAATTGCAATAAAACCAAAAGTTGTTAGGTTTTTAAATCATTATTATAGGGGAGAGGTTTTCTTTTCATTCAGTAGTACAGCTGCCCCACGGGGGAAATGTGTCAAGTTTAAGTGCCCTTTGTTTAGTTTTAATGTAAATCTTTATCTTAAAAGCCACTTACAGAGCAAACATTTATGGAAATTTTTGCTATTTAAAAAAAGAATGCCACTTGATGCTGAGTTTGTGACTATTGATTTTTTTGGTCATATATATGTTCATTCTTTTCTATGTATTGTAATAAAATAGTTTTTAATATTTGCTAGTTCAGCTTTAATAAGGAAAAAATATATTCTTGAGATTGTACTCAGTGGAGCCAGTCATTAGTTTCATTAATTCCTGAGCTTATCAGTGTGGATTATAACTTGTACACTAAAATTTACATTTAAAATTAAAATTAAATTTACTCTAGTTTTTTGCTGCCTGAATCCTTACAAATAAAGTATTTTATATGTGACCATATATCACATAAAGACAAAAAATATTCTTGTCCCTTATTTTTTATTTATTTATTTATTCATTTTTGTAGAGACGGGGTCTCGCTTTGCTGCCCAGGCTGGTGTCAAACTCCTGGTTTCAAGTAGTCCTCCCACCTCAGCCTTCCAAAGTGTTGGAATTACTGGCATGAGCCACCATGCCTGGCTTCCCTTATGTTTTTGGTTTTTTTTGTTGTTGTTTTTGAGACAGAGTCTCGCTCCAGGCTGGAGTGCAGTGGTGCAATCTCAGCTCACTACAACCTCCGCCTCCCAGGTTAAAGCAATTCTTCTGCATCAGCCTCCTGAGTAGCTGGGATTACAGGTGTACGCCACCACACCCAGCTAATTTTTGTATTTTTAGTAGAGTTAGGGTTTCACCACATTGGTCAGGCTGGTCTCAAACTCCTGACCTGGTGATCCGCCCATCTCGGGCTTCCAAAGTGCTGGGATTACAGGCATGAGCCTCCGCTCCCAACCCCTTATTTTTTAAATGTAAGGAAAACATTTCATTTATTCTTAGAGACTACTACTCTACCTTGAGACTGCAGAGCGCAGTGCATATAACACCATGCATTATTTGTTCTTTTCTTATACTGAACATTTATAGAAAGAAGTTTTTCAGCTACTCCTGCATCCTCACCATGAGTACCTTCTGTTTCCCCAGCCTTTGGAGTTTCTAGGAAGTTACATTACTTAGCTACTTGTTTCATCTACCGATATATCCAGTTTCACTCTCTTCCAATCTGTTCACCATATTGCAGTCAGTAACCTTTTTGAAATTTTAATCTGAGCATATCATCACCACTGTCTTCACTCCCTTTCTCCTCCTCTTCTTGAAACCCTTCACTTACTTGTTTTTCCCTTCATTCTTTAGATAAAGCCAAAACTCCTTACCAGGGTTTATAAGCCCTCTCTGTGTTATCTGTCCCCTCTAGTTTCCTCTGCTCAAACTACTTTGTCCATATTTGAGTCTCCCACCACTGGTCTTTGCTTGTGCTTTTCTCTTTGCCTAGTTCAAGATTTCTCAGCCTTGGCACTATTGACTTTTTAAAGACCAGATAATTACTTGTTATGGGGAACTGTCCTGTGCATTATAAGAGATGTAGCATCATCTTCCTCCTCTACTCACTGCATGCTACTAGTACCTCCCAATCATGACAATCACAAATGTCTCAGACATTGCCAAATGTCACATGGGGAACAGACCACCACCCTCATTGAGAATCACTGGCCTAAACAGTGTCCTTTAGATTTTAGCCATTGCATTCTCAGAAAGCATTCCCTGACTTGATCTAATACCATCTTTACCAGGGGCCTTTCTTCACAGCAACGTATACTACATGCACTTATAGTTATATTGTTACACTTATGTTTGTAGGAGTGTGTGATTTACTGTCTTTTTACTGTTAACCTGTAAGCTTCTCAAAGGCAAAGATTGTGTCTATTTTTGTTTACTGTTATGTCCACTGGTCCTGGCGTCTTGACTGACATATAGCAGACACTTGGTAAATCTGCTGAATAAGTGAACACATGACCAGTACAAATTAGAAAATCATTGGTATAGCCCAGATTCTTCTATTTCCGCAGGCTTTAGAGTTTTTATGAAATTATATTATTTATCTATGGTAAATAGAAATGCCTTTAAGCTTAGGCCAATGTGGTTAAGTCAGAATATCTTATGTCTTTCTTTCTTTTTTTTGTTTTTTTTTTTTTTGTGACGGAGTCTCACTGTGTCGCCCAGGCTGGAGTGCAGTGGCGCGATCTTGGCTCACTGGAAGCTCCGCCTCCTGGGTCCATGCCATTCTCCTGCCTCAGCCCCCCGAGTAGCTGGGACTACAGGCGCCCGCCTCCATGCCTGGCTAATTTTTTGTATTGTTAATAGAGACAGGGTTTCACGGTGTTAGCCAGGATGGTCTCGATCTCCTGACCTCATGATCCGCCTGCCTAAGCCTCCCAAAGTGCTGGGATTACAGGTGTGAGCCACTGCACCTGACCTATCTTACGTCTTTCAAAGTCAGTAATTTATTTTAAACCCCACTGGCATGGCCCCTCAAAAAATTCCAGTGATCCTTTACTCTTAAAGATAAGATGGTTTTGAATATAGTTATGCTAAAATATTCAAGACCTACTGGATTCAGATTTGTATTGAATTAAATGAGTTGTGTCGTATTTGAAAAATTATTTTTAGGAGACAGATGTTGGAATGTCCTGATGTCCTTATCATTTTCCTAGCACTGTCTACAGGGATTACCTCAGCTACTTTTCTTTTTTTTTTTTTTTTTTTTTTTGAGGCGGAGTTTCACTCTCGTTGCCCAGGCTGGAGTGCAATGGTGCGATCTCAGATCTCGACTCACCGAAACCTCCGCCTCCTGGGTTCAAGCAATTCTCCTGACTCAGCCTCCCGAGCAGCTGGGATTATAGGCATGTGCCATCATGCCCGGCTAATTTTTTATTTTTAGTAGGGACAGGGTTTCTCCATGTTGGTCAGGTCACCTGAACTCCTGACCTCAGGTGATCCACCTGCCTGGGACTCCCAAAGTGCTGGGATTACAGGCGTGAGCCACTGCACCTGGCCTTTTTTTTTTTGAGATGGAGTTTTGCTTTGTCGCCCAGGCTGGGGTACAGTGGCACAATCTTGGCTCACTGCAACCTCCGCCTCCTGGATTCAAGTGATTTTCCTGCCTCAGCCTCCCAAGTAACTGGGATTACAGGCGTGCACCACCATGCCTGGCTAATTTTTATATTTTTAGTAGAGATGGGCTTCCACCATTTGGCCAGGCTGATCTCAAGCTCCTGACCTCAGGTGGTCCGCCCACCTCAGCCTTCCAAAGTGCTGCGATTACAAGAGTGAGCCACTGTGCCCGGCCATTCTTTTCTAGATAATATATTAAACAGTATAAATAATTAGACTCAGCAGATGCTAGTAAAGCTTTATTATCAGATCCCAAAGGGTATCCTTTTAGTCTTTGTCATTAATAACATTATCTTTTAATCAGATTCTCCAATTGAGCATGACATGATTGGTTTTTTTATGTTTTGAAGTAGGAAATACTTTTTTTTTTTTTTTTTTCTGAGACAGAGTCTTGCTGTGTCGCCCAGGCTGGAGTGCAGTGGTGTGATCTCAGCTTACTCCAATCTCCGCCTCCCGGGTTCAAGCAATTCTCCTGCTTCAGCCTTCTGAGTAGCTGGGATTACAGGTGTGCACCACCACACCTGGCTAATTTTTGTATTTTTAGTAGAGATGGGGTTTCACCATGTCACGCTGGTCTTGAACTCCTGACCTCAAGTGATCCACCTGCCTCGGCCCACCAAAGTGCTGGGATTACAGGTGTGAGCCACCATGCCCAGCCAGAAATGCTTTTAAATACAAGTGTTCAATTGAAAATTAATAAGTAGCCTCACCAAACCTAAAATGGAGATTAAGTTCAATAAAGAGAACAAATTTTTAGTAGACCCAAATATATGATTTCATATCATAATTAATAGAGTAGTACTTTATTTCAGAAAAGAGGAGGTGAACAGCTGGATTTCCTCACTAGATACACTGTCTCTAACCTGCTGTAGAAACATTCTCCTTTAGATCATTTGAAGCTAGGAATTCAGGACTAGCCTGGAAACATAGTAAGACTCTGTCTGTCTCTACAAAAAAACGCACTAACAAATTAGTTGGGCATGGTGGTACCCGCCTGTAGTCCCTGCTACCCAAGAGGCTGAGATGGAAAAATTGTTTGAGGCAGGAGGTTGAGGCTGCAGTGAACCATGATCATACTACTGCACTCCATCCTAGGCGACAGAGTGAGACCCTGATTCTTGAAAAAAAGAAAGGAAGAAAGAAAATAAACATTCTCCTTTAATTGTTAGTTCTCTCCTTCACACTGTTAAAACCCTGAATGGGCCAGGCATGGTGGCTGACGCCTGCAATCCCAGCACTTTGGGAGGCCAAGGCGGGTAGATCATTTGAGGTCAGGAGTTTGAGACCAGGCTGGCCAACATGGTAAGACCCCCATCTCTACTAAAAATACAAAAATTAGCTGGGCATGGTGCCGCATGCCTGTAATCTCAGCTATTTGGGAGGCTGAGGTAGGAGAATTTCTCGAACCTGGGAGGCGGAGGTTGCAGTGAGCCGAGATCACACCACTGCACTCCAGCCTGGATGACAGTGAGATATGTCTCAAAAAAAAAAAAAAAAATCGGGCCGGGGGCAGTGGCTCATACCTGTAATCCCAGCACTTTGGGAGGCTGAGGTGGGCGGATCACAAGGTCAGGAGATCAAGACCATCCTGGCTAACATGGTGAAACCCAGTCTCTACTAAAAATACAAAAAAAAATTAGCCGGGTGTGGTGGACGGCACCTGTATCTCAGCTACTTGGGAGGCTAAGGCAGGAGAATGACGTGAACCCGGGAGGCGGATCATGCAGTGAGCTGAGATCACGCCACTGCACTCCAACCTGGGTGACAGAGCGAGACTCTGCCTCAAAAAAAAAAAATCGCTGAATGGTATAGCAAATCATCAAACTAAATTAGTAAACTTCAGAATGCAGTCTTTTGAAGGATATTTAAAACCTTGCAGTCACAAATAAAGGAGAGATAACTTGTCATGGTAGAGAACAAAATCAAAAGACAAGCAAGAAAAAAGCCAGCAGCAGTTGAAATTTAAAATAAAATTATGAGATAATAAGGCAAGGAAGAATGAAAAATGAATCCCGGGCCGGGCGCAGAGGCTCACGCCTGTAATCCCGGCACTTTGGGCAGATCACCTGAGGTCAGGAATTCGAGACCATGCTGGCCAACATGGTGAAACCTTGTCTCCACTAAACATACAAAAATTAGCCGGGCATGGTGGCAGGCACCTGTCGTCCCAGCTACTCAGGAGGCTGAGGCAGGAGAATCACTTGAACCCAGGAGGCAGAGCTTGCAGTGAGCTGAGATCACACCACTGCACTCCAGCCTGGGCGACACAGCGAGACTCTGTCTCCAAAAAAAAAAAAAAGGGTATCAAAAATCTTTTGGCTGGGGCCGGGCATGATGGCTCACATCTATAACCCCAGCACTTTGGGAGGCCAAGGCAGGTGTATCACCTGAGGTCAGGAGTTCAAGACCAGCCTGGGCGACCTGATGAAACCTCATCTCTACTAAAAATACAAAAAATTAGCCGGGCGTGGGGGTGGGCGTCTATAATCCCAGCTACTCGGGAGGCTGAGACAGGAGAATCACTTGAACCCGGGAGGTGGAGAATGCAGTGAGCCAAGATCGTGCCAGTGCACTCCAGCCTCAGTGACAGAGGGAGACTCCTTCTAAAAAAAAAAAAAAAAAAGGACCAGGCGCAGTGGCCCACGCCTGTAATCCCAGCACTTTGGGAGGCCGAGGTGGGCGGATCACCTGAGGTCAGGAGTTCAAGACCAGCCTGGCCAACATGGTGAAACCCCATCTCTACTAAAAATACAAAAATTAGCCAAGCGTGGTGATGGGTGCCTGTAGTCCCAGCTACTCAAGAGGCTGAGGTGGGAGAATCTCTTGAACCCAGGAGGTGGAAATTGTAGTGAGCCGAGATTGCGCCACTGCACTCCAGCCTGGGTGACAGAGCAAGACTCCGTCTCAAAAAAAAAAAAAAAAAAAAAATTGGCTAGGCATGGTGGCTCACGCCTGTAATCCCAGCACTTTGGGAGGCCGAGGCAGATGGATTGGTTGAATTCTCAGGAATTTGAGTCCAGCCTGGTCTCGAACATGGCGAGACCCAAAGTCAGGTGATAGAACCAAAGAACTAGGGAACTTCTAGCTCAAAAGGCATTATGTTAGTTGTGATTTTTTTTTTTTTTTTTTTTTTTTTTTGAGACAGAGTTTTGTTCTATTGCCCAGGCTGGAGCGCTGTGGTGCAATCTCGACCCACTGCAACCTCTGCCTCCTGTGTTCAAGCGATTCTCCCGAGTAGCTGGGATTACAGGCACCTGCCACCATGCCTGGCTAATTTTTGTGTCTTTAGTAGAGACAGGATTTCACGATGTTGGCTAGGCTGGTCTCAAACTCCTGACCTCATGATCCACCCGCCTTGGCATCCCAAAGTGCTGGGATTACAGGCATAAGCCACCGTGCCCAGCCCTTTTTGTTTTTTTAATTACGATTTAATACTAATTTTTATTTAATTTTAGACTTTCTCCAGTGGGAGAGACCTGTGCATATTTCTTAAAGAGCATAACCAAATCTAACTTTTAAAGTTATGATTAAAATGACATGTTCCCATATTCTCACCAAATAGGGGATGTGAATTCCCAGAAAATAACATTAAGCATATGACTCGCAGCAAACCATATGCAGAACATTGGCTCATTGTCATGTTGCCAGGGTCTTATTGGAAGACAAAGTCCCCAGTTTTACCACACAAGAAAAGTTTCCATAACTCAATCATTGAACTTGAGGGCTGGGGGATGGTGTTGGCTGGAACAGGGACTTTTTACCAGATACAGAATGTTCCATGCTCTTCTTTGCTGTCTCCTATTTCTGAGCTAACTTGATGCTTGACCTCAGAGTCAGGCTTGCCTGTGGCAAGAGAGATCATTTTAACCAGTGAGTAATAAAGTGCTTGAATCCGAATGTTGTTTCTTATCCCTCACTCTATGGAAAGTGGTCAGAATGAGCTACGTGGGCCTGGACTTTTTCTTCTACAGAAAGAAAATCTGTCCTTTCATTTTAGAGGATAAAATGGTCCATGTATTTGATTCTCTTTGACTTTGATCATTGAAAATAATCAGAAAAAGTTATGGAAGTGTGGAACCCCAGCATTTGTATTATCTGATGAAAGGATAGAATTTAAGGCTTAACACAGGGTTTAAACCCCAGCTGCCGAGACTCAGTTATACAGTCTAACATAACCTCTTTCTGCAGCTTGGGAAAACCCCTTTCTCTTCTTGTCCGTGGTAGTTTATATATCCTTCTCTTTTGACAGTTAACCTTTCTATATGTTTGTTATGGATATTGGGAGACCACATAAAGGTTAAAACAGGAGTTCTGGAGTTAGACTGTTAGATGAGAAATGGGTACATTGTATTTGGAAGTTACCGTTGACCATTTAATGGAGCATTTTAGTAGCATGATGAAAATTAAAACCCAAATATATTGGATTACATGGAATTGTGGGCTAGAGGAAAGGTCAAGCGAAAGTCATGTCTGACACATTTTAATTGTTTTGTAAATATTTGTTGACCAGATGAATTAATTCATTCATTAAATAGGAGGGACCAGTGTGTATTTTAGGCTGAGGGAAAAACTCTAGTAAAATGCTAGAGATAGAAAATATAAATGAAGAAAGGGAAGGATGTGGGAAGGAAATTAACATTCAGTAAGCACCCACTGTGCCAGATGCTTTACATAAATATTCATTTCATATCCATAACAAAACCTGTTAGGTACTATTACAGAGAAGTTAAATTCATATAAATGATAAGAGATGATTGAGATAGGATCAATTCTGGAGTGGATTGATTATCCTCATGAACCAGTTCTTTCTTGAAAACTGGAGTGAAGACTCCAAGATGTTTTGAGGCAGAGAAGGGGGACACTCCTGAGGGAGCACTCTGGAAGCCAGTGAAGTCATTTGCTGGAAGTTGGAAATTTAGACTAGAGCACCAGTTTCAAACAGCTGCTGTGTGAATTTGGTAGGGATGCAGCATGAATTCTGTCTATTCTCCTGTGCACACGTGCATCCACCTGTGTGCAGCTGTAGCTAGTTACTACTGTGGTTACTTTCAATGAAAAACCTACTGGTTTCTGTAGTGTACATTTAAGTGCATTTTTTCCCCTCTCCCAGCATCCTTCTAGATAGAGTTCCTTGAGGACAGAGATCATAACTTTTTTTTAAGTGAGATTGAATTTCAATCAATACTGTCACTTTTTTTTTCTTTTTTGAGACAGGGTCTCGCTGTGTTGCCCAGGCTGATCTTGAACTCCTGTGCTCAAGTGATCCTCCTGCCTCAGCCTCCCCAAATGCTGGGATTACAGGCATGAGCCACTGTGTCCTGCCAATACTATCACTTTTTTGGTTTTTTTGTTTGTCTGTTTGTTTTTTGAGACCAAGTCTTGCTCTGTCGCCCAGCCTGGAGTGCAGTGGCGTGATCTCAGCTCACTGCAACCTCTGCCTCCTGGGTTCAAGCAATTCTTCTGCCTCAGCCTCCCAAGCAGCTAAGACTACAGGCATGCACCACCACCCCCAGCTAATTTTTGTATTTTTACTAGAGTCGGGGTTTCACCATATTGGCCAGGCTGGTCTCAAACTCCTGACCTCAGGAGGCCTCGGCCTCCCAAAGTGCTGGGATTACAGGCATGAGCCGCTGTGCTGGCCTGATTTTTAAGTTTTAGAACTCAGTGAGTCTTCAAACCAGTGCAGATCTGTCACTATAAAAAGCTGCCACCAGGCCCACTCACACCTGTAATCTTAGAACTTTGGGAGGCTGAGGCGGGATTGCTTGAGCCCAGAAGTTTGAGACCAGCCTGGACAACATGGTGAGACCCCATCTCTTGAAAAAAATTTAAAAATTAGCTACTGTGGCCCCAGCTACTCGGAAGGTTGAGGCAGGAAGATTGCTTGAGCCCGGGAGGTCAAGGCTGCAGTGAGTCGTGTTTGTGCCATTGCACTCTTGAGTGGGCAACAGAGCAAGATCCTGTTCCCAAAAAAAAGCTGCCACTGGGGCCAGGTGCAGTGCCACTCGCCTGTAGTTCCAGCTACTTGGGAGGCTGAGGCAAGAGACACAACCTCTTTAAAAAAAAAAAAAAAAGCTGCCACCAGTCTGTCATTTTCTATAAATGCAATCAGTTGATTTTTAACAGAGTTTTGTTTTGGCAACCAATCAGTTTTACCTAGTCCTTATAGACCACTCCTTTAGCTCTGGCCACATTCATCAGCACAAATGCCTGCTTTTCTCCTGCTGCTCAAGTCTGCCTTCTGAAATGAGGTTTTGTTCTCTAGAGCTTCTCTTTAATGTTAGCTTATTTCAAAGAGTAGCTGCTAATGATAAGGAAGTCTAACCTCCAATCTGATTCTTACAGAAAATAATGCTAAATCTCCAAAAGCTAGGGCAATTGCAGATTATTTTGTGATAAAATATGCTGTAAGGCAGTAGAAACAATGTACCTGATAAAATACACCTGGAGAAAGCATGGTCTTCCTTCTACACAGCCAGAAAGAAACCCATGGTGTCATGTGTTCATAATACCACTCTGCGTACAATGGACTAACTTAAGTACAAAAGAAGTTTTAATCATTTGAAAGGGCACAGATGTGAATGAAATTCAAGATGTTTTAATCCCAGATCCTGGGGTCAAATCACAACGAATTTTAGAAGGTGCCAGGGACTGTCAGTCCAAACTTGTATATATGAGAAAGCCCTAGATTTTCTAGTATAGTGTGTGATTTTCATCCTGAATTTATTTTATGTTGGGGTGCCATTCCAAGATCCTGGATGTAAAGAAACATGATTAGGGGGCTACCACATTTCAGATCCAAAGCAAGTAGAATACATCAGTTACCAGTTTTTTCTTATAGTATCAGCTTCAAAGATTCATATACTGAGCCAGGCACAGAGGCTTATGCCTGTAATCCCAGCATTTTGGGAGGTCAAGGCAGGCGGATCACTTAAGGTCAGGAGTTTGAGACCAGCCTGACCAACATGGTGAAACCCTGTCTCTACTAAAAATACAAAAACTAGCAGGGTGTAGTGGTGCCTACCTGTAATCCCAGCTACTCAGGGGGTTGAGGCAGGAGAATCGCTTGAAGCCGGGAGGTGAAGGTTGCAGTGAGCCGAGATTGCGCCACTGCACTCCATCGTGGGTGATAGAGCCAGACTCCGTCTCCAAAAACAAAACAAAACAAAACAAAAAGATTCATGTGTTCTATTCAGTTAAATGGTAAAGATAATAACACTTTCATTCCAGTCACACAGGATAACTAGATCCTTTTTTACTAGGTTAAATATGTGTTTATTTTCAGTTAGCACCTGTTCATTTACTTATTCTGGATTAATAAAGGGCTGAAAGGCTGTAGATATTAATGAGTCAGCATGATGGCCTTTGGCTTCTTCAGAAAGATTGCATGATAAACTCCCCCACCCTTTTCCGAGCAGTCTACCTTACTAGGAAAGGCAGTTTCATGTGGAGGGCAATCTGTCATTTTTGAATAAGGGCAAGAGTCTGAGGTCCATTCTGAGTCACTATGAATAGAGCTCTAGTATTGGTTGGTCCCCAGGGAAACTGGTGGTTAAATACTGTGAGAATCTTTATCAGACAGGAAATGACAACTCATTAAAATACTAGCCGTTAAGCCTGTTTAGATCACTGCCTAGGGGGTAGGAAGGAAAATTTAACTCTATAATGTTTGACTAAAATGTGCACATTTCTGAAGATGGAGAATTATTTACAAGACTGTTACCGAGAAAGGGAATTGCTAGGCTGTCTTGTTGCTGATCTTCTCCCACACCCTCTTTTCCTCTTTTGTACATATAACAGATCAGCTTGTAATGGGAGTAGGATAGGGAAGGGCTTTAATTTCATTCCTGAAAGTGTATCCTACTATTGCCTTAAATGTAAAATTCAGTCTCTTCAGCAGAAGAGGCGGTTGTTGGCTTCAGTTAGAACAGGATCATTTTCTATATAGGAGTCTACTCCTGTGCTCCTGGGCCAAATCTCAATTGATAGAACTCTCTGGGGTCAGAGGATAAATTTGATGTATTGATTTACATACAGTGGTCCTCATTCAATCAAGAAAATTCTAAAGATCCTGATATTCATTTAGAACATAATTAAATTTTATAACTCTGGGCACAGGTTTTCAGTCTCCTGAAGTTGGGCTATCCAGATTTGGTGGGGGCGGGGACAGGGGCTAGCTCTGTTGCCCAGGCTGGAGCAACATCTGCCTCCCAGGCCCAAGTGATCCTCCCACCTCCTGTCGCATGCCAGCATGCTCAGCCAATTTTTAAATTTTTTGTAGAGAGGAGGTCTCACTATATTGCCCAGGCTGGTCTTGAACTCATAGGCTCAAGTGATCCTCCCACCTTGGCCTCCCAAAGTGCTGGGATTACAGTGAGCCACCAAGCTGAGCACTCTTTTCTTTTTATAAGTACCCTGACCTGAATCTTCTCCTGAAAAATTTTTTTTTTCATTTATAAGCTTTCAGGGATCTGACTTATGACACCCTGAGATTCTTTAGACTTTGTGATTAATCATCAGAGGGAATACTAACCCAGCACAAACAATGAAATAAAGGTAAAAAACTGTTGTGCCCAGACTTTTTTCTAAGACAAAAGGCTTATTACTCTTTGTAAAGAGGCTATCGCCTCCTTACTAGAATTTATGTCAGAATGTTTTTCAGGAGGGTAAATATAACCTATATGCTCACATTAATGCTGAGATCCTCAAAAAAGTATTTGAGAAAGGAGCAGAGCCTATATTAAATAAAAAATTTACTTTATTAATGCTGGTAAAATATTCTTAGGCTTAGAGACTTCAACTGCTTAGACTTTAAGTATACACTCTGTAAATAGGGCTAAACAAGGTGAATCAATCTTTTTTGTTGGTGTTTTAAGAAACAGGTTCTCCCTCTGTAGCCCAGGCTGGAGTGTAGTGGTGTGATTTTAGATCACTACAGCCTCAACCTCCTAGGAGGGCTCAAGCAGTCCTCCCCACTCAGCCTCTTGAGTAACTAGGACTACAGGTGTGCACCACACCTGGTTAATTTTCTGTGTGGGTGTAGAGACAGGAGTCTTACTGTGTTGCCCAAGCTGATCTTGAACTCTTAGACTCAAGCAGTCCTCCCACCTCAGCCTCCCAAAGTGCTCGGATTACTGGCATGAGCCACCCTATCCTGCCTGGCCAGATTTCAGATCTTACTTATTTATTATCTATCTATCTAATCTATTGATTTATTGAGAGAGAGACAGGGTCTTGCTCTTTCACCAAGGGTGGAGTGCAGTGGTTCAATCCTAGCTTACTTTAACCTTGAACTCCTAGGCTCACAGGATCCTCCCATCTCAGCCTCTTGAATAGCTAGGACTACAGGCACTTGCCATCACACCCAGCTACTTTTTTAAACTTTTGTAGAGACAGGGTTCTCACTATGTTGCCCAGGCTGATCTCAAACTCTTGGCCTCAAGTCCTCCTGCCTCAGTCTCCCAAAGTGCTGGGATTACAAGCATGACCCATCACACCCAGCCTAAAATACAGATTTCTTGTCACATAAGTGATTTCCAGAAGCAGAGTAACATATATATTAAAAACCATAGAAAAATAATAGATTTTGTTTGCAATTTGGCAAGGGCTCTTGGCAGAATTTTGCCCAAATGTTATTTTGAATGGATTTTTTTTTTTTTTTTTTTTACAATATTTAAGCTTGCCAAGAAGTTTGTCTTAGGTCTGTTTAACAGATTCTAGGTATGTAAGCATGGGAAAATATTGTTCCCATGAAACCAATTTTGAGCTCTGAGTAGGTTTCAAGTCTGTGTTTTTTTCTTTAAATAAAAAAAAAAATTTTATTTGCATTCCTGAGTTTTTTTTTTAACAGAAGTTAACAATAACAAAAGTGTAAAAATTGCCACTAGCATCATTTGTTGGAAATGTGTTTGTTTGTTTCGGAGACAGGATCTCACTATTTTACCCAGGCTGGAATGCAGTGGCTATTCACAGGCGTGATTATAGCTCACTAAGCCTCCATCCCAACTCCTGGGCTCAAGAGAGCCTCCTGCTCAGCCTCCAGATTAGCTGGGACTACAGGCATGCGCCACCATGCCTGGTGGAAAAATTTTTTTTAATCTTACATTTGCTGTTATGTTTGTGCCAGGAATAAAAATATGAAGATACTACTACCCACTAAGATTTTTCTACCCACTGTGTTCAAGGTTCACAGCAAGGAAAAGCAAATGAGATCAACTTTTTTTTTTTTTTTTTTTTTTTTGTCACCTAGACTGGAGTGCAATCTCAGCTCATTGCAGCCTCCACTACCCAGGTTCAAGCAATTCTCATGCCTCAGCCTCCCGAGTAGCTGGGACTACAGGCACGTGCCATCACACCTGGCTAATTTTTTTATATTTTTAGTAGAGACAGGATTTCGCCATGTTGCCCAGGCTGGTCTCGAACTCCTGAGCCATGGTGCCCAACCTACTTCTTTTTTTGTTTTTCTAAGGCTTTCTCACCTAGAGCAAGTACCTACTTACATAGCTAGTTTAGGTATATTTTAGTCCTGCAGTTGACTGAAAAAATAGTTCTATGTCCATTTGTTCTCCTTCTACTTTATGTTCTTCTATGTCACAAAATTGTAGTTATTTGTTTTGTTTTGTTTTGTTTTGTTTTGTTTTGTTTTGAGACAGAGTCTCGCTCTGTCGCCCAGGCTGGAGTGCAGTGGCACAATCTCGGCTCACTGCACCCTTCGCCTCCCGGGTTCAAGCGATTCTCCTTCCTCAGCCTCCCGAGTAGCTGGGATTATGGGCGCCCACCACCGTGCCTGGCAATATTTTTTTTTTTTTTTTTTTTTGTATTTTTAGTAGAGACAGGGTTTCACCATGTTGGCTAGGCTGGTCTCGAACTCCTGACCTCAGGTGATCTGCCCACCTCGGCCTCCCAAAGTGCTGTGATTACAGGCATGAACCACCATGCCCGGCCGAAATGGTAATTCTTTGAATTTAATCAGAGCTTAAGGGCAAATTGGAGGACTTCCCCAACTTAACTATGGGATGAGATTAGCATCTTTAGCAAGGTGCACAGGGTTGCAAGAATGTAATGGCTTAGGGAGAATGGCATTTAGGGTATTTCCTAAACCAACTATAGAAAGCCTTTGAACTGTGTTGCAAATTATTACTCCCACCGTGTGTGCACTTTAAATTAATCTTAAGTGTCAGAATGGACTCTTGCTTCTGGTCTGCTGCTTGAGAATAACTTGACACATGAGATTTAGAGCTGGCATTATTGTTTGCCTTAAATGCATGTTAAGAGTGAGAGCTGTAATTTCTATTTTTATCTAGTCCGTTACTAAAATAGCTTTAGTGATAATTAAGCAAACTATAGTATAAGAGTACTTTGTTGAAGCTGAGGCATCAGTAGCCTAAGTCATTGTAGAGGTAGAGAAATGAAAAACAGAAGTAACTAAAATTTTGATGACAGTTTGGGAAACCAAGGTGGGAGGATCTTTTGAGGCCAGGAATTTGAGACCCACCTGGGCAACATAGTGAGACTCCATCTCTACAAAATATAAAAAGAAACATAATAATAATAATAAATAAAACTTTTAACCTCTTGTCTGTTTTCAACTGTTTTCCTAGTCTTTCATGGAAACCTCCATAGAGACACATAACAAATTGGTATATTAATCTCAGCATTATCCTCAAGATAAGTTATACATCATGTGAATACACATCATATGATGTACTCTATCAGCTAAAATGTATCTATCAGCTAAAGTGTATCTCTTTTTAAAATTATTATGGGTACATAAAGTGTATCTCTTAATGGACTTACAATGGTAAATTATTTACCTTTTCAAATTATTTTGAAGGGAATCTAGAATTATTATTTCCAGTCCCTTCCTCATTTCCCTAAACAACAAAAACATACTCTTTGTAACATTTGGGTCTTGGTTCTTAATTTTCTCTTAAATAATGGCTTGACTATGGCTATCCCTGGTAGATTTAAATGACAATTTACAGTACTGTTTTTTATTTTTGTTTTTGTTTTGTTTTGAGACGGAGTTTCCCTCTTTTTCCCCAGGCTGGAGGACAATGGCGCACTGCAACCTCCACCTCCCAGGTTCAAGCGATTCTCCTGCCTCAGCCCCCCGAGTAGCTGGGATTACAGGCGCCCGCCACCAAACCTGGCTTATTTTTTGTATTTTTAGTAGAGACGGGGTTTCACCATGTTGGCCAGGCTGGTCTCGAACTCCTGACCTCAAGTGATCCGCCTGCCTTAGCCTCCCAAAATGCTGGGATTACAGGCATGAACCACCGCACCCAGCCTTGTTTTTGTTTTTGTTTTTGTTTGAGATGGAGTCTCACTCTGTTGCCCAGGGTAGAGTGCAATGGCATGATCTCAGCTCACTGCAACCTCCGCCTCCCAGGTTCAAGCGGATCCTCCTGCCTCAGCCCCCACTAGTAGCTGAGATTACAGGCATGTGCCACCGTGCCTGGCTACTTTTGTTTTTTGGGGGGGTTTTTTGTTTTTTTGGTTTTTTTATTTTGAGACGGAGTCTAGCTTAGCTGCCCAGGCTGGAGTGGAGTGGTGCGATCTAGGCTCACTGCAACCACCATCTCCCGGGTTCAAGCGATTGTCCCATCTCAGCCTCCCAAGTAGCTGAGATTACAGACACCTGCCACCATGCCCAGCTAATTTTTTTTTTTTTTTTGAGACGGAGTCTTGCTGAGCTGCCCAGGCTGGAGTGGAGTGGTGCGATCTGGGCTCACTGCAACCACCATCTCCTGGGTTCAAGTGATTCTCCCATCTCAGCCTCTTGAGTAGCTGGGATTGCAGGCACTCTCCATCATGCCCGGCTAATTTTTGTATTTTAGTAGAGATGGAGTTTCACCATGTTGGCCAGGCTGGTCTTGAACTCCTGACCTCAGGTGATCCACCTGCCTCGGCCTCCCAAAGTGCTAGGATTACAGGTGTGAACCACCGAGGCTGGTCTAATTTTTGTCTTTTTGGTAGAGACAGGGTTTCGCCATGTTGGCCAGGCTGGTCTTGAACTCCTGACCTCAGGTGATCCACCTGCCTCGGCCTCCCAAAGTGCTAGGATTACAGGCGTGAACCACCATGGCTGGCCTAATTTTTGTCTTTTTGGTAGAGACAGGGTTTCACCATGTTGGCCAGGCTGTTTTGTTTTTTTGCTTTTTTGTTTGTTTTTTTTTTTGAGACGGAGTCTCACTCTGTCGCCCAGGCTGGAGTGCAATGGCGTGGTCTCAGCTCACTGCAACCTCCACTTCCTGGGTTCAAGCGATTCTTCGGCCTCAGCCTCCCGAGTAGCTGGGATTACAGGCGTGTGCCACCACACCCAGCTAATTTTTGTATTTTTAGTAGAGACAGGGTTTCACTGTGTTGGCCAGGCTGGTCTCGAACTCCTGACCTCGTGATCTGCCCACCTCAGCCTCCCCTGGTGCTGGGATCACAGGTGTGAGCCACTGCACCTGGCCAGAGTACTGTTAAAGTGAAAACATTGATTTATGAGAAGGAAAGTTCTTATAAATATGCAGTTTTTTGTTTTTTTTTTTTTTGAGACAGAGTTTCACTCTCGTTGCCCAGGCTGGAGTGCAATGGCATGATCTCGGCTCACTGCAACCTCTGCCTCCCAGGTTCAAGCGATTCTCCTGCCTCAGCCTCACTAGTAGTGGGGATTCTGTGCATGTGCCACCACGCCTGGCTAATTTTGTATTTTTAGTAGAGACGGGTTTTCTCCATATTGGTCAGGCTGGTCTCGAACTCCCGACCTCAGGTGATCCGCCCGCCTCGGCCTCCCAAAGTGCTGGGATTACAGGCATGAGCCACTGCTCCCGGCCACATAAATTTGCAGTTTTCAAAGTCAACCTTTTTGTGCATATATTTATATACACAAAAATACATATATTTAATTATATATATTTAATATATTAAATATTTAAAATATTTTATATATTTGTTATATTCATGTCATTTATTTCTAGTCTAAATGGATGAGCTATTTGCATTCCCACCTGTAATATATAAGGAAAGATTACTAGTCTGCCTCCCTAATATAAGTCTGCTTAAAAGTCAGGGCCAGGAGCGGTGGCTCAGTGAGAGGCTAGTCTGAAGGTAATGAGTTTTCTCGATTGTTCACAGCATCTTTTATGTCTGTCACAGGTCTTCTAGTCTGATCAGTGCAGTATTCACATTTATTATATATGTCTGTTCAGGCCTTTTGTACCTCCTTCAGTATTCATTAAAGAATCTTTTTTTTATTTTTTTATTTTTATTTTTATTTATTTATTTATTTTTTTGAGGCAGGGTCTCTGTCACCGAGGCTGGAGTACAGTGCAGCCCTGAGCTTCCTGGGCTCTCACTGTAGCCTCCTGAGTAGCAGGGACTACAGGCACATGCCACCATTCTCAGCTCATTTTTGTATTTTTTGTAGAGACAGGGTTTCACCATGTTTCCCAGGATGGTATTGAACTCCTGGGCTCAAGCCATCCTCCCATCTTGGCCTCCCAAAGTGCTGGGATTACAAGCGTGAGCCACCACACATGGCCTAGAGGACCTTTTTAACAACTTCACCCCTCACTGATCTCTCTTTTCTCCCTCCAATTCCTTCGGTATATATCTTCTGTACCAAAAACTTTAATATTGAATTGTAAATTATTTTGTTCACAGATCAGTTCGTGTGTGTGTGTGCGCACACATGTGTGCGCATCTGCCTATGTTTTGAATCCAAATCCCCATAAATGATTTTAAGTTCCTTGTGGGCAGTTTGGTTTTTTTTTTTTTTGGCTTTTTTCCCAGCAAAAGGAATCAATTAAGTATTTGGTGACTGATAGATAAAAAGGATTAAAGAAAAGAATCAGCCAGAAGTTAGGGATATGTTAGCATCTGATAAAATATAATAGCAAAAACTCTTCTATTCCTGCTTTTTGTTATAAAAAGCAGCAAGGAATTGTTCTAGAAAAGAAGTGAAGGCCAGTCGCGGTGGCTCACACCTGTAATCCCAGCACTTTGGGAGGCCGAGGAAGGGGGATCACGAGGTCAGGAGTTCAAGACCAGCCTGGCAAAGATGGTGAAACCCCATCTCTACTAAAAATACAAAAAAAAATAGCCAGGCATGGTGACAAGCGCCTGTAATCCCAGCTACTTGGGAGGCTGAGGCAGGAGAATCACTTGAACCCTGGAGGTAGAGGTTGCAGTGAGCCGAGATCAGGCCATTGCACTCCAGCCTGGGGGACAGAGTGAGACTCTGTCTCAAAAAAAAAAAAGTGAAGTGAAGTGAATTTGAGTCAGTGTACTTAATAGGACAAGCATTAGGCAGTGTTGCAAGTACATATCGGAATCTCTTTGGCTGGCTCTAAGAAAGAGTTTGAACTTATTTACCTCCTTAGCCCTATGTAACAGGTAAGAAACTAAAAGGTACAGAAAATAGAGATGTTTGATTTTTCTAAGTTGCCCCAAGCTACCGTTTTTAAAAACGCCTGCAAGCATGTCTAAAACAGGAGCCTGTTAGCTACAGTTGCCAAACCGGTTTAACAGCACTGCCTCCATGTATTCTGGGTAAGAAGGAGCTCCGAGTACATAAATTTATCAAAGATCACTATCCCAATCATCTCAGAACAAGCTGTTACTAATGTACTGGAGTTTCTGTGCAAACTGTCTACCATAAACCATGAAAGGATTCAAAGTTCATAGTTCCTTCTTTGTTCCTTTGTTAATCACTGACTTCTGACTAGTGGGAGGTGCCTCCCAAGTTTGCTAATGCATTCTTTTTGGATAAGGATGACGCACAGATTGTCCTAATAAGGACTTAGATTGAGAAAGACCGCCCCCTCTGAGAAGAGGGGACAAGTCAGAGAGAGGGCGGGCAGTTTCTTTTTTAACTAGGGATGACACAAGCATAAGTCATTTCCTTATTAATTGGTTCAAACCAGTTCTTACAGGAACTAGTGGTGATAAATGTGGGACTTCTGAGAAGTCATTCATTTTATTCTTTGTGCCATACCAGAGTACAGTATCAGCTGAGCTGACCTTACTCTGAGGACTAACTCTTTTGCTGGAAGCGGTTTCTGATTTACAGCTCTTGGTTTCTCCCAGACATGTTGGTGGGAGAGATTTTGGTTTTTAAGGGGTTGTTAGATGGAGTAAATTTTCTTTTTTTTTTTTTTTTTTTTTAACTAAAAAGGGGTCACAGAATTTCAGCAGTTCTCTGATTTTTATATTTTATTCCTCTTCCTATCCAATCCCTGCCTTTTGAGTCCAGGTGGTAAGTACATTTTCTTTAACGTTTTTCCTGCTTTTCTTCCCAAATGTGTCTTTTTCTTTGGGCTACTGTACCCTGCTTCCAGTGCTGTCCCCGGCATAGGTCCATCTCTGCAGAAGCCATTTCAGGAGTACCTGGAGGCTCAACGGCAGAAGCTTCACCACAAAAGCGAAATGGGCACACCACAGGTAAGACTTTAATCCGGTTTCTTCTCCCCTCTGGGAAGTTTCGGGCTGAAATTACATTCACAGCTCTCACTCACATTTTTAGGCAAATAAGTGAAGTTGGTTTGCCAGTGTTCCTTGACAGAAGTTGAGCGTCTGTGTATGCTCTACTGGGAAATTTGTCTTTGTCTTAGACTAGAAAGTGTAACTTCTGTACATCTTCTCCTAAAAACAAGGGTAGAGCCAATGGAAAGTAATGGTTCTGTTACATAGAATGAGTTGTTGCCTTGATCTTAAATGATGTATTGGTAGATATACTTCCCAAGTGGATTAAAAAGTTAAAACTTACAGCATAACAAAGTATTAGACTTACTGAGGTGACTTGAATATCTCCTTTTGATTTTCACTCTATTTTTCTTTTCACCCATGGGAAAATGATAATTTTTTAATAAACCAAGGCTCTTACCATAGCTGAACTTTAAAACTTAGACTGTCTTTTCTGTAAACGATTCTGAGGCAAAGGGAAATGACTAGAAGAGGATGAGTAAACAATAACCTGAAATGGGAAACTCGAGGGAAGCACAGGTTTTTTTTGTTTTGTTTTGTTTGGTTCGTTTTTTGTTCTTTGGGGTTTTTTTGAGACAGAATTTCGCTCTCGTTGCCCAAGTTGGAGTGCAATGGCGCGATCTTGGCTCACTGCAACCTCCGCCTCCCGGGTTCAAGCGATTCTCCTGCCTCAGCCTCCCAAGTAGCTGTGATTCCAGGCACGTGCCACCACACCAGCTAATTTTTTGTATTTTAATAGAAACAGGGTTTCACCGTGTTAGCCAGGCTGGTCTCAAACTGACCTCAGATGATCCGCCCGCCTTGGCCTCCCAAAGTGCTGGGATTACAGATGTGAGCCACCGCGCCCGGCCAGAGCACTGTTTTTTTTAATGGCCTTGCACTCTTCTTATGGACCTTTGCTGCCCTCAGTTGACCAAACATGACATCAGAAACAGATACATTTGTGTGTTTTAAAAACAGCTCCTAATACTGGAACAAAAATATTTAACTGTCTTGACAATACTCATGAGTATCTGCATGGCGACTTCAGAGTTGAGTTTAATCAAAGAGTTTATTCTTAGGTCCTAGTAGAAGAGCTAACCTCACACTCATCCCATTCTAAACTATGTGATTCAACACTGATTTTACATCCAACAAAGTGAAATCTTGATAGTTGGGTGTAAAAAGGAGAGTAATGGAGATTTCAGAGTAGTTGGGGTTGCTTACTTTTCATTTTTAATTCTTTAGGTTTTGTAAGTTACACACTTCAAGCATTATAGATGATCCTCTTTTTACTACTGAACTAATGAAGCCTTTTTCATTGCATTGTTCTGCATTTATTTCTACAGGGAGAAAACTGGTTGTCCTGGATGTTTGAAAAGTTGGTCGTTGTCATGGTGTGTTACTTCATCCTATCTATCATTAACTCCATGGCACAAAGTTATGCCAAACGAATCCAGCAGCGGTTGAACTCAGAGGAGAAAACTAAATAAGTAGAGAAAGTTTTAAACTGCAGAAATTGGAGTGGATGGGTTCTGCCTTAAATTGGGAGGACTCCAAGCCGGGAAGGAAAATTCCCTTTTCCAACCTGTATCAATTTTTACAACTTTTTTCCTGAAAGCAGTTTAGTCCATACTTTGCACTGACATACTTTTTCCTTCTGTGCTAAGGTAAGGTATCCACCCTCGATGCAATCCACCTTGTGTTTTCTTAGGGTGGAATGTGATGTTCAGCAGCAAACTTGCAACAGACTGGCCTTCTGTTTGTTACTTTCAAAAGGCCCACATGATACAATTAGAGAATTCCCACCGCACAAAAAAAGTTCCTAAGTATGTTAAATATGTCAAGCTTTTTAGGCTTGTCACAAATGATTGCTTTGTTTTCCTAAGTCATCAAAATGTATATAAATTATCTAGATTGGATAACAGTCTTGCATGTTTATCATGTTACAATTTAATATTCCATCCTGCCCAACCCTTCCTCTCCCATCCTCAAAAAAGGGCCATTTTATGATGCATTGCACACCCTCTGGGGAAATTGATCTTTAAATTTTGAGACAGTATAAGGAAAATCTGGTTGGTGTCTTACAAGTGAGCTGACACCATTTTTTATTCTGTGTATTTAGAATGAAGTCTTGAAAAAAACTTTATAAAGACATCTTTAATCATTCCAAAATTGTGTCCGTTTTCTTGAGCGTTTTGATTTTTTACTTTTAGCTTATACCAGCTGAATGGCAGCCTTGCCTAATCCACCTACAACAAGAATTTCTTAAGCTTTCTTTTATTTGCATGAGAGAGCCACTACCAAGGCATGTTTTGTTATGCTGAAACTGGGCTGCTGCATACTGCTAAATGGCACCTCTGGGATTGGCCTACCTGGGGATTTCTTGGTTTGTGAAAACAGGAGAGGAGAAATATCTCATACAAGTGAAAGGATACTGGAGAGAGAAATTACCCATTTCTAAAAAAAAACCACACTCTGTCGTATCTGTGTTAATGTTTTCTAGCATGTACTCTGGTTTCAACAGACACAAATTTATATGTTAACCCAGTTTTCTTGCCGTTCTGTAAGTGTTTTATTCTTAGTGTGATTTTTTTCCATTGGGATGTTTTTGATTGAACTTGTTCATTTTGTTTTGCTTGGGAGGAAAATAAACAATTTTACTTTTTTCCTTTAGGAGCATTATGAGCATTATGTCAGAATAGAATAGAATTGGGGTTCGATCTTAACAGGCCAGAAATGCCTGGGTTTTTTTGGTTTGTTTTTGTTTTTGTTTTTTTATCAAATCCTGCCTGACTGTCTGCTTGTTTTGCCTACCATCGTGACATCTCCATGGCTGTACCACCTTGTCGGGTAGCTTATCAGACTGATGTTGACTGTTGAATCTCATGGCAACACCAGTCGATGGGCTGTCTGACATTTTGGTATCTTTCATCTGACCATCCATATCCAATGTTCTCATTTAAACATTACCCAGCATCATTGTTTATAATCAGAAACTCTGGTCCTTCTGTCTGGTGGCACTTAGAGTCTTTTGTGCCATAATGCAGCAGTATGGAGGGAGGATTTTATGGAGAAATGGGGATAGTCTTCATGACCACAAATAAATAAAGGAAAACTAAGCTGCATTGTGGGTTTTGAAAAGGTTATTATACTTCTTAACAATTCTTTTTTTCAGGGACTTTTCTAGCTGTATGACTGTTACTTGACCTTCTTTGAAAAGCATTCCCAAAATGCTCTATTTTAGATAGATTAACATTAACCAACATAATTTTTTTTAGATCGAGTCAGCATAAATTTCTAAGTCAGCCTCTAGTCGTGGTTCATCTCTTTCACCTGCATTTTATTTGGTGTTTGTCTGAAGAAAGGAAAGAGGAAAGCAAATACGAATTGTACTATTTGTACCAAATCTTTGGGATTCATTGGCAAATAATTTCAGTGTGGTGTATTATTAAATAGAAAAAAAAAATTTTGTTTCCTAGGTTGAAGGTCTAATTGATACGTTTGACTTATGATGACCATTTATGCACTTTCAAATGAATTTGCTTTCAAAATAAATGAAGAGCAGCTGTCCTTCTTTCCTCTTTTAAGTGTTCAGCTGTGGCATGCTCAGAGGTTCCTGCTGGATTCCAGCTGGAGCGGTGTGATACCCTTCTTTTTCAGCTGTTCGTGCCTTCCTTTCTTGTATCCACCAAAGTGGAGACAAATACATGATCTCAAAGATACACAGTACCTACTTAATTCCAGCTGATGGGAGACCAAAGAATTTGCAAGTGGATGGTTTGGTATCACTGTAAATAAAAAGAGGGCCTGGGAATTCTTGCGATTCCATCTCTACTTTGTATAAGTCTCATTTTGTGCCTTACACATCTGCAGTATTTATCATGTTCCAACTTGGTGACTGTCAGGCAGTGCAATACATCAGCAGTTTATCACCGAAGAGCTGAGGAATACCTCCCTTAAAACAGACAATGTCGGCCGGGCGCGGTGGCTCACACCTGTAATCCCAGCACTTTGGGAGGCCAAGGCGGGCAGATCACCTGAGGTCAGGAGTTTGAGACCAGCCTGGCCAACATGGCGAAACCCCATCTCTACTAAAAATATAAAAAATTAGCCGGGCGTGGTGGTGCACGCCTGTAATCCCAGCTATTCAGGAGGCTGAGGCAGGAGAATCCCTTGAACGCAGGAAGCAGAGTTTGCAGTGAGCCGAGATGGCGCCACTGCACTCCAGCCTGGGTGACAGAGCAAGACAAAAAAAATAACAGATGATGTCATATGAAAATGTGCAATGTCCAGTTTTCCCATAGTTTTCTGTATTCTCTGTGTGCATAATCTGGAGTATGAGTCTGGGAAGAAAAAGGTTTTTAGTTTCATTTGGATAGTGGCCACCTCTCCATTCCCTACGAATGCTAGAATGAAGTTACTTTTTTTTTTTTTTTTTTTTTTTTTGAGACAGAGTCTTGCTCCGTCGCCCAGGCTAGAGTGCAATGGTACAATCTCGGCTCACTGCCACTTCCGCCTCCCAGGTTCAAGCGATTGTCCTGCCTCAGCCTCTGGAGTAGTTGGGATTCCAGGCGCCCACCACCACACCAGGCTAGTTTTTGTATTTTTAGTAGAGACGGGGTTTGGCCATGTTGGTCAGGCTGGTCTCGAACTCCTGACCTGAGGTGATCCACCTGCCTCGGTCTCCCAAAGTTCTGGGTTCACAGACGTGAGCCACCATGCCCACGTAGAATGAAGTTTCTTAAATACACTAGTTAATTATTGAAACATATGCAGTATTGAGTGCTCCTACACAAACACGCTCAGCCTCTGCCCCCAGTGTGCTCTGTGCTATCCACAGCCTTAGTAGAACATGAGGCTTTTTGTCATTTCACCAGTCATTCAATAATGACTCATTTGAGTATGGATCATGCACTAGCTAAATAACCAGTTGCGCTCATGTACCCTGAAGCAAATTGTTTAGCCTGACCCATGTGTAAGAAGATCACAGAGATTCCCAACCTTTCAGTGTCAAAAAGCCTTTCCATATATATTACTTTAAAACCCATTTTCCCCCATGTGTAATAGTCTATGTTAATGACGGTTCGGGTTTCTTCTACATTGTTTGTGACCTGAGAAAGTTTAAAAGAGCCTCAGTTTCTTTCATCTATAAAAATAAAAGAGATAGAAGGACAGTTTACCTAAGGAATAAATCTGGTAACATGTAAAGTACTGAAATAGGCTGGGTGCAGTGGCTCATGCTTATAATCCTAATACTTTGGGAGGCCAAGGCAGGAGGATCCCTTTTAGGCCAAGAGTTCAATAAATAGGGCCGGGCATGGTGGCTCACGCCTGTAATCCCAGCACTTTGGGAGGCCAAGGTGGGCAGATCACCTGAGTTCGAGACCAGCCTAACCAACATGGCGAAATCACATCTCTACTAAAAATACAAAAATGTAGCAGGCACGGTGGCACATGCCTGTAATCCCAGCTACTCGGGAGGCTGAGGCAGGAATCGCTTGAACCCAGGAGGCAGAGGTTGCAGTGAGCCGAGATCTTGCCATTGCACTCCAGCCTGGGCAACAAGAGTGAAACTCCGTCTCAAAACAAACAAACAAAAAAGAGTTCAGTAAAAGTACAGCAATAAAAGTTATCCACCTCCACCACCCCAGCTTTTTTTTTTTTTTTTTTTTTTTTTTGAGAGTGAGGTTTTACTGTGTCACCCAGGCTGGAGTGTGGTGGCACAGTCATGGCTCTTTACAGCCTTGACCTCCCAGGCTCAAGAAATTCTCCTACCTCAGCCTCCCTGGCAAGGACCAGCATGAACCACCATACCTGGGTAATTTTTTAATTTTTTGTAAAGACAGGGTCTCAATATTTTGCCCAGGCCAGTCTTGAATTCCCAGGCTCGAGCGATCCTGCCGTGGCCTCCCAAAGTGCTGGGATGACAGGTGTGAGCCACCATGCTGGGCATTCCCAATGAAAGACTGAGGCCAGGCACAGTGGCTCACGCCTGTCATCCCAGCCTTTTGGGAGGCCAAGACAGGATCACTTGAGGTCAGGAGTTCAAGACCAGCCTGGCCAGCATGGTGAAACCCTATCTCTACTAAAAATACAAAAATTAGCCAGGCGTGGTGGCGTATGCCTGTAATCTCAGCTACTCGGGAAACAGGCAGGAGAGTCACTTGAACCCGGAAGGCAGACGTTGCAGTGACCTGAGATCGTGCCACTGCACTCCAGCCTGGGCAACAGAGCAAGACACCATCTCGCAAAAAAAAAAAAAAAAAAAAAAAAAAAGTGAGCATCTGATACACATGCAAGAATTTCACAACATTGCATTCACTCCTCCAGAAACAAAGATATATTTTAAAATGCTTTCTTAGCATATGTGCTCTGGTTTTCTAGCAGATACTCTGTCAAACTTTTGATAAGTGAAAAATTTACCGAAGAATTTAAAACCAAAAACAGTTTTTTAACTTTCCCACCTGAAAATATTGACCATTTTCTAATTTATTTTCATTATAAAGAATATTGGTTATCATGGTTGCTCATGCCTGTAATTCTAGCACTTTGGTAGGCCAAGGCAGGCAAATCACTCCTGAGCCCAGGAGTTCGAGACCAGCCTGGACAACATAATGAGACCTCCCTACAAAATATTTAAAAGTTAGCCAAGTGTGACAGTATGTGCCTATAGTCCCAGGCTGAGGTGGATCACCTCATTAGTGAGCCGTGATTGTGTCACTGCACTCCAGCCTGAGTGACACAGACCCTGCCTCAAAAAATATATATATAAATACTAAAACATCTGGAAGGAAAGAGGAGAAAAGGGAGTATCAGCTTTTAATACTTGTTACAAGGTCAGTCTAGAAAATACAGTGAGATTTGCTGGGTAAATAGGTTTTGAACCATGAAAAAATTGATGGCATGCAAGATCTTCCTCAATAGACCTAAGAGTCTCATTTCTATTAAAAAATACAAACAACTGCTTCATTTTATTCATAAATAATTTTTTGAGGTGCTACAAAAAATTAAAACTAAGCAGGAGTTTAAAGTTTTTGAAAAGCCAAGTAACATTTTATCTCTAACATTTATTGAATCCTCTCCAGTATTTACACAACGTAAATGAGATACTACACACAAAACCCTTGTGTCTGAAGGTAAATTTATTTATTCTCAAAGACAACAAGAAGAGAAAGCACATCATGTATTTTAAACTTTAGAAGCAACTGAGTCATTAGTGTCTGGTGGACAGGAGCTAGGGATCCTATCCCTTCCCAACAAGGCCAAGAGTTCACCTGAGGTAATGCATTTGCCTTGGGGGCGAGGCCTTGAATTGCAGCAAATAACCTGTGTGTATTTGCATATTTAACCAGTACTCTTAAGAAGGATTATACAAAAACCTGTTCCAGACAGCTGCTTACTCATTGCCTTTAAAATTGCGTGGTGCTGGGATTGGCAGGTGCCAACTGTTTGCTCATTCTCTTTGACCCACTAGCCTTGCAGTTTGCTGTGTGGGTGTTGATACTCCTAAATTAAAGCAGGGAAGGGGTGGTTTTAGATGGCTTTTAACACCTGCTCTCCACCCAAGCACCCTGGATTCATTTGATATCTGGATTCTAATTCTGTAGTCAGGAGACTGGCCCAAACTGTGGCCCAGAGAGAAGTGAGTCAGTTGCAAGTGGCTAGCTGACTCTATGGGAACAGAAATAAAATGCAGCTTAGAGAGTTTGTCAGCCAAATCCACAAATGTGTGGCTTTTTGAAACATTGGACATCTGTTCCTCTTAATTTAAAATAAACTTTTTTTTTTTTTTTTTTTAAGCACAAAGTTGCTTGGCTCCTTGTTTCTTTGTGTCAGCAGCAGTTGCTGCTCTAATTTAGGAACCCTAGGATCTGATTTAGGACATTTGGAATCTTTAAGGCACATTCGATCTAGAAAGTGGAACTGAATTGCTTTGGGAAGGCAAGAGGATGATTTTACAGTATAGGGTTTGTGTGGAAATCCCCTTCAGCAGTAATCAACCCAGGTGTCCAACCTGTTTGTTAACCATTTCCAAATGACTCAGAGGACCTAGAGGGAGGGCTTGAACACACTCCAGCACTGTTTCTACAATTTAGCCTTTATTTGCATTGGAAACCACATTCCTGAATTCTTGAGGGGGCAGGCTCTGGCTTATTCTGGGCAACTGACTTCAAGTGGGACCCCTGAGCTACCTATGTAAGCAAAGAGTCAGCCATCTCTGGAGAGTTACCAGGGAGGAGGATCTTTCTGTGAACTTGCTTTGATGACCTCCACCCAAAGCCCTTTGAGGAACAGTTTTGTTTATTCAAGGAGCCCTTGGCAGGTCACTCCTCCCCTACCACAAATCTAATCCAAATGCGACATTTTCCTTTGAGGCCATCTATCCCTTTTGGGGGACAAAACACATCAGCTTTTCCCTTCAGACCACTTTTGACTGAAGCAGTGATCAACATTGCTTAATTGTGTTCCAGTCTGTTTCCAGCGGGGAAAAAATGCTTTAGGGGAGTGAGGCAGTTAGGGATTTGAAAACAGGGATGGTGCCGCCTGAAGGTGGGGAATGACTTAGATCACTGTCTTCCTTTGGCTCCTCACCATGTTGTGTGGAGGAAACGAAAAGCAGCTCAAGTTCACTCCTCTTGGCAGTAGTGCAGAAGCCTGGCTTGCCACGGCCCTGGAGAACCATGTTTTTCCCAACTTTTTTTTTTTTCTTTTGAGACGGAGTTTCACTCTTGTTGCCGAGGCTGGAGTGCAGTGGCGCAATCTCGGCTCACTGCAGCCTCCGCCTTCCAGGTTCAAAGCGATTCTCCTGCCTCAGCCTCTCAAGTAGCTGGGATTACAGGTGCATGCCACCACACTCGGCTAATTTTTTGTATTTTTTTCAGTAGATACGGGGTTTCATCATGTTGGCCAGGCTGGTCTCGAACTCCTAACCTCAGGTGATCCACCCGCCTCGGCCTCCCAAAGTGCTGGGATTACAAGCATGAACCACCATGCCCAGCCTTTTTTTTTTTTTTTTTTTTTTTTAATACAGAACACAAATTTGAGTGTCATTCTTGTGCAGGGGCCATGCTAATCTTCTGTATATTGTTCCAATTTTGGTGTATGTGCTGCCAAAGCAAGCACCCAGCTTCTTTTCATTAGTTAAGAAGATGAAGGCCAAGACTAAGGCAGGGAGGCCTTTCTCTGCCTTTCACTCTTTAGTGCACCTCACAGTCAGTTGCACTTGAGTAAGGACTGCTAAACCTCTCTGAGAGCTGCCAGATGTTCCTGCCTAGCCTCAGGTTGTTGGTTCTTCAGACACCTCTTCATTCTGCCCATTGCACCAGCCCTTTCCCATCTCCATGTTCCCTCCATGGTAATTTCTTTGTACACAACAACCACACGGAGCACCAGCAATCAAGATTAGCTCCCGGGAACTCTGGCGTGCCCTGTACCAGGAAGCACAGTGGATTACTACAACTTTTGATAATGATTGTTTGCTTTGTACCAGGCATTATTTTCAGGGCTGTTTCACATGTGTTGTACTTAACAACCCCATGAGGAAATTAAGGCAGGGTGGTTCAGTAATTTGTCAAGGGAAACAAGGAAGTAGAGCAGGCAGCAGAGGCGTTCTGGCTCTGAACTACTCTGTTCTGTAGAAATCAGTGCAAAAGTCCAAGCTTCAGCATACTTGTTTCATCTTGTGATCACAGGTAGTTTTTTTTGTTTTTTTTTTGTTGTTGTTGTTGTTGTTTATTTGTTTGTTTTGAGATGGAGTCTCGCTGTCGCCCAGGCTGGAGTGCAGTGGGGCGATCTCCGCTCACTGCAGGCTCCGCCTCCCGGGTTCAAGCCATTCTCCTGCCTCAGCCTCCCGAGTAGCTGGGACTACAGGCGCCCGCCACCTCGCCCAGCTAATTTTTTGTATTTTTAGTAGAGACGGGGTTTCACCGTGTTAGCCAGGATGGTCTCAATCGCCTGACCTCGTGATCCGCCCGCCTCGGCCTCCCAAAGTGCTGAGATTACAGGTGTGAGCCACCGCGCCCGGCCCTGATCACAGGTAGTTGATGGAGAAAGGAAGATAACAGAAAATCAAGGCCACAACCTCAAATTTTGCTATTTAAATAGATAAGCAGACTTTACTCTTCCCTGTATCACAGGGTTGGAAAAGCAAGCTCCATTCTTAGCCATCCATGTGGGCAGATTCCCAGAGTGGTGTTTGCTATAATTATGATTTAAAAGCAAGGTTTTTTGTTTGTTTGTTTTAAGGAGATGGGGTCTCCCATGTTACCCAGGCCGAACTCCAACTCCTGGGCTCAAGTCATCCTCCCGCCTCAGCCTCCCGAGTAGCTGGGACTACAGGCACTCACCACCACACTTGGGTAAAAGTAATTTCTATTTCTACAGCCTTTTTTTATTTTTCAAAGTATTTTAATGTCTTGAGTTTGGGTTTTGTTTTGAGACAGGGTTTCACTCTGTTGCCCAAGCTGAAGTACAGTGGCGCAATCACAGCCACAGCTGACTGCAACCTCCACCTCCCAGGCTCAAGCAATCCTCCCGCCACAGCCGCCCCACTCCCCACCAGTAGCTGGGACTACAGAGCTGCACCACCACACCCAGCTAATTTCTGTAGTTTTTTTTTTTAGTAGAGACAGGGTTTCACCACGTTGACCACGCTGGTTTTAAACTCCTGAGCTCAATCAATCCACCTGCCTCGGCCTCCCAAAGTGCTGGAATTACAGGTGTGAGCCACTGCACTCGGCTAGGAAACCCTTTTCTGATCTTTCCTTGTCAGCAATGATCTCTTCACACTTCCTTTCTTACGGCCCTCACCTCACTCTGTATTATAGTTATCTGCATATATGAATAAAATCCCTAAGAAGACTGCAGGGTCCTGGAGGGAGGAGATCTGTATCGACAACTTTGTCTCTTCTTCACAGCACCTTACACCAGTGGGGATTTAAAAAGTGAATACAGGGCTGGGCACCGTGGCTTATGCCTATAATCCTAGCACTTTAAGAGGATGAGGTGGGAGGATCACCTGTCGCCAGGAGTTCAAGACCAGCCTGGCCCAACATGGCAAAACCCTGTCTCTACTAAAAATACAAAAGTTCGCTGGGCGTAGTGATGCATGTCTGTAATCCCAGCTACTTGGGAGGCTGAGGCATGAGGATTGCTTGAACCCGGGAGGCAGAGGTTGCAGTGAGCCAAGGTTGCACCACTGCACTCCAGCCTGGTTGACCAGGTGACAAAGTGAGACCCTGTCTCAAAAAAACAAAACAAAAGTTTCCTGAGGGGAGTAGTATTTGAATTGACAAGGTAGAGGGAGTGAAACGAAAGGTATTCTAACCAGAAAAAAACTCAGACACCAGGAAAGAACAAATAAGGGGCTATGTGTAGGGTGGGGAGAAAGACAGCATCAGGTTTTCCACTCGAGTCCTCTGTAGCTCTGCCTTAGCTCGCTGTTTAGTTTCCTTAAAGTACCGACCAAATTCACAACTAGTTTGTCTATTTTCTTGCTAGTGCTTGCGACACTAGAACATAAGCCCGGTGAAAGGAAAATAAATCTTGGGACCCCAAAATCACTAAGCCAAAGAAAAGTCAAGCTGGGAACTGCTTAGGGCAAACCTGCCCCCCATTCTATTCCTTAAAAAGATAGCTACTAAGATTTTTTTTTTTAAAAAAACTGCATACTGGGGCTGGGCGCGGTGGCTCATGCCTGTAATCCCAGCACTTTGGGAGGCCAAGCAGGCAGATCACAAGGTCAGGAGATTGGGACCATCCTGGCTAATACGGTGAAACCCTGTCTCTACTAAAAATGCAAAAACTTAGCTGGGTGCAGTGGCGGATGCCTGTAGTCCCAGCTACTCAGGAGGATGAGGCCGGAGAATGGCATGAACCCAGGAGGCACAGGTTGCAGTGAGCTGAGATAGTGCCACTGCAGTCCGGCCTGGGCGAAAGAGCGAGACTCCGTCTCAAAAAAAAAAAAAACAACTGCATACCGGCCGGGCGTGGTGGCTCACGCCTGTAATCCCAACACTGGCAGGCAGAGACGGGCGGATCACCTGAGGTCAGGAGTTTGAGACCAGCCTGGCCAACATGGTGAAAACCCGTCTCTACTAAAAATACAAAAATTAGCCAGGGGTTGTGGCGGGTGCCTGTAGTCCCAGCTACTCGAGGCTGAGGCAGGCGAATTGCTTGAACCTGGCAGGCAGAGGTTGCAGTGAGCCGAGATAGAGCCACTGCACTATAGCCTGGGTGACAGAGGGAGACTATCTCCCCCCCCCAAAAAAAAAAGAAAGAAAAGAAAAAGAAAAAAATGAGAAAGAGAGAGAGAGAGAGAGAAAAAAAAAGCATTAGAAAAACAATGGGTGACCGGGGTGGTAGCTCATGCCTGTAATCCTAGCATTTTGGGAGGCAGAGGCTGGTGGATCACCTGAACTCAGGAGTTCAAGACCAGCCTGACCAACATGGTGAAACCCCGACTCTACTAAAAATACGAAAAATTGGGCCGGGTGCAGTGGCTCACGCTTGTAATCCCAGCACATTGGGAGACCAAGACGTGCAGATCACCTGAAGTCAGGAGTTCGAGACCAGCCTGACCAACATGGAGAAACCCCATCTCCACTAAAAATACAAAATTAGCCAGGCATGGTGGCACATGCCTGTAATCCCAGCTACTTGGGAGGCTGAGGCAGGAGAATTGCTTGAACCTGGGAGGCAGAGGTTGTGGTGAGCCGAGATCGTGCCATTGCACCGTAGCCTGGGCAACAAGAGCGAAACTCTGTCTCAAAAAAAATAAAAATAAAAAAATAGCTGGGCAGGTTGAAACTCTACTGTAGGTCCAGCTACTTGGGGGGTTGAGATGGGAGGATCATTTGAACCCCGGGAGGCAGAGGTTGCAGTGAGCCGAGATTGCGCCACTGCACTCCAGCCTGGGCAACAGAGAGAGACGCCATCTAAAAAAAAAAAAAAAAGAAAGAAAATGGCGAGGAAGGACCCAAAGAACCCCTGAAAAGACAGCAATGCCCATCCCCAAGCCAGGAATATAAAGGAGGCAAGTCTGAGGAAGACAGACTATTCTGTTTTGAATATGTGGAGGGGCGATAATGACCAATAGGATGGTGGGGCCTGTAATATTCTCTATCTTAGGCTTCCTAACTCCTAAACTCCTAGTGAATATGCCGTTCTTTACACCACACTGTAACTTCTGTCAGTGAATAAGCTGGACTTCTTCAGAGAATTCTCCAGGGTAACAGGTCCTTAAGCCGTGTTATGTGGTGGTGCTGTTAAAGAGATGGCACTGTGACTGGACCTTAAGGCCACAGTAAACTTTTAAAATTCCTCTCCCCAGTATCCCGCTGGCTTAACCAACGGCCCCTCCCTTTGAGAACTGAGAGGATGGTAGTTCCTGGAGAGATCATCTGTCTTTATAAGGAGAAAAGTTTGGCAATGTGATTTCCTGTATGTTTCTACCGGAGTCCAAGATTCCAGCAGTGCTAGCCTAGACAGCAGCGGCTGCATCCTAGAACCCAGAGGTCAGGAGTGCTCCCAAGTCAGTGTGAGGGCATCTTCCCAACTGCCTTTGCCAAGCCAAAAGGCAGAATCACGACTTTGTTACACCTTCTGGAGCATGTGGTCGAGGCGGCTTTCCATGTGGCTGCTTTGGTGCTGAGCCTGTTTACATGTTTCAGTAAATGAGTTATTGCTTATTGAAGTTGGCTGGCTAGGAGCTCGGAATAAACAACATATAACCACAATGACACCACTCTCCAGAAGTACCAGAGTTCAGAGGGAAAGATCTGCTTGTATGTTCCACTCCCACGTGGATGCGTAGTTCTCAAAGCCTGGGAGGACTGGGGTGTCACTGTTCCCGGCTTTCTGATGGAATCAGACATAATGAGATGTCTTCCTGGTAGAAAGTGTATATGAAAGTACTTTGCACAATCTCAGAAGGAAAAGGGAGGGCACTGCTTTTAGAAAAATGTATGAGATCAAAGAAGTTTTCAGATGTTCTGCATTTTCTTCTTCAATTATAAAGAATTCATCTGAGCATAAAAGACTCCCTGGTCTCTGTAAGAAGTAAAAACTTCTTTCATACACAAAAGTTTTCCTACTTTATATACTTCTTTTTAGACTGTTTCATTTATTTTTTGTGGTATATTTATTAGTCTTCCCTGAAGTAGGCAGTGTTCATTAGAAGAACATGTTGAGACAATTAAGACCCCAAAGTTAATCTTTAATTTCTCCCTTCTTCCTGTGCCACCTGGATGACCTTGGAGTGTCCAGGAGTTCCTACACCCCATCTATGTGACAATTTACAGAATAATTTTTTTTTTAAGACAGAGTCTCACTCTGTTGCCCAGGCTGGAGTTCACTGGCACGATCTTGGCTCACTGCAACCTCTGCCTACCCCAGGCTCAAGCAATTCTCATGCCTCCACCTCCAGAGTAGCTGGGATTACAGATGCATTACACTTGGCTAATTTTTGTATTTTTAGTAGAGACAGCGTTTCGCTATATTGGCCAGGCTGGTCTCAAACTCCTGACCTCAAGTTATCTGCCAACCTCAGACTCCCGAAGTGCTGGGACTACAGGCGCATGCGCCACCATGCCCAGCTAATTTTTGTATTTTTCATAGAGACGGGTTTCACCATGTTGGCCAGGCTGGTTTCAAACTCCTTGCCTCAAGTGATCTGCCCACCTCAACCTCTCAAAGTGCTGGGATTACAGGCATGAGCCACCGTGACTAGCCCAAAGATGTTTCTTACTACTACTTATTACCATCTTCTGATTTACCAGACATTCCTCCACTCTTCAAATTGTCTCATAATGGGGGCTTTAACGGGCTTCATTCACTGTGTGACTGTAGTGTTGCAGCTTTACCTGTCTTCCAGAGTTTTAGACATTGATATGAATCTGTTCAGTAAACATGGAGTCTTTACCATGAGTCAGGCGTATGCTCTGCAGCAAACAATATGCCAAGCGGTGGCCTCCTAGTGGCCGGAGGCCAGGTCTAACTCATTATTACCCCGCCCTAGCACAGTGTCCTTCCTTGCAGGTGTTCAGTCGATGTTTGTTGAATTAAGCTCACATCCTGCCTCTTTCATACTCATCGCATGAGTCGAGCTTAAGCAAAGGCCTTTTTTTCATCAAAAAGGAAACTCCCATCTTTTGCCTTTTGTCATGTTTCTTACCATCATGTTCCCATGACCTCTCACCTAGTAAGGACAAATTCTGTTCAACTCCAGTTTCTACAATTCCCAGCAGTTTGCTCCTGGAATGTTTAGAACAGCCTGTCTCATAGAAATAACACTGCAACCCATATACCTCATTTTAAAACAATGTACTGCCAGGCACGGTGGCTCATGCCTGTAATCCCAGCGCTTTGGGAGGCCGAGGCAGGTGGATTACCTGAGGTTGGGAGTTTGAGACCAGCCTGACCAACATGGAGAAACCCCGTCTCTACTAAAAATACAAAATTAGCTGGGCGTGGTGGCGCATGCCTGTAATCCCAGCTACTTAGGAGGCTGAGGCGGGAGAATCTTTTGAACCTAGGAGGCAGAGGTTGCAGTGAGCCTAGACTGCACCATTGCACTCCAGTCTGGACAACAAGAGCAAAACTGTCTCAAAAATGACAATAACAATAAACAATTTACTTGCTATGTTTCAAAAAGTATAAAAAAGGGCTGGACACAGTGGCTCACGCCTGTCATCCCAGCAGTTTAGGAGGCTGAGGTGGGAAGATCACTTGAGCCCAGGAATTTGAGACCAGCCCGGACAATATAATGAAACCTCGTCTCTACAAAATATTTAAAAATTAGCCAAGCATGGTGGCGCCTGCTTTCCCAGCTACTCAGGAGGCTGAGGTGGGAGGATTGCTTGAGCTCAGGAGGTGGAGGTTGCAGTGAGCCAAGATTGTGCCACTGCATTCTAGTCTGGGTGACAGACTGAGACTCTGTCTCAAAAAAAAAAAAAAAAAAGGAAAGAAAAAGTGATGTCAGGCACAGTGGCTCATGTCTGTTATCCCAGCACTTTGGGAGGCTGAGGCCGGTGGATTGCTTGAGCTCAGGAGTTTGAAACCAGCCTGGTAAAAATGAAGAAAACCCTGTCTGTGCAAAAAATACAAACATTAGCAGGGCGTTGTGGCACACAGCTGTGGTCCCAGCTACTCAGGAGATAGAGGTGGGAGGATGGCTGGAGCCAGAGGAGGTCAAGGCTGCAGTGGGCCATGATTGCACCACTGCACTCCAGCCTGGGCGACAAAGTGAGACTCTGTCTCAAAAATAATAATAATCAAGGCCAGGCACGGTGGCTCACGCCTATAATCCCAGTGCTTTAGGAGGCCCCGTCTCTACTAAACCCCATCTCTACTAAAAAAAAAAAGTACAAAAATTAGCCGGGTGTTTTGGCATAGGCCTGTAACCCCAGCTACTTGGGAGGCTGAGGCAGGAGAATCGCTTGAACCTGAGAGGCAGAGGTTGCCATGACCCAAGATTGCACCACTGCGTACCAGCCTAGGTGACAGAGCAAGACTCTGTGTCAAAAGAAAAAAATTTTTTTTTAATTGGCTGAAAGAGTTACGTTATCGTCTAAAAACTTTGGAACATCTGGGTTGAGATAAGGGGTTGTGGAGACCAAGGTTTTATGCAGGTGAAGCCTCCAGGTAACAGGCTTTGGAGGGAGAGAACAATGAGTGTAAATGTTTGTTACCAGACGTAAAAGAGTCTGTTCTGGCTGGGTGCGGTGGCTGACGCCTGTAATCCCAGCTCTTTGGGAGGCTGAGGCGGGCGGATCACGAGGTCAGGAGATCGAGACCATCCTGGCTAACATGGTGAAACCCCATCTCTACTAAAAATACAAAAAAAAAAATTTGCCGGGCGTGGTGGCGTGCGCCTGTAGTCCCAGCTATTCCGGAGGCTGAGGCAGGAGAATGGCATGAACCCAGGAGGTGGAGCTTGCAGTGAGCTGAGATCGCGCCACTGCACTCCAGCCTGGGAGACACAGCGAGACTCAGTCTCAAAAAACAAACAAAAAAAAGAGTCTGTTCTATCAGGAATTCCAAAAGGGAACAGGGTATAAATCTGTCCGACCCTACCCCCTTTCCATCATGGCCTGAAACAGTTTCTCAGGTTAGCTTTGGAATGCCCTTGCCGATAGGAGGGATCCATTCAGATGTTCGAAGGCTTAGAATTTTATTTTTGGCTTATATTAGGTAAAGTTTATAATTCAAAACCCATCAAGTTTCTTTTTTAGCAGTTCTTTGGGGGCATGATCAATTCCCCTGACCTTTCTTTTCATCTCTTCCTGTTTCACTGGCTCCCTAGAGTCAAATGATTAGGACTTTGTATCTTTTCCCCTTTTCCACAGCTGGAATGCCATACACTGACCTGACATTGTTTCCCAGAAACTTGAAATATTTACGTTGTTTATCTTAACTCCTTGTGCAAGCATTCCTGCTTGCGGAAATGGTTTTCCATCTATTAATAAGATTGACATTGCATCATCTGAGACATTTCAGGGTGTAGGAGTAGGAAGTTATTTAAAAATATAAAGCCAGTTTTTTGCTTTTTTTTTTTTTTTCTTGACATGGAGTCTTGCTCTGTCGCCCAGGCTAGAATGTAGTGGCATGATCTCAGCTCACTGCAACCTTGGCCTCCCGGATTCAAGCGATTCTCCTGCCTCAGCCTCCCAAGTAGCTGGGATTACAGACGTGCATCACCACACCCAGCTAATTTTTTGTATTTTTAATAGAGACGGGGTTTCACCATGTTGGTCAGGCTGGTCTTGAACTCCTAACCTCAGGTGATCCACCCGCCTCAGCCTTCCAAAGTGCTGGGATTACAGTCGTAAGCCACCGTGCCTGGCTAAAGCCAGTTTTTTTAGCTCACATTCCTCAAACCCATAGGAAACAATATGATTGATACAGTTGAGGAAATATCTCTTAACATAAATGACTGTTGGTTGGCCAGGTGCAGTGGCTCACACCTGTAATCCAAGGAGGGAGGGCCATTGGGAGGCTGAGGTAGGAGGATTACTTGAGCCTCAGAGTCTGAGACCAGCCTGGGCAACATAGTCAGACCTTGTCTCTACTAAAAATAAAAAAAATTAGCCGAGTGTAGTGGTGTACCACTGCAGCCCCAGCTACTCAGGAGGTTGAGGCAGGAGGATCACTTGAGCTTGGGAGGTTGAGGCTGCAGTGAGCCATGATTACACCACTGCACTCCAGCTTGGGCAAGAGAGTGAGACCCTATCATCTCAAAAATAAAATAAAATAAAATAAATGATTGTTGGCCCAAAATGACAAGCTAGTGGTTAAAGCCATATTTGGTGGGTAGGTGGCAGAACAAGAAAGGGGTATCTGCTAAACTTTGGGCTCATGAGAGAAGATAGTGGGTTAGGGACATATGCAGTATGTTTTAAAAGAAAATTTTGGACAGGAATTCAAGTGTGATACACATGGTGGTCAGGAGAATCACTAGTATGTATACTGCAAAGTAGAGTTTATAGAGCCTACAGAGCCAGTGAAGAGACATTTCAACACTTAAGCCTAGCCCAGACCAGAGCTCTGAGTTCATTGTTCTTTCTTTCTTTCTTGGACCACATTCTTTCCTGGAAAAAAGGTGAATATGCACACAGGCAAGATAACAAGCAATAATTAGGAAGCTAGAATTGTAGCACTAAACATCCCAAAAAGCTTCTTCAGACAAGGTAGCATTGATCCCTGTATCCTTAACATCTTCCTCAGTGCCTGGCACTGAATAGATGATACTGGTTGAATGGATGAATTGGCTGATAATAGTGAATTGTTGGCATACTTAGTGAGTTCTAAGTGATGGGTAAAATATAGGAGAAAGATGTTGAAAGATGTTGTAGATTGAATAGTAAGGGTGGATAGGGGAGGGGAGTTTTCGGGGAGATCCCAGGGCTGGAAGTGGCGAATGCATGGGAAAAAACAGGTTCTACAGCTTAAGCTCTTGAGGAAAGATTGGGGAGGTAAGAGAGAAAGAGCTTGACAATAAGAAACAGTATGCATTCACACTGTGCTCATTGTCCACAGGGGTGCATTCTGGCTCTGCAGGATAATGTTTGACAACGTAATGTGCCAGTTATCCCATAATCTAAGAAATTACACTTTCAAAGTTTTCTGGATCTGTATGCCCAGGAGCTAAGGGAGCCAATGTTGTCCTCCTGGCTGACTGGCCATTATCTCCACACAAATCAAAGCACATTTCCAATGCCACTCCATCTGAAGTTTTGACATCAGCATCTTGGTGTTAATTTTTAACTTAAAATCACAACTTTAAGAGCAAAAATTTTGTTATTCCAAGTAGACAAGAAAAAATTATTTTCCATGTGAATGTTTTAACCCAAGCTTTAAAATATTTAGGCATTGGCCAGGTATGGTGGCTCACGCCTGTAATCTCAGCACTTTGGGAGGCCGAGGCAGGTAGATAGCCTGAGCCCAGGAGTTTGAAACCAGCCCAGGCAACATGAGGAAACTTCGTCTCTACCAAAAATACAAAAATTAGCTGGGCATGGTGGTGCACACCTATAGTCCCAGTTATTAGTGAGTCTAAGGTGGGAGGATTGCTTGAGCCTGGGAGGTTGAGGCTGCAGTGAGCTGAGATCATGCTACTGCACTCTAGCCTGGGTGACAGAGCGAGACGCTGTCTCAAAAAAAAAAAAAATACATACACACACACACACACACATATATATGTAATAGGTAACCATACATATCAAATAATGCAGTTGTGGATCATAAAAAAGGGTCAAATAGCATAAGTAAATGGACCCAGAGCTCTGTCTAGTTGGGATTTGCTTCTAATGTTCACCTGCTAATGATTCCACGAGTTGCCAAATTAGAAATATACTTGCCCCTATTGGTACCTCATGAATTTTCTCAAATATCAAATGATTTCAACTTACGACTTTCTTTCAAGTTAACTTCTAGTAAGGTTCCTCAGAATCAGATTAACCCCTGGTGAGATACTCAGTTACAGATCTTCATGAATGCTGGTTTAGTCTGGGAAATTGTTTCAGTCTGTGGATCTCTTCAATGCTTAAACAATTACTTTAACTTGTTTGGTAAAAATTATGATCTAATTATTTTTCAAGTGTACTTGGCTTAACGAAATGCAGCAGCGGGGTGTGCCTTTTAGCAGCAGAACCGACCACTTTTTACATTCCTTACAAATAAGATATGGTTCAGTATTTTAAATCATAGCAACAGTTGATAAGAAAAACAGCAAAAAGGTAATCATTTCCATATGGAAAGAAAAAGAAGAACCAGTGAAGCTGTGAACTGTCATTTTTCCATATAAAAGTCACTATTGGTAGATTTGGCAGAAAGGGCAAATGTTCCTATTTGTTAATCATTTTACATTTGTTAATATATTGCATGTGATGTGTTTTATGGAAATACAACATTCCCTTCAAACTCAGTTGTCAATTTCCAAGCACGTTTTGTCTTGGGTGAAACCCGTATCTTGTGCGTCAATTTCATCAAGTAACTATATTTCCTTGGTGATAATTTTCTCAACTTAGTGAAAAATTTAGGTGAAAATTCTTACCCCTTTTACTGAAAAGCATATAACCATCATCTGTACCAGCTGAATACCTATAAGTAATTTCATTCTTTTTTTTTTTTTTTGGAGACAGTCTTACTCTGTCACCCGGGCTGGAATGCAGAGGCACGATACCAGTTCACTGCAGCCTCGACCTCCCAGGCTCAAGTGATCCTCCCACCCAAACCTCCAAAGTAGCTCAGACCACAAGTGTATGCCACCACACCCAGCTAATTAAAATTTTTTTTTTTTTTTGGAGAGATGGGGGTCTTACTGTATTTCTCAGGCTGGTCTCAAACTCCTGGCCTCAAGTGATCCTCCCACTTTGCCCTCCCAAAGTGTTGGGATTACAGGTGTGAGCCACCATGCCCAGCCCATTATAAGTAATTTTAAAGCAATAATTGAATAAAATCAATATCTGCTCTGGCATTCCAAGATCCAAAACAAAATTTGAGCCAATTTTCTCATGCCCAAAAAGTTTAAGAAAAGCACACTAAGTACACATTTACCTATTTACTTTTGTACTTAAGCATAAGCATTTATTACCAAAATCCTCATATTTATTTTTAAATAGCTGCTTAGAGTGGAAACTTGCCCTGTTACAGAATATTCAAAATACATGTTCACACTGTAGCATTTGACAACATCTCCCTCCTGTGGTTCAAAGCATTCATTTCAAACATGAATATATTAAGTACAGAATTACAATTCCTTAGCTTGAAATTATGCTGTGAAAGTTTGGTTCATGCTTTGTGAGTTGTTTTTGGAGTTGTTTTGGAGTAAAGATTTAGGAACATGTAGACAAAGAGAATATTCTCTTTTCTTGGCTAGTTCCAGAGTCCCAACATTTCAGCAAAGTGTTTCCCCAAAGTTCTTTATAAAAGCACCATTTTTTTTTCTTACAAATGAAATACCAAGTGAATGTTTTCATTGAAAACATGCGATTCTCCATTTTAAAAAGTTTTCTTCCTTTTCTGTGGGCATAGTATGCAGAATAGACTCAGCATTCTACGTGGTTACTTTAACAGAATGGAACTTTGAAAACATTTTTTTTTTTTTTTTTTTTTGAGACGGAGTCTCGCTCTGTCGCCCAGGCTGGAGTGCAGTGGCGCGATCTCGGCTCACTGCAAGCTCCGCCTCCTGGGTTCACGTCATTCTCCTGCCTCAGCCTCCCGAGTAGCTGGGACTACAGGCACCCGCCACCGCGCCTGGCTAATTTTTTGTATTTTCTGGTAGAGACGGTGTTTCACCGTGTTAGCCAGGATGGAGAACTTTGAAAACTTTACAGAGAAAATAGTATTGAAAATATTTTAGTCCAGAAATGCCTTAAGGTATACTTTTCCCATTGTTCAAGATCAGAGATTACAGTAACTGGCAACAACCTGCTCTAATGACGTGAAACTGTCTAAAAAGTCCTCTTCTTCGATTCCAAATTTTGTGTACTGATGAATGTAGGCTCTGGTAGAAAAAAAAAAAAAACAGAAATTACAAAATAAAAAATGTCTGGCAAATGAGTAACTCTTAAACAATAAACAGACCTTTTCTAGCTGATGAACATTTGAAGATCACACAATCGTTCAGAAGTCTTACATTTGCTTTGTTTACTCCAAAGATTAGTGAACTTTCTTTTTTTTTTTTGAGACAGAGTCTTGCTCTGTCACCTAGGCTGGAGTGCAGTGGCATGATCTCGGCTCACTGCAACCTCCACCTCCCAGGTTCAAGCGATTCGACTACCTCAGCCTCCCGAGTAGCTGGGATTACAGGAACGTGCCACCACACCCAGCTAATTTTTGTATTTTTAGTAGAGACGGGGTTTCACCATAATGGCCAGGCTGCTCTGGAACTCCCAACCTTAGGTGATCCACCCGCCTCGGCCTCCCAAAGTGCTGGGATTACAGGTGTGAGCCACCACGCCCAGCCTGAACTTTCAAAATTTATGTCAAGCTCCCTGTTTTTTCAGTGTCCAAAAAACTGGCAAAGGAGAGGCACCCGGGAAAGAGCAGCATGTTCAGATTTGGCTATCTACTCAGTATATATATATATACATATATAACACCCTATATTCAGTATAAACTCTGAAAAGTGCCTGAAAAGTTTCATATAAGCCTTGAAACTAGAAAACACATCAGTCCAGTTCTAGGAATGGAGTGAAGCCTCCCAGGTGCTCCCAGGACATTTAATTTGTAGTTATGCCAGGGTGGTCCTCTCAATCCCTCCCACCCCACAAAATTTTTTTTTTTTTTTGAGACAGGGTTTTGCTCTGTCTCTGTCACCCAGGATGGAGTGCAGTGGTGTGATCTCGGCTCACTGTGACCTCTGCCTCCTGGGGTGAAGCAATTCTTGTGCCTCAGCCTCCCAAGTAGCGGGAATTACAGGTGCGTACCACCACACCTGGCTAATTTTTGCATTTTTAGTAGAGGTGGGGTTTCACCATGTTGGCCAGGCTGGTCTTGAATTCCTGGCCTCAAGTGATCCACCTGCCTTGGCCTTCCAAAGTGCTGGGGTTACAAGCGTGAGCCACCATGCCTGGCTGCTCCCTGCAAATGTTCTGAGGCACAAAAATCATGTGCAAAAAGAATATCAAGGGCAGACATGAATTAAATTGACATAATAATGGCTGCTACCATTTAACGAGAGTAGGAAGGGAATGACACCAGAAGAGGACAGACTTCATGGCCCTGTGGAGTGGGTTTTTTTGTTTGTTTGTTTGTTTGTTTTTGAGACAGAGTTTTGCACTGTTGCCTGGGCTGGAGTGCAGTGGCATCATCTTGGCTCACCACAACCTCCACCTCCCAGGTTCAAGTGAGTCTCCTGCCTCAGCCTCCCAAGTAGCTGGGATTACAGGTGCCCGCCACCACGCCCAGCTGTTTTTTGTGTTTTTAGTAGAGACGGGGTTTCACCATGTTGGCCAGGCTGGTCTCAAACTCCTGATCTTGTGATTCGCCCACCTTGGCCTCCCAAAGTGCTGGAATTACAGGTGTGAGCCACTGCACCCAGCCTGAGTGGGGTTTTATGGAATGGTCACATGCAGGATGGCTGGGCCCTGGGGTATCCGAGCTAATGAAAGTTATAGGTGGCTGGGCACAGTGGCTCACACTGGTAATCCCAGCACCTTGGGAGGCCAAGGTGGGCGGATCACCTGAGGTCAGGAGTTCGAGACCAGCCTGACCAACATGGAGAAACCCTGTCTCTACTAAAAATACAAAATTAGCTCGGTGTAGTGGTGCATGCCTGTAATCCCAGCTACTTGGGAGGCTGAGGCAGGAGAACTGCTTGAACCCAGGAGGCAGAGGTTGCAGTGAGCAGAGATCATGCCATTGCACTCCAGTCTGGGCAACAACTGCGAAACTCCATCTCAAAAAAAAAAAAGAAAAAGATAGTTAGAAGCCTTGTCCACTCATTTGAAGAATTTTGCTTTGACTTAAGTAACTGTGGTAGAGATCAAGAAATCTGCTAAAACATGTTAGTATGAAGTAGACATTTCTTAGTATCAAACCAAGTTGAATTTAATCATAATCTTATTGAGGAACATAAGGATCTTCCACTCTCCCAAGAATCTTATGTTTTTTAATTTAATTTAATTTTTTTTTGAGATGGAGTCTCGCTCTTGTTGCCCAGGCTGGAGTGCAATGGCATAGTCTCGGCTCTCTGCAACCTCCACCTCCTGGGTTCAAGTGATTCTCCTGCCTCAGCCTCCCAAGTAGCTGGGATTACAGGCACCCACCACTATGCCAAGCTAATTTTTGTATTTTTTTTTTTTTTTTTTTTTTTTTTTTGAGACGGAGTCTCGCTCTGTCGCCCAGGCTGGAGTGCAGTGGCGCGATCTCGGCTCACTGCAAGCTCCGCCTCCCGGGTTCACGCCATTCTCCTGCCTCAGCCTCCCGAGTAGCTGGGACTACAGGCGCCCGCTACCACGCCCGGCTAATTTTTTGTATTTTTAGTAGAGACGGGGTTTCACCGTGTTAGCCAGGATGGTCTTGAAATCCTGACCTCAGCTGATCTGCTCGCCTCAGCCTCCCAAAGTGCTGGGATTACAGGTGTGAGCCACCATGCCCGGCTGATGTTATTTTTGAAAACTATCTTATTGTCCCTGCTTCATAATAAAATTCTACTTTAATAATGTCAAACAATTACTGAGCATTTACTAGCCAGGCACTGTACTAGCTGTTTTACAAGATTATCTTATCTAATCCTCGTGAGAAATGTCCTCAGTTAGGACCCACTTATACAGATGAGGCAATGAAGCCTGAAGTCACGTGCCCAAGGCTTCATACCTTCACACCTACAAAGTAGTAACTATGCTTCCTGCAGATCGGACCTCATGCTTTAACGCTACAGTATCTGCTTATAAGTTAGAAAGGCTGCAGTGCATGGTGGCTTACGCCTGTAATGCCAGCACTTTGGGAGGCTGAGGTGGGCAGATCCCGAGGTCAGAAGTTCGAGACCAGCCTGAGCAACATGGTGAAACCCTGCCTCTACTAAAAATACAAAAATTAGCTGGGTGTGGTGGTAGGCGCCTGTAATCCCAGCTACTTGGGAGGCTGCAGCAGGAGAATCACTTAAACCCGGGAGGCGGAGGTTGCAGTGAGCCAGTGAGCCAAGATCGTGCCACTGCACTCCAGCCTGGGCAACAGAGTGAGACTCTGTCTCAAAAAAAAAAAAAAAAAGAAAGGTTTGTAGACTTATTTTATACTTACTTTGAAGCAAACATATTCCATGCCTTCCCAACAATCATATCAAGTGGTTTTACTAAGAACTGGCTGTTGCTGACCAACACTGCAGACTTCTCATATTTGCTAAAGGCCCGCTGGGTTTTCCACACGTTGAAAGCATTAACAGGCTTCAACCAGGAAGTATACAGAGCTGGATCTTTAAATCCCTCTAGAGTAAAAACAAGATAAGCCGTCTTTTTATAGCATAAATTAGTAATTGTGAAAACAAACAAACAGATATTTTCTTGTCTATTTCATCAGAGATCTTTTATTTTGCCTTTTAAAACTTGTGATGGCTGGTGCAGAGACTTCCAGAAATTTAGGAGGTGGAGGAGGGTAGATTGCTCGAGCCCAGGAGTTCGAGACCAGCCTGGGCAACACAGTAAAACCCCATCTCTACTAAAAATAAAAAATATTAGCTGTACATGGTGGTGTGCATTCTTCTTAACACTTTTCTGAAAGGTGTGAATTATTACTAATTTTTTTTTTTTTTGAGACAGCCTGTTGCCCAGGCTGGGGTGCAGTGGCATGATGTTGGCTCACTGCAACCTCTACTTCCTGGGCTCAAGCAATCCTCCCACCTTAGCCTCCTGAGTAGCTGGGATTACAGATGCCCGCCACCATGCCTGCCTAATTGTTGTATTTTTTGTAGAGATGGGGTTTCACCATGTTGGCCAGGCTGGTCTCGAACTCCTGGCCTCAAGTGATCCACCTGCCTCAGCCTCCCAAAGTGCTAGGATTATAGGCATGAGCCACTGCACTGGTCCCTTTCTTTTCTGTACAATGAATATGGATCATTTATTCGAAAATAATATACTGCCAGTTTTGTTTTGTTTTGTTTTGAGACAGGATCTTGGTCTGTCACCAGGCTGGTGTGCAGAGGCACTATCACAGCTCACTGCAGCCTTCACCTCCTGCCCTTAAGTGATCCTCCCACCTCAGCCTCCCAAGTAGCTGGGACTACAGGCACACGCCACCATGCCTAATATTTTTATTTTTTGTAGAGATGGGGTCTCACTATGTTGCCCGAGCTGGTCTCAAATTTCTGGGCCCAAGCAATCGTCCCACCTCTGCCAAAGTGCTGGGATTACAGGTGAGAGCCACTGTGACTGGTCCTATTTTAAATTATTATTTGTTCTTTCTCTAAGGGGCATTACAGGGACTAGATTGTTCGGTTTTCTTTTTTCTTTTTGATAATGGATCTCACTCTTGTCGCCCAGGCTGGAGTACAGTAGCACCACCATCATTGGTCACTGCAGCCTCAAACTCCTGGGTTCAAGTGATCCTCCTGCTTCAGTCTCCCTAGTAGCTGGGACTACAGGTGTGCACCACTATACTTGGCTAAAGTTTAAAATTCTTTGTGGAGATGGGGTCTCGTTATGTTGCCCAGGCTGGTTTCGAACTCCTAGCCTCAAGCGATCCTCCTGACTTAGCCTGCCAAAGTGCTGGGATTACATATACGTGCCACTGTGCTGGGCCTTGGTTTTCTTTGCATCACAACAAGAAGTAGCAAACATGATACTTGCTGAAGTCATGATAAAATGAACCTGGAAACTTGCCATAGAAAAACAAAGCTAGTAAGAATAATGCCCTTTCAGCTGGGCGCAGTGGCTCACACCTGTAATCCCAGCACTATGGGAGGCCGAGGCAGGTGGATCACTTGAGGTCTGCAGTTTGAGACCAGCCTGGTCTGCAGTTTGAGACCAGCCTGGTCAATATGGTCAAATCCCATCTCTACTAAAAATAAAAAAATCAACCGGGCATGGTGGCGCATGCCTATAATCCCAGCTACTTGGGAGGCTGAGGCAGGAGAATCACTTGAACCTGGGAGGCAGAGGTTGCAGTGAGCTGAGATTACACCACTGCACTCCAGCCTGGGTGACAGAGTGAGACTCTGTCTCACACACACACAAGAATAATAATGCTCTTTCAACTTCCTGAAAAATTTGTAACAAAATGCTTTTCACAGATACCACTGGTTGTCCAGCAATTCCTGCTCCTTAGCAATTCCCGTTCACCCCTTCTTCCTTAGTATCAATTCCCCTAAACTTTAACTGAACTTGCAGTGAGGTGTGTCACAGAACTCAGTACCAGTCAATGGGACAGAAATTCAAGTGTGATATGTGACTTTGAGAAAAGGAGGCAAGCCTAGCTGGGCGCAGTGGCTCACGCCTGTAATCCCAACACTTTGGGAGGCTGAGGTGGGCAGATCACCTGAGGTTAGGAGTTTGAGACCAGCCTGGCCAACATGGAGAAACCCCGTCTCTACTAAAAATACAAAAATTAGCCAAGCATGCTGGCATCTGCTTGTAATCTCAGCTACTCAGGAGGCTGAGGCAGCAGAACTGCTTGAACCTGGGAGGCGGAGGTTGCACTGAGCCAAGATCACACCACTGCACTCCAGCTTGGGCAACAGAGTGAGACCCCGTCTCAAAAAAAAAAAAAAAAAAAAAAAAGGAAAGGAGGCAGGTCCTTCTCTGCTCATTTCTATAAGGAGGCAGCCAGATGGTAAAGTAAGGGTGACAGGGCAGCCAGATGTTCAGAAAACAATTCTTTTTTTTTTTTTTTTTAATAGAGACAGGGTCTTGCTCTGCTGCCCAGGCTGGAGGGCAGTGCCATAATGATGGCTCACTGCAGCCTTGACCTCCTAGGCTCAAGCTATCCTTCTGCCTCAGCCTCCCAAGTAACTGGGACTACATGCGTGTGCTACCACACCCGGCTAAAGGAATTATACTTTTATCTTGTTTAAACCACTTCTATATTGGTGTCTAGTCACATACTAACTGATGCCATGGTCAAATTTTGCCACTAAAACACACAGTTATTACTTTCCTTTCTCCAAGAACACAGGGACTTTTTAAAAACCATTTGTACCATATAGCATGTACAGGTACAAAATGTAAATCTTAATTTTCACCTGAATTTCTTACCCACATCTGCACTTTGCACATCTTTCCCACGAAGAATGACCAAGTTAGCAATGGAAGTGTTAAAATGCAGGTCCTTGTTGAGAGACATTTTACTAAGAGGAGGAAGTCCTGATAAAGGAGGCCATACATGCCTATCAATACCTACCAAAAGAAAAAAAAAGCAAGAGGTTTTATTTTATTTACTTAGTTTTTTGAGATGGAGTCTCACTCTGTTGCCCAGGCTGGAGTGCAGTGGCATGATCTTGGCTCACTGCAACCTCCATCTCCCAGGATCAAGCGATTCTCCTGCCTCAGTCTCCCCCAGTAGCTGGCTAGACAGGATTAGAGGTGTGTGCCATCACGCCCAGCTAATTTTTTTGTATTTTTAGTAGAGACGGGGTTTCACCATGCTGGCCAGGCTGGTCTCGAACTCCTGACCTCGAATGATCTGCCTGCCTCAGCCTCCCAAAATGCTGGGATTACAGGCGTGAGCCACTGCACCCAGCCCAAAAGCAAGAGATTTTATAAATGGCTTTGAACAAGAGGAGAAAAATGGTCTTGTGGTATGTGTATTTTAGGTTTTTTTTTTGGACAGGGTCTCTCGCTATGTCACCCAGGCTGGAGTGCAGTGGCTATTCACAGGTGTGATCATACCTCACTGCAGCCTCAAACTCCTGGGCTCAAATGATCCTCCCGCCTTATCCTCTGATGTAGCTGGGACTATAGGCATCATTTTTCCTGTTTAAAAGGGAGGGTCTACCAATTCTCCTATGCCTACTCCACTAGACTTTGTTGGGGCAAAAAATTGTACTCAAAGGGCTATACTCAAGAAATCTTAGGATGGGTGTGGTGGCTCATGCCTGTAATCCCAGCAGTTTGGTAGGCTGCGCTGGGAGGATCTCTTGAGTCCAGGAGTTCGAGACCAGCCTGGACAAAATAGCAGACTCTGCTTCTTAAAAAAATTAGTCTGGCATCTGTGGCATGCACCTACTTGAGAAACTGAGTGGGGAGAATTGCCTAAGCCCAGGAGGTCGAGGCTACAGTGAGCCGTGATACTGCCACTGCACTCCAGCCTGGGTGACAGTGCGAGAAATACCACTTGAGGAGTATAAATCCATGCTGCTTTTGGAGGATAAGATTTTGGACCGATGTGCTAATGGGATGTAACTTTTGGGGGCTTTGGGAGGGGAGGAGTGTACTGTGCATGTGGGAGGACATGACTTAGGGACAGCGCAGAGAACAGTAGTCAGCCTCCAAAATGACCCCAATCATCTTTGCTTCCTGGTATTCAAGCCCTTGGGCAGTATGCTCTCACACTGGAGAGGGCTGACCTTAACCAAAAGGATGTTGCAGAAATAACATCACAAAAGGTCACAAAAGGTGTTAACTTCAAGGCTGGGCATGGTGGCTTATGCCTGTAATCCTAGCACTTTGGGAGGCTGAGGCAGGCGGATCACTTGAGGTGAGGAGTTTGAGACCAGCCTGGCCAAAATGGTGAAACCCCATCTCCACTAAAAATACAAAAAAAAAAAAAAAAAAAAAAAAAATTAGCTGGGTGTAGTGGCAGGTGCCTATAATCTCAGCTACTTGGGAAGCTGAGGCAGGAGAATCGTTTGAACCCAGGAGGCAGAGGCTGCAGTGAGCCAAGATCATGCCACTGCACTCCACCCTGGGCAACAGAGCAAGACTCCATGTCAAAAAAAAAAAAAAAAAAAAAGGCATTAACTTCTGCCTTGCTCCCTCCTGGATCACATATTCTCCCTAATGGTAGAACATGCAGAAACAGATACTGATGGTGAGAGAAATAGGGTAAATCTTTACGTAGAGGCCAGGCGCGGTGGCTCATGCCTGTAATCCCAGCACTTTGAGAGGCTGAGGTGGAAGGATCACTTGAAACCAGGAGTTCAAGACTAGCCTGGGCAACATAGTCAGACCCCATCTCTACAAAAATAAAAGAAATAACAAAATTAGGCCAGGTGCAGTGGCTCATGCCTGTAATCCCAGCACTTTGCGAGGCAGAGGGGGGGGATCACGAGTTCAAGAGATCGAGACCATACTGGCCAACATGGTGAAACCCCATCTCTACTAAAAATACAAAAATTAGCTGGGCGTGGTGGCACACGCCTGTAGTCCCAGCTACTCAGGAGGCTGAGGCAGGGGAATCGCTTGAACCCGGGAGGCGGAGGTTGCAGTCAGCCAATATTGCGCCACTGCACTCCAGCCTGGCGACGGAGCGAGACTCCATCTCAAAAAATAAATAAATAAATAAATAAATAAGAAAATTAGTCACTTATGGTGGTACACACCTGTAGTCCTAGCTATAGGAAGCTGCGATAGGAGGATCACTTGAGCCCAGGAGTTTGAGGCTGCATTGAGCTATGATTGCGCCACTGCACTCCAGCCTACGTGACAGAGTGAAACCCCATCTCAAAAACAAAACAAAACAAAATCTTCCCACAGAGCAAAGAATATATGAAGAGTTATAAAACTAGATCCTTCAACCTGGTTTGTGCCATATATATATATTTATTCATATACTATTCATACATGTGTATGAAAACATTTATATGTTCAAACTATACAACTGTGAAAAAATGCTGACACCCGGCCGGGCATGGTGGCTTCTGCCTATAATCCCAGAACTTTGGGAGGCCAAGGCGGGCAAATCACAAGGTCAGGAGTTCAAGACCAGCCTGGCCAATATGGTGAAACCCCGTCTCTACTAAAAAAATACAAAAATTAGACGGGCATGGTGGTGCGCACCTGTAGTCCCAGCTATTTGGGAGGCTGAGGCAAAAGAATCGCTTCAACTGGGAGGCAGCGGTTGCAGTGAGCCAAGATCGCGCCACTGCACTCCAGCCTGGGTGACAGAGCAAGATTCTGTCCCCCCCGCCAAAAAAAAAAAAGAAAAAAGAAAAAATGTTGACACCCTAAAAGTTCCACATGGGAACTCAGCAAACTGTGGTTTATTGACCTAAGAGAGCTCAGAGCAGCATGTCTCACATGACTCTAAGGAACATTGTGTTCCTTGTGGTATTAACAGGTATTGCTCGAAAAACAGGTACTATGGCCAAAAAATTCAGGAAGCACTATTTTTACATGTAAACTTTCTACTTATCTCCAAACCTCTGGCACTATAATCTAAAATCCGTAAGATATTACAAATAAATGTTGAGAAAATCTACTCTCATAGTATAAAAGCCTAACTTAATTTGTGGTATAATATATGCTATTAATACCTAGTAGTGATTTCTAGTTACACATGACAGACTGAGCATATCAGTTTCCTGCCACTCTCTCTCCAGATCCTGCTTAATCACTAAAAGGATAAGCACAAACAAGAAAAAAAGGAACAGGAGAGAATATAACAGCAACAAAATTTTGGAGCTGGAGAGCAAATGGTTACTGACTGCACAACAAGAAAAAGCTAAAAATTTTGCCCACAATTGAGGTCCTGGAAGTAGACCAGACACTTTTCAAAGTGAAAAAAAGGCTGGGCACGGTGGCTTATATCTGTAATCCCAGCACTTTGGGAATTTGAGGCATGTGGATCACTTGAGGTCAGGAGTTCAAGACCAGCCTGGCCAACATGATACAACCCCATCTCTACTAAAAATACAAAAATTAGCTAGGTGTGGTAGTACACATTCATACATTGGTAATCCCAGCTACTTGGAATTCCGACTAAGGTGGGAGGATCACCTGAACCTGGGAGGTGGAGGTTGCAGTGAGCCAAGATGATGCCACTGCATCATCTTAGGCGACAGAGTGTGACTCCATCTCACAAAAAAAAAAAAAAAAAAAAAAAAAAAAAAAAAAATCAAAGTGTAAAAATACAGGAGGATTAACTAAAAATCTATTTGAGAAGCAGTGAGAGCCCCTTCCCCACTCCCTGCAGTAGGAGGAGTGCGCTCTTCCACCCTAGAAGGTTTCTGCTGTGAAAAGGCTAAACCTGGGAGGCTCTGGCCTCAGTGACACCTGGCACAGCCCTGTAGAGAACCTTTGGAAAACCAGGTCACGAAGTAGCAGCTTTCGCAGGAAAGTGTAACAGTCCATGTCTTCCCCGTCCAGCTCTGAAAAGGCTGGCAGCCAGGCTTATCATGCCTTCAGGAAAGAGATGGAGGAGGAAGCAACTGATCAAGAGATAAGATACGCTGAGTATGATATTTGGAAGTCCAGCAATAAAATGGCCAGGCAGATCACCTTACTGTGAAACCCACACAAGTCTGCAATGTCCGTAAGGGTCCATTCAGTGCCCGGAGCAACTAACTCAGCAAATAATCACTGAGCGTTTACCGTTCCAGGCTCCAAAGATGCAACAGTAAACCAAATAGATTAAATAAAGCTTACCTTCTACTGAGATAAACCAAAGACCCATGTCAAGTACTTTCAGAATGCTGGGGACAAAGAGAAAATCCTAAAAGCTTCAAGAGATAACAAAATAGGATTGGGAATCAGAACAACCTGAGACTTCTCAACAGCAACGCTGCAAGTGAGAAGATGATAGAGCAATGGCTTCGAAATACTCAGTAAAAAGAAAATGATTCCCAACCTAGAATCCTATCCCTGGCCAAACTATCATTCAAATGCAATGGCAGAACAGAATTATGATATTTATTTATTTTTGAGACAGGGTCTCGCTCTGTCGCCGAGGCTGGAGTGCAGTGACACGATCTCAGCTCACTGCAACTTCCCTCTGCCTCCCAAGTTCAAGCAATTCTCCTGCCTTAGCCTCCTGAGTAGCTGGGACTACAGGCGCCCGCCACCATGCCTGGCTAATTTTTTGTATTTTTAGTAGAGACGGGGTTTCACCATGTTAGCAAGGATGGTCTCGATCTCTGACCTCATGTTTCACCTGCCTTGGCCTCCCAAAGTGCTGGGATTACAGGTGTGAGCCACTGCACCCGGCCAGAATGAAGATATTTGTAGCCTCAAACATTTTAATTTCCTTGTACTCTCTTAGGGAGCTCCTGAAAGGTATGGTCCATCAATATGAGGGAATAAATCAAGAAAGCAGATTTGAAATCTAGGAGGTACAGATATAAATCAGGATGAGGCAAGCAGAGATGCCAGGGCTGGCTGCTTATCAAGCCTAGAGAGCAGTCAGTCCAGAATGGAATGGGAAGATAAATGCCTTCCAGAAGATGTCTCTAGGCAGATAATGGAAGTAATCACTTACCTGATGGGTTTAAACATATTAAGAAAGAATTCTTTTTTTTTATTTTTGAGACAGGGTTTTGCTCTGTTGCCCAGGCTGGAGTGCAGTGGCATGATCACAGCTCATTTTAAACTCAAATCCCTTGGTTCAAGGGATTCTCCTGCCTCACCCTCCCAAGTAGCTAGGACTACAGGTGCATACCACTATGCCCAGCATTTTTTTTTTTGAGACAGAGTCTCGCTCTGTTGCCCAGGCTGGAGAGCAGGGGTGTGATCTCAGCTCGCTGCAACCTCTGCCTCCTGAGTTCAAGCCACTCTCCTGCCTCAGCCTCTTGGGTAGCTGGGATTACAAGTGTGTGCCATCACGCCTCGCTAATTTTTTGTATTTTTAGTAGAGATGGGGTTTCTACTACATCCGTGTTAGCCAGGATGGTCTCGATCTTCTGAACTTGTCCGCCTCGGCCTCCCAAAGTGCTGGCTCACAGGCGTGAGCCACCCTGCCGGGCCAGCTAATTTTTTTAAATTATTTTTTTAGAGATGGGGTCTTGCTTTGTTGCTCAAGCTAGTTTTGAACTTCTGGCCTCAAGCGATCCTCCTGCCTTAGCCTCCCAAAGTGCTGAGATTACAGGTGTGAGCCATCACATCTGAGAAGGGATTCATTTTTTTACAGAAAAGTTTCAGGATAAGTTGGTAATAGGTACAGAAAATATCAACTGAATAAATATAATGATTAACAACTCCAGGAGGGAAAAATAAACTGTACACACAAAAAAATATAATCTATGTACACAAGGCTCTACTCTGAATAATATTTAGATAGCAAAAGTAGTACAAACATTGAAAACTGATCTAACTCCCAAGTATGTTAGAAGAATGAAGGTAATTGTGTTTGTATGTGTGAGTATGTGTGTGAGTGTGCACATGTGTCAGTATATATATGAAAATGGGAATGTGTGTGTGTGTGTGTGTGTGTGTGTGTGTGTGTCTGTGTGTGTAGAGGGGGTGTAAGATGATTCAATTCTCAATTTTTTTTTTTTTTGAGATGGAGTTTCACTGTTATCACCCAGGCTGGAATGCAATGGCACTATCATAGCTCACTGTAACCTCTGCCTCCCGGGTTCAAGCAATTCTCCTGCCTCAGCTTCCCAGGAATTACAGGCGACTGCCACCACGCCCGGCTAATTTTTTTGTATTTTTTAGTAAAGAAGGGGTTTCGCCATGTTGCCCAGGCTGGTCTCGAACTCCTGACCTCAGGTGATCCACCCACCTCAACCTCCCAAAGTGCTGGGATTACAGGCGTGAGCTACTGCGCCCAGGCCAATTCTCAATTTTCACACTAGGAATGCAAGAGATAACAATATAAGTAAGACATTTATAACTATGGAGGCAAATTGTAGATGAAATAGCTAGACGTTGAAAGTAGTTTCATCTGTGTAATGGGGAGGTGTAGGATTGCTGTTTTTCCTTGTCATAAATTCATACCAGACATTACTTAAGTTGTTTTTTGTTGTTGTTTTTTTTTTGAGAAAGGGTCTCACTCTGTCACCCAGGCTGAAGTGCAGTTGTGTGATCACAGCTCACTGCAGCCTTGACCTCCTGGGCTCAGGTGATCCTCCCACCTCAGCCTCCTAAGTTGCTGGGAATACAGGCCCATGTCACCATGTCCAGATAATTTTTTATATTTCTTGTAGAGATGGGGTTTTGCCATGTTGCCCAGACTGGTCTCGAACTCCTGGGCTCAAGCGCTTCTCCTGCCTTGGCCTCCCAAAGTGCTAGGATTATAGGTATGAGCCACCATACCTGGCCCATTACTTGACCTTTTAAAAAACTGAGATATAGGCCGGGCGCAGTGGCTCATACCTGTAATCCCAGCACTTTGGGAGGTCGAGGTGGGTGGATCACAAGGTCAGGAGTTCGAGACCAGCCTGGCCAATATGGTGAAACCTCATCTCTACTAAAAATACAAAAAAATTAGCCAGGCATGGTAGCACACGCCTGTAATCCCAGCTCCTTGGGAGGCTGAGGCAGAAGAACTGCTTGAATCCGGGAGGCAGAGGTTGCAGTGAGCCGAGATCGCGCCACTGCACTCCAGCCTGGGTGACAGAGCGAGATTCCATCTCAAAAAAATAAAATAAATAAAAAATAAAATACTGAGATATAATTGGCCGGGCACGGTGGCTCACTCTTGTAATCCCAGCACTTTGGGAGGCCAAGACGGGTGGATCACGAGGTCAGGAGATTGAGACCATCCTGGCTAACACGGTGAAACCCCGTCTCTACTAAAAATACAAAAAATTAGCCGGGCGTGGTGGCAGGCGCCTGTAGTCCCAGCTACTCGGCAGGCTGAGGCAGGAGAATGGTGTGAACCCGGGAGGCGGAGGTTGCAGTGAGCTGAGATCACGCCACTGCACTCCAGCCTGGGCGACAGAGCAAGACTCAGTCTCAAAAAAAAAAAAAAAAAAAAATTGAGATATAATTTAAATACAGTGCAATGTATGGATTTAAGTATATATTTAAATGAGTTTTGGCTACTTGATTTTTAAAACTATGTTCACTTATTTGATTAAAATAAAAATTTAAAAAAAATCTGGCACTCATTTGAAATGTCTTTTGGTAATGAAACTGTGAAGTGATTAAGAAACCCTCCTAAGATGTCCTGGTGAGTTTCTGCCGGAGTCTCTCTAGCCAGAAAAAGGGACCATTATTTAAACTGGTCCAAGCCAGTTTATATTGAGACTCCAGGACAGACATTTTTTCCAGCTTGTGGGCTGCATATTTTTGGACTACTCTTTACCTTCTTCCATCTTTGCATTAGAAATGAGCATCTGTCTCAAATGCTTGAGGAGGCCAGCCCAAGTAAATGTGGTGTATGCCAATGAATTCTCAGACATGTGAGGAATGTTACGAACACTCAGCATCTTGAATTCAGGATGGGGAACTAAATGCTCCATTAAGTCTCCTGTAAAGAAAAAAAAATCTGAACTAATTTTTTTTTATTCTACATTGTTGCCAATAGTCTATATATAACCATGATTTGAAGGTTTTCTGGGCCAAATGTTTTTTCTCTTCTCAGACCAGAATTATTTAATCTTTAATATAAATACAATTTCAGAGACAATGTCTATTACACACCACCTCTTTGCTTCATTTTAGCACTGACTTGAGCATGAGTGAGAAAATACACTTTGCCAAAAAGCAAACTACAATTTAGAAGCTGAATAACTGGAAATGTGAATGAAATATTTAGGTAAACTCCAGGCAAACAAAGTAAACATGAGAACTGATATGCTTTTCTTGTCATTCTATGTTCACTAAATATTGTTATATTCTTTTTTTTTTTTTTTTTTTTTGGGATGGAGTCTTGTTCTGTCGCCAGGCTGGAGGAGTGCAGTGGCGTGATCTCGGCTCACTGCAACCTCTGCCTCCCACGATCAAGCGATTCCCGTCTCAGCCTCCTGAGTAGCTGAGACTACAGGCACGTACCACCAAGCCCAGCTAACTTTTTGTACTTTAGTAGAGATGAGGTTTCACCATGGTGGCCAGGATGGTCTCGATCCCCTGATCTCATGATCTGCCTGCCTTGGCCTCCCAAAGTACTGGGATTACAGGTGTGAGCCACCGCACCCACCCTACTAAATACTCTTTTAGAAATGTTACTAGATTTTTACATACCGTATCTGGTTAGGTGATAATCAAACCCTGTTAACATGAAAGTTAATATAAGCCAGGCACGGTGGCTCACGCCTGTAATCCCAGCACTTTCGGAGGCCTAGGTGGGCAGATCATGAGGTCAGGAGTTTAAGACCAGCCTGGCCAACATGGTCTTGGTCTTAATAGAAACACTGTTTCTATTAAAAATATGAAAATTAGCCAGGCGTTGTGGCAGGCACCTGTAATCCCAGCTACTTGGGAGGCTGAGGCGGGAGAATCGCTTGAACCCGGCAGACAGAGGTTGCAGTGCATCGCACTCCAGCCTGGGCGACAAAGCAAGACTCTGTCTCAAAAAAAAAAAAAAGTTAACATGAAACTCTATTTGGAAAGAAGACAAGATTAGATATTCCTTAAGATAGGAATGTGCCTATCTTTAGAAACTTGTATTTACAATGAAATAGAATTAAGGAGAAAGGGTACTTTCCTTTACATTTACAGCTGTCTCATATGTTTATAGAAAATACCTTGAGGATAGGGAAAAATATATTACCATAATATGAAACAAACTTTATAACACTGAGTACAAACTCATAATGTACATCCTAAAGAAAAGAACAAATTTTGACACAAACATCTATAAGATGCTACACAGGCGGGCTTGTGCTAATGGAGTGTCCTCTAAATGTAGAATTCTTTTCTGTAAAATACCTAGAGTTGAATTCTATTGCATAGCACAAGTAAATATAGAATAGTCAGAAAATAATTCATGAGCACTAAGGCATGAATTCTTTTTTTTTTCTTTTTAGACAGTGTTTTGTTCTGTTGTCCAAACTGGTGTGCAGTGGCGCAATCAAAGCTCTGCAACCTCGAACTCCCAGGCTTAAGCAATAGCCCCACTTCAGCTTCCCTAGTAGCTGAGATTATAGGTGCACACCACCATGCCTAACTGTTTGTTTTTTTTTTGTTTTTTTTTTTTTGAGATGGAGTTTCGCTCTTATTGCTCAGGCTGGAGTGCATTGCATGACCTCAGCTCACTGCAACCTCTGCCTCCCAGGTTCAAGCAATTCTCCTGCCTCTGCCTCCCAAGTAGCTGGGATTACAGGCATGTGCCACCATGCCTGGCTAATTTTGTATTTTTTTTAGTAGAGACAGTGTTTCGCCATGTTACTTAGGCTAGTCTCGAACTCCCAACCTCAGGTGATCTGTCCGTCTTGGCCTCCCAAAGTGCTGGGATTACAGGCATGAGCCACCACACCCGGCCACTTTTTAAATTCTTAGTAGAGATGAGGTCTTGCTATGCTGCTCAGGCTGGCTTCGAACTCCTGGCCTCAAGCGATCTTCCCACCCTGGCCTCCTAAAGCACTGGGATTACAGAAGTGAGCCATGGTGCCCGGCCAATGCATGAATCACTAATTGTTGCAATCTGTTCTCCCTTCCAGCTTTCTTGTTCAGCTACTCTTACCTTAACCATTCTTTTTTTTTTTTTTAAATGGAGTCTCGCTGTCGCCCAGGCAGGAGTGCAGTGGTGCAATCTTAGCTGACTGCAACGTCTGCCTTATGGGTTCAAGCAATTCTCCTGCCTGTCTTCTGAGTAGCTGGGATTACAGGTACCCACCACCATGCCTGGCTAATTTTTGTATTTTCTGTAGAGCTGGGGTTTCACCGTATTGGCCAGGCTGGTCTCAAACTTCTGACCTCAGGTGATCCACCCTCCTCAGCCTCCCAACGTGCTGGGATACAGGCGTGAGCCACCACGCCTGGCCACCTTGACCATTCTTAAACCTCCTTGAGACTTTAATCCATGGAGCACCTGCCTTTCAATCAATCAGTCTTCCTCTTTCTGGCAAAATCCCAGTCTTCGGCCAACCCTGCTCCTCACCTTCTCTGTCAGAGCACAACTACGGAAAGTCATGCCACATGGCAGACTCGGACCTCTTTGAATTCCCAATCACCAAACACAATGCTGACGCGCACATTGACAACTCTGGATGAGATGGGAAACCTCAGGAAGGTTCTGAAAAGGGGAGCAACAGGATCTGACTTATGCTTTTAAAAACTGCAAAGCCAGAGTTCAGTCTGGCTGCTGTACTTAAGAAAAGGCTAGGGCCGGGTGCGGTGGCTCACGCCTGTAATCCCAACACTTTGGAAGGCCGAGGCGGGTGGATCATTTGAGACCAGCCTGGCCAACATGGTGAAACTCCGTCTCTACTAAAAATACAAAAATCAGCTGGGCATGGTAGCACGTGCCTATAGTGTAGTGTAGTCCCAGCTACTCAGGAGGCTGAAATAGGAAAATTGCTTGAACCCAGGAGGCAGAGGTTGCAGTGAGTCAAGATCGTACCACTGCACTCCAGCCTGGGCAACAGAGTGAGACTCTGTCTCAAAAAAAAAAAAAAAATCATTGACTTGCACACTTTAAATGGGTGAATTGCATGTTAGGTGAGTTATATCTCAACATGGTTTCTATTAAAAAAAGAAAAAAAAGAAGAGAAAGAATCCTGAAGAGCAGTGGATACCCACTGCCCTTTAGCAACTTCTCAAAGCTTTTCAATAAGACAGTTCAGAGAACTAGCAGATGTGAAGAAAGGGTTTTGAGATGAGCAAGACTTAAGTGTATCTTCAGGCAGAGGAGGAGACAGAAAGAATAAACTTTGAAGCTTTCAGAACATAAGGCTTTCCTATAATTAACGTATAGAGGGACAAATACCTAGTGGATTTCGTCTGTAGTGAAATGAGCTTTCTGCAGAATAAGTAGGCTGGAACACACTTCCCAGCTGATGTGCGAGGACTTGATTGATATCACTAAAGGAGATCTGCTTGATATTCATCAGTTTTGCACAGATCTTATGGATGGCATCATTCTCATGAAGAAGGAGGGCGTCTGAAGATCGGTACAAGTGAGAAAGTGTCAAAATGGAGTTGTAGTTTTGAACAATAACCTGGAGAGGAAAAGGTCAGAAAAAAGAAAGGTAGGAGAGAATAATGGTTAAGATTACAGATTCTCAAGGCATCCTGGCAGGGTTCAAATCCGGGCTCTGTCACTTTCTAGCCGTATGACCTTGGACAAGTTTTTTAATCTCTATGCTCAGTTTCCTTTTTTTTTTTTTTTTTGAGATAGAGACTCTGTCGCCCAGGCTGGAGTACAGTGGCACCATCTCTGCTCACTGCAACCTCGGCCTCCCGGTTCGAGATTCTTGTGTCTCAGCCCCGAGCAGCTGGAATTACAGGCTTGTGCCACCATGCCCAGCTAATTTTTGTGTTTTTAGTAGAGACAGGGTTTCACCATGTTGGCCAGGCTGGTCTCAAACTCCTGGCCTCAAGTGATCCACCCCCTTGTCCTCCTAAAGTGCTGGGATTATAGGCGTGAGCCACCGAGCCCAACCAGTTTCCTCATTTGTAATGGCTTCCTAGAACTGTAAGGATTAATGATATAATGCAAGTTAAACACTTAGAACAATGCCTTGTATGGGCACAACAAAAATTGGCCATTATTATCATACTTATCTCCTATTTCATTTCCTATAGTGACTTGTCTCACCTGATTTGTTTCTTCAGCTAGGTTGATCAACAGGAAATTGGCTTATATAGAAATTTTCAAGCTGGGAGCGGTAGCTCATGCCTGTAATCCCAGCACTTTGGGAGGCTGAGGTGGGTGGATCACCTGATGTTGAGGGTTCAAGACCAGCCTGACCAACATGGAAAAACCCCCCACCTCTACTAAAAATACAAAATTAGCCGAGCGCATGCCTGTAGTCCCAGCTACCCGGGAGGCTGATGCAGGAGAATCACTTGAACCCGGGAGGCGGAGGTTGCGGTGAGCCAAGATCGTGCCATTGCACTCCAGCCTGGACAACAAGAGCAAAACTCTGTCTCAAAAAAAAAAAAAAAAAGGAAAGAAATTTTCTCCCAATGGAAAGAAATAAAAATTACTTGAGGGTGGCAATGGCACCATGAATCCCAACATGAGGTCAAGGTGTCTGCTTTATGTACTGGAGTGAGAGACATTCTCAGCAATCAGTTCCTGAAAGAAGCACAATCATCTTCTCTGACTTTTTTTTGAAACAGAGTCTTGCTCTGTGGCCCAGGCTGGAGTACAGTGACATGATCTAGGCTCAATGCAACCTCTGCTTCACAGGTTCAAGTGATTCTCCTGCCTCAGCCTCCCGAGTAGCTGGGACAACAGGCAGGAGCCAAAACACCTGGCTAATTTTTGTATTTTTAGTAGAGAAGGGGTTTCGCCATGTTGGCCAGGCTGGTCTTAAACTCCTGGCCTCAAGTGATCTGCCCATCTCAGCCTCCCAAAGTGCTGGTATTACAGAAGTGAGCCCCAACTGCCTGGCCATTCTCTGAAAAAAAATTTTTCTTTTTTTTTTTAAGACGGGAGTCTTGCTCTTGTTGCCCAGGCTGAAGTGTAGTGGCTTGATCTCGGCTCACTGGAACCTCTGTCTCCCGGGTTCAAGAGATTCTCCTGCCTCAGCCTCCAGGTACCTGGGACTACAGGTGTGTGCCACCACACCCAGCTAATAATTGTATTTCTAGCAGAGATGGTGTTTCTCCATGTTGGCCAGGGTGATCTCGAACTTCTGACCTCAGGTGATCCATCCGCCTCGGCCTCCCAAAGTGCTGGGATTACAGGTGTGAGCCACTGCGCCCAGCCATTCTCTTAAAAAAATTTTTTTTTGAGATGGAGTCTCGCTCTGTCGCCAGGCTGGAGTGCAGTGGCGGGATATCAGCTCACTGCAGCCTCTGCCTCCCAAGTTCAAGCGAAATCTCCTGCCTCAACCTCCTGAGTAGCTGAGACTACAGGCCAGCGCCACCATGCCCAGCTAATTTTTGTATTTTTAGTAGAAACGGGGTTTCACCATGTTGGCCAGGATGGTCTCGATCTCTTGACCTCATGATTTTTCCACCTTGGCTTCCCAAAGTGCTGGGATTACAGGCGTGAGCCACTGCACCCAGCCTCTCTGAAATTTTAAATGCAAGGATACCTCATCTGTTTGGAAAAGTTTAAGGGAAGATATATATATACCATATATAATATGGTACTCATATTAAATAACCATTCTGGAAGCCATAACTTAACATTTCCAATGAAAGGGTGAGCACAATCTTTATTTTTATTTATTTATTTTTTTTTGAGACGGAGTCTTGCTCTATTGCCCAGGCTGGAGTACGGTAGCGCGATCTTGGCTCACTGCAAGCTCCGCCTCATGGGTTCACGCTATACTCCTGCCTCAGCCTCCCGAGTAGCTGGGACTAGAGGCGCCCGCCACCACGCCTGGCTAATTTTTTGTATTGTTAGTAGAGACGGGGTTTCACCATGTTAGCCGGGATGGTCTCGATATCCTGACCTCACGATCCGCCCGCCTTGGCCTCCCAAAGTGCTGGGATTACAGGCATAAGCCACCGCACCTGGGTGGTGAGAGCAATCTTTTACCCATATTTATTTCTATTGCAAAGAACATAAAACATAAACTTTTCAATTAACATGTCCATACCTCACCAGTTCCATAAGGCCAAATAATCTGATTCATTTTCAATGAGTTTGAGTACTGATCTTCTAAATTCTGTGTAACGAAAGCTCCTAATCCTGATCCTGTGCCCCCAGCCATACTCATTATGATGAAAAAACCACTGAAAGAGTCACATTTCTCCACTTCCTTCCGGATTATGTTCATTATAGATTCTTCATGCCTGGGTCCATGAACAGAGTAACTATGCAATGGCAAAAGAAACAAACACAAACACTTTTCAATTTAACCACAGATATGTAATTCAGAGAGAAAGATACAGGATAGAGAGGTTTTTTCAAAACTACGGAAGTGAAGGAACTCTCATGAAAGGTACAGGTACCCTGACTGACAAAATTTTAAATACATAAGTTGAATATATTTAACCCACTTATGCCTAGTGTTCCATTATTGGAACGCTAAGCATGTGGGAGTTATTTATATCCTATTGCTCAAGGTTATTGCTAAGGTCGGATTTTTCACTCATGCAAAAATTTAAAAAATTGCAACCTCTGGCATAAATGGGTTAACAGGCGAACAGGACTGCTAGCAGAGGGAATTTACAGAGTATAGAAAGTTCTCTTTATTTTTGAGGTTTTAATCAGATACTTTAATATTTGGGGTTTTCATAGCTGTACTTATTTTGGGGGTACATGTGATATTTGGATATGTGTATACATGTGTAATGATCAAATCAGGGTAAATGGGATATCTATCACCTCAAACATTTATTTTTTCTATGTGTTGGGAACATTACAATTCTTCTCTTTAAGCTATTTTCTTTTTCTGAGACAGAGTTTCACTCTTGTCACCAGGGCTGGAGTACAATGGCGCGATCTCGGCTCACTCCCCCTCCCGGGTTCAAGAGATTCTCCTGTCTCAGCCTCCTGAGTAGCTGGGATTACAGATGCCCGAACCACACCAGGCTAATTTTTGTATTTTTAGTAGAGACGGGGTTTCACCATGTTGGCCAGGCTGGTCTCAAACTCCTGAACTCAGATGATCAGCCTGCCTCAACCTCCCAAAGTGCTAAGATTAGAGGTGTGAGCCACTGCGCCTGGCCGCTTTTACTATTTTGATATATACAATAAATTATTGTTAACTATAATTTCCTAACTGTATTATTGAATACTAGAGTGTATTTCTTCTAACTGTATTTTTGTACCCATTAGCAACTTCTTTTTTTTTTTTAAACAGGGTCTCACTATGCTGCCCAGGCTGGTTGTGAACTCCTGGCCTCAAGCAATTCTCCTGCCTCAGTCTCCCAAAGCGCTGGAATTACAGGCATGAGCCACTGAGCCCAGTGAGCAACTTCTTTTAATCTTCCTCTAAAAGCTCTCTTTTGTAGGCTATTTTCTCCTTTTTTATTTTTTTTGTTTTTGTTTTTGTGTTTTTTGAGGCGGAGTCTCGCTCTGTCGCCCAGGCTGGGGTGCAGTGGCACCATTTCAGCTCACTAAAACTACCTCCGCCTCCCAGGTTCAAGTGATTCTCCCACCTCAGTCTCCCGAGTAGCTGGGATTAAAGGTGCGCGCCACCACACCCGGCTGATTTTTGTATTTTTAGTACAGACAGGGTTTCACCATGTTGGCCAGGCTGGTTTCAAACTCCTGACCTCAAATGATCTGCCCACTTCAGCCTCCCAAAGTGTTGGGATTACAGGTATTAGCCACGGCACCTGGCACCCCCCATCCCACATCTTTTTTCCTTTTTGAGTTAGGGTCTTACTCCGTCACCCAGGCTGGAGTGAAATGTGAAGTGCAGTGGCAAAATCACAGCTCACTGCAGCCTTGTCTTGACCTCTCAGGCTCAAAAAATTATCCCATCTCAGCCTCCCAAGTATCTAGAACTACAAGAGCATGTAACCATCCCTGGCTAATTTCTTTCTTTTTTTTTTTTTGAGATGCAGACACGCCCTGTTGTCCAGGCTGGAGTGCTGTGGCATGATCTCTACTCACTGCAACCTCTGCCACTTGGGTTCAAGTGATTCTCCTGCCTTAGCTTCCCGAGTAGCTGGGACCACAGGCACAGGCCGCCACGCCCAGCTAATTTTTGTATTTTTAGTAGAGACAGGGTTTCACCATGTTGGCCAGGCTGGTCTCAAAGTCCTGACCTCAAGTAATCCGCCCTCCTTGGCCTCCCAAACTGCTGGGATCACAAGCGAGAGCCACCATACCCAGCCGCCCGGCTAATTTCTTTTTTCTTTTTTTTGAGGCAGAGTCTCACTCTGTTGCCCAAGCTGGAGTGCCGTGGCACAATCTCGGCTCACTGCAACCTCTGCCTCCCAGGTTCAAGTGATTCTTCTGCCTCAGCCTCCCAAGGAGCTAAGGCCACAGGCACAGGCCACCACACCCATCTAATTTTTTTTTTTTTTAATATTTTTTGAGATGGAGTTTTGTTCTTGTTGCCCAGGCTGGAGTGCAATGGTGTGACCTTGGCTCACTGCAACCTCTGCCTCCTGGGTTCAAGCGATTCTCCTGCCTCAGCCTCCCGAGTAGCTGGGATGGCAGCCATCACCACGCCCAGCTAATTTTTTCTATTTTTTAGTAGAAACAGGGTTTTACCATGTTGGCCAGGCTGGTCTCAAACTCCTTTCCTCAGATGATCTGCCCACCTCGGCCTCTCGCAAAGTGCTGGGATGACAGGCGTGAGCCACTGCAACAGGCCTAATTTTTGTATTTTTAGTAGAGATGGGGTTTCATCATGTTGGCCAGGCTGGTCTCAAACTCCTGACCTCAAGTGATCCACCTTGGCCTCCCAAAGTGTTGGGATTACAGGCGTGAGCCACTGTGCCTGGCCTCACCTGGCTAATTTCTTTTTAAAATTTTTTCGTAGCGATAGGGCCTCCCTTTGTTGCCTAGGGTGGACTTGAACTCCTGGGCTCAAGCGATCCTCCTGCCTTGGCCTCCCAAATTGCTGGGATTACAGGCATGAGTAGTGGCCATTCCTTTACCTGGTAGGTACCAGGTAGTTCTACAAGTTTTGATACCAGGTAGTTCTACAAGTTTATGATACAGTATAACATTTAATATTCCTAACAGTCCTGAAACAGTGGTTCTCAAACTGTGCTGCACATGGCTGGGCACAGTGGCTCATGCCTGTAATCCTAGCACTTTGGGAGGCGGAGGTGGGTGGATCATTTGAAGTTAGGAGTTTGAGAGCAGCCTGGCCAACATAGGGAAATCCAGTATCTACTAAAAATACAAAAATTAGCCGGGCGTGGTGGCATGTGCCTGTAGTCCTACCTACTCGGGAGACTGAGGCAGGAGAATCACTTGAACCCGGGAGGCAGAGGTTGCAGTGAGCCGAAATTGCACCACTGCACTCCAACCTGGGCAACAGAGCAAGACTCTTGTCTTAAAAAAAAAAAAAAAAAATTTTGCTGCACATTAAAGTCACCTAGGGACCTTTAAAAAATCCCAACATCAGGCCAGGCGCAGTGACTCACGCCTGTAATCCCAGCATTTTGGGAGGCCAAGGCGGGTGGATCACCTGAGGTCAAGAGTTCCAGACCAGCCTGGCCAAACTGGTGAAACCCCGTCTCTACTAAAAAATACAAAAATTAGCTGGGCATGGTGGCAGGTACCTGTAATTCCAGCTACTCGGGAAGCTGAGGCAGGAGAATCACTTGAACCTGGGAGGCAGAGGTTGCAGTGAGCTGAGATTGCGCCACTGCACTCCAGCCTGGGCGACAGAGCGAGACTCCGTCTCAAAAAAATAAAAAATCCCAACATCAGGCTGGGTGCAGTGGCTCATACCTGTAATCTCAGCACTTTGGGAGGCCGAGGCAGGTGGATCACTGGAGGCCAGGAGTTCCAGACCAGTCTGGGTAACATGCTGAATCCTTGTCTCTACTAAAAAAATACAAAAATTAGCTGGGCATAGTGGTGCACACCTGTAGTCTCAGTTACTCAGAAGGCTGAGGCAGGATAATTGCTTGAACCCAGGAGATGGAGGTTGCACTGAGTCGAGATCATGCCACTGCACTCCAGCCTGGGTGACAGAACGAGACTCTGTCTCTTAAAAAAAAAAACACCAAAAACCCAACATCAGGGCTTTACCCCAAACCACTTAAATCAGAATCTCAGCAGAAGGGAAATGTGAAGGTGAAGATGGCAGTGGCCAGGGCCAGGGTCCTGGGAGTCCAGTGGATGCAAAGGGCATCCCAGAAAGTGGTGCCGCTGGGCGCAAGGACAGCCTCCCGCATAACCAATGACATGCTCTCAGGGTCCTATCCTAGGACGCCAAAAGGACAGGCCACTGCCCTCAAGAAGTATAACATGTGTGTGGGAGACTACGAGCCTTACCCGGATGATGACATGGGGTATGGCGACTACCCAAAGCTCCCTGCATGAGAGGGATCCATGGTATAGCTGGGACCAGCTGGACCTGAGATTGAACTGGGGTGAACCGATGCACTGGCAGCTAGACATGTATACCAGGAATATGTCCCCCACACCTGTTTCTTGGAATGTCATGTGTATGCAGCTGTTCGGCTTCATGGCTCTCATGATATTCATGTTCTGGGTGGGGGATATGTACCCTGTCTACCAGCCCGTGGGACCAAAGCAGTATCCTTACAATAATCTGTACCTGGAACGAGGCGGTGATCCCTCCAAAGAACCTGAGTCGGTGGTTCACTACTAGATCTGAGGAGGCTTCGTGGGCTTTTGTGCCCTCTAACTAGGATTCCCTCATTCCTAGAAATTTAACCTTAATGAAATCCCTAATAAAACTCAGTGCTGTGGTTAAAAAAACAAAACAAAACAAAACAAAAATCAGAATCTCTCAAAGTGAGCCCTAGGCATCAGGACTTTTCCAAAGAACCTCAGGAAATTCTAATGTGCAGCAAAGTTTGGGAACTACTGTCTTGTAGTATTCTCTATCATTGAGATATCTGCCAGATATGGACATTACATTGGTAAGTTAGTTTGCAGCATGACAGTGAGAAGATGGAAAACCCTGCTGAAAGATATCCTTCATTTCAACATTACCTGTACCTTAAGTACAGACATAGGCATGGAATGAAAGTTTCTTCTGGGTAAAATAAAATTCTAAATCTAAAACAGCAATTTCAAGATTATGTGCTTGGTATATCAACTATACAGTTCTAACTTTGCTATCTATTAATTGACTGTGTAGCTGTCACTAAACTGAAAATCACAAGAAATTATTCTTACCCATATGCCCAGTTGTTTCCAGAACCTTGTTTTTGACAGAAGCATGCATGTTGACCATATTTCCATTGGCCAGACTGGGCAGCCTTTGACAGCATTTGATTGATAACTTTGGGTTCCATGTCAACAAGAACAGCCCGGGCAATTGGAACTAGAGGGGGAAAAAAACCCAAAAACATCGAAAGAAAAAAAGATTTATTATGTCTTATTTGGGTAACTCAGAGCATCTAAGTGTCCAAATCCAAAAAAAAAAAAAAAATTCCAGGGGTTGTGGTTAGAAAGATCTGTCGTACTGCTTAGAAATCTCAGTGGGCAGCAGCAGGCATATGCAGATGTTCACCAAGCCCAGCATTTGCTAAGCAGGCTGAATCAGTGTGGGCCTAAAAGAGTACCTGGGTCAGATTAGCCGGCGTGGTGGCATGTGCCTGTAATTCCAGCTACTCGGGAGGCTGAGGCAGGAGAACTGCTTGAACCTGGAAGGCGGAGGTTGCACTGAGCCAAGGTTGCACCACTGCACTCCAGCCTGGGAGACAGAGTGAGATTCTGTCTCAAAAAAAAAAAAAAAAAAAAAAAAAAGAGTACCTGGGTCAGGTCTACAAACATATGCTGAATGCTTATGATGTGCCATGGACTGTGCTGGGAATTTGGAGATGAAGACATCAAACTAGCCTTAGAAAGGGCAGGTGGGAGGCTGGGCGTGGTGGCTCATGCCTGTAATCCCAGCATTTTGGGAGGCTGAGGCAGGTGGATCACTTGAGGCCAGGAGTTGGAGACCAGCCTGGCCAACATGGTGAAATCCCGATCCTACTAAAAATACAAAATTGGCCAGGTGCGGTGGCTCACACCTGTAATCCCAGCACTTTGGGAGGCCGAGGCGGGCGGATCATCTGAGGTCAGGAGTTCAAGACCAAACTGGCCAACATGGTGAAAACCCATCTCTACTAAAAATACAAAAAATTAGCTGGGCGTGGTGGCAGGCTCCTGTAATCCCAGCTACTCCGGAGGCTGAGGCAGGAGAATTGCTTGATCCCGGGAGGTGGAGGTTGCAGTGAGCCAAGATTGAGCCATTGCACTCCAGCCTGAGCAATAAAAGCAAAACACTGTCTCAAAACAAACAAACAAACAAAAAACAAAAATACAAAATTAGCAAGACTTGGTGGCGTGTGCCTGTAATCTCAGCTACTCAGGAGGCTGAGGCACGAGAATTGCTTGAACCCAGGAGGCAGAGGTTGCAATGAGCTGCAATCACACCACTGTGCTCCAGCTTGGGCAAGAGTGAGACTCTGTCTCAAAAAAAAAAAAAGACTTGTGGGAAAGATAAATACATCAATACTTAATCACACTGCAACGTGATATGACCAAATAAATCCACACCAAAGGAACATCATATTTAGAGGTACAAAGTACCATGGGTACAACATCCAGCTCAGAATTGTTGGAGCAGAGGATGGAGAAGGAGAGGGTAGAAGTGATGGATGGGGATGAAAAGCAGGTAGGGCTCAATCTTGGAAATCTTTATAGGCAATGCTAGAAAAGCCTGAACTTTATCTTTTAGGCCATGATTAACCACCAAAAATTTTCAAGCAGGCGAGGAATAGTTAAATGTCTGTCAATCATAATTCACTGCAGCCTCAAACTCTTGAGCTCAAGCAATCCTCCCACTTTGGCCTTCTAAGTAGCTGGGACTTCAGGTGTGTGCCATTACACCTAACTAATTTTTATTGTTTTTTTTTCTAGAGACAGAATCTTGCTCTATTGCCCAGGCTGGTCTTGAATTCCTGGCCTCAAGCAATCCTCCCACCTTGGTCTCCCAAAACACTGGAATTACAGTGAGACACTGTGCCCAGCTGTTAGATGTCTTTTTTTTTTTTTTGAGATGGAGTCTCGCTCTGTCCCGCAGGCTGGAGTGCAGTGGTGCGATCTCAGCTCACTGCAAGCTCCGCCTCCTGGGTTCACGCCATTCTCCTGCCTCAGCATCCCAAGTAGCTGGGACTACAGGCACCCGCCACCACGCCTGGCTAATTTTTTTGTATTTTTAGTAGAGACGGGATTTTACTGTGTTAGCCAGGATGGTCTCGATCTCCTGACCTCATGATTCGCCCGCCTCGACCTCCCAAAGTGCTGGGATTATAGGCATGAGCCACTGCACCCGGCCGATGTCTTTTTAAACACAGCAGTACGGAGGATGGATGTGATAGACAGTAGACTCCAGGCAAGGAATCCTAAAAGGAGTGTCTTGAGACAGTCCAGGTAAGAAAGAACAAAAGCCAGACTAAAGCAAGTCAGTGAAGGTGGAAAGGGAAGAACAGTTTCAAGGAGTATATAGGAGGTCAAATAAGCAGATCTTGTTTGATGGTATGTATGCAGCAAGAGCACAAGGAACAATAATGAATGCCTTGGGAATAGAGATGTTGAGTTTCAGGTTCATATGAGAGATGTGGGTGGAGATATCCACTAATCTGTCTAGAGCTTTTAAGAGAGGCTGGGCTAGAGGTCTGAAAGTCACAGGTGTAATAAATGTAGCAAACTATGACAGTGAAGTTGCCCAGAGAGAACTATGCAAGTGAGGACAGGGGAGATGCAACAACTGGAGAAGAAAAGTGGGGTGACTAGGAGAAGGAGGTTCAAGGAGAGAGTTGTTTTTTGTCTTTTTTTTTTCTTTTTTGAGACGGAGTTTCGCTCTTGTCACCTAGGCTGGAGTACAATGGCACACTCTCCGACTCCCGGGTTCAAGCGATTCTCCTGCCTCAGCCTCCCAAGTAGCTGGGATTACAGGCACGCACCACTACGCTCGGCTAATTTTTGTATTTTTAGTACAGATGGGGTTTCACCACGTTGGCCAGGCTGGTCTCGAACTCCTGACCTCAGGTGATTCACCCACCTCGGCCTCCCAAAGTGTTGGGATTACAGGGATGAGCCACCATGCCTGGCTTTTTTTTTTTTTTTTTTTTTTTGAGACGGCATCTCGCTCTATTTCCCAGGCTGGAGTGCAGTGGCGAGATCTCGGCTCACTGCAACCCCCCTCCCGGGTTCAAGTGATTCTCCTGCCTCACCCTCCCGAATAACTGGGATTACAGGTATGTGCCACCATGTCCGGCTAATTTTTGTATTTTTAGTCGAGACGGGGTTTTACCCTGTTGGCCAGGCTGGTCTCTAACTCCTGACCTCAAGTGATCTGCCTGCCTTGGCCTCCCAAAGTGCTGGGATTATAGGCGTGAGCCACTGCGCCCTGCTGGAAAGAGTTTTTATACGTTACTGTTATCAAACGCAGTAGAGGAGTAAAGTGAATTAAGAAAAGAAAGAGAGGCTGGGCACAGTGGCTCACGCCTGTAATCCCAGCACTTTGGGAAGCTGAGGTGGGCAGATCATTTGAGGTCAGGAGTTCGAGACCAGCCTGACCAACATGGTAAAACCCCATCTCTACTAAAAATACAAAAAAATTAGTTGGGCGTGGTGGCGCATGCCTGTAGTCCCAGCTACTCATGAGGCTGAGGCAGGAGAATTGCTTCAACCTGGTAGTCGGAGGTTGCAGTGAGCCAAGATCGCACCACTGCACTCCAGTCTGGGTGACAGAGCTAGACTCTGTCTCAAAAAAAAAAAAAAAAAAAGAAAAAGAAAAAGAAAGAGAGCCTGTAATCCCATCACTTTGGGAGGCCAAGGCAGGCGGATCACTTGAGATCAGGCATTCGAGACCAGCCTGGCCAACATGGCAAAACCCTGTCTCTACTAAAAATACAAAAATTAGCCAGACATGGTCGTGGGCACCTGTAATTCCAGCTACTTGGGAGGCTGAGGCAGGAGAATTGCTTGAACACGGGAGGTGGAGGTTACAGTGAGCCAAGATCACATCACTGCACTTCAGCCCGGGTGACAGAGCGAGACTCTCTCAAAAAAAAAAAAAAAAAAAAGAGAGACAGAGAAAAGAAAGAGCCAGGCATGGTGGCATGCACCTGCAGTCCCAGCTACTCAGGAGACCTGTGAATAGCCACCGCACTCCAGCTTGGGCAACATAGTGTAGTAAGAACCTGTCTCTACAAGAAAAAGAAAAAAAGAAAAGAAAAACAGTAGTTGGATCTGGTGATTCGGAGGTCACTGGAAACTTTTCTTAGAGCAGCTTCAATGATGCTATGTGGGGCAGAAGCAGGATCATAGGTGGTTAAGCAGGGTCCTTTTATTTTTTTTGGAGATGGAGTCTCGCTCTGTCACCAGGCTGGAGGGCAGTGGTGCGGTCTCGGCTCACTGCAACCTCTGCCTCCTGGGTTCAAGTGATTCTCCTGCCTCAGCCTCCCGAGTAGCTGGGATTACAGGCACATGCCACCACGCCCAGCTAATTTTTGTATTTTTAGTAGAGATGGGGTTTCACCATGTTGGTCAGGCTGGTCTTGAACTCCTGACCTTGTGATCCACTCGCCTCGGCCTCTCAAAGTGCTGGGATTACAGGCGTGAGCCACCACGCCCAGCCAGCAGGGTCCTCTTTTGAGAATCTTAGATGAAAGGCAAAGAGATAAGAAGAAGAAAGCCAGTCAATAGATGAGTTTTGTTTGGTTGGTTTTAAATTGGTGAGATCTGAGCATGCAGAAGGGAAAATGCCACTGGAAAAGCAAAGATTATTAACATAGAAATGAAAAGCAAAAACAAAGTAATTCCCTAGTGAGATGGGAAGGAATGGGGTTTAAAAACCATGTGGAAGGCCTGGCTTTGAAGGGGTTGGTTAGATCAGAGTAAAGGAGAGGACTGTGGGCCACACCTACCTCCATTCTCCTCCTCACTGAAGAATCTTTCTTTGCAAGATGCTTGATATGCCTCATTCTCTCTCATAGAGCAGAGTCCCTGGGAACTGTGTGAGTCACTAAGCAAAGCATCAAAAACTTCAAAACCAATCTGATTGCCACACTGACCAAGTTGCACTGTTACAATTGACATGCTGAGCCACAAACTAGGTGTATTACCTCTAAAAACAACCTGTAATCGAAAAAAATACGCTTTGAGAACCACTACATTACTAATAAGAACAAATAAAATGCCATGTATGTTAATTATACATCAATAAAAAGTCTTTTTTCCCCCCTGAGACGGAGTCTTGTTCTGTCACCCAGGCTAGAGTGCAGTGGCATGTTCTCGGCTTAATGCAACCTCCGCCTCCCAGGTTCAAGCGATTCTCCTGCCTCAGCCTCCCGAGTAGCTGGGATTACAGGCACGTGCCACCACGCCTGGCTAATTTTTGTATTCTTAGTAGAGATGGGGTTTCACCATGTTGGCCAGGTTGGTCTTGAACTCTTGACCTCGTGATCCACCTCCACCTACCTCAGCCTCCCAAAGTGCTGGGATTACAGGCTTGAGCCACCACGCCCGGCCCAAAAAGTCATTTTAAAATGCCACATACGTATATAATATTGGAGATAGAACAGCTGTGTTGTCTAAGGAGCTAGTCATTCAAGGAAGTTCTCATACTCTCTACATGGTTTTGGGATTTGTGATTTACTGTACCTGAATCCATTCATACACAGCTCAATAGTTTCCAAAATCTGATTTGTAATCACTTTTTTCCTAAACATATGTTTAAAACAAAACATTCTCCTCAGTTGAGGAGTGATAAAAGAAAAAAAGAGGCTGGGTGCGTGGCTCACACCTGTAATCCCAGCATTTTGGGAGGCTGAGTTGGGAGAATCACGTGAGCCTGGCTGTTCCAGACCTGGTCAACATGGCAAAACCCTGTTTGTACAAAAAATACAACCATTAGCTTGGCGTGGTGGTGTGCGCCTGCAGTCCCAGCTACTCGGGAGGCTGAGGTGGGAGGATCCCCTGAGCCTGGGAGGTCCAGGCTGCAGTGAGCCAAGATCTTGCCACCGCACTCCAGCCTGGGTGACAAAGTGACATCCTCCTGTCTCCAGAAAAAAAAAAAATTAAAATTAAAAAAATAAAAACAAGACAAAACAAATGCTGATTGAAGAAATTAGTAGTACCACCCTTCACACCACATGAACATGTAGAACACAGAAGTGTGCTCAACATTGTACATTCAATTAACATTAATTTTCTCTCTTCTAAATAATAGCTTACGCTTTCTCCACTAGTCTAGCCTGGTAACTTTAGTAAGACCTGTAAGAAAGATTTTGTGTTTAGCTCAGGTAGGACAGCAAGAAAGATGCAGCTTGGAGAAAGAAAACCAGATGAAATATTAACCGGGCGCAATGGCTCATGCCTGTAATCCCAGTACTTTGGGAGGCCGAGGCGGGAGGATCACCTGAGCCCAGGGATTCCAGACCAGCCTGGGCAACACAGCGAGACCCTGTCTCCATTTGAAAAAGAAAGAAAGCAAAAGAAACATTAGAGCAGTTCCTCATTATTTTTACCTAGGAAAAGACAAGTTTTGATAAAGACTTCACATCAGGTCTATGCAGCACTGGAAATGAGCCGTGGGTTGTGAGACAGACTCTGTGCTTAAAATGTCAAACCGGCAAAGTAGGTTTATTATTATCCTCATTTTACAGATAAGGAAACTGAGGCTCTGAAAGGTTATTGACTTTTCCAAGGCCACAGAACTAGTAAAGAGCAAAGCCAAAAGGTCCCCCGTTCCCCACGGGCCCCAGGAGTTCTCCACACGTAACCCGACTCACCGCCAGACGCCGACCAGCGCTTCTGTCCGGTTCAAACTTCGGACCAACCTACTCACCATGCGCATGCTCACTTTCAAAACGAAAAACTTACTGAGAACAAATGCGCATGTTCCATAAACGGAGAGTTTTGTTGTGTATATATTTTTTCCTATTCAGAAAGATTAATTACGCATGTTCAATTTCAATTTACGAACTTCAGATATGGTACGCATGCTCACTGTCCACCGAACGCTCCAGCTGACAATGCGCATGCTCTAGTCCTCCAAGCGCGACTTCGGCTGGTGTTTTGCGCATGTTTCTGCCAGCGCCTGGATCCTGCCGATAGTTCTGCGCATGTCCACTGCCCACTGTTTGGCTTCACGGAACCCTGTACGCATGCTCCTACGCTGAACTTTAGGAGCCAGTCTAAGGCCTAGGCGCAGACGCACTGAGCCTAAGCAGCCGGTGATGGCGGCAGCGGCTGTGGTGGCTGCGGCGGGTCCGGGCCCATGAGGCGACGAAGGAGGCGGGACGGCTTTTACCCAGCCCCGGACTTCCGAGACAGGGAAGCTGAGGACATGGCAGGAGTGTTTGACATAGACCTGGACCAGCCAGAGGACGCGGGCTCTGAGGATGAGCTGGAGGAGGGGGTGAGGCCCGGGGTCCCCGGGGGCCCGAGGTGACAGGGCCGGGGCGGCGGCGCGGGCTCAGGAAGCGCGGTGTGTCCTAGAGCGTGGAGACCCAGGGGGGCTCCTGAGGAGCTGAGGGTCGCGCGGCCTGAGACAGGGGAGCGGGCGGGGCGGTCATGGCCCTAGGTGTGAGGCCTCTGCGGGGCTCGCAGGTGCAGGTCGCACCCTTAGCCCCAGGTCAGCGCAGCCCCGAGCGATCTGAAGAGGGAAAGAGAACGGGCGCGTGGTCGATTCCTCGAGCTGTTGGACTTGAGTGTGGCGGGGAGCGGGTGGCGTGAGCGTGTGTTGGGGAGACGGGGGCTGCTCTTGCTGGGTGTCCCGTAAGTGCAGGCGAAGTGTGGAGGGTTTCCCTTCGAGTCTAGAATTTCAAGTATTGAATCTTCAGACCTCCCACAACCACCTCTCTTCTCGGCCTGTCGCTTCTCTCCTAGGAAGCGCTCAGCTGTTAGAAGTGACAGCTGAAAACTTCTGTCGGGAGTAGCACTGCCGCTGCTGTTACAGCCACCAGGAGTTTTATTTCGGGAGCAAGGGGGCTCTGCTGCATCTTCCAATCTTCCAGGGTTTGTTTGTTTGCTTTTTTTTTTTTACCCCCTTCCGTGTGACTTTTTAAAATAAGCATTTATAAGGACACACGGCACTTGTAACCTTTCCCCAAGTTGAAGATGTCTGTATTTTTTTCAGAATAATTAATGTAATTTTGAGGTGGAAAAAAAAACCAAAAACCAGTTGACAGCCTTGATTTAGCTTGCCAGAAATAAGTTGCCTGAACAGAGACTTGTGAATGGTGGTATGAGGGCTTTCCTTGCTGTAATTTAGGGTGCTAAATTTAGAATTGTATTTCCTAATGCATAGCTTGGTTTCACCCTGCTGGCTTAGTGGTTTGTTAATCTTTATGGAATAACTTTTTTTTTCCCTAGATAAATTTATCAAAAAATGACAAATTGCACCTGAAGTTCAAAAATGTTGTCATACTAAATCACTGATCCTGGACCAAATGATCATCAGTTGATAACCTCTTGGTAGTTTAGCATCTAAATTCCAATGTCTAGTTGAATACATGGGTTAATGACGTCAGATGTTTGCTCTAATTACACAGGGGCTTCCTTTCCCTTGCCTCACCCTCAGTTTTTCTCCTCTGGCACCTGCCCTACTGTTGACAAAAGATTGAGATGATGTATATAAAGAATTTTGAACACTTTAAGAAACTAAGTGGCCTAAAATAATACTGTTCTTCTTGTTTGTTTCTTTTGTTTTGTTTTGAGTTGGGTCTCACTCTATCACCCAGACTGGAGTGCAATGGTGCGATCTCAGCTCACTGCAATCTCAGCCTCCTGGGTTTAAGCGATTGTCATGGCTCAGCCTCCCAAGTAGCTAGGATTACAGGCATGCGCCACCACATCTGGCTAATTTTTGTATTTTTAGTAGAGACAGGGTTTCACCATATTGGCCAGGCTGTTCTCGGACTCCTGACCTCAAATGATCCACCAGCCTCGGCCTCCCAAAATGCTGGGATTATAGGCATAAACCACCATACCTGACCAATACTGTTCTTTTCATAATCAAATAAGACTAAATCAAAATCACACGGTTTAGAAAGTGGGTATTGAGTTGTGTGCTTTTTCTTTTCTTTTCTTTTCTTTTCTTTCTTTCTGGTTTTTTTGTTTTGTTTTGTTTTTGAGACAGTCTTGCTCTGTCACCCAGGCTGGAATGCAGTGGCGTGATCTCAGCTCACTGCAACCTCTGCCTCCTGGGTTCAAGCGATTCTCCTGCCTCAGCCTCCTGAGTAGCTGGGACTACAGGCGCGTGCCACCACACCTGGCTAATTTTTTGTATTTTTAGTAGAGATGGAGTTTCACTGTGTTAGCCAGGATGGTCACGATCTCTTGACCTCGTAATCTGCCCGCCTCGGCCTCCCAAAGTGCTAGGATTACAGGTGTGAGCCACTGCGCCTGGCTTTTTTTTTTTTTTTTTTTTTGAGACAGGGTCTTCCTCTGTCACCCAGGCTGGAGTGCAGTGGTGCGATCTCGGCTCACTGCAGCCTCTGCCTCCCAGGTTCAAGCGATTCTCCTACCTCAGCCTCCCAAGTAGCTGGGATTACAGGGGCGCGCCACATCACCTGGCTACTTTTTTTGTATTTTAGTAGAGATGGGGTTTCACCATGTGGCCCAGGCTGGTCTTGAACATCTGACCTCAGGTGATCACCTGCCTCAGTCTCCCAAAGTGCTGGGATTACAGGTGTGAGCCACCCCACCAGGCTTTTTACTTTATTTTATTTTAATTTTTTTTGAGATGGAGTCTCACTGTGTAGCCCAAGCTGGAATGCAGTGGCCTGATCTCGGCTCACTGCAGCCTCCGCCTCCTGAGCTCAAGCGATTCTCGTGCCTCAGCCTTCCGAGTAGCTGGGACTACAGGCGCGCACCACCATGCCTGGCTAATTGTTTGTATTTTAGTAGAGATGGGGTTTCACCATGTTGCCCAGGGTGGGCCTGAACTCCTGAGCTCCAGCAATCTGCCAGCCTTGGCCTCTCAAAGTGCTGGGATTACAGGCGTGAGCCACTGCATCCGGTTGGTGTGTGCTTTTTCAATGATGTTTTCATGCAGAATTCCAATTAGCCTCTTAATCGAACATAATGGTACACTAGTTACAATTGGAAACAAATATGAGATTACTTTCATTATTTATACCATATACCATACTCTTTATCAGTTATGTTGGTTCTCTATGACAGTGGCTTTGGAGCAGGGCAGGGGAGAAAACTGGATAGGAAGGTGCTTTATATCTTCATTAGTTGAACTGATAGAATTTCCAGACTGGGTTTATTTTATTTTATTTTTTTTTCTTTTCTGAGACAGAGTCTTGCTCTATTTGCCCAGGCTGGAGTGCAATGGCGCTATCTCGGCTCACTGCAGCCTCCACTTCCCGGGTTCAAGCGATTCTCCTGCCTCAGCCTCCCGAGTAGCTGGGATTACAGGCACCCGCCACCAGGCCCGGCTAATTTTTGTATTTTTAGTAGAGACGGGGTTTCTCCATGTTGGTCAGGCTGGTCCGGAACTTCCAAACTTGGGTGATCTGCCTGCCTTGGCCTCTCAAAATACAGGTGTGAGCCACCGCACCCAGCCAGGTTTATTCTTTTTTGAAAGTACAGTACTCTGTTAAAATTCCTGTGTAAACTGGGACTTTTCTTTTCACTTTCTTGTGTTTCAAGAACAGTAGGTGTTCCAGGGCTTTTGTCCTGCTGGGTACAAGCAAGTAGGATTTTGAGAAGGTGTGAGGAGGAGGTCAGAAAAATTGGTGGAAATAGGAAAGAGAAAGAAATATGGCCCCGATTTTGGGGAGAGAAAGTCTGGGGAAAGAGCAAAGGCAATTAAAGAGGATTTTGAGGAAGAGACTTCTGTAAAATATGTCTTAGCAACACTTTTTGGAGTTGAAAATATTTCTTTTTAGTGTGTTATTTTTTCTAAGAGGTGCCTCAAGATGGATAATGGAAGATTTGGAGTACGATTGGGTTGACAATCCAAGGAGATTCGGTGACATCCAGATTACCCTGAAATAAAAAAAAAAAAAAATTCTGGAAAATGAGAGAAGTTTAGATTCTTAGAAAATCTTCTGATAGTTTCTATTTGTGAATTTATAGACTTTAATTTATTACACAAAGTTTTTAAACATTGGTGCATATCAGTTTTCCTCATTTTATAGTAAGGAAACTGAGGCATAGGCCATATGATAGCCAAAGATCACATAGTGGTAGTGTCTTCTGACTTAATTCAGCAGGCTTCATTGCACAGGTTCTTCATTGCATTTACTAGTTGTGTTTATAATGTTCCTCTTTGTGGTATGTCAAAAGTGAATTCAGATTCCTTTGGCCATACTCACTCTGTGACCTGGAGTAAATTCCTTAATCTCTAATGTTTTCTATAACATGAGGGTTACATTAAATAAGTACGTAAAGTACAGTACTCTCAAAATATCCTGGCGTATTAAGCAATTAGCTAGTTCACAGAAATTCAGCTTGTCTTGTCATTGCTAAGGAACCAATCATTCAGGTTTAACCTCGTATACCTAGAGACTTAATAATTGCAGTTAAACTCGAGGTGCTGTATTTTTACAACTGTAGTATCATAGTGTGTATTTTTTTTTAAAACTAATTGATCCCGTTTAGAGAGATGTGCCTTTCAAGGTACGTTACAGAGTGACTATGCGTTAGTAAATATAGGTATTTCCATAGTTTATTTAATTAGAGATTAAAAGATGAGACTAAATGATACATTTATGGACAAAGTTGAATATCTGCCACCTAACTTAAAAAAGATCCTGTTTAAGGCCGGGCACAGTGGCTCATGCCTGTAATCCCAGCACTTTGGGAGGCCGAGGCAGGTGGATCACGATGTCAGGAGCAGGAGACCAGCCTGGCCAATATGGTGAAACCCAGTTTCTACTAAAAATACAAAAATTAGCCAGGCATGGTGGTGCACACCTCTAGTCCCAGCTATTCAGGAGGCTGAGGCAGGAGAATCTCTTGAACCTGGGAGGTGGAGGTTGCAGTGAGCCAAGATCATACCACTGCACTCCAGCCTGGGCGACACAGTGAGATTCCGTCTCAAAAAAAAAAAAAAAAGATTCTGTTTAAATATCTCAGAGGAATATAATCAAAGCCTATTGGTAAGAGGGGAGTTTTTGGGCGGAGGGTGTCTTTTTTGTTTGTTTTTTTGTTTCACTGTTGATGATATCATTTGGGGCAGTAAATTGAAACTAAGGAAAAGTTTTCCTTCAGAGAATTTAGATTGCAAAAATGTTGGAATCTTCTCTGCTCTCTATAGCATTAAGAGTAGTAGAAAACTGTAATGCAATTTAAAAAATTCTCACTTTGTACTCTAATTCAAAATTTGAAATAATCACGCAGGCTTACTGTACAAGTTTCAGATTGGGACATCAGATTTTTATTGAGTAAAAGGTTTAAAATTTTTGAAAACCAAAGTGCTATATAGATAGTATATACTCAAATATTCATGATTATGAAAAATTATAGAAAAAATATCAATACTTATCTTGCTTTGTAATATATACTTACTATAAAGCAGCAACTTTTTTTTATTTTTTATTTTTTTGAGACGGAGTTTTGCTCTTGTGGCCCAGGCTGGAGTGCAGTGGTGCGATCTCGGCTCACTGCAACCTCTGCCTCCTGGGTTCAAGCTATTCTCCTGCCTCAGCCTCCCGAGTAGCTGGGATTACAGGTGCCGACTACCACACCCAGCTAATTTTTTGTATTTTTTTGGTAGAGACGGGGTTTCACCATGTTGGCCAGGCTGGTCTCAAACTCTTGACTTCAGGCGATACACCTGCCTCGGCCTCCCAAAGTGCTGGGATTACAGGCATGAGCCACCGTGCCCGGCCAGCAGCAACTATTTTTAAATAGCCCAAGAGTTTAGGCAAAGTTCTACCCTTTCTTCCATTTCCTCTAAGTTACTGAATCTTGTCAATCCTAATGAACACAGCAGACATTGGATAGGCCATAAAGCTTAAGGCAGCAGAAAAAAATTAGGAGTAAAGAGTTTCCTGGCCAGGCGGGGTGGCTCATGCCTGTAATCCCAGCACTTTGGGAGGCCAAGGTGGGCAGATCACCTGAGGTCAGGGGTTCGAGACCAGCCTGGCCAACATGGTGAAAACCCCGTCTCTATTAAAAATACAAAAATTAGCCGGGCCTGGTGTCAGGCACCTGTAATCCCAGCTACTCGGGAGGCTGAGGCAGGAGAATCACTTGAACCTGGGAGGCAGAGGTTGCAGTGAGCCAAGATCGCGCCATTGTTCTCCAGCCTGGGGGACAAGAGCAAGACTTCGTCTCAGAAAAAAAAAAAAAAGGAGTAAAGAGTTTCCTGTGAAAGAGAGTTGTCAGTATGTATTACATAATGTTATTTGACACTTCTTGTGTGAGCCTTCTAGAGGTAACACTGAGTAGCAGGAAAGATTTGTGCCTCAAATGCTTCTGTCCTAGACAGTAACGGTAGAAGTTATTAGCACAATATGCAGGTGCCAGCATTATAGGTCTGGCCAGCTTAGGAAATGAAACATAGCTACAGGGCGTATCTTGTGAGGTGGCTTCAAAATCATGGTCCAGTCTTAACTACTCTGTAGTCTTTAATTTAGAATTAAGTAAAACTAACATTAAAGAAAAAACAATTATGTAATACCAGTTTTATCACATCTGGAAGAAGTTAGTCTTTTGTCATAAAAGTGAAGCCATCCTAGGCGATTACGTAGAGCAACAAAGACAAAAAAAACCTTTAACCATGACCACCCCCATATCCCACACATAAAAGAAACTGTATCCAGTTAAAATGGTGAGAATTGGTTTTTTCCCCCTTGATACTGCCCCATCTCTTTGCCTGGGTATAATCATGAAGTGTACATTCCTGGTATTACATGTTATCGTGATTTGGTCACACCATGAGTGAGTTATGACTAAAATTTTGTGTTTTGGGGGCATTTGAACATTTATTCTATAAGAATACTATCAGTTTTTGGCTGGGTATGATAGCTCGTGCCTGTAATCCCAGAACTTTGGGAAGCTAAGGTGGAAGGATCATTTGAGGCCAAGAGTTCGAGACCAACCTGGCCAACAAAACAAGACCCTATCTGTACAAAAAATTAAAAAAATAAATAGTGGGCATAGTAGCACACAGCACACGCCTGGCACTAGTGACTCCAGAGGCTGAGAAGAGATGATCACTGGAGCCCAGGAGTTTGAGGATGCAATGAGCTATTATCCTACTACAGCACTCCAGCCTGGGTGACAGAAACCTAATTGCTAAACACACACACACACACACACACACACACACACACACACACACACACACACACACACACACCCCTATGTGTTTTTGTTGTGTATGTTGGCTGTGTACTGGTAGTTTTGAAGAAAGATATATTCACTTTAATATCTTAACTACTCTAAAGTTTTGACATGATTGCTTAAAGACTTGTAATGTTTTAGAGTCTATTTTCTTTTTCTTTTTTTTTGAGATGGAGTCTCACTCTTGTCATCCAGCCTGGAGTGCAATGGCGCGATCTTGGCTCACTGCAACCTCCACCTCCTGGGTTCAAGCGATTCTCTTTCCTCAGCCTCCTGAGTAGCTAGGATTACAAGTGCCCGCCACCAGGCCTGGCTAATTTTTGTATTTTTAGTAGAGGCGGGGTTTCTCCATGTTGGCCAGGCTGGTCTCGAACTCCCAATCTCAGGTGATCCGCCTGCCTTGGCCCCAAAGTGCTGGGATTACAGGCGTGAGCCACGCGCCTGGCCTGGAGTCTATTTTAAATTAATTAGTATCCTTTCGTGTAAACTGAGAGTTCATAATCAGATTAGATTGATTTTAAAGCTATATATTATAATGTCAGTAACTGAAATTCTGCTGCCAAGTTTTTTGTTGTTTTTTGTTTATACAATTCAGTGACTTTGAGTATATTTACAGAGTTGTGCAGCCATCACCAAAATTAGGTTTTAGAAATTTTTACCACTCGGCCGGGCGCAGTGGCTCAGGCCTGTAATCTCAGTACTTTGGGAGGCCAAGGCAGATGGATCACTTGAAGTTGGGAGTTCAAGACTAGCCTGGCCAACATGGTAAAATCCTGTCTCTACTAATAATACAAAAATACCCAGGCGTGGTGGTGCATGCCTGTAATCCCAGCTACTTGGGAGACTGAGGCAGGAGAATCACTTGAACTTGGGAGGTGGAGTTTCCCATGAGCCGAGATTGCACCACTGCATTCCAGCCTGGGCAACAGAGTGAGACCTTGCATTTTTTTTTGAGACGGAGTCTCGCTCTGTTGCCCAGGCTGGAGTACAGTGGCGCGATCTCGGCTCACTGCAAGCTCCGCCTCCCAGGTTCACGCCATTCTCCTGCCTCAGCCTCCCGAGTAGCTGGGACTACAGGTGCCCGCCACCACGCCCGGCTAATGTTTTGTATTTTTAGTAGAGACGGGGTTTCACCGTGTTAGCCAGGATGGTCTCGATCTCCTGACCTTGCAATCCGCCCGCCTCAGCCTCCTAAAGTGCTGGGATTACAGGCGTGAGCCACCGCGCCTGGCCGAGACTCCATCTTAAAAAAAAAAAAAGGAAATTTTTATCACCCTATAAAGAAATTTTGGGGCTGGGCATGGTGGCTTACGCCTGTAATCCCAGTACTTTGGGAGGCCAAGGCAGATGGAGCGCATGAGCCTAGGAGTTTGAAATCAGCCTGGGCAGCATAACAGCACCCTGTCTCTGAAAAAAAAAAAAAAAAAAAAAGAAAAAAAAAGAAACAGAGTTTTGGCCAATTTAGTTACTTCTGATTCTCACCCTCAGCCCCAGGCAACTAACCTATTTCTCATCTCTATAGATTTGGCTTTTCTAGGCCCAGTGTGGCTCATACCTGTGATCCCAACACTTTGGGAGGCCGAGGCAGGAGGATCACTTGAGACTAGCCTGGGCAACATAGTGAGACCCGTGTCTCTACGAAAAATAGAAAAAAATTATCCGTCTTGGTGGTGTGCGGCTGTAGTCTCAGCTGCTTGGAAGGCTGAGGTTGGAGGATCGCTTGAGTCTCCAAGGTTGAGTTTGCCGTGATCCTGCCACTGCACTTCAACCTGCGCAACAGAATGAGAACCTGTCTCTAAAAAAAAAAAAAAAAAAAGCTTTTTCTGGACATTCCATATAAATGGAATCATATAGTGTATGACCTTTTATATTTGGTGGCTTTCACTTTTTTTTTTTTTTTTTTTTTTGAGATGGAGTCTCACTCTATCACCTAGGCTGGAGTGCAGTGGTGTGATCTCTGCTCACTGCAACCTCTGCCTCCTGGGTTCAAGTAATTTTCCTGCCTCACCCTCCTGAGTAGCTGGGACCACAGGTGTGCGCCACCACACCTGGCTAATTTTTGTATTTTTAGTAGAGATGGGGTTTTGCCATGTTAGCCAGGCTGGTCTCAAACTCCTGACCTCAAGTGATCCGCCTGCCTTGGCCTCTCAAAGTGCTGGGATTACAGGCGTGAGCCACAGCATAAAGTTTTTGAAGATCATTTATGTTGTAACATGTATCAGTACTTCATTTCTTTTTAGGGCCAAATAGTTATTCTGTTTTATGGCTACAGTGCATTTTGTTTATCCATTTACCGGTTGATGTTCATTTGAGTTATTCATTCAGATGTTCAACTGAATTGTGAATAAAGCATTTTTTGTTTCTTTTTTTTTTTTTTTTGGAGATAGGGTCTCACTCCGTTGCCCATGCTGTAGTGCAGTGGCGTGAAAAAGCTCGCTGCAGCTTCACCCTCCTGGGCTGAAGTAATTCTTCTGCCTCAGTCTCTCATGTAGCTGGGACCACAGGCACGTGCCACCATTCCCAGCTAATTTTTTGATTTGTTGCAGAGATGGGGGTCTCGTGATTTTGTCCCGGTTGGTTTTAAACTCCTGGCCTCAAGCAATTCTTCTGCCTCTGCCTCCCAAAGTGTTAGGATTATAGGCATGAGCCACCTCCTCGCCTGGCCTGAATAAACCTTTTAGAAGGCTGGGTGTGGGGGCTCATGCCTATAATCCTAGCACTGTGGGAGGCTGAGGCAGGTGGATCGCTGGAGTCCAGGAATTCCAGACCGGCCTGGGCAACGTGATGAAACCTGTTCTCTACAAAAAATGAGCCGATGCTGGGCATGGTGGCCTGTATTCCCAGCACTTTGGGAGGCCGAGCTGGGTGGATCATGAAGTCAAGAGTTTAAGACCAGTCTGGCCAAGATGCTGAAACCCCATCTCTACTAAAAATACAAAAATTAGCCGGGCGTGGTGGCGGGTGCCTGTAATCCCAGCTACTCAGGAGGCTGAGGCAAAGAATTGCTTGAACCTGGGAGGCAGAGGTTGCAGTGACCCGAGATAGCACCACTGCACTCCAGCCTGGGCAACAGAGTGAGACTCTGTCTCAAAAAAAAAAAAGAAAAAAAAAGAGCCGAGCATGGTGCTATGCACTTGTAGTCCCAGCTGTTCGGGAGGCTGAAGTGGGAGGATCACCTGAGTCCAGGAGGTTGAGGCTGCAGTGAGCCATGATCGCACCACTGCACTCCAGCCTGGGTGATAGAGTGACACCCTGTCTCAAAAAGAAAAAAAAGAAAAAAAAGTTTTTATGAACATTATTGCCCAGATCTTTGTGGAGCATATACTTTTCATTTCTTTTGAGTAGATACATTGGAGTAGATTTGCTGGGTCATGCAGTAGTAAGTCTATGTTTAATTTTTTAAGAGACGAACTTTTCCAACACGGTTGCACCATTTTACATTCTCACTAGCACTGTATGAGGGTTCCAGTTTCTCTCATCCTCCCCCAACTTACTTTTCCTCTTTATCATCTATTATCCTAGTGGGTGTGAAGTAGTTTCTCAGTGTGGTTTTGATTTGCATTTCCCTAACAACTAATGATGTTGAACATCTTTCCATTTGCTTATTGTTCATTTGTATATTTTCTTTGGAGAAATACCTATTCAGATCCTAGCTCATTTTTCAAAAATTGGGTGTGTCATCTTTTTCTTTATATATTTTATTTATTTATTTTAGAGATGAGATCTCACTTTAGAGTTCTGCTGTCAAACTCCTGGCCTCAAGCAGTCTTCCACCTTGGCCTCCCAAAGTGCTGGGATTACAGGCATGAGCCACTGCGCCTGGCCTATTTATCTTTTTATTGTTGAGTTGGAGTATTTATTTATTTATTTATTTATTTATTTTGAGATGGAGTCTTGTTCTGTTGCCCAGGCTGGAGTGCAGTGGCGTGATCTCGGCTCACTGCAACCTCCACCTCCCAGGTTCAAGTGATTCTCCTGCCTCAGCCTCCTGAGTAGCTGGGATTACAGGTGCGCACCAACACGTCCGGCTAATTTTTGTATTTTTAGTAGAGACAGGGTTTCACCACGTTGGTCAGGCTGGTCTCGAACTCCTGACCTCATGATCCGCCCTCCTTGGCCTCCCAAAGTGTTGGGATTTCAGGCGTGAGCCACTGCGCACAGCCCGGAGTAATTCTTTATGTATCATTTTTGTTTTTTGAGACGGAGCTGCCTCTATTGCCCAGGCTGGAGTGCAGTGGCGCCATCTCTGCTCACTGCAACCTCTGCCTCCTGGGTTCAAGCAATTCTCCTGCCTCAGCCTCCCTAGTAGCTGGGATTACAGGTGCCCATCACCACGCCCAGCTAGTTTTTGTAGTTTTAGTAGAGATTGGGTTTTGCCATGTTGGCCAGGCTGGTGTCGAATTCCTGTCCTCAAATTATCCTCCTGCCTCGGCCTCCCAAAGTGCTGGGATTATAGGCATGAGCCACTGCACCTGGCATTCTGTTTTTTTTTTTTTTTTGAGGTGGAGTCTCGCTCTGTTGCCCAGGCTGGAGTGCAGTGGCGCGATCTCAGCTCACTGCAACCTCTGCCTCCCAGTTTCAATCAATTCTCCTGCCTCAGCCTCCCGAGTAGCTGGGACTACAGGCACTCGCCACCATATCCAGCTCATTTTTGTATTTTTAGTAGAGATGGGGTTTCACTATGTTGGCCAGGCTGGTCTCGAACTCCTGACCTTGTGATCTGTCTGTCTCAGCCTCACAAAGTGCTGGGATTACAGGCCTGAGCGACTGCGCCTGGCTGCATTCCTTGCATATTCTTATTCTGTGGTTTTTATTTTCTTTTTTGAGACAGGGTCTCAGTCTGTCACCCAGGCAGGAGTAGCGCAATTTTGGCTCACTGCAGCCTTGACCTCTTGGACTCAAAGCAATCCTCCTACCTCATCCTCCTGAGTAGCTGGGACTGCAGATGTGCGCCACTATGCCTGGCTAATTTTGTAGAGACCAAGTTTCACCATGTTGCCCAGGCTGGTCTCAAACTCCTGAGCTCAAGTGATATGCCCACCTCAGCCTCCCAAAGTGTTGGGATTACAAGCATTAGCCGCTGTGCTCAGTCTCTTTGAGCTTTCTTGATGGTGTTGGTGTTTTTGACATGCAAAGGTTTTACATTTTCAGTAAATCGATTTATTGATTTTTTAAATTGTTTGTGCTTTTGGTAATGTATATAAGAAACTATTACTTTCCCCAGGATCATGAAGATTTACTCCCTCCTATGCTTCTTTTAAGAATTTTATTTTGTTGTTAAGTTTTGGGAGGATTTTTTTTTTTTTGAGACGGAGTTTTGCTCTTGTTGCCCAGGCTGGAGGGCAATGACACGCTCTCAGCTCACTGCAGCCTCCGCCTCCTGGATTCAAGCAATTCTCCTGCCTCAGCCTCCTGAGTAGCTGGGATTACAGGCTCCCGCCACAATGCCCGGCTAATTTTTTATATTTTTAGTAGAGACGGGGTTTCACCACATTGGCCTGGCTGATTTTGAACTCCTGACCTCAGGTCATCCACCCGCCTCAGCCTCCCAAAGTGTTGGGATTACAGGTGTGAGCCACTGCGCCTGGCCCTTGGGAGGACCTTTTTTTTATTATTATTTTTTTGAGACAGAATCTTGCTCTGTTGCCCAGGCTGGAGTGGAACTCCCAGGCTTAGGTGATCATCCTGCCTCAGCCTCCTCGATAGCTGGGACTACAGGCATACAACACCACACTCAGCTCGAGTTTTATAGTTTTAGCTCCTGTATTTAGGTCTTTGCTCCATTTTGAGTTAATTTTTGTGTATAGTGTGAAGTAGCATATAGATATCCAGTTGTCCTAGCATCATTATTTGATTTGTATGTGGATATCCAGTTGTTCCAACACATTTATTGAAAGATTGCCTCTTGCCTAATGAATATTTTTGGCAGTTTTATCAAAAATTAGTTGACAATATAAATGTAAGAGTTTATTTCTGGGCTCTTAATTCTATTCTGTTGATCTATATGTCTTTCTTTATGCCAGTACCACACTGCCTTGATGGCTGTAGCTTTGTAACATGTTTTGAAATTGGGAAGTGTCAGTCCTCCACCTTTGTTCTTTTTCAAGATTGTATCAGTTATTTTGGGTCCCTTGCCTCCCTTCCCCTTCCCCTTCCCCTTCCCTTTCGACAGAGTCTAGCTTTGTTGCCCAGGCTGGAGTGTGCAGTGGCGCGATCTCGGCTCACTGCAACCTCTGCCTCCTGGGTTCAAGCCATTCTTCTGCCTCAGCCCTGAGTAGCTGGGATTACAAGCATGGATGACCACTCCAGTTAATTTTTGTATTTTTAGTAGAGATGGGGTTTCACCATATTGGCCAGGCTGGTCTTGAACTCCTGACCTCGAGTAATCCACCTATCTTGGCCTCCTAAAGTGCTAGAATTACAGGTGTGAGCCACCACACCCGGCCTGGCTCCTTTGCATTTCTTTCTTTCTTTACTTTTTTTTGTTTGTTTGTTTTGAGATGGAGTCTCGCTCTGTCACCTGGGCTGGAGTGCAATGGTGTGATCTCGCTCACCGCAACGTCTGCCTTACGGGTTCAAGCAATTCTCCTGCCTCAACTTCCCGAGTAGCTGAGATTACAGGCGCCCTCCACCACGCCTGGCTAATTTTTGTATTTTTAGTAGAGATGGGGTTTCGCCATGTTGGCCAGGCTGGTTTCAAACTCCTGACCTCAGGTGATCCATGTGCCTTGGCCTCCAAAGTGCTGGGATTACAGACGTGAGCCGCCTTGCCCGGTCCCTTGCATTTCTTCTTTTTTTTTTTTGAGACAGAGTCTCACTCTGTTGCCCAGGCTGGACTGCTGCAGTGGCGCGATCTTGGCTCACTGCAAGCTCCGCCTCACGGGTTCACGCCATTCTCCTGCCTCAGCCTCCCGAGCAGCTGGGACTACAGGCGCCCACCACCACACCTGGCTAATTTTTTATATTTTTAGTAGAGGCGGTGTTTCACCATGTTAGCCAGGATGGTCTTGATCTCCTGACCTCGTGATCTGCCTGCCTCGGCCTCCCAAAGTGCTGGGATTACAGGCATGAGCCACCGTGCCTGGTGGTCCCTTGCATTTCTATATGAAATTTAGGATCAGCTTGTCAATTTCTGCAAGAAAGGAACCTGGGGTTTTGATAGGATTCAGTTGAATCCGTGACCAATTTGGTTAGTATTGCCATCTTAACAATGTTAAATCTCTGATCCATAAACATGGAATGCCTTTCCATTTATTTAGGTCGTCTTTAATTTTATTCAGCAATGTTTTATTGTTTTCAGTGTGTAAGTCTTACACTTTGGTTAATTTTTTTTTTTTTTTGAGACAGGGTCTCACTCTGTTGCCCAGGCTGGAATATAGTGGCACAATCACTGCCACATTGTAGCCATGACCTCCTGCACTCAAGTGATCCTGCCACCTCAGCCTCCTAAGTAGCTGGGACTACAGGCATGTGCCACCACACTCAGCTAATTTTTAAAAATTTTTTTGTGGAGGCAGGATCTTACTGTGTTGGCCAGGCTGGTCTTGAACTCCAAGTAATCCTCCTGCCTTGGACTCCCGAAGTTATTTATGCCACTGTACGTGCCATAAATTTTTTTCTAAGCTACTTCTTAGTGATGGTATTATAAATGGAATTGTTACCTTCATTTCATTTTGGGATTGTTCATTGCTAGTATATAGAAGGTTATTTAAATTTTGCACTCATTTATTCAATGGTCAGAATAAATGTGTGGCCAGCATGACTTCCAACTGTTTGACAGTGTTGCTTAATTATTTTGTCTCGATCAGCCGCATTTTACACTAGATACCCTGGACTAGTTGTGGGTACCTTAGGCTTAGTTTATAGCATTATGTTACTCTGTGTATTAAAAGCACATCAAAATAGCACTGTGTGTAAATCATTTGATTTAAGTCATATTCAGAATGTAGTGCCTTTAATTTCATAATACACAAAATATACATTTTTTTTTTTTTTGAGATGGAGTCTCACTCTGTCACTTAGGCTGGAGTGCAGTGGCGAGATCTCGGCTCACTGCAACCTTTGCCTCCCGTATCCAAGAGATTCTTCTGCCTCAGCCTCCCGAGTTGTTGGGATTACAGGCACCCACCACCACGCCTGGCTAATTTTTGTATTTTTGTATTTTTAGTAGAGACGGGGTTTCACCATGTTGGCCAGGATGGTCTCAAACTTCTGACCTCAGGTGATCCACCCGCCTCGGCCTCCCAAAGTGCTGGGATTACAGGTATGAGCCACTGCACCCAGCCGAAAATATACATTTTCGAATAGATAAATGTACATTTTGAAGGAAAATTCACTTGGTTTTATTTTTTGATTAGTCATGAGTAGCCTCTACAGTTAAGTTGTCATGTAAAAAAAATTTTTTTTTTTTTTTTTTTTTTTGAGACGGAGTCTCGCTCTGTCGCCCAGGCTGGAGTGCAGTGGCGCGATCTCGGCTCACTGCAAGCTCCGCCTCCCGGGTTCACGCCATTCTCCTGCCTCAGCCTCCCGAGTAGCTGGGACTACAGGTGCCCGCTACCACGCCCGGCTAATTTTTTGTATTTTTAGTAGAGACGGGGTTTCACCGTGTTAGCCAGGATGGTCTCGATTTCCTGACCTCGTGATCCGCCCGCCTCGGCCTCCCAGAGTGCTGGGATTACAAGCGTGAGCCACCGCGCCCGGCCAAATTTTTTTTTTTTTTTTTTTTTTTGAGACAGGGTTTCGCTCTTGTTGCCCAGACTGGAGTGCAATGGCGCGATCTCGGCTCACTGCCATCTCTGCCTTCCAGGTTCAAGTGATTCTCCTGCCTCATCCTCCCGAGTAGCTGGCATTGCAGGCATGGGCCACCACGGCCGACTAATTTTGTATTTTTTTAGTAGAGATGGGGTTTCTCCATATTGGTAAGGCTGGTCTCGAACCCCCAACTTCAGGTGATCTGCCCGCCTCGGCCTCCCAAACTGCTGGGACCACAGGCATGAGCCACCGCACGTGGCTTTTTTTTTTTTTTTTTTTTTTTTTTTTTTTTTTTTTTTTTTTTTTTTTTTTTTTTTTTGAGATGGAGTCTTGCTCTGTTGCCCAGGCTAGAGTGCAGTGGCGTGATCTCGGCTCACCGCAACTTCTGCCTTCTGGGTTCAAGCAATTCTCCTGCCTCAGCCTCTTGAGTAGCTGGAACTACAGGCATGCGACACCGCACCCGTCTAATTTTTGTATTTTTATTAGAGACTGGATTTCATCGTATTGGCCAGGCCGGTCTCGAACTCCTGACCTCGTGATCTGCCCGCATCGGCCTCCCAAAGTGCTGGGATTACAGGTGTGAGCCACCATGCCCAGCCTGTCATATAAAATTAAAAGCAAAAGCTGGGGCCGGGTGTGATGGCTCACGCCTGTAATCCCAGCACTTTGAGAAGCCGAGGAGGGCGGATCACCTGAGGTCAGGAGTTCGAGACCAGCCTGGCCAACATGATGAAACCCCATCTCTACTAAAAATGCAAAAATTAGGGCCGGGAGTGTTGACTCACGCCTGTAATCCCAGCACTTTGGGAGGCTGAGGTGGGCAGATCACAAGGTCAGGAGATCAAGACCATCCTGGCTAATATGTGAAACCCCATCTCTACTAAAAATATAAAAAATTAGCCAGGCATGGTGGCAGGCACCTGTAATCCCAGCTACTCGGAAGGCTGAGGCAGGGGAATCACTTGAACCTGGGAGGTGGAGGTTGCAGTGAGCCGAGATGGCGCCACTGCACTCCAGCCTGGGCAACAGAGCAAGACTCCATCTCAAAAAATATATATATATACACAAAAATTAGCCAAGCATGGTGGTACATGCCTATACTCCCAGCTACTCAGGAGGCTGAGGTAGGAGAAACACTGGAACCTGGGAGGCGGAGGTTGCAGTGAGCTGAGATGGCACCGCTGCACTCCAGTCTGGGTGACAGAGTGAGACTCCATCTCAAAAAAGAAAAAAAAAAAAAAAACCCGGGTGCCTATAGTCCCAGCTACTTGGAACGCTGAGGCAGAAGAATCACTTGAGGAGTTTAAGGCTCTGGTATGCTATGATCATACCCCTTCATAGCTATTGACTGCATTCCAGTCTGGGCAACATAGAAAGACCTCATCTCTATTTGTAAAATAATTTAGAGTGAAATTCCCATAGTGTTGTTTGTGTACTGTGTTTTGTTCATTACCATATTTGCCTGTTGTTGAAGTATAAGAGAATTGTTAGGCTGGTTTATTTCATTCATTCTCTTTCAGTTATGAGACAAAGAATTAAACCTTTAAATTTTATGTTTATTAGATTATTTCTGAAACTTTTAACATATTTTTCAGGGTCAGTTAAATGAAAGCATGGACCATGGGGGAGTTGGACCATATGAACTGTAAGTTTATATGAAGAGATTTTCATTGTGTTGTCTTTCTTACAAGTAGGTTTTATCAGTTCTATTTCGTAGCAATCATGTGATTCCTGTAACCTGTTCTTAAATATGTAGTCATATTTATCAACTCGATGTATTGAATTTGGCACCAAAATCTGATCAATATAACCTATCAGAGTTTTGAGATTATGTATGGATTTTGAGGAAAAGATATTAATTCAGATTCAGAGTACTAAATATGAATCTGAGTTGTTAGTTTAAAGAGCCACAGTTTTAATCTTTTCTTACAGAAAAATTTGTAGAAATGCCTCAAAAAGTCAAATGCTTTCTGTTTTGCTTAAATATACAAACAGAAATTCATACAGTCATTCAAACAGAAATTCATGCAATCCGGCTGGGCACAGTGGCTCACACCTGTAATCCCAGCAGTTTGGGAGGCCAAGGTGGGCGGGTCATTTGAGATCAGGAGTTCGAGACCAGCCTGGCCGACATGGCGAAACCCCGTCTCTTCTTAAAATTCAAAAATTAGCCGGGCGACATAGCGAGACTCCGTCTCAACAGCAACAACAAAAAAGAAATTCATGTAATCTTAAGTCATTTTAGACAAGCTCCATTAGGTGAGTATGGTGATTAATCTGCTCTGTATTGTACTCTCAAGTAAAAAGCATTAGTGTAGGAGGAGAATGAGAAGATAGATCACTCATGTAGAAAGCATTTAAATGACAGAGACAATTGCTACCCCTTTTGGATTCTTTATTTTTATTTTTTTGGAGATGGAGTCTCCCTCTGTCACCCAGGCTGGAGTGCAGTGGCACAATCTCGGCTCACCACAACCTCCACCTCCTGGGTTCAAGCGATTGTCCTGCCTCAGCCTCCCAAGTAGCTGGGACTACAGGAGCGCACCACCACACCTGGCTAATTTTTGTTGGGTTTTTTTTTTTTTTTTTTTTTTTTGAGACAAAGTCTCGCTCTTGTTCCCAGGCTGGAGTGTGATGGCATGATCTCGGCCCACTGCAACCTCTGCCTCCCAGGTTCAAGTGATTCTCCTGCCTCAGCCTCCTGAGTAGCTGGGATTATAGGTTCCTGCCACCACGCCCAGCTAATTTTTGTATTTTTAATAGAGACGGGGTTTCACCATGTTGGCTAGGCTGGAATTTTTGTATTTTTAGTGGAGACAGGGTTTTACCATGTTGGCCAGGCTGGTCTTGAACTCTCGACCTCAAGTGATCCGCCCACCTCAGCCTCCCAAAGTGCTGGGATTACAGGCATGAGCCACCACGCCCATTGGATTCTTTAAATCAAGCTAATAACTTGAAAAAACAGATACAGAGAAGAAGTTTTGTACTATGATGTGAACTAATTGGGTAGTTTTGGAAAGATCCCTGATTTTCTGCTGACATTGCCAAATGAGGTTGGATAATACCTAATTTCATAGATATTTTCAATGAAGTAAATTTGAATAACTGCAAGACTTTTTTTCTTTGTCAACTTAATGAACTTTTTCTAACTTACCTTAGCTTTGGGGTGCTTGATGCTTATGAAAATAAATAATTGTCTTCTTTTACTTTGTTGCACTCCTAAGAGCAAGATGGGTCACCAGCAGCTGTATTGGAGTCACCCATGAAAATTCAATCAGGGTTCTTGCTCTTGTTGTGTCTGCTCAAACTGGCAAGGTCTGATCCAGAAATACGGCCTCAATATGTGCGCCAGTGTTTCTATCAGTAAACGAAGGATATAGATTTCATTAAGTTGGACTAAGTGATCTTACTTGAATGGATTATCCAAGGCATCTACCCAATGAAAAACCATAGTACCCCTTTATGCATAAAATAAACAATTATAAAAATAAGTAAATAATTGATTGCCCATTCTATGAACAAGGAGGCAAACGATTATCAGGCCACCCTCCTCTTGACCTGCTGTTCTGTTTGTTTAGAGCACAAATAATTTGGTGTCATGTACTTTTTTACTTTTACTTACTTAGATTACATTTCTCTGTCTCCTTTTTCTTGACTATATGCTGAAAGTAATTTAACTTTTTGCAAATTTATTTTTGGTTTTGCTTTTCTTCCCAGTGGCATGGAACATTGTGAGAAATTTGAAATCTCAGAAACTAGTGTGAACAGAGGGCCAGAAAAAATCAGACCAGAATGTTTTGAGCTACTTCGGGTACTTGGTAAAGGGGGCTATGGAAAGGTAGGCAATATTTTTGAAATGAGAGCTGTTGTCTGTCTTGAATAGATTGATTTTTATGCCCTGGTTCCAGCAGTCATCTTCAGTCTTTGTCAGCTATCAGCAAAGGATGTGATCATGACCACTTAGCTGGTATGTTTGAGGGATGTACAGAAGTTCAGTTTTCCCTTCTTTTCATACCACCACACATGTAAAAGCCTGGCACATAATAGGTACTCAGTCAAGGTTCATAGAATACATAAATAGACAACTGTACCAGGCAAAGTCTATTATTAAAGGGTTCATTCTTTACTTTGGTTAAATGGTATCCTCTTTAAAAATAAAGCCCTCCTTGCTTACAAGAGACATGGCAGTCTGAGTTGTTATCTGTTACTGAGACCTTAATCTCAACTGGTTTTCTGGAGCAATAGAATTGGGGAAGCTGAAGGAATATAAAAAGGGGGAAGAAAACTATTTAGTTTCACAGTTTTGCCCAAGGCTTTACAACTTAAGACGTCACTTTTATGAGTTCTGCCCACAAAACTTTTTACCAAACTATTCTCTTATCAAAATAATTTAGATAATAACTTGGTTAGTATTAAGTTTTAAGAATTATTTTTGCTATTGTGTAGTGTTAATTTTTGCAAAGCAGACATTTGTAGCCTATTCTTATGCTTAAGAACACATTGTAATTTCTAATCATCCTGAATGTGCAACACATGCACTTTGAATCTCACATGTTTTAGGTGTTGCATGAAAATGTTTATAGTTGTCTTTCAGTATGGGGGAGGGGTAAGGGAGAACTGATTCCAAGACCTTTGCAGATAACAAAATCTGCCGACGCTCAAGTGCCTTATATAAAATGGCATAGTATTTGCATATAAGCTACACACATCCTCCCATATGCTTAATTTTTTATTTTATTTTTTATGATTTTTGAGACAGAGTCTCGTTCTTTCCCGCAGGCTGGAGTGCAGTGGCACGATCTCAGCTCACTGCAACCTCTGCCTTCCAGATTCAAGCGATTCTCCTGCCTCAGTCTCCCGAGTAGCTGGGATTACAGGTGTGCGCCACCACATCCGGCTAATTTTTGTATTTTTAGTAGAGATGGGGTTTCACCATGTTGGCCAGGCTGGTCTTGAACTCCTGACCTCAGGTGATCCACCCGAGTTGGCCTCCCAAAGTGCCGGGTTTACAGTTGTGAGCCACCTCACCTGGCCATATTTGTGTTATTTTTTATTGTTTGTATTGTTTATTGTTTTTTCCCCCAAATATTTTCATTCTGCGGTTGGTTGAATCCACGGCTGCTGAACCTGTAGATTCAGAGGGCCAAGTATTAGTACAAACTATTTTAAGTAATAGGTAAACAGTAATTTCCTGCCAACTATTTTTAAATAGTTTTATGTGAAGCAAGGGCAGTGGCAAGCAACCTTGAAAGAAATTTATGAAATATTTTATAATTTTTACTGCCAACTATTTTTAAATAGTTTTATGTGAAGCAAGGGCAGTGGCAAGCAACCTTGAAAGAAATTTATGAAATATTTTATAATTTTTAAGGTGGTATTATGCCTCTGGGAACACTGTTTATAGCTTGTTCTAAGTAGGATTTTATATATTAATATAAAGTAACAGTGTTTATTATTAGATGGTCATTGTCCAACATTACCACCAGATGGCAGCAGAACAAACAGGAAAGTCATGATCATTAATGTGGTCTGTTCTTTTAGCTGATCATTTTTGCACATAGTTTTTATAATATAAACTGCTGTGGCATATGTTTCTTATAACTAGGAATTAAGGGAGTATGCCTGACATAGTTTGCCTTTGAATAACACACACTTTTTTTTAATCCAGGTTTTTCAAGTACGAAAAGTAACAGGAGCAAATACTGGGAAAATATTTGCCATGAAGGTGCTTAAAAAGGTGATTTCCACTCCCCCTTTTTAGTCCTCACACACCATATTTTTACACTTGATCTCAGCCAAAAGGCTGGGAAGCAATCATATCATATTTTTAATTGTTGTAACATTTTGGCCTAAAATTTGCAGTCAAAAAAATGTATCTCAAGCCAGGTACAGTGGTGCACACCTGTGGTCCCAGCTACTTGGGAGACTGAGTCAGGAGGATTGCTTGAACTTAGGAGTTCAAGGGTAGCCTGAGCAATGTAGTAAGACCCAGTCTCTTACAGAAAAAATGTATTTATTTTCTTTTCTTTTTTTTTTTTTTGAGACGTAGTCGCGCTCTGTCGCCCAGGCTGGAGTGCGGTGGTGCGATGTCGGCTCACTGCAACCTCCACCTCCCGGGTTCAGGTAATTCTCCTGCCTCAGCCTCCCGAGTAGCTGGGACTACAGGTGCATGCTGCCACGCCCAGCTACTTTTTTGTATTTTTGATAGAAACGGGGTTTCACCATATTGGCCAGGATGGTCTTGATCTCCTGACCTCAGTGATCCACCTGCCTCGGCATCCCAAAGTGCAGGGATTACAGGCATGAGCCACCGCACCCGGCAAAAAATGTATTTCTAACACAGTTGCAATACTTTTTAGAATGTGAGGTATGTTTCATTACTGTTATTCCTATTTTTATTTCTGCTTGGTGAGTGTGGAAAAGAGAGCTCTTGCAATTCTTTGCTGAGGTAACTCTTCACTGTTTCTGATCTCCTTATTTCTAAGTAATAAGCATGTACTGCCATCTCTTTTTTTTTGAGATGAACTCTCACTCTGTTGTCCAGGCTGGAGTGCAGTTGTACAATCTCAGCTCACTGCAACCTCTGTCTCCCAGGTTCAAGTGATTCTCCTGCCCTAGCCTCCCTAATAGCTGGGATTACAGGCGCCTACCACCACGCCTGGCTAATTTTTGGATTTTTAGTGTAGACGGGGTTTCACCATATTGGCCAGGCTGGTCTCGAACTCCTGACCTCAGGTGATCCATCTGCCTCGGCCTCCCAAACTGCTGGGATTACAGGCACGAGCCACTGCGCCTGGCCTACTGCTATCTTTTTTTTTTTTTTTTTTTTTTTTATTGTGACAGAGTTTTGCTCTTGTTGCCCAGGCTGGAGTGCAGTGGAGTGATCTCGGCTCACCACAACCTCCGCCTCCCAGGTTCAAGTGATTCTCCTGCCTCAGCCTCCCTAGTAGCTGGGATTACAGGCATGTGCCACCACGCCCGGCTAATTTTGTATTTTTAGTAGAGATGGGGTTTCTCCATGTTGGTTAGGCTGGTCTCGAACTCAGGTGATCTGCCCGCCTTGGCCTCCCAAAGTGCTGGGATTACAGGCATGAGCCACCATGCCCAGCCAACTGCTATCTTTTTAATTCAGCAGTTTTCAATTTTTTTTTTTAGACGGAGCCTCACTCTGTTGCCCAGGCTGGAGTGCAGTGGCGTGATCTCAGCTCACTGCAACCTCCACCTCCCAGGTTAAAGCGATTCCTCTGCTTCAGCTTCCTGAGTGTCTGGGATTACAGGCGCCCACCACCACACCCGGCTAATTTTTGTATTTTTAGTAGAGATGCGGTTTCGCCATATTGGCATGCTGGTGTCGAACTCCTGACCTCGGGGGATCGGCCCGCCTTGACCTCCCAAAGTGTTGGGATTACAGGCGTGAGCCACCGAGCCTGGCAGTATTAACTTTCTTTTATGCGAGTTAAGGATTTGTTTCTTGTTTACTTCACCCTCCTTTATCCTCATCCTCTCATTTTGTTTTGCTTTCTTTGAATCTACTATTGTCCTCTGATGTCTTCCAACAACTTTGTAAAACACCTTTCAGTCTAATGTTCTTTGATCAGGCTTATAAGATAATCTATCAGTTCCATTTATTTCCCAGAGGCATATCTTAGGAACTTTCTATCCACCTGTTCCCATCTGGAGTGGTAGCTCTTTAGTCACAACTGTTATGACTGGACTCTTTCTTCACCACAACCCTGGAATCCTCTTGGCTCCTTCAGTGTTGGATCTTTTGTTTCCTGGATCCCATATCTTCATTTTTTCCCTTTTTCTTAGTTTATGTCCTTGTTTTGGTGACACTATACTAGTGGCTCCCTCAGACAAGGTATATAAAGATACATTTATAATAAAAATATATCCATATTGCATATTTGAGAATTTCTTTACATTTTTATTTACTTGATTGTTTATGTTATTGGAGTTGAAAATTATTTTCACTTAGAATTTTGCTCAGTTTTCTTCTATTCTTGAGAGTTTCTGTTGAAGTGCTTTGGCATTCTGATTCCCAGTCGTTTACACATGGCCTATTTTTTCTGTGGAAATATTTAAGATTTTCTCTTTATTTCTGATCTAAGTTTTTATAGTGATGTGTGTTGCTTTGACTTTGATTATTATTTTTATTTAGTTAGTTTTTGAGATAGGGTCTCGCCCTGTCACCTAGACAGGAGTGCGGTGACACAATTATAGCTCAGTGCAACCTCAAATTCCTGGGCTCAAGCTATCCTCCCACCTCAGTCTCCTGAGTAGCTGGGACCACAGACACGCACCACCAGGCCTGGCTAATAAAAAAAAATGTAGAGATGGGCACTCACCATGTTGCCCAGGCTGGTGTTGAACTCCTGGGCTCAAGTGATCCACCCGCCTCGGCCACCCAAAGTGCTGGGATTGGATTACAGGTATGGCCCACTGCGCCCGGCCTATTTAATTAAATTAATTAATTTATTTATTTTTAAGAGACAGGGTCTCACTCTGTTTCCCAGGCTGGAGTGTGGTGGTGTGATCATACTTCACTGTAACCTGTAACTCCTGGGCTCAAGCGATCCTCCTGCCACAACTTCTGAGTAGCTAGGACTGCAGATGCATGCCACCACGCCCAGTTCATTTTTAAAATGTTTCGTAGAGACAAGGTCTTCCTGTGTTTCCCCGGCTGGCCTGGAACTCCTGGCCTCAAGCAGTTGTTCTGTTTTGGCTCCCAAAGTGTTGGGATTACAGGCATGTGCCACTGTGCCCAGCCTATTTTTATTCTTTTAATCTTAAAGCTTTAGTCTTTCAGTTCTAGGAAATTTTCTTATGTGATTTATTTGGTAATTTCCTTCCCACTGTTTTCTCTTCTTGGAATTGCAATTAGTTGGATGTTGGATCTCCTGGACCGATCATCTAATTTTTCTTATCTTTTCCACGTTTCCATTTCTTTGTCTTGTTTACTTTCTTCTACTCAATTTTTTTTTGAGATGGAGTTTTGCTCTTGTTGCCCAGGCTGGAGTGCAATGGCGCAATCTTGGCTCACCGCAACCTCCGCCTCCTGGGTTCAAGCGATTCCCCTGCCTCAGCCTCCCGAGTAGCTGGGATTACAGGCATGTGCCACCATGCCCGGCTAATTTTGTATTTTTAGAAGAGACAGGGTTCCTCCATGTTGGTCAGGCTGGTTTCGAACTCCTGACTTAGGTGATCCGCCCGCCTTGGCCTCCTGAAGTGCTGGGATTACAGGCGTAAGCCACTGTGCCCAGCCATTTGACTAAATTTTTTTTTAAAGCTGTTGTATTTGTGATTCTCCAGAATTCTTTCTGTTGTTTTTGTTTTATAGCAACCTGTTTAATGAGTATAATATCTTCTCTTACCCCTCTGAGAGTTTTATTTTTTTTTAATGTTTATTATTATTTTTTTGAGACAAGAGTCTCACTCTGTCGTGCAGGTTTGAGTGCAGTGGTGCGATCTTGGCTCACTGCAACCCCTGCCTCCTGCGTTCAAGCGATTCTCCTGCCTCAGCCTCCTGAGTAGCTGGGATTACAGGTGCCCGCTACCACACCTGGCTAATTTTTGTATTTTTAGCAGATATCGGGTTTCATCATGTTGGCCAGACTGGTCTTGAACTCCTGACCTCAGGCAAAACGTCCACCTCGGCATCCCAAAGTGCTGGGATTACAGGTGTGAGCCACCACGCCCAGCCTCTCTGAGAGTTTAATTATAATTATTTGAAATGTTCTTTTGTTTTACGCATGTTCTTTTTTGACTTTCTGTTTTCTTTGACTTTGATTTAGTCAGTTTTAGTCACTTTGTTCCATGTTAGAGGCCTTCTTTAGATGTCTGGTGTCATTCACTGATTATTCTTTTTTTTTTTTTTTTTTTTGAGTTGGAGTCTTGCTCTGTCGTCTAGGCTGGAGTGCAGTGGCACAGTCTCGGCTCACTGCAATTTCCACCTCCTGGGTTCAAGCGATTCTTGTGCCTCAGCCACCCAAGTAGCTGGGATAACAGGCATGTGCCACCCTGCCTGGCTAATTTTTGCATTTTTAGTAGTGACAGGGTTTCGCCATGTTGTCAGCCTGATCTCGAACTCCTGACCTCAAGTGATCTGTCCACCTAGGCCTCAATAACCCATCCACTGCGCCTGGCCTGATTATTCATATTTAAGAGTAGAACTCTGAAAAGCTGATCAGAAGTTCTGTGTGTGTAAGCTTCTCTGCAGGGTAGTCAAGTGGTTAGCTGGCACTTGATCAACAACTTCAAATAATAGTGTCTGTAGGGCTGGGTGTGGTGGCTCACGCCTGTAATCCCAGCACTTTCGGAGGCTGAGGCAGGTTGATCACCTGAGGTCAGGAGTTCAAAACCAGCCTGGCCAGCTGGTTTGGGGGCGCTGAGGCAGGAGAATCGCTTGAGCCTGGGAGGTGGAGGTTGCAGTGAGCCAAGATTGCACCATTGTGCTCTAGCTTGGACAACAAGAGCGAGACTCCATCTCAAATAAATAAATAAGTAAATATTGTCTGTAGATCTTTTTTTTTCTGGGGAGGATCAGTTGGTGCTAAGAAAGTTCTGCCATTCATTTGCCTGGAAAAAGCATTCTGGAGCTGAGTGAGAGAAGATGGAGATCTTACCTCTCAACACGCGGACTTTCACTAAACTCGAGTTTTTACATTAGTACTTTACTCTGTGGATCTAATCTTTCACTTTTTTTTTTTGTCCCGGGGAATTTAACTCTCCTAGGGTTAGTTCTTCGACTTAGTATGGAGATGGGAGCCTTTTTGGTCTGTCTGTTCCTTACACAGACTTGTAGATGATCTCCCTGTTTTTAGCACTCCACCTTCTGCCTTCTACAGTCTTCAGTTCCTTTAATTTTTTCCCTTCCTTCTAATTTTTCCTCTAATGTTTGAACCTTGCTGGGGTTCTATAGATAGATTCAACTTCTTTTGTGTATTCCCCTTTGCAGGCACTTAGGTTTGATCTTACCCCACTCTGCTACATCATGGACCATTGCTTTATCCCCACTCTGTCTTTTCAGGTGTGGGATTCCACATGTCTTCTAGTTTTACTGATGGATTATGTGTGTGTTTGTTTTCTTATTCTTGTTTGGGATTGATTACTGAAAAGATTCCACTGTCTTTTTTTTTTTTCCTGGGTTCAAGTGATTCTTCTGCCTCAACCTCCTGAGTAGCTGGGATTACAGGTGCCCGCCACCACACCCAGCTAATTTTTGTATTTTTAGTAGAGACAGGGCTTTGCCATGTTGGCCAGGCTGGTCTCGAACTCCTGACCGCAGGTGATCCACCCTTCTTGGCCTCCCAAAGTGCTAGGATTACAGGCATGAGTCACTGCGCCCGGCCTCCACTGTCTTAAAACAAAAGTTCCAGTGGAGAACTACTTTAAAGACAATCAAAGTGACTTTTTAAAAAAATTATAAGACTTGTAAAACTTTGGTCCTTCTTGCTGATTTTTATTTAAGCAGTATAAATGACTCCTCAGTTTGAAAGCTGAGGAACAAATACTGTGACCACAATTTTATTGGTAATTGTCTTTAAAAAGCCATCTAGCTATTCTTCACATCAGTTTCTTCTTCAGTGGGTTGACATTGATATCAGCTATTTGACTTTCCTGTTGGAATTGTTTTAGATTAATGATTTTTTAATCTGTAAAACATGTTAGGTATAGAATTGAAGGCAGCATAATAGTGCTTGTCCCAGAAATGTGAAAAGAAGTACTGGTCAAGATTTCTTCTTTTATTTGAAACAGAGTCTCACTACATCACCCAGGCTGGAGTGCAGTGGAGCGTTCTCAGCTCACTGCAACCTTTGCCTCTTGGGTTCCAGTGATTCTAGGGCCTCAGCCTCCCAAATAGCTGGGACTACAGGTGTGTACCACCACGCCTGGCTAATTTTTGTACTTTTGGTAGAGACAGGGTTTCACCATGTTGGCCAGGCTGGTCTCAAACTCCTGACCTCAAGTGACCGCCCACCTCAGCCCCCTAAAGTGCTGGAATTATGGGCGTGAGCCACTGCGCCCAGCCTCTGGTCAAGATTCTTAACTGATTCATTCCTTGTGATGTGTTATTTATGTCGGATAATCAGGCCTGACCATATTAGGCATAATTAGATCTTGGGTGAAGTATGTTTTTGGCACAGGTATCTAGTGAAAAAAAGAGTGCTTGTTTTTTTTCCCCACTCATGGTGGGTGGGGTGGTATATTGGGAAATCCATAGACTTAATTACTGCTAAGTGTCAGGCCTCATTCTGGGGCCCAGGGATCCAGGACCTAAGCTGTTTGCCTCTGCTTTTGCTTGGTTGCCATTGTTTCCCATTCTTGGGGTTCTTTTCTTAATCCTGGCTAGAGGATCTGATACTGTCTCCTTCCTTGTCCTTGAAAGCAAGCTCATAGCAAAAATAATGAAAATAAAGATGTCATTAGGGTTAAGTTCAGGGCTTTCATTTCTAAATCCCCAAGTAAGATGACTATAGGCTCCCTTTGAGTTCCTTCCTTCTGATTTTAATTATCCTGGAGGCAGAGTACTAACCCCTCTGACCTGAGTGTGTGGTAAGTGTATACCTCTTCCCCCAGACTTTAAGATGAAATCAGAGTAGAACCAGGTATCCCCTTAAGTGAGTTGTTTCAATCTGGACATTCTGTCTGGATTTATTAGTTCTCCTGGGACTGTTTACTTCTTATAGGAATGGTACCATTCAGGTATTTGCTTAGAGTGGAATAGTGAGGAAAAGACTATCAACAGCCATCACCCGACCCTACCAGTTGCAGCAAAAATATACCATGGAAGCAAAATACTATTGCCTACGGCATTAGTTCACCTCCCACTGTACATTTTAGAACCTTTGGCCAAAGGTGTTCTCCACCTCTGAAATATTGCGGTTTCATAGAACAATAACTTTCTCACTTTTGACTTACTTGATTCCTACAATGCCTGTTTTTTGGCCCTAAGCCCTTTAGTTAATAAATTTTAGTTAATAAATTTTCCTCATGTACAATTTGAGAGTTAACTGCAGATTTCATAGCACTTCACCCCTAATTTCATCTATACATCTCCTAAGAATAAGGGCATTTTTTTTTTTTTTTTTTGAGAAGCAGTCTCACTCTGTTGCCCAGGCTGGAGTGCAGTGGTGCAATTTTGGCTCACTGCAACCTCCACCTCCTGGGTTCAAGCGATTCTCCTGCCTCAGCCCCACAAGTAGCTGGGATTACAGGTGCCTCCTACCACGCCTGCCTAATTTTTGTAATTGTAGTAGAGACGAGGTTTCACCATGTTGGCCAGGCTGGTCTCAAACTCCTGACCTCAGGTGAGCCGCTCTCCTCGGCCTCCCAAAGTGTTGAGATTACAGACTTGAGCCTCCGTTCCCGGCCTCTTTTTCCTTTTGTAGTTAACAAGTGATCTGTGGAATGATAGAAACGGTGTGAATATTCTGTCCTATAATAATCTTTACTTAATGGTTTTATCTGGATTGTTTCTTGCCCAAATATTACTGTACTGTAGTGATTATAAAATGGAGACTTTTCTATTTTTTCTGTATTTTTTCTATATTGTCATTAGTCTGTAAAGATTTTTTTATACTCCTTTTTTTTTTTTTTTTTTTTTTTTTGAGATGAAGTCAGGCTGGAGTGCAGTGGTGTGATCTCAGCTCACTGCAGCTTCTGCCTCCCGGGTTCAAACTATCCTCCTGCCTCAGCCTCCAGAGTAGCTGAGACTACAGGCGTGCGCCATCGCGCCCAGCTAATTTTTTGTATTTTTAGTAGAGATGGGGTTTCACCATGTTGGCCAGGATGGTCTCGATCTCTTGACCCCGTGATCTAGCCACCTTGGCCTCCCAAAGTGCCAGGATTACAGACGTGAGCCACTGCGCCTGGCCCTATACTCTCTTTTAAAAAAATTTGTTTGTTTTTTTTTTTTGAGATGGAGGTTCACTCTGGTGCCCAGGCTGGAGTGCAACGATGTGGTCTTGGCTCACTGCAACCTCCATCTCCCAGGTTCGAGCAATTCTCCTGCCTCAGCCTCCTGAGTCGCTGGGATAGGTGCGTGCCACCATACCCAGCTGATTTTTGTATTTTTAGTAGAGATGGGGTTTCACTATGTTGGCCAGGCTGGTCTTGAACTCCTGACCTCATGATCTGCCCGCCTCAGCCTCCCAAAGTGCTGGGATGACAGGCATGAGCCACCGCACCTGGTCTTTTTTTTTTTTTGTGAGACAGGTTCTTCCTCTGTTGCCCAGGCTTGAGTGCAGTGGCATGATCATGGCTCACCACACCCTTGGACACCAGGCTGCCTCAGCTCACTGCAACCTCTGCCTCCCAGGTTCCAGTCATTCTCGTGCCTCAGCCTCTGGAGTAACGGGAGTATAGGTGTGTACTATCACACGTGGCTAATTCTTGTATTTTTAGTAGAGATGAGGTTTCTCCATGTGGGGCAGGCTGGTCTCAAACTCCTGGCCAACATGGTGATCCGCCTGCCTCGGTTTCCCAAAGTGCTTCATATTGTTAGCCCTAATTCTAGTCCAATTCCATAGCGTTCTTTTTTATTTTTATTTTTTTATTTTTGAGATGGAGTCTCGCTTTGTCCCCCAGGCTGGAATGCAGTGGTGTGATCTCGGCTCACTGCAGCCTCCACCTCCTGCGTTCAAGCAGTTTTCTGCCTCCGCCTCCTGAGTAGCTGGGATTACAGGTGCCTGCCACCACGCCCGGCTAATTTTTGTATTTTTAGTAGAGACGGGGTTTCATCATCTTGGCCAGGCTGGTCTTGAACTCCTGACCTTGTGATCTACCTGCCTCGGCCTCCCAAAGTGCTGGAATTACAGGTGTTAGCCACCGTGCCCGACCACATTCTTCTTTCAGTTCATATTTGGATATCCTTTTTTTCTACAGTGAGAAGAACTCTGGTAACAACATAAACGCACTCATTTGTTCAGTTGTACAATATGTGCATAATGAAAATTGTAATACCAATAGTATTTCCAGCTACAAACCTACTAAGTTTGATTTAATATTTCTTTGCAATTTTTTGTGTGCTTACATATAGGCCACTAAGGGTGTGCAGTCTAAAATTACTTAAATATCTTTTTCTCGCTGGGTGCAGTGGCTCACACCTGTAATCCCAGCACTTTGGGAGGCCAAGGCGGGCGGATCATGAGCTCAGTTCGAAACCAGCCTGGCCAGCATGGTGAAACCCCATCTCTACTAAAAATACAAAAATTAGCCAGGTGTGGTGGCAGGTGCCTGTAGTCCCAGCTACTTGGGAGGCTGAGGCAGGAGAATCACTTGAACCTGGGAGGCGGAGGTTGCAGTGAGCTGAGACCATGCCACTGCACTCCAGCCTGGGTGACAGAGTGAGACTCTGTCTAGAAAAAAAAAATCTTTTTCTCCTATATCTTTTTTCTCTTTCTCTTTCTGTGGTAAAGTTATTGGTGTAATAGTCAATTAAATTTGTGTATTCCTATTGTATTCAGTTGTACTTCCTACCCCTCATCCTTGTTGATTTTATTTTATTTTTGGAACTCATTAAACATTAATATGGTTCAAAAAGAAAAATCTACATTTTATAATTACAGTAATATTTGATTTAGGGAAGAAAAAAATGGATGATAAAACCATTGGGGTTTTACTCAGAAGGTATTCTCAAAAGTCTTATTTCTTTTCCTTCCCTTCCATTATCATTAGCTTTTAGTTTATCTTAGTTGTCTTCATTTTTGCAGGCATAAGCAGATACATATTATATATATTCTCATTTCCCCTTTCTTGTACAAAAGATAGCATAGTATCCATGCTGCTGTACTTTTAAGTACTCTTTTGTATCTTGTTTTTATAGAAATTTTTCTTATTTTTATTTTATTTATTTATTTATTTATTTATTTATTTTTTTGAGACGGAGTCTCACTTTGTCACCCAGGCTGGAGTGCAGTGGCGTGATCTCGGCTCACTGCAAGCTCCGCCTCCCAGGTTCATGCCATTCTCCCGCCTCAGCCTCCCAAGTAGCTTGGACTACAGGCACCTGCCACCATGCCCGACTAATTTTTTTTTGTATTTTTAGTAGAGATGGCGTTTCACCGTGTTAGCCAGGATGGTCTTGATCTCCTAACCTCATTATCCGCCCTCCTCGGCCTCCCAAAGTGCTGGGATTACAGGCGTGAGCCACTGCGCCCGGCTGATTTTTCTTATTTTTATAGCTTTGTTACATGTTGTGTAGATTCCATAGGTTTTGGGCCAATATCCTATGTCTGAGCATTTAGGCTGTTTCTAGTGTTCCACTTTCACAGATAATGTTGCAACCAATTACCTGTGTATTTGCTTTCCATATTACTTATGGAGATGTACCATCAGGGTAACTTCCTGGAACTTATACCTGGCATGTCTAAAACAGGGCATCATTTTCCCAAAACTTTTTCACTTTCTTTTGCCAATATTGAATGGCACCATTATCTGTCCTATTACTTATGCAGAAATAAAGGTATCATCATTTCTTCTCATAACTAGTTTGTCAGCAAATGCAAATTATGTATTAGCCTTTCATTTTTTTCTATCTTCATTTTCTTATAGATCTTCTTAGTTGGTTTATTATACTAGCCTCCTAACTAGTCTCATTTCTTTCCTAATACTCCCTACTGCTACTAGATGTGTCTTTCATAAAGCCAAAGGTGTGTTCATTTCACCCAGACCTTCCTTTGCCCAGACGTTCCATTTCCTGGCCTTTGCCTACTTCTCTAGCCTAATCTCTAACCACTTCTAACCATACCAAACTACTTGTAGATTTCCCAGACGTATTCTGTCCTCTTTTGCACTGGAATGCCTTTTTTTTACCTTCTACATTTCTTTCTTTCTTTTTTGTCTTTTTTTTACCCTTTTTGTGGAGAATGGGGTCACGCTTGTTACCAGGCAGATCTCGAACTCCTGGGCTCAAGCGATCCTCCTGCCTCTGCCCACCTAAGTGCTGGGATTACAGACATGAGCCACCACGTCCAGGCCACATTTCATTTTAATAACTTTCAAGCGAGACTTTCTGCTAGGTCAGATGTGGTTCCCCTGTTTACCCTTACCATCCTGCACTTGCCTACATTGACTTGTCTTTTTTTCCCTGAGACTTTGGGCTCCTGTCGACTTTTAGACTCCTATGGACAGGGCATTCCTTCTATTCTGCTTTCTTGGCACAGCCTGGAGGATGGTAGACACTCAATAGTTTGTGAATATATGAATAAACTTGATCTGATTACAGATTTCTTTTTTAAAAAGTCTCTTTAGGTAATTCACTTACGTGTTCACTGCAAAAAATCCAAACTGCACAGAGGCATATATAAAGTGAATGTTTTCCATTACCCCATCTCAGTTTCTAGTGGGAACTATGGTTAATAGTTCAATATTGGCAGGAAAAACACAAAATAGATTTTAGAATAAAATAGATTATAGAATAAAAATGTTCACTATTTTGTTCTTATAGATGATCTCTTTTCCTTTAGGCAATGATAGTAAGAAATGCTAAAGATACAGCTCATACAAAAGCAGAACGGAATATTCTGGAGGAAGTAAAGCATCCCTTCATCGTGGATTTAATTTATGCCTTTCAGACTGGTGGAAAACTCTACCTCATCCTTGAGTATCTCAGTGGTCAGTACACAGAGTTTGGTGTAATTATTTGCATTTGCTCCAGAAACTGGGTCAAAATGTTATTTTTCAATGGAAGAATACTTTTTCCCATTATGATCAAATAGTGCTTAAAATTGATGAGTACACTGAAGTACAAAATTCAGATGTGACCAAATGTTTCTATTGGCAGACAAATATGGAGGAAACTAAAGATTTTTTTCCCTCATCTGTAAAATTTTATTTTAATTCCTTTGTAATCACTCACTTAACAGAAAAACGAATACCTAAGTGATGCAGAGCCATCAAATTGTAGTGGGGTAAGATACTGTAATTTAAATAATTGGGAAGATTATTTAACATACTGACTATTTTTGGAATTGGGTCTTTAAACAAGAGTTTTTAGTTTAATGTAGCCTTAGTGATGGGGTATGTAGCTTATAATGGAAATCATCCATATTTGCCAGGGCCTACCACCTCGTAGGAACTTGTTGATTCCATATCATTTCTAGATCACAGGTGTCTATTTATTTTTTTTTTTGAGATGGAGTTTCACACTGGTCGCACAGGCTGTAGTGCAATGGTGTGATCTTGGGTCACTGCAACCTCTGCCTCCTGGAGTTCAAGCGATTCTCCTGCCTCAGCCTCCCGAGTAGCTGGGATTACAGGCATGTGCCACCACGCCTGGCTAATTTTTGTATTTTTAGTAAAGATGGGGTTTCACCATGTTGGTCAGGCTGGTCTCGAACTCCCGACTTCAGGTGATCCACCTAACTCGGCCTCCCAAAATGCTGGGATTACAGGTGTCAGCCACTGCACCCGGCCACAAGTATCTATTTCTAGCAAACACAGTTCAGTTCTCTGAGAAGGATTTTGCAGTAACGTGTAACATGGAACAGAAAGCTACAGAATGTAGCAACTGTTTTGTGACTATTGCCATTGGAAAAACTTTTTTTTTTTTTTTGAAGATGGAGTTTCGCTCTTCTCTCCCAGGCTGGAGTGCAGAGGCGTGATATCGGCTCACTGCAACTTCCGCCTCCCAGGTTCAAGCGATTGTCCTGCCTCAGCCTCCTAATTAGCTGGGACTACAGGCATGCGCCACCACACTTGGCTTTTTTTTGTATTTTTAGTAGAGCTGGGCTTTCACCATGTTGGCCAGGCTGGTCTTGAACTCCTGACCTCAGGTGATCTGCCCACCTTGGCCTCCCAAAGTGCTGGGATTACAAGTGTGAGCCACTGTGCCCGCCCGGAAAAACTTTATTTTGACATAATTTCATACTTAACACAAAAAGTTTTAAGAGTAGTATAAAGAATTCCTATGCCAGGCTCAGTGGCTCATGCCTGTAATCCCAGCACTTTGGGAGGCCAAGGTGGGCGGATCATGAGGTCAGGAGTTTGAGACCAGTCTGGCCAACATAGTGAAACCCTGTCTCTACTAAAAATAGAAAAATTAGCTGGGTATGGTGGTGTGCTCCTGTAATCCCAGCTACTCGGGAGGCTGAGGCAGGAGAATCGCTTGAACCTGGGAGACGGAGGTTGTGGTGAGCTGAGATCGCGCCAGTACACTGCAACCTGGGCAACAGAGCAAGACTCAGTCTCACACACACACACACACAAAATAAAAGAATTCCTATATATTTCTCACCTAGATTCCCCAGATGTTACCATTTCACCACATTTATTTTGTTTTATCCTATGTATATGTATATATGTGTATACATATATACATGCATGCATACATAATTGTTTTGAACTGTTTAAGAGAGTGTTACAGACATGATTTCCCTTTACCCCTAAAATTTCAGTGTATGTTTTCTTTCTTTTCTTTTCTTTTTTTTTTGAGATGGAGTCTCACTCTGTCGCCCAGACTGGAGTGCAGTGGTGCAATCTTGGGCTCACTACAACCTCTGCCTCTCGAGTAGCTGGGATTACAGGCACCCACCACCACGCCCAGCTAATTTTTGTATTTTTAGTAGAAATGGGGTTTCACCATGTTGGCCAGGCTGGTCTCGAATTCCTGACCTCAGGTGATCCGCCCACCTTGGCCTCCCAAAGTGCTGGGATTACAGGTGTGAGCCATTGCACCCAGCCTATTCAGTGTATATTTTCTAAAATCAAGGACAGTATCTTACATAACTATACTAAAATGATCAGAAATAGGAAATTAACATTGATGCAATTATAACTCTTCTTAGTTTCCTTTAATCTGGAACATTTCCTCAGTCTTTCTTTGACTTTCATAATGTTGACATTTTTGATTAGGACAGGCCAGTTAGTTTGTAGAATGCTTTGGGTTTAGCTGATGTTTCCTTAGTATTAGATTCAGGTTATGCAATTTTGGCAGGACCATTGAAGTGACATTGTGTCCTCCTTAATGCATCAGATCAAGAGGTACATGATATTTATATCTTTGTCCCATTACTTGTGATGTTAACTTTGGTCACATGTATAAGGTGGTGTCTGCTGATTTTTTCCATGGTGACGTTTTTGTCTTTGTAATTAATAAGTATCTTTTGAGGAGATACTTTGAGATTATTTAAATATCTTTCATCAAGCTCTCATGTTCAGTTTTGTTGTTTTTTTTTTTTTTGAGACGGAATCTCACTCTGTTGCCCGGGCTGGAGTGCAGTGGCACGATCTCAGCTCACTGCAACCTCCACCTCCCAGGTTCAAGTGATTTTCCTGCCTCAGCCTCCCAGGTAGCTGGGATTACAGGCATGCACCACCACACCCAGCTAATTTTTTTATTTTTAATAGAGATCACCCCTGACCTCAGGTGATCTGTCCGCCTCGGCCTCCCAAAGTGTAGGGATTACAGGCGTAAGCCACTGCGCCCAGCCCACATTCAGTTTTGACATCCATTGAATCTTGCCTGCAACAATTAATTGTGATGTTTGCCAAGTACTTTTTCTTATTCCGTCACGTCTTCTTCATTTATTACTTGGGATTCTACTGTAATAAAGAACTTTCTCTTCTTCCCCCTTTAAAACATTTATGTATTCATTTATTTATGTCATTGTGGACTTAGGGATCCTAATATCATTCAATGTGATATAACCTTTTATTATCATTATTTATTTTGATACTCAAATTGTGCCATGTTTTTTACTAGGCCAGTGCCAGGTTTATTCTGTTTATTTAAGGGTTCTGAAAATACGAAATATGAGCATTCACTAAAATTAGTGAGGGTGATTTAATTGTAGACTATCATTTTTCTACCTATGGGTAAAATGTTAAAGAGTCTTTAATCAATATATATATTTTTTAACCTCAGGTCTGGAATCTACAGATATTTTAAAGTTTGTAGATATAAAACCTGGAATTCCAAGCCAGTTCTAGTTTTTAAATATATGTGTGTCACAGAAGAATAAGAATGCTACTAAAAATAGAATCCTGAGGACTTAGTTTTAAAACCTATAATTTTTAGGATCTGTTTTTCATTTTTAAGGGGCTGATGTCTTTTAATTATGGTTAGAAGGAAAGCACAAACTCTCTCATTAGAAGTGGGTTGGAAATAAATATTGTTTTATTTATAATGTTTTTTCTTTTTCTTTACAGGAGGAGAACTATTTATGCAGTTAGAAAGAGAGGGAATATTTATGGAAGACACTGCCTGGTAAGTGAACTTTTTGTGGTTGCATAGATTCAGGTAATTACAAGCAAAGCCCCATTCCCACTATGGGCAGCCACATGATTCAGTAAATTGAGCTGGAGCCAGTCACTCACTCAGGACCTCAAGGGGGAGAAGCAGTTTTGGGACTGGGCAGCTATGGAGGTCACATCATTCCTTTGCCCTTAGGCTTGAGTGGAACGCTCTTCACACCAGTTGTTCCTAACAGAACCATTCTCATTGCGGCTTTCTTTCCTTGAATTGGTAAGCTGCCTGCCTTGGCTGTGGGTGAGTGTGGTTTCCCAGTGAACCTTTATGTGTGGAACAATGGAAATTATCAGAAATCATCCCTTTTTTTTTAGGCTTTCTATTTCTCAAGGTACAGTCTTAGGGAGGTGATAAACCTGGGCATATCATCTGTAGATTGATTATGTAGTCAGGGTGGGATTTACCCTCCTATTTCTAAACATGTCATCTGCTTCAAATTAAAAATATGCACATCCTTTTGTGAAGCAACAATATTGGGTCACAATAAATCAGTTTATCCTACACATTAATTTAATAGAAAACAACACTTAAATGTTTTTTTCTACCTTGATTACCAAAACTGCATTCCATTGTTTAATTTCAGGCCTTTTCTAACAAAGAAGCTGCATTTAAGAGCCTTAGGGATGAAGTGCCCTTTTTTGGAGGAGGCTCACTGAGCCGTGTTGGAGGCTGTGTTTGTGGTCGTGCTGGCTGTGAAACTGCCTCAGTCCTCTAGGACACACCCTCTCCATCCTGGAGTAATCTGCAGGATTGCAACATTGTTATGCAGCCAGTATTGCAGTGCCTTGTGCTTTTCGAATCCAGACAGGGTTGATTCAGCCCTTTATTCTTTTGAGGTAGATAAATTTGGGTGTCACACAGTTTATAGTTGTGGGCTGGCTGGCAGGTGGGAGGGCAGATACTGTGGGCCTCAGCTGTCTATAAATATGTAGCTGTATTAAGTAAGGGATGAGTGGGCTTCTAAGGGTCAGGTTATAAGATACCTTTTGAAATCAAGATGTGATCTCTGAGAATAACAAAGTTCCTATTTCCTATGGGATTTTAAAGTTGGGTGTGGATGGGAGAAATTTGCTTGAAATGAATGGCTATTAGCTTAATTCCTACACAGACAGAACAAAACATGACCAATGGCAGTTTAGCATATTCTGGACATCTTTGCAATTTTAGCAATATATTCTAATGGCAAAATAAAGCACTTTATAGTTTCACTAAAATGAGTGAAACATAAATGTCCCCATGCCTTTTGGCAGCATCCTATGCCATCTCTTTTTCCAATACATCCCCCTACCCCACTAATTTGGTCTTTGGTGCATGTCTGTTTCTTTCAAGGAATTTTGCTCCATACGTAAACTGCTTTGGATAGATTACACTCTTTTTAATTTTATTAAATCACTTTTGTTTCCAGCTTTTACTTGGCAGAAATCTCCATGGCTTTGGGGCATTTACATCAAAAGGGGATCATCTACAGAGACCTGAAGCCGGAGAATATCATGCTTAATCACCAAGGTGGAGACATACCGTAAACAATTCTATAGTAAATAATCATCTTAAAATCCTCCCACATAGGTCGTGGCCATTTTCAAAGCCCCAAATTCATCTCTCTATTTTGTATATTTCCTCCCTCAGAATTCATGGCATCATAGTACTTGCTGATATTTTAAGTCTTTAGGTAATTACGCTTGGTGAGAGTAAAAGAAGTTGAGGATAATAGTCGCTCAACTGCCTTTTTTAGTTTAATCCTTACTCTTTATAGTTTTTCATGTTTTTGGAATCTTTACATCAAATGTTGTATAATGTTTTAGACTGTAAAAGCCAGTCTAAACATTAATTTTGGCTTGTTACTTAAATTGAAAAGTGAATCTCAATTATATAAGTTGAGTTTTAATAATGAAAATATGTAAATATTGGCTGGGCACAGTGGCTGACACCTGTAATCCCAGCACTTTGGGAGGCTAAGGTGGGTGGATCACCTGAGGTCAGGAGTTCAAGACGCCTGGCCAACATGGTGAAACCCCATCTCTACAAAAATACAAAAAAAAAAAAAAATTAGCTGGGCATGATGGTGGGTGCCTGTAATCCCAGCTACTCAGGAGGCTGAGGTGGGAGAATCGCCTGAACCCAGGAGGCGAAAGTTGCAGTGAGCCAAGATCGCGACATTATACTCCAGCCTGAGTGAAAAGAGCGAGACTCCGTCTCAAAAAAAAAGAAAATATGTGAATATTAGAAGCTATGCTTCTTACAGTAGGTTTTATTAATGCTGGGAAAAGGATTGAAATTGAACCAAAGTATTTGATAAAACTTTGGAAATATGATGTTTAGTAGGCATCAGGTTACTTTTTTTTTTTTTTTTTTGAGATGGGGGTCTCACTCTGTCATCCAGGCTAGAGTATGGTGGCATGATTACAGCTCACTGCAACCTCCGCCTCCCAGGCTCAAGTGATCCTTCCACCCCGGCCCCTCAAGTAGCTGGGGCCACTGTGGCACACCACCACGCCTGACTAATTTTTGGTATTTTTTGTAGAAATGGGGTTTCATCATGTTGCCCAGGGTGGTCTCAAACTCCTGAGCTCAATTGATCTGCCTGCCTTGGCCTCCCAAATTGCTGGGATTACAGGCATAACCCACCTTCCCCCCAGCCAGAATCAGTTTATTCTTGCTGTTTGTTTGTAACAACAAACATAAACATCAGAGAGACTGATAATCTATACAACTATAGATATAGCACAGTGAGCCTTGACTACAACTGCATGCTGCTAAAGACAGCTCAATTTATGCTAATCTGGGCTGTAGGTAGACTTGGCAATTCACTCGTACCCCAAAGGAGCAACCAGCTGACCCAGGGTATCTAGAAGGTGGTAGCAGCTGCTAATCCTTAGATGTCTACAGAATAATCCATGAGGTAGTTAATTGTTTCAAACTCTTAGAAAATGATGTATGAACAACTGAGGCTCATATAAACATTCCAGATTATACTCCTCCACCCACCTTTTTTTTTTTTTTAAGGAGAAATGATATACTTAACTGAATATATCATGGGAATCAGTGTCTCTTCCTTCCTCTCATCAACACCTCCTCACTCCCCAAAACGTGGATTCTGATCTGAATTATAAGTCACAGGATAGAATAGGGGAGCGATAGAATAGTTAACTTCTTTGATTTATAAGGTTGAGTGTATCAGATGGTTCTGTGAAAATAAAGGCCATACTTCTTCTGTATCAGAGTGTAGTATATATTTACATTTGAATCAATAGGTCATTGTGCCTTTTCTGTGAAATGAACCTCAAATACTAGAGTCCCTGAGATTGTTGAACCACTTGTTATGACAGTCCAGTAAAGAAAGCTAAACTTGAACTGAAATGATCTTTGTGTAAGGTGGTAAGTTTTTTACTTTCTGGATCAGTGATGATTGATTCATACTATCTAGCAATTTTCTTTCTTTCCCCTAATTGGTAGCATTGGGCAGAATGAGCTACCTTGTTATAATGAGTTTCTGAGACCATTTTAAGGACTCTTCACAGTTCACTGTGATAAAAGCTATATATTTGAAGTACTGTCTCACACCTTTGTTCAAAAGGTACAGAGTATGTTTATTGGGGTCTGTGTACGTAAACTAGACTTCATAAAACAGTTTTCCCAGGATTTTTCTTTTTCAGGATGGTAGAGAATTTTGTATATACTTAAAGCTAGAGCCTTAAACAGGTTATTTCACTTTTTTCTCTATCTTTATTTTCTCTTTACTAGATAGATTGTATCATTGGCAAAAGGTGACTTTGCCCTAGCCTTAAACAGTTAGCATCCCATTTTATGGATGGTACCTTGTTCTTGACATCTGCAAGAAAATTTGAGGCAAGAAAAGTTAAATGGAAGGATAGATTAAAGTATTATGTGACATGTTCAAACACTGCACATACTTATAATTCGGAGAATAATCATGCTGTAATCTTTCATTGTAGGTCATGTGAAACTAACAGACTTTGGACTATGCAAAGAATCTATTCATGATGGAACAGTCACACACACATTTTGTGGAACAATAGAATACATGTGAGCTACATGTTAAACATAATTGGTTTGGGGGTAATAGCTAATTTTACCTGTTTTAAGGAATAGTATCTGTTTTCTGTACCCTCATTGACTCTGTATATTGTTTTTAAAATTCTAATTCAGATGATATGCAAATGGGTGAATTTTTAAGCATATTATTTTCCTCATTGTAGGGCCCCTGAAATCTTGATGAGAAGTGGCCACAATCGTGCTGTGGATTGGTGGAGTTTGGGAGCATTAATGTATGACATGCTGACTGGAGCAGTAGGTGCACAGTTAAAAGCTGCATGTATTATTGGTCTGTGCTGAGTCACTATAGCAAGAGACCTGTCCTGTGCTTTCTGAACATGTTACCAGTGGAGTTTTCAAAGCCCAAAGATTTGTTATTAGCAGTTTAACACTAATAATGCTGTATGATTATATGGGATCCCATACTTTCCGAAACATTTTCTTTTAAATGATCTATGTCATGGCAGGCCTGTGAAATAGATGTTGAATAGATAATGCCCTTATTTTATAAATGGAGAAATTGAAGCATAAAATCACATAGCTCACTTATCACACAGAAAGTTAATGGTGGAAACACAGGCTTCCTTCCAGGACACTGCTACTTCCTCTGTCCTGTTGCTTAAAAACTGCACGTCTGCCGGCCACAGTGGTGCATGCCTGTAGCCTAAGCTACTCAGGAGGCTGAGGTGGGAGGATCATTTGAGCTAAGGATTATTAATAGAATCTAGCCTTGACAACATAGTTGAGACCCTGTCTGTAAAACAAAATAAAGGTCTTTAGCAGTTAGCCCATTTCACAGCATACATTTCTGATCTCCATGTATAACTAATTTAGGAAATGGATAATATTATTCAAAATTTGTTTCTTATATGCTAATATTTTTCTCTCCCTGCTAATATTTTTCACTTGTCTTCTACTCTTAGCCCCCATTCACTGGGGAGAATAGAAAGAAAACAATTGACAAAATCCTCAAATGTAAACTCAATTTGCCTCCCTACCTCACACAAGAAGCCAGAGATCTGCTTAAAAAGGTAAGGTTCTTAAATGGTCACTGACACTACAAGATTCAATGACTAGGATTTAACTAGATAGAATTTAATGTATATTTTGAATAAAGAGTCATATATAAATATTGAACAAAAAAGTCTTCAATTTTTGAAGGCGAAGTACAGATTTGTTTAAAGACTTTCTTTTCATATTCTTTTTTTAAATTTTTTTTTTTTGAGACAGGGTCTTGCCCTGTCACCCAGGCTAGAGTGCAGTGGTGCGATCTTGGCTCACTGCAACCTCAGTCTCCCAGGTTCAAGCGATTCTTCCGCCTCAGCCTCTCAAGTAGCTGGGATTACAGGCACCCGCCACCACGCCCGGCTAATTTTTGTATTTTTAGTAGAGACAGGGTTTCACCGTGTTGGTCAGTCTGGTCTGGAACTCCTGACCTCAGGTGATCCACCTGCCCTGGCCTCCCAAAGTGCTAAGTGCTGGGATTACAGACCCTTAAACAATATTAAGTAGTAATTAGTAAACTATATTTTCTTTTCTTTTCTTTTCTTTTTTTTCTGAGATGGAGTCTTGCTCTGTCGTCCAGGCTGGAGTGCAATGGCATGATCTTGGCTCTCACTGCAACCTCCACCTCCCAGGTTCAAGTGATTCTCCTGCCTCAGTCTCCCTAGTAGCTGGGATTACAGGTGTTCACCACCACGCCAGGCTAATTTTTGTATTTTTAGTAGAGAAGGGGTTTCACCATGTTGGCCAACCTCGAACTCCCAACCTCAGGTGATCCACCTGCCTCAGCCTCCCAAAGTGCTGGGATTACAGGCATGAGCCACTGTGCCTGGCCAATAAACTATATTTTCTCAAGCCAAAGTAGACAAGCACAGTCTAAAAAGGAAAAAAAAAAATCAGTTTGACTAAGGTTCTTTATCCAAGCTTTTTTTCCTCTTTAAAGCTGCTGAAAAGAAATGCTGCTTCTCGTCTGGGAGCTGGTCCTGGGGACGCTGGAGAAGTTCAAGTAGGGATTGGCATCTTTGGTGTTTTGTGGGGAAGATAATGCTAGTTTTATGTATTTCTGAGGGTTATATGTAGTTGCTTATAAGTTTAGCTTATTTTGTGACTTGTAACTTCAAAAAGGTGATTAATTTATCAATCCAGCAAAGTCTAGTCCCCTCAACTTTTCTTCCTGCTTTTTTTTTCCTAGGCTCATCCATTCTTTAGACACATTAACTGGGAAGAACTTCTGGCTCGAAAGGTGGAGCCCCCCTTTAAACCTCTGTTGGTAAGTATACATGAAAGTGTATAATTGGGTGCAGTGGCTCACGCCTGTAATCCCCAAACTTTAAAGGGCCAAGGTGGGAGGATTGTTTGAGGCCAGGAGTTCAAGACCAGCATGGGCAACATAACAAGACTCCATATCTACAAAACATTTAAAAGTTAGCTGGGTGTGGCGGCTTGTGCCTGTAAGTCCCAGCTACTTGCAAGGCTGAGGCAGGAGGATCGCTTGATATTTTTTTAGAATAAGAAAAATCTCAGAGCAGACAGAAACATTATTTTTATTAGCAGTTCAAAGATCTCTGGTCTATCCTCTCCAGCATCTTTATTTTATTTTATTTTGAGATGGGGTCTCACTCTGTCACCCAGGATGGAGTGCAGCAGCACGATCACAGTTCAATGCAGCCTTGACCTCCCCAGGCTCAGGTGATTCTCCCACCTCAGCTTCCCAAATAGCTACGACTACAGACACGTGTCACCATGCCTAGCTAATTTTTTTGTATTTTTTATAGAAATAGGGTTTTGCCATGTCACCCAGACTGGTCTTGAACTCCTGGGCTCAAGTGATCCACCCACCTCAGCCTCTCAAAGTGCTGGGATTACAGGTGTGAGCTTCTGCACCCAGCCAAGCATCTTTTATTTTTGTACTATCTTGTAAAGAACTAAACCCAGTGGCAATTGACTGTATTAGCTATTTTTAAGTCAGTTACCTAAGACAAATATTTCAGGTAGTTGGGACTTTCCTTTTTTTGGTTTGTTTTATTTTGCTTAATTTAACCATTTTAAATATGATTCTCTGGGAATTTTTTCTTCAAAGTATAGAATATGTGTGCATTCGTTTGCTAGGCTTGCTGCAACAAAGTACCACAAACCGGGTGGCTTAGACAACAGAAATTTATTATCTCATAGATCTGGAGACTAGAAGTTCTAGATCACATTGTTAGAGTTGGTTTCTTTGACTACTGTGAGAAACTGTATGTTCCATGCCTCTCCCCTGGCTTCTGGTGGTTTGCTGGTAATCTTTGTCATTCTTTGGCTTGTAGGTGCATCACCCGGATCTCTGCCTTCATGTTCACATGGTGTTCTACCTGTGTGCATATCTGTGGCCAAATTTCCCCTTTTTATAAGGATACCAGGCATATTGGATTAGGGTTCCTCTCTACTCCAGTAGGACCTCATCTTCACTAATTACATCTGCAATAACCCTTTCCAAATAAGGTCACATTCTGAGGAACTAGAGGTTAGAATTTCAATGTACGAAATTTTTTGGGGGTGGGTAAGGCACACGATTCAACCCATAACAATATGTTTGTGAGTAAATCAGTTAGTGTGTTAGTTATTGTCCTTCTCCCACCTCAGAATCTGAGAAAATACAGTTTCTTTTTCCATTCCTTAGGATGTAGTTGGAGAAGGAGGAGGATGATGATGGTGATTATTTTTTGGTCATGGAGCATAATGTCCCCACTTTAAAAAACAACAAACAATTGTAAGGAAGTTAACTGTCATATACCTACTGCCCAGCTTAAAAAATGATTAGGTCATCTTGTTTAAACATAACTGCCATCCCATCATCACACCTCAGAAGTTGACAGTTTCCTTAGTTGTTTTTTTTTTTTTTTCCTTTTTCTTTTCTTTCTTTTTTTTTTTTTTGGGGGGGGGATAGGGTCTTTCTCTGTTGCCCAGGCTGGAGTGCAGTGGCATGATAGTGGCTCATGGCAGCCTCAACCTCCCAGGCTCAAGGGCTCCTCCCGTATAGCTGGGGCCACAGGGATGCATCACCACATCCAGCTAATTTTTAAATTTTTTCTAGAGATGAGGTCTCCCTGTGTTGCCCCACCTAATTTTTTTTGTTGTTGTTGTTTTTCCATTTTTTTTTTCTCCTGTTTGTAAGGATTTAATCAAGGTCTGTATATAGTTTGGTTACTATGTCTCTTAGGTCTCTTTTCATTTATAGATTCCCCTTGTGATTTATTGAAGAAACTGGGTCATTTGTCCTGTAGAATTCTCAAATTTTGATTTTGCTGATGTTATCCCCATAGTTTCATTGACCATGTTCATCTGTTCTCTGAATTTCCAAAAACTGGTAGTTAAATTTAGGTGGTTGATCTAATTCAGATTAAACTCTCAGTATTGCATGCTTTGATCAGGAGGCATAATGTGTAGTTTGTGTGTGTGTGTGTGTGTGTGTGTGTGTGTGTGTGTGTGTGTGTTTAAGTGATGTTAGTGGTCACTGATCATTGCCTATGTCAGCATTTCACTACCAGGGTAATTTGGCAATGTCTGGAGATACACTGATTGTCACAGGTTGGGGGAGGGAATGCTATAGGTACCTTCAGGAGTAAGAGTCAGCACAGCACAGCCCCCTACAGCTAAGCGTTAATAGGCCTAAAATGTCAGTAGCACTGAGGTTGAGAAACTCTGGCCTACTTTTATAATTTCATCAGGTGTTTGTGAAATGGTCTTATTCTAACTGTTATTTCTTCTTTCTTTGTTAGCTGGAATTCTTTCATAAAGAGAAACTCTTTGATCAGTTAGTTACCCAAGGTATAGTTCATACAGTAAAGGCAGGATGTATGTTTGATTCTTTCCTAGTTTTCAAAATAATGAATTAGTTCCCTAGCATCTTCCAGAATTGACCAATGAACTTTGTGTGTGTGTGTTTTTTTCTTTTTTAGTATATTATGAACTTATATGTTTTAACACATTTGTGTTTCATTTCATCGCAGTTATTTTTATTTTATTTTTATTTATTCATTTATTGTTTTGAGGCAGGGTCTTACTCTGTCACCCAAGCTGTAGTGCAGTGGTATAATCTCTGTCTACTGCAGCCTTGACTTCCCGGCCTCCAGCAATCCTCCCACCTCACCCTCTTGAGTAGCTGGGACCACAGGTACACCACCATGCCCAGCTAATTTTTGTGTTTCTGGTAGAGACGGGGTTTTGCCGTGTTCACCAGGCTGGTCTTCAACTCCTGAGCTCAAAAGCAATCCACCTGCCTCTGCCTCCCAAAGTGTTGGGATGATAGGCATGAGCCACTGCACCTAGCAGTTATTTTTATTGATGCTCAATTTTTCCCTTCGTTGAATGCTGGTGCAGTGAATGCTGGGTGCATCTTCATGTTGGTTTCTGAGTCCTTTTGACATGACCACATGGTCTGGTGTTGTACGAGAGAGCAAAATAAGGAAACTGGTGTTCTATGCTTATCTTGTACATTTTCCCCACACTTGGAATCAGCCATTCCTCCAGGGAGTGCAGGTTCACAGTCTGGGCTCTAAGAGAATTATAAGGTCAATGTGGTCATCTTTTAGTATTAAGTCAGATATTCTAAATTATTATTTACTTCCTACATTTGGCCCAAGAGTCTAACCAGATATTTTGGGAAAGAGAGAAGGAATTAAATAAATAAATCTCATGGTTAGAACTGAAGTGATAACTATACTTTCACAAGGAAATATAACTTATAAACCATGCAGAATAGAAAATTATTTTTGTTCCTTTAGATTTCTAAAGGAATGAAATAAGCTGTGGGAAGAAACTTTAACTGGAGCATCTTACCAGTGTTATTCATGTTTTAACTCTGCTTCAGTAGTTTTTCAGGTTTATTACAAACCTGCAGTAGCCAACTGAACTAATTATCTCTAAACAGGGATTTAGCCAGTGGACTAGGCACACTGAAGCTTTGTGAGAGGGGAAATTGATATTAACATTTTTTCCAGCTTGTTTTGAGCTCGATATATTCACTTTTTTTTTTTTTTTTTTTTTTTTTTATTGAGACAGACTCTCGCACTGTCATCTGGGCTGGTGTGCAGTGGCACGATCTCTGCTTGCTGCAACCTGTGCCTCCCGGGTTCAAGCAATTCTCCTGCCTCATCCTCCTGAGTAGCTAGGATTACAGGCACACGCCACCATGCCTGGCTAATTTTTTGTATTTTTAGTAGAGATGGGGTTTCACTATTTTGGCCAGGCTGGTCTCAAACTCCTGACCTCATGATCCGCCTGCCTCAGCCTCCCAAGGTGCTGGGATTACAGACGTGAGCCACCATGCCCAGTCGATATATTCACATTTTTAATAGGAATAACTGTATACTAAAATCTATTTTAGTGCATGTTTAAGATTTGAAGATGTAATTTGACTCAGTACTTTCCACCTACATTTTTTTCTTCATTCTGTGCCTGCTAAGACTATTCTAATACTTTATTATAGTTAACCCCCGTGAAAAGAGCTCCCAGAGCTTACAGTGCATTTGATTGATGTAACATGGACTATTTATTATTTTCTAAATTATTTTGTTTGTATAAAGCAATCTGAAGAGGATGTAAGTCAGTTTGATTCCAAGTTTACACGTCAGACACCTGTCGACAGCCCAGATGACTCAACTCTCAGTGAAAGTGCCAATCAGGTCTTTCTGGTAAGTGAAAGAATTTCCATGTAGTCATGGGAAATTTTAGTGTGAGGATGGGCTCTTCAAAGAAAATTCAGTTTGCTTGCTTTGCAGTTCATGTAGGTAACCTGGCCCACTTTTTTTTTTTTTTTTAAATAAGCCATGCCTTTATAACTTATTGATGCCTACAAAATTTATTTTCATAATCCAACATTTTATTTTAGCAATTAGAGTGGGAATGTACAAATCTTTGGAAAGTATGATTCCCTTTTTTTTTTAGGCCACAGACTTAAAATGATGTTTGGCTTAGCATCTCAACCAAAAATTAGTCATAGCAGTCGGGGAGAAAAACCTCACTGACTACATGTATTTTATTCCTGAAACAGCTATAGATTTTTGGTACTTTTTTTTTTTTTTTTTTTGAGACAGGGTCTCACCTTGTAGCCTAGGCTGGGTGTAGTGTAGTGGTGTGATCACAGTTCACTGCAGCCTTGACCTCCCAGGCTCAAGTGATCCACCCATTTCAGCCTTGTGAGTACCTGTACCACAGGTGTGTGCCACATGCAGCTAATTTTTTATTTTTTTGTAGAGACAGAGTCTCACTATTTTACTCCTGGACTCAAGCTATCTTCCTGCCTTGGCTTCCCAAAGTGCCAAAATTATAGGCATGAGCCATCGTTCCTGGCCCTATTTTTGGTACTCTTAACATAAGTAGGGGATTTTTTTTTTTTTTTTTGAGACGGAGTCTTGCTCTGTCACCAGGTTGGAGTGCAGTGGCGCGATCTCAGCTCACTGCAACTTCTGCCTCCTGGGTTCGAGTGATTCTCCTGCCTCAGCCTCCCGAGTAGCTGGGACTATAGGCGTGCGCCACCACGCCCAGTTAATTTTTGTATTTTTAGTAGAGACAGGGTTTCACCATGTTGGCCAGGATGGTCTCGATTTCTTTTTTTTTTTTTTTTTGAGAAGGAGTCTCGCTCTGTCGCCCAGGTTGGAGTGCAGTGGCGCAATCTCAGCTCACTGCAAGCTCCACCTCCCGGGTTCACACCATCCTCCTGCCTCAGCCTCCTGAGTAGCTGGGACTACAGGTGCCCGCCACCACGCCAGGCTAATTTTTTGTATTTGTAGTAGAGACGGGGTTTCATCGTGTTAGCCAGGATAGTTTTGATCTCCTGACCTCATGATCCGCCCGCCTTGGCCTCCCAAAGTGCTGGGATTACAGGCGTAAGCCACCACGCCCAGTCGATGGTCTCGATTTCTTGACCTCGTGATCCACCCGCCTTGGCCTCCCAAAGTGTTGGGAATACAGGCATGAGCCACCGTGCCAGGCCAAGTAGGGGATTTTTTTAACATTAATTGTGAATATTTGACATCAAAACATATTGGTTCATATGTAATAGTGAATTCTCATTGTAGAAATGTCTGTATAGATTTATAGCTTGTCTCCTCAGAAAAGTAAAGGTTTTTGATGTTGGCCAACAGAAATGATGGATTTATATCAGAAGACCATGAATGCATACTATTTTGCTCAAATAGCACATATGCTTGTTGATTTTATTACTGTACTTAATATGTCACATGAACATCTATCTCATTTTGTATCCTTTTTTTTTCTTTTGTCATTTGTTTTTGGACTACTCTAGGGAGAATAGAATATGGGGAAAATAATTGTTTGGGAGTGTTTTTTCCCTGTTTTTGAGTTCACTGGATTTGTCACTAACTTAATTCTTAAGCTTTTCTTCCCCACATTGCTCACTATGTAATACAAGTAGTGTTGTATCTTATGGGATGGGAAATAAGCTCTAAAGTTAGCATGGAGTTGGGGCATGGTGGCTTATGGCTATAACCTTGAGGTCAGGAGTTCAAGACCAGCCTGGCTAACATGGTGAAACCCCATCTCTACTAAAAGTACAAAAATTAGCCAGGTGTGGTGGCATGCACCTGTGGTACCAACTACTTGGGAGGCTGAGGCAGGAGAATCACTTGAACCCGGGAGGCAGAGGTTGCAGGAGCCAAGATTGTGCCACTGCACTCCAGCCTGAGCGATAGAGTGAGTGAGACTCCGTATCAAAAAAAAAAAAATTAATTAAAAAAATTAAGTTAGTATGGGATGCAAAAGTTGTGTATAGTACAGTATGGTTTTGAGTAAACAACACTGAATAGTAATAATCCTATAAATTAATATAGAGCACATAGGCAAAATATAGTCTTACAGTATTACATAAGAGATAAAAGATGAGTGAGTGCATGCATGTTTTTAAATTCAAGTTTGATGTGTGCATGATCAAAGTTACGGCATCTCTGTTAGTAAAATCTTAGGTTCAGTTAGGGAAGTGGGCATGAATCACTTTAATTTTGGCATTTTTTTTCTCTCATGTACTACAGATGTGGAATTTATACCTTTGATTTAACATAGAGACCTTTTCCTCAATTGGACATTGCAGAATTTCAACTTATGTGACAGTTTTCCCCCCACAAAATAGAAGCATTTTATTTAGCTGCCAAGAAATCCAAAGTTGTGGTGGTAAAAGTGAGATATTGAAGCTTTCGTTGCCAGTTAAAGTATTGTTGAGCTTTTCACAATTACTTAAATTGGCTAATGAATAGAGCAACTCATTTGTTAGGTTGTAGCCAGAATTCTCTACATAAAGTGGATCTCTTTAAACATTAATAAAAAAAAATAGGTCAGGTGCAGTGGCTCACGCCTGTAATCCCAGCACTTTGGGAGTCTGAGGTGGGCGGATCACAAGGTCAGGAGTTCCAGACCAGCCTGGCTAATATGGTGAAAACCCATCTCTACTAAAAATACAAAAATTAGCCAGGCATGATGGCTGTAGTCCCAGCTACTCGGGAGGCTGAGGCAGGAGAATCGCTTGAACCCGGGAGGAGGAGGTTGTAATGAGCTGAGATCACGCCCCTCACTGCACTCCAGCCTGGGCGACAGAGCTAGAATCCATCTCAAAAAAAAAAAAAAAATTATATATATATATATACACATATATATATATACACACATACATACACACACACATATAGTGACATCCCACTTATCTGGATAATGTGGTTCTAGCAACCTCATTTCAACAAATATTTTAATTCCTGTTGTAAGACCCCATCACAGAATTAGAGGAAATTCAAAGATGATTAAGGCACAGCCTGTACCTCTTGGTAGTTACAGCTTTAGTCCACCAGAACGTTTGTAAAATTATTCTCTGAAGTTCACATATAACTGTCACAAATCATATGCACTTCAGAATTGCACCTCACTCTTTGGGACTTCACTCAGAGCTTTGCTGAGTCTTATTTATTGTAACACATAATGCTTACTCATAGATTTTGATAAATAGAAGATAGGTGAAGATGGTTAAAAGAATGAACATTGACAGCTAGAGAAATGACAGCTGGTAGCCTAATAGTAAGATCCAAGAGAGAACTAAAATGAACAAAACTGCATTTTTGCCTATTACAACTGAAGGTTTTTGAAATGTTGATACTTATTCATCAAGAAAACACCAAATTCTAGCTGGGCAGAGATCACACGTGCCTATATAGTCACAGCTACTTGAGGGGCTGAGGTGGGAGAATAGCTTGGGTCCAGGAGTTTGAGGCTGCAGTGAGCTATGTTATCACCACTGCACTCCAGCCTGGGCAATATAGGGATACCCCATCTCTTAAAACAAAACAAAAAACGAATTCTGTCCAATCATTGGCGTAAAACCAGAAAGATCACAAGATCTGACTTTGATGCCAAGTCAGAAAATTGTTTTTACTTTGGTCTGATTATAAGAAACTGTTTTAGGGTGATAAACTTAATTGCTTATATGCCTGTGGCTAGAAACACTAGAAGTTTCTTTACATTTCTCCTAGTATTTAACATCTTTTTTTTTTTTTTTTTTAATTTTTGAGATGGAGTCTTACTCTGTTGCCCAGGCTAGAATGCAGTGGTGCGATCTCTGCTCACTGCAACCTCCACCTACCAGGTTCAAGTGATCCTCCTGCCTCAGCCTCCCGAGTAGCTGGGATTACAGGCGTGCACCACCATGCATGGTGGTGTATTTTTGTATTTTTAGTAGAGACGGTGTTTCACCACATTGGCCAGGCTGGTCTTTAACTCCTGACCTCAGGTGGTCTGCCCGCCTTGGCCTCCCAAAGTGCTGGGATGACAGGCGTGAGCCCCCGTGCCTGGGCGTATTTAACATCTTCATATGGAGCCTGAATTTTCCTGTTTTTTTTTCTATTCCTGTCAGTAGGGTAGAATTTTGTTTGCTAGCATATCAGGCTCAATGGAATTCTGCTTTCTTGAAGTGTGTGCCTCACGAAATGGCTGGAAAGAAGTTAACGGGTCTAAAAATGAGGTTGAGGACGTGGGAGAGTGTACACATTGGTGGTTTTAGGTGTGCATCATTGTGTAGGTATGTCAGACTGAACAACCCCATTCTCTTGAGATACATGACAAAATGCCATTCTGTAGTCCACTGTTACTGTCTTTCAGGGTTTTACATATGTGGCTCCATCTGTACTTGAAAGTGTGAAAGAAAAGTTTTCCTTTGAACCAAAAATCCGATCACCTCGAAGATTTATTGGCAGCCCACGAACACCTGTCAGGTATTTCACACTCTTATTTTCACTTTTTTTTGTTTTTAAACAACCTACAAGAGTGTTTGCTTAAGAAGTTTATGCCAAGTTATATAAATGAAAGACTGTCATACTCTCTTTGGTTGACATAAGCACAGCATCTATATCTTACATTGCAAAGGACTAGTCTGACTAATCTATGATGTTATATGGTTTACCTTCCCTCCCAAAAGTAAGCAGCCATACTGGCAAATGTCCTCTTTATCCATTCACTCAGCATTTATTGTGCACCAAGAGCACCAGCACTACATACTGCATGTTATGTGTGTGTATCTATATAGTACTATAATACAGGAATTGTCCCTGTCCTGATGAAGCTTACAATTTAGTGGGAAAGTCACAATAGACAAAGGATATACAAAAATATAATTACAAGTAGTGCAAAGTGCTATAATTTAAAAGGGGAAAAAAAGAATGTACTGGTAGAGAGCAGAGGAAAAACAAGGGGGCTTCTACTCACAGTGATCAGAGAAAGGCCTCCCTGGTGTAGTAACATCTAGCAGTGAACGGAAAGAGCCAGCCCTACAAAAATAGGAGGTATAAGAATGTTGCAGGCAGAAGAACAGCAAATGCAAAAACCCTGAGGGAGGAGAAAAGTTGCCCTTTTCCTGGAAGTGAAAGGGAAATCAGTGTTCCTGGAGTGTGTGGTGAGTGAGGAGAAGGGCAGAGGTTTGGAAAAGTATTTTATTTTAAATGCAATAGAAAGCTGTTTTGAGCAGGGGAGAGTAAAATGATATATATAATACGCATTTAAATGTATATATATCTCATTGAGGGTTTTGGGGGTCAGGTGTAGAGGTAAAGAGACCAGTTAGGAAATTCTAGCAGTTAATCTAGGTGGGGGAGAGATGGTTCAATTTTTGCCTTTGTGCTAATCCACGTGAAAATAAAATTAAATGAAAATAAATGTCATGTTACCCCACTCCCTTTAAACGTAAAGGAAATATGTCTTGTTGAGATGACCCTTAAGCAAATGAATGATAGCTCTTCCTTGTCTTAAAGCCCAGTCAAATTTTCTCCTGGGGATTTCTGGGGAAGAGGTGCTTCGGCCAGCACAGCAAATCCTCAGACACCTGTGGAATACCCAATGGAAACAAGTGGCATAGAGCAGATGGATGTGACAATGAGTGGGGAAGCATCGGCACCACTTCCAATACGACAGCCGAACTCTGGGCCATACAAAAAACAAGCTTTTCCCATGATCTCCAAACGGCCAGAGCACCTGCGTATGAATCTATGACAGAGCAATGCTTTTAATGAATTTAAGGCAAAAAAGGTGGAGAGGGAGATGTGTGAGCATCCTGCAAGGTGAAACGACTCAAAATGACAGTTTCAGAGAGTCAATGTCATTACATAGAACACTTCAGACACAGGAAAAATAAACGTGGATTTTAAAAAATCAATCAATGGTGCAAAAAAAAACTTAAAGCAAAATAGTATTGCTGAACTCTTAGGCACATCAATTAATTGATTCCTCGCGACATCTTCTCAACCTTATCAAGGATTTTCATGTTGATGACTCGAAACTGACAGTATTAAGGGTAGGATGTTGCTTCTGAATCACTGTTGAGTTCTGATTGTGTTGAAGAAGGGTTATCCTTTCATTAGGCAAAGTACAAAATTGCCTATAATACTTGCAACTAAGGACAAATTAGCATGCAAGCTTGGTCAAACTTTTTCCAGCAAAATGGAAGCAAAGACAAAAGAAACTTACCAATTGATGTTTTACGTGCAAACAACCTGAATCTTTTTTTTATATAAATATATATTTTTCAAATAGATTTTTGATTCAGCTCATTATGAAAAACATCCCAAACTTTAAAATGCGAAATTATTGGTTGGTGTGAAGAAAGCCAGACAACTTCTGTTTCTTCTCTTGGTGAAATAATAAAATGCAAATGAATCATTGTTAACCACAGCTGTGGCTCGTTTGAGGGATTGGGGTGGACCTGGGGTTTATTTTCAGTAACCCAGCTGCAATACCTGTCTGTAATATGAGAAAAAAAAAATGAATCTATTTAATCATTTCTACTTGCAGTACTGCTATGTGCTAAGCTTAACTGGAAGCCTTGGAATGGGCATAAGTTGTATGTCCTACATTTCATCATTGTCCCGGGCCTGCATTGCACTGGAAAAAAAAATCGCCACCTGTTCTTACACCAGTATTTGGTTCAAGACACCAAATGTCTTCAGCCCATGGCTGAAGAACAACAGAAGAGAGTCAGGATAAAAAATACATACTGTGGTCGGCAAGGTGAGGGAGATAGGGATATCCAGGGGAAGAGGGTGTTGCTGTGGCCCACTCTCTGTCTAATCTCTTTACAGCAAATTGGTAAGATTTTCAGTTTTACTTCTTTCTACTGTTTCTGCTGTCTACCTTCCTTATATTTTTTTCCTCAACAGTTTTAAAAAGAAAAAAAGGTCTATTTTTTTTTCTCCTATACTTGGGCTACATTTTTTGATTGTAAAAATATTTGATGGCCTTTTGATGAATGTCTTCCACAGTAAAGAAAACTTAGTGGCTTAATTTAGGAAACATGTTAACAGGACACTATGTTTTTGAAATTGTAACAAAATCTACATAAATGATTTACAGGTTAAAAGAATAAAAATAAAGGTAACTTTACCTTTCTTAAATATTTCCTGCCTTAAAGAGAGCATTTCCATGACTTTAGCTGGTGAAAGGGTTTAATATCTGCAGAGCTTTATAAAAATATATTTCAGTGCATACTGGTATAATAGATGATCATGCAGTTGCAGTTGAGTTGTATCACCTTTTTTGTTTGTCTTTTATAATGTCTTCAGTCTGAGTGTGCAAAGTCAATTTGTAATATTTTGCAACCCTAGGATTTTTTTAAATAGATGCTGCTTGCTATGTTTTCAAACCTTTTTGAGCCATAGGATCCAAGCCATAAAATTCTTTATGCATGTTGAATTCAGTCAGAAAAGAGCAAGGCTTTGCTTTTTGAAATTGCAACTCAAATGAGATGGGATGAAATCCTATGACAGTAAGCAAAAACAGAACCATGAAAAATGATTGGACATACACCTTTTCAATTGTGGCAATAATTGAAAGAATCGATAAAAGTTCATCTTTGGACAGAAAGCCTTTAAAAAAAAAATCACTCCCTCTTCCCCCTCCTCCCTTATTGCAGCAGCCTACTGAGAACTTTGACTGTTGCTGGTAAATTAGAAGCTACAATAATAATTAAGGGCAGAAATTATACTTAAAAAGTGCAGATCCTTGTTCTTTGACAATTTGTGATGTCTGAAAAAACAGAACCCGAAAAGCTATGGTGATATGTACAGGCATTATTTCAGACTGTAAATGGCTTGTGATACTCTTGATACTTGTTTTCAAATATGTTTACTAACTGTAGTGTTGACTGCCTGACCAAATTCCAGTGAAACTTATACACCAAAATATTCTTCCTAGGTCCTATTTGCTAGTAACATGAGCACTGTGATTGGCTGGCTATAACCACCCCAGTTAAACCATTTTCATAATTAGTAGTGCCAGCAATAGTGGCAAACACTGCAACTTTTCTGCATAAAAAGCATTAATTGCACAGCTACCATCCACACAAATACATAGTTTTTCTGACTTCACATTTATTAAGTGAAATTTATTTCCCATGCTGTGGAAAGTTTATTGAGAACTTGTTTCATAAATGGATATCCCTACTATGACTGTGAAAACATGTCAAGTGTCACATTAGTGTCACAGACAGAAAGCACACACCTATGCAATATGGCTTATCTATATTTATTTGTAAAAATCCAAGCATAGTTTAAAATATGATGTCGATATTACTAGTCTTGAGTTTCTAAGAGGGTTCTTTATGTTATACCAGGTAAGTGTATAAAAGAGATTAAGTGCTTTTTTTTCATCACTTGATTATTTTCTTTAAAATCAGCTATTACAGGATATTTTTTTATTTTATACATGCTGTTTTTTAATTAAAATATAATCACTGAAGTTTACTAATTTGATTTTATAAGGTTTGTAGCATTACAGAATAACTAAACTGGGATTTATAAACCAGCTGTGATTAACAATGTAAAGTATTAATTATTGAACTTTGAACCAGATTTTTAGGAAAATTATGTTCTTTTTCCCCCTTTATGGTCTTAACTAATTTGAATCCTTCAAGAAGGATTTTTCCATACTATTTTTTAAGATAGAAGATAATTTGTGGGCAGGGGTGGAGGATGCATGTATGATACTCCATAAATTCAACATTCTTTACTATAGGTAATGAATGATTATAAACAAGATGCATCTTAGATAGTATTAATATACTGAGCCTTGGATTATATATTTAATATAGGACCTATTTTGAATATTCAGTTAATCATATGGTTCCTAGCTTACAAGGGCTAGATCTAAGATTATTCCCATGAGAAATGTTGAATTTATGAAGAATAGATTTTAAGGCTTTGAAAATGGTTAATTTCTCAAAAACATCAATGTCCAAACATCTACCTTTTTTCATAGGAGTAGACACTAGCAAGCTGGACAAACTATCACAAAAGTATTTGTCACACATAACCTGTGGTCTGTTGCTGATTAATACAGTACTTTTTCTTGTGTGATTCTTAACATTATAGCACAAGTATTATCTCAGTGGATTATCCGGAATAACATCTGAAAGATGGGTTCATCTATGTTTGTGTTTGCTCTTTAAACTATTGTTTCTCCTATCCCAAGTTCGCTTTGCATCTATCAGTAAATAAAATTCTTCAGCTGCCTTATTAGGAGTGCTATGAGGGTAACACCTGTTCTGCTTTTCATCTTGTATTTAGTTGACTGTATTATTTGATTTCGGATTGAATGAATGTAAATAGAAATTAAATGCAAATTTGAATGAACATAAATAGAAGTGATTTATTTTTTTATTATCTTAAAGATAGGAAGGAATTAGTATACGTATCAGGTGTATAAATGGTTTAAATTTATTTTAACATGTCAGATGTGTTCAAGTTGTCATATAAATAAACTATGTATGTAAGGAATGGGTTAAAAGCTGTTCTGCTGAGAAACTGAAGCTATTTAAGTATATAACAAGTTTTAGTATTGATTTTTAAGTTAGATGTTACACATCTTTGATTTTCAAGTTATGTCAGATAGTAGATATGAATTGTTTACTTAAAAAAATACATGTAACAATCTACGTGAAAGCTAGCTTCATAAAAAACTCTAGGAAGACCTTCTTGTGCTAACAATCAACAATCTGTTCAGCTACACTTGGTCAGCTACATTTGATAATTTGATATGTATGCACAAAATAACGTAGTGAACAAATGTGTTTTAACTAATGTCTCAATATATCTAGTGTAAGCTGGGTATTTTGCATTAACCACTTCTTTTCTGTGAGGTAATTATACCACACTTGCCAAGGGGATTTCTCTACAGAAGCTCTCAAACTGATCTTACCTTGCTATACAACATAGTAGCCTATCAATACTGGTAAAACAATCTTTTAGAAGCCATGATCTGAATTCACAGAGTAAATGAGTTTCTGAATCTACATTACCTGTTTTTGAGGTGAAGGAATAGAGGGATGGAAGAAATGCTTCCAGTTCATCAGCATTTTTATTGGATGGCATAGCTCCATTAGATTTTCTCCCTTTTCAATTTATAGGTAAACTGCATTCCAAAAAAAAACCCCACCATGCACCTCCTTGGTTATGTAATCACATTCATTAAGAAACAGTGCTGTCTGAATAGTTACAGAGTAAGCAAATGTATTAAATAGGTATTCTAATAGGGCTGAAGTAAAATGCTATTCTTGTATTTGAACAGGAAGTCATCTTGGCTATCCTTCACAGCCGAATTGTAATCCCACATTGCTTTTCTCACCCATCCTCTGCCGTATACCTAAATAATACAACTATTAGCATCACCACAAAGCCATTTAAATAATATTTGTAGTGGGTCTCAAAGTAGATAACAGAGTAAAATATACTGTAATTGAATATAGTTGTACTTACAACCTGGTAGTATTTACCTGGAGAGAAAAAAATGGTACAGGCTTCCTAATGTTTGTTTGTCAATTTGGATGGCTGTACAGTCATGGAAGTGCCTTCTATAACCAGTTGGTCAGTTTGCTAAACTAAACAATTCATTTGCTAGTTTAGCTTTTGTCTTATCAGTACAGCAAATCTGTTTTCTACCTCTGCTTCCTAAGTTCTTTCTACCACCTTTTCCTCGACTACAAACTGATAGATGTACTCTAAACTTGGATATAAGCACTAGCAGCCCTTCAGACATGTTTTAGATTTCAGATTCCTCCTTAGAGGTAACAAGGGGAGAAAGTGCTTCATTCTCTTTTCTAGCACCCTGCACAAATACCTAGAGGCGAACAAACCACACTATCAAAACCTCATGACCACCTCTCAGTGCGAGCTTCAATCTTCCAATTGATGGTGATTCAAGCATAAAATTCCAAAACTTTTATGGAGAAGACTAATTATAAGGGCAATTTTTTATAAGATTTTAGGGCATCTGTCTTGAAACTTTTTTCTTTTAAATAGAGATGGGATGTTGCCCAGGCTGGTCTTGAACTCCTGGGTTCAAGCAGTCCTCCTGCCTCTGCCTCCCAAAGTGCTGGGATTACAGGTGTGAGCCACCATGCCTGGCCATTTGTCTTGTTTTCTATACTATTCAAATCATCAAGTAAGCCAGCTGTTTATAATCCACATGAATTATTTTAATAGTTACTTCGAGATACTCCATGGTACTATACAAAAAGCATGATCATGAACATTAAAGCTGATGGCAGGAAGAATTTATGACGTCCAGAGACAAAATGAATTTAAATCATTTATTTTCACTTATTACTAATCTTACTACAGAGAATAATACAATACTATAATGTATCATCCTCAGTAAATTAATCTTCACTTAGAAAATGTTACTGATAAAATACAACATTTAGAATTTTCATTTAAAAATACAAATTTTATGAAAATATTAAGAATTTTTAGGATGGGAATTATAAAAGTCAATGCTGAACAAAATTCTACTTTTAGATAGTATGTATCTTAAAATATTATGAAAAATATTCTTTATTCTGAAAACAATGTCAGGAAAGAATACCTGAGTTCTCTAAAACCACTAGTTCTAATTTCAAATTGCTGTTTTGGTAACATAAAGAAAACACATTTACAATTTAACACTGCAGTTACCTGTCAAATAATTAGAATAGAATAAATGTTGCATATACATTAGGTTGAACATTATATATATTTTAAAACACAGGGTGGTTTCATTTAATCTTTTGGTGAATTGGATCATAAGTCCTACATTCTAAAACCATCTGGAAACATTTTTCTGGTAGCCCTGAAAATCCATTCTGATGCCTTATCAGTAGTCATTATGACCAAATGACATTAGTATTTTGTGGCCTTGATAGTTTATACAACTTAATATATTTGAAGGTGTGATGAAGTGGCTCCATCCTTCCATTTGTTTATATGGTCTGAAATCACAGTTCTGCAGAGTGGACATGTTTTCTCTCTGTTAAACCATAAGGTCATGCACTCTTCACAAAATATATGCTGTAATGGAATTAAGAATTAGATTTGATATTTGATAATCATTTTAAATCCATCACATTGTAGGGAATGAAAGGGATTCTTTTTTTTTTTTTTTTGAGATGGAGACTGAAGTCTTGCTCTGTCACCCAGGCCGGAGTGCAATGGCACCATCTCGGCTCACTGCAACCTCCGCCCCCGACTGGTTCAAGTGATTCTCCTGCCTCAGCCTCCCAAGTTGCCGGGATTACAGGTGACCACCACCACCATGCCCAGCTAGTTTTTTTATTTTTAGTAGAGACAGGGTTTCACCATGTTGGTCAGGCTGGTCTTGAACTCCTGACCTCAGGTGATCCACCCACCTCAGCCTCCCAAAGTTCTGGGATTACAGGCGTGAGCCACTGTGTCCAGCCTGAAAGGGATTTTGAAGAGCACTAATCCCCTCATTTTACAATTGTGAAAATGGAGAACGTATGAGACATTCAAGAAGACAAAGAGCAGTATGATTGGTAGAGCCACTAGTGTTCTGGCTGTACCATCCATTTAACCATAAAAGCTATCCTTAGGTGACACCTTTAAGATTAAGTATGATAACTGCTTAAGGTCTTTGAGTTACTAGTAACTGCCATAAAGTATAGGAAAGGGCCACAATCCAGTAACAAATGTCAGTATTGTTCTACATGGCTAGTATCCAATTATAAAATAGCCTGTTTTTTAATCACTTTGGTATTCAATCTGCCAGTTGAATTATTTTTTCCCCTTCATACGCTCCTCTGCATAAAAATTATCAGAACATAAGGGACAAAACTTAGCCAATCCACTAGTATGTACCCTGAATGCTACCTTCCACTAAACACTAGATTTTTTTTTTTTTGCCTTACAGCAAACATAAATTTGACTTTTGCAAGTCACAGAGAACTGTTGTATTTAGGTTTTTAAATTTAAAAATGTAATTACCTGACAAATGAGAAGAATTGGCTTCTGAAATTCAGCTTGACATATTGAACAAATATCATCCACATCTGAACACTGTCTCTTGCTGGCAGCCACTCCATAACTCTATGAAGATAGTAAGTTCTGTTCATCTACAAATTTCTTTCTTTCCTGTTCCTCAAATTACATAAGTAATGCTGTACTTCTCAAATCTCCCTGGAACCAGGCATTTGAAAAACTTCCCAAAGGATACAAACATCTCAAAGCTGAGCCATATACAGAACCACCTCTTGAGTGCACCAAAATGAAATCATTAAATAATACATAATAGGATTTTGAAAGATTGTTAGATCTACTAGCTTTACAAAGGATGATAGTGCTTCAAATTCAACATAACTGGCTTAAGAGACTAAGCAATCTGAAATGTAACTATTATAAAATCTATAGCCATGTATTATTTGACCCAGGACTGCCAAATTGAGCTTATTACCTGCAGCAGTGGTTCATAAAGTCAATCCAGCCAGAGGTTGGCTGGTTGAATGTAACTCATGTGGAAAGCTTGCTTTAAAAATAGATTTCTCTGTTCCACACAATATCAATTCACTAGGACCAGACATATTGGGATGTGACCCAGTAATCTATTATTTGAAAGGTCTCCAAGTGAGTGCAATATGAAGAAGACTTAGGGACCACTGAAGAATTTTCTGCCACTAGGTCTAAAAATTATTCGAAATTATAAAAAGCATTTAGTGCTAAACATAAAAAAGTTTTACGGAGAAACTGCAACTGTAAATGTCGCTTTGGTAGAATAACTACTGTCAAAACTAACTGAACAAAAATGCAATTATTTGAATTTTCTTCTCTTCTAATGTCCTAATAACAAGTTACTCGTCTCTAAGATTTTAACCTCCTCACCAGATTCAGAACTTAGTCATTAACTAGATGTGATGTCAATAACCCTCAGTGAAATTTGGAGAAATCAAAATGTTACAAATGAAACCTGCTTTCTGTAGAAATGATGGGGAAGAGGTAACTAAAGAGATGTAAGAACACCCAAGTCAGTCACGGTCATGAGGGTAAAGCATGACTTAACATAGCTGAAGTTATCTAAACTTCTTGTACTAAAACGTCTCAGGCTAACAACATCAAAATCAAAGTAAAACTCAAAGGATAAAGATATTAAAAATTGAGGTTTTTTGAAACTGGTAATAAAGATTTCAGAAATAAGTCAGGATACTGTTAGATGATCTTGGTGTCAATTTCCCTTCAGTAAGGTGTCATTTAGCAAAGTACATTTGCAGATAATTATGCTGACAAGCTTTTAAGACGTTACTCATCTGGCATCTTGGAGACTCCCTCTCCAGATAGTAACTGCCATTTCCCTGGTAAAGGAGACTTGAACAAATCCAAGTATTGATGACTGATATCCTCTCTGTAGTTTGTCTCAGAGAAAGAATATCAGGGTATTTTCTTGAGAGTATTTCGGCACAAATCTTACAAGACCAATTATAGTAAAATGGTTGATGCTCACATAATCATCAGTTGAACTGACTTGGACAAAGCTGAACTCTCTGAATTTTATTATGTCTTGTCTAGAGAAACAAGCTTGCATAGGATGTAGCAAAGTTTGTTTCTACATTGCTAACTCTATCTTAGGGAAAAGGCCCTGGCCAGTTAGTCTCGTTTACTTTGTAGACATAATTCTTTTTTTATTTTTACGGTATATTATTCGGTTGGCATTCTTTTAAGTCAGTCTCCTTGGGCCCTGATGAAATGACTGCAAAATTGAGAATCAAACCCTGAAGTCTGCTGACCACACATAGGTACTAGGAACCTTTCAGGCTACTAAGTGGTAAATTAGGGTTCTCTATGACATCCTTTCACTGCAATTTGCAACATCAATAGAATCACACAATAATGTTATAAATGACACCAGAGACTCAATTAATTGTTAAATTTCATGCCATGAACGTATTTATGCACATATAATTGAGCAATGGGGAAATCTGCTCCAGTAAGAAAACTGCAAGAGACATGATTTTTGGCAGTGAGCTTTCTAAACAATAAATTACAATGGAAGGATTTTCACAGGTGAATAAGGAGTTAATAGGAACAAACAAAGCCCCCATTTGTGGATTAAAAAAGAGGAACACAATTTCATAAGATTGTTAAGGGTTTACAAGCCTTAAAAATGTCCAGTGGATTGAAGAGGCAAGAGACAAGTTCAAATATATAAGCACTGCAACAATTAGCAGGTGGTTGTCAATGTGTGATTCAAGAATCTGATCACAGAGATAAAACTCCTAAATTATTATAGCCCCAAGTGCCAAAGTACTAGAAAATAATCAAAGTAAAAGAAAAGGATCATCTATTTATGAAATCCATTCTTGTAAAACTGCTGAACTAAAAAAATTTTTGCAGTGAAGAAAGGTGAAGGTGTTTTTCTTAACTGATAAAAAGTACTTACTGGTTGTGTAAAAAATATTCGTAAAACCTGTCTGAAAGTTCTCAGATGCCCAAAAAATTCCAAAAGCTGAAAAGAGAAATAAGAGATCATTTATTAATTCAAACAGTCCTATTTGCTAAACCCAAAAACCAAAGCTGAAATCCCATAACATCAAATCCTCATATTAACTTAATGTTCATTATATGTCACATCTAATCATTTTGTGCTGAGTATTTTATTCAATTTATAGATTTGAGCCATCTCAGCAAGCTGAAGTACATTTAAACACCTAGAGTAACAATTTGATCAAGACAAATACAACTATGTCAAAGTCAAAGCAATTTTATCTGATTCACCTGTTTTTAACATTTAGATTTTAAAGTTTCATAAAGTGATTATTAGGTTGAGGGGTGCAGGCATGGAGAGAACAGGACAAGATACTCTACTAGTTTAAGAATTATGTGTATGACAATGTTACTGTTGAGGATGGGTATGTTCTATTCCACTTGTTTTCCCTACTTAGATAATCCACGCTATGTGAAGGTCGACTCCCCTTCCCTCCAGTGAAACCTGAGGACCGCTGGATTAAGATAGTCTATTTCCGTTTCTCCATTTCTAAACAAATATAGAACCTGCTATTACTTCAAACTAGTGATATGAAGATAAACTATAAAACTGTTAAAAGAGGAAAACAGTAGTATGTATCAGTAATCATTAATGTGAATCATGCAGTGACAAGATTTGTAATGTTACCTACTTTTAATATGAGGTAGAGTAAAGCCAGCAGTATCCCAAGACTCCATCTAGTTACGTTACCAAACTCCCCATAGCTTATAAGGTAGCGAAACCAAACTGGTATGGGAACAAAAGTTCGGTAGTATTGACACAATTCTTCTAAAAGCATATACCAGTAACCCTAAAAAATAAGAAGAAAACAAATAGAGCTACCCAAACTACTTAACTACATAGCACAAACAATATTAGACTGAGAACACTGAGTATATTATACAATAATATAAATAACTATAAAATTAATCTTCATAATGATTATGACTGAACCTCAAGCTGGTTCTCACATATTACAGTCACTGAGTGGCCTGCTTTGAAAGAATTTCTAGGTTGGACGCAGTGGCTCCCAGCACTTTGGGATGGGCAGATCACCTGAGGTCAGGAGTTCGAGACCAGCTGGCCAACATGGTGAAACCCCGTCTCTACTAAAAATACAAAAATTAACTGGGTGTGGTGGTGGGCACCTGTAATCCCAGCTACTCAGGAGGCTGAGGCAGGAGAACTGCCTGAACCCAGGAGGCGGAGGTTGCAGTGAGCCAAGATCACACCACTGCACTCCAGCCTGGGCAACAGAGCGAGAGACAATCTCAAAACAAAACAAAACCAAAAAAAAAGATACAATGAGAATGTTTTATGTATACTGCAAGTAAAACCTATGTGAGTATGTTTTTGCTGATTATAAGAATTTAAAAGTTTTTAGTGCATATGGGAAACCACTGAATAATTGTACATAGTCAACTGTCAATTGATAATGCCCTGGAGAACAGAAGTACACATCTAAATAGTTTCCCACATATGATGTGGGGACTGATTTTAAAATTATTCTGAAGCAAATATAATTCTGATTTTATCCAAATAGGTTAATAATCAGGTTCAAGTGCCTGAACAAATGGTTGCTAAGCTGAAATAATACAGATAATTAAGCTAGTTAGCAAACTGAAAAACTGCAAAAGGAGGATTCATTTAAACAAAGACTAAATAGCATTAATGTGATTCGATAACATCACTCCAATAAAGCATAAGTGAGTTTCTTACCTTAGATTTAAAAGGCATGATGAAAGAAGGCACCAATAAAATAAGGCATTTTAAGCCCATGAAAAAGAATTTCAGAATGAAGTCTGTAATTCCAACAATCCAAAATACTTCCCAGAAGCTCAAATGGTCCAAAGTAGGATTTAAAAAAATTAAGCTACCAAAAGAAAAACATCAAAATTTATCAGAGCAACATACAAAGATAAAGTATTAATAAAGGGTTTTAATTTGCTACAAATATTTTATTTTGATATGTAAAAAATATGAGTTTGGCAGGATGTCAGAGTTCACAATAATGGAATGGAGGATCATTTTGCTTAAAGAGACTTTTTAAACCTGTTTGGATTTTAGATCTTCCCTTCATAGAATAAGGAAAAAGTCTTCACGGTTTGTCATAGTTGACACCTTTCTAGCCTGTAAATGAAAAAAACTCATCAATACCAGACATCTGCTGTGTTTTTCTTAACCAATTCCAATCAGGATTCCATCTCTTCCTTTCAATGAATTGCTTGTCAAGATCATCAACTCCCTCTGTATGGCTAAATTTCAAGGTCACTCTCTTTTTCCATCTTCCCTCCCTGAATAATTTTCTTTCTAGACTTTTAACACAACACTTTTCTATTTCTCATATTTCACTGCTGGTTTCTTCTTAGTCTCCTTTGCTGTTTCTCTTCTAATTGTGGTCATGTCCAGTACTGGGCTCTCTATCTACACTCTCTTTCCTGGGTTAGTTTTGTCCAGTCCTGTGGTTTTTAAATATCAACCATATGCTCCTGATACCAAAATTTATTGCCTTAACCTCTACCCTGAGTTCATGACATATATTTGGAACCACTTTCTTATCAATTCTACTTAGCCTCTCAAACTTAACATGTTCAAAACAAAATTATTGATTTTTCTCCTCAAAATCAGTTCCTTCCTCAACCCAATGAAATGACACCACCATCCAGCCAGCTGCTTAGACTAAAAACCCAGAGGTCATTCTTGCTTCTCTCCACCCACCTATCCAATCCAGTCCATCTGAGGGATACTGGCTCCACCTCCAAACTATATCCCAGATTTGCCCATCTCTCCAACTCCAGTGAAACCAGGTCTTCTAATATTCTAATAAAAGCTGAAAATTCAGAATACTCCCATTTGACATGGAGACTTATCAGCTACTGTCATTTAGTAAGTGTTCTTACTTTCAGAAACAACGACCAATAATAACAACCTAATGGTACTTTAAAAATACGAAATATGTAAACAAAAACTCAGGTATCAAAAAATTAAATATTTATTGAGCATCTGTTATGTGCCAAGGCACTGGGGATACAAAATCTGAGTAAGTCACTTAAAGCTCTCACTTATGAGGCTGGGTGCAGTGGCTCACACCTGTAATCCCAGCACTTTAGGAGGTGGAGGCAGGCAGATCACGAGGTCAGGAGGTCTGACCAACATGGTGAAACTCCGTCTCTATTAAAAATACAAAAATTTGCCAGGCGTGGTGGCGTGTGCCTGTAATCCCAGCTACTCAGGAGGCTTAGACGGGAGAATTGCTTGAACCTGAGAGGCAAAGGTTGCAGTGAGCCAAGATCAAGACACTGCACTCCAGGCTGGGCGAGAGAGTGAGACTCCGTCTCAAAAAGAAAAAAAAAAAAAAAGCTCTCGCTTATGAAAGGAGAAAGTTAAAAACTGAACTGAACTGAATACAATAAGTACTATGTGAAGTAAGATACAAAGTGCTATGAAATATATGATTACATTAAAAATGTAATTGTGTATTTGGACCTCTAATTACCTGTAATAAAGTGACTGAGAATGAAAGGTGTAATATAAAAGAACAGAAGATCCTGCTAAGAATACCAGTAACCAAGCACACTGAATCTTTGAGGACCTTTCCTGAAAGATAAACAATTTTATAATGTTACTTTGATTTTGCCAGAATTTTAAATATCATTAAACTGTTTTACTTTAATGACTATTAACTTAGAATATTTTTCTAAATCTTAATATAGAATATGTTAAACTGTACATAATCATCACAGTTACTGTTTTATACTACTTTAGTGACCAAACAGAACTCTTATATTAAACAAATGTTTAAAATACAAGTTTCTTCACTGTATGAAAAACATTACCTATGTTTCAAAGAAGCCAAGTCTTCTCTCAAAAAAAAAAAAAAAAAAAGAAAATTAAATTAAATTAAAAAAAAAAAAAAGAAGCCAGGTCTTCTACAAGCTGACATAAAGGACCCACCCAGGACGGGGGCAGTGGCTCACACTTGTAATCCCAGCACTTTGGGAGGCCAAGGTCGGCGGATCGCTTGAGGTCAGGAGTTTGTGACCAGCCTGCCCAACATGGTGAAACCTGTCTCTACTAAAAAAAGTACAAAAGTTAGCCAGGCGCCGTGGCACGTGCCTGTAATCCCAGCTACTCAGGAGGCTGAGGCACGAGAATCACTTGAACCCAGGAGGCAGAGGTTGCAGTGAGCCAAGATCACGCCACTGCACTCCAGCCCGGGTGACAGAGCAAAACACCGTCTCAGAAAAAAAATGGACCCACCCACAAAAGAAAATTTCAAAATGCATTTTAACCTTGACTCACTTGTCAAGGTTTATATTTTTTAAATTCTCAGATTATAAGAATTTAATAAATTAATGTTTTAATCTCACTTTTTTAATATATGGGGTCTCGACACATTGCTCAGAATTCCTAGGCTCAAGCATTCTTCCCAACTCAGCCTCCCAAGTAGTTGTAATCTCCCTTTTTTTTTTTTTACTTTTTTGAGACTGGGTCTCACTCTTTCACCCAGACTGGAGTGCAGTGGCATGATCACAACTCACTGCAGCCCCAACCACCTGGGGTCAGGCAATCCTCCCACCTCAGCCTCCCAGATAGCAGAGATTACAGGCACGTGCCACCACGCCCAGCTAATTTTTTGTATTTTTTGTAGAGATGGGGTTTTGCCATGTTGCCCAGGCTCGTCTTCAATTCCTGGGCTCAAGCAATCTGCCCATCTCAGCCTCCCAAAGTGCTGAGATTACAGGCATGAGCCACTGTGCCTTGCCTGTAATCTCACTTTTAAAGTCAAGTTTAATGAAGTTTTACTAATTTTAAATCATTAAGATTTTTCTAGTTTGATAGGTTTAACTATAAATTTCCAGGTCAGAATGCATGATACTTTACACAGACATAGCCATTTAAAGTTGCCTTAAGGTGAAATTTTAGAAACTCATCCTCTTTTTCCCAATGATTTATATGACGGGCTCGTGTAACTTATGTTATGGAAAAATTCCTTGGGTTTCATTTTCTCTCTTTTTTTTTTTGAGATGGAGTCTCACTCTGTCGCCAGGCTGGAGTGCAGTGGCACAATCTTGGCTCACTGCAACCTCTGCCTCCCGGGTTCAAGCAATTCTCCTGCCTCAGCCTCCCAAGTAGCTGGGACTACAGGCAAGCGCCACCACGCCCAGCTAATTTTTGTGTTTTTAGTAGACATGGGGTTTCACCACATTGGCCAGGCTGGTCTCAAACTTCTGACCTCAGGTGATCTGCCTGCCTGGGCCTCCCAGAGTGTTGGGATGACAGGCGTGAGCCCCTGTGCCTGGCCCAGGTCTTTTTTTTTTTTTTTTTTTTTGAGATGGAGTCTCGTTCTGTAGCCCACGCTGGAGTGCAGTGGTGCGATCTCAGCTCACTGCAACCTCCACCTCCCAGGTTCAAGTGATTCTCCTGCCTCAGCCTCCCGAGTAGCTGGGAATACAGGCACATGCCACCACACCTAGCTAATTTTTTGTATTTTTAGTAGAGACAGGGTTTCACCGTGTTAGCCAGGATGGTCTCAATCTCCTGACCTCATGATCTGCCCGCCTCGGCCTCCCAAAGTGCTGGGATTACAGGTGTGAGCCACCATGCCCAGCCACTAAAAGTTTTTCATGATGATGGTCTTACTTACTATGGTCAAAGTAACTGATACAACATGAAGGGACTTGCCAAATCAGATCAGATACCGTGTTCTAACTCTTTTAATCCTTTTTACTACTTTAACAGTAACCAATTTTTTTTTCTTACAAAGAAGGTAAGGTGAAGGAATTCAGCATTAGGAGAGATAATTTATTCCAGGATTTAGATAACAAATTTAACATAACGTGGATGTTACAATATATCCTATTACTTCCTATTTCTTTCAAGTTATTTCCTATTTCTCTCAAAATTATTTCTCTAAAATCTATGGAGAGAAACAGTTAATAATTTTTTAGTTGCTTGTTATACTTACTCTTAGAAAAACCTGATTTACAATGCTTTTGTTTGCATACATAAAAGTTGTTAGCAGCCCAATTCCAAGAGAAATTCCTGTTAGAAAATAAGTTCCAGTTAATTGAAAGAAAAAAAAATCAAAGAGGATTATATAAGCTAACAATGACACAAATTAAAAATAAACATATACAATAATAAAAGCTCACAGAAAATAAGTAACTGGATGCATTAAGTAGATTACCAATAATGAAAGAAAATTAACTGAATTTAGGAATGAAAACAAGTCAATGTTTTATTATGTCCTACCTGTTATATGCTGCATAACAAGTTTGACGCTCAGAATCAAAATATATGGAAGACTTTTTTGCAGCCACTTGAAGAGATAGCGGAATTCTGAGAAGGAGCTACTACCATGATCTCCAGATTCTGCGGCAGTATCATCAGTCAGCCTTGCTTCACTGTGGGAGTGACCCCGTAAGCGACTGTGTACACATCCATGGGCACAGCTATGGACACCTGACCTTATATTTCTGGAGCTTGCATTTTCTGCACATTCTTTAGGTATGGAGTTTATCTGGATATGAACATCTCCAGAATGAGGGCAAGAACCCTCTCCTGTCAATCTTGTGTGGACACACTGAGGGGTTGAGGCATCCTCACTGCTTCCAGTTCCTGGAGGACTGTGCAGTTGGCTACGATTGGCTTGCATGGCCCTTAAATACTTTTTCTCTGACCCAGATGTCTTTGCTTCAGGCCTCTGTCTCCTAAAAAATCAAATAAAAGATATTCTAAGTAAACAGGCAGTTAAATACCAGCAGTATATTCCTCACTGGGTATCCTTTATTCACTAAAGGAGTAGCAAATAATCACAACAGATGAATTTTCAGGTTATTTATCACTGGACTCCTCCCTTCTCCCTTAATGCCAAGGCTCTGCTGCCCTACACAAATGATCTTTTAGGGAACATTTGCACCAAAAAAAAAAAAGTTGAGCTGCAAATGCTTCCAGTTCTCTAATGGCAGAAGGCATCCGCAAAACAGTCATGAAGTATGGGTACCCAGCAGATGTTAATGAGCACCAGTCCTCACTGGGTACTCTGGTACATTTACTTTTCCCAAATGGTGCAGTTTCATCTCTGATGTAGATTCTACATCAAAGAAGTTTCATAAGGAAGAGTGAGCCAGTATTTTTTAATGGTTGGAAATGTTAGGAAAAAAAACAACATTAAATCTTAATGCCTTATTATCATCATAGGTAACTAATAATAAACACTGCACTTAGGTGACCTACAAATTAGATTTTCTGCTCAAGCAGCTTTCCCAAAGCTCATAAAGTTTCCAATAATTAATGGTGCCACCAATAATATTACCTCCCCGCGCAAAAGAATGTTACCTAAATACATTTAAAGCATAGATACTTTGGAGAGTCACCACGTAATTGCTAGGTAACTCTTTAGTCTGAATAAGCAGTTACACAGTCCGCCCAATAAAATGCCACCGTCGGTGGTGTGTGTATTACGGAGGGAGGGGTGTGAGGAAAGAGGACTCTAGCAGAGAAAGATCTCTCTAATAAATGATCCAGTGTGGACCTCCTAGAAACAGAAGAACAGAGTCGGAATCCCAGCTGACAAAACGCAGAGGCTATCCCACACTGCCGTGCTTTTCCCGTTTGTCTAGGAGGAGGCTAGAGTTAACGTCAGGGAATGTTCTGTGTCATTCTATTTCACTCCCAGGACTGAACAGTGGTGCAGTCACCGTGTCTGGCGGTTTGGGTTTCAGTGCTTTTCACTAAAGGCTTTCACCGAGGCCCCGACGCCACGGGTGTTATTTCGTCAAAACTGAAGAGCGACGTTGGACAGCAGGCTTTCAGTGTCTTTTCTATAAATAACATAGAACCCTCCCACTTTCCTTCATGCACAGACAAGAAAGAGGAGAAAAAAGGGAAGAAAATTCAACACAACTCTTCCGGAATCTCCGAGGGCAGAGTTCTCCACCCACGTCCGAGCCTCGAGTGCCTATTCTCCCCAGAGCCCCCTGCGCCGCGGCCCCTCGCCGCCTCCTCCTCTGCCCGCTTCCCCCAGGCCTAACCTCTCATGACCAGAAGCGGACGGAGGTGTCGGGAGCGACAGCAAGAACAGCGGCATACACCGCCTCCAGCCCTTCAGTCGGGGCCATCAACCGCAAACCCCGCAAGCTCTTCTCTCAGCCCGGCGGCAACGGCGGCGGCGCGCGCGCTCCCCGGACGTTCTCACGCGCGCGCGCGCGCCCTGCCCCGGCTCCACCTCCTAGCCCCGCCCCCGCACCGCGCCGAGTGGAGAGCTCACGGCTGCCGGGGTGTTTTGGCAGCGAGAACAAGCGAGCTGCGCCTGAGAACGGCCTTCAGGCCTGGCGCTAAATAATAAGTCGTTGTTATGTGTTATGTATTTATGTGGCATCCACCACACGCCTCCGAGATCCTGGGCGTTTTGAGGTTAAAAATGTTCAGGCTTGGAGAACCTACCCCTGGAGGAGTGTTAGGGTTTCCGGGCTCGGATGTCCGCGAGCTTGACGCCTGACCTAGTTGTGTCTGTCTGGGCGGTGACGTTTGGTCTGAGCTGACCTTTCCTCACAATCGTGAATTTGGGCTGTGAGGATCAGGCCTTGTCAGAACCCGAGATGAGAGGAGAGAGGTGCGGAGAGTCTGCGTGGGGTGGAAGTAGAAGTTAGAGTTGAAAAACCTGTCTTGCGTGGGGTATAGAGGACCCTACTGCCCTCAAAATAATTATGTTAATCTAAAACTGTTCTAAAATTAAAAGGTTATTAAGAAAACGAAGTTTAGGTCGGGCGCAGTGGCTCACACCTGTAATCCCAGTATTTTGGGAGGCCGAGGCGGGCGGGTCACTTGAGCTCAGGAGGTAGAGACCAGCCTGGCCAACATGGTGAAACCCGTCTCTATTAAAACTACAAAAATTAGCCGGGGGCGTTGGCTCACACTTGTAATCCCCGCTACAGATACTCGGGAAGCTGAGGCATACGAGAATCACTTGAACCCGGGAGGTGGAGTTTGTAGTGAGCCAAGATCGTGCCACTGCACTCCAGCCTGGGCAACAGAGTGAGTGAGACTCGGTCTCAAAAAATAAATAAATAAAATAAATTCTGTTAATCTAAAACTGTTCTAAAATTAAAAGGTCATTAAGAAAACGAAGCTGAGGAGGGGAGTGGTAGCTCACACCTGTAATCCCAGCACTTTGGGAGGCCAAGGCGGGTGGATCACAAGGTCAAGAGATCGTGGCCACATCCTGGCCAATATGGTGAAACCCCGTCTCTACTAAAAATACAAAAATTAGCCGGGTGTGGTGGTGCGTGCCTGTAATCTCAGCTACTCGGGAAGCTGAGGCAGGAGAATCGCTTGAACCCGGGAGGCGGAGGTTGCAGTGAGCCGGGATTAGCCACTGCACTCCAGCCTGGCAACAGAGCGACACTCCGTCTAAAAAAAAAAAGGTTTAGGCCTGGCGTGGTGGCTCACCCCTGTAATCCCAGCGCTTTGGAAGGCCGAGGCGGGAGGATCACTTGAGGTCAGGAGTTTGAGACCAGCCTGGCCAACATGGCGAAACCCTGTCTCTACTAAAAATACAAAAATCACCCGGGCTTGGTGGCGGGCGCCTGTAATCCCAGCTACTCGGGAGGCTGAGGCAGGAGAATCCCTTGAACCCAGGTGGCGGAGGTTGCAGTGAGCTGAAATCGTGCCACTGCACTCCAGCCTGGGCGGCAGAAGGAGACCCCCACCTCAAAAAAAAACACATTGGCTTTCTTTTTTTGTTGGGGGTGGGGGTAGGGGTGGTCGGCGGTGGTAGAAGGCATACTTAAGTCTCTCTGTGCTTACTAATTTAAATCTTTCTGACAGATTTCTGGTTCAGTAAGGGTGAGAGCCAGGCTCCAGACTATAGTGAATTTTCCGAGGAGATATGTGTAAGTATTCTAACATTTCAACTATGTCGTGGATATTTTTAAACTTCAAAATGTGTGAACATTTAGGAAACAGGAAAAAAAACAGAATATAACATAATTCAGCCACAGCCACAATGCAGCACCAATATGTATTAGTACACTGATAATTTTAGTACATTTGGTACATTTGTAAATTTAGAATACCAAATGTAGTGTTTAAATTCTCATCTTGGCCAGATACTACGGTTCATTCCTATAATCCTAGCACTTTGGGAGGCTGAGGTGAAAAGGTCGCTTGAGCCCAAGAGATCGAGAGCAGACTGGACAACATAGAGAGACCCTGTCTCTAGAAAAAAATGTTAAAATTAGCTGGGCACTGTGGCAAGGGCCTGTAGTCCCAGCTACTCAGGAGGCTGAGGTGGGAGAATCCCTTGAGCCAGGGAGATTAAGGCTGCAATGAGCCGTTATTGCTCCAGTCTGGGAACAGAGTGAGACCCTGTCTCAAAAAAAAAAAAAAAAAAATTCTCCTTTTGACATACTCATAACACTGCAGGTATATTAGTCCATATTTAAAGTTTATTAGTGCACTTGGAGCTGCATTTCACCCAAGTAACTTGACTGAAAAGTGACATATTTGAAGAAAGAAAGGACTGAATTGATGAGAAGATTTGACTTGGTGACAGGCTATTATCTGATAAATTTTCTTTCCACTGGCATCTGGACTGTTGGAAATAGACATTTTAATTTTAATTGGTTAATTCAAAAAGCATTTTCCAAGTACTTACTGAGTGTTAAGAATAATACTAGATGTTGGAGAGAGAGACATAATAAAGAGTCTCGGGCCAGGCATGATGGCTCACACCTGTAATCTCAGCACTTTGGGAGGCCACAGCAGGTAGATCACTTGAGGTCAGCAGTTCAAGACCAACCTGGCCAACATGGTGAAACTCCATTTCTGCTAAAAACATAAAAATTAGGGCCAAGCACAATGGCTCACGCCTGTAATCCCAGCACTTTGGGAGGGTGAGGCAGGCGGATCACCTGAGGTCAGGAGTTCAAGACCAGGCTGGCCAACATGGTGGAACCCCGTCTCTACTAAAAATACAAAAATTATCGAGGTATGGTGGCACGCGCCTGTAATGCAGTTACTCAGGAGGCTGAGGCAGGAGAATTGCTTCAACCTGAGGCAGAGGTTGCAGTGAGCCAATATCATGCCACTGCACTCCATCCTGGGCAACAGAGCAAGACTCCATCTCAGAAAAAAAAGAAAAAGAAAAGTTGCCATCTCATGGTGATGGAAATGTTTAGACCTGCAAACAAATAATTACAGTATTTTGGAGAAAACACTATAATTGAAGGTTCTGTGAGATGCAATGGAAGCAAAAGGTAGAAGCATTTAACTTTGTCAGGGAAGAAATCTTTTATTAAATTTGTGATATTTAAGATGAAATCTTTTTTTTTCTTTCTTCTTTTGATAGAGTTTTGCTCTGTTGCCCAGGGTGGAGTACAGTGGCGCAATCTTGGCTCACTGCAACCTCTGCCTCCTGGGTTCAAGTGATTCTAGTGCCTCAGCCTCCTGGATGAAATCTTAAGAATAAGTTGATATTTACCAGGACAGAAGCAGTAACAGGGCAATGCAGATAGAAACATTATATGGAAAATGGTGGTATTGAAATACCATGGTCTTTTAAAGAGTGTTTTTCGTATTTGGAAGAGTAGAGTGGATAGAGTAGTAAGAGATAAGTCAGGTAAGTATGAGCTAGAAAATGAGTTTGTGGGCCTCACTTAGTTTATTCTAATGGCCAAAAGGAAGCTATTGAGTTTTAAGCAACAGAATTGTGTGACTGGATTTGTGTTTTTCAGAAAATTCATATGCTGATAGTAGCAGTGCAAGCTCCATTAGGAGACTATTATAAGTAGTTCAGGAACAAGATGAGGTCTTGAACTTGTCAGTGAAGTGGGATTCAAGAAGAAGAATGAGATTGGAGAGGTTATGAAATAGAATCAGTAGGGTTAAGTGTCCTAGATTGTTGCAGTTAAGCTCGTCACCCCCTCTACTACCCACACAAATTTTTCACACCTACCAATGTCCATATGCTTGGGTAGTCTCCTCGCAGACTGATTTAAGTGATTTGCTTTGATCCTTGGGACAATAGCAATTGTAATGTTAATAGAGACTTGAAAAATTCTTCTCCATTGGGATTCACACTCTTACTGTTGGCAACCCTTTGCCACAATTTGATTAAATTAAGGCTGGCCTCCTAGAAGATGAGACCACTTTGAGAGTGTCCCTAGCTCTACCAGCCTTCCCAGTTGTCTCAGCATTCTCTGTTGAAGCCCCAAACATATGTGTGAAGCCATCCTAGAGTGAGCCAGTCTACACATAGAATTATAGGAAATACAGATTCTTTTCTTTCTTTTTGTTTGAGATGGAGTCTCGCTCTGTCACCCAGGCTGGAGCGCAGTGGCATGATCTCAGCTCACTGCAACCTCTGCCTCCTGGGTTCAAGCTATTCTCCTGCCTCAGTCTCCCAAGTAGCTGGGACTATAGGCACCTGCCACCATGCCCGGCTAATTTTTGTATTTTAGTAGAGACGGGGTTTCACCATGTTGGCCAGGCTGGTCTTGAACTCCTGCCCTTGTGATCTGCCCGCCTTGGCCTCCCAAAGTGCTGGGATTACAGGCATGAGCCAGCGCACCCGGCCTATAGATTATTTTCTTTTAAGCCTCTAGGTGTGGGGCAGTTGGTTTCATAACAAGATTAACTGATAGCCTAACTGACCAAGCATATGGGGCAGATAAGAGAAATAGTCTAGGACAAATCTTCATTTTTTAGCATGGATGGATGGATAAATCAATATTAGGAAGCTATGTTAGAATAAGTAAACTGGTGGCATTACCAGATGAATAGGGAATTTTTTTGAAAGACCAAGTTTGGAGAGATATCAGTAAATTTGGCTTGGAAACACTGAGTCTTAGGAGTTCCTGGGAAACACACAGGTGAAGATATCCAGTTGGCGATTTGATATAAGGATCTGGAGACAGAAAATTTGAAGTAAAAGCTGTGGCTTTGAATAACATTGCCCATTCCTCATTTATGCATTTTCAGAGCCTTTTTTTGTAGATTCTTTGTAGACAGTGTTGTCTACAAATAGAAACAGCTTCTTCCTTTCTGATGCCTATGCCTTTTATTTCTTGCTTTATTGTATTAACTGTAACTGCCAATGTGATGTTATGAATAAATTAAATAGGAATGGTGACAGTAGACATCTGTGCCGTGCTCCTGATTTTAAGGGGAATACATTCAGCCTTTTACCATTAAGTATGTCAGTTGTAAGTTTTGCTCATTTGTTTGTTTCCTTTTTCCTTTTTTTTTTTTTTTTTTTTTTGAGACAGAGTCTCACTCTGTTGCCCAGGCTGGAGTGCAGTTGTGTCATCTCAGCTCACTGCAACCTTTGCCCCCAGGGTTCTAGCGATTCTCCTGCCTCAGCCTCCTGAGTAGCTGGGATTACAGGCGCCTGCCACCACGCCCGGCTAATTTTTTTGTGTTTTTAATAGAGATGGGGTTTCTCCATGTTGGCCAGGCTGGTCTCGAACTCCTGACCTCAGGTGATCCACCTGCCTTGGCCTCCCAAAGTGCTGGGATTACAGGTGTGAGCCACCACGCCTGGCCTGTTTGTTTCTTTTTTTTGAGCTGGAGTCTTGCTCTGTCGCCCAGGCTAGAAGTGCATTGGTGTGATCTCGGCTCACTGCAATTTCCACCTCCCAGTTTCAAGCAATTCTCCAGCCTCAGCCCCCCCAGTAGCTGGGATTACAGGTGTCGGCAACCACACCTGGCTAATTTTGTATTTTTAGTAGAGATGGGGTTTCACCATGTTGGCCAGGCTGGTCTCGAACTCCTGAGTTCAGGTGATCTGCTGCCTTGGCTTCCCAAAGTGCTGGAATTACAAGTGTGAGCCACCGTGCTTGGCCTCTAGTTTTTTTTGTAGGTGTCATCTATCAGGTCAAGTAAATTAATTCCCTTCTACTCCTAGTCTGCTAAGAATTTTTATCATGAGTGGATACTGAATTTTGACAAATCTTTTTCTGCCTTTATTAAAAAATCATACAATTTTTCTTATTTAGCCTGTTGATATGGTGAAATTTTCTTTTGTCTTTTTTTTTTTTTTGGATGTAGAGTCTCCCTCTGTTGCCCAGGCTGGAGTGCAGTGGTACGATCTTAGCTCACTGCAACCTCTGCCTCCTAGGTTCAAGCAATTCTCATGCCTCAGCCTCCCGAGTAGCTGGGATTACAGGCATGCACCACCATGCCCGGCTAATTTTTATATTTTTAGAAATTTATCAATTGATTTTTTTGTTTGTTTGTTTGTTTGAGACAGAGTCTTGCTCTATCCTCCAGGCTGGAGTGCAGTGGCATGATCTCAGCTCACCACAACCTCCATCTCCCAGGCTCAAGCAATTCTCCTGCCTCAGCCTCCCGAGTAGCTGGGATTACAGGTGTGTGCCACCATGCCTGGCTAATTTTTGTATTTTTAGTAGAGACAGGGTTTCACCATGTTGGCCAGGCTGGTCTCGAACTTCTGACCTCTGGTAATGTACCCGCCTTGGCCTCCCAAAGTGCTGGGATTACAGGCGTGAGCCACTATGCCCAGCCTATCAATTGATTTTTAAATGTTAAGCCAGCCTTGCAGTTCAAGGATAAACTCCACGGAGTTGTAGTGTATTACCCTTTTTATATATTGCGTTCATTTTACTAATATTTTGTGGGAGATTTTTGCATCTCTGTTTATGGGAGATACTGGTTTTCTTACAATGTCTTTAACTGTTGTTGATGTCAGGATAATGCTGGCCTGAACTGGAAAATGTTTCCTGTTTGTAGAAGAGATTGTGTTGAATTGATATCATTTCTTACTTAAATGTTTGGTAGAATTTGCCAGTGAGGCCATCTGGCCTAGAATTTTTTTTTTTTTTTTTTATGGAAAGGTTGTAAACTACAAATTTCAGTTTCTTTAATCACTGTAGAATTATTCAGGTTATATATTTCTTCTTAAGTGAGCTTGAAGGAATTGGCATAAAGTTATTCATAATATTCTCTTATTAGCCGTTTAACATCTGTAGGTTCTGTATTGACATTAGCACTTTCATTGCTGGTATTGGTAATCTATGTCATCTTTGTTTTTTTCTTGGTCAGTATCACTAAAAGTTTATCTATTTTATTGGTATTTTCAATACAATTTGGTTTCATTTATTTTAGTTTTATTTACTTTCTAATATAAGCATATCATTTAATTTGATTAATTTATTTTGAGACAGAGTCTTGCTCTATCACCCAGGCTGGAGTGCAGTGGTGCAGTCTGGGAATCACTGCAGCCTTGAACTCCCAAGCTCAAGTGATCCTCCCTCCTCAGCCTCCCAAGTTTCCGGGACTACATGTGCATGCTGCCACACCCAGCTGAGTTCTAAAATTTTTTGTACAGATGGGATGTCACTATGTTGCCCAGGCTGGTCTTGAACTCCTGTGCTCAAGTGATCCTCCCACCTTGATCTCCCAAAGTGCTGGGATTACAGGCATGAGTCACCACACTCAACCAAGCATATAATTTTATATATGATCCTCCCACCTCGGCCTCTCAAAGTGCCAAAGTGCTGGGATTACAGACATGAGCTACTGTGCCTGGCACCTTTGATATTTTCTATTAGTATAGGTCTGCTGCCAATGAATTATCTTAGTTTTTCTTCATTTGAGAATATCTTTAGTTTTCCCTTCATTAATGAAGGATATTTTCATTGATATCTAATTCCGGGTAGACAGTTTGTTTTAGCAATTTAAAGATATTCCACACCGGGCACGGTGGCTCACACCTGTAACCCCAGAATTTTGGGAGGCCGAGGTGGGTGGACCACTTGAGGTCAAGAGTTCTAGACAAGCCTGGCCAACATGGTGAAACCCCATCTCTACTAAAAATAAGAAAATTAGGTGAGCATGGTAGCATGCGCCTGTAATCCCAGCTACTCTGGAGGCAGAGGTGGGAGAATTGCTTGAACCCAGGATGCAATGAGCTGATATCGTGCTACTGCACTTCAGCCTGGGCGACAGAACGAGACTCCGTCTCAATTTAAAAAAAAAAAAAGATATTCCACTGTTTCTACTCCTCAAGGTTTCTAATAAGAAATCCACAGTCACTCAAATCAATGTATGTACAATACATACCTTGTAATGTATTTTTTTCTGCAGGTATCTCTCTCTGTCATAGTATCTGAATAATACCCACCCAAAGATGTCAAGTTTTAATTCCTGAAACTCATAAATATTATTTTATTTGGAAAAAGGGTCTTTGCTGATGTAATTAAGGATTTTGAGAGGAGTCGGTTACCTTGGATTTTTCAGGTGGGTCCTGAATACCATCCCAAGTGTCCTTATAAGAGAGAGGCAAAAGAGGCAATAGAGACACAGAAAAGAAAGCCATGTGAAGATGGAGCAGAGAGATATATGGCCACAAGCCAAGGAATGCTGACAGCTGCCAGAAGCTGGAAGAAGGCAAGGAATGGACTCTCCCCTACAGCCTCCAGAGGCAATGCAGCCCTGCCAACACTTTGATTTTAGACTTCTGGCCTATAGAACTGAGAAAGAATAAATTTCTGTTCTTTTCAGCTACTAAGTTTGTGATCACTTGGTGCAGCATTTACAGGAAACAAATACACCTCTCCTTCTAGAACTCCAATTATGTGAACATTAGACCATCTAATATTGCCCCACATGTTCCTGAGGCTCTCTGTTCATTTTCTTTTTAATCTATTTTTCTCTGTTCTTCAGATTGGACAATTGCTCTCTTTTTTGTTTGTTTGTTTTTTTGAGATGGAGTTTCGCTCTTGTCGCCCAGGTTGGAGTGCAACGGCGCAATCTTGGCTCATTGCAACCTCCGCCTCCCGGGTTCAAGTGATTCTCCTGCCTCAGCCTCCTGAGTAGCTGGTATTACAGGCACCCACCACCATGCCCAGCTAATTTTTGTATTTTTAGTAGAGACAGGGTTTCTTTTTTTTTTTTTTTTGGCAGTTTTTACTTTTATTTAAACAGAAAACATGCACACGAGCTGTCTACTCATTTTCTTTGCTGCGCAGCCTGGCATTGGGGTTGGTGACTTTGATGGCCAGTTGGGCAGCTCTTTCCACGATGGCTTTGCGGTTCTTGGAGGAAACATGGTGAGTGATCTCGGCACAGTAAGATTTGTTGCACATCAGCAGCACTTCCAGCTCCTTGACGTTGTGGACCAGGAACTTCCGGAAGCCACTGGGCAACATGTGCTTTGTTTTTATTTTTATATTTTTGCAACGGAGTCTTACTTTGTGACCCAGGCTGGAGTGCAGTGGTGTGATTTTGGCTCACTGCAACCTCTGCCTCCTGGGTTCAAGTGATTTTCCTGACTCAGCTTCCCAAGTAGCTGGGATTACAGGCATGTGCCACCACTCCTGGCTAAGTTTTGCATTTTTAGTAGAGACGGGGTTTTGCTGTGTTGGTCAGACTGGTCTCAACTCCTAATGTCAGGTGTTCTGCCCGACTCTGTCTCCCAAAGTGCTAGGATTACAGGCATGAGCCACTGCACCCGGCCTGGCTTTGTTTATTACTGTATCTAATGCCTAATATAGTTCTTGGCATATACTAAGTGGCCAATAAATATTTATGGAATAAACGAATGAATGGACACTTTTCAAACCTCATCCTGCTTGACATTTTTGCAGCATTCTACGCTATAGGTTGTTCCCACCTCCTGGAATCTTTCTTCCCTAAACTTTCATATTCTACTGATTTCCCCACTTCTGTAGGCTTTCTTTACAGGCAAGCTGCTACTTCTTTATGAATCTTACAGCTTCAGATATTGCTGTGAAAATGGGGACACCTATATAGTCACCCACATACGCACAAGTACAAACTTAAGAGAATAATAAATGCTCAGTCACCATTTCCTCATCCGAGAAGGGAGTGGATACAGTCATCCCTTAGTATCTCTAGGGAATTGGTTCCAGGACCCCATGTGGACACCAAAATCCATGGATGCTCCGGTCCCTTATATACAATGATGCAGTATTTGCATATAATCTATGCATACCCATATGCTTTAAATCATCTTAGATTACTTAAAATATTTAATACAAAGCAATTGTTATATAAATAGTAATTATACTATTATTACTTAGGGAATAATAAGGAAAAAAAGTCTATACATGTTTAGTTCAGACACAACCATCCTTTTATCCACTCCCCCAGTTTTTTTTTTTTTTTTTGAGGTGGATTCTCACTCTGTCACAAGGCTGGAGTGCAGTGGCATGATCTCAGCTCAGTACAACTTCTGCCTCCCAGGTTCAAGTGACTGTCCTGCCTCAGCCTCCCGAGTAGCTGAGATTACAGGTGTGTGCCACCATGCCCAGCTAGTTTTTGTATTTTTAGTAGAGACTGGGTTTCACCATATTGGCCAGGCTGGTCTCGAACTCCTGACCTCAAGTGATCTGCCCACCTCGGCCTCCCAAAGTGAGCCACGATGCCTGGCCTGCCCCTAAATATTTTCAGTCCTTGGTTGGCTGAATCCACAGATGCAGAAACCACAGATGTGGAACCCATGGATACAAAGCACTATTTGTGGCCAGGTGCGGTGACTCACACCTGTAATCCCAACACTTTGGGAGGCCATGGTGGGAGGATTGGTTGAGCTCAGGAGTTTGAGAGTGGTCTGGGCAACATGGTAAAAGCCCATCTCTACTAAAAATACAAAAATTAGCCGGGCATGGTGGCACACACCTGTGGTCCCAGCTACTCAGGAGGCTGAGGCATGAGAATCACTTGAATCCAGGAGGCAAAGGTTGCAGTGAGCCCATATTGCATCACTGCACTTCATCCTGGGCAACAGAGTGAGACCCTGTCTCAAACAAAACAAAACACCAACAGGCTGAGCACGGGGGCTCACACCTGTAATCCCAACACTTTGGGAGGCCGAGGCAGGTGGATTACTTGAGCCCAGGAGTTTGAGACCAGCCTGGCCAACACGGCAAAACCCCATCTCTACTAAAACTACAAAAATTAGCCGGGTGTGGTGACGCAAGCCTGTAATCCCAGCTACTTGGGAGGCTGAGGCAGAAGAATTGCTTAAACCTGGGAGGTGGAGATTGCAGTGAGCCGAGATCACGCCACTGCACTTCAGCCTGGGTGACAGAGTGAGACTCCATCTCAAAAAAAAAAAAGGGTGGGGGGGAGGATGAGAAAACTGGGAGATGATGGATATGTACCATTATCTTGATAGTTGTTTTACGCAAATGTCAAAACTCATCAAAGTGTATACATTAAATATGTGTAGGTTATCACACGTCAATTATATATCAGGAAAGCAATTTTTAAATATCTTCATTTCTGTGAAGACAATTCTTTTATCACTACTAGGAATGTTTCATGGGGTCAAGGAGGTCATAGAAACAAATAGAATGGAAGGGTGGTAGAATAGAAAGGGTGCTAATGTACATCAATGAAACTTCAATATGAAATATATAGGTCCAAAATGCTACTCAAGAAAAAAAACATTATGGCAATCACCTGTTTAAGCTTCCTGATTAGTTCTCGAAGTTGAGCTTCCACACGAAATGCAGAAAATAAGCACCTCCAATGAATCCAGTGTTTTTGGCACCATGAAGCTGGAGCTCCACTGCAAAACAAAAAACTGGTATCTTTAAAATATCTTCTCTAAGTAAAAGACAATCTAAAATTCTCATTTCTATTACAAAAGTGGAAACCCATAAACAACTGTCAGTTCCTTCAGGAGACCTGTCCAAGTACTAAAAAAGAATTTTAGGAAACTTGAAAAAAACATTTAAATTAATGAATGTGCCCCTGACTAAATTAAAAAATAATTTGTAAATGGATTTCTTTACTTATATATGCAATAACAAATATCCAATCATTTTTTAATCTAGGCTACCTATATAGAAGCAAAATTCTACAAGGTCATTTTCAGTAAAGGTTTGAGGAGGAAACAAGAGAATCAATGTTATATAATAAATGCCTACTAAGCAATAGTCATCTGACATAGATAATTTCACTGAAATTCAAAATACCTTGAAGTCAATATCATCTTCACTGAACGTTAGTGTCACAAGCCACATCATAAGTACGTATTGGAACTACACATCAAATTGACATTTTTCAGGACAAAGGACTACCTTACATACCTTGATTTGCATTGTTCAAAGATGACAGCTAAAGTTGCAAAGTCATTAAATCCTCCAGCTTTAGCTGCCAATTCTCGATGTCTCTGTTCTGCTTCCTTCTGGTACTCTGGATCAACTAAAAGAATTGGAGAGGCAATTCAGTTATACTTTGCATTAAGTGCCTACAATCACTTTGCTTTCAGAAACTCATTAAAATCTGCCTCATCCTCTGGGGTGAAGTAAGGTAGAACTATATTAACTCTTCTTAACTTCTCTTAGGAAGCTCTATTTCTCCCACAATTCCTTTTTTTCTTTTCATATCACTTTGGAGATTTTACCTGAATAGCAACATCACTTCTCCCAATCTATTTGCCTTTTAAAAATAGTATTTGTAATTTACTTTTTAAATTAGTTTTGTTATAAGAGTAATCCATGCTTACAGAAAAAAAAATGTAATGGTATAAAAGAATATCATGTAAAAGTTCAATGTTCCCCAGTCACACTACCCATAAACCAATCCTCAAGGCAAAGTACTGTTCATTATTTAGTGTGTGTCCTTCCAGGTAATTTCTATGTATATATAAGCATATGTACATAATGTTTCATTTTTCTATAAATGGAACATATAATCTGAAAATTTGTTTATTTAATAACAACTCCATATCAGTACACATAAAATTATTCTCTCTCAAAAACAGCAATATAGGGCCAGGTGTGGTAGCTCACACCTGTAATCCCAGCAATTTCAAAGGCCAAGGCAAGTGGATCAATTGAGCCCAGGAGGTCAAGACAAGCCTAGGCAACAAAGCAAGATCCTGTCTCTACAAAAAATACAAAAATTAGCCAGGCATGGTGATGCATGCCTGTAGTCCCAGCTACTCAGGAGGCTGAGGTGGGAAGATCGCTTGAGCCCAGGAGGTTTGTTTTTTTTTTTGAGACGGAGTCTCGCTCTATCGCCCAGACGAGTGTAGTGGGCGATCTCGGCTCACTGCAAGCTCCGCCTCCCGGGTTCACACCATTCTCCTGCCTCAGCCTCCCGAGTAGCTGGGACTACAGGCGCCCGCCACCGCGCCCGGCTAATTTTTTGTATTTTTAGTAGAGACGGGGTTTCACATGTTAGCCAGGATGGTCTCGATCTCCTGACCTTGTGATCTGCCCGTCTCGGCCTCCCAAAGTGCTGGGATTACAGGCATAAGCCACCGTGCCCGGCCCAAGCCCAGGAGGTTGAGGCTACAGTGAGCCGTGATCGCATCACTGCGCTTTGGCCTGGGCAACAGAGTGAAACCTTGTCTAAAGAAAAAAACAATGATACGGTATTCCCCAGGAGTATGGGGAACATAACACAATTTAACCAGTTCTTATTTATCCAATTCCCAATTATGGGCAATTAGACATGATCTCCATATATGCAGAACTGACCTACTACGAACATTTTCTTTTTTAATGTAATATTGAAGTATAATATGCATACAGAAAATTACACAGGACGTAAGTGTGTAGCTCATATAATATTCACAAACACAACATACCAATGTACCCAGATCAACAAACAGTATCACCAGCATCTCAACAGCCCCCTTTTATGCCCTCCTTCGAGTAACTACCCATTCCCTTCCACAAGAATAACTATATCCTGACTTCTAATCCTACAGATGGGTTTTGCCCATTTTTAACCTTTGTATAAATGAATCGTATAGTATGTACTTGATGTGTCTGTTTTCTCTTGCTCAACATTACGTTTTTGAGATTTATCTGTTAATTACTTCGATACCACTTCCCCTGATCCCATTCAGGACTCATGTGCTCTCTGATTGCCCAAATTCCCCATACAGCACTTTATCCAGGGCTAATCTTTCAGAGTGCCATTTTTTCAAAACTGCATAGGGATCCTTTCCTTCAATCTAACACGTCACATCACAATTCCTATTCCCTATACCTATCACAGCTAGATCTAGCAGAGGCACAATGTTGCCTGAATCCAGGGAGCAGCATTTACTATAGAATACGATGTGAAACTGCAAAGCAGCAGTTCCTGTTACTAGGAGGAAAGTAATTTGATTAAAGAAAACACTGATGAAGGTATAAAGTCTTCTATCCCATGCTTTAAGTAGCTTCCAACTATGTTACCTAGGTAGCAACTGAATGAAGCAGCTAGAGACAAAAAAAAAAAAAAGAATACGATTTATCTCAGACCATACAAACATACAAATGACCCTGGTAAGGAAAAGATATAAATGATTATTAATCTCCATTTCTTGAACTGCTCCGGGAGACTAATTTTGTTTTTTGTTTTGTTTTTTGAGACAGTCTCGCTCTGCTGCCCAGGCTGGAGTGCAGTGGTGCAATCTTGGCTCACTGCAACATCCACCTCCCAAGTTCAAGTGACTCTCCTGTCTCAGCCTTCCAAGTAGCTGGGACTACAGGCACACACCACCACACCCAAATAATTTTTACATTTTTTAGTAGAGATGGGGTTTCACCATGTTGGCCAGGTTGGCCTTGAACTCCTGACCTCAGGTGATCTGCCTGCCCTGGCCTCCCAGAGTGCTGGGATTACAGGCTTGAGCCAACACGCCAGCCAGGGATACTAATTTTTAACCCAAAATATTTCATTTTAAGCACCTAACTGCCATCCCCCAGAAGATATCATGCCAAAAGTCAAATTGCCCTAGACTCCAGCATCGACCCCATCCTGGCTCTCAATACCAGGAGAAAAGCCTACCTGTGAGTCAGTGCCTCCTGGAATCCCTAGAATCATGGCACCATGCAGTCTGTGTTTGCATGCATTTTTGATAAATTTTAACTTTTTATAATAGATTTGTGTATATTTTATGGTAGTAAATTATAAAACAGACTAGTACTGGAACAGGAATTAAAAGAAATTAAAGACTTTATAAGCAAAAACTCAGTTGTATGTAAGAAAACCCAATTCCCCGAGGAAGAGAAAGAGCTGGAGTCCTTTAAAATTAACTGCCTGTTTTTCTCTCTGTGGCTAGTGAGCCTTATCTCACCCCTTCCCAGGCATTGTGAAGACTCTCGAGCTGTGCAGCTTCAAGGTCACTAGACAGATAATCTCAAGTCGTAAAACATGTTGTTCCTTGAAAAGTAAGAAATAATGTAATGCACGTCTTAATTAAATAACTGTCTTTGTTTCTCACTTCTGTAATATGCTTCCCCCTGCACAGATCTCCCCCCGCCCCACGAAATGCTTAAAAGGTAGCTTGACTCTTTGTTCAGGGCTCAGTCCTTTGGATGTTAATCCAACTGGGTTGGTGCACCTAAATAATTAAATAACTCCTCCTCAACCCCTCGGTCTCTCTGATTCCTTAATTATCCTGCAGCATTTCCTACACATAGTTTATGTTTTCATGACATACTTTTTCTTAATTTTTTTGGTATTTCCAGGCTACGGAGTTCATCTGTGAGTTTTTTCAAAGTGTCACAAATCTCCAAAAACTTTTCCAATATATTTATTGAAAAAAATTGGCCGAGTGCATGGCTCACGCCTGTAATCCCAGCATGTTGGGAGGCCGAGGCAGGAGGATCACCTGAGGTTGGGAGTTCGAGACCAGCCTGACCAACATGGAGAAACCCCATCTCTACTAAAAATACAAAATTAGCTGGGCATGGTGGCACATGCCTGTAATCTCAGCTACTCGGGAGGCTGAGGCAGGAGAATTGCTTGAATCTGGGAGGTAGAGGTTGCGGTGAGTTGAGATTGTGCCGCTGCACTCCAACCTGGGCAACAAGAGCAAAATTCTGTCTCAAAAAAAAAAAAAAAACAAAAAAACAAAAAATCTACAAATAAGTAGACCTGCACAGTTCAAACCTGTGTGTTCAAGGGTCAACTGTATTGGGAATGGTGATGTGAGGAGTTAGGTAAAACTTCTTTTCTAGAGAGACATCTATTAAACTAGTCAAAATTACCAAAGACAATCATTCAAAGTCTCTGGAGATTGATTAAAATGCTTAAGACAAGCCTAATCTATGGAATTCGGTAAGGACAGTAGGAAGAATGCCCCACTCTCAACAGCTGTGTGTGTGGAAGGGCTATGCGAGAGCCTTCAAGGCAGCCTGAAAGCGGCACCCTTTCCCTGACTCCTAAATGCTACTCGGTAGGGAAGATCAAAGCATAACAGCTAATGACAGCCTACGCTGTCCTCTATTCCCCACAGCTCTGTGTTGCAGAAGAGTTGTTCCAATGGGTTCAGCAGCTCAGTGGTAGTTCCCACTACTCCCAGTTTCCTAGAGCTATTCCAGGTTTGTATGTTTGCAACTAGTGAACATCCAGAGATTGCATCTCAAAAGGCTTTGTGCTGAGGAAGATGCAAAGTGAGCCATAGTATCAGCTCCTAACTCCCCAACCCCAAGCTTCTGCTATTTAGGGAGGACCCAGATAGGAGAGCCACTGAAGAACAGGCCCCCATTACCACCACCACCCTCTCCAACTCCTGCTCCATAGCACAGAGATTGTTTCCAGGAAAGGATGGGGAAAGGATTATCAAAGACGGGCAATACCTTGCCCCTGCCGAGGTGCCCAACTTTATTTGGATCAAGACTATGGCGCAATTTATGCTCTGGGCACTGTCAAAAACAACAGAGCCAGCAGCTAGCAATCAGTGGAGACTAACAGCTTGCTGTGACACCAATAGAGACAGACCAGCCAAAAATTCAATGAAGAAATCAATGAAGGAAACAGAGACCTGCTAAGAGCATAGTCTTCCTGGTGTTCTAGAAGATTGTTCTCATGCCCAAAGCTGTGCCTTCTGAGAAGTAAATAGAGAGGGAACGTCTGAGCCTCTACTCCTTGGCTGAACACAGTACAAATTCATCAACTCCCTCAACCATGAAAGTAGTCTCCTAACCAGAAACACAGATTCAACAGTAAAAGGTGAAAACATCACTGGCTTAAATTAAAAGGCTTAGCTAGGTACAACCTCCGACCAATCACTGACTGACCGCTGGAGTTGACAAGGACAAGAAACAAAATGGAAACTGCCATAGAGGGGCTCAACAGTAGATCTGGGCTGGCAGAAGAAAGAATCCACGAATTAAAGTTTTTTTTTTTTTTTTTGTTTTAATTTAAGACAAGGGGCCGGGCATGGTGGCTCACTCCTGTAATCCCAGCACTTTGGGAGGCCAAGGTGGGCGGATCACCTGAGGTCAGGAGGTCAGGAGTTTGAGACCAGCCTCCAACATGGCAAAACCTCGTCTCTACTAAAATTACAAAAATTAGCCAGGCATGGTGATGCAAGCCTGTAATCCTAGCTACTTGTGAGGCTGAGGAAGGAGAATTGCTTGAATCCAGGAGGTGGAGGTTGCAGTGAGCCAAAATCATGCCACTGCACTCCAGCCTGGGCGACAGAGCAAGACTCCGTCTCAAAAATAAAAAGACATGGGCAAAATATTTTAAAAGACATCACAAAGGAAGACAGAAAAATGGCCAATAAGCACATGAAGAAGTGCTCAACATTATTAGTCATCAGGAAAATGCAAATTAAAACCACAAAGAGGTACATAATAGAATGTGTAAAATAAAATGATTGGCAATACCAAATGTTGAGAGGGGTGTTTAGTGCAAGCTGTACTCTCAAACATTGCTGATGTGATTTTTAAATGGTACAACTGTTCAGGGAAAAGGTTTGGCAGTTTCTTAAAGATTCACATATACCTACTCGATGGCACAGCAAATTTCTTTCTTAGGCATTTACCTTATCTAAGAAAAATGAAAATAAACACCTTCAAATTTTTGTGCAAGAATGTTCAAAACAACTTTACTCAAAAATAGAACTAAACAAGAAGCAATTCAAATGTCCATCAACAGGATAATGCACAACTGTATGTTCATAAAGTGGAATACTAGTCAACAATAAAAAGAATAAAGTATTCATACATACAACAATATGAATAAACCTTAACATACATTATGTTGACTGAAAGAAGCCAGACACAAGAAAGGAGAGTGTATAATTCTATTTATATGAAGTTTTGGGCTGGGCACAATGGCTCACACCTGTAATCCCAGCACTTTGGAAGGCTGAGGCCGACGCTGATGGATCACCTGAGGTTATGGGTTCGAGACCAGCCTGGCCAACATGGCAAAACCCCGTCTCTACTGAAAATACAAAAATTAGCTAGGCATGGTGTCGGGGACCTCTAATCCCAGCTACTCCAGAGGCTGAGGCAGGACAACTGCTTGAACCCAGGAAGTGAAGGTTGCAGTGAGCCGAGATTGTGCCACTGCACTCCACCCTGGATGACAGAGCAAGACTCTGTCTCAAAAGAAAAAAAAAATTCTATTTATATGACGTTTCAGAAGAGGCAAACTAATCAGAAAAAAATAAGAAAAGTGTTTAACCAAAGGTAGGTAGAGTGATATCTGACTAAGAAGTGGCACTGAGGGAACTTGCTAGTGATAAAAATGTTCTATATATTGACAGGGCTTGGGTTACATGGGTATAAGCATTTTACAGAATTCATTGAATTATACACCTAAAATTTATGCATTTCACTATATGTAAATTTTACCTAAAATTAACTGTAAACAAATATCAAACTGTAGTTATATAGGGTTGTTTTTCACAGTACTATAACTTACCAATTCTCAAACTACTTTCTGTAGATTCTAGGGAAAATGGACAATTTCAATATGGATTCTGGATTAGATAGTAATATTGTATCAAAGTTAAATTTCCAAACTTTAGGCCGGGCATAGTGGCTTACACCTGTAAACCCAGCACTTTGGGAGACCAAAGCAGGAGGATTGCTTGAGCCTAGGAGTTTGAGACTAACCTGGGCAACATGGGGAGACCTCATCTCTACAAAAAATTTTTAAAAATTAGTCAGGCATGGTAGCATATGCATGTGGTCCCAGCTACTAAGGAGGCTGAAGTGGAAGAATTGCTTGAGCCCGGGAGGTCAAGGCTGCAGTGAGCCATGATCCCACCACTGCACTAACTGCCTGGGCAACAGAGTGAGACTCTCTCTCAAACAAAACAAAACAATTTCCTAATTTTGATTAATGTACTATGGTTAAATGAGAGATTGCCCTTGTTCTTGCCTAATACAGATGTAAATATTTTGTGGTAAGGGAGCACAATGCTTCCAATTTATTCTTAAATGATTCAGAAAAAGAAAAAAATCTGTTTATATATACATATATAGAGGGAGACAGAGTAATAAAGCAAAGGGGGTAAAATGTTAAAAATTGCGGAAACTGCATAGAAGGTATAAAGGAATTCCTTTGCTATTCTTATTTGAAATTATATAAGAATAAATGTCACCCAAAAAAGGCTAACACCACACTGATTTTATCTATTTAAATATTCCAACATGGAAAAAACATTTTTCTTTTTCTAGCCTTAAAAGACTATTAGAGTTGGTCACCTTAATCCAACTTCTTGGTTTTACAAATGAAAAATGAAATCTAGAAAAGCTAGGGCCATGGTCAGATAATTAGGTAGTAGTGGAGCTGGACAGAACCCTGCACTCTTAACTCCTACTTCAATACTCTGTAATAGGTTTTGAAATATTTTAGCTTGTTTATTTCTTTCTTTCTTTTTTCTTTTTGGGGATGGAGTCTCACTCTGTCACCCAGGCTGGAGTGCAGTGGCACGATCTCAGCTCACTGCAACCTCCGCCTCCTGGATTCAAGCAATTCTCCTGCCTCAGCCTCCCCAGTAGCTGGCAACACAGGTGCACGCCACGCCTGGCTAATTTTTATATTTTTAGTAGAGACAGGGTTTCACCATGTCGGCCAGGCTGGTCTCAAACTCCTGACCTCAGGTGACCCACCTGCCTCAGCCTCCCAAAGTGCTGGGATTACAAGTGTGAGCCACCACACCTGGCCTATTTTTTAATTTCTTATCAGAGATGGGGTCTTGCTATGTTGCCCAGGCTGGCCCTGATCTCGTGGGCTCAAGCAATCATCCCACCTCAGTCTCCCAAGGAGCTGGGATACCACTGTGCCCACTGGTATTTTTAGCTCTGATACTGCCTCATGAAAACCAGTTAACATTACTTATTTTTATACAGCATTTTATTAGAACAAAAAATTGCAATTAGGGGTATTACTAGAATTAAAATTCTGACACTTCAGACTGCAACTGCTGGGTGCAATGGCTCAGGCCTGTAATCCCAGCATTTTAAGAGGCCAAGGCTGGTGGGTCACTTGAGCTCAGGAGTTCGAGACCAGCCTGGGCAACAGAGTGAAACCCCATCTCTATAAAAATACAAAAAATTAGCCAGGCATAGTAGCAAGCATCTGTGGTCCCAGCTGCTGGGGAGGCTGAGGTATGGGAGGATCACTTGAGCCTGGGAGGCAGAGGTTGCAATGAGCCAAGATCACGCCACTGCACTCCAGCCTGGGCAACACAGTGAGACCTTGTCTCAATAAAATTTAAAAATTTTTTAAATTAAAAAAAAAAAGACTGCAAACTATTTGAAACAGTATATTGATTAGAGTATTTTTATAGAAAAATGTATCCTCCATTATAATCATGGCAATAATAAATTAATCTGGACCCGACACTTCCAGCCTACAAAGGTATAAAGCCAGTGAGCTAACCCATTCTGTTGTCTGGCTGCAGACAAGGTATACTGTTCACTTGGAAGCTCCTTGAAAGAAAAAATTACTCCACTGCATGAAAACAAATCTAACATATGTCAAATTAAATTGTGTCCTATACTGACACACCAAGAAAAGAAAGAAGCAGAAGTTTAAAGACCTGGAAACTTCAAAAGAATTCTCTAAGGATGCAAGGGCTAAACTACCTTTTCTTTTGATCCTACAAAAAAAAAATTAGTAAATTACTAACGTACTATAAAAGCACTATCTTCCTTTACTAATGAAAGGAAATTAACGCCGGGCTGGGCGTGGTGGCTCATGCCTGCAATCCCAAGGCCGAGGTAGGCAGATCACCTGAGGTCAGGAGTTCCAGACCAGCCTGACCAACGTGGTGAAACCCCATCTCTACTAAAAATACAAAAATTAGCCAGGCGTGGTGGCCCATGCCTGTAATCCCAGCTACCTGGGAGGCTGAGGCAGAAGAATCGCTTGAACCTGGGAGGAGGAGGTTGCAGTGAGTCCAGATCACACCATTGCACTCCAGCCTGGGCAACAAGAGTGAAACTCCATCTCAAAAACAACAACAACAAAACTTGTTTATCCTTAGTTTTCTGTCCTAGGGCTAAGGCACGGTAAACCCTCAGTAAATGCTCAATGAATTACTGGCAATCTAAATAAATGAAGAGATATTCCATGTACATGGATAGGAAGACAATACTGTCAAGATGTCATTTCTTCGCAACTTAATCTATCTTAATTAAAACATAATCCCAATTAAAATCCCAGCAAGGGCCGGGCGCGGTGGCTCACGCCTGTAATCCCAGCACTTTGGGAGGCTGAGGCGGGTGGATCACAAGGTCAGGAGATTGAGACCATCCTGGCTAACACAGTGAAACCCTGTCTCTACTAAAAATGCAAAAAATTAGCCGGGCGTTGTGGCAGGCGCCTGTAGTCCCAGCTACTCGGGAGGCTGAGGCGAGAGAACGGCACGAATCTGGGAGGCAGAGCTTGTAGTGAGCCGAGATCAGGCCACTGCACTCCAGCCCGGGTGACAGAGCAAGACTCCATCTCAAAAAAAAAAAAAAAAAAATCCCAGCAAGTTCAGCAAGTTATTTTGTGGATTTCAACAGACTGGTTCTAAAGTTTATATGAAAAAGACCCAGAATGGCCTAAACAATTTTGAAGAGGAAGAACAAAACTTCAAGAGTTACTATAAAGCTCCAATAACCAGGACAGTGTGGTATTGGTGGAAGAACAGACAATCAGATAAATGGAACAAGATACAGAGCCCAGAAACAGACCCATATAAGAATAGTCAGCTGATATTTAACAAAGAAGCGAAGGCATTTCAACAGAAAAAGGACAGTGTTTTGAACAAATGGTACCGCAACAACTGTGCGTCCAAATACTAAAAGACAATAGAAGAGAAAATCTAGATGACTTTGGGTACGACAATGACTTTTTTAGATACAACAATAAAGACACAATCTATGAAAGAAATAATTGATAAGGTAGACTTCGTCAAAAATAAAAACTTCTGCTCTGCAAAAGTCAATGTCAAAACAATTAGAAGATAAACCACAGACTGGGAGAAAATATTTACAAAAGATCTATCTGTTAAATAACTATTTAAAATATGCAAAGACCTCTTAACAATAAGAAAACAACCCGGCTGGGCGTGCTGGCTCACGCCTGTAATCCCAGCACTTTGGGAGGCCAAGGCGGGCAGATGACCTGAGGCCAGGAGTTCGAGACCAGCCTGGCCAACATGGAGAAACCGCGCCTCTACTAAAAATACAGAATTAGCCAGGCGTGGTGGCACATGCCTATAATCCCAGCTAAAACCATATAACACAAAGAGTGATCCCTTTAGTTAATAATAATGTGTCAATATTGGCTCACCAATTGCAACTTATATGTCATACAAATCAAAGATGTTAATAGGAGAAATTGCTGTGGGAGGTTGAGGGGATGAATGTCAACCCTCTGTACTTTCTACTCAATTTTTCTGTAAACTTAAAAATGCTCTAAAAAATAAAGTCTATTAATTTTTTTTTTGGTGTTTTTTTTTTTTTTTTTTAGTAGAGATGGGGTTTTACCATGTTGGTAAGGCTGGTCTTCCAACTTCTGACCTCAAGCAATCCACCTGCCTTGCCCTCCCAAAGTGCTGGGATTACAGGCGTGAGCCACCGTGCCCAGCCAAGTCTATTAGTTTTAAAAAACACAACTTAAAATAAACATCTTACCAGGTCTAATGAAGACGTTTTCCACAGACAACATTGCTGCTATTGGAAGTAGTAAATCTTCACAATCCAGGGAAGCAGCTTTTATTACTGCACATGTCAGATGTGGAGGCAAAGGAAACTCCACCATAGACAAACCCAATCTGGTGACATGGCCACTCCTTAATACAAAGAAAAAGTTTGTAAGTCTTTCTACACTAGGAGAGTACAAATGTAACATTCATCATTCAGAATAAATCAGATATAATTTACATTACCTCCAATCACCTCCAGAAGTTCAATTCAATTTAAGAAAATTAGGCCAGGCGTGGTGGCTCATGCCTGTAATCCTAGCACTTTGGGAAGCTGAGGCAGGTGGATCACCTGAGGTCAGGAGTTCAAGACCTGCCTGGCCAACATGGCAAAACCCCGTTTCCACTGAAAACACAAAAATTAGCTGGGTGTGGTGGCATGCGCCTGTAGTCCCTGCTACTTGGGAGGCTGAGGCAGGAGAATCACTCAAACCCGGGAGGCAAAGGTTGCAAAGCTACTAAGGAGGCTGAGGGGGATTACACCTGTAATCCCAGCACTTTGGGAGGCCGAGGCAGGTAGATCACTTCAGGTCAGGAGTTTGAGACCAGCCTGACCAACATGGTGAAACCCTATCTCTACCAAAATATAAAAAAATTACCTGGGCATGGTGGTGCATGCCTATAATCCCAGCTACCTGGGAGGCTGAGGCAGGAGAATTGCTTGAACCTGGGAGGTGGAGATTGCAGTGAGGTGAGATTGCACCATTGTACTCCAGTCTGGGCAACAAGAGTAAAACTCCGTCTCAAAAAAAAAAAAAGGAAGATGTCTTTGAAGACATGAGAGAATAATAATTTTATTTTTTAAATTTTACCTTTTTTTTTTTTTTTGGAGACAGGGTCTTGCTCCGTCTCCCAGGCTGGAGTGCAATGGCGCAATCTCCTCAGCTCACTGCACCCCTCACCTCCGAAGCTCAGACGATCCTCCCACCTCAGCTTCCCGAGTAGCTGGGACTACTGGCGTGTGCCAACACCATTGGCTAATTTTTGTATTTTCAGTAGAGATGGGTTTTACTATGTTTCCCAGGCTTGTCTCGAACAACTGGGCCCAAGCAATCTGCTCGCCTTGGCCTCCCAAAGTGCTGGAATTACCGGCGTGAGCCACCACGCACATCCAAGAGAATAATAATTATTAATATCAAACCTAACCACCCCATCACACAAACATGAAAACAAGGACTCTGGCTCTCTTATCATTTTTATGTATCCAGCATAATGCTTGGCACTGAAATGGTACTCAGAAATTACTTGTTAAATAATACCAATATTTATTAAACAAAAGGGATTATATCGTGTAGTTTCTTTCTCCTTTTTTTTTTTTTTCAGATAGAGTTTCGCTCTGTTGCCCAGGCTGGAGTGCAGTGGCATGATCTTGGCTCACTGCAAGCTCTGCCTCCCAGGATCACACCATTCTCCTGCCTCAGCCTCCTGAGTAGCTGGGACTACAGGCGCCCACCACCACGCCCAGCTAATTTTGTTTTTGTATTTTTAGTAGAGACGGGGCTTCACCATGTTAGCCAGGATGGTCTCGATCTCCTGACCTCATGATCCACCGACCTCGGCCTCCCAAAGTGCTGGGATTACAGGCATGAGCCACAGCGCCCGGCTGGTTTTTCAATCAGAATTGTGATGAAAGACTAACAATCCATTCAATTTAAAGAAATTATTTTCTACTGTTAGAGAAAGGTATTTAGAGCCCTGTTTAAAAGGAGATCAATATCTGTTTTGATTGTGATTTTTTTTTTTTTTTACCTGTCAATAGCATCACACTGGTAAAGCTGTTTAAGAGCTTCTAAAATAAGTCTCTCATTAGGTGGATCCAAATAGGGAAACCTGTGTGTTTAAATAAGATATGAAGTGAGAGGCATTCCTTGAACATGGTAGGATTTTATATAGATATGACGAAAATTTCTTTAAAAGGTTTTATTTCTATTTTTCAAGTCATCTTTTTCTAAAAAAAAATTATATGATCATGATCAGCATTTGGCAAAAGAGGAAATAATTTTTTTCTGAATCACACTCCTCTACTTCAAGAAGTGATTCTTTTTGACTCCCCTTAGCTGAAATACTCTCACCAGTCTACTTATCCTAATCCTGCCCCACCCATCCTTCACAGCCTATGTCAAGTCTACTCTTTTCTGCAGTCCATAATTTTTTTCCAAACTTTTATAAAAATAGTAGAGAAATATTAATAGTAGAGAAGTATTAATAGTAGAGAAATATTAATTAGTACTGAAAATTATAAATTGTTCAATAGTACCTCAAAATGCTTTTTTTTGGAGATGGAGTCTCACTCTGTTGCCCAGGCTGGAGTGCAATGGCACGATCTCTGATCACTGCAACCTCCATCTCCCAGGTTCAAGCAATTCTCCTGCCTCAGCCTCCCGAGTAGCTGGGACTACAGGCACATGCCACCACGCCTAGCTAATTTTTTGTATTTTAGTAGAGACAGGGTTTCACCATGTTGCCCAGGCTGGTCTTGAACTCCTGTGCTTAAGCAATCCGCCCACCTCGGCCTCCCAAAGTGCTAGGATTACAGGCGTGAGCCACCGCACCCAGCCTCAAAATGCTTCTTAAATTCAATTTAATTTTTTTTTTTTTTTGAGACGGAGTCTCACTCTGCTGCCCAGGTTGGAGTGCAGTGTGGCAATCTCGGCTCACTACAACCTCCGTCTCCTGGGTTCAAGTGATTCTCCTGCCTCAGCCTGCTGAGTAGCTGGGATTACAGGCACCTGCCACCATGCCCAGATAATTTTTGTATTTTTAGTAGAGGCGGGGTTTCACCATATTGGTCAGGCTTGTCTCAAACTCCTGACCTCAGGTGATCCACCCACTTCAGCCTCCCAAAGTGCTGGGATTACGGGCGTAAGCCACCGCACCCGGCCGGACAAAATGCTTTCATATAAATGGGGAAATATATTCAATTAATTTAGCCATATTTGTGTCACATATGTGTACATGTGTATGTACTTATTTTCTGCCAAACTATCTCAGAATAAGTTGCAAATACAATGCCATTGCACACTTACAACTATCTCGGCATGCATCTCCTGAAAATAAGGACATTCTCTTACATCACCATAATGCGCTATTAATAAATATAATAAAATTAACAATTAACAATAATATTCAAAAGGGATAGCATCATCAAACATGAATATATATTTTTTAAAAACAGGAAAAATAATTACTTGATATCATCTGCACTGGGTTATTTTTTCCACCTTAAATCTGGATATGAAAAATCATCTACTCCAACTTCTCACCTTGAAAAAAATCCAATAGAAGACAAAAGGTCCAATACCTTATATAAAATGTCCATTCCAGGATTGATAACCCTATTTAAAAATAAATAAATAAAACAAGGCCAAGGATGGTAGCTCACGCCTATAATTTCAGCACTCTGGGAGGCTGAGGCAGGAGGACTGCTTGAGCTCAGGAGTTTGACAACAGCCTAGGCAACACAGCAAGATCCCATCTCTTATAAAAAGAAAAAATAATAAGCAAACAATAATCTCTTACACTGTTCTACTGCCAGCTTTCCTACAATTTGTACCAATAGGTCCTGGTAGCTTCTACAGCAAGAATTGGTAAACATTTTCCGTAAAGGGCCAGATAGTAAATAGCTTAGGCTTGCAGGCCATATGGTCTCTGTCACAATTACTCAACCATGCTATTACAGTGAAAGCAGCCACACATAAACAAATGGGTATGGCTGCATTCTAACATTTTATTTACAAAAACAGTCAGTGAGATTAGACCACAGTTTGCCACCCTTGTGCTAGAGCAATACCAAACCAGTCAGCTGCTTCTTCTATATAAAAGGAAAAACTACTTATTCTAAAATATTGCAATTAATTTCCCCCCTTGATTCCTCCAATTACCAATTCTGTCAACCACTCCTTATAAGTTACTTGGTTTCTAAGAGATCTACCATACCTAAGTACCATTCTCTAAAAACACTAGTATGTCAAACTCCTCATAAAACTTGATTATATCCAAAACTGAACTCCAAATGTTGAGTGACCAACACATAACAGGAATGCTGTAATTCCCCATCACCTAGTTTATTAATGTAACCAAAGTCTATGCCAGTGGAATTAAAAAAAAAATTTTTTTTTTTGAGACAGAGTCTTGCTCTGTCGCCCAGGCTGGAGTGCAGTGGTGCGATCTGGGCTCACTGCAAGCTCCGCCTCCCGGGTTCACGCCATTCTCCTGCCTCAGTCTCCCGAGTAGCTGGGACTACAGGCGTCTGCCACCACACCCAGCTAATTTTTTGTATTTTTAGTAGAGACGGGGTTTCACTGTGTTAGCCAGGATGATCTCCATCTCCTGACCTCGCAATCCGCCCACTGTGGCCTCCCAAAGTGCTGGGATTACAGGCGTGAGCCACCGCACCCGGCCTAAAAAAAAATTTTTTAAACAGAGCCATACGTATAAGCCAATATTAAGGTTGTGATGATCTGATAATTTCAGATCTCTACCACATGTATTTGCTATTGTACATCCCAAACACAGGATATAAGATATATCCTTTCAAATTTACACCCTGTTGATTTTTGCCCATGGTTCTAATCTGTTAAAGTCATTTTAAAGCTTGGTCATCTACCTATTAGATATTAAGATATTTTCCAGAAAAATATAATCATAACTTCAATATTTTTATTCAGTATCATTAAAAATGTTTATCAAGAAAAAACTAAGTTCAGCACAATACCAGTAAAAACTTCATCTAGTCTACACTAAGCAATTAATTAATACTTTTCTAGACTGGGCTATCTGGCAACTATACTCAGCAGTACTGTCATCTACAGACTACTTTTTTATTCACAAGATATCAAATGCAGTATTGTTAAATACTGTGCTGAAAATAAAAGACATTAGGTTAAATTTCAATAAATTCTTGTGGAGCACCCATTATGTGGACGGTCCTGTCCTCAAACTGAAAAGGAAATGGCTTATAATGACATATTTGGCCGGGCATGGTGGCACACGCATGTAATCCCAGCTACTCAGAAGGCTGAGACACGAGAATCGCTTGAACCTGGGAGGTGGAGGTTGCAGTGAGCTGAGATTGTGCCACTGCACTCCAGCCCGGGTGACAGAGTGAGATCCTGCCTCAGAAAACCAAAACCAAACACAACAACAACAAAAAATGACATATTCATTGTGAACTTTTAAAATTCATACTCATTAATCGTCATTAAATTTCCTTAAACCATTTTTCAATAAACTGTACTAGAGTTCGCTAGTAATCAATGTCAAGCTTACTGGGTAGTTGTTTCCAGAACCCGCCCTTTTTACCAAATGAAAAAAATTAAGACTTTTGCCTTTCTCACCATTTTCTGATAACGTATTCTGCATAATTTCTCATAGATGACCTACAGTGACTCTGACGCTAAATCTGCAAGTTCTTTTAACACCACGGAAATAATGTCTAAATGCTCAAGACAAAATCACTTATGGTGGTAGGTTTTCCCTCATTATTTCCTTCCACCTTAGTCATCAATTCCTTCTTATTCAGACCTGTTCTTGCATTTTCAGCTTTAAAATTATTCTTCCTGATGGAAAAGAAAGGGAAAGCAAAATAATAATTGAGAAGGTCCATTTTCTTTCTGTCGTCTATGAATCCTATACCATCTACCCCAAACACTGGCTCTACCTCTCCTTATTCTTTATACAACTTTTTAAAAAGGAAGTCTTTGTTTTTTGTTTCAAGCATTTTGAAACAAAATTTTGCGATTTTTAGTACACTATGGCTTTTAAGACTTAAGATGGAAAAATAATTCAATGCAGATGATATTAATTATTGTTCCTATTTTTCTAATATATACTCATTCTTGGTTAGAGGCTGCTCTGCTATCCTTTGTGAATATACTAAGAGTCAATGTCAAACTTACTGAGCAGCTATTTCCAAAAATGGCCCTTTTTCCCCAAATGAAAAAAATCAAGACATTATTTTAATATCTGGGTTCATCTGAAAGTTTTCTATTGGGCTCTTTGGATTTCTTTAAATGGCGCTTTCCTTCTTTTCATTGGTATAATTTATTGCTACAGTCAGAATTTCATTTATTACATGCTTTTCTCTTTCCAGTATCTACATATTCTCATTCAGAAAATCTCTAGTCTAATGATAACTATCAAAACATTTTGAAATTGGCAAATTGGCTTTCCAAGAGTATACAATGAGTATTTGTGGGTTTTGGGGTTTTTTTTGCTTTTTTTGGTTGTTTTTTTTTTGGAGACAGAGTTTCGCTCTTGTTGCCCAGGCTGGAGTGCGATGGCGCAATCTCGGCTCACTGCAACCTCTGCCTCCCGGGTTCAAGTAATTCTCCTGCCTCAGGCTTTCAAGTAGCTGGGATCACAGACGAGCACCACCATCCTGGCTAATTTTGTATTTTTAATAGAGACAGGGTTACACCATGTTGGCCAGGTTGACCTCAGGTGATCCACCCGTCTCGGCCTCCCAAAGTGCTGGGATTACAGGCGTGAGCCACCGCACCCGGCCTACAATACATATTTGGATGCACCTAATAATCACTTACTATGAATTTAAAAACTGCACGGTTACCATCCCCCAAAATTCCTGAGCAGTTTTACATTCCAAGGCAATTAAGACCAAAATAAAGAAGATAGTACTTTCCTCCATTAATTCCCCTACCATGTATGATAGAAATTTCTATCTATAACAATATTCTATCTTATACCAATAAATTATATTAATATTTGGCTAATTTAACTGTTCTTCCTTTATTTCACGTGTCTGAACCTTGTTTTCCTAATATAACTTAAGCTTAGTGAAAGCAAAAAACTACAGAGTATTACTCTGTCTTTCATGGTATATAGTATGATGCTGGCCATACAAAAAAAACACTCCACTTTCCAACTGTATACCCTTTTGTTTTGTTTTGTTTTTTTGAGACAGAATCTCGCTCTGTTGACCAGGCTGGAGTGCAGTGGTGTGATCTTGGCACGTTGCAGTCTCTGCCTCCTGGGTTCAAGTGATTCTCGTGCTTCAGCCTCCGGAGTAGCTGGGACTACAATCACGTGCCACCAAGCTCAGCTAATTTTTATATTTTCAGTAGCTACAGGGTTTTGCCAGGATGGCCAGGCGGGTCTCAAACTCCTGGCCTCAAGGGATCCGCCCACTTTGGCCTCCCAAAGTGCTAGGATTACAGACGTGAGCCACCACGCCCAGCCCCCTTCTTTTGAAACAGGGTCTCACTCTGTTGCCCAGGCTGGACTGCAGTGGTGCAATCATGGCTCACTGCAGCCTCTACCTGCCCGGCTCCAGCAATCTTCCCGTCTCAGCCTCCAAATATCTGGGACTCAAGCATGCACCATATCAGACTTTTTTTTTTTTTTAATTGTAGAGACAAGGTCTCACTATGTTGCCCAGGCTTGTCTCGAAATCCTAGGCTCAAGCAACCCTCCCACCTTGGCCATCCAAAGTGCTGAGATTACAGGCATAAGCTGTTATGCCCAGCTCATTATATACCTTTCATTACAAATAAACAGTGGTCACTAAGTGATCCACATAAACATCAGCACAACCCCCTAACCCCGCCATTAAGCCAAGGTTAAACATGAGCAAGAGATCCTACTAAAGCAATGCAAGGAAGTCTTCTGTGTTAGTTTAGTTGAAAAGCAACCAATAGAGCCAGGCACAGTGGCTCACACCTGTAATCCCAGCATTTTGGGAGGCCGAGGTGGGTGGATCGCCTGAGGTCAGGAGTTCGAGACCAGCCTGACCAACAAGGTGAAACTCCATCTCTACTAAAAATACAAAAATTAGCTGGGCATGGTGGCAGGTACCTGTAGTCCCAGCTACTCGGGAGGCTGAGACAGGAGAATTGCTTGAACCCGGGAGGCGGAGGTTGCAGTGAGCCGTGATCGTGCCACTGCTCTCCAGCCTGGGCAACGGAACAAGACTCCATCTCAAAAAAAAAAAAAAAAAAAAAAAAAGAAAAGAAAAGCAACCAATATAAAAACCAACCTGTAAAAGAGGTTAGCCTCAACTCTCAGGGATGTATCAGTCAAATATTTCAAAATAATTTTTGAGCCAATAACTTGGTTCCAGGCTAACAAGTTTTTCCTTTTTTTTCTAGTTGTCTACATACCTTATGACATCGTGTATGGCAAGGCACTTTAAGGTCAGAACTACAGATGTCAAACTAGTTCTCTTAATTTCAGGGATCACATGGTCAGGCATACACTGGTTCCAAAAATCTTTACTATAGATCCGAAAGCATTTTCCTGAAGAAGTCCTGCCAGCTCGGCCACTTCGCTGTAATGCCTCGCTCCTACAAAAGGAAAAAAACCCAAAAATTCCCCAAAATGTTCTGTGGGTTTCTCAGGTAATTTACTTTGTCTCCCCAAAACAGCTAGAAATTACCTAATCAGTTGTTCTTTGAATAAAAAGATTTGACATAGAGACTTACTTTGAAATTGGAACCACCTCCAGGATGTCCAACCCTAATCTGGGGTTGTGATTTAACTGCTTCACAAAGCCACCATCTACCACATATCTAAGAAGAATCAAAGCAAGTTAAGTTTCTGGAAAATAAAAGAAGACTTGTTAATTGTTAACCACTTTGGTTTCTCCTTTTCTAGCAAACTAGCAGGTACACAATGCCTTTTATGTTAAGTGTAAAACTTGAAAGTCAAGAAATTGGAACCCTCGTATGTTGTTGGTGGGAATGTAAAATGGTTCAGCCGAGGTGGAAAATTGTTCGGAGGTCCTCAAGAAGTTAAACACAAAATTACCATATGATCCAGCAATTCCATTTCTAAGTGTACACCAAAAAGAACTGAGAACAAGTACTCAAACAAATACTTATAGACCAATGTTCATATCAGCACTATGAATCACAGCCATAAGGTAAAAACAACCTAAATGTCCATTAACCATTAATGGAAGAAGGGATGAACAAATTGCTTTGCATATATGTATGTAGTATATATACACACGCATATATACACACACAATGGAATATATATATATATACACACACACACTATGCAATATTATTCAGCCACAAAAAAGAATGAAGTACTGATACATGCTACAATGTGGACGAACCTCAAAAATATTATGCTAAGTGAAAGAAAGCAAACACAGAAGGCCACATATTATATGATTCTATTTGTATGAAATATCCAGAATAGAAAATACCTACTGCTTCCTGCTGACACATCTAAAGAATTTTTTAAAAAAGAAAATACGTACAAACAAAAAGTAAGACTGGTAGTTGCCAAGGGCTGGGGTCGAGAGGGGAATGTGGAGTACCTGCTTAATGGGTATGGGGTTTTATTTTGAGGTGTTGAAATATTTTAGAACTAAGCAGAAGCAGTGGTTGCGCAATACTGTAAATGTACTAAGTACTACTTAATTTTTCATTTTAAATGATTAATTTTATGTGAATTTTGCCTCAATACAAAAATACACAAACTTGAAAGTCAGCTTCAGACCATTTAAACAGATTCAGAATCTAATTTCAACTAGCCCTTAACATGCCATTCTAAGCCAATTAAATGGTGAACAAGTCAGGTAAGGAACCAAAGTAGGATAGCAGTAACAAGACAACATTCTGAAACATGCTATTTAATGGCTTTTGCCTGTGCAGGAAACAGAAAATTACAGAGGTTAATTTACCCAGGAGAGCACTCCCTTAATCCCTTAGTGAAACCATTATTTTTAAAGTAACGAAGAAAAGCAGAGGAAATTAGACTTCCTCTCAGACCTGGGTGATCATTTTACCCAGAAGAAACACACAGGATCTTTGAGATTCAGGTTCAGCCTTCCGGAGACAGACAATCAGACTTAGCTAAAGAAATAAAATATATTCGGTAAATGATAAATAACCCAGTCTTAAAGAACTTTGCATTAGTTGTCAGTCCAGACTTAAAATTTCTTTGTGTTTCCTTACTAAATTTACCCAAAAATTTGATAGCACTATTTACTACATCCAGAAAAGATAAGGGACCTGAATCATAGTTAATTTTCACAAAAAGGTAAAAAGTCAGAGACAATACATCCAGATAAACATTGGATATACAAACTCTACCGAGTGAGGCTGCAAGGTAGAAGGAAATATCAAATCATCTAAGGTATATGCTTATAATGGGAGTACAGAAAAATAGGTTTGGCTTCCTATTTAGTGAAACCCATAAAGCATTATACATAATCTTAAATTTGAAAAGAAGCTTCAAGTTGCCAAGTAGTTAAAAAGTGTGAACAGCCAAGTATGGTGACACATGCCTGTGGTCCCAGCTACCCAGGAGACTGAGGCGGGAGGATTGGCTGATCTCCATACAAGGCTGTAGTGTGCTATGACTGCACGCCTGTGAATAGTCACTATATTCCAGCCTCAGCAACATAATGAGACCCTGTCTCTAAAAAAACAAAAAGTGTGAATAGGAATATAGTATGTACCTCCTACTCCATTTCCTGCTCAAAGCAATCAATAATTACAAAACAAAATAGGTGATTACATGTTAAGAACATCAAAAAGTAGGAGAGAAGGGAATTAGTGGAGGGCACAGAAAAGCAAACTCAGTAATGTTTAGCTAATGTTTAGTAACGATAGGCTTCCTTGACTTTAAGAGAAAGTTCAAAAGTTTTACCTGGTTCCATCTATTGTCAAAGACGTTGCAGAAATATTGGTGGATATGACACATTTTCTAATTCCAGGTGGCGGTGGCAAAAATATCCTCCTCTGTTGATCTAAAGTATATATAAAAAGAAAATACCAATTTACAACATGCATGTGTCAAACTCGAGTTTTGAAGAACTCAATTTTTCATTACAAGTCATGTTTCTAGGCCGGGCGTGGTGGCTCACGCCTGTAATCCCAGCACTTTGGGAGGCTGAGGCGGGAGGATCACAAGGTCAGGATATCGAGACCATCCTGGCTAACATGGTGAGACCCTGTCTCTAAGAAAAATACAAAAAATTAGCAGGGCGTGGGGGCGCGCGCCTGTAGTCCCAGCTACTCGGGAGGCTGAGGCAGGAGAATTGCTTGAATCTGGGAGGCAGAGGTTGCAGTGAGCCAAGATCGCGCCACTGCACTCCAGCCTGGGCGACAGAGCGAGACTCCATCTCAAAAAAACAAAAAAAAAAAAACAGAGGCAACAGAAAATCCAGAACATTATTTTCAATGTAGCAGTAAGAAAGAATGAAATTATTTACTCTGTATAGAAAAATATATGTCTATGTACATATTTAGTTAATGATTAATAACAAACCAAACATAATGGGTTTTTATCAGTTTCAATGTAAATTATAAAAGCATCAGTGAACCAAATCTTGAGAAAACAATGAGAACCTTAAACAATGATCCTAAGAATTTCCCTGAAGATGACAAAATCTAAAATAGATATCTATGCTTTAATAGAGAGTAAGAAGCTAATATCATCATAAAAAAGATTTCCAAAATAGCACATCTATGTTCTTTACTGACACATATATTCCAAAACTTTGTTAATATAGGGATAAGAATCACCCAATCAACAAAAGCTGTTAATACACATACATGTAAAATATAAAAACATTCAAATGCTAATTCCAACTCCAAATAGGAGGCTAAGGTTAATTTCCCTTTAACTTTACAAGTTAAATTCCATAATAAAAGTTTTATAAAACAAATTCTAAACCTCATTCAACAATATTTACTATAACCAAAATGTCAAATCAAGAGTTTGCATTTGCTCTTGGAATTCACCAAAGAACAGGATCATTCTTGAAAAGCAGACTAAGGCATGGCTACTTTAAAAGGAAAATGATCCACAGCCAGGCATGGTGGCTCACATCTGTAATCCCAGCAATTCTGGAGGCCAAGGCAGGCAGATGACCTGAGGTCAGGAGTTTGAAACCAGCCTGGCCAACATGGCAAAATCCCATCTCTGCTAAAAAAAAAAAAAAAAATACAAAACTTAGCCAGGTGTGGTGGCGAGCGCCTGCAATCCCAGCTACTTGGGAGGCTGAGGAAGGAGAATCGCTTGAACCCAGGAGGTGGCGGTTGCAGTGGGCTGAGATTGCGCCACTGCACTCCAGCCTGGATGACAAGAACGAGACTCCATCACAAAAAAAAAAGAAAACAATCCACTGTGTTTAGACTTAGATATAGCTGGATATACACAATTTCTAAAAATTCTGTGGCAATGGCAAATTAGGTTTTGACTTACAGTAATACCAGCAAGAAACTACTGTCCTCATTTCAAAGAATTCTCACCAATAGTTTTGTTTTGCTGGGAGAAACAATACTCTAAACGATAATAAGGGGGATATCCACGACTCTCAAAAAAGTGAATGTAAAAAGACTTCAGGCAAAAATCACTACTGTCAAGGAATGCTGGTTCTCACTGATTTGTTTCATGATCTGGATGTGGGTTACAAAGGTGAGACTGGTTTGTGAAACTTACCTAAGCACTTAAGATCTGACTGCTTTTCTGTAAACACGATTATTCAATAAAAAGTTTTTTAAAAAAATCAAATTTTCTATTCTAATGAGAAATTACCAGTTGTCATTGATCCATAACACGGCAATATTAACAAGCCATCGAGGATGGTATCTTGAACATCATAATCATAATCAACAGACTCTGCCATCTGAAAAAGTAACTCACAACTTTTTTCTATTTCAAACTGGCCTAAAATGGGAAGAAAAAAATAACTTCAGCAACTGAACAGAAAAATTAATTTAAAAATAAAGAAAATGTCAAGATTAAAATTAATTTTGCCTAAAAGTTATTGTAAATCTCTCATTTAATGTAAAGGAGATGAACACATAAGCTGTACCATATTTCAACAATAAAATTCGAAGTAGAAGAAACATCAGTTTCTAAGAAACTTAAATCTCTAAAGGAATAAAAATATTTATCATCGTCAAGCTTTTCACCCTGTATTTGAGAAGACTCACCAAATTGTTAACAAAGGAGAAAAGCTAGTCCAGGTGCTATTGCATTTGGTTAAATTTCAAAATACTTAAGTAATCTCCAAAAAGGCAAAGATTGTGACAATCCCTTACTTCTGACATTAGTACAAGGCAGAGGAAAAAGGTAAACAAGGAAACTACTAATTCCTATTAGGAGGGTGCTGCTACTTGAAAAGTTATGCCACTAGTTTGGGATTTAACTATTTTATTTTTGATCTCCAAAAATGCCACATGCTTGTCTACGACACATAGATTCTACACCTTATGTGTTGTTATCACACAGTACAATGCCACCACCCAAAGAAGAACCTGGTGAAATGTCCTTTGAAATAATGGAATTAACTCAGGTCTGTTTAGTCAGGTTTCATTTCTATCTAAGACAGACCAACAAAAAACAATATTTCACTATTTAATTTCTTTCTATTAAAAGGTCAGTGTGTTTTACATATATTTACTAATGAGCCTGATGTCTTTGACATTTGACATATATGTGTGTGTATATATACATATACACTATTACGTCTTTGACATATACTACTATGTCTTTGACATAAAATATATATACATACTATTATGTCTTTGACATAAATATATATAATCCTCTTTGGCAGCTAGCTTACAATTTTTATCTATCTTTTACCTAAAATTATTCAGATAATCAGAAAAAGCTAGGGCAACACTTGAGAAGGGCACAGAATTCCCAACAGAGGTAGCACTCTATCTGGGTGCCACATTCCTTACTTACAAATACTTAAGTTTTTTAACTTGATACTGAATGCTCACCAGTCAGAAAAACCAAGATGTCTCCAGCCATTTCATTCAAATGGATATCCATGGTGACTTTCACAATCTAAAGCAAGAAATGCAGGCATAATATGCTAGTGGAAATACAGTCATTCCCTTACCACCACTTCCCTTGCCCCACAGAAAAATTAAATTTGGTTCTTAAAAGTTCTAGGACCTGTGAGGACTGTCATTAAAATAGTAGTGAACAAATGAATTATCAAACCACCCAATTAGTAAGAATCATAGATATTTAAAAAAGACATTAAATGAATGCCAAGTAATACCGCTTGAATATACGCAGTATTTTCTCTGTCTCGTGGACCAATCAAATTGCAGAATTTCTCTCTGACTGGATAAAGCCTTCCAGGTATATCAAATATTGGACAATTTCCAAAGAATGCAGAGAGCTTGGCTAATTCCATAGTTGCTGACATTACCACCACTTTTAAATGCTCCTTCCTATTAGCAGACTTCTCCTGAAATAGCTTCTTCAATAGACCAAATAAGATATCCTGAAAGAAAAGTAAATTTCTAGTAAGTCACAAGCACACTTAACAGCCAAACTATTCTAAATACGCTGCTGTTCTAACCAAGGAATTCCTATTTTAATACATTAAAATATAAGTAGGAGCCAGGTGCGGTGGCTCACACCTGTAATCCCAGCACTTTGGGAGGCCAAGGTCGGAGGCCAGGAGGTTGAGACCTGCCAGGGAAACAAAACGAGACACTGTCTCTACAAAAAATATTCTTAAAAATTAGCCAGACATGGTGATGCACGTCTGCAGTACCAGCAACTCAGGAGGTTGAGGTGGGAGGATCACTTGAGCCCAGGAGTTCAAGGGTGCAGTGAGCTATGATCGTGCCACTGCTCTCCAGCCTGGGTGATGGAGCAAGACTCCATCTCTAAAAAATTAAATTAAATTAAAAAGTAAGAGGAGGCAATTCTCTACACAATAAAAAGCTACCCAAACAAACTACTTGCTAATAAAAAATAATAATAAATTAAAATACTCACTGTAGTTAGAGTTCTTTCATGGGCTTCATCCAAAATAATGACTCTGAATTTGGTAAGACTTGGGTCTCCCAGAATATGTTTCAGTAAACATCCATCAGTCATATATTTGATTGCTGTCTCCTAATGTTCAAACAGCAGTGTCACAGGAATTCACCACTATTTTCCCAACTAAATTTTTCCTCAAGAGGTACAAACATTAAGTGATCAAACCAATCTGACTAAACAAAAGGGTACATAAAAATAGTCTAACTTATGTATACAAAATGATGGTAAGTTACAAAACATGCTGTCTATACAGAAAAACGGACAAATAACTCACTTGGGTATTCTTGGACAAAGCAACAAAAATCACCAAGTCCAGAAGGATAGACAGAATTGAATGGAAATGAACCCTTCATAATCTAACTTCATCTTGCCTTTCCAACACATTGTACAATACAAAATTATTAGAATAGATAAAAGCAGTCTATGGCCATACCAACCTGAACATGCCGATCTCATCTGATCTCAGAATAAAAACAAATTAGAAAAGAAGCTTAGTGCAGTGGCTCACGCCTGTAATCCCAACACTTTGGGAGGTTGCGGTGGGTGGATCTCTTGAGCTCAGGAGTTCAAGACCAGCCGGGGCAACATAGCAAAACCCCGTCTCTACAAAAAAACACAAAAATTAGCAGGGCATAGTGGTGCACACCTGTAGTCCCAGCTGCTAGGGAAGCTGAAGTAGGAGGATGGCTTGACCCTGGGGAGTTGAGGCTGCAGTGAGCAGTAAATGTGCCACTGCACTCCAGCCTGGGTGGCATAAAAAAGTCATTCCAGATAAGAGAAATCACAGAAATATGAAATAAGAAGAGCATACTAATTAGCCCACTTAATGCTTGTTGTAGAGAAGTGGTTAAATATTTTACATAGGAATACACATGTCAAATTATATAAATTACATGGGAGAAAAAACGCTCCAAAAATTACATGGAATTTTGACATGACTTTCCAATGTACCCTATTCATACCCACTACTCATTTGCTATTTGAGAGAAATGTCTCAGAACCAGTCAAACCAAGGCTTACCTTCAAAACCAGGTGGGCACCCAAATTATAACAAGAATTAGAACTTTGTGCTTGTCCTTGCATATAAGGCTGTGTTTCATTTTTCCTTCATATTTACTACTGATTGCTTCATGAATTCAGATAATTTCAGAGCCAGGAGGCATTATTTATAACCCAAATTTTAAATGTTTATATTCCTGAAACATTTGAATATTTGCATAAATGTCATGAGACAAACAAAATTTACTCTGTAGAAAGCACAATTTACCAGATTATTACTGCTAGTTTTATTCTGTCAGCTTTCTCCTTTAAGGAGAAAGCACAGCACTAGGTAGTCCCATTTATTACATCAACATTTTAATAAGGCCAGGCACTGTAGCCCACACCTGTAATCCCAGCACTTTGAGAGGTCAAGGCCAGAAGATTGCCTGAGTTCAGGAGTTCAAGACCAGCCTGGGAAACAACAGTGAGATTCCCGTCACTACAACAAAATAAAAAAATTAGCCAGGTGTGGTCCGCACATCTGGAGTCCCAGACACTTGGGAGGCTGAGATGGAAGGATTGCATGAGCGCAGGAAGTAGAGGCTGCAGTGAGCCATGATCGCACAACTGCACTCCAGCTAGGGTGACAGAGGGAGACCCTGTCTCAAAAAAAAAAAAAAAAGGTCTTCATCTGTCCCTTGGACTATTTGCCTCCTACTCCTCCAATTCGTTCTTTATATTTCCAATAGAATAATCTTTGAAATGCACCTCTAGTCATTTCACTCAGGTGCTCTTCTTCAGTGGAAGGTATGTATGCCCTATGGTTTGAAGTCAGTCGTTTCAGCATGGCAAGCCCTAGTAGTTTCTATGATTTGGTCCCTGTCTGAACACTGTGTACCCTTGCAAATGTTGCTTTCTAGATCTTGAAATGTTCTGCTTCTCCACAGGTTCCCCCTCTTATCTCTCCTATTACTTACGTAAACTGTACAAATCTTACTACATAGCTTGACTGAATTTTTAGGGATGCATCCAAGGAATTATCCTGCAAAATTAAGATACAGAACATTTCCAGCACCCCAGTAGGCTCTCTTCTGTTCTCTCCCAGTCGATACTGACCCTCAGAGGTCACCACTATTCTGTCACCATAAATTAGTTTTGCCTATTTTGGAACCTCATATATACAGTAATGCAGTATTTACTTTTTTCGTGTGTATGTGTGCATGGTGAACTCATTTTTAAGACCAAATTTTATGCATCTTCTCTGTGAAGCAAAACCCTGTCTGTTCCACACAGACTTAGAGTGGCAGAGGAGTACCTTAACCTATCAAAGGCTATTTTGAGCAAAAGCCACTTTTTGTCATTGAAGCTGTAGAACTGAGCCACAAGAGGGAACTGTTAAAGTCCCAGGGTCAAGGACCAGGTACTTACGTTATCCCCACAGCGCAGAAGCACAGCCTGAGTCTCTTCTTTGGCTGAGCCAAGGGTGTGCTGGAGAGGCCTGAGAGAAGGAGCGGCCCTTGTGACCAGTGCCCTTTTGGTTCACAAGGAACGTCTCCTCTTGTTTAAGTGACTTGGCTGAGCTTGCTACTTCTGCTTTGAGAGCCCAATATCAGGATCAAGACTTCGATTATCCCCAATTTACAGATGAGGAAACCATATTGGGCAGGAAAGAAAGTCACCTCAGGAGAGCAAGTTGGACCTGGGCACTGGCTGAGGACAAAGGGGAATCATAATTTGGGATGTAGCTTGTTAAGGGGCCTCCCAAGTGTTCTTGTGATCCAGGTGTGGAGAGGATAGAGCAGAATGGTTGCCAGGGAGACGAGGGTAGGGTGCACTGCCAGAGTGGGAGAAATTAAAGAGAACACGCAACAAAGCCTTGGGACAGCGGGAGGGGGATGGACCACCCAGTTTTGTGCTACGGGAGAAGAGAGCAAGAAAAGGAATCTGTGTTAAATCCCGACAGCCTGCAGGAGAAGCAAATGCCCTTCATTTTCTTCATCAGCGGCGAGACTGGCATCCCTGTAGCTTTGAGAAACCATGCTAGTGTGGATGCCAGCTCCCTCCAGCGGGCCTGACTGGGAGACCTTGGGCTGGGGTTCTGGTCCGGGGCTCCTAGGCCTGATGGGAGGAGAGTTCAGCCCAGCTTTCCTGTACTTCAGCTCGTATGCAGATGATGGCCATTGTTGAAATGAGAGACTCAAAGGAAGCTGGAATCTGAACTTTTTTGTTGTCTCATGTGGACACCTGTGTTCAGTTTCGGGTTCTACCTCTTGCTGTCTGTGTGTTCTTAGGTGACTCGCTTAAACCTTTCTGAGTCTCATTTTCTTCATTTATAAAATAAAAGACATAACATTTATGTCAGATATTGTCCTGAGCATTAAATGGGAGAATAAACAAGCCTCTTCTGCATTCCCCTGGCTTCCAGTGGGTGGAGGCCAGAGAAGCTGCTAAACATCCTGCCAGGTGCAGGACAGCCCCCATCGCAAAGAATCGTCTGGCCCCTGATGTCAGTAATGCAGTATTGAGGAACCCTGGTGCGGGGGAAACAGAATAAACTCAGAAGCTTGGCAGATCTCAATTCAAACCCTGGTTGTACCGCCTCCAGCAGGCCTTGGTCAGGGAATAGCATCTAGCTAAAGTTCATTGACTTCATTTTGTTTTCATTGAATTTATGTTTTGCTGGCTTTCCATTTGTGAGAGTGATACAAATTTCCTTTAAACATGAAGTTGTAAATATAAACAGGTAGGCCATTCACAGGAATATCTAAATTATGTCGCAGGAAAGGTGGCACTCTCATATGGCAATAATTACGACAGAGGCCAGCAAATGACCTGCGTGACCTGGAGTGACCTGAGCACTGACTCCCAAACGCCCTCTGTAGAACGTCCTGCATCCCCCAGACCCTTTCCTGGGTCCTTCTGTGCCCTATCACCCCCTAGACCATCCAGACCTCAGGCCACCCATCTCTCCGTTACCAGAGCAGTCTCCGTTCCCGAACGTGCTGGTCACCAGCAACAGCAGCTGCTCCTCCTCCAGGCAGCTCAGCCTGAACTTGTTCATACAGCGAACGCGGACAGCATTGAGGTAGACATAAGCCTTCAGCTCCCAGTAGACGCTCTGGGTTTCCTACCCTGCCCAGACACTCTGGGCTTCCCCCCACACCTCCCCCAGCCTGGTGCTCCTGTGCTCATCTGTCTCTCCCAGTGCCCAGCACAGGCGTGGCACGGAGGAAGCGAATGGACCGATGTGAACACATCATCCTGGATTCTCCTTCCCCGCTCAAGCCCTGCAGCTAACCCATCGGCAAGCCCTGGGGGCTCTGCCTCCAAAATCCTGCCTATCCCATGTCCAAACACCTCTCACCATGTCCACTGCTCTTTGCAGTTCTGTGTATGTGGAAATATTTCCCCAAAATTGGAATGAGCAGGTCACAGCTGTGCCTGGAGGGAACGGCCAGGGAAATGTGCCCTCGCCTTGCTGTTCTATCCAGGCCCACCCAGCTGAGGATGGGGGACCTGCCACCACTCTCCTGGCAGTTCCGGACTCCTGGGAACCAGCAGGTGAGGACCCAAGAGTGTTTTCAGTGACCCGGCTGACCTGGTCATCCGTCAGTCCCACCTTGGCCTAGGCCTCTGTGCAGCACAGATCACAGCTCATTCCATCCTGGCATTACACTGGCCTGTGCCCTATCCTCAGGGTCACATCCGTCTCCCAGAAGCCGTGCAACCCTGGAAAACCCAGGTCTAACAGTCAGGTTCCTCCTCTGTGCATTAACAATGGCGTTGACGTCTGCTTTGCGGGACGCTGGGAGGGGAGAGGGAGGTGTATGCTGGAGAGCTCCCCAGGGGCAAGGCCTGGTTCTGCGTCACTCACTGTCAGATCCTGAGAGCCTGGGGCTGGCCCAGCACGTGGCCACCGTTCCCTAAGAGTTGGATTTCATCCCTCAGTGCTGAAGGCAGGGGATAGAGCTTAGACAGACCCCCTGCGTCCTGTCTTCTTTATCTACAGCTTACTCATCCTTGCCCCTTTCACGTGCACCCGGCAGAGCAGGTGTTCACTGAGCTTGAGCAAAATTCAAGCTAGAGCAGCTGATGGATCCTGAGGCCTAGATTCACTGTCAAAGTGTTTCTCAACGGTGCTCTCCAGAACACCAAGGAAAACTCATTGACTGTATAAGTCTGAAAATCCCTGCCCACCGGTCTACCTTTGTGTATGAGCAATCAGCTCTACCATTCAGCCCAGGTGTGTGTTTGCTGGACCATGTGAAGGAAGCTGAAGAGACATGAGTGGAAGGCAGAGGGTGAGTCCAAGGTGGGATCTTGGGACAGGTACGAGAAGTTAGGCAAAAATGGGATAATTCTAGCCTTCATAACCTTAGATAATAGTTCACATTATTATTTAGTTAATAGAATTGTACCCACATTAAATTTCTTAAATTTTTTTAAGAGATAAAGTCTCACTCTGTCACCCAGGCTGGAGTGCAGTGGTGCAATCATGGCTCACTGCTTCCTGGAACTCGTGGGCTCCAGCAATCCTCCTGCCTCAGCCTCCTGACTAGGTGGGACTATAGGCACGCGCCACCATGCCTGGCTAATTTCTTTGACTTTTCTCTAGAGACCGGGTCCACCTAGGTTTCCCAGGCTGGTCTCAGACTTCTAGACTCAAGTGAACCTGCACCTCCCGCCTCGACCTCTCAAATTGCTGGGATTACAGGTGTGAGCCACCACACCCGGCCTAAATTTCTTATGTGCCATGGGACTGCAAAACATCATTATTAGGGGCAGCTGGATGGAAGGTATAGGAGGACACTATAGTGCCTTTTCAATATTTCTGTCTAAAATCTAAAATCATTTCAACAGGAAACATTTATTTCAAAACGTGAAGGTGGTTATCCTTCCATGAGTTTAAAGTACAAAGGCAGGCTCACGGCGTCGTCAGAATTCAGAACGATGGTCGTGGGGCTGGGGGTGTTGGGAGGGGCTGGGCATGGTTGGCTTTGTGATCTGGGGTCTGGTGTGTTCCATCTCTGAATGTCTCTCGAGCTGCACTCTTTCTTAACACATTCTCATAAGTTTAACAAAAAATAAAACGAGGAGGCGAAGCTTGCTTGGGTTGTTAAGCCTAGGGAAATTATCCAGCCATGAGCCCTGGCCCAGATGCTTCTAGAAGCCTGGAGGGAACTGAGAACTTTCCAAGTGGAGGCCGCAGAGGCAAGGTCCTGAGGTGGGAGCACACTGCTGTTCGTCCCTAGCTCTGAAGGGGGTGCCCTGGTCGGAATCAGTGCTGGGCGCACTGCAGGGCCGGGAAGTCCATGCCCACGTTGTGGCTCAGTGCAGTGAAAGCCGATCTCACCCGCTCCGCAGGGTGTTCAGCCTGCCAGCAGGTGGCCGGCTGGTCCTCCTGGGATATGGCACGGACCCAGCAGCTCTGTCTGAAATCATAACGGCGGAACCAAGGGTCCCCTACGTCCAGGTCCGTTGGGAGGCGGGGCATGGAGTTCCACTGCAGGAATCTCCAGGAACCCTGAGGTCCTCCCTGAGCCAGGGCCGGGCTGGGCACACCCTGAGTGCCCACAGGGTAGGTGTCTTCCCGGACAGCCCCACCAGGACAGGGTGTGGAAGAACGAGGTGCCCGTGGCGGGGAAGCTGACCAAATGGGCCATGGGAACCGGGCTGGTGGGCCTGGAGGGGCCTGCCTGTCCCCCTTGCAGAGGGTCTTCCCGCCACGTGAAGCTGGCACAGGCCTGGATGCCGACGACCCTTGCTCGGGTTTGGCTGAAAGGAAAACAGACGCGGTCAGCATCTCCAGTGAGCCCACGCAGGCCTTTCCGGGCTGGGCCCCACCTGCCTGCGTCTCTGGAGTCCTCGGGGTCTCTGTGTGGCCCCCGTGGCCTGACACTGAGGACACGCCTGTAGTCTGCTGATCCCAGAGGGAGGGGTGCGTGCTGCCTGGCGTGGGGAAGCTGTCGTGGCATGGCGGGTGGCTCCTGGGACTGCCCCCAGGGTTCAGACTGGCTGGCGGCTTCCTGCCACACACCTTCGTCCCAGGGCTGTTGGGCCTGGGATACGGCCCCCAGTCAGAACTCAGGTGGGAGGGGCCTTGGATGTCACCCAGCCCCTTGCCACCTCAGGTGGGGACCCCTCTCCGCAGTGGGTGATTGGGCCCGGACGTGGGTCACCCTCTGCCCTCCTGGGCTGCCCAGTCCATGCCAGGACTGACCGTTCCCACTTCTGGCTGAACTCTTGGCTCTGGCCCTGGGCCCGGGGTCCCGCCTGCGCCCTCTCCCTGAAAGCTCCGTGGGTCAGGGACACCGATTCCCTTGTCTCCCTGGCTCCAGGCTCGTTGTCCTGGCAAGCTTGGAGGAGCGTGCAGGAGTGAGGGGCCTCTGCTGCTCTCTGAGGCTGTGGGTGCTTGCAGGGAGGGGCGGGGTCTCCCACAAATGGGTCTGGGCTCGGCTAGTAACTTGGAGGGCCCTGCGAGGGGGAGAGGGAGACACCGCAGAAAGTGGGAGGGGGCTTGTTGGAGGGTCTCGCCCACATCCCCCTCCTGCGTGCACAGCATGTCCAGTATACACGCACTGAGCGCCTGCCCTGAGGACCGGTGGGCCTCCTGTACTTTCTTAGAGTCCAGGAGGAAGAGGAGGAAGAAAAGGTGAAGAGGAAGGCCCAGGTAGTAGGGTTGCGGGTCCCGGGCACTCCCCTACTATTGACTACCCCAGAGGGTGACATGGGAGGGGACATGGCACTGGAGCCCACCTGGGGGTGGCAGGTCCCCCTGCTTTCTTGTTAGTTTCTTCATAGAGGCCCTAAGATGCTTGAGCACAGTGTCATCATCCCTGGCCCAGGCATCAACGAACCGGTTCCAAAAACGTGCCCACGGGCCACACCTGGACGTCTTCGTGAGGCGCTCTAGGGACAGGGTGGATATCAGGCCAGGGGAGTTACCTGGGAATGGTCACAGCTCATACCCCGTGGCCACTTCAGTCTCCCACTGGGCGGTGCCGGATCCTTTTGTGGCCACCCCAGGCGTCCAGATATACACAGGAGACTGTGGCTGGGGGGTGATCTGGACAGGGAAGTGCTCACCACACTCTCGACTTTCATCTGGGTCATGTGGGGAATGGGCTCGGTGTCACAGTGTCCTGCCCAGCCCACCTGGCCAGACCTCCCTCTGGGCCAGAACAGAGGATCATGAGGACAGTGTGAGGAAGCTGCCCTCGGGCCAGTCGGGGTCTGACCCCAGGGCTCCCCAGGCCCCGCTGGGCACACGTAGACTTACTCTACTGAACCTTAAAGGCGATTCTTGTTATCGGCATCAACGCCTGTTCGCCTTCTACCAGATACACGTCCCACAGGCGCAGGGTGAGCCCGAGAGAGATCTGTGGGGACAGCAGGTGTGAAAGAACCTGGTCCTTCCAGGCTGGGGCTGGTGGCTCGAGCTGCGCACACTGGGGCTTCAGTCTCCTGAGTCAGTGACCTTCCTTCCCCATGAGGGTCGCCTGAGCCCTCCAGGACGCTGGGTCAGACAAGGTCTTGAAGCTCCTCATGGGAGGCACTCATTTGAGTGGGGATGTGGCTCCTGGAGAGAGGGGCTTGCCCAGGGCTTGAGGCTTCCCTGAGCCCTCTCAAGTCGGGTCCTGGCCCAGTCTGCCCATGAGGCTGGGCCTGAGCCCCAGCCATTGCCCTGGGATGACCCCTCTTGGGCAGAGGGTTTTGCTTGTGTGTCCTTTGGGGACCCGCCTGAGCCTCCTGTGGGCTGGGAGTGAGCCAGACCCCCGGGCTGGGGAAGCAGGGCACTGCAGGGCAAGGAGGGTCCCTGAGCCAGGGTCTCCCTATGCCTCCTTACCCCGTCAATCAATATCCGGATGAGGCAGCCTAAGGACGAACACTGCCCACATAGATCTTTCTTGTCCTGATGGAAGCAACAGAGGTGCTCAGGCCACTGGGCTGCCCTAAAAACCTCCCTCTTCCAGGGCCTCTGAAGACCCTTCCCCTAGTGCAGAACACTGGGCGGTGTCCAGAGCTCCCCACAACACTGTCACCTTCCCACACTCCCGGTGGACACGCTGCCCTTTGCCCTGCTCTGCGGGAGCTGGGCCCCCATCCCTGTGCCTCTGTCTCCTCCAGGGCAGGAAAGGAAACCAACTCCCAGCCCATGGAGAACCCGACGTCCCAGGTCAGGCCCTGGCTGGGACTCAGCCAGTCACCAGCCCCACGAGGGGCTCCAGCCCCCCTGCTCCTACAGCCCCACGGGAGGCAGGGCCTCTGGGAAGAGCTGAGGGGACCATAAACTCACCTGATGCCACATGGTGTTGGGTAGTGACGTGGCTACCACATGCTCCTGTTGGTCTTGGAGCCCCTGGACGGTCCCGCCATTTGGGCTGTGAAATCCTGAGAAGCCCCCAGCCCATCGTGAAATCAGAGCCTTCCCCCAAGATGTGGAGCCATCAGCTGCAAGAGCTGGGCAGCTGGAGAGGCCCCCAAACCCCAAGGCCTCCCACCCTCCCATCTGGTGACCCCAACATGCGGCCTTTACCCTGGGGAGGTGGGGCGGGAACAGTCCCTGGAGCCTGGCTGGAGGTTCCCCTGGAGGCCTCCTGGGCCAGGGTGCAAAAAGGGCAAGCCTGACTTTCAGGCCACCACAGGGCGGCTGGAACTGGGTGGGTGCTGGGCTTCCTGGTCATCTCCTGGTAGTGGGGTCGGGCCAGGGAACAGGGGATGGGGAGATGCTGCCACCTGGGCTTGGTCGGCCCATTCGTGGGCACCGATGGCAGCAGGAGCCCGGGCAGCTGGAGGGCAGGAGGACTCTCAGGGAGGGGGAGAGTCAGCTGCACAGAATCAGAGCCGGAGGGCGTGGCTCCAGGACACAGAGGGTGGCCACGGGGAGGATGAGATGCCCTCTGCTGATGGGGATGAGAGGCGTCTGATTTGGGCTTTGGGGGTCAGCCGTGGACTCCTGTGGGACCCTCAGCAGAGACATCCTAAAGTCTCCCAACAAGCTGGTGACACAAGGAGGGTGCCTTGGCTGAAAGCTGTGATCACCTGGCCAGGGTGGCCATCCCCAGGTCTGGCTGCAGGAGGTCCCCGGGGCAGCTGTTCACTTACCCTGCAGGGAGTGCCTCTCACTGGCCAGCAGCTGCACCAGTGCCCAGAATGCATCCTCCTCAGGAAGATAAAGGAGGAACAAGGCGGCGATGTGGCTCAGGTCCCTGCAGTAGCCCACCTCCTGCAAGAGCCAGAGTCACCATGGAAGGACATCAGCTGGGAGGGCTGAGCTCACCTGGGAGGACTCATGTCATTGGAGAGGGCAGAGGTGACTGGAGAGGCTTCCTCTGAAGGAGAGGCTTCCTCTGAAAAAGAGGCTTCCTCAGGATGCACATTCATTTCATGACAAGAGCCAAGTCCATCAGGCACTTCAGCACCTTGTCCAAAATGTCTGCTGATAGCACCATCCTGTGTGCGATGCTGCCAAGCTCCTGGGCTTTGGGGCAGCCCCAGGAGGACGGCGTCATTTCTTGTTCTGAGAAGTGGTGGTCAGGCCCAGGTGACACCAGGAGTCCAGGCCCTGACTCCTTTGTGTATCAGCTTGACCCCTTGAGACCACCCCCTTCCTTGGAGGTTTATGCCAGCAGTGAGCTGACATCCTACTTCCTATATCCTGGTGGGTCACAAATACTAATTTTAAAAGAAGCAACGACACCCCCACCAGACACCCACTCCTGTGAATATGGAAATATGGCCCGGGAACCTCACTGCCGGGAATACTCACCGGGTTATACTCCTCATACGCCAGGAGGATGTAAAGTAGTTCCCGCTGCCTAGGAAACAGAGAAAGGGGGCTTTGGTTTGTTTTGTGCAGATGTTGTTAATTTCACTTTGTCTACAAAGCCTAACAGCAAATCCCATTTCAGGTTCAGATGATTCACCGGATAAGCAGTGAGCTCTTCAGGGCCTGAGACTCTTGAAGAAATGTTTCAGTAAAATCCACATCTGTGACATGCAAATAGCCCAGTTGTACAGTGCCTGATCCTTTTCACTCTGAATGATTTTTTTTTTTTTTTTCAGTTTGCACACACCCCAGTTCAGTCTGTGGGTGTACAGTTCCTCCACGGTTCCAAACCAATGTGCAGAGTCTCCCGGCCACCGCTCCAGCCCCTCCTGGGGCGACTCCTTCATCCTCCAAGTCTCCAGGGTGGCCCCTATGCACCCAGCCTCTCCCCGATCCGTCAGCCCCTGGCCACCCAGACTGCTTCTCAGTCCCTGTGGTTTGGCCTTTTCCAGAATGGCCTAGGAATGGGAATCCTACTGTGGTAGCTTATTGGGTCTGGCTTCTGTCCCTCAGCAAAATGCATCTAGGATCCACCCACGTTCGTGCGGGCATCACTGGCTCGTTCCCTTTTCTCACTGGGTCTTCCGTTTGAAGGGAGGACCAGCCTTGCTCTCCCCATTCCCGTGTTGAAGGCCGTCCCCGAAGGCTCCGTGTGTGAGTGACGAGGAGTCAAGCAGTGAACCTGGCATGCAGGTTTCATGTGGATGTCAGTTTCCAAATCAGTGGGTTCAATCTCTGTGACACTTTGGGGATGCGTGGTTCAAGTCCATCGAGCTTTGTGAGCCACTGCCCAACTGGCTGCCAACGTGGCTGTGCCATGTCATGTTCCCAGCAGACCTGGATGAGAGTTTCCAGGACCCCTAATTCTCCCAGCATTTGGTGCCCTCTATCCTGCCACCCTCCCGTGGCTCCTACCATGGGTCCCCATGGGTCAGGGAGAGCACCTTTCACCATTGTGCATGATTTTGTTTGCTGCCTTCCATCTCCTCAGGATCCTCCTGGGTTCTGGCCCCACATGTTCCAGTCTGGCCCAGGGCTTGGAACCAGGGAGGTGCTCGGTTCATGGTGCCGGCTGCTCCCTGGGCCAGGAGAGCTCTTGGCAGCTGTGTCATCCCTCCTGGGTGACCCTGGCTTCTGCTCCGGGGAAGCCCCCATCCCTCTCATTCACCCCATCTCTGCTGGGACCCTGTGGCTTACTTGGTTCCGTATCGATCCCTGAAGAATATATGCCTCCTTAATGTCCCGCTTACGTCCAGGTCCATCTGCTGGATGTGTTCAGATGACCTCTTGCCCTTCTCCTTCATGATCTGTAGGGCAGGGCCAAGAGGAGGAAGCAGTCTCAGAACAGATGGAAGACTCCCTGCCCCCAGTGGCAGTCAGCCCACAGTCAGCACTTCGGGAAGGAAGGACAGAAGGAAGGTTTCCTTCTGCAGAAAGCTGCATTTTGGCTTGTTACTGAAGCCAGGGAGGGTCACCAGAGCTGAGTTTGTCTGTGGTGACTGTGTCACCATCTGTGCCCAGGGTGTTCATCTGACCTTCACCCCCAGCTCCCCAGGGTGGTCTTGACGTTCCCTCCAGCTGGAGACCTGGGCCCCTGACACGGCCTGTCCTGTTGGTTGTGCTCTGGCTGAGCGTACCTGGTATCTTCCGGGGTTTTTCAACTTGATTTCCTCAATGTTCAGGAGGACTGACCACATCGGGCCCCGGATGTTCATGGGAATTCCCTGGTACGCTCGATCTATGAGCTGTGGGCAGAAAACAATCTGGTGTCGCAGGCCACGGGGTGACCCCAGTGAGGACCAGAGCCCGGGGATTCTGGAAATTGTTGGTTTTGGCCCCATGATTCCTCAGTAGAGGTGAGATCAAGCTGGGACAGGGTCTCCCTTCCCAGGACTGAAAGAGTGGATGGACACTCAGAGTCGAAACTCTGATCTGAACCTTTTCCTTCCTTCAGGTCACCAGGGCATCCCTAGCCTTGAGCTCCGGGTAGTCCCAGCCCTAGATTCAGATTCCCTCCCAGCAAGGTGACGCTTGCACGAATAGGCAGGAAATCTGGCGACCAGGCCTGCAGTCCTCTGGGCGAGGACAGCGTGCCACCCACCCTCTGAGAGGCTGACGGCGCCAGGCCACAGCCATGGGTGCCTGTCCCCTGTCTCTGCAGAGAGTGCTTCCTCCCTCCACACATTACCTTTCTGCTGTTTTTGTAGGTGTCCCATTCTCCCAGCATTTTCACCCACTTGCTCTTTCGGCTGATCTCCCGCCGAATTTGCTGTCAAATGAGGCATGTTGGAGTTAGCGGAGCTGCCAGGCTTCCCAGAGCCGCCCGCGGATGCTGGGTCTTGGGCTCTGGAGCCCTGGTGGGAGCCAGCTGGAAGGAGCCAGGGAAGGGCAGACCTCAAGGGCTGAGAGCCTTTGAGCAAATGAGCACCAGTGGGCTGGCTTTGGGACCCCGGGATGTACCATCCTCAGGCCACAGCCACACCAGTCTTAGGTCCCAGCCTCTAGGTGGGATCCTGACACAAGCGCGCAGCCACCCCCAAGCCAGGACTGTGGTTCTCCTTTTGGAATTTTATCAAACTGCCAAAGTTAACAGCAACCTGGGGTCAGGTCCAGCAGGGACTGCTGCCCCTCCCAGTGACAGCGCGTTGCCCTCACCCGCCACCGCTCAGGCCAGCTGCTTCCTCTGCCTCACTGACCACCCGCCCAGTCCCTACGTCCCTGGACCAGCCCCTCCATGCATCAGGCTCTTACCTTCACCTCCCGCGCAGTCAGAGGAGGCAGCTCCGTCTCACTGTAAGGCAACCCAGGCAGAGCTGAGGAACTGCACGGGGCCTGGAGCGGCCCCAGCCTGGGTGCCGGCCCCCAGAAAGGACTGGCTCTGTCCCTTTCCAGCTCAGGGCTCAGCCCAGGAGAAGGCACAGGGAAGGGAGGACAAGGGCCTTCCTGTGGGGCTGACTCCCAGGAGGGGCAGGACCTGGGAGAAGAAGGAGTGTAGGGACAGCCTGGCCGGGGTTACTGGGGCCCCTGGCGTGGGGGGCGGTCAGGCTGCCCAGTGGGGCTGCCCGTCCTGGACTCGAGGTGGTGCTTTCTGCTGGAGCTGAGAAAGGTTAGCCCTGAGATGGGATGGGGGCCGCCCAGGGTGGGTGACCGGGCCCTGACAGGAGTCCCTCAGGGAGTGACCACATCACCCCGCCAGGGTCAAGGGAGCCTGCCCTGAGACCTGCCCCGTGTACTCTGGGTGCACCAGGGGCCCATCCCACTTGACAGCCCCAAGGCCCTTGCAGGTTCTGACCTCCCAGCATCCACCTGCCTCTCCCTGCACCCGAGCCACACACCCTGCGTTTCAGAAGTGGCACGGCTCATCAGCTCCCTCCCGCCCTACCTCCCCTGGGATCCTCTGTCTCTCCATCCTGTGATCCCTGAGGGATGGGCTCCTGGCTGGGCTCCTCTTACCCGGCCCCAGATCCCTTCCCAGCACCAGACCCAGGTCTTTAGCCGCGAGCCCTGCTGCCTCCCCGGCCTCACCGTGAGATGCCCAGAACGGGGCCCTGCCCATCTTCCCCCCGTTCTCCTAGGGCTACAGCCCCCATTGTCACCATGCCTTTTCCCCTCACGGGACAGTGAGGGCCATAGCTCTAGGGGCATGGGGGAGAACAGGGGCAGGTGGGCCCTCAGAGACCTGCTGGACAACAGCCCTGAGGCCGGGCCAGGCGTCCCCTCACCCTGTGGCCATAACCCTTGCATCTCACCGGGGTTGTCTCCAAGTAGACAGGGCCAGACCCTCAGGCTGCCCAGCTCCTCTTGTGCTCACTTGCCGACAGAACTGCTGAGCGCCCAGGGGCCTGACCTAGCCCAGTCTCCATTCCCACCAGCTCCCTAGATGGGCCCCACACCTCTGGCCTAACAACAACCTCGGGCTGGACCTGCAGGGGAGTCAGGGAGGAGTTCTGTCCCTGGAAAGGAGGTTGACCCGACCTGGTGAGACATGTCCTGCATCAGAAAGGCCTTTCTAAAAGCAAACCCATCCCTGAGCTGAGACAGGTGCTTTAGGGGTGAGGGGAGTGCAGAGGACTCACTGTACAATCCCCAAATGATCGACGTTGTTGTTGTAGCTTCCAAAAGACTTAGGCCCCTTGTCCTCTGGCAGCCCAGCTCGGTGTCCCTGTAGCCCAGAGGGAGCCTTGGTGAGGGGTCCAAGGTAAAGGGTGCAAGGGCCTGGGGGCATTGGCCACCCGTCCCTGCCCTGTGCTCCTAGGGAGCCCAGGACCCTTTGACCAGGGCACACTGGAAGAGGCCTCCCTCCAAGAAGCAGACCGACTTGTACCTTTTCGTATTTCATAATGATGTCCTCTCGCTCTTGTGCCCACCAACTACCCGCGACCTCTACCACGTCCATCCTGTGAGACAAAATTGTCTAAAGGTTACACTGTACGCGGCGGCTTCGGAGAACACCTGAACCGCTCTCGCCGGGCTCCCAGATGCTGGCTGGCTGCGTAACCCCCATTCCACCGCCGCCCCCAGGGAAAAAGGGGCCAGACCCAGTGGCCCACAGCTGCTCGAGTCTCTGGAGTCTCAAGTCCCAAGCAGGGGTGGGCATCTTCCCAAGGACTTGAGTACAGTGGGACCTAGACAGAGAATCCTGTTGTCCCCCAGTGCCATGAAATGGGGACACACCGGCCCCAGCAGGTTGAATGGTTTCCACCTGCCAAGGGTGAAGGGCCCATGATGGGCTATTCCAGGGATGTGGAGGCAGACTGGGGTCAGCGACCAGAGGTCTCTGTACAATCGGCCTCCTGGGATGCTCAGGGCCTCAGAGATGCCCAGTTTCCTACAGGGAACAAGATCTCTCCTGACTGCTCGGTTCTACTCCGCTCATCACTTTGGCTACCGTGGCTCTTCAGTCTGAACAGTGAAGCCACTTCAGGAATAACGCCTGTTGAGCAGGAGGGTGTTCGGTTTGGGGGATGAGAAAGATCTATTGTACGCATGGAAACCACGTCTCTTGCGGAGGGACTGTGGAGTCCACCATTCTGAGCCGTCCCAACAGGAGGAGGCTTCATTTTCCTGGGTCACTGAGGAAGAACAGTGGGTCCTTGGTCCTGGAGAACACCTGGATGGACCGTCCCTCCTGGGAATACTCGAGGCAAAAGGAGGGCGAGGCCTCAAGAGGACCACACAGAGCAAGAAATGCCTGGGGAGAACCCTAGTGCCCGGACCCCTTTGAACAGAAGGGAAGATAGTCTCCCCTCAGCCAGCCCTCCAGGGCTCCTTCATTTTCCACAGCTGCCCAAGGGCAGCAGGCTCCCCCGGACAAGGGACCATGTGTGTTCAGTGGGGCCCACAGCGACCATCGGGACCCAGCTTAGGGCACAGAGGTGTTCTGAGGACCGTCAGTGGATCTATACCAGTGGATCTGTACCAGTGGATCTGTACCAGTGGCTCTGCCAGGACCAGGCTCTGCCCCATCGGGATCGGAAACCTGGGCAGATTTGGGATCTAGGGCAGGGAGGTCACAGGGTTCAGGCCTGAATTCCAGCACAGCACACGGCAGGGCTGAGAGCAAAACTCAGGGTCATGTCCGGATTCCCAGGCCGGTTACTGCCTCTCTGACCCCAGACGTCTCATCTGTCGAATGGTTACATTTGGGAACAGCACCCACTCTACGAAGCCACCATGGAGACGAAAGAGCCAATCGTCTACACGGGCAGTGTAGAACGGGCGCCTGGTGAGTGCTCAGGGATGACCCTCCTCGGTAGCTGCCCCACAGAGGCCAACACCGCCCGCACCGTAGCCACTGTCTCCAAGTCCGCCTGGAGGGAAGAGAGCAGGTCACGCTCACCTGACTCTGATGAATCAGCTGGCCTGGGTCATGCCTCTCAGGGAGAAAACCTTTGAGTCCACAGAGCTGCTCACAGATACCACTGCCTGTGTGTAACTGCCGTAGAACACTGAGGCAGGCCAGAGAGCGGATAGGTGCTAAGCACCAGTGACATTCTGAGGTCATGGCACGCATCACAATGGGGCCTTGCCCGGGTCAGCAGCGCCCAGAGTCAGGGTCCTCCGCTGCCTGAGGCGTCAACATGCCTGCCTGCAATGTGTTTGTGCACGTGCGTGCACACGTGTATGTGGCTAAACATGTCTGTGCACATGTGTGTTGCTTCTCTGGCCAGGCCCGGCTGCCCCACTCATGTGTGCACCCAGTTCCTCATCACTGTCACCCCCGAGGCCCAGGGCCAGCATCAGAGCGCCCAGGGCCAGCATCAGAGCATCCATGGCTGCTCCCTAACCTCAGCCCTCCCTGCCCAGGGTGGTCCTGGGATACACATAGGGGTGGAGGGAAGTGACTGCTGCTGCTGCTGGATCTCAGAATACAAAAGCTAATACTATTACCTAATGGTCTTTTTAGTGTCTCTAATGGTATCGCTTTTTCATTTCTGATATTTTAACTGGGTATTTCTCTCCATGACCCTTGGATATTCTAGCTAGAGGATCCTGTGAGGAAAGTGCCGGGCACACAGTAGGGGCTCACTCTTCTAGACATGTTATCTAAAACCTGATTCATCTGTCCTTCCACGCAGGGCCTAGGGGATGCCAAATTCCAGGGTCCAGAAAGAGCTTGGGATAAAATGAAACTTCAAGGGGACGGCTTTGACCTGGGCTGAGTCTGCCTGTGCCGAGTCTGCCTGTGCCATCCAACTGGAGTCTCAAGTCCTGAGGCAGGACGTCCAGATGCCCCAGTGCAGGGTCCTCCTGATCAACACCTGTCCCCCTGTACTCATTAGCAACCTCACCCACCCTACTCTCAAAGCACACTTGGCTCTCATATCCAGGAGCTCTGCATCTGTAGATTCAGCAACAGCAGATGGAAAATATTCAGAAAATAAATTGGATGGTTATATTTCTATTGAACATGTGCAGACTTTGTTCTTGTCATTATTCCCTAAAGAATACAGTATCATGACCATTTATGTAGCATCTGCATTGTATTACACATCCTGAATAATCTAGAGATGGTCTAATGTCTACAGGAGGATGTGCATAGCTGATATGTAAATACTAGGCCATGTTATGTCAGAGACTTGAGGATCCATGGATTTTGTCATCCCCGGGGACCCTAGAACTAATCCATGGATACCAAGGGATGACTGTAGAAACTCACTCAGGAAGGCTTCTCATTGGAGGAAGGGCCCAGTTCAGGACACACAGGGACATCTCCCTGGACTACTGTCCATTCATCCATCCATTCATCCATTGTCTCCCCCCACCCCCCCATCTCGGACTGTCCCAATGACAGCCCTAGCAAGAAGAGACAAGCAACAAGATAAGTTCACGTTGTCCAGTTTTGAGGTATTGGAAGAAGTTGCACCGGTATGAGAATAGTGGGTCAGTTTTCTACAGGATCCAGAAAGCATATCGGGCAGCCTCGGGGTGCGGAAAGGAGCCTGGCCTCTCCAGCAGCCACACAGGCCTGCAGTAGGATGGGGCTGGGGCTGGCCATGTGGATCACTTGGGCCTCATGAGGGGAAAGGAAATACCAGGGGGCAGAAGAGGAGCATGGGGGCAGCTGGTTGCCTAAGGGGAAGGCACCTCAGGGAAGGGGACTGTATTCATTTGTTTTCACACTGATGTAAAGAAATACCTGAGATTGGGTAATTTATAAAGGAAACAGGCTTAATTGACTTGCAGTTCCGGAAACTTACAATCATGGCAGAAGGGGAAGGGGAAGCAGGCACCTTCTTCACAAGACGGCAGGAGGGAGTGAGTGGAGAACCAGTAAGTGCCACACTTTGAAACTATCAGCTCTCCTGAGAACTACCTCACTATCCGGGGAGCAGCACGGGGGAAACTGTCCCCAAATCCAATCTCCTCCCACCAGATTCCTCCCTTGACACAGGAGGATTACAATCCCAGATGAGTTTTGGGTGGGGACACAGAGCCAAACATGTGAGGGTCTCAGTCTATGTTGCAGCTCCCCTGGGGCTGAGGCTGAGTACAGACCTGCCGGCCTTGCCCTATAGCACGCGAGGGCTCTGCCAGTGTGCTCCCATCTCCTGCTTCCTGGGGATGGTGGTGACTTCCTCCAGAGAAGGGTGTATTTGTTCTCCTCCTGCCCCTGCAGGGCATTGTGGAGCCCTGGCCAAGTTCTCCCAGGATAAGGGCAGGAAACAGGGCTCCTTGCCCTTCTTGTTGCTTGAGTGACAACCCTGGGGTCATCCCTAGGCCCCGTCACTGCCCCTGCTTCTAAACTGAGAACATTTTGGCAAATCTTCCTGGTAGAGGCTGGGGGCTCATCCCTGCTATCTGTTCTAGCTTGGTAGAGCCAGGTTAAGACATCTGGGCAAGAAGAGAGTAGAGTGTACCCCAGGAAGCGTGGGTGGAGGGCACTGGCCTTTGGGCTTCTCTGGACCAGGGTGGGAAGGGGGAAGTTTACCAGGAAATAGAGCTCTCAGGACTATGTTTAGGAGGAGGTGGTAATGCTGGTGGGGGGACGTCCATTCATCCATCCATTCATCCATTGTCTCCCCCGACCCCCCATCTCGGACTGTCCCAATGACAGCCCTAGCAAGGAGAAACAAGAAGGAAGACAAGTTCATGTGGTCCAGTTTTGAGGTCTTGGAAGAAGTTGCACCAGTATGAGAATAGTGGGTCAGTTTTCTCCAGGATCCAGAAAGCATATCAGGCAGCCTCAGGGTGAGGAAGGGAGCCCAGCCTCTCCAGCAGCCACACAGGCCTGCAATAGGATGGGGCTGGGGCTGGTTTGGGGTGGAGGATAAGTGACAGCCAAGGTTTGTCAGCATGCAGAGGGGTGGCTGACTCATGGACTAGGGGCTGCGGAGCCCAGTGGTTGCCCTTAGTTCTTGGATCCTAGGAGACTTCTGGAGCCTGGATCTGGACAGCCTAGGGGTGGAGGTGGTGAGGGGCAGGGCTGGGGGCGGGAGGAGAGGCCTCGCATGGCAGGGTGCGGGGCAGGAAGCCAGCCAGGGACTGCTTTGCAGTGTCTGCTCCCATCGCCCTTCCCACCCCCAAACCCACCCCTACCCCTACCCTGGTGCAGGGTCGGTCCGGGGCAGGTGTCTTCTGCTTTGGCCTCAGCAGATCCCAAGATGGAAGCCGGCAGCCACGCGGGCATGTCACTTGCGCCAGCTTTGTCCTGCAGTTTCTGCTTCCTGGAGCGTGGGACGCCCACCCAGGAGAGCACGGGCAGACCCCACACCTCTCATTTTGAGGGTGCTGGGAGGTGGGGGACCAAGGTCCTGCAGCCCTGTGCTTGTGCCGTGAAAATTAGCCTAGGAGTCCCATGTCCACCTGTCTACGTGGAGCCCCAGGAGCGTGAACAGTGGCATGCAGCGAGATGAGGAGGGAGAGAGAACTGGAAAAGAAGGAGAGAGAAAGAGAGATGAGGAGAAGGGAAAGTGAGAGAGGAAGAGAGATTTGGAGAGAGACAGAGGAGGCTGAGAGGATAAGGAGGGTGAGATGGGGAGAGAGATACAAAACACAAAGAGACAGAGAGAGACGTGCAGGAGTAGGAGGTCGAGTTACTCTTGATCCCAGTTCCCAGTGAAAACTGTAGGTCGCCATCACCTAACCACACATGCAATAAAGTCTGCCTGCTGCTTAGAGCCCTGAGAACCCCTTCTCATGGAGCATAAAACCTTTGACTACTGCCCTTCCTCACCGCATTTTTGTTGTCTCTTCTGGTGAACCATGATGTCTTGTCTATTGCCTTCCTGGGCTCAAGGATCCATCAAAAACTGATGCTTCTTTGGGGAGAGTCTGCAGTGCCTTCCACTCACTAGGCTCCCCAGGAAGCTTGCACACTTGGCTTGGGCCCCAAGCAGCTGGGTACATGATGGGACTCTGCTTCTCTCTTTCAGTAAGAAGGAGAACTAAGAAAGAGACTGAAGCATGGTCTGTGGAGAAGGCACTTGTGCAAACACCAGGAGAATGAGGGGCCTGAGTTGTCTTCGTTTCTCCTAAAAGCATGCATTCCCGGCTGGGCGCGGTGACTCATGCGTGTAATCCCGCCACTTTAGAAGGCTGAGGCAGGCGGATCACCTGAGATCGGGAGTTCGAGACCAGCCCGACCAACATGGAGAAACCCCATCTCTATTAAAAATACAAAATTACCCAGGCATGGTGGCACATGCCTGTAATCCCAGCTACTTGGGAGGCGAAGGCAGGAGAATTGCTTGAACCCAGAAGGCGGAAGCTGCAGAGAGCCGAGATTTCGCCATTGTACTCCAGCCTGGGCAACAAGAGTGAAACTCCATCTCAAAAAACAAACAAACAAACACACAAACAAACAAACAAACACATTCCCTCCCAGGCCACCCAAGTGAGGGCATGAAGCACAGCGTGTGTGTGTGTGTGTGTGTGTGTGTGTGCACGCGTGTGTGCATATGTGTGTTTGTGTGTTGCAGGGGTTACAGTGGACAGGATGTGGGAGGGCAGCTGCAGCTCCAAGCTGCAAGTCTTTCTGATAGAATGCTTAAAACTCCTTGGACCACAGCAAGAGAGTGTTTTCATTTGCACCCATTTTTATTAGCGTTTGAACCTGTACTTTTTGTAGCATGTAAACCTTAAGCTGCTTAACTATTCCTTGAAGCATTTACACCAGCGGTTCCCAACCTTTTTGCTACCTGAGACCAGTTTTCTTGAAGACAATTCTTCCACGGACCCGGGAGAAGGGGAAGGGATGATGTGGAGATGATTCAAGCCCATTACATTTATTGTGTGCTTCATTTCTATTATTTCACTGTAATATATAATGAAATAATTACACAACTCACCATAATGTGGAATCAGTGGGAGCCCTGAGCTAGTTTTCCTGCAACTGCATGGTTCCATCTGGGGGTGATGGGAGACAGTCACAGATCATCAGGCATTAGGTTCTCATAAGGAGCACGCAATCTAGATCCCTGGCATGCGCAGTTCACAGTAGGGTTCACGCTCCTATGAGATAATGGCACCGCTCATCTGAGAGGAGGCACAGCTCACGTGGTAATGCAAGGGATGGGAAGTGGCTGTTTCTACAGATGAAGCTTTGCTCACTGGCTGGCTGCTCACCTCCTGCTGTGTAGCCTGGTTCCTAACAGCTGGGGATCCCTCATTTACCCAGCAAGATAAATACATTATTATGTCAATTGAAATTCTTCACCTTGAACCACCCCAAATTACCTTGCATACCTACACCCACCCAAGGGTCCCGGAGCACACTTTGGGGGCTGCAGACAGTAAGCCTGGAGCTCCATGGAGCATTCCATCTCTCCACCATCTGTGGGCTAACAGGCTGTGTTAGTTTCCTAGGGCTGTTTTACAGTACCACAGACTGGGCACCTTCAACAACAGAACGTTACTGTCTCACAGTACTGGAGGCCATGAGTCCAAGATCAAGGTGTCAGCAAGGTGGGTCCCTTCTGAGGCTGTGCAGGAAGGCTCTGTTCCAGGCCTGTCTTCTCATGCGCGGGTGGACGTCTTCTCCCTGTGACTCTCCATTAAGGGTGATTCTGGTGAGGGCTCAGAAGAGGAGACTTGGACAGAATGTTGGTAGGTAAATGTGTCAGTGGAAACCAGAGGGTAGACAGGACTCCATCCATGCCCAGGGCTTTCTGGGGACAGACCTGTCCAAGCAGCAGCGATTCCCAACCGAGTTCTGTTTCTGGAAAGCCAGGCAACAGCTGGGGCTGGGCCCTCTGGGATTTGTTTAGTGACCCGATGATGTGGGAGGCCTGCAGTGGGTGGTTGGGTGGGGGGTGGTACTGCCCAACCTCATTGCATCACTCACTTCCCAGGCCCTGCCCTCAACCCCTCCTGACCAGGCCCTGTCCTGGTTCTCAGCCACCCTGTCCCAGTGGGTGCTTCAGCCCACTCACTGACCAAGTGAGGGACTGACTCCAGGTTACAGAGTGCTGTGTTTATGTGACCTGAGAATATGTGTGCGCAGAGTGTGCCCGCAGTGTCCTTGTACAGTTGAGCATATACATGTCCTGCCCGTGTGTAGGCAGCCTGTCCACACATGCCTAGGAGTGTGACTCCATGTCCTGGTAGATGGGGAAGGAGAGAGGGAGTTGTGCCCAGGGTCCCCTGATTACTTCTATGGGTGCATGTTTGTGCATCTTGTTAGGGGTCCTTGGGGGTATGGAAGATTCTCCCCTGGGTGCCCTTGATCACCTGTGTGTGCGTGTGTCTGTGTGTGTGTGCATTAGGGGGTGTACTGTGTTACAGCATCCTCAACCAACTCTGTATGTGTGCATATGTTTGTGTGTGTGTGTGTCTTACAGGTATGAGCGAGTGGATGCTTCCACTACGTGTCTGCACACGTGTGCGTGCACTTGCATTGTCCTTGCACACCTTCGTGTGTCCCGTGAGAGCGAACGGAGCCCCGCATGTGCTGGCACCTGCAGGAACGTGTGAGTGAGTGTGCGATCCGTGGGTCCCTGTCCTGCTGGCTCCCCGCTTGTCCCGAGGGAGTGCGCGCACGGGGTCCCAGGCCGGCGTGTCCGCCGGTGTGAGTGCGAGTGAGTGTGGCCCCACGCAGCTCTCTCCGCTCCGCGCTGCCTGGGCAGCCCGCACACTCACGCTGCGTGGTTGCTGCCGGGTGACACGGGCTGGGCCGGCCCCCTGCCCGCCCGCCCCTGGCACTCACTCGCGCTGGCCTTCGCGGAGGCCCCGCCGCGCCATGCCGGGCCTGCTGAGCCGCCCCCGGCGGGGGTCGCTCCGGGCCAGGCCGTGCGGGGGCGGCGAGGCGCTGCCTGTATGACCCCCGGCGGCGCGGGGAAAAGGCGACCGTTTGCATCCAGGAGCATGTGGCCATCGACGTGTGCCCCGGCCCCATCCGCCCCATCCAGCAGATCTCTGGCTACTTCCCCCACTTCCCGCGGGACCTGCCCCATGACGCCCCCGCGCGCCCAGCCACTGCCAGCGCCGGCCGCCGCCGCCCCTCTGACGGCGCCCGCGACCACGACAAGGATGGCGACCATCTCTTCGGAAGCCTAACGATCCAGCACAGGTCCCAGCCCTGCGCAGCCGCCCGCCAAGCCGCCAGAGGACCAGCCGAACGCCAAAGGCTAGGAGTGGACGATTGCAGGAAGTTTCCAACTCGCCGACTTCGCCCCACTCCACTGGCTCCGGCTTGGCGGTCCCCGGCTTCGGGGTGCCCTCCGTCCCTCCCCCTCGCGTCGTCGCGTTCTCCCTTGGCATAACCCCCCGCCGCGGGGCCGCAGACCCCCTAAGCGCTTCGTGCGCTCTCCGCGCCCTGCCCACCGGCCCCGACCCCTCCCCCGACCGGACGGGAGAGGTGGGAAGTTTGGGGGCACCCGCTGTGGGTGTCCCATTTGCGGGGCTGGGCTCCGGGGAGCCGGCGCGCGGCGCCCGCTCCCTGCCCGCCAGCCGTTTGGGAGCTCAGGCGCGGGCAGCCGCTTTTGTTCCCGGGAAGGGCGGAGCTGCGTCCCGGGGAGACACGCGTTGCAGCCGGCAGCGTAGTTGCTCCCCGCTGGCCGGCCGCTCCGGGAGGGCCCCGCAGCGGAGGGTCGGGGCTGGGGCGGGCTGGGGAGGGGGCCCAGGGCTGGGGCCGGTTCGGCCTCCCGGGTGGCGCGCGGGCCGAGGAGCTAGGAGGACCGCCGCGCCGCTTGTCCTTTGGATAAACCTTGGCGGTTCCTCCTCTGGTGTCCGTGGACCCCGCCGCGGCGTTCTCCAGGGCCGCGGACCTTTGCCCACCGGTTGCGCCCGCTGCCCCGGGCAGAAAGGACCCCCCTCCTCCCGGACCGAGCCCCGAGCCCCATGGAGCAGGCAAGGGCCAGAGTCCCGGGGCCGAGGCCCGACCGGCGGACGCTCCGGGACCTTTTCCCGCCCCCGAGGGTGCATGTCCGGCCGGGGCCGGGACTGGCTGGGAAACCGAGGCCAGAAGAGGTCGCAATCCAGCGAGGAATCGGTTTGTGTGGGGTGGGGGTGGGATGGGAGACCCCTCCCCAACCCCACCAGCCCCAGCCCAGCTGTGGCCTCAGCCATGTCACTCAGAAAACCAGCGTCAAACCCCACCCTGCCCAGGATGTGGACCTTGCCTGGTGAGAGTCCCGCTCGGATTTCCCCAGGGCCCCTCCACCGCGCAGCAGGGGTGTCTGCGCTGGGCCCAGGCATTCACCAGGGCCTGCAGGCTGCCAGCCTGGAGTTTCCCTAGGATCAAATGTGCCACCGGAAGCTGAAGGTGGGGACGACCAGTGGCCCCCCCCGGAGCGAAAACCCCCGCATCTCTCCAGGATGGGGGATCTGCTTGGGGGTCCACTTAGGGGTGTATCCCTCAGGCATTGGAAGTGCGGATGGGAGGCCCCGAGCCATGGTGGCTCCCCCAGTCCCCAGTTCTTTCTCTGTGTGAATCCAGCTTTGCAGGGACGGGGATGTGGTGCATTTCCCGGAAGAGCCGGGGTCCTGGGGTGTGGGGAGCTGGGGCTGGGGTGTGGGGAGGGGCCCAGGGTGGGCAAGCAGAAGCAGGACTGGCACAGGCCTCTGGAGGGCCTGGGGGAGGCTGGACGCCCCGGGGTGCACCCTTGCCTGTCCGCTCTTCTAAGGGTCCGTCTCGGTTTGCCCATCTGTAAATAGGGTTGATTGTCCCTGCTCTACGTGGCTGTTGTGAGCATTCAATGAGCACTGCCAGTCCTCGGAGACTCTTGGGTTTTTTTATTGTGCTAAAATATACAAGTATAAATTTCCCATTGCAACCATTTCTTTTTGCTCCTTCACTCCCCACCCACCCACCCACCCACCCATTTTTAGGGTACAGTTCAGTCATGCTCAGTACCTTCTACCTTCACACTGTGTGCAACCCATCTCCAGAAGCCTCTTCATCCTGCAAAATTGAAACTGGACCCATTAAACAGCAGCTCCCCATTCGTCCTCCCCCGGCCCCTGGCAACCGCCTTTCTGCTTCCTTCTCCATGGATGTGACTGTTCTAGGAACCTCATATAAGTGCAATCACCCAGTATCTGTGCTTTTGTGTCTACCTCCCTTCAGTCGGCAGAATGTCTTCAGGCTTCATCCATACTGCAGCCCGTGTCAAAACTTCCTTTTTCAGGCTGAATGATACTTGAGAATCAGAATCTCCTCTCCTGAACACTTCACCAGCAACAGCATCTGAGAGGCCCAGGGAGGGGCAGGGCTGGGGTTTGGGGGAGAGGCTCTCCTCTCAAAGCCAGATGCCCCCCAATCTATCCCCTCAGTGCCAGCACCAGCCAGGGCCTCCTCTCATGGCTTACTCCTCCTGTCCCTCCCGTGGGAGCCGCCCCTAAACCATGGGGTCAGTTTCTGTCTCTTGCCAACTCACTAGCTGGGGAGGGTCTATCCAAGAGCCCCCCTAACAGCTCCCTGACCTGGAATCAGCCTCCTGCCCTCCCCCTTCTGTGGACAGAGGTCAGACTCCATGGGAGGGCAGCCCCACAGAGGGCTGGGTGGAGGCACTGGTGGGAACCCGGGGTCAGGGCCAGGGAAGCCACCTGTTTGGGCACAGAAGCTGTTGGCAGCACGGTGACACGGCCTCAGGCAGTGCCCACTGGTCTTTTTGCTTCTGGCCAAATGTGTGGCTGTTCAGGGTGCTCAGGGGCCTGCCGGGTGAAGGAGAGGAGAGGCGGCAGCAGAGGGCCCATCACAGTCCAGGGGTCAGAAGGACAGAGCAGGCATCACTCCGTCCCAGTGTGGCAGTGCCCCCAGCCTAGCCCCCACGGGTGTCTTGGGGTACAGAGGTGGGACAACCAGAGCCACTGGACAGACATGCCAAAACTTCTGGTGGCCCAAAGATATGCAAGTGAAATGTGTCAAGAGACAGGACCCAGTGAAAACATTTTGAGCTACAACAAACAAATGTATACGAATTGTAAGAATAAGACACAGTGGTCAGGGACCCCCTGCACAGGGTGGGCCACCAGATTCCCAGAACTCTGCACTCCAGGCACGTGGTGGGAAAGGCAAGAGGCCAGGGTGAGGGAGTTGGGTTTGGAAGAGCAGCCATGTCACTGTGGGTGCACATGGGGCTACTGAGCCAGGCCCTGTCCCAGAGGCAGCCCCACAGTGCAGGGCACAGCTCACGTATGCCCACCTGACCTCAGCCACTTCTCTGGCATCTCACAGGGGCCTGGCGTGCAGGGAAGGGGAGGAAACGCTCTGCCTGCCAGGCCCTGTGTCCACGTCGTCTCCCTCCCTCTCACTCCAGCCCTGGGAAGATGGGACTCTTACATCCTTGCCCGTTTTTTTTGTTTTGTTTTGTTTTGTTTTTTTAATTTTGAGAAACGGTTTCAGTCTGTTGCCCAGACTGGAGTGCAGTGGCATGATCATGGCTCACTGCAGCCTCTGCCTCCTGGGTTCAAGCAGTCCTCCTCCCTTAGCCTCCCTAATAGCTGGGACCACAGGCATGTGCCACCACACCCAGCTAATTTTTAAAGTTTTTGTAGAGACAGTGTCTCACTATGTTGCCCAGGCTGGTCTTGAACTCCTGGGCTCATGGGCTGGGATTACAGGTGTGAGCCACTGCGCCCGGCTGAGGCGCAGATGATGATAAAGCTGAGGCTTCGGGTGAAAAGTACTCATCCACTTCCTAGCGAGTGAATACAGGGGCTGAGCCCAGAAACCATGCCAGCCAGGCCCCCAAACTTCTGCCCTCTTCCAGTGGCAGAGAAGTAGGTGGTTGGGAGCCCCCCGATCCCCCGGAGCTCTGCCAAACCAAGGTGGGGTCGGCCTGGGAGGGAGACTCAGCCTCCCCTTGGAGATGAGCCTGGTGTGAGCAGCCAGGCTGCCTCCCTGACCCGGCTGGGTAGAGGCCTTGCGGTGCATCTTTGAATAATGTTCTGGGGTTACCGGCTGCGCCCCACAGATGCCACAGCTGCCTCCCTACAGCCCTGTGCTCCAGCCCAGAAGAAAAAAAAAATGCGGTTTTCCGAAACAAGAGCCTGCTGAGGTCAGCGAAGCCCCTATCTGCCCATCCTTCTGTGTGTCCCTGGGTCTGCACGCTTGGCTGGGTTTTCTAAGGGAACGGAAGGCAGAGTGAGTGAGGGGCGCCGTCTTGTGGAGGAACCCTCTGTGGCCGATCAGCTTGTGTGACCTCTGTGGACTGACTGGGAGTTGTGACAAATATGGCCAGAAATGGGGCCTCTCCGACGGTGACCCGGGGTTATGTGGATTTAGGGTCAGTGAGGGACGTGGCCTCTCAGGAGGCGGTGCTGGGAAGATGGGGGAGAGGAGTCAGGACGAGGGAAGGGCCTGACCAAAGCAGGGTGGGGAGGGAGGCTCAGAGGAAGGTGAGCCACCTGGCTTTCAGGATGGCGAGGAGAGAAAGTCTGTCCTGACAGAGGCCCCCTAACAGCTGCCCTGGGCCAGGATGTTTGTGGGAGGGGAGATTGCACCGCGATGCCACCCTCACTCCCTGTGTCTGGAGGTGTGGGGCCAGGGGCTTCTGTGACAGGGGCCATGAATGCACCCAGCCAGGAGACCCAGGGGACAAGGGCATCTGCTGGCCCAGGCACCTGCAGGCCCTGGCAGCTCCATCCCCCGATTTCCCATTCACACCCTTTGCTGTTCTCTACCCGGGACCTGAAGCCCATGGACCACAATGGGCTGGCAGACCCCTGTGTCAAGCTGCACCTGCGGCCAGGAGCCAGGAAGGTGAGGGAGTTTCACCCAGGCTTGCCCACCAGCTGTGCCCACCTATGGGGCCTGGACCAGTCCAGGGAAGCCCACAGCTGCCACTCCCCCTCAGAGCCCAAGCAAGCTGAGGAGACCTCAGCCACTCACCTCCATGCAGAGCGCCCAGTCTGTCCCACACCCGGGATGCCTTCCAGCGTTACCTACCTGCTGATCGGGGGAAACCCCTGGAGAATTTCCAGGCTGGCATTTTATAAGAAGCATTCTCAGCTGGAGGTTACTATGATGTGCAAACAAAGACTGTGGTCAGATCACACTGGAAAACATTGTTAAACCAGTTTCTTTACTGTAGGACTTACCAGAGCCTTTAATGTGCTGATGGGCTGCTCCTCGACTCTCAGTAAGGGGGATGAAGTAGGCAGCATCTGCCCAATGTATTTGACCACAGAATCCTCATTCCCATGAGAGATGGGCCAAGAGGCCAACCACAAATGCACTTAAGGCACCAGCACAACAGTGCATCTAGGAGAGGAGAGAAAAAAATGCTATTAAATAAAAGCATCAAGGTGACCTTGAGCCATGAAAAATCAGAACTTCTTAGACTTCCTTCCTTCTGTGCATCCTACACTTCAGTGTTGCTTTATTTTTAGTTTCACAGGGCAGAGTCTGAGTTGACTTGGGGACCTAAATGTGTATGCCTGGGGCCCACCGCAGTCCAGGAGGACCACCCCAGAAGGGAACATTGCGCCTTCTCTGGGGAAGGCAGGGCTGTAGGAGACACGGCAGTGCCCCACCACCTACTCCTGGGGAAGAAATGGCTCCCCGCACCAGGCCTGGGTGTCCTTATGCTGCAGGTGGAGCTCAGGGATGTGAGAGCCAAGAGTGAGTGTAACCAGGGAAGTGTGCCCAATGCGGGAGCTCAGTGACCCCTAACTCGTGGGACTGGAGCCGGCAGGGCCTGTTGTAGGAAGTCCCCGGGACTCTCCCCGGTGTTTTATAAAGAGCAGTCTCCTTGTAGACCAGCTCCTGAAAGCAGTGCGAGAGAGGGATTCCTGTGTCCTTTGCACGGTGGGGAACCTGACGCTGCCACAGAGCTGGAATTGAAACCCCGGGCTGCCTGACCTCCAAACCTAGGCCGGGGTGGCGGGCATCAGACTGAGTCAGACACGGAGCTCAGAGTCGCTGGCACAGGAGGAAGGAGTGGTGGCAATACTCCCGCTCAGAGAGGCCACTGCACGAGCATGCCTGAGGCCAGGATGGGTTCCAGGCAGAGGGGACAGTCCGCAAAGGCAGGGCATGCCCTGGGAAGGAGACTCCAGTTCCACACCAGGTGTCCTGCAGAACCCACCCCAGGGCACCAGGGGCTGGAGCTGGGATCCTCCTTGGATGAGCCTCCTATGGCTGCTGCAGCAAATGACCACAAACTTAGAGGCTTAGAGCAACACACTTACTATCTCACCGCTCTGCAGGTTAGAAGTCTGACAGTGGTCTCCCTGGGCTAATGTCAAGGTGTCGGCAGGGCTGCGTTTCTTCTGGAGCCTGGGGATTCCACCCATTTCCTGGCTCTTTCCAGCTTCTAGAGGCCGCCCGCCCTCCTTGGCTGGTGGCCCATTCCTCCACCTTCACAGCCGGCCTGGTTGCATCTCCCTGGCCTTCTTCCTTGGTGACATCTCACTCTTCTCTTCTCTGTCCTTTCTTCTGCTTTTAAGAACCCTGTGACCACATTGGGCCACCCAGACAGTCTAGGATAATCTCCCTAATTAGTCAGCTAATTAACAACCTTAACCCCATCTGCAGCCTCAGTTCCCCATGGCCACGTCAATAACATATTCACAGCTTCGGAGATTAGGACGTGGCCATCTCTGGGGGCCATCGTTCTGTCTACCACACCCTTTGGTGCTAATAAGATCATTTTTTCCTTTCTCCAGGCAAATAAGCTTAGAACAAAAGCTCTCCGTAACACTCTGAACCACGTGAACAAAACCCTCACTTACTACAGGATCACTCGTGATCCACAAGACCCTGCAGTGGGTGAGGGCCCTCGGCTGCCTGCTCCCTCCCCAACCCCCACCCAGAGAAACCGATGCGGGTGCAGGGTCAAGTTCAGACCTCAGACCCAAGTCTCCCACTTTGGTCCCTTTCTCCCCTCCTGAGGGACCTGGAGGACGGAGTCTGCCCCTCCTCCTTCCCGGCATAAGCATCAGGTCAGCTGCAGTGGAGAAAGTGGTCCCTTGTGCTTGGAAAGAAAAGCAAGCATTCCTCCTGGTTCTCACTCTGCCCTTCCCCTTCCCTTCCACTACCTGGTTCACGCTGAGTACTCGGGGCCTCCAGGTGGTTGCTCATGGCATCCTGGCCCTACCACCACCACAGATGTCCCTTTCGGGAGGACTTGGGGGCAGTCCAGGGCCTTGTCTCTGGGGAGGCCTGTGGGGCTGGCTCTACACTGTGACCACAACTTTGTAGATTCCCCACGATGTAGATTGGATTGTGCACATGTGCACACACACACATTTGGAGCACGTGTAAGCACACACTTAAGAGTGTATACCCATACATACGTACACATATCATGAAAAAATCTATAATGAAACATATCAAAATAACTGTGATTATCTCCATGTGGCAGGAGAATAGGTCATTTTTTCTTACATGTGTGTCTTGTTTTGTTTTTTCCAAATGTTCCACAATGGAGATTCATTACTTTTATGATATGGAAAAACAACAAATGTTATTTAGAAACCGAATCCATAATAGCTGTAATATTACAATAATTTAGTCTGGGCACAGTGCCTCACACCTGTCATCCCAGCAATTTGGGAGGCTAAAGCAGGAGGATGGCTTGAGACCAGGAGTTTGAGACAAGCCTGGGCAACATAGCGAGTCCCCCATCTCTACAAAAAAAAAAATCAGATTAAAAATTAAAATAAATAAAATAATTTAAACACTTTGATAAAAGAGAGTGAAAACAAATTTGGGGAGTAGACTACATGAAGGCTGGGAATCCACCGGGCTGAGTGGCCTTTTTCTTAACATCCCAAAATGGAACAACCAAACACGGCTTTAGAAACTCTTCCAGCACCTGCCAGCATGTGTGGCCTATACTTCTCTGGAGAGGAAACCCGCTGTCCCAGTTTGGAAAAGAATCTAGTATGAGACTGTATCTGATTTATCTGTTTATTGAGACAGGGTCTCACTCTGTCACCCACGCTCGGTGCAGTGGCATAATCTCAGCTCACTGCAGCCTTGACCTCCTGGACTCAAGCCATCCTCCCGTCTCAGCCTTCCGAGTAGCTGGGACTACAGGCATGTGCCACCATGCCCAGCTAATTTTTTAATTTTTCTTTTGTGGAGATGGGATCTTGCTATGTTGACCAGGCTGGTCTTGAACTCCTGGCTTCAAGCGATCCTCCCACCTTGGCCTCCCGAAGTGCTGGGATTACAGGTGTGAGCCACCACACCTGGCCTTGTATCAGATTCAGTACTGATTATTTTTTTTAACTATTGTTAAGTTTAGCATGTCATCATTTCAGAATACACTGCTTCTCAAAAGAATGAAGGCTACAACAGCCTGAGTCTCTGTTTTTCACGAATTCCCCAGATGATTCTGAAACACACCAGCTCGAGACCCTCCACTGTTGCATGTTTGAAAGTAGTGGTTCTCAAACTTGTCTGCAACTAGAATCACTTGTGCAGCTTTTAAAACTCTCAGTGGCAAGACCGTACTCCAGACCACAAAACTCAGGGGTGGGGTGAAGGGGGCTGTTCATCAGTAGTGTAAATGTCCCCAGGTGATTTTAATGAGCAGCCAGGTTTGAGAACCAGCGTCCTAATGGGAGCAACCTCATATCCAGGTGTTGTGCCTCCTGAGCCTGGGAAACAACTCTGGCAAAAACCTTGCGTCTGAATAACTTTGTGTTCTCTGTCTCCATCTGGTGGTCATTCCGCTACATTGCTATTATTTACCTGTGCAACTTGGGCTCTTGTACTTTTAAGAAAGTTTGCCAAAAGAATCAAAAAAACCAAAAGACTTGAAATTTCAAGAAATAGAAATGGCTACGAAATATGCCATTATAAAGAACAGAATGATCTAAGAGTTATAAATGCATTTGAATAATGCATCTCAATCTTTGGCAGTACTTGGCAAATTAAAAAGCAGTCAATAAGTGCTACTTATTCCCATTATAATTAAACATAAGTTAGACCCCATCTTTTGGGTACCAGTGATTCATTTTGAATGAATGGCTTTAATTCAACAAAAAAACATATTTAGTCTTATTATACCTGGCATACTGTTGGCAGTGGTGAACAGACACAGCCTGCATGGTGAGAAACATTGTGTGCGTGCATGTGTGTATGTGTGAGAGATCGAGAGAGAGAGAGAGAGAGTGAGAGAGAGATTATTATTTTAATAAAAAGACTGTTTGTGAGTATACCGCTCCATGAGTTTTGTAACCCCACCCCAATCAGGATTCCAAACAGTGAGAGATTATCATTTTAATAAAAAGGCTATTTGGGGGTATACTGCCCTATGAGTTTTGTTGCCCCACCCCAATCAAGGTTCCGAACAGTTTGATCACTCCCACAAATCTGCTTCATGCTCCCTGTCGTGGCATCCTTGCCTCACCCCAATCCCTGGCCACCAACCGATGTTTTTTGTCCCTGTAGCTTTGCCTTTTCCATAATGTCATGTGTTCATACAATATGTAACCTTTTGAGAGTGGCTTCTTTAACTTACCAAAACTTCCTTCCTTCTGCTTGTTTTAGGTTTATTTTGCCCTTTTTTTTCTTTAGTTTATTAAAGCTGAGGTTTAGATTGTTGACTCGAGCCTTCCTTCTTTTCTAAAATAAGCATCAAATGCTATAAATTTCCATCTGAGCTCTTCTTTAGCTGCATCTACACATTTTGATTTATTGTATTTTTGTTTTTGTTCAGTTTTAAGTATTTTCTAATATCCTCATTTCCTTTGAGACTACCTCCTTTGACCCATGGATTACTTAGAAGTATATTATTTAATTTCCAACTATTTAGAGATTTTTGTCAGTTATCGATCTCTGGTTTAATTCCATTATGCTCAGAGACCTTGCTTTGTATTATTTCTGTTCTTTTAAATTTGTTAAGGTTTGTTTTATGGGCTTGGAGTGGTGGCTCATGCCTGTAATCCCAGCACTTTTGGGAGGCCAAGGCGGATGGATCATTTAAGGTCAGGAGTTCGAGACCAGCCTGGGGAACATGGCGAAACCCCATCTCTACCAAAAATACAAAAATTACTCAGGTGTGGTGGCACAAGCGTGTGGTCCCAGCTACTCGGGAGGCTGAAGTGGGAGGATCGTTTGAGCCCGTGAAGTTGGGCTGCAGTGAGCTGAGATTGCTCTACTGTACTCCAGCCTGAGCAGCAGAGCAAGACCTTGTCTAAAAAAGAAAAAAAATTGTTGTTTTATGATCCAGAATGTGATCTATTTGTTCTAGGGATTACTGAGAAAGGCAGGTTGGGGTGTCCAACTGTAATTGCTGATTTGCCATTTCTCTTTTCAGTTCTGTCAGGTTTTGCCTCATGGATTTTGAAGCTCTGTTGTTAGGTACATAGATGCTTAGGATTGTTAATGTTTTCTTTGAAAATTGACCTTGTTATCATTATGTAATGTCCCTCTGTATCCTTGGTAAATTTCCTTGCTCTGAAGTCTGTTTTGTCTGATGGTATGTAATTACTCCAGATTTCTTTTGATTAGTATTTGTATGATATATCTTTCTTTTTTGTCCTTTCATTTTTAATCTATACTATTTACTTAAAATGAGTTTCTTAGACACATATAGTTGAGTGTTGGGTTTTTTGTTTGTTAGTTTTTTACATTCAACAATCTATCTTTTTATTAGCATATTTCAACTTTTTAAATTTAATATAATCGTTGGTATGTTTGGATTTACATTTAATATTTTATTGTGTTTTCTATTTGTTCTCTATTTTTCCCTGTGTTTTTCATTCCTGTTTTGACTTTTCCTGCCTTCCTTTGGATTATTTGAATTTTTTGGAATTCCATTTTAATTCACTGATTTTTTTAACCATATCTTTTTGTGTAAGTTGAAAATGTAGTTGCTTTAGGGATTACAAAACACCTAGGTTTTCATAGTCTATTTAGGTTATATATTTAGTGCTTCACGTGAAATGTAGAAACCAGCCTGACCAACATGGAGAAACCCGGTCGCTACTAAAAATACAAAATTAGCCGGGTGTGGTGGCACGCACCTGTAATCCCAGCTACTCGGGAGGCTGAGGTGGGAAGATTCCCTTGAGCCCAGGAGTGTCTTCAGGAAATTAAGGTTCTCTCTGTTCTCTACAGGTCAAGTAGTTATGGACGGTATCCTGAACATTCTAATTTTGTGTTATGAGAATCTGGGCCATGTTGGAATCCTGTGTTTTTGCTTTGGCAGGCAATCGTCCTGGTTAGGTTCAGTCACAAGTTCCCACCTGCCTCCTGCGGGTTGTGGTTCAATATCAATTAAGCTTCAGAGCCTTTGCCGCGCTGTTCAGATCCGCCCCGTGTGTGCGCCACCCAGTGGCGGGTACGAGACTGGACAGTGCCTTGTCCCACCGTTCAGTTCTCAAAGCCTTTGTTCAGATCCACACATGGAATGCCTGGGCATGAGCCCAGGAGTTCACATACAACTTTAGGGTATTGCCTTCTTGCGTTCCCTCCTCTCTGAAATCTCAACACTTTACAGTCTCAGGGGTCCCTCTTTCCGGTCCTCTGGCTAGAAAGTCAGGGTTTTAACTGTACTGCTCTGCCCTACAGTTTCTGTGACTGTCTGCCTCCACGGCCAAGCATGGAAGGTTGTGTAAAGAGAAAAAAGCCATGGGCATGACTCCCTTGCTGTTGGGACCATTCTTCCTCTGGCAGAGAGATGAGTTTCCTTCCCTTGAAGTTCTAGGCACCTGCCTGGCTGCCACTGCTGCAGTGAGATTGCCTAGGGGCTGGTGTGGGGAGAAAAGAGACAGCAAACACAGGATTTCCCCGCTTTTGCTGACCTATAGGGGTGCTTACCTCTCTCCTAAGGTCAGAAACAGAGGCTCAGAGCTCTTTCTATCTGCATCTGGTATGCAATTCCAGGTTTTGGTTCATCTTTGAGTCCAGGCCAGGAGACCCCAGAGGGGGAATAAAATGGCAGACTTACTGCCACTTTGGTGGTGTTTAGAGTTCTCTTTTCCTTCCCTGATCTTCCTGCTACCACCTTGTTTTCAGAGCTAGCTGCTCCATGCCTGTGGTCCAGGATTCATAGTAACATTCAGTGGGAAAGACAGGACGGAGTATGACTGGAATGAGAATGGGAGAAGAATTTTTATTTAAAAAACAAAAGCATGGATTTTTAAAGGTTGAAAAATGCACACTAATTGGGGGAGAAATTTCTCTTTCCCTCCACAGTGTGGTAGCTGTAAGCCTGATTCCTGGCTTGAATTTTTTTATTCACTTTTCCAGATGACCTTTAGAATCATTTTGTCCTTAAATTAGCCAGGTGTGGTGGCACACACCTGTAATCCCAGCTACTTGGGAGGCTGAGGCACAAGAATTGCTTGAACCCATGAGCAGAAGTTGCAGTGAGCCAAGATAATATGACTGCACTCCAGCCTGGGTGACAGAGTGAGATTCTGTCTCGAAAAAAAACATCATTTTGTCCTTTAAAAAATTCTAATTTTGATGGGAATTTTATGAAATGTATAGATTTGGAGGAAAGTAGCCTTTTAATAGATTGAGTCCTTCAGTCTAGTAATGATATATCTTCTCATTTAAAAAAATCTTCTTTTATGACCACTGGTAAAAGTTTTTATTTTTTTTCCTCAGAATCCTTGCATAAGCTTGGTTAAATTTATTCTCAGGTATTTTTATTATTAAAATTTTTATTAAAAATCAAATTGGTTATTGCTGATATATAGAAGAGCTACTGATTTGGCATGTTTACTTTGTAACCAGCTGCCTTACAGAACTTTTATTGGTTTTTTTACTTTCTGAATATTGGTTTAATTACTTTCTGAATTTTGGTTTTATTACTTTCTTGGTTTTCTGCACACAAGGATTTGTGAATCCAATCACTCAGACTGGTTTTCTGCAAATAATGATAATTTGGAACCTCTTTTTGAAAAAAAACTTTGAAAATTTTGATTTTTGGTTTATTGAATCACATTGGCCATTAAAATTTCTTGTACAGTATTAGGTAATATTGGTGATATCATTCTTGCTTGTCTTGGTTCTGAGTTTTAGGGAAGTCCCTATTAAGATAGGTATATTTCATTATGCTAATGAATTATCTTTTTGAATTCTTTTTTAAAAATAATTTTGATCAGAAAAGGATACTGCATTTCGTCACTCTTCCAGCATCCATAAAGATGACCATTTGTATTTTCTTATTTGACCCACTAATGTGATTGCATTTTATTAATAGGACTTTCCTGCATTCCTACAGCAAATCCTGGTTGGTCATGGTGGAGACTGTAAAGCAATCATTCTCAAGGAGGGGCTTTTTCACGCAGTATGCCTGGAGAGAGGCTGCACCACCACCGCGTTCCTCCCCGATGAGTCCAGTGAGCCACGGCTGCGGGCTACGGTGTTGTGGTGCTCGGGTGTGTTGGAAGGAAATGGTAATTGAATGAGTGCTCATTTTCCAAGACTTTGGCCCCACCCCTAATATAATGTCCATGTTCCTGGAGCTGAGGATGCCTTCAGCCTAGGCTTGAGGACTCAAGGTGTGTACTAGAACCAGACAGACATTCTCCAATATCCCACTCTAGGGATCTTACTCCAATGAGAAGCAGAGAAATGCTAGCCCCGGGAGAAGACCTAGGAAAAGTGTAACAAGAGGCACCATCTGTCACTGAGCCCCTCTCTCTATGCCAGGCTCCGAGCCAGGTGCTTTACATTATGGGAGCTACTCCTGAACAACTGTGTGAGATACTGGTATCCCTTTACAGATAAGTGGTCAAGTGACTGCCCAAGGGTGTAGTCATTAAGTAGAGGAGTTGCCCTTTAAAACCAGGAGTAATTCCTGAGCGTGTGCAAGCTGGAGATGTGATTCCTGAAGACTGGCTCGCAGAGATGGGTCATGAGGCAGAACCAAGACCTACTCCCCTACTTCCCTGTTCAGTTTGTGTGGCCTCTCCCACTTCTAGTCCCTTCTCTTTCCTGGGAGGGACCCATGGGGGCTAGACAGAGGGCTGTTCCTAGTAGGATAGAGAGGTCCTGCAGCAGCGCCTCTTCCTCACTGCTTATCTTTCTGATCCAGGTTCCCGAGGCATGCCAGCTAGCACCTGACCTACAAGATTCCAGCTGTTTAACTGCCATCACAAAGGCTCATGATGTGTTGACAGTATTTCTGCCTGCTGCTCTGAAAATTCAAGGAAATAAATACCTGACATTTATTGAATGCCAGAAGCTGTTCTAAGAACTTTCTATGTATTATCTATTTTAGTCATTATAATATCCTTATGAAATAGGCACTTTTATCCCCATTTTACAGATGAATAAAATAAGGCACAGAAGGGTTAAGCAACTTTCACAGGTAGAAAGCTGCACAGCCAGGATTTAAGCCCAAGCTCTTAACCACTGCACTACATCAATGCAGCAAAGGCTGAATGAACCAGAGTATTTGATTTACTTAGCTCTTATGCTGGAAAGATGGTGAGGCTTTTGCTCATGGTCTGTATTCAAGCACAAATACCAAAATCAAGGACACCTTTGCATTGGTGCTCCATAGGAGGTTTCCTTTTTTGTTGTTTAGAGAGAAGGTCTTACTCTGTTGCCCTGGCTGGAGTGCAGTGGTGCGATCACAGCTCACTGCAGCCTTGACCTCCAGAGCTCAAGCAATCCTCCACCTCAGCCTCCTGAGTAGCTGGGACTATAGGTGCGCACTTCCACACCCAGCTAATTTTTAATTTTTTTTTTTTTGTAGAGACCGTCTCCCTATATTGCCCAGGTTGGTCTAGAATTCCTAGGGCTCAAGTGATCCTCCCGCCTTGGCCTATTGGGATTACAGATATGAGCCATGGCACCCAACCTCAGAAGAGGCGCTTTTCTTGAGTTCTGGAAGGGGATAGGAATTAATGTTTTGTTTGTTTGTTTGTTTTTTACTCGTCACAGAAAAGGTTCAAAGAGTAAGATAAGCAACGTCTCATAATGCTGTAGTCTAATGGACAAGGGCCCTAGCCATCTGTGCCTGGATGACTCTTCCTCCCAATTTTTAAGTGTCAAAAGATAATTTAGAATCTGGCATTCTGCATTAGAAATCTGAACCAGTGGAGCTGTGTGCTGATTTTCATCAGCTTAAGTTGTCTTTATTGTCAGTGGCTTCCTTTCCCCACAGCAGCTTTATGGAGGCACGTGCCCAGGCATATGAGGAGCTTCTGTCCTTTAGTGTATGTACACCCACAATGCTGCAGAGAAGAGAATCAGCATACTGTTGGGACACAGCAGGTACCACTGCCTTCTGAAGTTTCTAGAGGTGCTATGCCTTCATTGTTTTCCTGCACATGAACATTAACATCCACATCAGGATCTGGAAACCTTTACAGAAGCTGAAGTTTTAAAAAGAAAATGAATGGGATTTTATTCAAGATAAGGAAAGGATAAGAGTGAATCATCAAATGAAACCATGAGGCCACTTCACAAATATTTTATCAAAAAACTCACCTGAGAAAACTCAAAGAATCACAGTAATAAGCTGTCTATGCCATATTTTTTTTTTCCTTTTTTGAAAATGCCAAGAAGCTACTACTAAGAATGTATTCAAGAGACGGAAGTTCCAAGATTCATCACAGGGTCAGGTGGGCTCAACTTAGTTTCCTGGGCCCTCTATAACACTTCATGTTCAGAATTGTCTCCAAATAAAAGCAATTTAAGGGAACATTCAATATGGGTGTCTTTGCTGTGCTTGCAGTCTTAATTCTGTGGACACTGATATTCTATCAATGGAAAATTGAGCCTTTAGTGAACTTGAATACCCTGTTCCCCAATCACTGCCCAGAGAGCAGTTTCTGAGCAGCCAACATGTCAGAGGCAGGAAAACAGCAGCTAAAAGGCAAAGGAGAAAAATGGAAGACACCTGCCTTTACACGTGTATTTTAAGCTAAATAACCATGATAAAATATCACCAACACCCATTTTTTGTAACTTCTTAATTGTCCCACATCAAAGATAAGTATGGACAACTGTAATTGGTTCTTATATATCCCTAAATTCCTAATTGAAATCAATTCCAATAAATCGTTGGTGCTCAGTAGAAAAATGCAAAATTTAAATATATATATTCAGTAGAAGTTACCTTCATAACTTGTGGGGCATTATCAAAATATAATTGGAAACCCCTCTTTGTAACCAACTAACCAAATGATCTTTTCTTAAAGGCACAAATTAAAAGGTGGCAAAACAACCATATATTTAGTGTGTGGGATCACATTCTCCTAAAGAGCATCAGGAAATGTAGGTAGAAGTCAATGTTGTAGCCTAGGTTAGAAGGCCCTGCTTGCTGGGAGTTAACTCTGGTTATTGGATTGTGGGGAGGTGTGGCAGGGAAGGTGGTCAGGGGAACACGGGCACTCCAGAAGCTCGGAGCAGCAGCTCATCAGCTGTGAGGCACCGTCAGCATCCTTGCGTCCTGTGTGGCTGTGAGGCACTGTCAGCATCCTCGCGTCCTGTGCGGCTGTGAGGCACTGTCAGCATCCTCGCGTCCTGTGCGGCTGTGAGGCACTGTCAGCATCCTCGCGTCCTGTGCGGCTGTGAGGCACTGTCAGCATCCTCGCGTCCTGTGCGGCTGTGAGGCACTGTCAGCATCCTCGCGTCCTGTGCGGCTGTGAGGCACCGTCAGCATCCTCGCGTCCTGTGCGGCTGTGAGGCACTGTCAGCATCCTCGCGTCCTGTGCGGCTGTGAGGCACTGTCAGCATCCTCGCGTCCTGTGCGGCTGTGAGGCACTGTCAGCATCCTCGCGTCCTGTGTGGCTGTGAGGCACCGTCAGCATCCTCGCGTCCTGTGCGGCTGTGAGGCACCGTCAGCATCCTCGCGTCCTGTGTGGCTGTGAGGCACCGTCAGCATCCTCGCGTCCTGTGTGGCTGTGAGGCACCGTCAGCATCCTCGGTCCTGTGCGGCTGTGAGGCACCGTCAGCATCCTCGCGTCCTGTGTGGCTGTGAGGCACCGTCAGCATCCTCGGTCCTGTGCGGCTGTGAGGCACCGTCAGCATCCTCGCGTCCTGTGTGGCTGTGAGGCACTGTCAGCATCCTCGCGTCCTGTGTGGCTGTGAGGCACCGTCAGCATCCTCGCGTCCTGTGTGGCTGTGAGGCACCGTCAGCATCCTCGGTCCTGTGCGGCTGTGAGGCACTGTCAGCATCCTCGCATCCTGTGCAGCTGGGCCAGGACAAACTGGCTGAACTGCAGCTCTGCTTGCAGCTTGCTAGAAATACAACTTGGTAACAACAGGAGATTGTGGACACACTATTTTTCGTTAGTTTATTACAAAACTACAGATACAATACACAAAATTCTAATTCCGAAATCCTTCTACATTTTTTTTTTCTGAGACTAAATGCCCTCAAAGCCCGTCTGCTTGGCCTGTATTACAACCTGACTCCTCGGCTCCTGGATGCACAGGTCAGATGTTCCAACAACCCTGACCATGGCCAGTGCTATGGAGTCACTCCAAAGGTGGTTGAGCCCTCTGTGAAAATTTAAATGGCTGCTAAGTCATTCTAAATAAATAGTGAACGGATTGTTTCTGCCCCTAAGATGAAATCCCACAGATCTTATGCTCAAGCTCAGGTCTTCCTACTGCCGCCTTCGACATCTAGAAAGTATGGTGGGATCTTCACTGATTTGTTAACCCTGGGAGTGCCCCTTGTGATCCAGATGAGTCAAAACAAACGGCCAGGATCTCTTCTAAAAAGCCCATGATGGCCCTTCTGGCTGTGTCTCCAGTTGGTGCCTGGATGCTGCCCATGTGTTTAAGGGCCATTCTGACCATCTGGTCTCTTTCCTGTGGGCTGTGGGGTGCTCCAGTGTCATCTCCCTCTGCTCCTGATTTTAAAAACTGTAGAATATAGGACTGGACCATATTCCCACTCAGTTCAAGGGTTTCTTTCATACAAGGGAGGTCCGAGGCACTGGCCAAGCTCAAGAGGTGAATCAGTGCCTGGCAGATTTGGGTCCGTAGGCTGACACAGTACTTGAATTCCAAAAAGTCTATGGTGTCTTCACTCTTCTGTAAAGCGGTGACCAATGCATTCCAGATCCGAGCATACTGGTCAACAGACCCGTACTGCTCTCTCTTCCCCGGGACGGAAAGGGCAGCTGCAGATCTGATGCGCACTTTGAAGTTCTTGCATGATGTCACGACCGATGTCAGGGCATTGTAGGCCTGGGAGGTCCATGGGGCTGTCCCTAGAAAGAATCCACAGTCACTAAAACAAATGCAGGCTTAGAACTAGGTGGGGTGAGAGGGAGAGGGGTGGAAGGAAGCTTAAACACTAGTGCTCAAGACACTCATTTTATGTGTTCACTTCATTCTCACAATCATCCTGTAAGACAAGGGTGGTGACTGACTGTAGGATCCTAGGTAAGTGGCCAGGTGCCAATCCCCAAACCTCCCTCTTTCCCTACCTCAGCCTGCCACACGCTTAGAGCCTCTGCTACCCAATATAAAGCCTTTGGTGACTCAGAAAAAGGCTTCTTCTCTGGGAGGATTCTGTCCCGTTGGGGTATGGCTTTGTGGGCAGAGCGTGGACTGAACTGCAACCCCACCTATCCTCTCAGCTGGGCACTTCTGAGCTGTGTGCAAGCCACACACTGCATGCTCACCTGCAACAGCATCCAGACACTGCTCTGGCCATAGCCAGTCATGCATTTTATTGCAAAGAAAAAGAAAACTTACAATTTCAAGAATAAGATGCCCAGATTTCTATCTTTTCTCCACACCTGTAGGCCCTAGGAAATCAGCCTGCTTTCCTCCTTACCAGAGCTACTGCTACCCACTCCACTTTGGGGTGTCCTTACTCAAGATGGGTGACAGAGTAGAATGCAGCTTCTCTTAACTCTCCCAGCCCTTCCTGGCTTCTCTGTTGCCTCTGAAGACCGGCAAGCAGGCCCTTTCCATTTGGTGGATGCCAGTGCCATTGACAATGGGCCACTGCTAGAGCTATGAGACACTCACAATCCGACCCGTCAGAGTCCTTTATCAGTTTCTAGCTCCCTTTTCTTATGTGGCTCTTGATAGCTCTGCTACTGGATGCTTTCTAGTTCTCAAACTTCCTGCCTCTTTGGAGCTTCCCTTTCCCTCCAAGTCATGCAGGTAAACTTCTCTCTCTAGTAGGCTGAGGGCAAGGGCCATACAGGAAGGCTGGTAGGAGCCAACCACCACTGAGGTGCCCTGGTTTCAAGGACTTCTTGGCTCTCCAGAAGGCGGATAACCACCTCAATGGGCTCCAACCCAAAAGGTCACCCTTAGGTGACTTCCTCAATGGAAGAAGCCGGGAAGCTACCTTACATACTCCCAGCTGACTGGTCTGCCTGGACGCTCTGGGCAATAAAGGGGAGCAGAGCCAGACTCCCCTCACTTGATGTGTGCTCTCCTCTCCAGGAACACATCCTTAGGTCTCAGATCTGAGAGAGAGAGATGCAATAAAGCGAACGCTGGCATTCAAAGTGAGCGAGGTTTGGAGGCTCCGATCCATACACCTAAGCAGCTACTGGTCCTGAATGACATATCAAGGTGCATGGCATGCCACTACTTAGAGACAGATGCCCTCCTTACATTTATTAATGGCATCCACTTCTGTACACAGCTCATAGGGGATTTCCAGTTTATATTCCCTCTCATTCCAGTTTTTTTCCTTCCTGTTTTCTTGACCATTAAAGTAATATATGCTTATTGTAGACAACTGAGAAAATGAAAACAGAAAAAATCCTACCCATCCAGAGGCAATCACTGTTAATAATTAGTCCAATTTCCTTTCAGTCTTTTTTCTACCCATCTATTGAGATCATTCTGTAGAAATTATTTAATACCTGCTTTCATTTGTTTAACATCAGAAGTATTTTTCCAGATTATCAAATTCTTGTAAGTAATTTTAAATGGCAACAAAATATCCCATTATATATCCCATTGTATAGGTAATGATGTATTTCAATGTCCCCCTAAACTTGTCTTCAGTATGTCTCCATTTTTTCCTAATACTATGACAAATAACATGTGACAAACATCTTTAACAACAACGTAGATTGGTGTGTGTCCCAAGAGGCTTTCCACCAGGGAGTGAAGGGAAACTTTCTTACCTAAAGGAAGGGCAGGATTTTTAAATACATTTCCCATTGCATAACAAGCATTCCATCGGACTTTCATGGCAGCTTCTGTTAGAACAGTAGAAATTAGGGCCTGGATAGACTCCTCAATGATTTCTGCAAATGTGGGTTTTTCTATATGAGAGGGTTGCAGAAAATGAAGCAAATTTCCAAGGGCCCGGACTGCATTGCTTTTTACCTAGAAAAAATGTAAATGCTTTAGAAATCTGTTTGGCCAAAGAGATGTTTCCAAAAGTCTAATTTCAGCTTTAAAAAAACCCAGGAGGTCTTCAACTTCTTAAAGCAAGTCCTTGGAACTCACAAGGTCTGCTCTGGTTAACATCCTGAGCCATCAGAAATGTGAGGTTCTACAGAACTCCTCTCTCTGATTATTTATTTATTTATTTTATTTAGTGCTAGACAGGACCTCAGAGAGGTCCATCTTCCTTGTTTTACTGAGATGGAGTATAAGGACCGGGAACAACAGGACAAGGCTGATTGATAGCAAGACAATGAGGAGAAGCTAGGTTCCATAATTCCAGTCCAATACTTTTCTACTAGACTAGAGTCTCAACCTCTGCAGCCCATCAGAATCATTTGGGGAGGTTTCTCCTTTTGTTTTAAAACCGATTCGGAGGCCCTAACCTCAGAATTTCTGATTGAATTACTCTGAGGTAGGGCTTCCTGGGTGATTACCAGATTTTCAGAAGTAGTATTAAAGTGAGCACATGGTATGGGTCAGGTACTGTGCTAGGTGCTTTAACATAAGGCATCTTCATATCCAGTGAGGTATATAACTTCCATGTTACATGTGAGGAGCTGACCTTCAGAGAAGTTATGTAATATACCAAACTTACCCAGTTACTAAAGGGCGAGCCAGGGCTTGAATCCATGTATGTCTGACCTAAAGCCCAGACATGTGCTTTTTAAACTTATTAGTTTAACAGGTAATATTCAAAGCCAAGAGCTACTCATCTTTCTGACTTGTCAATTTTTTTTTTTTGGAAAATAAAAAAAAGTTAATTTTAAAAGGAATCTGAATATGTCATGTAGTATTACAATGGGCACTGATATTTTTCAGGAGGCAGGAGACAGTAAAGAAACCATACACGTGTGGAATGGGCCATTTATACCCTGAGCACACCCTCAGTCTCTTTTGAACAGGAGTACATTTGGTGGGACAGTCTGAGGAACATCAAGCCACACTGAACTACCACACTGCAGCTACAATACATTAACTATCTGTTTGGGAGATACTGGGTTTTGTTGTGAGTCTACCTTGTCTTTATCCTTGGATGCTTCTATAGCTGATCGTAACATTTTCAAGAGCAGGAGACCAGAGAACTCTTCCTGGAAACTTGGGTCTGGTGTTTCCCTGTTCCACCCAAAGCAGACAACACATGTTAAAAGGTAAATACACTTAAATATATACATATAGAAATATATTCAATTAGTATAAGCCTAAAAGTTTAGGAAAACAGTTTAACAAATCTGCTTAGATTATATCAAGAAACTTACATTATATATCTTTTGACCCAATAGTTCCCCACATAGGAATGTCTCAAAAAAAAAAAAATCTCAAAATGCAGATTTCATGCACAAAAATATTCCCTGAATATAAAAGCCTACAAGCCTAAAGACTAAAACAAATGTTCAGTAATAGAAAAATGGTTAATCATCACACAGTGATAATTATGTAATCATAAATAAGGATTTCTAACAAGTCAATAATAGAATGCTTACACATTTTACATGTTGCTTATACGCTGAAGTGACAAAAAGCAGGACACGTGCACATGAATAACCAGCTACCTCTGGGGAGGGGAACTAAGGTGTCAGGGTAGAAGAAAGGCTTCACACTGAATGCTGCTTTGTACTATCTGGATTTTTTTTAGCCTGTGAATATACTACTTTAAGAAATTTTTTTAAATGCATTTTAAAAGTACAGTAACCATTACTAAGGTTTTGCTTTTATGTTTTCTATAATGTAGACATATTACTTATATCGGCATACAGTATTTTTAATACATATATATCTTAATGCATTCCTAATATATATTAAGAACAGTTTATTAATTTTATTTTCTGAAGGAATATCAAACAAAAAAAGCAGGAAGACTGACTGCATAATATGCGGGAACTACTGCTGATTCTTTCATGGTAGAGATCGAGGACATTCTCTTGGGCCCTCAATCTCAGAAGTCAGCTGGGGAAAGCAAGCTCAGTCACCTACATGTTGACAATCAGAGTGTCTGTCAGGTTGCCCAGGGACCAGGCTGCTTTGGCTCGAACATTCAGAGACTTGTCTTCAAGTGACATCAATATTGCATTTGCTGCGTCTGCAACAAATATGACATCCTGTAACACAAAACAAAACACTGCAGTTACTTTAGCAGGTCATGCTGCTACCTTTGAAATTCTCACTTATTTTCAGATAAAGCTAGAAGCCTTCATGCACATTTCTACTTAGAAATAAAAATTCATCTACTCAATCAATTTACTGTTCTTATATTTTACAATTTGGACACTCAAAAAAATCCCAGGGGAAGCTCCCATAATTTTGGTATGTGCCATGGACACCCGAGGAGCCTATGGATTTTGCTGTTATGAACATCGAATATATAAGCTGGCCTGGGACAGTTATCTGTGAATTCTGTGCTTGGTTGATTTCCGTCTCGGGAAATAATGTTCTGAAAAAGAAATGCATTTCCAAAACACATCCTATGTACTACACATCACTCAGTGAGATAAATGTCACAAGTAAGAGTGAAAGAGGACATTATTTCCTTCTTAGTAAAAACTATGTCAGCTTTCTAAATGATGACTACCACCTGGTAATGACCCATTTCATTTTTATTAGATCATTCATTAATTTAAGCATTTATTGGGTGCCTAAGGTCCCAGGCTGTGTGCTAAGTAATTAAAAATTAAAAATAAATAACATATATATATAATATATATATATATATATATATATATATATATATATGGTAATGCCTTAGTTCATTTATATATATGGTAATGCCTGTAGTTATATATATATTTATGTATAACACTACATATATATATGTAGAGAGAGAGAGAGACAGAGAGTGTGTGTGTGTGTGTGTGTGTGTGTGTGTGTGTCTGGCTCTGCCACCCAGGCTGGAGTGCAGTGGTATGATCTCTGCTCATTACAACCTTCACATCCCAGGCTCAAGTGAGCCTCCCATCTCAGCCTCCCAAGTAGCTGGGACTACAGGTGCATACCACCATGCCTGGCTAATTTTTAAAATTTTTTGTAGAGACAGGGTTTTGCCAAGTTGCCCAGGCTGGTCTCAAACTCCTGAGCTCAAGCAATCCACCCGCCTTGGCCTCCCAAAGTGCTGGGATTACAGGCATGAGCCACCATGCCTGGCCCATGACCATATTTTAGTAGCAATTACAGATATCAGATTACAAAGCAATTTAGTTTCCTTTACCATCCAATGCAGGAGCTCTATATCCACAAAATAGGGGTGTCATGGACTACAAAAGGGGCACAGAAGAGCTAAATAGGCTCACTCTGACCTGTCTGAGACAGGGAAAAAGCACATAGACTCCCAGGGCCCGTGAAGTTGCAGCTTTCACTAAGCGATTCTTGCTGTCATTCAGCCCGAGCAGCACTGTGATGCACAGCATCTGCCTGTCATTCTGCAATGAGAAGGTTGACAAGGGAAAAATGAGAATGAAATAACTACAAGCCAAAGGCTTCCATAAAAGATGTGAAATATCTGTGTCTGAGACCATAATCAGGAGTTGAACACCATTGCGACCTTGAGGCTACCCTGGTAAAAAGCAGGTTCAATTCAGATTCCATAATTATCTGAGCACCCACTTTGTGCAAGACACACACAGCATCTCATCACATTTAACCTTTATTAAAGTTGCCTTCTTTATAGAAGCTCATTTATGTAAATAAGAATGGAGGCAAATGTCACTGAGGACCAAAGAAAAAAAGCAGTCTGAATACTGCTATTCTGAATAGCAGTATTCTGAATGCTTATGCTCCCCCAAAATTCCTATGTTGAAATCTTCACTCCCAGGATGATGGTATCAGGAGGTGGGGCTTTGGGAAGGAGATGAGGTCATGGGAACAGAGCCCTCATGAAAGAGATTAGTGCCCTTATGATTGAGGCCCCAGAAAGCTGCCTGCCCCTTCCACCACCTGAGGACACAGCTCACATGGTGCCATCTGTGAGCCAGAGAGCGAACCCTCCCAAGGCACCAAATCTGTGTCTGTCAGTGACTTGATCTTAATTCCAGCCTCCAGAACTATGAGAAATACATTTCTGTTGTTTAGAAGACACCCAATTTATGGTATTTTATTATAACAGCTCAAACAGACTAAGACAAATACCATATGTGTTGGACAACAAATCTAAGTATTTTCACATACTTGTTATTTTTCACATGACTACCATCTTATTGATGATAATACCAAGTCTTAGAGAGGTTAAGAGTCAGCTAGCAAGTCGAAGAGCTGGGCTTTAACTCAGGCCTTTTAAACTTTGGATATGAAATCTTCCTGAAATCTCTCTGCCTTCCAAGCTTCTTCTACCCTTGCCTCTACCACCTACACTCTCATGCACAGGGGGAAACAGCTTTCCTGATATATTAAGGCTTCAAGTTTTCCTATTTGCTGTTCCCCAGTGCCCTCATCCCCAACTCAAGTAGAACTAGCGCCTTTTCATCAGAGATGATGCTGAATACTGGTTCAAAATGCAAAAGCATCAAATTCTAGCTCTGGTGCTCCAGCCATGATTTAAGGGTGAGAAAACACCCTCACATTACCGGCAGATTGCTGAAGGCCTCTGGCAAGATGGAAGACAGGGCATCACAGGCGCTCGCCTGGAGAGTTGGGTGTTCTGAATTCTGCAGGGCTCTGGGTAAAGGACCGTTCAGCATCATAGTCCAGAACATCACCACCTGGAACGGAGGCAAAGTAAAAGCTGCAGCCCAAGACATAACAGGGGAACCAACTTGGAGCTAAGCCTACCAGAAATGGCCTTAGTGAAACATTTTCCCTTAAAGTAGCAGCTTTCTGTAAGTGTTTTCATTGGTTCTTCTTCCACAGTGATGTAAGGACTTTGGTTTAAGCCTCCCGTTCAACTCCTGTTGATTAGGAGACTGCGGTCTGATAAAGTTACGCAGCAACAGTGATAATAATCAAGAGGAGGCTGAAGATGATGATGACAGTAACAGCAACAGCAGCGGCAGCTAATGTTCTTCAGAGAGCTCATGCCATGCCAGGCATTGCTCTAAGTATTTTACAAGTATCAACTTATTTTATTCCTTGGCACAAATAAATGGGGTCTGTAGCATTATTCCTACTTTTTCACACAAGGAAACTGAGGCACAAAGAGACAATACAACTTGCTAATCTGCAGCAGGGGTGAACTAGAATCCAAATCAGTTGACAGTCGGCTAGGGCTTTTTCAACTACTTTGCAGAGTCTGTGTGATAATAAAATGTAATATTCTGTGTAAGGTTTCTAGTGCAGGGCCTGGTACACAGTGGACACTCTTAAATTGGGCAGTCGGTTCTGTTTTCAGCACTTTGAAGAACTACCTCACTTCACAGCCTCTAAAGTAGCCATGTCAACAGTTTCTTTTCCATGCTTTATACATATCCTGTGATTTCATGTTCATTTGTGAATCTCTGTGGTTTTGGTATGTTTTATTTCTGTTCCATGGACCTAGTCCTGGGTTTTGCTGTGTATGTCATGCACCAGTTCTGTCTTTCTCCTACTTCAGCTCCTGGAAACCCAGTCTGGGTCCTCCCTGCCCCACTCCAGAAGAATGTGGACAAAAAGTGGTTGCCAGTCTCCAGGATGGCACACAATTACAGTCACCTACTAATATTTACACCCTTGTGTAGTCCCCTCCCATACTGAACAGGCTGACCTGTGTAACCAATAGGATTGTTGTGGAAATGACAGCACGAAACCTCCAAAGCTAGGTCATAAAAAGCACCACAGCTCTGTCTTGCTTTCTTTCCCTTGGATCACTTGCTGTGAAGGAAGCTGGCTGCCATGTCAAGAGGATACTCAAGCAGCCCTCTGGAGATGTCCTCATGGGGAGGAAATGAGTTGAGGCCTTCTGCCAGCAGCCAACACTAATTTGCTAGGTCTATGGGTGAGCCACCCTGGAAGAGGATCCTCCAACCCCATCAAGTCTTGCAACCCGTCAGTTGACTGCAACCCTGGGGGCATCTTGATCCCAACCTCATGTGAGAACTAAGCCAGAATCACTCAGCCAAGCCACTCCTAATTCCTGACCCACAGAAACTGTGAGAAAATAAATGTACATTGCTTTAAGCTGCTAAATGCTTAATTTGTTACTCATTAATAGACAAGCAATGTAGAAAACATGACTTTTTTTTTTCACAGATGAACACTACCTGAGTGTGAACAGTTAAGAGGCTTGCCCAAAGTCATCTATCTAGCAAAGGGAGAAGTTTGAATTCAAACCTAGTTCTGTCTGATAACAAAGCTCAACTCACTTCCCTGCACATGTTATATGAAAGCTTTAGTGGCATTCTAAGGCAGGGACTAGGGTTAGAATCTTTAATTCACTGCAAGGATGACAGAAATTGTGAAGGGAAAAGAATAGGCAGAATGCAAAGGGCAGAGGGAGCAAAGACCACCAACACTGAGCTAATTTTGCTTTTAGCACTAAGTAGAAGCCTTTTTTGGTGTGGTCACATGCCCTTCATCCATCTTTGGAACTGGCACAGTGTAGGGGTAGCAGAAACAACCTGAAATCACAGGAATTGAATAGAATCGTGGAGGGGCTGGTGAGGGGCGGCGGGGACACGGGTAACGGAATTACCTCCTATGTGTTAGCATCTTTACATGTCATTTGATTTTTCAACAGCCTTGTGACTGAAGGGTTATGGTTTATTATTCCTTTTTTACAACTAGGAAACCATGCCTATAACCACATATCCATTAAGTGGCTGATATGGTTTGGATGTGTGTCCCCTCCAAATCTCATGTTGACATGTGACCTCCAATGTTGGAGGTGGGCCTAGAGGAAGGTTTTTGGGTGATGCAGGCAGATCCCTACTGAATGGCTTGGTGCTATCCTTGTGGTAATAAATGAGTTCTTACTCTGTTATTCACACGAGAGCTAATTGTTTAAAAGAGCCTGGCATCTCTTGCTTCCTCTCTCGCCATGTGACACACCTACTCCCCCTTCGCCTTCCACCATGACTGGAAGCTTCCGGAGGTCTCACCAGAACTAGATGCTGGCACCATGCTTCTCGTATAGCCTGCAGAACTGTGAGCCAGACGAACCTCTTTGAAAAATAAATTGTCCAGTCTGAGGCATTTCTTTACAGCAGCAGAAAAGAGACTAATACAGAAAATTGGTACCAAGGAATGGGGTGTTGTTATAAAGAGACCTAAAAATGTGGAAGCAGCTTTGGAACTTGGTACTGGGCAGAGGCTGAAAGAGTTTGGAAGGCTCAGAAGACAGGAAGACAAAGGAAAGTTTGGAACTTCTTAGAGACTGATTAAATGGTTGTGACCGAAATGCTGATAGAAATATGGAGAGTGAAAGCCAGGCTGAGGAGGTCTCAGATAGAAATAAAAAAGTTTGAAGAACTGGAGGAAAGGTCACCTTTGTTACACCTTAGCAAACTTGGCTGCATTATGCCCATGTCCTAGGGATTTGCATAAGGTTGAACTTAAGAGTAATGACTTAGGGTATCTGGTGAAAGAAATTCTAAGCATCATTCAACAGGTGATGTGGCAGCTTCTCACAACCTATAGTCGGATGTAGGAGTAAAGGAATGACTTAAAGTTGGAACTTATCATTACAAGGTTAGCAGAGCATAAAAATTTGGAAAACTTGCACCCTGGCCCTGTACTAGAGAAGGAATCCAAGCTCGGAGCAACCACTTGCTAGACAGATTAGCACGACTAAAAGGGAGCCAGGTGCTAACAGCCAAGACTACGGGAAAACAGCCTGGAGGGCATTCTAGAAATCTTTGAGGCAACCCCTCCCATCACACACCCAGAGGCCTAGGAGGAAAGTGGTTTTGGAGGCCAGGCCCAGGGCCCCACTTCCCTGCACAGCCTTGGGGCACTGCTCCCAGCATCCCCAGCCTTGGCTCAAAGGGCCCCAGATACTGCTCGGTTTTCTGCTTAGTGGGTACAGGCTGTAAGCCTTAGCAGTTTCCATGTGGTGTTAAGCCTGCAGATGCACAGAATTCAAATGCGAAGAAGGCTTGGGAGCTTCCACCTAGATTTCAGAGGATTCCCTAAGCCTGGGTGCCCATGCAGAAGCCTGCCACAGGGACAGAGCCCCCACTGAGAGCCTCTACTAGGGCAGTGCCAAAGAGAGATGTGAGGTTGGAGCCCCTACACACGGTCTCCACTGAGCACTGCCTAGTGGAACTCTGGGAATGGGACACAGCCTACACCTAGCAAAGCCAGAAGGGCAAGGCTGCCAGAAGCCTTGGAAGCCCACCCCTTGCACCAGTGTGCACTGGATGCGGGACATGGAGTCAAGGACTATTTTGGAGCTTTAAGGTTTAATGTCTGTCCTGCTGGGTTTTGGATTTGTGTGGGGCTTGTTGCCCCTTTCTTTTGGCTGATTTCTCCCTGTTGGAATGGGACTGTTTACCCAATGCCTGTACCACCATTGTATCTTAAAAATCAGTAACTTGTTTTTGATCTTACAGGCTCATAGGTGGAAGGAACTTGCCTTGAGTCACAGCTGAGACTTTGAACTTTTGAGTGATGCCGTAAAGAGTTAAGACTTTGGGGAACTATTGGGAGGAGGTGACTGTATTTTACAGTGAGAGGAACATGAGATTTGTGGTGGCCAGAGGCAGAATGATATGGTTTGGATGTGTGCCTCCTCAAACCTCATGCTGAAATGTGACCTCTAACACTGGAGGTGGGCCTAATAGGAAGTGTTTGGGTCATGGGGGTGGATCCCTCTTGAATGGCTTGGTGCTGTCCTTGTGGTAATGAGTGAACTCTCACTCTATGAGCTCATACGAGAGCTGGTTGTTTAAAAGAGCCTGGCATCTCCCTCTTGCTTACTCTCTTGCCATATGACATGCCTGCTCCCCCTTTGCCTTCCACCAGGATTTAAAGCTTCCTGGGGCTTCCTCAGAGGTAGATGCTGGCACCATGCTTTTTGTACAGCCTGCAGAACTGTGAGCCAGATAAACCTCTTTTGCATAAAAAACTAGGTTTTATGCAAAAGAAATATTAGTTTTACTATTGCTGGTTATATGTTATACATAAGCCTACCACAAACTAAACTGCAAATAAACTGAAATGTAAAATAAAACCAATTTATACTAGTTTCATGTTTTCCTGGATTATAAAACATAATTTTTGACACTGGAAGAAACCATATCATCTACTCCATTTATCACTGAGCTTCAAAATAAAACTGCAACTGAAGCATTAATAAAAGAAAACTATGAATTGACATTTATTTACCAAGAAGACTGGTGCTCTCTGATCAGGTGCTGCAGTGGAGTCTGGTTTATACTGCTGTATTAAGCCTGTGCCCAGTTCTTCCAGAAGCTGCCAAGAAAAAGAATTACCGAAGTGGAGCATCAGAACTAATGAATGACTTCACTTGAGTAACACCTTCACTCTAGTAACACCTTCACTCTAGTAACACCTCCACTCGAGTAACACCTTCACTCGAGTGACACCTTCACTCTAGTAACACCTTCACTTTAGTAACACCTTCACTTGAGTTTGGAGATCGCCTCAAATCAAGGGGAAACATAATTTGCAACTAATTTTCTTTCTTTTTTCAGTCACTGTTAACAGAGGCATTCTTTCAAGGACTGAAATCAACAGCTATATCTTATTAATTTGTTACTGAGTCAATGCGTGGGGTTTATATGTAAGAGCCGAAAACAGAAGAATGCATGTCCTCCTTACCTGAAATCTCTTTAAGAAATCTCAGAATTGAAGGACATGTGGCAGAAGAATATAAAGTGAAGAAAAGGAAGGATATAAAGTGAAGAAAAGGAAGGATATAAAGTGAAGAGAAGGAAAAAGCATTGTGGTTTTGATGAAAATTACCTTTGCTCCATGAAGCTGAATGGATGGATCTGCTTCCCCCATGCACTTGCAAATCACCTCTCCAAGCTCCATCAAGTAGGCTTGAGTCATTGAAAAGTAGCCCCTTGCCAGAAGAGTCAATACCTGCAAAGAGAGCATGGAATTAACCCTCTAAGACCTGAGTGCAAGGCTGCAATATCCAGAAAAGTGTTACAATATTTCAGAAATCGCTTACATTTAACAGGGGCTGAAATCTGTTGAATGAAATTAAGAACCATAATCTTTATTTTGTGACTAACATCAATAAACTGTATCATAGTTTTATGGTGCTTTAGTATATGATTGCTTTTCATTAACAGAATCTCATTTAAGTCTTGGAACTATTCTTTAAAGTAGGTATTAACTGAATTTTACAACTAAAGAACCTAAGCCTGACAAGATGAAAGGACATGCTTCATGCTGCCCAGTTAATCAGCAGCAGACCTCAGGACCAGGCCTAGTCTCAGATCATATTTGTATAGAAAAAGTAAACTCTTTTATCTAGGATTGTTTTCTTCCTTTGAAGGAACAATTATTTTGTTACTCTAAGCAGGTACAAGACCAAGGAAAAGCTTATAGAGAATTAAACATTTAAGTTGCAAAAATCAAAAATTAACTGTACAATTTCACTCAGAATTATTCTACAATCTATTACATCCACTTGTCATATAATACCTGAAGGGACTAAAATAATTTGCAATCAAAGAACAAAAAGGAATGAATCTGCTATTTTACAACCAAAGAACACCTCCCCAAAACAAAACAACAACAAAACAATACACCACCCATACCTAAAATACAATTCCCACGAACACAATTGACATATGGCTTGGTTTTACCTGCTCGCTCCTCACAGTCACTCTGAAGGAGGAATGGTTACTTCCATTTCAGAGATGAGGAAATGAAATCTCCTACCTGTAAGGCCTCCAGTCGCATGGGGGATGGTTCGTAGGTGCTTCCTGCTGCAGAGCCAGCATCGCTACCTGAACAGGAATCCTCCTTGGGCAGTACGACAATGGAAATGCAGAGTCGAATGAGCCAGCAGGGCTCTGAAGACCCCTTAGGTGAGCTAACTGACGTTTCTTCCAGAGAGGGTCCTGCAGGGGCTTTCTTCCACCAATCAGGAGGGCTGAGGTGAGGGGTTGCTGAATTGCTATTACCGAGTCCAGAAGAACATGGCTGTTGCAGAAGTAGTTGGACTTCAGGTAAAGGTGCGTGGGTGGACACTATAGCTCCCAAGAGTGTGAGACTTGACACACGAACATTAACATCTGTCAAAGGAAGCAGTAAGAACTTATCATCATGGCAACAACTACTGTAAAGATGGTAGTTATCCCAGCAGGCAATTAAAAATTAGTAGTTCCTTGTGTAACCTGAATCTAATCAAACTTCTAGACCTCATTTCCAGTTTGGAAATACATGGGACAGGAGAGTAAGTTAACACCATAAAGAAACAATCTGACAAATTGAGAATGTGATTTATTTTGTTATCTTTGGTGACAGAGCTTAGAGTTCACATTCTATAAGACAATTGGGTTGGATTCTTTCCTAAGTCAGTTTGATATAAAAAAGATGGGTGGGGGGACTCTACATTTAAAAAGACTACAGTGACATAATAACTAAATGCAATGCATGTACCTTGAATGAACCCCGGATTTTAACAAGAAATATTTTTAAAAAGCTAAAAGGTCTGTGTCTAGACTCATTTTTTTTTTTGCATGTGATGTCCAGCTGTTCCAGCACCAATTGTTGAAAAGTATCTGCTCCTTTGTTGTAGATCAGTTGACTATATTTATGTGGGTCTATTTCTGGGCTCTCTATTCTGTTCCATTGATCTGTTTGTCTCTTCCTTGGCCAGTATCACACTGTCTTAATTACTGTAGTTTTATAGTAGATTTTGAGGTCAGGGAATGTCAGTCCTTCAGTTTTGTTCTTCTCTATCAATATTGTGTTGGCTATTCCAGGTCTTTTGCATATCCATATATATTTCAGAATCAGTTCATTGATATCTGCAAAATAACTTGCTGGAATTTTGATTGAGACTGCACTGAATCTATAGATCAAGTTGGGAAGAAGTAACATCTTCACAATATTGAGCCTTCCTATCCAGGAATATGGAATCTCTGTCCATTCATTTAGTTCTTTATTTGATCAGAGTTTCACAGTTTTCTTCATATAGATCTTGTACATATTTTGTTAGGCTCATACCTAAGAATTTCAGGGTTTGAACATTTTAATGAAAAAAAGTTACTTGAGGATAAAGTCAGATACTTGAAAGGAAACTTTGAGGCATGGTGCACTCTCCTCAGCTGAAGATGCAGATAATGAAAAGTTGGTACAGTGGAATGAGCAGGGGTTGTTCTCATCTTATTTCTGCCATGAATGTGATGGGAAACCTTAGGGTAAGACTTATCTTTCTGGGTCCCTTTTTTACATATTAGTGTAAGTAGTGAACTGGACTTAGTTACATCTCATTATCTCATTTGAGCCTCATAAAAATCTTATGATGTAGTTATAATTCTTGCTGTTAGGAAGAAATTAGGGTTCAGAGAGGGTCATGGCCATGAGATGGCAAAAATGGGAGTGGGATCCAGACCCTTGGATTGACTTCAGGTCCCATGCTCTTCCCACTATGTCACAGAAAACATCCACTATTCCTTCCTTGTTACAATTCTGCCTGAAAAACTGAACTCATCAGAATGTGGTCCGATCTGAAAGCTTGCAAACAAAAGAAAGGCAAATCTACAAAAGGCAAGTGTTTATAGCACAAATACATTATGTGTAGGAGGAAATAATAAGACTGCACTTAGTAAAGATTTGAAGTTCTGGGGTTTTATCTGAACTTCATAGGAAATAACAATAAAGAAGTTAAATTTTGTATTCCAGTTTTTCTTTCCAAAAAGTAGATAATATCTATCTGTCCGTCTGTCTGTCTATCTAACCATCCATCCATCCTCTACCTATGTGTAAGGGATATAAACAATCATACTCCTCAGGGGGGCTGCTTGCACCTGGCTCAATCTTAATTCTAAAGGGATACTCTGGTCACTGCCCTGAGCATTAAACAGGCAAACTTTACAATTAATCCTCTAGCTCACTTCCACTGGGACTTGAGGGGTCAATTCTTGCAACAGCTTATACCCCTGAAAAGTTGAGAAGAATAAGCAGAGATCTCTTAAGAGTTGTAAAAATGCTTTGAATATATACATATATCTATATCTGTATATTTTTACTAATAGTCTGCATCTGACTGATACAAAGAAGCCATCAGTTTTAAGCCACTACAAACCTTTGTGGCGAATATAAGGCTTTATCTGGTTCCAGACTTTGGTCAGCAGGCTGAGTTTTAGACGATCATAAGGTGCATTTGATACTAAATTTGCAAGGCACTGTAAAACACAAAAAGTAGCTCATCAAAAGGCTTGATTAAACCACAGCATAGAACAAATTTTGCAGCATTTAATTAAAAAAGAAAAGTTTTCACACAACTAAAAATTAGCCCCCCTTTTTTTTAATAACACTTGTATTCTCATTGGTACAACTAAAGATAAAGAAGTATTTTTAGCAAATCATTTATTGGGACATACAGAGATTATAGATAAGATCAGACGAGTAGGTACAGACTTCCAAATAGTGTATTTTTAATAAAACTATTACTTAGTTATATTCTTAAGTCAAGTTACTTTTGAGCTATGTAAAACAGTATACAAAATTAAAACAGAGAAGCCTGCTCTGGAACCCACAGTTGGTACATTACCTTAATTATCTGAGTAACGGTCTGTGAGGATGACTCCGCCACCAAAGCTAACAAAAGACATCTGTGCAACTCTCTAATGCTGCAAGCGATCATTACGGAGAAGGGGGTAAAAGCCCTTCTGTGGTCACTGGTATCTTCAGCAACAGAAAGAAACTGCTTTGAGCCTTCCAAGATGGCAGATAAAACTTGCAGAGCACAGGCACGTGTCTGAAATTTCGGGATGATTCACATTGATTAGTTGAAAATTAGGAGTCAGATTCCCTTCTTCCTATACATATTTAATGTTCAAAGTATTTACAATCATTTTAATTGGAAGAATAAAGGCAATGGGATTATCTGTTAGTTCCTAAAAACTAGGCCACTTGCGTCCCACACCTAAAAAAAAATCTTTATTTTATTTTTATTTTAGAGACACAGTCTCGCTCTGTCACCTAGGCTGCAGTGCAGTGGCGCAATCATAACTCACTGCAGCCTCAAACTCCTGGGCTCAAGCAATCCTCCCACGTCAGCCTCCCAAGTAGCTAGGACTACATGTGTGCCACCACACCTGGCTAAAAAAAAATCTAGAAACCCATTGCTGTTAGGTGTTTTACAGTAAGAAATAAATCTAAGCTACACCATAGCACAAAAATCTGAAATCCTAAGCATGAGAATAAGAATTAGAGGCCTGGTTTATTCAAGCAGAATGCCAACTGAAAAGTTAGAACTAAACAGCCCATGGGGTAGAAAAAACACATGTGCCTAGAGTCTGTTTCCTATTAAAGTTCCTGAGAACATTATGCCTCATATTCCACTCTGAAGTATGTGTGTTCAATGTTAACTTAAATAGGACTTTAGGAACTTTGTGTACATACTGCTTGGCAGACATCATTAGTGATCCAACTTTCAGAAACAGTCTTAGGTACAGGAAATAACACTGCCTGCAGTGACAGTATTTGACAATTCAAAAAAGGAATACCATTAAGTACAATCTTATGAATGGAAAGGACAAAAAGAACATCTTTGTCATGGACTGCTGTATTTGTTAGGAAAGGTGTCACTGGCACCAAGATTTTCTTTATAAGGTTGAAAGATTACTTTCAATTGGTACTCAGATGATTTTGTAGTATTAGAAAGGAAAAGAAAGCCCAACTTTACAAAAATGGGATATAGGTAATAAGCATAGGACTATTAATACGGAATAATATTGTACTCTCTTAGGCCAGCTCATCCAAAAATGATAATTAACATTTTCAGTCAAAAAATTTAAAAGCAGGGAACCAACATTACAATTCTAGAATCTAACCTAAATAGTTACTCAATATGAAGCATATCTGAGTTTGGAGCAAAAAAGGTTTTCCCAAAAGCCTTCAATTATATTATCTCCAAACAACCAGGTAATAAATCACCAGGCAGGCCTTTTATAGAGTGGAGTCGTAGAAATCTAGACTTATTGCTCTGAAGAGAAATTTGAAGTACAGTAGCATCAGACTTCAGAATTAAGCATAATCCCCTAAGGTGGGAAATTGACAATGTATTAGGAAACCGTGTGTATATGTGTGAAAAAACGAGAGAGCGAGAGCATGAACACAAGTCAGCTGATCCAAAAAGGACTTAGATCAGGGGCTGGCAAACTTTTCTGTAAAGAGCCAGCAGTAAACATTTTATATTTTAGACTTTGTGGGCCAGTTTCTGTCACAACCACCCAACTCTGTGATTGTAGCATAGACATGTAAAGGAATAAACGTGGTTGCGTTCCAAAAAGACTTGATTTACGGACAATGCAATCTGAATTCCATATAATTTTCACATATCACGAGATATTATTGTTTTATTTTAAAACCATTTAAAAGTGTAAAAACCATTCTTAGCTAACAGGCTGTACAAAAACAGGTGGTGGGCCAGATTTGCCCTACGGGCCACAGCTGGCCAATCCCTACTAGAGGCTCGTCCGAACTCAACAAGATAGATCTTATGCTAAACCTTCATTTCTTTAGAAGACAATTAAAAATCACAATTCCAACAGCTCACAAACTGAATGAAATTAAAAATCGAATGGAAAGAAATGAACTAATGTTCCAAAAGTCAAAAATTTTAGCACAATTTTGGCATCTTAAGGGGAAAATCATGACTATCACAGATGAAAACAAATGTCATTGAAATTGGTTATTTTTTTCCACTAAGTTACAAAATCTATATAGAAATTTGATACTATATCAAATTGTACTTCTCACAGTTCTGAGTTAATTTCCTTTAAACTCTGTTTAACATATCTTTGTTGTTATAATTGTTACTTAAGATACTGAATCTGGTACAAGTTTTGCTTCTTTTGCTCTTATATCAATATTTAATATCTGGTTTACCAGTCCTAATCAGCACTTTCAGCAGAAATTACTAACGTGCAAGTAAATCATAACAGGTGTAGCTCTTCAGAGAGCTCATTTTGTTAAGTTTTCATTGTCTGAATATTTAAAATGATGAATGAAAGGCTTTTCAGTCTTACAGAAGTCAGTGTGCTTGGTTTTACTAGTGTATAGTTTCACCTCCTTGGACATGAAGACTTGTCTAAAGCTAATAAAACAGAAAAGTACTTTTCCTTTTTTGCTACTTAAGAACGTAGCACAAATGTTTGCTGAGGTAGCCTAGTCAATCCTAATTTTTTTCCTCTTTATGTGTGTTTGGTCTCAGAATATTTCTGGAAGGGTGACAAAGAAGTCCCTGCTGGGAGTAGGTACATTGAAGTTTCCATGCAGGGCACATGACTGTTCACATGTTATTTTATTGGATCTCACTTCCAAAGTCAGTTGTCTTTTACGTAACAGCATTTCAACATTGTGTCAGGGACTCTGGGTTGGGAGGTATCTAAGTGATATGGTTTAGCTGTGTCCCCACCCAAATCTCAACTTGAATTATATCTCCCAGCATTCTCACGTGTTGTGGGAGGGACTTGTGAGAGGTAACTGAATCATGGGGGCTGGTCTTCCCCCTGCTATTCTCGTGATAGTCTCACGAGATCTGATGGGTTTATCAGGGGTTTCTGCTTTTGCTTCTTCCTCATTTTCTCTTGCTGCCACCATGTAAAGAAGTGCCTTTTGCCTCCTGCCATGATTCTGAAGCCTCCCCAGCCATGTGGAGCTGTAAGTCCAATTAAACCTCTTTTTCTTCCCAGTCTCGGGTATGTCTTTATCAGAAGCGTCAATACAGATACACTAATTAAAGACTGCCTGTTCTTTGCTAATACACTAAGCAAAGATTGCCTGTTCTTGGCTGGCCATATGAGAGAAAATCTACCATTCCATAACAGTTAACAATTCCAACCTTTTCATTCTCTTTTCTAGTTATACCACTATTATCTAGATTTCGATTTGTTTTCACTTTTTATAGTTATCTGAAACAGCAATAAATCATCATCATGAAATTTGTAAATCAGGATAATTCTCAAGGTACCAAGACAAAGGTTTGCCCTGTAGTTTGTTTCTTAAGACAAGTCTTGATGATATTCTCCATAATATGCGTTTATAACACCTAAGGAAATCATATCCAAGAAATTCTTAAATTAGTCTTGTTATTTTTATTGATAATTTGTTCTGTCCCTTTTGGAAGTGTATAAGATGTGCTCTATGAAGCACATTTCCAACATGGAAATGTGATCATTTCCCAAGTACCACAGCACTGCCAAATCCGAATGGACATTTCTAAGTTTTCTTCTCCCCAATTAACCATTCTAGCATATTATGTTTCAATTTCCTAAAAGTAGCCTCTGTTTATTGTTGGCATTCTGACTGGAAGAGTCTAATCACCTTTCCTTCTGTCCATTTGTCTTTAGAAAATTTCTTAGTACACCAGTTAAAATTGTGCTTCCAGCTGAGTATGCCATGGGTCATATCAGACCTGCCATAAACTCAAAACTAATCACTAAGCACTTCAATGACAAGATAAACTACAGTTGTCTTATTTAATCCTGGCTAAGAGGAACTCCAGCCATCTAACTCTATATGCACAAGGAGCACCTGAGATGACCACTTGGCCTGGAGTCATGGCAGCTCTTTTAACCTGGTCAATCCAGAATGCTGTTCCATTCTAATTACATGATCTGTTATTTTTAATTTTAATGCACATAACTTTCTAGAAGTCTTTATTTTAAAAGCCTGTCCCACTGGGCCGGGTGCGGTGGCTCAAGTCTATAATCCCAGCACTTTGGGAGGCCAAGGCAGGCACATCACCTGGGGTCAGGAATTCCAGACCAGCCTGACCAACATGGAGAAATCCCATCTTTACCAAAAATACAAAATTAGCCAGGCATGGTGGTGCATGCCTGTAGTCCCAGCTCCTCGGGAGGCTGAGACAGAATTGCTTGAACCCGGGAGGCAGAGGTTGCAGTAAGCTGAGATCTCACCATTGCACTCCAGCCTGGGCAACAAGAGCAAAACTCTGTCTCAAACAAACAAACAAACAAACAAACAAAAGCCTGTCCCATGACATCACCTACCACAACACTTTTTTCTAGCATATGTCTTGGTGCACAGTTAATCACACTATGGACAGACTGCAAAGGTATGCTCCAAGCTCTGTTGTAAACAATAATTACCACACTTATTTAAACCCTTCCAAGCTAACACTTGATTAAAAGAATCTCTTAAGTACGATCATTTCACTTGCCATTACACTGAACTAATTTAATTTCTTTCATCTTTTAAAATCCACTTTAAGTAGGATGACTTTTTTTTTTTTTTCTCTAGGATTTTCTTGTGGCTTTTTGTACTGGATCTACAACATCTCCAGAAGGAAGTTCTGTATCTTTTTTCCTCAGCACATCTCTTGCATTCACCAAAGTTAAACAGCAAGAACAAGTCTAAAAGGTACCTAAATCAAGGAGATGGATAAGACCACTTTGCAATAGGTGAAATTTCTCATGGCACTTTAAGTGAAATGTAAACATTTAAAAATATATGAAGATATAAACATCATGAAAATTATTCCAATTCATTTTCATCAGCTATGACCTCATAACCTTTTTGTATTCCTGTTCTAAACCCCCGTGTCCCACATCCCCTTGGCTGGGCAGCTGTGATAAAGGTGATAAAGCTGGGCTGCTTCTTGCTCCACAGCACCATCTCGTTGGCCACTGCTGGCAGCTCCCCTAGCTGGAGGGTCTTCAAATATATATTTTCAATATTTTTAGTAGCTTTTATTTCAATTACTCTAATGGCTTCATTACTGATTTATTTGCCACCACTCATTTTTCCATTTTTCTCCTAGGTTCTCATTCACTATTGATTTAGTTAATTTGTAAAATTTCTGCCAGTTTAATTTCCTAGGATAAGGAGTATTTGAAATACCCCACAAGTCATTTTTTTGCGTGTATATAAAATTGAGGCTAATTTATTTTTCTTTACCTTGTAAAAGCTTCTGATGGGTCATCCAGAAATTTTCTTATATAGTAAGTTACTCAAGGAGATGACTCATATGGAATTCCAACGTATTGTGGGTTACCACCCCTGACCCCTTAAGGAATAATCTTAAAAACAGAAAAGGAACAATATGCTGTTGGCCTAATTAAAACTCCTCTTTGTGGGTAGCTGGTTACCTGAGGACACCCAGATGCCATTCAGCATGACTTTTTAATGTTCATTATTGTAAACAGCAGGCTATTTTCCTTACTTGGTTAAGTGGCTAAATTCTGGAGAAGAATTAACATATTCAAGCGAGGCAAATATTTGATAAGCCATGAGATATCTTGCTATAGCTATCCATGCCTGCCAATCATTTTTTTCTTCTTTTTAAAAATAAGTTTTTCTCATTAAAATATGTAAATATTTATTACACATGATTTGAAAACTAGAAAAGTTGCAAGAAAAAATCATGTTTGGGATCCTACTGTATACATAATTCTATATCCTGTGTTTTCACAGAACATTTTGGGCATTTTTCTAAGCCTTATGCATCCTTCATAGCCATTATGTACCATGATATTCTACTGAGTTGTTTAAGCCATTTCTGATGTTTTCTTATTATAAATACCACAGCAATCAACATTTTCATAAAAGGAAGAGAAGCACAGCTGCTTCAGTGCAGTTCAAGGGAGACACCAAAGTTAGAATTCAGTGTGCTCAGGCTTCAAGCAAGCCCTGGGGCAGGAAGCGATCCTACATGATCAGCCTCAGTGTATTATTCACATAAGCCCACTTCCTATTTTCCTGTCTGTCCAGTGGTCAAGTCGGAACTTGGGTCAGTGTTACTAAGAGCTATATTCAGATCAGACAGGATAAGGCAGAGATAACAATAAGGATCTGTAAATTTTTTCTTCCTATTATAAAGCTTAGAGTTTAAATTCTCTTACCTTTGGAGAAGGGTCTTTCAATGTAAGAGTCATCAAGGACACTGACTGTGGGCTGCCAAGTTCAGGCGTATCAGGAATAAAAGCTGACCAGTAGCCATAAAGAACTTTTTTTTCTATCGATTTTATAGTAGAAAGAAAACAAACTAAGGCTCCTTGGCGAACTTTAGCTTGGTAAGACCTTTCATAACCAAGAGAAAAAAGAAAAAACACTTAAAAAATCATTTTTTTAAAAAAAATGCAAACATGAAATGGTATTTATTTCCACCAATTCAAATGATACATTCAAAAATTAAACATTCTAAATAATTCCTAAAGATGTCAATGTGTTATTAAAAATTTTTCTTTCAAACTACAATCAAAACATGTTAAGACAATTTGTCTCTATAACAAGTTATTAAGGCTGACAATTAAAAAACACAACTGGAGAACAAGAGGGCAACATTTTGATATCAGGACACTGGTGTTAGACATGAAACACTGCCGAGTATCCATCCATCCATTCAACGAATATCTACTGAATGACCTATGTATGTGCCAGGCATCATGCTGAGGCTGCCAGACATAAACAAAGCCCCAGCCTTGACAAGCTAGGCAGCGAGGGACAGTTAAGGAGATAACTATCACATGTTACGAATAACACCAAGGCAGAAAAGGCTTCCCGGGGAATATGATTTCTGAGCCCATATCAAAGATGAGTAGTGGTTAGCAAGACGAAAAGGCAAAAAAGAATATTCTAAGGAGAGGAATGACATGTGCAATGGCAGATCAAGAGAACAAGTCGGCCGGGCGCGGTGGCTCACGCCTGTAATCCCAGCACTTTGGGAGGCCGAGGCGGGCGGATCACGAGGTCAGGAGATCGAGACCATCCCGGCTAAAACGGTGAAACCCCGTCTCTACTAAAAATACAAAAAATTAGCCGGGCGTAGTGGCGGGCGCCTGTAGTCCCAGCTACTCGGGAGGCTGAGGCAGGAGAATGGCGTGAACCCGGGAGGCGGAGCTTGCAGTGAGCCGAGATCCCGCCACTGCACTCCAGCCTGGGCGACAGAGCGAGACTCCGTCTCAAAAAAAAAAAAAAAAAAAAAGAGAACAAGTCATGTTCTGAATAACACCATGCCCCCCAGAAATCAGGCTCTTCAAGTTAAATCACATGCAGCATTCAGGTTAAGTTATAAACTTACATGCAACTTAGAATACAAGGTATAAAAATGTAACAAAATACTACTACCTCATTTTACTCTGCATGCCTCCTTCAGCATCAGAAAAGTCTGACTCACTACTGCTGACCCTTTTCCAACTGGAAGAACTGAAGGATGAGGAGACTCCATCTTTTTCTGCAGCTCCACTTCCATCTAAAGGCAAACTCTGGACACCCAGGGAGGAGGGACACCAAGTGTTCCCTTCATGCAGGTTCACTCTGCCTGTGCCAGTGACTGGGGCTGCCTCTATTTCACCACTGGATTCCTTTTCCTCCTCCTCTCCTTGCTGGATTTTCTTTGGTTTTACTTTGGATTTTTTCTTTTTATTCTGATTGTGGGAGCAAATGAAGACATATATAATAACTACTTCAGAATGGCTTTTCACTGAATCGTTACTTCTTCATTTTAAAGTGACTAAATATGTCCCCAACATGTAGTTTAAAGAAAGAAGAAAAGAGAAAAGAAAAAAGTGTAACTTCATTAATACCCTAAACATCAGGCATGATGCTAAGTGCTTACTGTCTACTATAAGAAAGAAGGAATGAAATACATGAGACACAGTTAAACACGTGGCCTGGGTTTAAATTGTACCTCTGTGCCTTGGGGCAAATCATTTAGCCTCTCTTGAGCTTGACCTTGCTTATCTGTAAGTATGCGGCTAATACCTCCTACCTTGCACATGTGTTGTGAAAGTATTCAGCCTTCTCAACTGGAATTTCTCAAGAGCATTAAAGCCTATAGAAAATGACTTGAGTGTCTATTTTATCAGTTCTCCGAGTAAGATACATAGCTAGTACCACTCCACATGCCTGCACAGAAGAGACGGTAGTCTATTACATACAATGCTCATTTCAGGGCTTTGGGTCTCTGTAGAAGTAGATACTAAGTAGAAGCCAGTTTCTTTCTTTCTCCCTGTTACTTTCTTTCTGATATCCAAGTATATCTGGAATCTGTGTCTTCCTCCACGTTCTCAAAGTCTGTGGCCTTGAGGAAGGAAGTTCCCATTACTTCTATCTTGGACTACTTATTGTGGCCCCCAGATCCATATTCTTTTATTTGCTATCACAGTGATTTTTCTGACACAAATCTGATCACATCATTCCCCTATATAAGATTCTTTAATGAATCTCTATTGCCTACGAGATAAAAACCCAAACTACTCAGCCTCCTGTACAAGAATCTTATCATTCGGCCTCTGCTACACAACGGCTCCACTCTTTCTCTCCCCGCACTGAAACTCTAGTCCTACTAGTTAACAAATGGGCAATATATACTCTCATTCTCTATGTCTATGCACCTTTTGGTTTATCTGCTTGAAACACTCATTCCTCCTTGTCTGTACTGCTACTCACTCTGAAATCTCTGTTTAGCTACCACACCTTTAAAAAGCCTCCTCTTCCCCCTCCATTTAGACTGAGTGTCCTCAATGTGTTCCCAGAGTACTCTGTGAATATTCTAATGAGAGAAACAATAATATTGCATTGTAGTTGTTTATTTATCCATCTTTGCCTTCTCCCTCAAACTCCTAAAAGCAGCCAGAGTCTATATACTTAGTGCTTAGCACAGCGTCTGGAACACAGCAGATGTTGGGTAAATGCTGAGTGAGTGAATGAGTGAAATAATTTCTAATAAGAAGCACTTTGATCAGGTATGACATTTCTGGAAGTGAATCCTTGGCCATACATCTGTATGCTCCAGGTTCTCCAACCAAAGCACGAGGGAGATGGCAGCTTCTGGAAAGGCTGGGAAATCAGGTGAATGTAAGGTGTGGAGATGGTGCGCTGACTGGTAGGTGGGCTTCTAACAGTCTAGAGTGGGGTTGGCAAATTATGGCCCAAAAGCCAAATCCAGCCCAGCACACAGCCTGCTTCTGTAAATAAAATTTTAGTGAAACACAGTCATGCCCATTCATTTACATAGTGTCTATGGCTGCTTTTGCACTGTTACAATAGAGTTGGTAGTTATGACAGAGACCTGAAGTATTTACTAGCCTAGTAGAGAAAGTTTAGAGAACGTTTGTTGACTCCTGGTCTTGAGCATCATGGGGATGAGAATGCTTGGTTTGGGGTATAAAGTGAATGCTCATTTTTATAGCTGTTATACTGACTACACCTCTAAGAAGTATAAGATGCTTTAATTGGTATTTTGAGCATCAGATGAGTTTAAATTTACTATGCTAACAACCCTAAACTGAAATAAAATTCAAGGTAGGCTTTTAGGGTAGTAGTGATGCAAATCATAGAAAACACACACAACAATCTATTAAAAATAAGCCACAACTTAAATCTAAATAAACATAAATGTACCAAAGTTGGTCGAGAAGCACTGGATTCTGATTGCTGTGGTTTGATAGGTGTTCGCCCATCATACTGAGGAAGCGGAGTTGGGTATAACACCGTGGGCATCTCTATGTTTAGTCCAGGGAGTCCGTGAAACATGAATTTCTAATAATGATGAATAAGGACACACACACACACACGAAACCAAAAAAACCATTAATCATAAACCATTAATCATAAAATAGAACTATTTACCATGTCTGGATCACAACACTCATAGATAATGTTCAAAAGCCTACTAAGGAAATATAAATGAGATAGAAAATAGATACCTTGAAGGCATAGGGCTTAAAGAAGAGCTGAAGTTTATCTGGCCTCCAGCTGGATTTGGTTTGGTCAGATCAAATCAGGTCTGGTTTTAGTTTCCTTATTTATTTATAAAATTTATCCAATTACTTTATCTGTCTATAATTTTTTAAACAAATTTATCATTTTTATTTACCTATCTCCACCTATAGCTATCTCTCTATTTGATGTGGGAGCAAGAGAATGCCACAAGGAAAGAATTACTTCTTACTTTGCTGGCTGAAGAAGCTGGGTCCCCAGAGATGCTGGCCTGACTTTCCGACTGACTGGCACGCTCGGAAGCTGCCCATTGACACACGTCTTGGTTGGCCTGTCTACTACTTGGAGGAGAAAGCCAAGGAGAAGCACTGGCTCTTCTTGTACAAACAAGTACAACATAGTCTATAATTAAATATTCTATAGGTCATACTCCCCTACCGATTCCCTTCCTAAGATTCATAAATAATTTTAAAATTTTGATGCATTTATTAAATGGAGATTTATTTTCTGTTCTTAATATTAAGTGTCTTTGAATATGAACATTTTTGTCTACTCTCTCAAAATATATGTAAGAACTTTTAATACCTCAAAGTTAGCCTTAGAATAAGGATGTAAAGTGGTCCTTGTACCATGGGTTGAAACAGGAAAGACAATGATCATATGAAGACTTGCCTTACCTTTAGCACAGCTAAAAGTGCTCCAAGTTCATCAGTCTGTGTTAGTTTCATTCTCCCACCATTTAGAAGTGACTGTATACCTTTTAATGCATTTTGCAATAACTAGGGGGAAAAGGGAGACCCAGTTAGAAGGCAGAATAAAATCTGGTTGTCCAGGAATCAACTTACTAGCACCACTTAGGATGGAAGAGAGACAGTCTCTAGATGATGAAAAAAAACTTTATTATAGACACACATATACACACACAAAGCAGAAATGAAGATCTAAGGAGACCTAATAAACTACCATGAATTCTTTTCTAGAAGAAAAGAATAATGAAGTGGTCTTATTGTACATGTTTATAAACCACTATGTACAAATGGTGAGCAAGAAAAAAGAGAGAAGATGTTTAGCAAGAAAAATGTGACAAGGGATAAAAAAGATAGCACAGATCAGAATTGGGAAAGCTCTGTAATATGGCAAACCCAGCCCTCTTAAAAGCAAGGGGATGTATGTGGGAACTGCTGATAAATTATAGAAACTTGGTTTCTGGAGGGCAATTCTGACCAAGATTGATTTCTTGACTCAGTAATCTCATTTCTAGAACTCTCTCCTTAAGAAACACTTCCGACATTGGGATGATGTGAACTGTAGCCTTGTTTGAAATAGTGGGAAAATTTTAAAAACTTCAATTTTGATGATTATGATAATGATTATAAAAGAAGCTAACCCTCTGCTAAATGTAAAACTCAACAACAATAACAGTAGGCCCTTTGAATGCTTTATTTCATATACTTCTCATAAGAACCCCACAATGTGGTTATATCAGTCCCTTTTCAGGGAGGAACACAGAGGCTCCAAGAAGTTAACTAACTTGTCCAAGGTCTTCCAGCCATAGCAGTTAGAAACTATGAGGTATATTAACAGGAACCGAATAGATGTCCCAGAGATATTAAGTTTTAACAAAACAAGAAAGTTACAAAACAGCATGTTAAATATGATCCCACTTAAAGCTGTAATTATGCTCATTTACATATAGAAAAAAAAATCTGAGGGCACACAGCACAAATTGTCTTCAGTGGCTATATCCGAGCAGGAGACTAGAAGGAACTTTATCTCAGCTATATAACATTTGAAATGTGTTACTCTAAATTTAAAAGATGTTAATAAACTGTCGTTTGCATCGTATTTTTAAAAAAGAAATAAAATATTGCAGATATATTTGGTGAAATCTCTCTTTACTTTCATCTTAAAGATAGTCACTAGCCTGCAACTATTGCTTTTATACTCAGAAGGAAAAAGAATAGTTTCCTCTAAAAATCTAGAATTGCAAAATATAACAAATAAAAAGCTTCTTATAATTTAAACCGAAATGGTATGATTTTAGTCTTTTTAGGTTACAAACATTTCATATATGTGTATTTCTCTAGACGAAGCTAATGGTGCAAATTAAACTCGTTAGTAACACTTTTCCAATCTGCTTCTAGACACATCCGCAACATTCACTACGTCAATGATAGTCCACTTACCATGCAAAATGTGATATCATCCATATCAGATGATTTTGGAGACTGTAAAATAGTCAGAAAAGCTTGGAAACAGACATTTTGGTAGGGCTCCTCCAAATACGGCTGTCCTGGCACACTAAACGCATACAGAGAAAACAACTCAAACTCAGTCTCCTTTAAAATGAGGCTTGCAAAAGACTAATTAAAAATAGCAGTAATATAGACTATTAGAGTTGGAATATACCCTTGAGTGCAACTATGCTATGGAAAATTATTATTTTGGTTAATTAGTTACTGCTGGGGGACAGGCACAGGGCTAGAATGAATATAGAGGAAGGGTGGTTTCCATACAGAAAGGTTACAGAAGTTTGTGGTAGAAGAACTATGGAGAAAGAAAAATCTTGTTTTAGTTCTGCTGTTCAGTCCTAGGAGGGAAATAATCCAGACAGGTCCTGTCAAGCTAGAATCACACATCTGTACCTGCCTTCCTACTCGCTGGACAGCACTGTGCTATGCAGAGACGAGTTCACATTTGTGCTGCTCATTGTCTACTGCCTACTGTGAGAATCGAGGGTGAGCAGCTGGGGCTGTTTCCATCTTCTTCAAAGAAAAGAAATTGCCCTTTACAGATACATCTCACCAGCACTTAAAATTTGCATGAATATATCCTTCTAAAAACTTAATATGCTTAGAATTTATATCAATAGAAAACAAAATTTTGACATACTGCACATTATGTCACTATTACCACATTTTAGGAATATGGTCCTAGTCTATTTTTTCCTTCTTTACAAGCAATACTAAAATTAACAAACAACATAAGATGATTTTATTAGTAAAGTACATGGGAAATGCAAAGTTAGTTATTTGTCTAAGTTGGCTCTGGCTTCAGGCACAGGGAACTACCTACAAAGGGCCCAATAGAGGCACTATCTTATTACCATTGAGAAACTTGACTGGAGCCACATACCTGAGACATAAGTTTGCCATACAATGTACTGCAGCTCTCCTGACTTCAGGATCAGACTGAGCCAAGTCACTCAACTTCATTAAGAGTCCGGTGTTGCCTAGCAGCTCTGGGAGGTACTAAGAAAAATAAGAGTCAATGTAGGTCAAAGAAAAGCTTCTAGGAAAATATTATGTTTTAGACAGATTTCTTCTTTCTTTTTTTAACTAAATGGCAGTTAAGCACCAAAAGACTAGCTGTTAGATAAATGTCTCCGATGGATATGCAAAGATATGCCAAAAAGCATCAATAATGATCATTACTCCCAGCCTAGGTAGCTGCTGATGCTCTTTAGTGTGGCCGTATGGCTGATGGGTAATGATAATATTAAGAATAATGTTTACTATTTACCGAGGGCCATGAACTTGACACGTATTGTCTCACTTCATCCTCAGAGTAACTATTTTATACATGAGGAAACAAGGCCCAGAGTGGTTGAATAAGAATTGCTAGAGATTAGTGGCAAGATAGAAACCTGAACACAGTGTTGGCACCAGAGTCTGTGCTCCTGGCCTTTCAAAGGAAGGATAAAGCACTTTAAACTACCTTTTGACATTTGGAGCCATTGCAGTACACCAGAGCTGCCAGGGCTTGAAGAATTTCCCTGTGTGTCCAGGAACTACACTGATGAATAGCCGAAATAGTATATGCCAACAGGAAATCCAAGTGCTGTTCATCAACAATTACCTAACAGGACAGGAAAAGATATATTCTGATCTAACTTTTAAAAAATATTATGCTTTTATGGACATGTATGCTCACCTGAATCAAGCTGTATAAAAGAGAGAGTGTGTGTCTGTCGTTTATGTGTCAAAAGGATCACCTCTAAAGGGCCTGAAAGTTTGATCAACGTAGGGGCCTTCTCCCCACCCCAAGGTCTTGCTCACTTCTTCCTCTTTAGTAAAGTAGAACTTGATGAAGTCCTTGTAACTTTTCCTTGAACTAACCAGACATTGGCAGCTGTGAATACACAGATATGAGTATTTCAACGCACTGAAATTTAATTAAACTGCCTTATACATAATAAACACTCAATGAATACACAGTGAACCAATATAACTGCTAAATACCTACTGCATCTCTAACATGACATGAGGAATACACCATGAAGAGAGGGCATATCCCTGCTGTCAAGGAGCTGATAATCTTGTTGGGACAGACCAGGCTAATCCAAGTGTCAATTTATGGACAATTGAGACAAACTGTCACCAAGTGCTGGAAAGCTGGTAAAGGGTTATAGGTGCCACAGGTGATCAGGAACATCTCCAATTGCCAGTGTTACAAAGATGATACACCTGAGAATAGTAAACATACAGAAGCTACCTCATGTTAGTTTCAAAGATTCTAAACTGAAAACAGCCTTACTCCATGCAGCAGACACTGTTGGTTACCTACTAGCATCCATTTCTTCCTTCCCTGCTGGCAGAGTACTAATTTAATTGGATGTCCACCTCTCCCATGTGAGACCTAAGGGTAAACGCTAATTAGTTTAAGAGAGTGGGGCAACCTGGGGCAACCTTAACCCCCAAGGAACATTTGGCAATGCCTGTATACATTTTTGACTGTCACAATTGGAGAGGTGCTACTGGCGTCTAGTGGGTAGAGGCCAAGGATGCTGCTAAACATTCCACAATGTGCAAGACAGCCCCTAAAACAATGATCTGAGCCAAAATATCAATAGTGCTGAGGTTGAGAAACCCTGATGTAGGCTAACTGTGGCTGCACATTGTAAGCATCAAGGGAGCTTAAGTCCTCCTCCAAGTGATTCTAATGTGTAGTGAAGGTTGAAACTACTAGCTGGAGCCATTCACAATAAGACCATCCTCCTGCTTAAAGACTGGTTTAGAGAGGTATTTATATGACCTAAGTCTCTCCAGCAAGATATTGGGGAGTCTACTAGAGAGTTCATGGGACACGTTTCCTTACTGTTAAGTACAAGAGACACAACATAAAATAAAGTTAATTAGCTTCTGCTGAACAGTAATCATTTCTTTGGCATGGGATGTCCAGAATTGGCACAGCCATCTTATGACTGTGAGACATGCTAGCTGAGGATAACCCACATGCTGAGGACGGTGAAGGGAAAGATGAGCCTCTTATTATTAAGGGGCTACAGATGCGTCCCTTGGGACTTGGGACATGGAGTGATTCCTTTTTATTTTTTTAAAAATTGTTTAGTGACTCTGGGATGGCTTTTCTGCTTATTGCAGCCAAAAGCATCCTAATTCACATAATGCTAGTTGATATGTTTTGTGCTCTTAAATATATTCACATACTCATGTGGTAACAGTCTTAAATAAATAACTGGGGTCTTTTTATCCTGCTGTCCCCTTGGCCCCAAGCTACTTCTTATATTTTAGAAGCATCAAAAGTAGACCATAAAAATGGTAGCTTCAGGAAAGGGGAAAAATATTGGTGGGAAAGAGGCAGGGGATTATTTCAATTTATTCTTAGATATATTTTGTTCAAATATATCTTCCATAAGAAATTATAAATTAGCCGGACGTGGTGGCGGGTGCCTGTAGTCCCAGCTACTTGGGAGGCTGAGGCAGAAGAATGGTGTAAACTCGGGAGGCGGAGCTTGCTGTGAGCTGAGATCGCGCCACACTCCAGCCTGGGCAACAGTGTGAAACTCTGTCTCAAAAAAAAAAAAAAAAAAGAAATTATAAGGTTGGGGGGCCTGAATGATATTGGTTTACTGAACCAAACAGAAAGGCATACTTCTAATAAACAAACTTCTAGAATTCTACAGAATAATTTTTTTGGATCAGAGTTATATTTGCTTTAAAAGCATTCTTATTTAGGCATTTGCTTTTCCTATAGCATCTCAAAAAACAGCCTATCATACCTACTACAGATGTAGTATTTCAAAGGTATTTACTTACTCTCAAAGTTCATGATCTGAATTCTAGAGTTACATACATGATTACCTGTAATCTGTTAAGTAAATGGTGGATAAGCTGGCTCACTTTGCTGACAAGATGATTCTGATTAAGAGGTACCAGTCGGCAAGCCTGGACAAGAAGAGCACTAACGTCCTACCAAAAAAAAAAAGATAAGAGGTAAAATACTTATTAGTCAAGTGAAGATCCTCAAAACACAGCCAAATGGGAAAATAAAAGTAAATATTCACATTCAAAATGGGGAAAGAAAATGTGAGGCAGGAAGGAAAAAAATGAAGTGATAGCACAAAAACAGCATGTGCTAAAAAAGAAGGAAAAAGCCAGGCACAGTGGCTCACACCTAATCCCAGTTCTTCCGGAGGTCAAAGCGGGAGGACTGCTTGAGCCCAGGAGTCCAAGACCAGCTTGGGCAACATAGTGAGACTCCATCTCTACAGAAAAAACTTTTTTAAAAAAATTAGCTGGATATGGTGGTATGTAGTCCCAGCTTCTTGGGAGGCTGAGGTGGGAGGATGGCTTGAGCCCAGGAGTTTTAGGTCACAGTGAGCTATGATCTTGCTGCTGCACTCCAGTCTGGATGACAGAGTGAGACCTTGTCTCTTAAAAAAAAGAAAAAAGAAAAAAAAAGGAAAAGAATCAGTACGGTTTTGGTCAGGCTGAAGACTCTGTGCTCTCTATATGTAAAGACAGTATAATTAAATAACCAGAAAAAGGCTTCTAGGGTATGAAAGCACAAACTGAAGCTAAAAATATCAAAAGGTAAGTGAACCAGATTTTCAATGCCATTGGGAAAAATCAGACCTAACACTTCTATGGATTTTATGCATAATTAGGGAATTCTTAAAAAAAAAAAAAAAAAAAGAGGGACCTATTTGCAAGTCACACTCTTCATCCATCGATGTTTATAGAATGACAAGGTTCTGAGCACCTACTATGTGTCATAGTGTGCTAGGTCTTTGGGCTCCAAAGGTAAAACAAACATGTTCCTGAACCTCAAAGAGCTCACAAACTAGTGAGAGAGAAAGAAACACAACAAATAATTAAAATAAGGTGAATCAAGTGCTGAAAGAATAAAGTACAAACTCTGTCCAGAAACAGTAATTAGGGAGGCCTTGTGGAGGTGACTGTAAAGCAGAATCTGGAATGATTTGAAGGATGAGGAGAAATTTGCCAGATAGGGCATCAAAAAACACTGCAAGCAAAGTGGACAGAGTATGCAAAAACCTGGAGGTGTGAAACACTAGTAGGTGCCTGAAGAACAGCAAGTTTTAAATGGCTGCACACAGGAACAAAAGGGGGAGTAACAGGAGAGAATGGAAGTTTTGTTGCAAAAGTATCCAATTACACAAATACAGCAAAAGTCCCCGACTACTGCCTTAATCTCACTCTGCTTCCTAATGACATACACTATTATTCTGTAGTCAATTCTTTCAGACCTTTTACTTTGCATATATAAACACACATATTTTAAAATCCCTCCTCCAGCTTCATACTGATCTCATTCTGTATGAATTGTCCTGCAACTTGCTTCAACCATTTACCAATACGTATTGAAGACTTTTCCAAAGCAGATTTTAAAGTTTATGAACAATTTTTTTTCCTCCTAAAGAAAAGATCATTCTGGCATTGGAGGAATGACTGGCTTGGAGAGGAGCTAGACAGGAGGCAGGAGATCAGTCAGAGGGGATCAGCGAACAGTCCAGGCATAAGTCGCCTTGCCTGAGGTCTAAGGCACTCGCTATGGGAATAGACAGGAGGGGATGAACTGAGAAATATATATGAGACACATTCTGAAATACCTGAGTTGGTCAGGATCTGGGATGAAGGAGGGAAGAACCAGTGTTTGTGTCTGGTGTGACTTGGTGGATGATGCATGTGTGTTGGAAGGTGGGATGGACTGGGGACGGGAATGCGTGTTTGGAGCTAATGAATTTCATCTTTAGGAACTGTCTAGTTTGAGATGCCTGTGCAAGCAGGCAACTTGCACCACTTCCCTCTTTCCTACGTAGGGCCAGAAGGCCATGGTGTCAACAGTTCAGAGAATTCATTAATTTAAGGCCTGATGTGTGTAAGATTACTCAGAAAGACGGCAGAGGGGAGGAGCTAGTGTGTAGGAACAGAAAACATAGGGGCTTTGTGGCAGAGTTTTGTATACTGTATTTTTACGAGCTTCAGTATTTTCATTAGCAAACAAGCCCTAATACTACGCAAGTTCTAAGATTCCCACGTGGTCCGTGTACCATGTACGCAATAAACAGTAGTAATGCATTTTGTCAACCAAGTGTTCTGGGTGCACAGAGAGGGAGTGAAGGAGGGTGCGGGCGGATGGAAAGTTGGTATCAGAGAGGAAACCCGAGGCATTATCAGAGCAGGAGTCGTCAAGTTGGGTTTTGAATGACTCGAGCGTGCCAAGCACTGCAGGGTCTTCCAAATGGAGAACTAAGAATGTGCCAAGGTTGGAGGGGGCACGCCATCCTGAAACTAAATCATCAGGCGCGAGAGTGGGAAGATCAGGGAAAGGCAGGCAGAGGCCACCAGCTGGGTTCCCGGAGGGGTGGGGCCGGGGCCGGGGCCAGCAGGGCGCGCCGCCTACCTCCGGGGCCACGCCACTGCCCTCGCTGTAGTTCTCGGAGATGAGCTGATCGAAGAGCAGGTGGATCTCGGTGCGGGCGGAGCTGCTGTCATCCGGGCGCAGGGCGCAGAGCCTGGCAGACAAGAGGCGAAACCCATTGCCTCGCTCAGGGATTGCTTCCCGCGGTGCCTCCCGCGGCTGCACGGAAGGCCACGAACCGACAACTTGCACAGCAGCCATCTTTTCTACGGGCGGGGGGGGTGGGTGGGGTGATCCCAGGGAAATACTTCCGGGACATCCTCCCGTTCCGCGCGCTCTAGTTCCGAAAGTACCTTTTTTAGACCGGACTGGGGCTCAGAGGGGTTTCCATGACTACGGGACTCCTCCGACCGGTACCCTGCAGATGCTTGTCAGAAATTGGCTTGGAGGCCGGGCTCGGTGGCTGACGCCTGTAATCCCAGCACTTTGGGAGGCCGAGGCGGGCGGATCACGAGGTCAGAAGATCGAGACCATCCTAGCTAACACGGTGAAACCCCGTCTCTACTAAAAATACAAAAAAAAAAAAAAAAAAAAAATTAGCCGGGAGTGGTGGCGGGCGCCTGTTGTCCCAGCTACTCGGGAGGCTGAGGCAGGAGAATGGCGTGAACCCGGGAGGCAGGGCTTGCAATGAGCCAAGATCGCGCCACTGCACTCCAGCCTGGGCGACAGAGCGAGACTCCGTCTCAGAAAAAAAAAAAAAGAAAGAAATTGGCTTGGAGATTTTTCGCCGGCCACTCCTTCTTGAGCCCTGACTGAAAAGTGAGTTCTCAATTTGTGCTTCCAGAAAGTTTGTCCTCCCAGAGTTTGTTCCTGGACAGGGCTGAAGGTACTCTGTTCCGTACTAGAGTTTCAGATTCGGGCTGGAGTTGGAGAGGGTATGCTGTGGATGGCAGTAGCAGAAACCGCTAGTTCTAAGGCACCCTTCTACTCTTCTAAAATCTTTCCCCAGGCACAAAACCACCCGGAATAAAGGCTACGTTCCCTAGCATTCCTTGCAGTTGGCTGTGGCTCTGTGATTGCAATCTGGTCAGTGGAATATAAGGCAGCTTTCCCTACTTAAGTGACAGCTGGCTGTACTCTTGGTTCCTTTTTCTCCCTTTTTCCCAGTGTGAATCCTCTCATGGATCATGAGGCACCTCGCCCCACTAGAAGAGTAATTTTGGAGTTTAACTGAATCATGTAAAATATAATCTGCCTAAGAGTGACCGGGTTGAAATGAGACACCCCAAGATTTTCTGAAACCTTGAAGTCAAGAAGCTGGAGAATAAAATGGCCATTTAAAAATCTGTGATCACTTTTCAGTCATCCAGGAAGTGAAGGCTTGACTTTCACAGTTGGGCAGATTGGGAAAACCATCTCTAGGGCCTTTGAGTTATGCAAATATAAAGCAAATCCTCACCCTTGGCCCTTAGGGAAAACCTTGAAGTCACCTGAATGTATGTTTTATCCTGAGAACAAAACATTTCTGTTCAGCAGTGAAAATTGGGGGTATGCTTTAGCAGAGGTAGTTTTCTGAAGACTTTGGGCTTGGGGAGAAATGTTAATTTTTTTGTTTGGATTTAGATTCCGTTGTGCTGGTATATTATTTCTTATTCCTAGTCTGTGTACATATGTGCGTTATATATGTGCATGTGTGTGTGTGTATTCGTGTAAAGAAATGTATTCAAGCATTTGTTCAGAGAAGATCAGGAGCTGAAACCTAGTCGTTGGATATTTTAATCTGGGTTCCCTGATAGCAGAGCCTCAGATGAGGTTGATAGGTGAGGGATTTATCCAGAAATGAACAGGGAAGGAAGGAGAATTAATACCAATATGTGCTATTGAGTTGGCCATTGCAAGGGGTGACTGATTGTTCAGTCCTCAGGAGTTTCTGAGAAGCCTTGTGAAGCTCTCAAAACCCTTCTTCTGAGGAACAGAGAGGAAAAGCATTTATCTGTCAGCTTTTGAAGTCTATTGTCAAAAGTTGACCACAAGGCATTAATTCACTGGTGTTCCTGTGTTGAGCATGCATCTGTGCTTGGTTCCTGGAGGAGTCCTATGTTGCATAGTCAAAGAAGCCCTGAGGCAAAAGTGAGGAAACTAGGTGCATATCTGAGGCAAGGCTCTCACCAGTTATACCTGTGCTAAGCTAGTAGATGCCTGTGATAAACTAGTTGCTGTAGCAATGGCTAGAGTAAGAATGTAAGACCAAGAGTATGTGAAGTAGTACTAAAGAGCTGTCTTACACATTGGGCTAGAAGGATGTGAGGCCTGGTCATTTCCACAATGCACGTTCGAAGAGACTGGAAAGGATCTGGGTTTGGTGTGGTTCACTTTAAGTTGCAATATGGATGACCTACATATTGTGTTATTCAGGGTGGAATGGCCCAGGAATTGTAAAATACAGTATACTGATGCCGGTCTGTTCAGTTCTGGTAGAATATACTGTTTTGGATCAGTGTGGTTCCTTTAAGGAAATGGACATCCCTACTCTGCAGTGATCACCAACTGAAGGAAACGTATCTCAAGCTCTGAGGGAGGCCTTTGAAGGCACCCTGCATTGGCTTGAGTTTAGACAGTAGCACTCCTGCTCCCACCTCCCACCCTGAAACTGTGGAAACACAGCATGGCAAAAGCTCTCTTCCAAGAAAATCTTCTGTCTCCTCCTCAATTCTCTGCATTTTCATAGTCCTGCAGTGACTGAGGGGCTTTAAGGGGTGCTAAGCACGTTCACAGCCATTTCCTTTGTTAGATTCTGCATCGGATGATCTGGAACCTCAGTGGAATTTCACTCCTTTCATGTGTGGAAACCTCTCAAGACTTCACTTTTATCCCTTCATGAGCGTCTGGGTCATCCTAACTCACGTAGGCTTGCATACCCCCACTTCACTCTAATTCACATCTTTGATTATTTCCTTCGGAAAATTTACCATAACCTGCAGTTATCTTGTTTATTTGATGACTTTATCATCTGTTTTCCCCTCTAGAATATTAACTTTATGAAGGCACAGTTCCCGTTTGTCTCATTCGCTGTTGTATCCCAGGGCTAGCACAGCCCCTGGGATGTGGTAGATGCCCCACAATATTTGTTAACAGAATGAATGAATTCACTAATTTTTTATTCAGGGTCCCCTATTTGCCACCGGTTGATGTGAAAATCGAATGGGATTTTTGTGAAAATGCTTTGTAAACTATAAAGTTTTATAAGTCTTAGTATCAAATGAGGTAGATATTATTTCCCCCTTTTATAGTTGGGAAAATGGTGCCGAAGAGTATAAATGGTTGGTCAAGGCTGCACAGGCAGCAAATTGGTTGAAATCAGATTGCAGCCCAGGCTGGCTGTGATTGTGAAGAACATAGACAAGAAATTATAAACCCATTGTTTTTTACCTCCCACATTTTGTAATGGGGAAAACCAGAAGACAGGAGCTTGATTTCGGTATCCAGATTACACTTTGAACCAGGAGAGGCTAGGAAGGAGGATTGGCCTTGAGTTCTGTTTCAGGGTCATCAGCCTATCTATGTGATTACATAGGAGTCCCCCCTTATCAGTAGTTTCACTTTCAGCCTTTTCAATTACCCGTGGTCAATCACAGTATGAAAATATGAAATGCGCTGGGCGCAGTGTCTCATGCCTGTAATCCCAGCACTTTGGGAGTCCGAGACGGGCTGCTCACTGGAGGTCAGGAACTCGACACCAGCTGACCAACATGGTGAAACTCCATCTCTACTAAAAATACAAAAATTAGCCGGACGTGTTGGCACACGCCTGTAATCCCAGCTACTTGGGAGGCTGAGGCAGGAGAATCACTTGAACCTGGGAGGCAGAGATTGCAGTGAGCCGAGATCACACCATTGCACTCCAGCCTGGGTGACCAAAGTAAAACTCCGTCCAAAAAAAAAAGAAAAAAAAAACGAAATGGAAATTTCCAGAAATAAACAATTCATACATTTCAACTTGCTGCTGTTCTGAGTAGCGTGATGAAATCTTGCGCCATCCCACTTCATTCTGCCTGGAATGTGAATCATCCCTTAGTCAAGCATATCCACGCTTTATATGCTACCCACCCGTTAGTCACTTAATAACCATCTCAGTTATGAGATCCACTGTCCCAGTGCTTGTGTTCAAGTAACCTTTATTTTGCTTAGTGGTCTCAAAGCATAAGAGTAGTGATGCTGGCATATTGTTATATTTGTTCTATTTTATTATTAGTTATTGTTAATCTCTTACTGTGCCTAATTTATAAATTTACTTTATCATAAGGATGTATTTATAGGACAGAACACATATATAGAGAGTTTGATACTATCCACGGCAGTATATGTAGAGTTTGATACGATCCACGGTTTTGTGCATTCACTGGGGGTCTTGAAACATATCCCCCGTGGATTAGGGGTACTACTGTGTTAATAATCATTGTAGTTAACACTTACTGAATGCTTTCTATGTGTCAGCACTTTATGTGACCCTCTTTAATCTTTGTAGTTTCATGAGGTACTATTATATATATGAGTCGAATCACAGAAAGATGAAGACTCTCACTGAAGGCCACATGGCTGTGTGGTGTGCCTGGGTTTGAAATTCAGAGTCAGGGCTCCTGACCACCATGCTATAATGCATAGGACTTATATGGCGTTCGACATGAGATTATAGTTTAGGCCCTGACACTTACCTGCTATATGACTCTGCCCCAAACCTCAGTGTCCTCAAATGGTAATGATAAGAAGTGCAGTCAAAAGGTTGTTAAGGTTACTTAGATAATGCCTGGGGAGAATTTAACATGGTCCTTGTTGATAGTCAGTACGCAACAAATGTCATCTGTCCTCCTCCCCCTCCTCCTCACCTTTAACCAAATAACTCAAATAGTATGAGTGCTTTTAACAATGATGATTTATTAAAAGAAACAACCCCTCTTCCCTGCCTCCCATATCCCCTGTAGTCTCCATCCACAGGCTTGCTGTTTTCATCCATCTTCCTAGTCAAGGAACTCCAGACAGTCACATCTTGGAAGATAGGAACTCCAGGAAGGGATGACGATCTTAGGGAAAGATGATCCTTAAGATAACTCTTCATCTGAGAAAAAGACAAAAAAAATTTTGCCCGAGACCTGCTGTTTTGGGGACCTGGATCCACAGAATACAATCAAGAGGCAACAGTTCCCAATTTGGGAAATCAATCACACCTGCAAAGAGCCAGCCAGGCCCTAAGCAGTCCAAGGATTGCAGGTGGATTGGCCAAACAATACATTCTGAACACAAAGGGTTTTTATTTAAAGTGTATGCTGATTCTGTTGTGTTTAGTGCAACTTAGTTTATAATCAAAACTGGTAGCTTTTTATTATGCATTTTTCAACTAATGGCTACTGAAAACAAATAAATTATCCTGTGAGGCCCCTGAGATATTTTCACAGAAAAGGGGTTCTCATAAGTCAACATGGCAATGTACATCACAGGGTTAAAATGAACATACTCTTTATTTTTATTTTTATTTTTATTTTTTGAGATGGAGTCTCCCTCTGTTGCCCAGGCTGGTGTGCAGTGGTGCGATCTCGGCTCACTGCAAGCTCCACCTCCCAGGTTCACGCCATTCTCCTGGCTCGGCCTCCTGAGTATCTGGGACTACAGGTGCCCCCACCACATCTGGCTAATTTTTTTTGTATTTTTAGTAGAGGCAGGGTTTCACCATGTTAGCCATTATAGTCTCGATCTCCTGACCTCGTGATCCGCCCGCCTCAGCCTCCCAAAGTGCTGGGATTACAGGTGTGAGCCACCGGGCCCGACCAATGAACATACTCTTTAGTCATCAATTTTACATCTTAGAATTTGTCCCAAGGAAGTTAATAAGTGTGTGTATGCCAATTTAGTATTTGTTACAATCATATTCATAATATCAAAATAAGAAATATCTTAAACATGTATTACTAAAGGTTGCTAAGTATCTGAGCATAGCTGATGAACTTCTATAGGTTATCAAAGATGATGGGATAGAAGCATTAGTATTGACATTAAAAGTTGTTTGGTAGCTACTTTTAAGTGAAATAAAAAATAAAAATAGGCACATGATTATCTCATTTTTATATAAATATTACATATTTGTGTATGTTTAAAATATGCACCAAAGTGTTAAGCAGACATTGTTTTGGGGTGGGGGATTATGTGTGATTTTTATCATTTTGCTTAAGTAAATAGTCCAATTTTTCTCCAGGGCATACTGGGTTAGGGAATTATTTTAAAGGTGTGGAAACCACCAGCCTGTGATGGATGCATCTTTTTCTTGGGAAGGGTGGGGGAAGAGGGAGACAGGTAGGTTTCTGTCCTACTCATTTCTGGAAAGTCCCACTGAGACCAAGTGCACAACCTACCTAGACTGAACAACGTTTCAGAAAGCAGGGAGGGCCTGGTGTTTTTACCTGTCCTTACCCTGCAACACACTCATGGCCACACCCATTGCTGACACAGTGGTCTCCGGGGTTGCAGTCCCAGTCACCTGTGCAGAGCTCGACGCAGGTACCTATGGAAGAACGGATGTGCTGAAAACCACCGTACTTTTGGGACAGATGCTAGGGAGAACAGCCCTTGATTAAGAAGTCAGTTCTACATTTTTCTTTTCATTCAATATGCAATATGATTTATTACTTGAAGAATAATATCATTAACATCTTATATATTCTAGTTAAAAGCAATGCATTCACATAATCTCAAAACAGTAAGGCCGACTTTAGAGATGGGGATAATTGTGTTTGTGGAGGGGAAGTGCAGAGAAACCCACTTAAATGTCTTCACTTTCCCCACTCTGCAGGGAATAGAGTGGAGAAGAAGAGACTCACATTTACCATGTGCCATCGGGAGACACTTGCAGTCACCCCATGCAGTGAGTCTTACTAGGCCCACTTTACAGGTGTGGCAGTTGGGGCTCACAGAGGTGACTTGCTAGCCAGTGGGTACAGAAGTGAGATTCAACTGAGATTTGCCTGGCCCCTCAGTCTGAGCACCTTCTGCTGTCCCACATGGTGAAGCTCATCCTGACCTAGGTACATATCTCCAAATTTCAAGGAGTCATTCTGGACCTGATTGGAGGCTCCCAAGTTCCCAGAACATCAAGCTCTTTGAGGACCAATGAAGTAGGCTCAAAGAGTTGGTTAAGATCGCACAGGCTTTTAGGAAAACATATGCAGAACTCTGGATGAATATGTACTGTACTTTGATTGGCTACTCAGCTATTAGCAGGAATTTCTTTACCTGATTATGTCTCTGGGTCTTTCTGGAACTTTTCTCATCTGTAAAAAGGGGCCCCTGGATTCAGCAGGGGTAATGAGTTTTATTCTCCATTGTCAACTTCAGTCAATAGAGGTGGCTGTCTGATGCTGTGTTGAGAAGGGTCAGACACCTTGTCCAGGTTCAAAGAGAAAGAGTGCTAGGACTGATTAGCAGTATCTGAGGGGTATAAGAAGGGGACCTGGTGGGATATCTTCAATGTAGTTGTAGACCTCAGAGAAAATCAGTACCATCCCCCCATGCTTCCCGTAGCTTTTGTTGATTTGTGGTGAGCAGGCTGAAGATTCCTCTTCCCCACTCACAGCAGTTTGACTTATTAAGTCAATAATATATACTTATTAAGTATATGTTGATTTCTTACTATGTATAAAATAGAGGAAATTATCCAGCAAATACAAAGATATAAGACAAACAAGCTTAGAGTCTAACAATATGGATAAAACATATTCAAAGTACTAAAAACAAAGCAATATGTAACAAGTGTCCTAAGAGAGGTATATCTGAAGAATTAAAGAGTCTCAGCTAGGCATGGTTGCTAATGCCTGTAATCCCAGCACTTTGGGAGGCTGAAGTGGGAGGATCACTTGAGCACAGAAGTTTGAGACCAGCCTGGGTGATACAGTGAGACCCAGTCTCTACAATTTTTTTTTTTTTTAATTAGCCAGGCTTAGTGTCACATGCCTGTTGTCCCAGCTACTTGGGGGACTGAGATAGGAGGATCACTTGAGACCAGGAGATTGAGGCTGCAGTAAGCCATGATCATGCCACTGCACTCTGGTCTGGGCAACAAAGCAAGATCCTGCCAAAAAAAAAAAAAAAAGGCTCAGAGAATATGACATTACTTCCAATTAGATTAATCAGAAAAGGTGAGTTTTGAAGTGCAGGAATCTTTTTAAGGCAGAACTGAGGGGCATGGGTGGAGTGTTGTGAGAAGAAAGAAGAATTACTAGCAACAGTTCACAAGGGGAAATGCAAAAGGGCTGGGATGAGGGTGAGGCAAGTGAGGTGCCTTGCACAATGCTGGCGGTGAGCACCCATTTCATGTTTGCACCCTGGGTGCCTCATCCACTTCACTCCTCACCGTGAAACACAAGGAACACAGGAGGAGTGGCAGATGGAGGGCTGGGTAAGTGTTAGGGAACAGCTGGAAATGAAGCAGGAAAAGTAAGCAGGGGATAAAGTTACGGGGGTTGGGGGGCAGATCTCGAGGGCCTCAGGAGTTTGGATTTCATTTGATAGATCAAGAGAGAGATGTGATTGCTGTTTAATTAGGAAGATTATTCTGGTGTGAGAGCCTAGAATGGAACAGAATTCAACAAGCAAGCAAACTGCTGCAGAAAGACAGGGGCAGGGAGAGCTATTAGGAAGCTCCTTGGATGGCCCAGACATGAGGTCATCGGGGCTGGAAATACTGCGTGACAATGGGAGATGGCAGGGTAAGGAAAGAACATATGCAAGAGACACTCTCAGAGAATGGACAGTATTTGGCAACCAGTTTAATGTCAGGGGAAGGAGAGCAAAGAAGAGAGGAAAGTAATAACTGAATCCAATAATGTTTAGAGAGAAGAATAAAATACCATGAAGGATAATACAGGAGAAAAGAAAGTTTGAGAACTGAGGAGGTGGCGAGCAGTGTCGGACACTACAGAGGTTAAAGACTTGGTGACTGAGGAGTCATGAGATTTGTCCACAGGATCTGGGAGAGAAGTTTCAGGAGAGTGATGGGGCAGGGATGGAGGCTGTAGGCCATCTTCAAGGGGTCAAGGAATAACTTATGGGGGAATAAGGGCAGAGAATTAAGATTACTCCTTTGAGAATGTTGGTAAAAGGAAAAGAAGAGATTGAGATGATTAATATTTAACATGATTCAGAAAATATTTTCTCTAGGTGATCCAATTTACTTGTAGCAAGAGAGGAAGAAGCTTATGGAGAGGGAGAGGGCAGGAGTCAGAGGGTGGCTGATGAGGGGGTAAGAGGGGAGGTACAGAGATTCCAAATGGAGCGGTGACCCAGGGAAAGGAGTGCGGGAAGGTGGAGGTAGAAGAAAAGAGATTCTGCTCTGGGGAGCTGAGTAGCGGCAGTTGGAGGGTCCCTGCAGTGGCCTTTTAAGACCTTTTCTTCTTTCCTTTCTTCCCCTCTCCTCCCCACACACACTGGTCCCTGATGTCCTACTTTCTGGCCCCCTCATTCAAGGAAAAATGAACAGGGCTACCTTCTGCCTGGACTCACCCAAAAGCCGGTCTCCTGCAGCCTGAAGCTCTTGTACCTCTAGGCTGAAGATGATGAGGATCACAGGAGGAGGAAGGCTGCCAACTTCATGTTGCTGTTGGAAGGCTTTGGAAAAACACAGCAGGGCTGAGAGCAGCTGAAATTTATACCTTCCACCCGCTGAGCTGGAATGCAAGGCCAGGGGTGGGACTAGGGACTGCAGACACCTAAGCCCTGCCCAGAAACTGACATTTCTGGAGAATAGCCACCCACCCTGTGTACCCTGGGTCCTTCTACATTACCTAAGCAAGGCTCTGAGCCAAGGGAACGCCCTCCTCTGACAGAAAAATAAGACTCCTACACCAGGCCAGTTGCAGTGGCTCACATCTGTAATCCCAGCACTTTGGGAGGCCAAGGCAGGAGGATCATTTGAGCCCAGGAGTTCAAGACCAGCCTGGGTAACAAGAGCAAGACCCTGTCTCTACAAAATTAAAAAAAAAAAAAGTTAAATAATGAAAAAGACTCCTAAATCAAAAAAGCTGTGAGTGACTGAGAAAAAGGGGCTGGCGTGGGGAGGGTGGAGGGATGAGTATTAACTTTTATTATGTATATTCATTCACTCATTCATTTTCAACATAAGTATTGAATGTCTGCTCTGGGCCAGGCGTGGGCTAGGCATGAGAGAATCCCAGAGAAATTACAGTCTGGGAGCTAGGTGCCAGGTAGCAAGGGTGCAGTCTGCTCTTTCCCTTCTTCCCCCGACCCACCACACCCGCCCACCTCCACCCCCAACTTCCAGGCCTAGCACCTCTGGAAATGAGGGCAGGGAAAAGCAGTACAGAACAGGCAGGGGTGCTCCCTTATCACCTGCTGGTGGTAGAGAGGTGGCCTCAGTCTCCCACTGCCTTGGTCTGATTCTGTTGCTGGATACCTAGGCAGATGTGATGGTCTTTGCCTATAGGAGCTATGTAATTTTCTTGAGATAAAGCTCTGCTTCATCTCATCCAACTTCATTTCTGAGAACCCAAACTCAAGTTATGCATATTAAACTCTTCTAGGATATCTCTCGTCCTGCAGCTCTGGGGTGGGAGTGGGGGCGGGACCATAGTAACCAACCAGCTGGGGAGTGAGGTTTCATTTCCCCCTCCTTGTAGCACTCCTAATCTAGATGAATGATTTTCTTAAACACACACTCCCGTTGTTTTTTTTTTTGCAGGGGAGTGGGGATGTTGTCAGGGGTAGGGAGAAATATACCCTCTTCCCTCTCCAATGGCAAGGATGCAGGGAGACATGTATAACTTTTGGCCATGTGTCGTGTGTCCCACAAGATACCTTATATAATGTGAGATAAGGAGGATACCTGGGCTAGTTGAGGGTAGTGAGACAAGTTTGCAACCTTGTGATAGGCCCCCTGGGCCACTTTCTAAAGTGAAGTCAACTTTAGACTTCACTTGTAAGTCTAAAGTACATGATGTTTCACTTCTGGTTCCTAACTCTGAGGTTACAGGGAGAGACCCACTCTGTTCTACTTCATGTATCACAGTTCCTGAAATGCCATTGGTTAGAAGTCCTTTGGGCAAACAACTGACCTTTTCTGCAAATCCTTCTTATCTAACAAGGCCCAGCCTAAATGTCACCTCCAAAACCTTCCTCAACTTCCACCCCTAGGAGAGTAACATTCTCTTTAGTACTTATTTTGTCATAGGACTTGTCAGACTCTATTGTAATTAATTATTATGATCATTTTACATTTCTCTCCTGTATCTTGCTGGCTAGCATGGGGTCTTACTGATCTTTCATCCTCAGCTCTCAATAATGGGCATTTATTATCCTCAATAATGTGTGTTTTGGGATGATGAGGAGCATTCAGAGAGCCATTGTAATTAGGAAGACACTTCACGTGGTTTCCAATACAGACAGGCATTATTATTGCCACGTTACAGTTGAGAAGATTAAGCCACAGAAAGTTTAACTAGCCCCAAGTAATAGTTAAATGGCAGAACCACAGTCAAACTCCAAAGACAGTGGTCTATACTAGTACACATTACTGTCAGGCTACATCCAAATTCTTAGAAAATAATTTGGACTCATCTCTGGGTACAGATAAATGAGCTTTTGAGGTCACAGAATTCTGCTTCATCTAGTGTGGCACCCGTAATCACAATTTCATTAGCACAAAATAACTGCTTTGAGCTAAGCAACTCACTCTAGAGGCTTCTGAGTACTCAATCAGATTAAAAGTAGGTGCCATCCACCCAAAACTGTTACTTCGGTTTTAAGTGAGTTGAGGAGCAGCATGTGGCCCTTATTGCTGGCTGTTTACTAAGGCCGTTTCGAGGTTGTGAAAACAAGCCTGATCCGAGTATAGCACAGTGGCCTGAGAGTGAGGACCCCGGAGTGTGACGGGTCTGGTTCGCATCTGCTTCACTACTTGCTAGCTGTGTGACCTTGGGAAAATTAACTTCCCTTTCTGAGCCTCACTTCTCTTTTCTGTAAAGTGGGGAGTATAATTCCTACTTCAATGTTGGACAGACCAAATTACAATATGTGTACACATACATACCCCTGGCACAGGGCCCTCAACACTAGCAGCTACTATTGTGAATTTCTGAGAAAGAGGATGCATGTCTTTCTATTCCCTAGAGCAGGGCATCTACAGACAGCTCATGCAAAAGTGTATAATTTAATTAAGGAAATATTTCAAGATAAAGAAAACTCAGAACCTGTCCCTATTTTATTCTGCTGGATATTGTAAACTGAACCATGAAGAGACTCCAAGGCTGAAGCTAGTATTACTGTCACTTCCATGGCTCTATGCGGGCTCATGATTCCCATATGGAGGTCAGGAAGCTTAGTATGTGACCAATTCTGCCTAAAGAGTCATTAGCAAGGGAGGGTCAATAAAGTCACAATCTTATATAAGGCATGCATCCTTCCACCTACACCTCTTCATCTTGTACCAGATCTAGATAGTGTCTCAGGTAAGCCTAAGAATCTGAGCTCAGAAATCAGATCACCTGGACTCAGATCCTGACTCCAACTTAGTAGCTGCATGACTGAGGACAAGTTATTTAACCCAACATCATGTTGCTTGGGGAAGTTTCCTTTGATGACAACACAGATGGGCAGAGATGGGCTATGATTTATGTCTTCCCTCCCAGCATGTGCATCCTGGGTCATGACACAGGTATTTGGAAGCTTAAGCCCCAGTAGGAAGCTGACCTTTCTGGATTCTATAGACCTGTGTTTAGCATTAAGTATTTTCAAAAAAGCTCTCTAAGCCAAGGGAAACAGCTTCTTCTGCCTAATAATTAAGACTTCTAAAGAATGGTGGCCACTTTGAATGACAGAGAGAAATGGGGCAGGGAGAAAGGAACTGGCATATACTGGGCCAGTTCCTTCTGTGTGCCAGATTTTACCCCCCACCCCACATGCAGATCTCCTATCGCTACCCCCTTTAAAGATCAAAAACATTCTCAGAGGTTGTCTTCATTTCACACACGAAGAGACAGTAGTTTGCCCAGGTTTACACAACTTAATTCCCCAAGTCTTTCTGATTTCAAATCCCAAGCTCTCTCCTTCACATGACACTGTTTATGACTTTTCCTTACACACCCCTGTTTACCTGATTTTAGATCCAAATATTAATATTACAGGGCTCAGGTCTTGGCCTAGGAACAAGGACTGGCATCCTCTTTTCTTCTTCCCCCAGTCTTCACAGAACTATCTAGAATTCCTCATTCAGTCACACTGTCTGAAATGTTAACAAGTAGAGACTTCCTAGGGTAAAAAGCCTCCTGGCACATTCAGATGTAGGGAAAATCCCATATTTGATTATAATAACATTTTACTTCCTCTTTCCAACTTGAAAAAAAAACTCAAGCCTTCTTGTATTACAGGTTCTCAGAAATGTTGATCCATCTTTTGTATCTAAGTTTTTATTTCTCCTTTTGCAAAAGCTGCTCTAAATACCAGCTTTGCTGCTCCGTAGGCTCTGAATGGTCAGAAGAACATTCACATTACGAGGATGACTCTGTGGAATGCTTGACCACTAAGTTTGGTAAATAGCTGGTCAGTCTTTTTCACTTTAGCCACAGCTGGGGAGGAAAGCCTCTATATGAGTGGCAGAGGCTGGCTGGCTGTTTACCAGACTCATTTCTTCTTTCTGAGGACACAGTAGCTTACATTTCCTAGCTTTCTTTGCCATTGGTTTGCTACAGCCATGCAATTGAGTTCTAGCTAATGGAATATGAGCAGAAGTGATCCACTCCACTTCCAGTGTGAGACCCCTAACTCCCCTGCTCCCCATGCACAGCCTTCCACTGTCTTCTTCCTATTGCTGGCATGAAGCACATAAGCAAGCTATCTTGGAAGCCATGTGTTGAAGCTGGTGAAGACTACAAGATGGAAGGAGCCTGGTCCCAGAATCACCACTTGGAGGAAAGCTGCTTGCTGTTCAAGTACTCCAGTTTTGGATTTCACACAGGGAGGGATAACCAGTAAGGGATAACAAGTTAAACCAGCAAGATTTGGGTTTCTGACCCCCTAGTTGACCAACAGATCAGCTGACCCCCTTCTGATCCCCTAGCTGACTGACAGATTCATGAGAACTACTGGGGGAACCCGCCCCCAGTATTTCAGCGTTGGTTCTTTCTATTTTCCATAAGTATCAGCCGGCTGAGAAATAATGAGAAAGAGTACAAAGAGAGGAATTTTACAGCAGGGCTGCTGGGGGTGACATCACATATCGGTAGGACCGTGATGCCTGCCCAAGCCTCAAAACCAGCAAGTTTTTATTAAGGATTTCAAAAGGGGAGGGGATGTATGAACAGGGAGCAGGTACAAAGATCACATGCTTTAAAGGGCAAAAAGCAGAACAAAGATCACATGCTTCTGAGAAAACAGGACAAGGGCAAAAGCAGAACTCCTGATAAGGGTCTATGTTCAGCGGTGCTTATATTGTCTTGATAAACATCTTAAACAACAGAAAACAGGGTTCAAGAGCAGAGAACTGGTCTGACCATAAATTTACCAGGGCCGGGTTTTTCCCCACCCTAATAAGCCTGAGGGTACTGCAGGAGACCAGGGTGTATTTCAGTCCTTAACTCAACCGCATAGGACAGACATTCCCAGAGCAGCCCTTTATAGACCTCCCCCCAGGAATGCATTCCTTTCCCAGAGTATTAATATTAATATCCCTTGCTAGGAAAAGAATTTAGCGATATCCTTCCTACTTGCATGTCCATTTATAGGCTCTCTGTAAGAAGAAAAATATGGCTCTTTTTGCCCAATCCCACAGGCAGTCAGACCTTATGGTTGTCTTCCCTTGTTCCCTAAAAATCGCTGTTATTCTATTCTTTTTCAAGGTGTACTGATTTCATATTGTTCAAACACACGTTTTACAATCAATTTGTACAGTTAACACAATTATCACAGTGGTCCTGAGGTGACGTACATCCTCAGCTTACGAAGATAACAGGATTAAGAGATTAAAGTAAGACAGGCATAAGAAATTATAAAAGTATTATTTGGGAACTGATAAATGTCCATGAAATCTTCACAATTTATGTTCCTCTGCCACAGCTCCAGCCGGTCCCTCCGTTTGGGGTTCCTGACTTTCTGCAACAGAGAACAATTGTTATTTCAAGCCACTGAGCTTTGGGACAATTTACTTTTGTTGCAGCAGCTAATTAAGACAATGCAGATTCTCATTGGAGAATCTAATGATTCAAAAGTCAGTTAGAATGGCTGACATTGACAAGTCAGCCTAACCTCTTTCTTCTACCAACACCATCACTACCACCACTGCTGCCGCCCTCCACTGTACTCCTAAAGAGAGTGGCTACTTTTGGGGATTCTTAATTTCTTGAAGTCACTGTGTGAAGGCCAAAGCAACTCCATGTTGTAATCTGCCATGTTGCCTTCAGATTAACCTCTGCTCTGGGAAGGCCATTAAAATTTCCAGTTTGTGGCCGGGCGCCGTGGCTCATGCCTGTAATCCCAGCACTTTGGGAGGCCGAGATGGGCAAATCGCAGGGTCAGGAGATCAAGATCATCCTGGCTAACATGGTGAAACCCTGTCTCTACTAAAAATACAAAAAAATTAGCTGGGCATGGTGGCAGACGCCTGTAGTCCCAGCTATGCGGGAGGCTGAGGCAGGAGAATGGCGTAAGAGAATCTGGGAGGCAGAGCTTTCAGTGAGCCGAGATCATGCCACTGCACTCCAGCCTGGGCGACAGAGCGAGACTCCATCTCAAAAAATAAATAAAATTTCTAGTTTGTCTGTTATTCCTTGTGTAACAGCACATACTTACTGTAAATTCTGCTCTTAGGTCAAAACAACTTTGGTGTTATCATACTTTAATTGTTCTACACATCACTTCTGAATCATGTATGCCCTTTTCCTGTGGTATATCAGCCCTGGGTCTGTGGGGTAATGGTGCAGGGATCCACCATCTCATCTCTCCACCACCAGAGACACAGACATGGCTTCTGTTTGTAGGTCCCTATTAAATGTTACCTTCTAAGAGATAGGATTTGTCAGCCTCTTTCTTCAGCCTCTCAGCTTCCTTGTACTTTGGGGGTAGGTTTGCATAGACCTGCCTGCCATGGAACAATTATAAATTTTTTTCTGAAAAAATGGCAGTGTTATAGTTGTGGAATACTATAGTCATGTTACATTTAGGAAGTGCCAGCCCATGGTGTATTTCAGATGTAATTTCATTCCTTCCTATTGGCTGGTGAGGCCGGAAGACTTTGGGGTGACATCATTGTGCACTTTGTTGGCATAGAAGAAGGTAATATTTGTGAGTCTTGGGGTTTCAGCATGAAACTGAGAAAGGGAAGTTCAGTGAAGAGGAGAAAAAGGGTAGAGTGGACACTTTTTTTTTGGAGTTGGACCAGCCTGAAGTAAGTAAAGATTTCTGGGCCACCAATGACTGTCCATTGCACAGATCCAAGCATACCAGTCAGAAAGCAGCCACTTCCCAGGGAGCATCATGTAGATTTTAGACTCCAAGGATACCACAAGCCACTATCAGGTGAGAGGTGCAATTGTTACAACCCAGCATAGAGGTCCCCTCTTTATTTCTCAAAGTTTTGGGAGAACCCAAGACCCATAGCCTTTATTTTAGGGACTGTTTAATCATCTTGGCAGAGAAAGAGACTACGTAATTGACTCAGGTCATTTGAGATCTTAGCATTAACCAAGATCCTGTAACACAGGCAGATTTAGCCCTTTTGTTTCTATTTCTATATTTAATATAAATTTATATTAAATTCTTGCAAAAATTTAGCTTTTGGCTAAAGTCAGCTTTTGGCCACAGCTGTTGATCAGCAGGGAAACAGAAGGAGAGGCCTCTGATGTCAGTAAGGGATTTTCACACTTAGCAAGCAACTCTTGTGGCCAGTTGCACAAAAGCAGAGTTGTAGTGAGATATCCAATTCCCATTAGAGAAATAAGGGAGCTGGAACTCAGAGAACATAAGTGATTTGCTCACAGTCAAGGCTTGTGAGTGGCTGTGCTGGGACTGGAGTCAGGCGAACATGGCCCTGAGGTCCATATTGAATAGAAACCTTCTCTATGATTCCTCAACAGACACACATACCCATGCTGTTTCAGGTCCACTCTCAGGTTGCTTCTGCTGGGGCCTTATGTGCCTGAGGGCAGAAACTCATAATCATTTGAGGACCCACAAGGTGTTGCAGTCCAGCATGACCATTTCAGACTCCAGCATGATATTTCAAACCATATAGGGTAGCATCCTACCCTATATGATTCCTAGCTGGGGCCCCCATCACCAGGGAAATGGTGCTGGTTCTCACCCAGAAATAGATAAAGAGGAAGTGTCTCTGCTGAATAAGAACAGGTATGCATGCCTATCCCGACTCCCTGCTCCCTGAATGAAGCAGGGCCTCCTGGCATCGCTTGATGTTTGTGATGCTATCCCCGGTTGCATTGGCAGCAGCCAACACCAGGGTTTTCCAGTGGCTGAGGTCCAACACGTGGTTAATGTCATTGCCTTTTCCTCCCTTCCTTGGGATCAGGGGAATAAATGTCTCTTACTTAGAACTGTTCCACACAGACTTAGAGTGACAGAGAAGTAATTTAACCTATTAAAGGCCATTTTGAGCAAAAACCACCTTGTGTCACTGAAGCTGTAGAACTGAGCCACAGGAGGAAACTGTTAAAGTCGCAGGGTCAAGGACAAGGTACCTATGTTATCCCGATGGCATAGAAGCACAGCCTGAGTCTCTTCTTTGGCTGAGCCAAGGGCGTGCTGGAGAGGCCTGAGAGAAGAAGGAACGGCCCTTCTGACCAGTGCCCTTTTGGTTCACAAGGAACGTCTCCTCTTGTTTAAGTGATTTGGCTGAGCTTGCTACTTCTGCTTTGAGAGTCAAATATCAGGATCAAGACTTTAATTATCCCCAATTTACAGATGATGAAACCATATTGGGCAGGAAAGAAAGTCACCGCAGGAGAGCGAGTTGGACCTGGGCACTGGCTGAGGACAAAGGGGAATGATAATTTGGGATGTAGCTTGTTAAGGGGCCTCCCAAGTGTTCTTGTGATCCAGGTGTGGAGAGGATAGAGCAGAATGGTTGCCAGGGAGATGCAGGTAGGGTGCACTGCAAGAGTGGGAGAAATTAAAGAGAACATGCAACAAAGCCTTGGGACAGCGGGAGGGGGATGGACCACCCTGTTTTGTGCTACGAGAGAAGAGAGCAAGAAAAGGAATCTGTGTTAAATCCCGACAGCCTGCAGGAGAAGCAAATGCCCTTCCTTTTGTTCATCAGCAGTGAGACTGGCATCCCTGTAGCTTTGGGAAACTGGCCAGTGTGGATGCCAGCTCCCTCCAGCGGGCCTGACTGGGAGACCTTGGGCTGGGGTTCTGGTCTGGGGCTCCTAGGCCTGATGGGAGGAGAGTTCAGCCCAGGTTTCCTGTGCTTCAGCTCGTATCCAGATGATGGTAACTATTGAAATGAGAGACTCAAAAGAAGCTGGAAACTGCATTTTTTGTTGTCCCATGTGGACACCTGTGTTCAGTTCCTAGTTCTACCTCTTGCTGTCTGTGTGTTCTTAGGTAACTGACTTAAACCTTTCTGAGTCTCATTTTCTTCATTTATGAAATAAAAGACATAACACTTATGTCAGATATTGTCCTGAGGATTAAATGGGAGAATGAGCAAGACTCTTCTGCATTCCCCTTGCGTCCAGTGGGTGGAGGCCAGAGAAGCTGCTAAACATCCTGCCAGGTGCAGGACAGCCCCCATCACAAAGAATTGACTGGATCCTGATGTCAGTAAGGCAGAATTGAGGATCCTTGGTGTGGGGGAAAAAGAATAAACTCGGAAGCTTGGCAGATCTCAATTCAAACCCTGGTTGTACCACCTCTAGCTGAGTGACCTTAGGCAGGTCTATGAACTCTCTGAGACTTGGCCTCCTCATCGATAAAATGAGGGAGATAAAACTACCAAGCTCACCAGAAATAACCCCATGCATATATGGTCAACTAATCTTTGACAAGGTCATCAAGGATACACAATGTAGATTCTTTTATTCCTTTACTTTCTTAATAGGCTTCCTTTCACTCTACTTTTACAAAAAAGAATACACAATGTAGAAAGGAAACTCTCTTCAATGAATGGTGTTGGGGAAAGTTCCTGCAAAAGAATGAAATTGCACACTTGTTTTACATCATATACAAAAAATTAGCTCAAAATGGATTAAAGATTTAAATGTAATATCTGAAACCATATAACTCCTAGAAGGAAACATAGGGAAAATATCTTCTTGACATTGGTCTTGGCAATAATATTTTTTTGCCATAACACCAAAGCACAGGCAACAAAAGCAAAAATAAATAAATGGGACTATATCAAACTTAAAACGTTTTACATAGCAAAGGAAACAATGACAAAATGAAAAGGCAACCTATGGAATGGAAGAAAATATTTGCAATCCATATATTTGATAAGGGGTTAATTATATAAGGAATTCACACAACTCAATAGCAAAAATTAATAAATACATAAATAACCCAATTAAAAATAGGTAATGGACCTGAATGGACTTTTTTTTCCCCAAGGAAGACATACAAATGGCCAGCCAGCATATGCAAAGGTGCTCAATGTCACTAATCATCAAAGAAATGCAAATCGAAACCGCAATGAGATATTGCCACATAGGATAGGACAGCTATTCTAAAAAAGAGAAGAGATAACAAGTGTTGGTGAAAGTGTGGAGAAAAGAGAACCCTTGTACACTGTTGGTTGGAATGTAAAGTGGTATAACCTTTATGGAAAACAGTATGGAAGTGCCTCAAAAAATTAGAAGTGAAAGTACCATACAATTCAGCAATCCCACTTCAGGATATATACTCCCCAGAATGGAATTAGAATCTTGAAGAGAGATCTGTGCCCCATGTTTATTGCAGCATTATTCACAATAGCTAAGATATGGAAACATCCTAAGTGCCCATCAACAGATGAATGGATAAATAATATGTATATAAACCATGGACTATTAGCCATTAAAAAGAAGAAACTCCTGTCATGGATAAACCTGGAGGATATTATGCTGAGTGAAATAAGCCAGACACAGAAAGACAAGTTTTGTATGATCTCACTTCTATGTGGAATCTAAGATAGTGAAATGCATAAAAACAGATAGTAGAATGGTGGTTGCCAAGGGCTGGGGGTGGGGAAAATGGGAAGCTATTAATCAAAGGCTATAAACTTTCAGTTGTAAGATGAACAAATGCTGGAGATTTAATGTACAGCATAGGTGATAATGGATGTAATAAATTTGTGATAATTAGTACACAATATATACATATATGAAATCATCATGTTGTATGCATTAAATATATACAATCCTTGTCAACTAAATTTTTTTTAATTTAAATGCCTAGGTCATAAGAATTCTGAGAATTAAATACAATAACATATATGAATGGGCCTGCTATACAGAAGGTGCTAAATAGGTTTGTTTTGTTTTGTTTTATTTCAACTCTGGCAGATGTAGACTTATTGGGAAAGAATGTAGAATACCCTTGTGCACAAGGATTATCTATATGATGACTAAATATCCTGCATACATGCCATGTCATTTCTTTTTTTTTTATATGCAATACTTTTATTTTAGACATGCAAGGAAAGCTATTTCAGAATCTACTAATTTAAAGCAAGCAGCTGTATACAGACAGCAAAAGAAGCAACATTTTGTTACAGCTTAGCACAAGGCATCCAACGCAAACAGACATGAGACAATGCATATTTATGTAGCATTAAAACCAGATGAATAATATATTATGGGGCAGGAGGAGGAAAGGAGGGGAAAAATAGAAATGAAAGACCAATGTTTCTCAATGCTTCCAATATATAATGCTAAATTTCCCACCTGATAGCACATCCAGGTGCTTCAAATGTAGTGCATTACAGTGAGAATGTTAAGAATGGAAAATCTTATCTGTGTACCTGCCTAATACTAAGTTTGGTCAAAACACATTTTCATAGATCTTCTTTCAGTGGTAAATCGATTTGAACATCTTGTGAAGTTATTGTTTAATAACTTACTTAACTTAGGCTTTATGCTGTCTATATATAAACAATGAATTCTTTTCCTTTTATAAAAAAATATGCTGCATGTTTTATTAAAAGAATATGCAATAGTTACCAATATTAAAGGTTTTAAAATTCAGAAATATAATGCCACAGTTAACAAAGTATTAAGTATTTAAATGAGGACTTAATATATTAGAATGCCATCACTAGTAAAATATAAGTATTTAGGTATTAAAACTGAATGAATATTAGAATTTTTGAACTATATAAACTCAGCATTAATGCTTTGAAAGAGTTATTATTCAGCAACAGATACTGCAGAACAGACTTCAGACATAGCTCTCTAATAAGTTCTTAAAGGGATTGTTTGATATTATTATATAGCACAAATGTGATTCAATAAATGTGGCACTACAAAATTTCTTAATACTGAATGTTTTAACCTTAAATATTATATAATGGTACAAATTAATTTTAGTTTCTTGTAATATTTTCACATATACTTTTATGTGATACATTAGAACACATTAGCTCATACAGATTGTAAGATAATCACACAAAATAGTTTCTTTTTTTAACCTCAATATTTGAAGACCAAACCACACTATATATTATGGCACTGCTTATTTTGACCTAGCACTTCAGCTATATTTTCTTTGGTAAACATTTTAATGATTGTCATGTTTTCCTCTTATAAGATAAATCACAGATGGTTCATTAATAATATGTATATGTTTAAGATTTAATATTACTCAAAACACTTCTAGGTCATATTTTATCAAGATGAGATTAAATCAGTTGCAGAGAGGAATGAGCTGTATCAAGATCACATATAGAATGAAAATACAGAAAAGTTTGGAATGTGAACAGGAAAAAAATACAATCATAAAAGTACTAGTTCTAAAATGTTCTACTATTATTATACAAGACAATAAATCACCATGCTGAGGATATTTTCTTTCATATGTATATCAGCATTCTATTTCCTCTGTGAAATTCTGCATACTCGATGAGTAGTCATTTAGTACACAGGGACATTAAAATATTCATGACGTGGCTACAAAAGAAATGCATATATTCTTACACACAGTATACAAACTGACACAGACACAATCAGATTTCTAGAACATTTAGTTCACAGTAAAGATAACTAAAACTTAAGTTTCTGTTTGCTTTCCTTCTTTGGTTTAAGGCTGAATATTTAACTTCTAAACAATGCCCAAGACTTTAGATTCATTTTTTTCTAACTTTACTACATACAGTGTTCAAAATGATGACAGACATCCTCCAGAAATTTTACAAAATCCTAAAACACTATATTTACTACTAATATTATGAAAAGATTTTCAGTGTAAGTCATCTGGTCAATACTGAGTTGACCAAAAATTCAATTAGAATATTTCCCTTCCACCAGTGTTTAAATTCATTAGTACATTTGTATTACATAAACTAAAGAAACTAGAGAAAAATCTTTCCCAAAAAAACTGGAAAAGTAGTCACTCATCTGGTATTTTAAGTAGCAATGAAGGTTTTTAACTGTTTACTTATACCTACAAAAGCAAAAAATCCAAAGAATTTGACTGAGACTGAGGATATTACTTTTTTAAAAATCCTCAAGACAGATTTTAACAAACTCTCCAGATTTGAGTGTCTACAGAAGGACTTCTAGGGGCTCCGAGAGTTCCCTGAAATTAGAAACAAAATGATGTACAAATTTTCCTGGGGTGACGGCCCATCATCTTTCGGACTCTCAAAGGGATTATATCCCCACCAGAAAGCAAGTTTAAAATTGCTTATTTGAGTGTCTTTAAAGTATCCTCATTTTAATATTTATTCAATTTGAAACTTTGAAATATTGAACTACAAAATCATGTAAACTGTTCCAAGAAAAATATCTAACAAATCCCTAAACTTACACAACCATTAATTACAAACGTATCTGAGGACAAAAGCCAGTTACATTTTAATCCTCAAAGAATTCCTAAATATTTTAAAGAGATAGCTGCCCTTTTCCCCCAACTCAGAATATAGTGGAATGAAGCAGCAAGTTAAAATCATATTAGTAAGAAATTAAACTCCCAACTACTTCATTTTCTCACAGAAGCTCTCATTTTCATAGGGAAATTCTTCTGTATCAATGGCATTAGTGATTCACAGTATTTAATGAATGCTTTTTTGTCAATGAACCTCTGAAGCTATTTCCATATTCTGTGTAAAAAATAAATTATAAGCCCCAATAATGGATCATTATCCAAGCAAAATTCCCTATGAAAATACCAGTTTAATGAAGTAATTGGGACTATCCCTTGGGATTTAATGTAATTAGACTTTTCAGGTAATGCTAAAATATAAATAACAAACTTGACAGAATTGTCATTACAAACTGAATGTATATACCCTACTACATTTCGATGCGTGTCAGTACTCCAGCAGGTATTCTAGTACGCTTTCTTAAACCCAGTGAAACTCTTGCTGTGATACATAGTCTCTGTTTTCTCCTGCAGTAGATCGGCCTGCTCAATTGCTTTAAGGACATTTTTCTTGGATGTTTCCTGAACTTCCCCTCCCAAAAGAAACTCATCCAAAATAAAATAAGCCTTCTCAAAATTAAAGATGATATCTAGTTCACAGACACTGCCGAAATACTTGTCAAGTAATTCCACATAACGATGAATTATTTCCAGGGTAATTAGTTCATTGTCCTGATCCTCAATAGCACAGCAAAAATACAGACTAGCATATCTTTTGTAAACAATCTTCAGATCTCGCCACTCAAGGAAGCTGCACATTTTAGGTTTCCGTGCTAAAACGGTCTGAACAAGTTCTCTTGTGATCTTTTTCTTCTCTTTGTCCGATAGTGGGACATACCATTTTTGCAGTCGAAGCTTTCCCTGACGACTAAAAAGCAACATAAACTGCATGGCGGCCGCGGGCCGCGGGCGCGGCGGAGCTTGGCCGGTGGCGGCGGAGCTTGGCCGGCGGCGGCGGCAAAGGGGAAGCCCCTGTCGCCGTGCTGAGGAAGAGAAGCCGTGGTGCTGTGGGGAAGGGCCATGCCATGTCATTTCTATTTCTCATTCCATGGGTAATAAAAGCAGAACCAGCCTTCTGGTGGTCACAAAACATTTTGACATGAGAAAGGCTCATGATGAGCAATCTGGGAATGTACATCCCAGAGCATGCATGCCCTTTGACCCACAGCTACCATGATGTCATGTCTAGTAATTAGTCCTAAGGAGATCATCAGAGATATGTAAAGAAATTTCATTCTAACAGCATCCTCTGTAGTGTTATACATCAGGGGCTGGCAAACCATGTCGGGAAGAACACAGTCATGCCCATTCATTTACAAATTGTGTATGGCTTCTTTCCCTGCAACAGCAGAGTTGAGTGTTGCAACAGAAACCTATGGCCTGCAGAGTTTAAAATATCTACTCTTTGGCCTTTTTTTTTTTTTTTCTTTTGTGACAGAGTCTTGCTCTGTCGCCCAGGCTGGAGTGCAGTGGTGCGATCTTGGCTCACTGCAACCTCTGCCTCCCGGGTTCACGCCATTCTCCTGCCTCAGCCTCCCGAGTAGCTGGGACTACAGGTGTCCGCCGCCACACTCACCACACCCAGCTAATTTTTTGTGTTTTTAGTAGAGACAGGGTTTCACCGTGTTAGCCAGCATGGTCTGGATCTCCTGACCTCGTGATCTGCCCGCCTTGGCCTCCCAAAATGCTGGGATTACAGGCGTGAGCCACTGCGCCCGGCCTACTCTTTGGCCTTTTATGGAAAAAAGTTGCTGACTCCTGGTGAATATATTAAGAAAAAGTTGGAAAAACCTAAATCTTCAAGAGTGGAGAATTAGAAAGTAAGACACGTTGTATATAAGACAGATAGTGTGTGTGTGCATTTATTTGTAAATACATTGTTTGGAAGTAATGTTGTCAACATATGTTGCAGGTCTTAAAAATTGTTCAATATATAGTGTTAATCAACAAACAGGCAAATTATAAAATGTAGACAGAATGTGATTGTGCATTTTGTGCATACACCAACAGAAGAGGGTGCTAAGAAGCCTGTGGACCAACATGCTAAGTGTGGCTCTTTTGATGGTGGTATTATGGGATTTTAAAAATCCTCTTGGTTTTGTATAGATTCTGACCTTCCTGTAATGAGTGTGAATAAATATGTGTTTCTTTATAAATGTAAAAATAACTTTATCTTCCCAGTTCTCATAATTGAAAATGTTGGAACAAATGGTCCTGGGACAGATCTTTCCTTTGAGAAGGGCAGAGGAGGGGATTCAGCTGGGTTTCTGTTGCATTTCTAGTAACACACAGTTGTGAAAGGCCAGTGTTGGCCATTCCCCAGGACAGACTGGGGTAGAGGAGGTCAGGATTTAATTACTTGAGGGACCAGGGAATGGACGTGGCCACAGTCCTTCCTGACTCGCTGTTTTCCCTTCCACAGTCCCTGTCTTCTCCTCACTGATGCACATAGATGCCTGACCAGAGGAGAGATTTAGTTTTCATCCGAGGATTATTTGTTATGTTGCAGTTCTGAAATTCCCATAATGTTTAAACTAGAACACAAGTGATTTCATTATCTCTAATGTGTACGGCTTGATAGAAATATATTCCATTATGTATCACCTTAAATCCAGATAAAACATAAGGAATTTCTATTCCATGTTTGTATGATCAGTGCTAATAATATAAAAAGTCTAAAAAATAGCTATTTCCTATATTACAGTATGAAATAAATATGCTGAATGATTTGTTTTGGGGGGTGGAAAGGTGTAAGACTGAGGAGGGTGCCTGTGGGGAACAGTGATAGGAATCCTTTCTTAAGGGTTGGGTTTTACATATGTCTTTTAAAATAGATGATATCATTAATAAATTATCTGTGGGCATCATGAAAAAAGTGGATAATGTACAACTTTTATGAGCTTGACAGTTGGTGAAACGCTTTTCTGTTTAAAATTTTATTTGACCCTCCCCAAAAGAAATGTTTATTCATGAGTATTAGGGTAGTTCCAGTAGTAATGCCTCAAAAGAACCAGGAGGTATAGTGTTGTCTAAAATGTGGACTCAGGAGCCAGACTGCCTGGCTGTGCAACTAGCCTTGTCACTTCCTAGATATGTGGCAAGTTAATTAACTCCTCAGTGTTCTTATCTGTAGAATGGGGATAATCATAATATACATCTCAGGGTTATATTAAAAATTGAAAAAGTTAATTTTGTAAAGCATTTAGAATGATATCTGACAAATAAGTGTGTTTATAAAAGCAAACCCTATAAAAGTGTTTACTCATTAAATACAATAATCTGAAGCCATTAGTGATTTAAACACTTGTGGCTGACTTGATAATATTTATGAAAATAAATACTGTATTTATAATCTTTGACCTGGTTTTACTCCTAGGAGTTTATTGTACAGTAAACATTTTCACAGGCAGACAAAAATATTACTATAAAATCATGTTTATTACATCTATCTGTGCAAAAGGAAAAAACATTAGGCAAATAAAATGACAATCAAAAGTGGTATTAGTTAAATGAATTATAGTAAATCCGCTGATTAGTAATCATATAATCCAAAAAGAAGTAGGCATATTTATGTGATGTGGGAAGATCCACAACTAATGTTAAATGGTAAAACATATAAAATGTTATGCCCAATAAAATACTTTCTGTGAGAGAATATGTTAATTTATTCAAGTGGCACCAATGTGGAGGGTTTATGCTAATTTCATTATACCTCACAGACAGACCTGGGCTCTCCCACTCATTATCTATGTGGCCTGGGATAAGTCATTTAACTGCTGTAAGCCTCAGCTTCTTCATCTGTCAGGCAGTGATACCCTGACTACTCTGCAGGGTAACTCTGAGATTTAAACGTGATCATCTCAGAATATGCCTGGCAAACAGTAGGAGCTCAGAACTTGATGTTTTTTCCTACAGCAACTGCATGTCTTTTGGGGATAGCACTTAATGCATGAGGTTGGTAAATCCTTATATACATAAAATATTGTGAAAACATAAGTACGTGCTACCATTTTTTCAAACCTCTTTTTTTTTTTTTTTTTCCTGAGACAGAGTCTCACTCTGTTGCCCAGGCTGGAGTGCAGTGGCACCATCTCAGCTCAGCTCACTGCACCCTCCAACTCCCGGTTCAAGTGATTCCTGTGCCTCAGCCTCCCGAGTAGCTGGGATTACAGGCATGTGCCATCATGCCAGGCTAATTTTTTTTTTGTATTTTTAATAAAGATGGGGTTTTGCCATGTTGGCCAAGCTGGTCTCCAGCTCCTGGCCTCAGGTGATCCTCCTGTCTGAGCCTCCCAAAGTGCTGGGTCAAACCTCTTATATCCAGTAAAACAGCCTCACTGGGTCAATGGATATCATGTGGTTGCCTAACATTTTTACTTTATAAAAGGTCCTCATGAGGCCATTCGAAAGTATGAATCAAAACGCTTTAAGATGAACAGGGCCATAAGTTTGTATGAGGCTTCTCAGTGGACCTCCAGATGAAGACCAAAGTAATTACAATTTCACATTTCATTTGTGAACATGGCCAGCAGCTACGTTCATACATGAAACAGGACAATGACAACAGCACCAGGAATAGCTGCCCCTGGTCAGATGCCCTCATGAGCCCAGCTCCACAGGACAGGGCCACCAGGCCCTGCTTAGGGGAAAGCGGGGGCGGGTTTGTAGAGGAAGCCCAGCCAGCCAGCCAACCAGAGATGGGAAAAACCCATTGGGAAGAAGTTGCTTGCTCTAGCTGGACTTTGCAAAGAACAGGAAAAGATGAATCTGGACAGACAAATGGTCCTGAGTGGGGGAGCTTGGCCGTGAGCGTGACTCAGGATGTGGTCAGCAGCTGCCACACCAGGACACAAGATATGCAAAGATGCTGGGTGGTTGGTTCTTAAAGATTTTGTGCCTTGAGAAAACTAAAGGATGCAGACGTAGGCAGAAGGTGGCTCTTTAAAAGTGCTTCAGGCAAGGAGGCAGTATGGCATGGTAGAAAGTGGTCTGGTTTTTGAGTTGAAGAGACCAGCCTTGCCATTTATTTTTCAACAGATCACTTCACCTTCTGGGCCCTAATTTCCATGTCTGTGCAATGAGAATGACATTATACTTAAGATGTAACAGGAAATGAAAGCACAAGTATAAGATCTCCCCATACTTTCATCTCATCCACTCTAACCAGGGCTGACATGCATGATTTTCCAGGTTGTGCACTGAACAACTATGTCTGGTGGCCAGGATGAGTGGGACCATCATCCATCTCCAGTGTCATTTCTGAAGTGCTCCACCCTGGCACTGCCTACACCTAGAGGGAGGGACACTTTTCCTAAATAGGATACAGGTGCTGTCTGTTTACCCATGGGACTCTGTCTACTGGAAGGGGGCGTTTTTCTAATTCTCAAAGAAGCATCTTTTGAACTAGTGGTGGTCTTCATCCAGCCTGCCATGACTATCTGCATTCGAATGCAGGCTGTTTATACACACATTTCTCACCCTCTATAGAGTGGAGGCTATGGTTTTCCTGTCTGGAACCAACTACTCTTTAGTACAAATTGGGGACAATTGTAGGCATGAAAACCTAATGGGACTCTGTTTATTCTGGGAATAGGGTAGAGATGAATCCTGCCTGGGATGTGGGAAAGGAAGAAAGCCTTTGACTCATCCCTTTAAGAGAAGGGGCTTTTGGCAGTCTGGAGTCTTTATCTTTTCTGAGTTCCTGGCTGACACTGATGTTTTAAAGGCTAACACAATGTGGAAGTTCCAACTCCCAGGCTGACCATTAACTCCATCCCATGCCACAAGCACCCCAGGAAGCCAGGGTTGGAACCCAGAGTCAGGGAGAGGGGTGGCAGCCCAGGCTCGCAGGAGCCAGTTTCCTAAGCCTGGAGCATGTCAGGCAGAATCAGGCATAGCCTGTCCTGAGTGTGCTGGAGCTGGGCTGTCCTGGAGGTGAAGAATCATACACAGAAAGGAGCACCCGAGAAATGCCCTCAGGCTAGGAGGAGAAATCCACATGACTATTGTGGAAAGTGTGGGTTTTGGTGTAGAATTTTTACTCTTTGATGATTTGAGCACTTTTCATCACCATGGTGGGCCGAGGACCTGCCCCAGTCCCCAGATATTGCTCCAGACAATGAGTTCTGCAGCCTGCAGTTACTGTTTTCCCTCTTCAGCTGCTCTACTTGGGAGCCTGGCTCTGTTAGGAAGGTGCGGGCAACCCTGTTCCCCCGCCCTAGGATTGAACCAGGATGAAGACATATCCAGGAAAGCCGCTGTGGCCAGCCTGAGCGTAAGAGAGACTGCGACTCCCTGCCCAGTGGAAATACACTATACTGCAAGATGCCAAAATGAGCCACTTGAATCCTTTTTTTCGGGAAGTCAAAAGTACGGTGAGGCATGAGAAGAAGGATCTCCAGCTCCAAGTTGTTCTCCCTCTTGTGGCTGAACACACTGTTACCATATGCTTATGAAACCATTTGCATATGGTACAAGCCCATGTGGGAGAAATGAGAGCTCTGACAACTTCTACCTGTCTTCTGTCCTCTCCTGACAATGCATCTCCATCACTAATAGTGGCCTCTGGGTTTTACTTTCTTCTGTGCACAAAGAAAACAACTGGTGGCACCTGTACATAGAGAATTCCAGAGGCAGGAAACTCTCCTTACTTTTGGACAGTGCACAGCAAAGAGAATGTAGTTGGAAGTTCAGCCAACCTGGATTGCAAGCCACCTGGAGCAACATGGCCTTACATGAGTCACATGACTGCTGGGAGCAACTCTCTAAAAGAGAGTGGTGAAGAAACCTAGGTCATCAGAAGGTTAAATAGAATAACGTGTGTGACTGGGCAGAGCACACAGAAGGCACCAAATATGTGTTTTTTAGATTCTTTCCCAAATCTAGGAGGTGGAACTTAGCAATAAAATGCCTTAAAACCTAAAAAAAAGTTATAAAAGTGCATTCAAGGTCATGGAAAAATATACATTAGGTATAAAAAGGAAGGTTGTAAATGTATGTAAGATGTAACATAATAACTAGTTTGCACACACCCTTACAAAATAAAAGTTCTATAAGGATATGCACCAACCGATTTACTATGGCTAACTCTTCTAGGTTCTAGGCGCTCCGACAGGTTTCTGTTGCATTTCCCAGTGACCATGACCCCTAATCCCCTAAGCCCCTAAGCCTCCCTCTTTTCTGCTCACAGAGAACTGATGAGAGGAGAGACTCAGCTCAAAAGTGTTAAGTGAATGAAGTCATTTCTTAAAATATTGGGTTTATAGTTTCCTTTTTTTAAAAATAAAACAAACGATATAGTTTATAAGCTTTTTGCTAGAAAAATAATAAAATCTTATTTAAAAACATATACTGTTAACATTAATGAGATATTTTCCCACTTAAAATCTCATTTGATACTCCCATCAAATAAGATTTATTCTTTAGGATTTGAGTAATTCTGGGAATAAAGCCTTAATAAATCAGGAAGGACAACATAGTCATTAAGTGCCTGGGCACTGCAGACCCTGGTTTCCAAACCAGCTACTTTCTGTCTGACTTCTGCCAAGTTACTTTGCCTCTCTGAGCCAAAGTCTTCTCATGTATGAAACAGAATCATTACAGTTCTCCCCTCAGGATGTCATGAGGAGTCAAGGTCTAGGAGCAGTACCTAGCACAGCACAAGCACGATGTAAGTATTTGCTAAGTGAATGAATAAAAATATGATGATCTTTTATTATGCTGCCTGATTTGGTAATATGTGTTAGTAAATGTTTGTAACTAATTTTATCATCTCACTCTTAGGAATTTTAAAAAATCACTTCTAGAGGTGTACAAAAACACTTGCATATGATCCTGTTCATTTCAGCATTCTATGCAAGAACAAAAAATTGCAAACAATTAAAGTGTTCACTAAAGGAATGTTGGTTAAATAGATTACAGTAAATTCACTTAATGAAGTATGACATAGTCCTTTAAAAGCATGAAGTAGGTAGATTTATAGGTTGATGATAGAAGTATCTATTCACAATTATTATTAAATGAAAAAATATGTAATAAAATGTTAGGTATAATATACTTTATATAGCATTAACACAGTATCTGTGAATATTTTCAAATACAGTCCACAGTGGATATTTCTCTCATGCTACACAGACAGATCAGGGTCAGGATCTTGGCTCTGCCCCTTATTAACTGTAGAACTCTGGGAAATTCATTGAGCCCCTTGGAGCCTGTTTCTACATGTATAAAGTGGTGATAATATCAATTATTCTGCAGAGTTGTTTTAGGTTTTCTTTTCTTTTCTTTGTTTTGTTTTGCCTTTTTTTTTTAGATGGAGTGTAGCTCTGTTGCCCAGGATGGAGTGCAGTGGTGCGATCTCAGCTCACTGCAACCTCTGCCTCCTGAGTTGAAGCCATTATCATTCCTCAGCCTCCCGGGTAGCTGGGATTACAGGCATACGCCACCACACCCAGCTAATTTTTGTATTTTTGGTAGAGATGGAGTTTCACCATGTTGGCCAGGCTGGTCTCGAACTCCTGGGCTCAAGTGATCCACCCACCTTAGCCTCCCAAAATGCTGGGATTACAGGCATGAGCCACTGTGCCCGACCCTATTTCAGGTTTAAATGCCATAATCTCCATGAAAATCCCTAGCAAGCAGCAGGTACTCAGGGTGGTGTTTGTTCCCACAGTGACTGTATGTATCTGGGGGACAACACGGGTAATGCATGAGATTCACAAGTCCATATGTAACCCACACATTGTCTGTAAAATTAATAAGTGATGTGTTACTCTTTTCAAATATAAGTAGAGACTGCTGTAAATAACACAAACTCCTATTAAGTGACATTACTGAATCCATTAGGCGTGTAGGCAGATACTTTATTACTACAAATTTAGCTATCTTATGAGTAATTCAATGTTTCTGATGTTTTAAAAGGGCCCTCATGAGGCAATTTGAAAATATGTCTCTAAAGCCTTAATATTAGGCAGGACCCTGGGCATTGAATAAAGACTTGTTTTGAGGTCCACAGAGAGGAGACACAAGGTCACAAGATGGTCCCATGGCCAGCAAGTGGCAGAGTCCAGATCCAAAGGACGTCTGTCTGACTCCAGACCTCAGGATCTTAACCCCCACACAATAAAACAAAATGTGTAGATGCAGCTAAAGAAGAGCTCAGATGGAAATTTATAGCATTTGATGCTTATTTTAGAAAAGAAGGAAGGCTCGAGTCAACAATCTAAACCTCAGCTTTAACAAACTAAAGAAAAAAAAGGGCAAAATAAACCTAAAACAAGCAGAAGGAAGGAAGTTTTGGTAAGTTAAAGAAGCCACTCTCAAAAGGTTACATATTGTATGAACACATGACATTATGGAAAAGGCAAAGCTACAGGGACAAAAAACATCGGTTGGTGGCCAGGGATTGGGGTGAGGCAAGGATGCCACGACAGGGAGCATGAAGCAGATTTGTGGGAGTGATCAAACTGTTCGGAACCTTGATTGGGGTGGGGCAACAAAACTCATAGGGCAGTATACCCCCAAATAGCCTTTTTATTAAAATGATAATCTCTCACTGTTTGGAATCCTGATTGGGGTGGGGTTACAAAACTCATGGAGCGGTATACTCACAAACAGTCTTTTTATTAAAATAATAATCTCTCTCTCACTCTCTCTCTCTCTCTCTCTCTCTCGATCTCTCACACATACACACATGCACGCACACAATGTTTCTCACCATGCAGGCTGTGTCTGTTCACCACTGCCAACGGTATGCCAGGTATAATAAGACTAAATATGTTTTTTTGTTGAATTAAAGCCATTCATTCAAAATGAATCACTGGTACCCAAAAGATGGGGTCTAACTTATGTTTAATTATAATGGGAATAAGTAGCACTTATTGACTGCTTTTTAATTTGCCAAGTACTGCCAAAGATTGAGATGCATTATTCAAATGCATTTATAACTCTTAGATCATTCGGTTCTTTATAATGGCATATTTCGTAGCCATTTCTATTTCTTGAAATTTCAAGTCTTTTTGGTTTTTTTGATTCTTTTGGCAAACTTTCTTAAAAGTACAAGAGCCCAAGTTGCACAGGTAAATAATAGCAATGTAGCGGAATGACCACCAGATGGAGACAGAGAACACAAAGTTATTCAGACGCAAGGTTTTTGCCAGAGTTGTTTCCCAGGCTCAGGAGGCACAACACCTGGATATGAGGTTGCTCCCATTAGGACGCTGGTTCTCAAACCTGGCTGCTCATTAAAATCACCTGGGGACATTTACACTACTGATGAACAGCCCCCTTCACCCCACCCCTGAGTTTTGTGGTCTGGAGTACGGTCTTGCCACTGAGAGTTTTAAAAGCTGCACAAGTGATTCTAGTTGCAGACAAGTTTGAGAACCACTACTTTCAAACATGCAACAGTGGAGGGTCTCGAGCTGGTGTGTTTCAGAATCATCTGGGGAATTCGTGAAAAACAGAGACTCAGGCTGTTGTAGCCTTCATTCTTTTGAGAAGCAGTGTATTCTGAAATGATGACATGCTAAACTTAACAATAGTTAAAAAAAATAATCAGTACTGAATCTGATACAAGGCCAGGTGTGGTGGCTCACACCTGTAATCCCAGCACTTCGGGAGGCCAAGGTGGGAGGATCGCTTGAAGCCAGGAGTTCAAGACCAGCCTGGTCAACATAGCAAGATCCCATCTCCACAAAAGAAAAATTAAAAAATTAGCTGGGCATGGTGGCACATGCCTGTAGTCCCAGCTACTCGGAAGGTTGAGATGGGAGGATGGCTTGAGTCCAGCAGGTCAAGGCTGCAGTGAGCTGAGATTATGCCACTGCACCGAGCGTGGGTGACAGAGTGAGACCCTGTCTCAATAAACAGATAAATCAGATACAGTCTCATACTAGATTCTTTTCCAAACTGGGACAGCGGGTTTCCTCTCCAGAGAAGTATAGGCCACACATGCTGGCAGGTGCTGGAAGAGTTTCTAAAGCCATGTTTGGTTGTTCCATTTTGGGGTGTTAAGAAAAAGGCCACTCAGCCCGGTGGATTCCCAGCCTTCATGTAGTCTACTCCCCAAATTTGTTTTCACTCTCTTTTATCAAAGTGTTTAAATTATTTTATTTATTTTAATTTTTAATCTGATTTTTTTTTTTTTTTTTTTTTGTAGAGATGGGGGACTCGCTATGTTGCCCAGGCTTGTCTCAAACTCCTGGTCTCAAGCCATCCTCCTGCTTTAGCCTCCCAAATTGCTGGGATGACAGGTGTGAGGCACTGTGCCCAGACTAAATTATTGTAATATTACAGCTATTATGGATTCGGTTTCTAAATAACATTTGTTGTTTTTCCATATCATAAAAGTAATGAATCTCCATTGTGGAACATTTGGAAAAAACAAAACAAGACACACATGTAAGAAAAAATGACCTATTCTCCTGCCACATGGAGATAATCACAGTTATTTTGATATGTTTCATTATAGATTTTTTCATGATATGTGTACGTATGTATGGGTATACACTCTTAAGTGTGTGCTTACACGTGCTCCAAATGTGTGTGTGTGCACATGTGCACAATCCAATCTACATCGTGGGGAATCTACAAAGTTGTGGTCACAGTGTAGAGCCAGCCCCACAGGCCTCCCCAGAGACAAGGCCCTGGACTGCCCCCAAGTCCTCCCGAAAGGGACATCTGTGGTGGTGGTAGGGCCAGGATGCCATGAGCAACCACCTGGAGGCCCCGAGTACTCAGCGTGAACCAGGTAGTGGAAGGGAAGGGGAAGGGCAGAGTGAGAACCAGGAGGAATGCTTGCTTTTCTTTCCAAGCACAAGGGACCACTTTCTCCACTGCAGCTGACCTGATGCTTATGCCGGGAAGGAGGAGGGGCAGACTCCGTCCTCCAGGTCCCTCAGGAGGGGAGAAAGGGACCAAAGTGGGAGACTTGGGTCTGAGGTCTGAACTTGACCCTGCACCCGCATCGGTTTCTCTGGGTGGGGGTTGGGGAGGGAGCAGGCAGCCGAGGGCCCTCACCCACTGCAGGGTCTTGTGGATCACGAGTGATCCTGTAGTAAGTGAGGGTTTTGTTCACGTGGTTCAGAGTGTTACGGAGAGCTTTTGTTCTAAGCTTATTTGCCTGGAGAAAGGAAAAAATGATCTTATTAGCACCAAAGGGTGTGGTAGACAGAACGATGGCCCCCAGAGATGGCCACGTCCTAATCTCCGAAGCTGTGAATATGTTATTGACGTGGCCATGGGGAACTGAGGCTGCAGATGGGGTTAAGGTTGTTAATTAGCTGACTAATTAGGGAGATTATCCTAGACTGTCTGGGTGGCCCAATGTGGTCACAGGGTTCTTAAAAGCAGAAGAAAGGACAGAGAAGAGAAGAGTGAGATGTCACCAAGGAAGAAGGCCAGGGAGATGCAACCAGGCCGGCTGTGAAGGTGGAGGAATGGGCCACCAGCCAAGGAGGGCGGGCGGCCTCTAGAAGCTGGAAAGAGCCAGGAAATGGGTGGAATCCCCAGGCTCCAGAAGAAACGCAGCCCTGCCGACACCTTGACATTAGCCCAGGGAGACCACTGTCAGACTTCTAACCTGCAGAGCGGTGAGATAGTAAGTGTGTTGCTCTAAGCCTCTAAGTTTGTGGTCATTTGCTGCAGCAGCCATAGGAGGCTCATCCAAGGAGGATCCCAGCTCCAGCCCCTGGTGCCCTGGGGTGGGTTCTGCAGGACACCTGGTGTGGAACTGGAGTCTCCTTCCCAGGGCATGCCCTGCCTTTGCGGACTGTCCCCTCTGCCTGGAACCCATCCTGGCCTCAGGCATGCTCGTGCAGTGGCCTCTCTGAGCGGGAGTATTGCCACCACTCCTTCCTCCTGTGCCAGCGACTCTGAGCTCCGTGTCTGACTCAGTCTGATGCCCGCCACCCCGGCCTAGGTTTGGAGGTCAGGCAGCCCGGGGTTTCAATTCCAGCTCTGTGGCAGCGTCAGGTTCCCCACCGTGCAAAGGACACAGGAATCCCTCTCTCGCACTGCTTTCAGGAGCTGGTCTACAAGGAGACTGCTCTTTATAAAACACCGGGGAGAGTCCCGGGGACTTCCTACAACAGGCCCTGCCGGCTCCAGTCCCACGAGTTAGGGGTCACTGAGCTCCCGCATTGGGCACACTTCCCTGGTTACACTCACTCTTGGCTCTCACATCCCTGAGCTCCACCTGCAGCATAAGGACACCCAGGCCTGGTGCGGGGAGCCATTTCTTCCCCAGGAGTAGGTGGTGGGGCACTGCCGTGTCTCCTACAGCCCTGCCTTCCCCAGAGAAGGCGCAATGTTCCCTTCTGGGGTGGTCCTCCTGGACTGCGGTGGGCCCCAGGCATACACATTTAGGTCCCCAAGTCAACTCAGACTCTGCCCTGTGAAACTAAAAATAAAGCAACACTGAAGTGTAGGATGCACAGAAGGAAGGAAGTCTAAGAAGTTCTGATTTTTCATGGCTCAAGGTCACCTTGATGCTTTTATTTAATAGCATTTTTTTCTCTCCTCTCCTAGATACACTGTTGTGCTGGTGCCTTAAGTGCATTTGTGGTTGGCCTCTTGGCCCATCTCTCATGGGAATGAGGATTCTGTGGTCAAATACATTGGGCAGATGCTGCCTACTTCATCCCCCTTACTGAGAGTCGAGGAGCAGCCCATCAGCACATTAAAGGCTCTGGTAAGTCCTACAGTAAAGAAACTGGTTTAACAATGTTTTCCAGTGTGATCTGACCACAGTCTTTGTTTGCACATCATAGTAACCTCCAGCTGAGAATGCTTCTTATAAAATGCCAGCCTGGAAATTCTCCAGGGGTTTCCCCCGATCAGCAGGTAGGTAACGCTGGAAGGCATCCCGGGTGTGGGACAGACTGGGCGCTCTGCATGGAGGTGAGTGGCTGAGGTCTCCTCAGCTTGCTTGGGCTCTGAGGGGGAGTGGCAGCTGTGGGCTTCCCTGGACTGGTCCAGGCCCCATAGGTGGGCACAGCTGGTGGGCAAGCCTGGGTGAAACTCCCTCACCTTCCTGGCTCCTGGCCGCAGGTGCAGCTTGACACAGGGGTCTGCCAGCCCATTGTGGTCCATGGGCTTCAGGTCCCGGGTAGAGAACAGCAAAGGGTGTGAACGGGAAATCGGGGGATGGAGCTGCCAGGGCCTGCAGGTGCCTGGGCCAGCAGATGCCCTTGTCCCCTGGGTCTCCTGGCTGGGTGCATTCATGGCCCCTGTCACAGAAGCCCCTGGCCCCACACCTCCAGACACAGGGAGTGAGGGTGGCATCGCGGTGCAATCTCCCCTCCCACAAACATCCTGGCCCAGGGCAGCTGTTAGGGGGCCTCTGTCAGGACAGACTTTCTCTCCTCGCCATCCTGAAAGCCAGGTGGCTCACCTTCCTCTGAGCCTCCCTCCCCACCCTGCTTTGGTCAGGCCCTTCCCTCGTCCTGACTCCTCTCCCCCATCTTCCCAGCACCGCCTCCTGAGAGGCCACGTCCCTCACTGACCCTAAATCCACATAACCCCGGGTCACCGTCGGAGAGGCCCCATTTCTGGCCATATTTGTCACAACTCCCAGTCAGTCCACAGAGGTCACACAAGCTGATCGGCCACAGAGGGTTCCTCCACAAGACGGCGCCCCTCACTCACTCTGCCTTCCGTTCCCTTAGAAAACCCAGCCAAGCGTGCAGACCCAGGGACACACAGAAGGATGGGCAGATAGGGGCTTCGCTGACCTCAGCAGGCTCTTGTTTCGGAAAACCGCATTTTTTTTTTCTTCTGGGCTGGAGCACAGGGCTGTAGGGAGGCAGCTGTGGCATCTGTGGGGCGCAGCCGGTAACCCCAGAACATTATTCAAAGATGCACCGCAAGGCCTCTACCCAGCCGGGTCAGGGAGGCAGCCTGGCTGCTCACACCAGGCTCATCTCCAAGGGGAGGCTGAGTCTCCCTCCCAGGCCGACCCCACCTTGGTTTGGCAGAGCTCCGGGGGATCGGGGGGCTCCCAACCACCTACTTCTCTGCCACTGGAAGAGGGCAGAAGTTTGGGGGCCTGGCTGGCATGGTTTCTGGGCTCAGCCCCTGTATTCACTCGCTAGGAAGTGGATGAGTACTTTTCACCCGAAGCCTCAGCTTTATCATCATCTGCGCCTCAGCCGGGCGCAGTGGCTCACACCTGTAATCCCAGCCCATGAGCCCAGGAGTTCAAGACCAGCCTGGGCAACATAGTGAGACACTGTCTCTACAAAAACTTTAAAAATTAGCTGGGTGTGGTGGCACATGCCTGTGGTCCCAGCTATTAGGGAGGCTAAGGGAGGAGGACTGCTTGAACCCAGGAGGCAGAGGCTGCAGTGAGCCATGATCATGCCACTGCACTCCAGTCTGGGCAACAGACTGAAACCGTTTCTCAAAATTAAAAAAACAAAACAAAACAAAACAAAAAAAACGGGCAAGGATGTAAGAGTCCCATCTTCCCAGGGCTGGAGTGAGAGGGAGGGAGACGACGTGGACACAGGGCCTGGCAGGCAGAGCGTTTCCTCCCCTTCCCTGCACGCCAGGCCCCTGTGAGATGCCAGAGAAGTGGCTGAGGTCAGGTGGGCATACGTGAGCTGTGCCCTGCACTGTGGGGCTGCCTCTGGGACAGGGCCTGGCTCAGTAGCCCCATGTGCACCCACAGTGACATGGCTGCTCTTCCAAACCCAACTCCCTCACCCTGGCCTCTTGCCTTTCCCACCACGTGCCTGGAGTGCAGAGTTCTGGGAATCTGGTGGCCCACCCTGTGCGGGGGGTCCCTGACCACTGTGTCTTATTCTTACAATTCGTATACATTTGTTTGTTGTAGCTCAAAATGTTTTCACTGGGTCCTGTCTCTTGACACATTTCACTTGCATATCTTTGGGCCACCAGAAGTTTTGGCATGTCTGTCCAGTGGCTCTGGTTGTCCCACCTCTGTACCCCAAGACACCCGTGGGGGCTAGGCTGGGGGTGCTGCCACACTGGGACGGAGTGATGCCTGCTCTGTCCTTCTGACCCCTGGACTGTGATGGGCCCTCTGCTGCCGCCTCTCCTCTCCTTCACCCGGCAGGCCCCTGAGCACCCTGAACAGCCACACATTTGGCCAGAAGCAAAAAGACCAGTGGGCACTGCCTGAGGCCGTGTCACCGTGCTGCCAACAGCTTCTGTGCCCAAACAGGTGGCTTCCCTGGCCCTGACCCCGGGTTCCCACCAGTGCCTCCACCCAGCCCTCTGTGGGGCTGCCCTCCCATGGAGTCTGACCTCTGTCCACAGAAGGGGGAGGGCAGGAGGCTGATTCCAGGTCAGGGAGCTGTTAGGGGGGCTCTTGGATAGACCCTCCCCAGCTAGTGAGTTGGCAAGAGACAGAAACTGACCCCATGGTTTAGGGGCGGCTCCCACGGGAGGGACAGGAGGAGTAAGCCATGAGAGGAGGCCCTGGCTGGTGCTGGCACTGAGGGGATAGATGGGGGGGCATCTGGCTTTGAGAGGAGAGCCTCTCCCCCAAACCCCAGCCCTGCCCCTCCCTGGGCCTCTCAGATGCTGTTGCTGGTGAAGTGTTCAGGAGAGGAGATTCTGATTCTCAAGTATCATTCAGCCTGAAAAAGGAAGTTTTGACACGGGCTGCAGTATGGATGAAGCCTGAAGACATTCTGCCGACTGAAGGGAGGTAGACACAAAAGCACAGATACTGGGTGATTGCACTTATATGAGGTTCCTAGAACAGTCACATCCATGGAGAAGGAAGCAGAAAGGCGGTTGCCAGGGGCCGGGGGAGGACGAATGGGGAGCTGCTGTTTAATGGGTCCAGTTTCAATTTTGCAGGATGAAGAGGCTTCTGGAGATGGGTTGCACACAGTGTGAAGGTAGAAGGTACTGAGCATGACTGAACTGTACCCTAAAAATGGGTGGGTGGGTGGGTGGGTGGGGAGTGAAGGAGCAAAAAGAAATGGTTGCAATGGGAAATTTATACTTGTATATTTTAGCACAATAAAAAAACCCAAGAGTCTCCGAGGACTGGCAGTGCTCATTGAATGCTCACAACAGCCACGTAGAGCAGGGACAATCAACCCTATTTACAGATGGGCAAACCGAGACGGACCCTTAGAAGAGCGGACAGGCAAGGGTGCACCCCGGGGCGTCCAGCCTCCCCCAGGCCCTCCAGAGGCCTGTGCCAGTCCTGCTTCTGCTTGCCCACCCTGGGCCCCTCCCCACACCCCAGCCCCAGCTCCCCACACCCCAGGACCCCGGCTCTTCCGGGAAATGCACCACATCCCCGTCCCTGCAAAGCTGGATTCACACAGAGAAAGAACTGGGGACTGGGGGAGCCACCATGGCTCGGGGCCTCCCATCCGCACTTCCAATGCCTGAGGGATACACCCCTAAGTGGACCCCCAAGCAGATCCCCCATCCTGGAGAGATGCGGGGGTTTTCGCTCCGGGGGGGGCCACTGGTCGTCCCCACCTTCAGCTTCCGGTGGCACATTTGATCCTAGGGAAACTCCAGGCTGGCAGCCTGCAGGCCCTGGTGAATGCCTGGGCCCAGCGCAGACACCCCTGCTGCGCGGTGGAGGGGCCCTGGGGAAATCCGAGCGGGACTCTCACCAGGCAAGGTCCACATCCTGGGCAGGGTGGGGTTTGACGCTGGTTTTCTGAGTGACATGGCTGAGGCCACAGCTGGGCTGGGGCTGGTGGGGTTGGGGAGGGGTCTCCCATCCCACCCCCACCCCACACAAACCGATTCCTCGCTGGATTGCGACCTCTTCTGGCCTCGGTTTCCCAGCCAGTCCCGGCCCCGGCCGGACATGCACCCTCGGGGGCGGGAAAAGGTCCCGGAGCGTCCGCCGGTCGGGCCTCGGCCCCGGGACTCTGGCCCTTGCCTGCTCCATGGGGCTCGGGGCTCGGTCCGGGAGGAGGGGGGTCCTTTCTGCCCGGGGCAGCGGGCGCAACCGGTGGGCAAAGGTCCGCGGCCCTGGAGAACGCCGCGGCGGGGTCCACGGACACCAGAGGAGGAACCGCCAAGGTTTTTCCAAAGGACAAGCGGCGCGGCGGTCCTCCTAGCTCCTCGGCCCGCGCGCCACCCGGGAGGCCGAACCGGCCCCAGCCCTGGGCCCCCTCCCCAGCCCGCCCCAGCCCCGACCCTCCGCTGCGGGGCCCTCCCGGAGCGGCCGGCCAGCGGGGAGCAACTACGCTGCCGGCTGCAACGCGTGTCTCCCCGGGACGCAGCTCCGCCCTTCCCGGGAACAAAAGCGGCTGCCCGCGCCTGAGCTCCCAAACGGCTGGCGGGCAGGGAGCGGGCGCCGCGCGCCGGCTCCCCGGAGCCCAGCCCCGCAAATGGGACACCCACAGCGGGTGCCCCCAAACTTCCCACCTCTCCCGTCCGGTCGGGGGAGGGGTCGGGGCCGGTGGGCAGGGCGCGGAGAGCGCACGAAGCGCTTAGGGGGTCTGCGGCCCCGCGGCGGGGGGTTATGCCAAGGGAGAACGCGACGACGCGAGGGGGAGGGACGGAGGGCACCCCGAAGCCGGGGACCGCCAAGCCGGAGCCAGTGGAGTGGGGCGAAGTCGGCGAGTTGGAAACTTCCTGCAATCGTCCACTCCTAGCCTTTGGCGTTCGGCTGGTCCTCTGGCGGCTTGGCGGGCGGCTGCGCAGGGCTGGGACCTGTGCTGGATCGTTAGGCTTCCGAAGAGATGGTCGCCATCCTTGTCGTGGTCGCGGGCGCCGTCAGAGGGGCGGCGGCGGCCGGCGCTGGCAGTGGCTGGGCGCGCGGGGGCGTCATGGGGCAGGTCCCGCGGGAAGTGGGGGAAGTAGCCAGAGATCTGCTGGATGGGGCGGATGGGGCCGGGGCACACGTCGATGGCCACATGCTCCTGGATGCAAACGGTCGCCTTTTCCCCGCGCCGCCGGGGGTCATACAGGCAGCGCCTCGCCGCCCCCGCACGGCCTGGCCCGGAGCGACCCCCGCCGGGGGCGGCTCAGCAGGCCCGGCATGGCGCGGCGGGGCCTCCGCGAAGGCCAGCGCGAGTGAGTGCCAGGGGCGGGCGGGCAGGGGGCCGGCCCAGCCCGTGTCACCCGGCAGCAACCACGCAGCGTGAGTGTGCGGGCTGCCCAGGCAGCGCGGAGCGGAGAGAGCTGCGTGGGGCCACACTCACTCGCACTCACACCGGCGGACACGCCGGCCTGGGACCCCGTGCGCGCACTCCCTCGGGACAAGCGGGGAGCCAGCAGGACAGGGACCCACGGATCGCACACTCACTCACACGTTCCTGCAGGTGCCAGCACATGCGGGGCTCCGTTCGCTCTCACGGGACACACGAAGGTGTGCAAGGACAATGCAAGTGCACGCACACGTGTGCAGACACGTAGTGGAAGCATCCACTCGCTCATACCTGTAAGACACACACACACACAAACATATGCACACATACAGAGTTGGTTGAGGATGCTGTAACACAGTACACCCCCTAATGCACACACACACAGACACACGCACACACAGGTGATCAAGGGCACCCAGGGGAGAATCTTCCATACCCCCAAGGACCCCTAACAAGATGCACAAACATGCACCCATAGAAGTAATCAGGGGACCCTGGGCACAACTCCCTCTCTCCTTCCCCATCTACCAGGACGTGGAGTCACACTCCTAGGCATGTGTGGACAGGCTGCCTACACACGGGCAGGACATGTATATGCTCAACTGTACAAGGACACTGCGGGCACACTCTGCGCACACATATTCTCAGGTCACATAAACACAGCACTCTGTAACCTGGAGTCAGTCCCTCACTTGGTCAGTGAGTGGGCTGAAGCACCCACTGGGACAGGGTGGCTGAGAACCAGGACAGGGCCTGGTCAGGAGGGGTTGAGGGCAGGGCCTGGGAAGTGAGTGATGCAATGAGGTTGGGCAGTACCACCCCCCACCCAACCACCCACTGCAGGCCTCCCACATCATCGGGTCACTAAACAAATCCCAGAGGGCCCAGCCCCAGCTGTTGCCTGGCTTTCCAGAAACAGAACTCGGTTGGGAATCGCTGCTGCTTGGACAGGTCTGTCCCCAGAAAGCCCTGGGCATGGATGGAGTCCTGTCTACCCTCTGGTTTCCACTGACACATTTACCTACCAACATTCTGTCCAAGTCTCCTCTTCTGAGCCCTCACCAGAATCACCCTTAATGGAGAGTCACAGGGAGAAGACGTCCACCCGCGCATGAGAAGACAGGCCTGGAACAGAGCCTTCCTGCACAGCCTCAGAAGGGACCCACCTTGCTGACACCTTGATCTTGGACTCATGGCCTCCAGTACTGTGAGACAGTAACGTTCTGTTGTTGAAGGTGCCCAGTCTGTGGTACTGTAAAACAGCCCTAGGAAACTAACACAGCCTGTTAGCCCACAGATGGTGGAGAGATGGAATGCTCCATGGAGCTCCAGGCTTACTGTCTGCAGCCCCCAAAGTGTGCTCCGGGACCCTTGGGTGGGTGTAGGTATGCAAGGTAATTTGGGGTGGTTCAAGGTGAAGAATTTCAATTGACATAATAATGTATTTATCTTGCTGGGTAAATGAGGGATCCCCAGCTGTTAGGAACCAGGCTACACAGCAGGAGGTGAGCAGCCAGCCAGTGAGCAAAGCTTCATCTGTAGAAACAGCCACTTCCCATCCCTTGCATTACCACGTGAGCTGTGCCTCCTCTCAGATGAGCGGTGCCATTATCTCATAGGAGCGTGAACCCTACTGTGAACTGCGCATGCCAGGGATCTAGATTGCGTGCTCCTTATGAGAACCTAATGCCTGATGATCTGTGACTGTCTCCCATCACCCCCAGATGGAACCATGCAGTTGCAGGAAAACTAGCTCAGGGCTCCCACTGATTCCACATTATGGTGAGTTGTGTAATTATTTCATTATATATTACAGTGAAATAATAGAAATGAAGCACACAATAAATGTAATGGGCTTGAATCATCTCCACATCATCCCTTCCCCTTCTCCCGGGTCCGTGGAAGAATTGTCTTCAAGAAAACTGGTCTCAGGTAGCAAAAAGGTTGGGAACCGCTGGTGTAAATGCTTCAAGGAATAGTTAAGCAGCTTAAGGTTTACATGCTACAAAAAGTACAGGTTCAAACGCTAATAAAAATGGGTGCAAATGAAAACACTCTCTTGCTGTGGTCCAAGGAGTTTTAAGCATTCTATCAGAAAGACTTGCAGCTTGGAGCTGCAGCTGCCCTCCCACATCCTGTCCACTGTAACCCCTGCAACACACAAACACACATATGCACACACGCGTGCACACACACACACACACACACACACACACGCTGTGCTTCATGCCCTCACTTGGGTGGCCTGGGAGGGAATGTGTTTGTTTGTTTGTTTGTGTGTTTGTTTGTTTGTTTTTTGAGATGGAGTTTCACTCTTGTTGCCCAGGCTGGAGTACAATGGCGAAATCTCGGCTCTCTGCAGCTTCCGCCTTCTGGGTTCAAGCAATTCTCCTGCCTTCGCCTCCCAAGTAGCTGGGATTACAGGCATGTGCCACCATGCCTGGGTAATTTTGTATTTTTAATAGAGATGGGGTTTCTCCATGTTGGTCGGGCTGGTCTCGAACTCCCGATCTCAGGTGATCCGCCTGCCTCAGCCTTCTAAAGTGGCGGGATTACACGCATGAGTCACCGCGCCCAGCCGGGAATGCATGCTTTTAGGAGAAACGAAGACAACTCAGGCCCCTCATTCTCCTGGTGTTTGCACAAGTGCCTTCTCCACAGACCATGCTTCAGTCTCTTTCTTAGTTCTCCTTCTTACTGAAAGAGAGAAGCAGAGTCCCATCATGTACCCAGCTGCTTGGGGCCCAAGCCAAGTGTGCAAGCTTCCTGGGGAGCCTAGTGAGTGGAAGGCACTGCAGACTCTCCCCAAAGAAGCATCAGTTTTTGATGGATCCTTGAGCCCAGGAAGGCAATAGACAAGACATCATGGTTCACCAGAAGAGACAACAAAAATGCGGTGAGGAAGGGCAGTAGTCAAAGGTTTTATGCTCCATGAGAAGGGGTTCTCAGGGCTCTAAGCAGCAGGCAGACTTTATTGCATGTGTGGTTAGGTGATGGCGACCTACAGTTTTCACTGGGAACTGGGATCAAGAGTAACTCGACCTCCTACTCCTGCACGTCTCTCTCTGTCTCTTTGTGTTTTGTATCTCTCTCCCCATCTCACCCTCCTTATCCTCTCAGCCTCCTCTGTCTCTCTCCAAATCTCTCTTCCTCTCTCACTTTCCCTTCTCCTCATCTCTCTTTCTCTCTCCTTCTTTTCCAGTTCTCTCTCCCTCCTCATCTCGCTGCATGCCACTGTTCACGCTCCTGGGGCTCCACGTGGACAGGTGGACATGGGACTCCTAGGCTAATTTTCACGGCACAAGCACAGGGCTGCAGGACCTTGGTCCCCCACCTCCCAGCACCCTCAAAATGAGAGGTGTGGGGTCTGCCCGTGCTCTCCTGGGTGGGCGTCCCACGCTCCAGGAAGCAGAAACTGCAGGACAAAGCTGGCGCAAGTGACATGCCCGCGTGGCTGCCGGCTTCCATCTTGGGATCTGCTGAGGCCAAAGCAGAAGACACCTGCCCCGGACCGACCCTGCACCAGGGTAGGGGTAGGGGTGGGTTTGGGGGTGGGAAGGGCGATGGGAGCAGACACTGCAAAGCAGTCCCTGGCTGGCTTCCTGCCCCGCACCCTGCCATGCGAGGCCTCTCCTCCCGCCCCCAGCCCTGCCCCTCACCACCTCCACCCCTAGGCTGTCCAGATCCAGGCTCCAGAAGTCTCCTAGGATCCAAGAACTAAGGGCAACCACTGGGCTCCGCAGCCCCTAGTCCATGAGTCAGCCACCCCTCTGCATGCTGACAAACCTTGGCTGTCACTTATCCTCCACCCCAAACCAGCCCCAGCCCCATCCTATTGCAGGCCTGTGTGGCTGCTGGAGAGGCTGGGCTCCCTTCCTCACCCTGAGGCTGCCTGATATGCTTTCTGGATCCTGGAGAAAACTGACCCACTATTCTCATACTGGTGCAACTTCTTCCAAGACCTCAAAACTGGACCACATGAACTTGTCTTCCTTCTTGTTTCTCCTTGCTAGGGCTGTCATTGGGACAGTCCGAGATGGGGGGTCGGGGGAGACAATGGATGAATGGATGGATGAATGGACGTCCCCCCACCAGCATTACCACCTCCTCCTAAACATAGTCCTGAGAGCTCTATTTCCTGGTAAACTTCCCCCTTCCCACCCTGGTCCAGAGAAGCCCAAAGGCCAGTGCCCTCCACCCACGCTTCCTGGGGTACACTCTACTCTCTTCTTGCCCAGATGTCTTAACCTGGCTCTACCAAGCTAGAACAGATAGCAGGGATGAGCCCCCAGCCTCTACCAGGAAGATTTGCCAAAATGTTCTCAGTTTAGAAGCAGGGGCAGTGACGGGGCCTAGGGATGACCCCAGGGTTGTCACTCAAGCAACAAGAAGGGCAAGGAGCCCTGTTTCCTGCCCTTATCCTGGGAGAACTTGGCCAGGGCTCCACAATGCCCTGCAGGGGCAGGAGGAGAACAAATACACCCTTCTCTGGAGGAAGTCACCACCATCCCCAGGAAGCAGGAGATGGGAGCACACTGGCAGAGCCCTCGCGTGCTATAGGGCAAGGCCGGCAGGTCTGTACTCAGCCTCAGCCCCAGGGGAGCTGCAACATAGACTGAGACCCTCACATGTTTGGCTCTGTGTCCCCACCCAAAACTCATCTGGGATTGTAATCCTCCTGTGTCAAGGGAGGAATCTGGTGGGAGGAGATTGGATTTGGGGACAGTTTCCCCCGTGCTGCTCCCCGGATAGTGAGGTAGTTCTCAGGAGAGCTGATAGTTTCAAAGTGTGGCACTTACTGGTTCTCCACTCACTCCCTCCTGCCGTCTTGTGAAGAAGGTGCCTGCTTCCCCTTCCCCTTCTGCCATGATTGTAAGTTTCCGGAACTGCAAGTCAATTAAGCCTGTTTCCTTTATAAATTACCCAATCTCAGGTATTTCTTTACATCAGTGTGAAAACAAATGAATACAGTCCCCTTCCCTGAGGTGCCTTCCCCTTAGGCAACCAGCTGCCCCCATGCTCCTCTTCTGCCCCCTGGTATTTCCTTTCCCCTCATGAGGCCCAAGTGATCCACATGGCCAGCCCCAGCCCCATCCTACTGCAGGCCTGTGTGGCTGCTGGAGAGGCCAGGCTCCTTTCCGCACCCCGAGGCTGCCCGATATGCTTTCTGGATCCTGTAGAAAACTGACCCACTATTCTCATACCGGTGCAACTTCTTCCAATACCTCAAAACTGGACAACGTGAACTTATCTTGTTGCTTGTCTCTTCTTGCTAGGGCTGTCATTGGGACAGTCCGAGATGGGGGGGTGGGGGGAGACAATGGATGAATGGATGGATGAATGGACAGTAGTCCAGGGAGATGTCCCTGTGTGTCCTGAACTGGGCCCTTCCTCCAATGAGAAGCCTTCCTGAGTGAGTTTCTACAGTCATCCCTTGGTATCCATGGATTAGTTCTAGGGTCCCCGGGGATGACAAAATCCATGGATCCTCAAGTCTCTGACATAACATGGCCTAGTATTTACATATCAGCTATGCACATCCTCCTGTAGACATTAGACCATCTCTAGATTATTCAGGATGTGTAATACAATGCAGATGCTACATAAATGGTCGTGATACTGTATTCTTTAGGGAATAATGACAAGAACAAAGTCTGCACATGTTCAATAGAAATATAACTGTCCAATTTATTTTCTGAATATTTTCCATCTGCTGTTGCTGAATCTACAGATGCAGAGCTCCTGGATATGAGAGCCAAGTGTGCTTTGAGAGTAGGGTGGGTGAGGTTGCTAATGAGTACAGGGGAGCAGGTGTTGATCAGGAGGACCCTGCACTGGGGCATCTGGACGTCCTGCCTCAGGACTTGAGACTCCAGTTGGATGGCACAGGCAGACTCGGCACAGGCAGACTCAGCCCAGGTCAAAGCCCTCCCCTTGGATGTTCATTTTATCCCAAGCTCTTTCTGGACCCTGGAATTTGGCATCCCCTAGGCCCTGCGTGGAAGGACAGATGAACCAGGTTTTAGATAACACGTCTAGAAGAGTGAGCCCCTACTGTGTGCCCGGCACTTTCCCCACAGGATCCTCTAGCTAGAATATCCAAGGGTCATGGAGAGAAATACCCAGTTAAAATATCAGAAACGAAAAAGAGATACAATTAGAGACACTAAAAAGACCATTAGGGACACTAAAAAGACCATTAGGTAATAGTATTAGTATTTGTATTCTGAGATCCAGCAGCAGCAGCAGTCACTTCCCTCCACCCCTATGTGTATCCCAGGACCACCCTGGGCGGGGAGGGCTGAGGTTAGGGAGCAGCCAGGGATGCTCTGATGCTGGCCCTGGGCCTCGGGGGTGACAGTGATGAGGAACTGGGTGCACATGAGTGGGGCAGCCAGGCCTGGCCAGAGAAGCAACATACACGTGCACAGACGTGTTTATCCACGTACACGTGTGCACGCACGTGCACACATTGCAGGCAGGCACGTTGTGGCACTTTCTAGCTGTACCCTATGCTTGGGAGAACTACTGTTTCGTGTTACCTCCACAGCTGGCTTTATTTCTGTTACCTCAGCGGGATCAATGGCAGGGCAGATGTTTACTTTGAACTAGGAGCTGAGTTATACTTTGTCAGATTCAATGAGGTGACGCTGTATAAAGGGTCTGGTTCAGGGGCAGGCTGTGAGTAAGGGCTCAATAAATTACAACTCTAATGACTAGCTATAAATTATCAGCCACATTATTAGGACAGCAATGGCCCAGACTTGATAGGAGCCCAAGGGACAGCACCTAACCCAGCCAGTGGAAGGGAGATTGGGGAAGGCTTCCTGGAGGAGATAAGGACTGGGCTGAGTCTTAGAAGGTGAGCAGACACCAACTAAAGAAGGTGAGAAGGGCAATCCAAGCAGAGGAAACCAAATGAGAGGGAGCACAGGGCTGGGGTGCGCCAGAGCATCTTGTGAAGGGCAGGAGTCTTGAGAGATGAGACTGGGGAGGTCTGTGGAGCCAGGGGGGTGAGCTTGCTTGCTGGGGTTACTGGTTTTTCTACAATGAGTAACACAATCCTGATTTTATAGGGGAGGAGACAGCCTCAGTGATGGTCACTTGATTTTAGAAGATGGAGCTCAGCTACCTCTGAGTCATAGGATAGAATGCTAAGGCACAGGCTGGGCACGGTGGCTCATGTCTGTAATCCCAGCACTTTGGGAGGCTGAGGTGGACAGATCGCTTGAGCCCAGGAGTTCAAGACCAGCTTGGACAAGATGGTGAAACCCCATCTCTACAAAAAATACAAAAGTTAGCCGTGTGTAGTGGCACACGCCTATAGCTCCAGCTACTCAGGAGGCTGAGGTGGGAGGATGGCTTGAGTCCAGGAGGTCGAGGCTGCAGTGAGGCGAGGACATGCTACTGCACTCCAGCCTGGGCAACAGAGAGAGCAGGAAGCAAGGAAGAAAGGAAAGAAGGAAGGAAGGAAAGGAAGGAAAGAAGGAAGGAAGGAAGGAAGGAAGGAAGGAAGGAAGGAAGGAAGGAAGGAAGGGAGCCCAGACAGGGAAGGGACTCACCTAAGTAGCCCTGCATGGAGGGAGCTTTGGTTTTCCCACCCCATTTCCAGTGCTCCTTCCATGCCCTCCCCCTGCCTTCCTCTCACTGGAAACAGCCTCTACCTGACCTTGTCCTCTGCATCCTCTGATAGGTAGCTGATACCAGACAAGGTTTTGCAGGGACTCCAGGTGCCCCTCGGTGTCTGTTGAGATTAAACCCAATGCAAAATAAGGCTTAATCCCAAATCTGCAATGGAGAAGAAAGACAGGAAGTTTCCTTCTTGCCTGGGCCAGAAAAGGCTGCAGGTCCTGTCCCTTCCCTTCACCCCACCGTCCAAGTCCTCCCTGGGCTGTTCAGGGATTCCTAGGGGGTCAACAGAGAGGGGTGAGAGCTGGAGGCGGTCACTGGGGTATGACGGGGCCTCCTTGACAGAGCAGGTGGTGAACTTTCTGCCTTTAAATATTTTGAAATAGCAACAGACAGAAGAAAGCACAAAAAATCCCAGATGGCACATTATTTCCTCCAGCCCGGTGTCCCCCCACCTCCCAGGGTCCCAGGCACAGGAGCCCAGGTTCACACCAGCAGGAGGCTAGGACTGGAAATTCTGCAGACTTTCCAAGCGTGTTTATTCACATTCCTGTGGGCCCCCAGGACCCTGCTGAGCTTCCCAATATTAGCTGAGAAAGAAAAAAAGCACTTCCTGACATCCGGAGCAGATTTGACATTCATGGTTAGACCTCAATGTTGTCACAAACTCATCTGACTTTCATGGGGAACATTAACAAACTCACAGAATTCCAACCTCCAATAAGGTTACTCTGAGACCATGATAAAATGAGGCAAGGCAAGGCCATGTCATAATTTTGTCTAAGCACTGACAAAAACAAGGTCACTATGCTGTCACCCATAAAATACCAAATAATCTCTCTCGGCTAAAGTGAGTGACTGCTATCCTTTGAACAGATTTATAAAGATCTAATTCACATACCATTTAACTCATCCATTCAAAGTGTATAATTTGGTGGCTCATGCCTGTAATCTCAGCACTTTGGGAGGCCAAGGTGGAGAATCGCTTGAGCCCAGGAGTTCGAGACCAACCTGGGCAACATAGCGAGACCCTGTCTCTACAAAATAATAAATTTTAAAAATTAGCTGAGCATTGGGAGTTCAAGACCAGCCTGGACAACACGGTGAAACCCTGTCTCTACTAAAATACAAAAAATTAGCCAGGTGTGGCGGCATGCCCCTCTAGTCCCAGCAACTCAGGAGGCTGAGGCAGGAGAATTGCTTGAACCTAGGAGGCAGAGGTTGTAGTGAGCCAAGATCGTGCCACTGTACTCCAGCCTCAGCTACAGAGTGAGATACCATCTCCAAAAAAAAAAGGCTGAACATGATGGTGCACAACTGGTAGTCCCAGCTATTTGAGGTGGGAGGTCGAGGCTGCAGTGAGCTATGATTATACCACTGCACTCCAGCCTGGGCAACAGAACAAGACTCTGCCTCACAGAAAAAAAAAAAAAAAAAAAAAAAAAGAAAAGAAAAAATGTACCTATCAGATACTATGCTTTTTACTGGAGTGATGAAATAATCTGTACACTAAACCCCCATAACACACAATTTATCTATATAACAAACACACACATGTACCCCTGAACCTAAAAGCTAAAAACATTGAAAAAATTATATTCACTGAAGCGTGCAACCATCACGTTATATTTATTTATTTTAATTTTTAATGTTTGTGAGTACATAGTAGGTGTATTTATTTATGGGGTATATGAGATGTTTTGATACAGGCTTACAATGCATAATAATCACATCAGGGTCAACAGGGTATCTATCACCTCATGCATTTATCCTTTGTGTTTCAAATGATCCAATTATATTCTTTTAGTTAATTTTAAATGAAGTTAAATTATTTTTTACTACAGTCACTCTGTTGTACTAGCAAATACTAGGTCTTATTTGTTCTAATTTTTTTGTACCCACTAACCATCCCCTCTTCCCACCCCCGCCCCACTGCTACCTTTCCCAGCCTTTGATAATCATCCTTCTACTCTTTATGCCCATGAGTTGAATTGTTTTAATTTTTAGCTCTCACAGGTAAGTGAGAACATGCGATGTTTGTCTTTCTGGCTTATTTCACTTAACATAATGACCTCCATTTCCATCTATGTTGTTTCAAATGACAGGATCTCATTCTTTTTTATGGCTAAATAGTACTCCATTGTGTGTATGTACCACATTTTCTCTACCCATTCGTTTGTTGATGGACACTTAGGTTGCTTCTAAATCTGGGCTATTGTGAATAGTGCTGCAATAAACACAGGAGTGCAGATATCTCTTAGATATACTGATTTCCTTTCTTTTGGGTACATACCTAGCAGTGGGATTGCTTGATCGTATGGTAACTCTATTTTTAGTCTTTGAGGAACTTCCAAACTGTTCTCCATAGTGATTGTATTAATTTACATTCCATCAATGGTATATGAGGGTTCCCTTTTCTCCACAACCTCACCAACATGTGTTACTGCCTGTCTTTTGGACAGAAAACATTTTAACTGGGGTGAGATGACATCTCATTATAGTTTTGATTTGCATTTATCTGATGATTAATGATGTTGAGCACCTTTTTATATGTTTGTTTGCCATTTTTTTTTTTTTTAAGACAAGGTCTCACTCTGTCGCCCAGGCTGGAATGCAGTGGTGCAATCTCAGCTCACTGCAACCTCTGCCTCCCGGGTTCAAGCAATTCTCCTACCTCAGCCTCCAGAGTAGCTGGGGTTACAGGAGCCCACCACTACAACTGGCTAATTTATATATATATTTTTAGTAGAGACAGGGGTTCACCATGTTGGCCAGGATGGTCTCAAACCCCTGACCTCAGGTGATCCACTTGCCTTGGCCTCCCAAAGTGCTAGGATTCTAGGAGTGAGTCACTGCGCCTGGCCCTGTTTGCCATTTGTATGTCTTATTTCTTTTTTTTTTGAGACAAAGTTTCGCTCTTGTTGCCCAGGCTGGAGTGCAATGGCACAATCTTGGCTCACTGCAACCTCCACCTCCCAGGTTCAAGCGATTCTCCTGCCTCGGCCTCCCTAGTAGCTGGGATTACAGGCATGTGCCACCACACCCAGCTAATTTTGTATTTTTAATAGAGACGGGGTTTCTCCATGTTGGTCAGGCTGGTCTCGAACTCCCGACCTCAGGTGATCTGCCCTCCTCAGTCTCCCAAAGTGCTGGGATTACAGGCATGAGCCACCGCGCCCGGCCTTATTTTTTTTTTTCAATGTAGAATATGTGTCTTCTTTTGAGAAATGTCTATTCAGATATTTTGCCCATTTTTAAATCGGATTATTCGATTTTTTTCCTATGGAGTTATCTGAGCTTCAGATGAGTGGTTTGCAAATATTTTCTCTCATTCTGTGGGTCTCTTCATTGATTGTTTCCTTCGCTGTTCAGAAGCTTCTGAACTTGATGTGGTCCAGCATGCTAAATTCAGAACATTTCCATCCCCAACATTTCACCCCAAGAAGAAACCCCACCCCCCTGAGTCATTACTTCCAAATCCTCCTCTCTCCCCCCAACCCTTGACACTCAGCCTCCCAAGTAAGTAGGACTACAGGTACATGCCACCACGCCTAATTTTCTTTTCTTTTTTGTTTTTGAGGAGATGAGGTCTTGCTATGTTGCTCCAGCTGGTCCTTCACTTATTTAATCCTACCAGCTAGTGTTCTGGTATCTCCTCTGAATTTTTAATTAATTTCACTTCCAGAGAATTAAGTATTATTTTTGTTGACAGTTTGTTCTCTCAAACAGCATTGCATTTAGTAATACTTTTTTAGTTGTTGGGGTTTTTGTTTTTTCAAATGTTACTAATTTGTTTCCCTTTCCAGCTGAAGAAATAGTGACCAGGGGAGTAAATATTCTCAGGCCACTGTGTTTGTATATTATGGACAATCAAGAAAGAACTAGGGTATGTTAGAGACAGAACTCCAGAGGTCAGGTCATCTCCGTCTACTCACTTGGTGGACTTGGCTAAGTCACGTGATCTCTCTGGGCCTCCATTTCTTCATCTATAAAATGGACTAATACTTTCAACCTAGTACATGAAAGAAAATATGCTGATTGAACCAATCCTACTCCTGTTGCAACCTCACACCAGAGCACAGGCTGGGTGTTCATGTATGTTCCCTTGCCTGGTCTCTGGCTTTCCCTCTAGGAGATATCCTTCTTAACTCTGGTGCTCCTGGGAGCTGGGCTAAAGCTGATCTCTCGATTCTTGCCTCTGCCCAGTTTCATTGCAGGCAGCCTCCACTGAACTATGCCCACATCATCATCCCTGAATGGAAGATCTATAGCATGATGAGGTTCAATCAAATCCTGCTAAACAAACAAACAAAAAGCCACTGGCCTGATCGGTTGTAATATATTCTTTACAAAGTCCTTTATGATACTTATCTTAGTAAAAAATGGTGTTAAAACTTTGCCATATATGCCAGGCATGGTGGCTCACGCCTGTAATCCCAGCACTTTGAGAGGCCGAGGCAGGTGGATCACCTGAGGTCGGGAGTTCGAGTCCAGCCTGACCAACATGGAGAAACTCTGTCTCTACTAAAAATACAAAATTAGCCGGGCGTGGTGGCGCATGCCAGTAATCCCAGCTACTCAGGAGGCTGAGGCAGAAGAACTGCTTGAACGTGGGAGGCAGAGGTTGCAGTGAGCCCAGATTGCACCATTGCACTCCTGCCTGGGCAACAAGAGCGAAACTCCATCTCAAAAACAAAAACAAAACAAAAAAAAACCCCCAACTTTGCCATATTGCTTATGTGGTATATCTTAATCTATAACAAAGTGACACCCGTGTCAGCCAGCCTACACCCCTGGAAATCAGCCTTCCTTGCTTAGGGCTCCAGCAAGGCTCTCCCCACCCTAGCTGGTCTCCTGGGAAAAAGAGGAATTCAGGCAGCAACAGTCAAGCAAGCAGGTGCTTCAGCAAGCAAGTAATCCATCTCAAGAAGCCGTAACCAGCGATCGTTCAACAATTCTTAGGAGTCTTGTGAAGTCTGCAAGCTCCATAAACGAGGGCTCTTGCATGTCCTCAGGTGAGCTCTGCTTTGTTGTCATCTTATTGAAGTGGACCCACAGCAGCAAGGTGAGCAAAGCCAAAGGAAGCCCCCTGCCTGAGTCTAGCTCAGGTGAACTGACAGTCCAGACAGGACAACCGAGAGGGACCCTGTTTTCATACTGCTATAAAGAGCTGCCCATGGCCAGGCGTGGTGGTGGGCGCCTGAGGCAGGAAAATCACTTCAACCCAGGAGGTGCGGGTTGCAGTAAGCCAGATCACACCACTGCACTCCAGCCTGGGTGACAGAGTGAGACTCTGTCTCAAAAACAAAACAAAACAAAAAGGCCGGGCACGGTGGCTCACATGTGTAATCCCAGCACTTTTGGTGGCCGAGGTGGGCAGATCACTTGAGGTCAGGAGTTGGAGACCAGCCTGGCCAACATGGTGAAACTCCGTCTCTACTAAAAATACAAAAATTAGCTGGGCGTGGTGGTGTGTGCCTGTAATCCCAGCTACTTAGGAGACTGTGTCAGGACAATCGCTTGAACCTGGGAGGTGGGGGTTGCAGTGAGCCGAGATCACGCCACTGCACTCCAGCCTAGGTGACAGAGTGAGACTCCATCTCAAAACAAAACAAAACCAAAAAACTACCCAAGACTGGGTAAGTTAGAAAGGAAAGAGGTTTAATTAACTCACAATTCTGCATGACTAGGGAGGTCTCAGGAAACTTACAATCACGGCAGAAGTGGAAGCAAGGCACCTCTTTCACAAAGCAGCAGAAAGAAGTGTGGAGTGATGGGGGAAGAGCCCCTTATAAAACCATCTGATTTCCTGAGAACTCACACACTATCATGAGAACGGCATGGTGGAAACCACCCCTACGATTCAATTACCTCCACCAGGTCTCTCCTTTGACACGTGGGGATTATGGGGATTACAATTTAAGATGAGACTTGGGTGGGGACACAAAGCACCTAACCATATCAGCCCTAAAGCCATGGCTGGAGAAGGCTCCTGCCAGAAGTCCACCCCGAAGCCCTCAGACTCCACTGTGGCCTTTCCTCACTCTGCTTCCTATCTCCATTTTTCTTTCCCTGAAGGAGGTTGCTCTATCAATGCCTCCCGTGACAACACATGCCCCCTCCTCCCCCACCCCCCAGGCTCAGCGATAAGGAAGCTGGTGCCCTGAATCCCTGCCCCACCCAAGACTCTTTCCTTTTCTTCCCACTTAGTCTACTTGAAACTCCTCTCTGTATTTTTTTAATTAAGTTACCCACCTCAGCTTTGTTTCTCAAAGGCTTTAACTTTTCCGGGAAGAGCTGCAATCGTTTCTTGGCAGGAGTAGTTTCAGGTTTGCATTGCTCTGAAAGAGACTCTCAGAAACACGGGACCTCCATTTTGGTGTCAGCACCGCACGCACCCCCACCCAAGCCAGCACCGTGGCTGGAAAGCTTACGTATAGGATAAGGGATGTGGGTGGAGTGGGAATTGACGTGGAGGATGTTGGAGATCAGATCAACAGATGCTACAAAAAAACCCAACCCCTCCCCACCGAAAGACGGCAATACTCAGGCTAGGAGCCGCTGCACTAGGTGCTAGGGACCCACTGAATTTTCACCAGAGCAGTGGCTTGGTCAGATCTCTATTTCCAGAAACATCGCCCTGGAATCCTTTCCTTGGCGTGGAAGGAGAAGTTGACCCCGAAGAGTTACTCAGTCAAGGGCGACTCATTGCTCCACTCTAAGGTTTCTCTAAGCACAGGGCGGTGGCGAAAGGGAAGGGCTGCAGGGTGGAGTCCGGCACCAAGACCTCCCGGCCCGGCTTCTAGCAGCACACGGACGCTTGAGATGATTTCTTCTGAAAACGGGCAGTGGTTGAAAACCACTGCTTCAAAACACAGACTGGAGGAGTGGTAAATACTAACGAGGAGTTTTAGCAATGGACTCTGTTAACAGAGTCTGGTCGCCTGAGAAGGGCCTCGGAGGACTGGCCAGGTTGGAGAACGATTTCAACTGCGTACTGGACGACACACAGAAGACTGCGGGGAGCCTTAGCCCCTACCCGGCCTGCAGTGCTCTCTGGGGCACACGGCAGCCCCACGACGCCTTTGGGTTTCTTCGAGCGCTACTCGCACGCACCAGCGCCCACACAGCTGCAACGCCAAACGCCCGCCAGCACCTTAGGGCCGCGGGAGTCCCTTCCCCAGGCCCGCCCCACACGCCGGCCTTTTCTGCCGCTTCCCAAGCCGGAGCCAATCAGCGCTCAGCAGCGACCGGCAGGGACGACCAATCGACTTATCCTGCGTTGTGCTAAAGACCTAGAAATCGAGCGTGGTACATTCGATCGACGGAACGTCTGGGCCCTAGTGCTAAGTTGGGTGACTGTTCGGTGGTTGTCTCGGGGGGTTGCAGGAAGATCCTGTTTCCTTGGCGTAGAAGGAGAGGTTGACCCCGAAGAGTTAAGATTCTCGAAGCACACTATTTATCCGTGGCCCTCCTCCTCCTTCGCGGGGTAGCTTGGGGCAAGTCATCTATTCTCTCTAGATCTGTGTTCTGCCTAAAAATTAATGAATGGGACAAAATGGTCTCTACAGTCCCTTGTTTATCCTGGCCCTGCAAATCCAGGATCGCTGCCGTTGTATCTCAGTCTGATGTCGGTGGTCTTGCGCTGGCCGGTGTTCTGAAACTTTGTCGGCAGTAACATGCACTCCAGTCAGTCTCTTCAGTCCAGGACACCATCGCCGGGGAAACTGAGGCATAAGAAAAATAAAAATGAGCATTGTCCATCCACAAATATGTATTGTGCTCCCGTTGTGTATCTGGCACTGCCCTGGTGCTGGGTCCCCTATGAGAAACAGGCATGGTCCTTGTGCCCCTAGTTATAAACTATGTCACTTCCATCAGACTCTGAGATCCCCAGGGAGGAGCTGTACTCTCATCAAGCTGCTCTCATCAGCAGACAGGAAGGAGACAGACTTGTAGGCCTGCATGCTCCTGTGCTCCTCTTGAACTCCCAGCTCAGCCACTGGCTGCCTTTTACCCACAGATCTGAAAGGAGCCAGGGCGGACAGGCTCCAGCAGTACCTCTTTTCTTGAGGAAGCCACCTTCTCCTGGCTGTCCAACCCTGAAAGGACCTTGGAAGTTTGGGGGAGTCCCTCTTGGCACTCTGATTTATCCAGAATGCACCTAATCACCCTCTACACATGCACACCCGCCCCCCCCCCCCCCCCGACACACACTCCTCCAGCCTGATACCCTGCTGGGGTTCTTTTGCAGAGTTTTGTCTTGAGGTCATCAGAGAGGTCGTGCTCCATGGGGCATTGAAGCACCACAGAGAAAAACCCCTGCAAGGCCAGGAAAGCATCTGAGAGGCATCTGAAGTCAGAAGGCCTGTGCCGGAATCCTAGCTGTTTCTGGCAGTGTGGTCTGGGTAATTTAACTTCTACCAGCACCATGTGTATAAATGAACATCATCACAGCACATACCTCACAGATTGCTGAAAGGATTAAATGAAATGATGGATATAACTCACTTGCAGCATGCCTGGCAGAGACATATAGTAAATGGGCAAGAATTGGGAGCTACTGTTATTATTGTGTTATTGTGATTATATTCAGCAGGAAGGAGGCCTCCCAGGCTAGGCGCCAGTCCTTGATGAGAAGGTGCCCACTTTATGTCCTCTCCTGTTTCTAACTCTCCTCTTCTGCCTTCTGTGGTCCCAGCTGAGTGGCTGTACCTCAGCAATATCCAGTTTCCTGCCTCAGAACATGAAGCCCAGATATACAAGCTGAAGGAGGGTGCCACATTTGAGAGGCAAGGGAAGATCAGGCGGGGACCCTGTGCTTCAGAGCTTTGGTCACATCCGCAAGGAGCACAGCAGGCCCTACCAGATAAACAGACAAAATCAGGAGGGCTCCAAGGTGGGACAGAGAAGGAAGATTGTTAAAAATTGAATCTGCTAGACTGGGCGTGGTGGCTCACACCTGTAATCCCAGCACTTTGGGAGGCCGAGGCAGGCGGATCACGTGAAGCCAGGAGTTCGAGACGAGCCTGGCCAACATGGCAAAACCCCATCTGTACTAAAAATACAAAAAATTAGCCAGGCGTGTGGTGCGAGCCTGTAGTCCCAGCTACTCGGGAGGCTGAAGCACAGAATTGCTTGAACCCGGGAGGTGGAGGTTGCAGTGAGCTGAGATCATACCACTGCAGTCTATCCTGGGCAACAGAGCAAGACTCTGTATATTTTAAAAAAAAAGGCAAAAATTGAATCTGCTGTGCCCAACCAAGCCATCAGCTGATCAGCTGTGGGGTCCTGCCCTGAATCATTTACTCCTCACCCTATCTCTGGGACCATCAGGGCAGGCAGGCAGCAGCAGATGTTTTCCAAGCTCTACTGCTCCCAGGCCAGCATGACATCTGCAGTGACCATTTTAACAGGCTGGACACCCTCGTGTCCCCCTACCACTTATCCTTGGCCCACTTGCCACTTGTGCCTTACCCAGTGGGGAGGGAGTGGCAAGGCCTTGGCTCTGGGTTCCACAGGTAGAGTTTTGCAGAGGAGTCCAGTGAACTCATTCTTTACAAAACCTACCCAGGCCTGCTTTCAGCCACCCCTCCTGCTAAGATTATATGTAATATATAATATTATATATAATTTTTTATAGAGACAGGGTCTTCCTCTGTCACCCAGGCTGGAGTACAGTGGCATGAACACAGCTCACTACAGCTGCAAACCCCTGGGCTCAAATGATCCTCCTATCTCAGCTTCTTGAGTAGCTAGGACTACAGGCATGCACCACCAGGCCTAGCTTTTTTTTTTTTTTTTTTTTTTCTGTAGAGATAAGGTCTCACTGTCTTGCTCAGGCTGGTCTGGAACTCCTGGCCAAGCCATCCTCCTGCCTTGTCCTCCCAAAAATGCTGGTATTACAGACATGAGCCACCGTGCCTGGCCAAGAGACTATATATTTTGAGCAGCTGCTGGAAAGCGGGGACTAAGTTCTGGTCTGAGGAGAACTTCCTGGGCGTCCAGGAAAGAAATATCTGACATTGTTGGTGCACAGTGAGTATAGTCCTCACTGGTCACCCAGAGGACAGGGTGTGGCTCCCTCCACAGTGTAGCTCCCTAGCCCCCAAAAGCTGGACCTGGGCTCTCCCCAGTCACCAGAGATCCCTCTCCTTCGTCCCCAACAAAGTGTTTGGCTGGCTGCAGCAACTGTGCAGACCCTGACTAGTGGACATTCCTAAGTACCAGGGGCTCGCCTTGTGTCCCGCCAGGCTGGTCCAGAAGGCTGTTGCGGGCAGGTGGGATAAGAAATTCAGGAAGCTGAAACAGCCAGAAGGTGGAACCTGGCCGGCTCGGGGGAACTGCCTGTGGAATGGCCCAGCGCTGAATGAGTGGAACAGTGGGTGGGCCTTGAAAGCGAACTCAGGAGATGGGGCGTTGTGTATAGGCAAGTCGCTAACCGGGAGCCCCGCGCCTCATTCCGACTGGATCAGGGGGCCCCGCCTGTCCACGGTCCCCATGCGCGGTGCGCTCCCCCTCCTAGGGCCGTAATTGCCGCAGCCATCCCTACGCGTCTCCAGCCCCCGTCGTCTTTGTCCATTCGGTTCCGAGGCCGCGCTTGGACTGGGGCGCCCACGACTGACCCCGGAGGCACAGCGAACGGGGCAGCTGCAGGGACTCCCTGTCCTGCAGGCGACTGGGCTCCCGCGAGGCAGCAGGTGCCGAGGACTAGCAGCAGATCTGGTGTGCAGAACCCTGGATTCGAGTCCCGGCTTCAGAGACCCTCGGCTGTGTGACGTGGAGGCGTCGGCCGCCCTCTGAGAGCCTTCGTGGATGACAGCTGATGCTTGGGCCTACCTTCCTCGGCTGCTGAGAGGCTCAGAAGGGACCGCGTGTAAAACGCCTTGGAATCTTAAATCTACTTAATTCCATTTACCTGCTTCCCAGAAACGGTCCATGGCTTCCGTCCCGGTCATAGCGCTGCGCAGCGGGACCGTTCTGCCCCGCTGCCCTCGAACAGCCCGTCCGCGCTCCATTGCCCCTCCAGGTGCCGTTATTTTGCCTTTTAACCTGGGGCGGGAGGTTTTAGACGAGGCTGCAAGTCTGGGCCAGCGGGGACCTGAGGGTCCCTTGCAACCAGCACCCGCGACGGTGTCTACACTGGAATTCCAAGGAAAAGAGGGCTCCAGGGGCGCGACCAAGGTTTGGTCTTCTGCTGAGCGCTGCTGGATGAATCGCCAGCCTTCGCCCGCGGCCCCCTCCTCCTCATCCCTGACCCCAACTCGACAAGATCCCCCGAGCGCAGGCCCAAACTCCGCACAGCTTGTGGGCCGTGAGGTCCGGGTCTCGAAGCTCGGTCCCGCTGGGGCTGTCCCTCCGCCTCTACTTCCAGGGTAAAGACCGCGGAACCAGGCGGGGGTCTGGGGAGCCTGGCTGCGACCTCGGCTGCAGGCTTCCGCAGCTGCTTCCAGGGTGCTGTCCACCCCGTGGTGCTGAAGTGCCCCACGCCCCTCCGCCACCTACCGGAAGCCGCGTCCGCGCTACAGCCTCCACTCAGGATTCGACCCGAACTCCAAGACGCGTCCGCACTGGTCCAACAACCCTCATGGATCGTCGCCTGCCTCAACTGTTTAGACCACCGCGGGTTTCACCCGGAAGCACCGGGGAGGTCGGAGCTTGCCTGAGAGGCTCAGCGAAGGTCCATGCCTTGTTCAGTCCCAGGCAGTGCGGGACAGGTGGGCGAAGCTCGAACCCCATGCTCTGTCCCGGCACTGGCAGGAATTCACTTATTATGGAGATAGTCCTCGCTCACTCCAGACCTGTCCTGTAATTGTCTGGGCCCCGGGAAGGTTTCCCTCGGTTTTTAGAATCTCAACCGCGGTGTGGCCATCCAAGCTGTGCCAACGCTACTACCTGCGAAGCAGGAGAGAAAAACCCCTGGAATTCCTCCCGCACATCTTTCACAAAGTGAATATGCCCTTCTTTGACACTGGGTACAGCCACTTCGGGACCAGATTTTTGCTCCTGAGCATATAAAATCACAAGCTTGGGCAGGCACAGTGGCTCATGCCTGTAATCCCAGCGCTTTGGAAGGCCGGGGCGGGCGGATCGCTCGAGCCGAGGAGCTCGAGACCAGCCTGGGCAACATAGTGAAGCCCCGTCTCCACAAAAAACATAAAAATGAGTCGGGAGTGATGGCACTGCACCTGTAGTCCCAGCTACTTGGGAGGCTGAGGTGGGAGGATCACCTGAGCCCAGAAAGTTTCAGTGAGCTATGATCACACCACTGCACTCCAGTCTGGGCAACAGAGCAAGACCATGTCAAAAAAAAAGAAAAGAAAGAAAAACAAAAAGAAAAGAAATGTCTTTCCTTTTTGGAAAGCTTGGATGACCACAAGGGGGTTGAGATTCTAAAAGCCGAGGGAAAGCTTCCCAGGGCCCAGCCTCCCCATACAATTCATAGGACAGGTCTAGAGTGAATGAGGGCTACTATATCCATAAAAAGAAAGAGAAAGGAAAGACAAGACAATATTGCCCAGTGAGTCAAGCATGATCGTAGCACAAAGAAGCAGGGCACTCTTCCCCAGAGCAGGCCAGTTCAGAGAGGCAGTCCAGGGCTATGCCCCAGTATGGCTCCCGCCGTGCTCCTGCGCGGTGTCCCAGGGCCTCCTGGCACCTTCTTATCATCAGCCTGGGGCGAAATGCCAGACCAGATGGTAGAGGCAGAAGTCAAGCAGGCAGGTGCCGTCCAGGGCATTCCAGGCCAGCTGAGTGTGCAGCCAGCGCCCAATTCAGACGGCGCCCCAGGCCAAGGCTGGCCCGCTTAGGGACCGCGCTCGGGCTGGACGTCGCGCTCAGCGCGCAGGGCCCCCATGGACGTCGCGCCGCTGACCTAGCTGTCAGACATCGCCACGAGGAGTAGGCAGGCTCGGGAGGCCGAAACGCTGTGCTCACCTCGAGCACTGCCAGGCTGCTGGAGAGGCTTTCCGGGGCACAGAAGCTGCAGCGGCGCGGGGCGGTGGGCTGTGAGCGAGCATATGTAGGGGAGCGTTTCCCGCGAGAAAGCAGAACCTGCGCCAGCCGAGGGCCCTAGGGCTGCTGGTAGGAGGACTGTTCTCTATCGTCCAGCTGCTCCCGACCTCTTCTCTGAACTGGCCCTGCTCTGGGGAACAGCGCCCTGCTTCTTTGTGCGACGATCACGCTTGACTCATTGGGCAACATTGTCTTGTCTTTTCCTTCCTTTTATGGACATAGTCCTCGCTCACTCCAGACTTGTCCTGTGAATTGTATGGGGAGGTTGGGCCCTGGGGAGCTTTCCCTCACGGCTTTTAGAATCTCAACACCCTTGCCGCCCGCCCTGGCTGGGTGGAGATACAACCAGAAGACAGACACCGCTCCCCTAAACCCCAGCCTCCAGTATAAGCTACAAAATAAAAATGTGGGCAGGGTGAGGTGGCTCATGCCTGTAATCCTAGCTCTTTGGGAGGCCGAGGCGGGTGGATCAGCTGAGCTCAGGAGTTAGAGACCAGCCTGGCCAACATGGTGAAACCCCGTCTTTACTAAAAATACAAAAAAATTAGCCCGACATGGTGGCGGGCATCTGTAGTCCAGGCTACTTTGGAGGCTGAGGCAGGAGAATGGCGTGAACCCGGGAGGCAGAGCTTGCAGTGAGCTGAGATCGCACCACTGCACTCCAGCCTGGACGGCAGAGAGACACTCTGTCTCAAAAAAAAAAAAAAAAAAAAAAAAAAATTAGCTGGGCGTGGTGGCTTGTGCCTGTAATCCCAGGGAGGCTGAGGTAGGAGGAGCACTTGAGCCAGGGAGGTGGAGTTTGCAGTGAGCCAAAATCACGTCACTGCATTCCAGCCTGGGCAACAGATTGAGACTCTGTCTCAAGAAAAGAAAGGAAAAAAAGAAAGAAAAAGAAAAGAAAAAAGAAAATGTGAAGCTCTTCTAAGTGCAGCTGCTCTGCAACTATGCAAGCCCCTGCCCCATGAAGCCAGGCCTGCCCCTAATCCTTTACCACACAAGGCTCATTAAACTTCGGAAATCTCGGAGTTACTTGCTAGGAAAAAGCCATTCCCCACTTCCCCATTTGCATAATAAACGGAGGGGCAGGGAAGACCCATCTAACCACCCCACGTGTACCCATGTGTCACCCTTATCAGATGCAGGAGGTGAGCTGAGCTGCCAAATGCTTGGCTTCTTTCTGGGGCTGTAATACAGCCATCCCTCCCCAGGGCCACACCTGGAGAAGGGAGTGGCTAGGACAGGGTCTTCAGGGAAACTGCTGCCTTATTCTCAACTGCTTGTCTCAGTCCCCATCCCCCCAACCCCCAACTCAATATCTAAGAGAGAGAGAGAGTAGTTCCAATAGGGAAGTCTCCTGAAGGAGGCTAAAGTTCTGGGTACTGGGTTTGGGGTGGACCTAAAGAGTTTTTTTTCAATTCTCTGAATGCTATTTCATTGCTGTTAAATGATACTCTTCCCCTAAATGGAAAGGAGACAGGAAGGACAGACTGGTCTACAGTTACACAGAAAGAACTTCCAAAGTATTAGACGAGCAGGGACAGCAGAGGGCGCCAATGTGGTGCAAGGGCACTCAGGGAGGAGTCGCCCACAAGCACATTTTTTTCTCACACGCTGCAAATCTATTCAGAACCACCTCACCCCCAACCTCACACATATTTCCCATCTCACAGGCACATCAGAGGTCAGAGTGAGGACTCCAGGCTCTGATTCTCCCACTGGCCGCCAAGGGACCTTCACCAGCCCCCACCGCACTCCTCAACTATTTTCATGAACTTAGTTAGGGCAGCTCCCCTCAGTAGGGAGCTGGGTAGAGGAGCTGAGACTCCCAGGTTCCCTGCCCATCCAGCGGCCCTGTCCATCTAGCGGGAAGGCGTTTGCTGCAATGTTCTTTATAATGGGGAGTGAGCTGATGATACAACCTGGGTGTACTGTGGAGCCACAAAATGAAAGTTGCAAAGGCTGCCCAGTAACACGGACTCAGGTTTACACTGAAATGTGGACATTAAAAAGCAGGACCCTCCATTGTTCACTATGTCAATAGCGCGCTTGCATATAGATAAAGGCTGCAGGGGACACAGAAAAATTAAACACGGATTGAGGTGAGGTGTTTTTTCTTAAAAATACATCAAATTTGTAAAATGATTGCCTCTGGGAAATAAGGTTATGAATAATGTTTCTTTTTCTCCTTTCCAAATGTTCTACAATGAGCAAGTGTTATTTGGGTAATCAGGAAAAAGAAGTTCACACACACACACACACCCCTGAAAGAGCTTGCTTGCTTCCTTCCTTCCTTTCTGCTTGCCTTCCTTCCTTCCTTTTTTTCTTTTTTTTTTTTCTTTTCTTTTTGAGACAGAGTCTTGCCCTGTCACCCAGGCCGGAGTGCAGTGGCATGATCTTGGCTCACTGCAACCTCTGCCTCCCGGGTTCAAGCGATTCTCCTGACTCAGCCTCCTGAATAACTGGGACTAGAAGCATGCGCTGCCACCACACCTGGCTAAGTTTTGTATTTTTAATAGAGATGGGATTTCACCATGTTGGTCAGGCTAGTCTCAAACTCCTGACCTCAGATGATCCACCTGCCTCCACCTCCCAAAGTGCTGGGATTACAGGTGTGAGCCCCCACCCCTGCTAGTCCTTTCCTTCTTCCTCTTTCTTTCTTTCTTTCTTTCTTTCTTTCTTTCTTTCTTTTCTTTCTTTCTTTCTTTCTTTCTTTTCTTTCTTTCTCTCCTTCTTTCTGTCTCTTTCTTTCCTCTCTCTTTTTTCTTTCTTTCCTCTCTCTCTCTGTCTCTCTCTCTCTTTCTTTCCTCTCTCTTTTTTTCTTTCTTTCCTCTCTCTCTCTCTGTCTCTCTCTTTCTTTCTTTCTTTTTACAGACAGGGTCTCACACTGTTGCACTGTTGCCCAGGCTGGAGTACAGTGGCATGCTCATAGCCCACTGCAGCCTCCATCTCGATCTCCCAGACTCCAGGGATTCTCCTACCTCAGCCTCCTGAGTAGCTGGGACTATAGACGTGCACCACCATACTCCCCTAATTTTTTATTTTTTGTAGAGACAGGGTCTCTCTATGCTGCCCAGGCTGTTTTCAAACACCTGGGCTCAAGTGACCTTCCTGCCTCAGCCTCTCAAAGGGCTGGGATTACAGGTGTGAGCCATTGTGCCTGGCCAAGTCTCTTTTTTCTTTCCTTTTCTTTTCTTTTTCTTCTTTCTCTCGCTCTCTCTCTTTTTTTTGAGGCAGAGTCTCACTCTATCACCCAGGCCCCAGGCTGGAGTGCAGTGGTGTGATCTTGGCTCACTGCAGCCTCCACCTCCTGAGCTCAAGTGATTCTCCAGCCTCAGCCCCCCAGGTGGCTGGGACTACAGGCATGTGCCACCATGCCCAGCTCATTTTTGTATTTTCTGTAGAGACCGATTTCACCATCTTGCCTAGGCTGGATTCGAACTTCTGGGCTCAAGCAACCTGCCAGGCTTGGCCCCTCAAATTGCTGGGATTACAGGTGCGAGCCACCGCCAAGCCACCCGCGAGCCTGTTTTCTTAATGTTGTCACAATGTTAATTAAGGAAGGACCATTCCTTTCCCCACCAAAGTTGCTCGTGTGGCTCTTCTTCTCCCCAACCCAATTCCCCCTCATCACCCTCTTTAGGGGATCCCTCCACCACAAAACCAGAATGTAAATGAACACACTTGCAAAATCTGACCTCGCTCTGATCCCAGTGTCCTGCTGGTGTGAGCCTGGGCTGTTGTGGCCAAGATGCTGAGAGGGGAGGGGACGACCACGGGGGAGTATTCCTGAGTTTTCTGCAGGAGAGGAACAGAACATATGTCACCTCTATCACTGGGTTTTTCCACACGTATTACTGCTATTGTTATTTCAAAATGTTCGGGGCCAGAAGTTTCTGCCAACTCCTGTACCAAAAAGGCTCCTGTCCTTCCCTAGTGACAGTCTCCAGCTCTCTCTGCCGGCCCCCTCCCTCCCCTCCCTCCCCTCCCCCAGATTCTCTGCACAGTCCAGAGAAATAGGGCAGGCATAGAGGGTGGGAAGAGGGCACGCAGCCTCCACAGGTGCTGGCAGGAAAGGAGTTTTTTCGTCTTTGCTGGAATACAGCAGAGATCCAGGCTGGGGAGAGGTGGAGCCCAGGCTATTGACTAACCCTTCTTTTGTGTGGATTTAATCTCACTCTCTGGGAACACAAAAGCTGGAATCTCTGCAAACCTTTCCCTGAATAATCTGCGAGTCAGCGGAGAATCTGCGGGTGAGGAAAGCCAGGGCAGATGGAGGCTGGGACTCCCAGCGGGAGGGAAGTATGTGGTGTTGGGAGGAGGTGAGATGGCACAGAAAGAGCACTGGGAAGTGGAGCAGGAGACCAAAGTTCTAATCCCACCTGTACTCCTCTCTCCTTGCTGTGAATTTGGGCAAACCACTGCCCTCTCTGAGCCGCAGCTTCCTCTTCTGTAACTCATAGAAGTAACAGAGGATCCCTACCTGCTTCTGGGGTCGAGTGACCCTCTCTGAGAATGTTCCCCAGTCTATAAAATTAAGATCTTGATATCTATCCCGCACCAAAGGAAAGATCAGTCCAACCTTCCAATCCTAACAGACAAGCCCTGTCTGGTCCCAAACCCCTCTCCAGCCTCACCTCCATGCCTTTTCTCATTCTGTTTCCTTCACCTGCATCTCCCTTCCCTTTTTAAGTTAAAGTCTACTTTTCTTTGAAGACTCAGTGCGGGTCTGATCTCTTGAGGGAGGCTTCCCCAGTCTCTTTCCTACAGGCTGGGTTAGGGGCTGCTCCTCTGGGCTCCTGTGCTGTTCTGGGCATAAGGCCACTGTGGCCTTAACAACTAAGAATTACAGCTGAGGTTTACTGAGCACTCAGTAAGTGTCCAGACAGGCCCTTCACCCAGCATTACCTTGTGGAATTTTAACCACGCTCTTGTGAAGGTATTGCTGGTTTTCTTTTTTTCTTTTTTTTTTTTTCTTTTTGAGATAGAGTCTTGCTCTATTGCCCAGGCTGGAGTGCAGTGACACAATCTCAGCTCACTACAACCTCTGCCTCCTGGGTTCAAGTGATTCTCCTGCCTCCACTTCCCATGTAGCTGGGATTACAGGCACCCGCCACCACACCTGGCTAATTTTTGTGTTTTTAGTGAGACGGGGGTTTCTCCATCTTGGCCAGGCTGGTCTCGAACTCCTGACCTCAAGTGATCTGCCCACCTCGGCCTCCCAAAGTGTTGAGATTACAGGCATGAGCCACTGTGCCCGGCAGCTGCTGTTTTTATTTCTGCTGTGTTTTTTGTTATTTTGGTTTTTTTTTAAAATCATGGTCGAAGGCTGGTGATTTTCCTGATCAGGACACTGAGCCTGACGGGGGTGAAAGCTGAGTGTCGGGTCTGGGATGTAGACCCCGGGCAGTGTGGCTCCTACTCCTATTCTGACCCTCTGCCTGATATTCTCTCTGCCCTCCTGCGACGCTGAGCATAAGGTATGATAGGTTTCTGTTTAGGGCAATGTATTTGACCTTCCCCTGAGCTGTGAACCCAGGGGTGCAGGGTCTCAGCTCCCTTTGTGCCTCCACTCCATGGCTCTCACAGTTCCAGCGGGAGCTGCATCTGAACCTCATGTTCCCAGGTTTACAGTCAGGGCTCTCCTCCTTGCCCTTGGGAGCCCAGGAAGAGCCTGGATGTGCCAGGGCCCCTCTCCAGTGCTAACTCAATGTTCCATCCCACCCAATGCTGCCTCCACACCTGCCTAGGGTCAGATTTAATCCAGCTAAGGGGACTCTGCTTAGAGGTCATGGCCACATGTGCCAATGTGCCAAGCCGTGGGCCCAGCCTCCTCAGACTTTAGCTCACTGAGGCCTCAGGGCAATCTTTGAGAGAGATTGGGGGATGATTTCCATTTCATAGATGAGGAAAACTGAGGCTCAGCTGCCATCACAGAGCAAGTGGATGGAGCCAGAAGTGACTCCAGGGTTATGTGTCTCAAAGCCCCTTAGCTTTCCCATGGCCTCCCTTCTGTTCCTGACAGGGCCATGCGTGCAAACATCCCCAGAGGACAAGAGTGTGATTAATCTTTGCATCCGCCATGGGCCAGTGGCTACACCCAGGCACTGAGAGGCCGGTTGTGAGAGTCTGGGCTGGGCAGGCCCTGGTTCACAGCAGACTCCAAATAACTGTTTATTGGTGGAGGTCAGCCGGGCAGGGATTACCATCTCCAGTTTATAGATGAGGAAGTTGCAATCAGCCGGGTGCAGGAAAGTTGCCCAAGGTCATCCGTGAGTCAGAAGAAGAGCAAAGACTTGAACTCAGAACACTGGGGGCCTCTGCAGAGTAAGAGGAAGGAGGCTGGGGCTGCTGGGCTGGGCTCTCCCACTCAGGTGGCCTGGGCTGGCAGCTTTATGGGCCCTGTAAGTCGCTGGGACATGTCAGCACTCATTCCAGCTCTAACGACCCTAAATCAGGCCTTGTCCCCTACAGGTAAGCAGGGCCCCAGGTAGTCTAAATAGTGACAGGTGACTGGTTTATGGCAGGCCAGGACTGGGGTCAGGGCTGGAGATAAGGCTGAGAATGTTAAGACCAGGAACAGGAAGAGAGGGCCACTCACCCTGTGTAACCTTGAAGTTAGAGATGGCAGATGGAGCAGGAACCAGTCCACCACCCCATCGCCAATGTGCAGGCTCTGTGGTGCCCATAATTAAGATGCACCCATAAGAGAGTGTATAGCTTTACCCCTCCCGCATTCCTCAGAGGGGATGCCCTACCAGGGACTCGTTCTCCTCACCCATCTTTATGGTCCCAAAATGCACCCAGGGCCCCCCTCTCTCCTGGGGGGCCTGAATGCAATGAACTTTAAAGTGGATCATTGATCAACAGTCCCTTAACCCCACCAAAGTTTCCCAAGCCTCTCCCCTGCTCATCAGGGGGCTGGCCAGAGGTCACAGGGACTCCCTGGGGGTGGTTTTTATTCCCAGGAACAGGCTTCCTCAGTCCTGAAAGGGACATTTTTATAGCCCTGTGAACACAAATGCACTCCCCAGAATAGGCTCTGGGTGTGGAATCCCTCCTGTGGCTGTCATGGTCGCAGGCTGGTGATTACATTATACAGTGGTGTTGACAATAGAGCCCTAAGCCTGGCATGGACACCCCCTCACCTCCCTCCTGCCTCTCTGTAGGATCAAAGCTGCTCTGTGAGGCTGTGTGATCCTGGGCCAGGAGCGGGGAGTCAGCCTCAACCCTAAGCAAGGAGGAAGCATCTTTGCCTGAATCCTTCTGGGGGAGGCAATCCCCCTTCAGAAGTCCCTAGCCCAGGTTCGAAGGTCGGTAGGGACTGAGAGGTTGGCAGCGGATGGGGAGTGGCTAAACCAGAAAAAGGGGGCTTCCTGTTGATGGATTGATGGAGGAGGTCCAGGTCCACTGCCTGGTTCCCCGTCCCTCTCCCGCACCCCAGCCTGAGCTTCCCAAACTCCCACAGAAGCCCCCACCCCATGTGGGACACAGAGGACCTGCAGTAGCAGGAGGGCACAGCTAAGAGAGGAGACAAGAGGCAGCTTGGGGGCATGGGGGGGACCCCATTTCCCCAAATGTTGGAGCCGCCCTTAAGGGAACTTCCCCTGGACTCCTCTGGAGGTCTTGCCAGATGGGAGAACCAGGGGTCCATTCAGACCCCAGTCTCTTCTCTTCCCATCTCATCTCTCCACCTGGGGGGCTCAAAGAACCTAGCTCCTCCCCTTTGACCCCATCAGCTTCTCCCTCACCGAATCCTCTTACAATCCATTTCTTAATTCTGCCCCATCAACCCTCCCTGGTCATCACATAAACACCAGCAAGGGCAGTAGTTTAGGGACAGCTTTGCTCTGTATTCGAAGAAAGGTCTTTGGTCTGCTTAGAAATTAAGTTTGGAGCAGCCTGGGAGGAAATAGAAGAGATGAGACCCAGAGAATCAATGGCCACTGCCAAAGAGAGATAGGAGAGCCTTTCTGCGGCCACTGATTCAACAAACGGCATCACACGCCCCTCAGCCTCTCATCTCTTCGAGGCCATCTCCACCCCCACCCCCACCCCCACCCCAAGGCCATTCCAAGGTCCCATTCAAGACCACTGCGCAGGGGTGGCGCCAGAATGATCAAAGTCATCATGGGGCACTCATCTTTGTGTGGGTCAAGCACTTTGTGGTGTCGTGTCCCTGTTCCCAAACCAGGGACCAGGAGTAGGATGGGGGAGGGGCAGGGCGCCGCTGCTGAGTGGAGAGGACGCGGAGTGGGTGAGGGGGCCTTGCGCACAGGGCAAGAGGTGGCCAGGCAGGGCGGGGGACCGGGGAGAGCGGAGGATTTCAGATGAGGGACAGGGGAAGGTGGAGAGGGGAGGGCAGGCCCCGCCAGGGGGAGGAGCCGCCTCCCGCGTCCAGCTGTCGGGGCTCCCTCCCGTCGCGGCTCCGCTATAAAACCCAGGCCGGCAGGATCGCTGCACCCGCGGCGGCCTCCTCGGTGCGCGACCCCCGGCTCAGAGGACTCTTTGCTGTCCCGCAAGATGCGGATGCTGCTGGCGCTCCTGGCCCTCTCCGCGGCGCGGCCATCGGCCAGTGCAGGTGAGCTCCCGGGCTCCGGCCCCAGGTGCCCCTCGGCGGTCCCCTCCGTGCCCCCAGCTCCCGCCCCTGCAGAGGATCCCCCCGCGGGCGACCGGTGAGCGTCGGTGGCGCTGGGGTCCCGGGTTGCGTGTGCGCCGGGGGCCGCGAGGGTGCGGGAGGACTGGGCAGCGCGCGAGCTTGTGTGTGCACACGCGTGTCAGCACCGGCTGGGGGAGCGTGTGCACGGGTGTGCGCGGTGAGGGTGTGTGCGCGTGGCCCGGCGAGACGAGTTGGGAGTCCCTGATAAGGATGCGTCTCAGGCCGGGCGCGGGTGCTCCAGCCTGAAATGCCAGCACGTTGGGAGGCAGAGGCGGGTGGATCACCTGAGCCCAGGAGTTCGAGACCAGCATGGCCAACATGGTGAAATCCCATCTCTACCAAAAATACAAACATTAGCCGGACGTGGTGGCACACGCCTGTAATCCCAGCTACTCGGGAGGCTGAGGCCCGAGAATCGCTTGAACCCAGGAGGTGGAGGTTGCAGTGAGATCACGCCACTGCACTCCAGCCTGGTGCTCCGTTTAAAAAAAAAAAAAAAAAAAAAAAAAAAAAAAAAAAAGGATGCTTCTCGGACCCGCCTCAACGCACGCCTTCTTTTCTCACCCAGCCTCCTCCGTCTGCCCGTGGGTTTCCGTCCGTCCCGCTGGGACTCAGCGCTGGGTGACTGCCCCGCGGCCAGAGCAAGGGCGGTCTGGCAGGGTCCTGGAAGCCGCGCTTCCCACACGGGTTCCTTGCCCCTGAGGGTCGCAAGCTCCCCTGGCCTCCCTAACCTCCAGCGCTGAATTGGGAGCCTGGCGGGGGCGGGGGGTGGGGGACCCGGAGCCCCAAGGCCTCTGCGGAGCCGGTCTTTCCGGACAGGGTGATTTTCGTTTAAAGATTAATGGTGAAGCCGAGCTCTTAATTATTCCTCTAGGTGGGAGGTGGCAGGAAAGGCATGTTAATATTTGATAAGAAGCTAAAGGCGCTTCAAGCGGCTGGGCACAGGGATCCGATCCTGGAGGCACCTTCTTTGCAACCCCAGACCCCATCACCGGAAGACCCCCTCTGCCAGTTCTCAGCCCAACCACCCCTCGGATGGTTCTTGGGGTCCACGCAGGCTGAAACCTCCTCTCCCAAGTTAGGTGCTCCATCCTCAAAGCGGCGGAGTGAGGGGTGAAGGTGTCCTCTGCACAGAGAGGAGCCAGCGTGTGCCCTTTGCAGCAGGGACTGGCTGAGCTGTCTTAGAGGGTCGAGGGGCACCTTGCAGCCTCTCCACCGGGCCCCTGGGAGAAGAAAGAGAAAAAGCAGAATGTGGAAACTTTTATTTGTAGGGTTGGACATTGGAAACCTACTAAGCAGCTAGAAAGTAGAAAGAGAAATGCTTTGCAGTTCTGGTGCTTTGTAGCTGTGTGGTCTTGGGTAAGTCACTTCCTGTCCCATTTGCAAAACAGGTGTTGTCATTCTGACTTCAGGGGTTTTAAGCGTTTGAATAAGATAATGGGTTTAAGTGATTAGTGCGGTGCCTGTGTGGCACGTGGCTGGTGTGTCATATACCAAGTTTATGGGGCTCTCCCCCAAGCCTGGGGCCAGTGTCAGGAATGTGTCTCAGCTCACCCCTCACACAAGCTGCTATCCCCTTTAGTGCCAAGGCTTTCTGACTGGGACCTGCCTTCCATTCATCTTATGGAGGACTCAAGCTGAGAAGGGACCAGGTTGCATATGGCGACCCCCAGAGCATCTCTGTCCATTGAGACAAGAGGCCGGGTGAGGATATTTGGTCCCCTTCAGAGCCCCAGACCCCTGGCCGGGAGCGACTGAGACTTTGCCCAGGAAACACTTGGGTTGTGCTGAGCTGTTTTTCAGGATTATCCCCTGTCCCTCAGAGGGGGAGGTGGGGTGAGCAAGGTCCATTAGAGAGGCTTCTTCAGCCATCTTGAAATAAGGGGGAGGGGTGGCAGGTCAGTCAGTGTGGGGGGCAGTAGCTGGGTGACAGGCGACTGACTTTCGGTCTCTAACCTCTGGTCAGGGTGGATGGACTAGGTAGGATGTGGCGCTGGACACCGAGACCTCTGGGTAGGTAGCCCCTCTCCTTCCCAAGCCCTCTTGGGAGTGGCCTGAGTCAGTGGGCTGGTACTTACCTGCAAGGGTGGCCCTCTCATTCAACGAAGACAGGAACCTGAGTGGTGGGTGCTCCTGCCACCAGCACCCCACCCTCATCCACCGACATGGACCTGACCCCTGGCCTTGACCTCACCACCATTATGTTTTCCTGGCTGCTGCTTCCTGAAGAAGGTAGTTACAAGTGCGTTCAGCCAAGCAGGTCAAAAGTCTCCATGATTAAGACAGTGGATCACAGGTCACCACTACAAACCTAGGAGCTGCGGCCAGAGCCAGGGAAGACCAAATTCCTAAGAAAAGCTAAGCCTGGACCAGATGGGCCCCAGGGAGGCTGTGAGGCGAGTTACAGGGGGCTCCACCCTTTGCAGCTGGCTCTTGGGGATGCTGGCTGAAGGGAGGCTTCTCCTGGAATGGCTGCCCCCGGGCCCTCCAGTCAGAGAAGAGGCCAGCCCAATCTTCAAAACCCCTTCCTCCTTCAAGACCTCTGCGGGTGGGGACATGGGATGATTATGGCAAGGAACTGTCATGGTGCAAATGCCCTCTGATTTATTATCTCCTTAGTCACCAGCACTGGGAATTTGGTGGCTGCACCTGTCAGAGGCGTTTGAACCAGAGTGACTCCATTTTGGGTGAGAGCTAGGAAAATGAGGCCGAGATTTGCTGGGCTGCATTATCAGAAAGTCAGGCATTTCTAGCCTCTAGATGTTTGCAGTTAAGGGAACAAATTAATAATATTTACTACACAGACCCAGACTTGGGAAGGTCCAGATACTCCGATATCTGGAGAGCAAAGGCATTCCTAATTTTGCTTTAAAAATAATAATGTTGGCTGGGCACGGTGGCTCACACCTGTAATCCCAGCACTTTGGGAGGCCGAGGCGGGTGGATCATTTGAGGTCAGGAGTTCGAGACCAGCCTGGTCAACATGGTGAAACCCTGTCTCTACTAAAAATACAAAGATTAGCTGGGCATGGTGGTACATGCCTGTAATCCCAGTTACTCAGGAGGCTGAGGCAGGAGAATTGCTTGAAACTGGGAAGTGGAGGTTGCAGTGAGCCAAGAGCCCACCACTGCCCTCCAGCCTGGGCAACAGAGCGAGACTCTATCTCAATAATAATAATAATATCAATTCTTGGATAATGTAGTAATTAAGAAAATTAATCCTTTATCACAAACCCTTGTAGCAGAGCACATGTCCCCATATATACAACGCATTGAATGCATTCCTTCCTTCTCTGACTTTTGGGAATGTCCTACTCTGTCTATGGAGTAGCTGTCCTTTCACCACTGTACTTTCTTAATAAACGTGCTTTTCCTTTGCACTGCAGACTCAACCTGAATTCTCTCTTGTGCAAGATCCAAGAACCCTCTCTTGGGGTCTGGATCGGGACCCCTTTCCTGTAACATGCCTTCTGTCAGAGGAAGATTATGGGACTCAGAATGTCAGATAACTCCCCTGTGGAGACTGAGCAAAGGCAGAGCGGGAGCTGGAGGCTTCGGAGCTCTGCCCCACTGCTGGGGTGGCGAGTGGCCACTGCCCTCTGCAGAATCCACCCACATGGGGGTGGTTCAGGTGCAGCAACTCCCAGGGACAGCAGAGCCCTGCCCGGGGCTGGGGATGGGCCATCAGGGGGAGGACACTGCAGCTCTGAAAAAGGCGATGCCAGCAGGGAAGGAGAGGCAGTGATCAGGGCAGGGAAACTCCAAAGCCCAAAGCAGCTCTTCGTGGCCAGTTAGTTTTCCTGGGGATGCTCCCTCATGGCTCCTTCCCCATCCTGTCCCCACTCCGGGGACTCTACCCTGGCTTAGACTACAAGAAGATGGGACTGTGGGGGCAGCCCAGGCAAGAAGGGAGAGGGTGGATGAGCTCAGAGACCTCAGCTTTGGCTGAGTGGGAACCGTGCTTTTCTTAGGAATTTCCTCATCTTGATTTCTTTCCAAGTCACTTCATTTCTCTCCTCTCTCGGCCCCTCCTTGGCTTTGGCCATCTGCTCCCAAAAGGAGGCCATGGGGTGGGTGGGAGGGGTGGGGGGGAGGGAAGGAGTTGTCGATGGGATTTTACTAAGTGCCAAGCCGCCTGAAACCTCATTTAATCCTCCCCAAGGCCCTATGAGGTGGGTATGTTTGTCTCATGTTACAGATGATACAACTGAGGCTCAGAGAGCTTAAGGGACTTGCCCCCAAACCCATCTAAGCCCCCTGAGCGGCTCAGCCAGAATTCCAAGCTCTGGATGAGATGTTGTGTTCGCCCTGCTGGTGCAGCCTTTTAAAAAAATTAATAGACTTTATTTTTAGAGCAATTTTAGGCTCACATAAAAATTCAGCAGGAAGTACAGAGGGTTCCCATAGGCCCTTCTGCCCTGCATGCACTTTCCCCTCTTATTAACATCTTGCATCCATGTGGGACATTTGAGGTGCAGCCTTTTTTTCAGAGATGCTGGGTTCTATTGCCCTGAGGCAGAGCCCTCAGCCTGTCCCCAGAGATCAGGACTGTGCGGTTGAGGGGCAGGGGAGGAAGCCTGGCTGCTTTCCTCCTAGCGGGAGCTGTGAGACGCTAGCCAAGAAGGGATCTTAGTAACACAGGGTGAGACATTCTGGGGAGGGGCCGCCTAATCTCCTCCCTCATCTTGGATCTGGGAAGGCTGCCCGGTTGAACCTGACTCTATTGTCCCAGGAGCGGAGGCTGGGCCAAGTCCTCCTCTTCTCCTCTCACCAGCCTCTTTTCCAGGTTTGGGGTGGGGGAGGTAAGCGCGGAGGAGGCTGCTGGTGACCAAAGGATGGAGTATCCAAGCCAGCCCCATGTTAGAGATGAGTGGCCTCAGAGGGCTTCCCTGGAGGGCCAGTGGCTGCTTGGCCTGGCCCTGCCTGGGGAACAGAGCCCTATGCCAGCTGACCTGTTGATCAGCCCCTGCTTGGTTTTCAATTGAGTCTCTTTTTCTGGGCCCTCAATCCTGCTGCCAGGAACACTCCATCCCAGCCCAAGAGGGGCTCCAACCCCAGGGGTAGGCCCAGCCTCTGATCCTCCTGTGTGTGTGAGCAACAAGACACACGCACGCACACTTCACACCCTTCCTCTCTGCTCCAGAGTCACACTGGTGCTACGAGGTTCAAGCCGAGTCCTCCAACTACCCCTGCTTGGGTGAGTACAGCCAGTCCAGGGGACTGCTCTTTGTGCATGGTGGGCACCACGCAAGCCGAAATGGAGACCCCGGAAGAGTGGGAAGGGGAGGGGTGATGGTGGCTTCCCAGGCAGATATCAGTTCCCAGCATACACACACACACACACACACACACACTCTCTCTCTCTCTCTCACACACACACACACACAGATATACAAACACACACACTCACACAGAAACACACACACAACACACACACAAGCACACACTCAAACACTCACACTCACACATGCACACACACACTCACACTCACACAAACCCACACTCACTCACACACACAAACACACACTCACACTCTCCTGTCCTGGTGCTCAGGGACCAGGGAGCATAGAGTGACCTGAGTCTTCACTGGCACCTGCTGTCATCGAGAGGGCATGTTCCCTGTGGAATAAATCGGTAGCAGCATTAAAGGAAGAAAGGCGTTTTGCTGTTTCCCATAATAAAACGGGGAGTTGTTTCTATCCCAGTGACACCCCTTGCAGGGTGCCTGAGTGATGGTCCTTTACGCTTTTATTTGAATGCTGACCAATTCGAATGCAAACCCTGCAGTCTGCTGTGTTTTGGTGACTGAGCAGTGCTGCCCGCTCCTGACCCTGGCCCACCTGGTGTTGGGGTCACCAGGGTTCGGGGAACCAGCTCCTCCAGGGTTACTCCTCTCCCTCCCATTCCTCAGATGATGCTCAGCGCCCTTCATCAGCAGCCCCCCCGGGGGTCCCACTCCACAGTTTCCAAAGCCCTCTCCATCCACCTCCTTTAAACTCTCTGACATCCCAGGGAAGCGGATTATCTCTGCAGTTCCCATTTTACATTTGGGAAACCCAGGGCTTGGAGAGGCCATGTGCACCACCTCATGAAGTTGTCCCTACCCCGGAGCTCACAGTCAACAGTTGGCAACCCTGTTCCCACCCTGTTCCACACTGGGGCTAGACTCCCCAGCCTTGCATGTATGTTTCTGTGGAGGAGGAGGAGGAGGGCCCAGGGAGGGCGAGAGTGGAGTTCGGAGCTGAGCATCCCTGCAGCACAGCCTTCAGGCCACCCCAAAGCGTTTCTGTGTGGGAACTGAGTGGGTGGGCCTGACTTCAGTGGGGTGGTGGGGGCTACACCTTGGTGCCAGGCACCCGACTCTCAGCCCACCTTCTCTCCCTGCTCAGTGCCAGTCAAGTGGGGTGGAAACTGCCAGAAGGACCGCCAGTCCCCCATCAACATCGTCACCACCAAGGCAAAGGTGGACAAAAAACTGGGACGCTTCTTCTTCTCTGGCTACGATAAGAAGCAAACGTGGACTGTCCAAAATAACGGGCACTCAGGTGGGCTGGATGGAGGCCCCAGGCAGGCCTGGGCACCCGAGTTCCCCAAGGACTGAGAGGATGGGGCTCCTCCCAGGAGGGTGTGCCAGACCCAGGCCCATCTGTGCTGTGAGGTGGCTGAAAATCCCATGGGGGAGGACAGCTTCCAGGAGGAGAGAGCACTCTAGTATGTTTTCGTTACTTTTGTCAGACCAGTCTGGGATGTGGGGGCAGGAAACGTTCCAGGAAGAAGGACATGTGCAAAGGCGCGGAGGCATGGAACAGCTCGGCGTGTTCAGAGGACTGCCAGGAGCTCTGTGTGGAGGAAGGACAGACAGTGAAGCCAGGCAGAGCCCAAGCAAGGCCCAGGGGCAGCTGGGCTGGGGCCCAAGGGCAGATCACCCAGGCCTGAGGAGTTTGGACATTACCCCGAGGACACCAGGGCACCACAGAGGAGGTGGACGCAGAGGAGGCACCAGGACAGAGCTGCAGTTTGGGGCAGTGGAGGGTGCAGGAGAGGGGGAGGCAGGCAGGGAGACCAAGGAGGAGGCCAGGGAAAGGTCCGGGGCTGTCCCACCCTGTCCCACCCCGCGCCACCCCTGCAGGCCAGAACCAGAGCTCATGAAGGTTGGGAGGCAGGAGACAATGTCCCATCTGGGTGAAGCTGGGATGAAGAGCTAGAGGAGGCTGAGGGAGGCTGGTTCGAGGACTCTGCCCCTTCTGTGCTCCCAGTGATGATGTTGCTGGAGAACAAGGCCAGCATTTCTGGAGGAGGACTGCCTGCCCCATACCAGGCCAAACAGTTGCACCTGCACTGGTCCGACTTGCCATATAAGGGCTCGGAGCACAGCCTCGATGGGGAGCACTTTGCCATGGAGGTGAGGGCCCCTTCCCGACTGGGACCTTGTCTGGGCTCTGGGCGCGCACCTGCCTTGGGCAAGGAGGGTAGTCCAGGCCCTTCATAGGTCCCCTTTTCACCCCTCCACCCCGACCAGATGCACATAGTACATGAGAAAGAGAAGGGGACATCGAGGAATGTGAAAGAGGCCCAGGACCCTGAAGACGAAATTGCGGTGCTGGCCTTTCTGGTGGAGGTGGGACTCCCATCCCCCACTTCCCGGGGAACCCGGGGCTGAGAGCTTCTTCTTAGGATTCAGAGACCTGGGACTCCAGCGAGGCAGGAGGGGGCGGGGAGACTCCAACTTCCGCCTCTGTTTCTGGGGTTGCATGTCCCCGGGCCAGGTGGGGAGCCCAGAGCCTCAATCCCAGAAGCTGCCTGGCCTTCCGCCCCCAGATCGGGAGAATGAACTGGCCACCACCACTGGCTCCCTGCAGACTTTCTCAAGACCCTTCCCTCCCTTTCCAGGCTGGAACCCAGGTGAACGAGGGCTTCCAGCCACTGGTGGAGGCACTGTCTAATATCCCCAAACCTGGTGAGTCAGGATGGGGGAGAAGGGCTTGGGGTGAGGGGGGGGATTCCTCCCACAAAGGAAGGGGTGGGTGTGCGGGGAGCTGGGCTCTCAGAGTGCAGGGGAAGAGGGGCTCCTTCTCCCACCCTCACTGACAGTGTCCTCTGCCCCTATCTCAGAGATGAGCACTACGATGGCAGAGAGCAGCCTGTTGGACCTGCTCCCCAAGGAGGAGAAACTGAGGCACTACTTCCGCTACCTGGGCTCACTCACCACACCGACCTGCGATGAGAAGGTCGTCTGGACTGTGTTCCGGGAGCCCATTCAGCTTCACAGAGAACAGGTGCACAGGGCCTGGGGCAGGGCATGGGCTCCCACTGCCTGGCTCCCCAGAAATTATCCCTCTGTCTGCCCTCAGAGGTCCCTCAGGATACAGGTGGGGAGCCCAGGTAACTGAAGTCCGTTGTTAATCATCGACATTCACTGAAGACAGGCAAGAAAAGCCTGAGCTGTTCCATCACCAGATTGGGGGCTAGACAGGAGGCAGGGGAAGGTGGAGTCATTCAGAAAATGGTGCTGGGGTTTCTATCATGAACGAGGCTCTGGGGAGACAGCAGTGAGCCCAAAGGACCCAAATCCCTACCCTTGCACTGCTTTCATTCCAAAACAGTGGTTCTCAAAGTGCGGCCCCTGGACCAGTGGAGTCAACATCATCACTGGGGGAATTTGTTAGAAATGCTAATCCTCAGAGCTACTGAATCAGGAACTCTGGGGGTGGAGCCCAGGCATCTGGGGCCCAACAAGCCCGCCCCCCAGCTGATGCTAACGCATGCTCAAGTTTGAGAGCCACAGTCCTGTAGTAAGAGTGACAAGAGAAGCAGGCATTGCGGGCCCCCTGGGGTGTGAGTGAAAGGAAGCCAATGGGCACTTAGCCTTCACCCATGCCACGCACCTCATTTACATCCCCTATTCTTATCATCTTCACGACCACCTTGAGAGCCAGGGGTTCAGAGCCCCTCTTTCCTAATGAGGGCTCCCAGGACAGGATGAGGTGCCTGCCTGAGGTCACACGGCAGGGAGTGCAGCTCCCCCTGCCCCGACCTGCTGAGCCCCATCACTTCCGCAGATCCTGGCATTCTCTCAGAAGCTGTACTACGACAAGGAACAGACAGTGAGCATGAAGGACAATGTCAGGCCCCTGCAGCAGCTGGGGCAGCGCACGGTGATAAAGTCCGGGGCCCCGGGTCGGCCGCTGCCCTGGGCCCTGCCTGCCCTGCTGGGCCCCATGCTGGCCTGCCTGCTGGCCGGCTTCCTGCGATGATGGCTCACTTCTGCACGCAGCCTCTCTGTTGCCTCAGCTCTCCAAGTTCCAGGCTTCCGGTCCTTAGCCTTCCCAGGTGGGACTTTAGGCATGATTAAAATATGGACATATTTTTGGAGAAACCTTTCTCAAGTGTGTTTTTAGCCTTCCACAACTACCCCACCCTGTCCCCCTCCACCCACCCCTGTTCCTCCTGTTCCAGGGCGGGGGCTTTAAGGCCAGGAGATTTCTCCCAAGCAGGTACCACCAGGTGTCCCCACTCCCGTTCTATGTGAATTCCGTGTCTATACCCCACTCCCTTCTACCAGGACCTGGACCTTGGAGAGATGCTGAAGGCATCTTGGAGCTTCATCACAGCGGAAGCTAGAGGAGTTCCAATCTGATCTCTTCATCATATAGAGGGGGAAACTGAGGCTGAGAAAGACAAGGTTGGGGCCGGGCATAGTGATTCACGCCTGTAATCCTGGCACGTTGCGAGGCAGAGGCACGTGAATCACTTGAGCCCTGGAGTTCAAGACCAGCCTAGGCAACATGGTGAAGCCCTGTCTCTATAAAAAATACAAAAATTAACCAGGTGTGGTGGTGCACACCTGTAGTCCCAGCTACTCAGGAGGTTGAGGCAGGAGGATTGCTTGAACCCAGGAGGCGAAGGTTGCAGTGAGCTGAGATTGTGCCACTGCACTCCAGCCTGGGCAACAGAGCGAGAGAGAAGAGGCTGCTTGGCTGGCTGGAGGCCATATACTGAGGCTAGGGCAGAGCCGACTGCATGACGGCAGCCCCAGCCCTGTGCGTTCTCCCCTGTGCTAGGGGTGAAAGGGTGTCATGTGTGGGGATGGCCTAGGCAAGGTGGGCGAAAGGAAGTTCATTTGTTTGCTCAAAAATTTATTGAGCGTTTATGCTCTAGGCACTGGGGATATGGCAGAGAATAAAAGACAAAAATGCCTGCCCTCCTGGAGTTCACAGTCTAGTGGAGAGACAGCCCATAAATGAAGCAGGCATGTTGTCTAATAGATCGGGAGGCAGTGAGTGCATGGGAGAAAGAGAATTCAGGGCAGGGGGCCGGGCGCAGTGGCTCATGCCTGTAATTCCAGCACTTTGGGAAGCCGAGGCGGGCAGATCACCTGAGGTCAGGGGTTTGAGACCAGCCTGGCCAACGTGGCGAAACACCGTCTTTACTAAAAATACAAAAATTAGCTGGGCATGGTGGCGGGTGCCGGTAATTCAGCTATTCAGGAGGCTGAGGCAGGAGAATTGAGGCAGAGTTTGCAGTAAGCCAAGATTGAACCACTGCACTCCAACCTGGGTGACAGAGAGAGACTCTGTCTCAAAAAAAAAAAAAAAGAGAGAATTCAGGGCAGGGAAGGTGGGAAGCCCTGGGGGAAGGGGCGGCTGGGAGGAGGCCAGAGATGGAGGCCTCTGGAGACTGCAAATGTTGAGGTGCGGCAGGGAGGGAGCCTTCCAGAGAAACAGCAGGGAGGAGTAGAGGGAGGGAGGGAGGGAGGAAGCAGGGGGAGGGGAGGCAGGAGAGTGAGGTGGAGGGCATTGGTTTGGAGCAGGGAGGGGAGCTATAGAGGTGAAGGCAGAACGCAGGGACAGTTCAGGGGCTGCCGCAGTGCCCAGGAGCTGATCTGCTGATGGGTTAGCAGTGAGATATGAGGGAGAGCTCATGGGGGTGTCCAAGGGTGTGGGGCTTGGTCCCTTGGGACTTGTCAGGAAAGTCCCCACCACCACGGTGATTACATCTCTAATGGGTTGTTTTCCCTCCTGTGGCCAGAGGGAAGTGGAGGGAGAGACTGGGAGGAGGCTGGTGAGAGGGGGTCCAGGACACCAGAATGAGAAGGAAAGAAGGGGACCCACGCGGTCCCCAAGCCAGGTCAGGCCCCAGGTGCCAGGAACTGAGGGCCCGCAGCTGTCAGACCTCATCATCAGGAGTAGGACTGGATTTTGGAATTCGTGAGCCTTGGAGTGGGGTTGGCTGAGTGAATGGGGCACCCAGGTTTCCCTGGCTGGGTGAGGACCCCTTTGGCAGGCTGAGAGTCCGGAGGTAGAGAGCTTCCTCACAGGAAGGCGTGCCCACCAGGAGGGCACTGAGGGATTCCATCACCTGGTTCTAGAATCCCTCGCTGGCTGTGGGAGGGGAGCTGGTGGGAGAAGGTGGTCTCTAAGCCTTCTCTCACCCCGAGCCCCCCATGCCCCTGACCACCCCCAGTCAGCCCAGGGAGAGGAGAGACGGCTGCTCCCCTCCCTCCTCCCTTTCCCTCCGTCTTCCCTTTTGTAACCAAAAATAAGTCCCCCCTCCCTTCCCTGGTGACCACGCAGCTGTGGGGGAGGGGTGGTATTGCTGTTGCCATGGCAACCGCAGGCCGCCTGTCAGCGGGGGGTGTGTGGACGCAGAACCTGGAACCTGTTCTTTGGTTCCCACACAGACTGCAGGGGATCTAAGCTGCCCCCCAAAGGATCAGGGCTCTGAGGTCAGAATGGCCCCTCCCAGCTCCCCAATGGCACTGCATCCCCACCCCCATCCCTGCCCTCCAGGCAACCTTAGTGAATAATGTGGCAGCAGGACCAGGAAGTCCTGGCCTTTCCAACCTAAGGCAGAAGGTGTTCGACCCTCCCCATCCCCCTGGTCCCTAAATCATAAATCCGGCCAGCAGGAGCCAGAACGGGCACAGCTTGTCCAGGGCCTGGGGCTCTGGCCACCTCCCATGTCCTGCCTGCCCTCCCTGCGGCCCAGAGGCCACAGCAGGTGCTGCCAGCACTCAACTCCCAGCCAAGTCACCAGGGCCAGTCACAGCAGAAGTGGGCAGCTCACCCCGGGCACTGGCCCCCACCTCCCGAGGCCGCCACTGATGGCATTCCTTCCTGTGAACATGCGTGTGTTCATGACGAGCTTCCTGTTTTTAGTAAATTCACTCCCTCCATGCGGCCTCCACCACCCCCAGCAGACCCCCACCCTGGGGATGGTGGCTCTGAGTTCCCTGTGCCCAGTCTGGCCTGGCTTCTGAGACAGTTCCCTCTGAGGGCGAGGGAGGAGAACCCCCTTATTCACAAAGAGGGTCCAGCCTGGCCCCTGAGCCCTCCTTTCATTCATTTCTGAGGCCCCGTGGGTGACTGCATGGGGTACACACACACACACACACACACACACACACACACACACACACCAGCCTTCACTCCTTCACTGTAGCTGGCCAGGCCTGGGGAAGGCTCACAGGCTGATGGTTTTGCCTGCACCCTGACTTCTCTGAGGGTCACTGGCCGGCACTCAGCACAGCATAAAGCACATTCTGGGGTGCCCATCGTGTTCCAGGTGGGGGCCGTGCTGCAATCCCATTGGGGTGGTGTTATCCCTCCCACAGCACGGATAAGGAAGCCCCAAGGCACAGAGAGGGACGGGGCACTTGTCAGAACCTGGGGCCACTCCCCTGTGCCTCCTTGGCTCCCCTGGCCGGCTCTCTCCTTTGGCTGAGCCATCTGTGTCCAGGGGCAGGGTGGGGGCTGCAGCACCCCGTCCCACCCATCTCCGCTGGTTGCTCTCCATCCCCAGTGGGCCGCCTCTTTGGCCCCCTGTTTAGATTCAGCATCCGGGTGGGAGCCAGGGGCTAAAAATATTCCTCATGTGTTTAGATGGTTCTTGGAAAATAAACTTCCCCATCTTGGCTCTTGGTTTGCACACTTGCTGGCCCTGCTTCCTGTGGCTCTGATCTGACAATGTAGGGGTGGGGGAGGAAGGTGGGGCGGAGGAGGGTCTACAGGGGGCCCAGAGTCGTGGGGGCTGTGTGGACGTCTGCCCATGGTTCGTGCAGGCTGCCGTGTCTTAAAACTCCAGGGGGCGCCTATACCGACAGGGCCTTGTGAACGGTGCCCCCAGCGTGGTGCAACCCTGAGGCTCTGAGCTTGTGTGTGTGTTGGGGTGGGAAGAGGCAAGGAAGCTAGTGGCTCCATGGGCATGGAGGCATGCTCCCTGCTCTGGGCCTCAGTTCATCCATCTGCAGAAGGGGCTACCCTTGGTCCCCCCATCTAATTGGGCAAGGCTGTCCCGGGCTCCTGCTGTCCCCGGTGACCTCAGAAGGAAGGCCAGGCCTCTCTGAGGTTGGGGAACTGTTCCTGCACCTCGCACTACACATGTCCTAGCCGCTCTGTTTGTTTATCTGAGAGGGACAAAGGCATTCTTTCCCCCAGGGACAAAGGACGATGTCCAAGGCCCAGGGAGGGGCTTCCTTTGGAGAAGAGCTGCGGGACAGAAGAGTCAGTTCCTTCCGCAGAGCCCTCGGCTGGACACGTGGGAGGCTCCTCAGGTTGTTCCAAGTGTCAGCTGCGGCAAGGCCTGGAGGACAGGAAGAGGGCAGCGGAGCAGGACACAGGGAAGGGATGTGGGTGCATTCTGGAACAAGATTTAATCTTCCATCAAGATTTAGTCTTTCAGCCAGGCGCAGTGGCTCACACCTGTAATCCCAGCACTTTGGGAGGTCAAGGCGGGAGGATCACTTGAGCCTGGGAGTTTAAGATCAGCCTGAGTAACTTAGGGAGATCCTGTCTCTACGAGGGGGAAAAAAAGAAGCCAGACGTGGTGGCACGCCTATGGTCCCAGTTACTTGAGAGGCTGAGGTGGGAGGATGGCTTAAGCCCAGGAGTGCAGGCACCATTGCACTCCAGCCTGGGCAACAGAGAGGGACCCTGTCTCAAAAAAGGAAAAAAAAAAACAAACGTAATCTTCCTTCCTCCCTCCCTCCCTCCCTCCCTCCCTCTCTCTCTCTCTTTCTCTTTTTCTTTCTTTCTTTCTTTTTTTCTTTCTTTCTCTTTCTCTTTCTCTTTCTTTCTTCCTTCCTTCCGTCTTTCCGTCCTTCCCTCCCTCCCTCCTTTCTTTCTTTCTTTTTCTTTCTCTTTCTTCCTTCCTTCCTTCTGTCCTTCCCTCCTCCCCTCCCTCCAGTCTGTCTGTCTGTCTGTCTTTCTTTCTTTCTTTCTTTTTTCTTTTTCTTTCTTTTTATACAGTCTCACTCTGTTGCCCAGACTGGAGTGCAGTGGCACGTTTTCGGCTCACTGCAACCTCTGCCTCCTGAGTTCAAGTGATTCTCCTGCCTCAGCCTTTCGAGTAGCTGGTACTACAGGCGCATGCCACCATGCAGCTAATTTTTTTCATATTTTTAGTAGAGATGGGGTTTTGCTATGTTGGCCAAGCTGGTCTCGAACTCCTGACCTCAGGTGATCCACCTGCCTCGGCCTCCCAAAGTGCTGGGATTATAGGCATGAGCCACCATGCCCGGCCTTAATCTTTCAACAAACACTATTATTTCCTCTGTGCCAGGGACAGAGGATTTAGGGAGGAAAATCCTAGTCTGGGCTCTTCCTCCGAGACTCCCAACTGTAGGGCAGGCAGACACAGCAGGCACAGGAGCACCAGGTTTACGACACAGAAGCCAAGAGAGGAATGCAGAAACATCCGGGCATGCAGCCCAGACTCACACCGGCCTGGGGTGGAATCCCCCTCCATTGCTGACTCTCTAGGTGCCCTTGGTAGTTTAATTCATTTTTCTGAGCCTCAGTTTCCTCATCTGTGAAATGGGGGTGATGACAGCATTTACCTCATGGGCTTGTTGTCAAGATGAAACAAGATGCCGGGACAAGAGGAGATATTCAATAATTTATAATTATTATGATGATTCTTTTTATTGGAGAGGGCAATGAAGGACAGGCAAGACCCACAGGTGGGGAGTAGGGAACACTGGGCGGAGGCTGGAATTATGCAGAGTGATGCATAATGAACTCTGATCTGTGGTTGGTGGCAGTTCTTTCCTATCCAAGGGAGAAAACTTAAGACCCTTCAAGGGGCCACCTCTCTGCCCAGACACTTAGGGACATCCCTCAGCACTCTGTCCCAACCGTACACAGAACAGTTTACAGAGGAAGATCTCCCAGCCTGACCTTCACCTAGAATTGTCTAAGGTCACCCAGAGCATCAGAGGGAGAAAAGGGGGCCCTCTGAGCCCCAGGACTGCCCTGCAGTTCTTATGTCCTGCCTTAGGGGGTAGCAGGTGCAGAGTTCAGAGTCAGGCTGAGCCCACATCCCTGAAAGAAGGGGCTCTCGGCCAGGGCTCCTCCTGCTTTCTCACTGTGGGGATTGATCGGGTTGGGGACCAATTTCCCATTTCATTTTCCTCTAACGCTTCCTCTCCCCCTTCCCCAGGAGCCGTGGGATTACACACATGTCCATCTCTCTGCTTCTGGCTCTGTCCCTGGCTCTGCCTCCCACAAGCCTATCCTGTGTAGAGTTGCTGCAGGCTCCCCCAGCACAGGATGAGTGCCTGCCCCTGTCCCCACCCTTGGCTTCAGTTTTGTCTAGATGGGTTCACCTAGACAAAATACAGGCTGCCCAGTTACATCTGAATGTCAGATAAATAACAAATCTCTTTTTTTTTTTTTTTAGTATATCCCTAAATTACATGGGACATAGTTACACCAGAGCATTATTTGTTATTTACCTGAAATTTAAATTTAACTGGTTGTCTTGTACTTTTATTTACTAGGTCTGGTGACCCTACCTCCATCCCACTTATAAGAGGAAGACTGAAGCCAAGAGAGAAGGGTGGGCAAGAGAAAGAGACTGACAGCCCAGGCCTGCTGCCACTCCTTCCTCCTCCCGGTCACCTCCCTCCCTAATGGGGCACACCTTCTAGTAACTGATAACAGACTGATCAAGGGGTTTTCCCTCCTGTGTGATTCTGGTGTTGGGCTTCCTGTGGGCAGGGCAGCTGGGAGGGCATTGGAGGCCCATCTGCCTGTAGATTTCCTCCTCGCTGACTCAGCCTCCCAAGTAGCTGGGATTACAGGCACCTGCCACCATGCCGGGCTAACTTTCTGTATTTTTAGTAGACACGGGGTTTCGCCATTTAGCCAGGCTGGTCTTAAACTCCTGAGCTCAGGCAATCCTCTCTCCTCTGTCTCCTAAAGTGCTAGGATTACAGCCATGAACCACCATGCCCGTCTTGAATTTTTGACTGTGTGTCTTTAGGATAGATTTCTATAAGTGAAGTTTCTGGTTCAAAGGGTAAATGCCTATGTAAAATTGCTAGATATTGACACATTCCTCAAGAAACTAATTTCTATTGCATCTGGCAAAATTATTTGCTGTGCTTTATATAGCACTTAATCCTTAGAATAACAGTCAGAGATGAGTATGTCTATTTTCTTCATTTTCAGATGAGGAAACGAAATACACAGGACATAAGGCTAACAAATAGAGCTGAGATTTGGCCAGGTGCGGTGGCTCATGCCTGTAATCCCAGCACTTTGGGAGGCCAAGGGGGGGGCGGATCACCTGAGGTCAGGAGTTCGAGACCAGCCTGGCCACATGGCGAAACCCTGTCTCTACTAAAAATACAAAGATTAGCTGGGCATGGTGGCATGTGCCTGTAATCCCAGCTACTCTGGAGGCTGAGGCAGGAGAATTGCTTAAACCTGGGAGGTGGAGGTTGCAGTGAACTGAGATGGTGCCAACGTACTCCAGCCTGGGTGACAAAGCAGGACTCCATCTCAAAAAACAAAAAGAAAACCCCCCAAAAAACAAATAGAGCTGAGATTTGAACCCAGAAATTCTGATACTTGAGTCCGCACACTTACAATTGCTACATTGTACTGCTTTTCTGAAGAAAATTGAGAGGTAAAGGAACTTGTCCCTTGCCAGCGAATGAATGACAAAATGGGGAATTGAACCCAGATCTGCAAACCCAGCAGTCCTTGCTGCTTCCCTTATACTGAGTGCTGCTGGCCTCCAAGTGTTTCTTGTTCTGTGTTTCTACATGGACGCTTACAGGGAAGCATGGGTGCAGAAATCGCCAGGCCAGTCAAGGACGCTGGGATGTGTGCTGACCCTAGCCCTGGAGCGCTCTCCCCCACCACTCCCCGCAGTCTTGCTTCCTCTTGTGAAGTCTACGTGCTAGCCAAGACCCAGCCTGTGAGGCCTGACCTGATCTCTGCTCCTTGTCTGCTCCCCCAGCAAGAGTCCCTGAGGAAAAGAATGGGGAATCACGTCTTAGTCATCAGAGCATCGAAGTGCCCAGGCCAAGGCTGGCCACAGAGAGGGAGGGCAGGTGGCAAATGTTTGCAGCACGAGTGAATAAAAGGAAAAATGATAGCAAAGAATGGAACTACCAGGCACCATTCCAGGGCTGGGACTAAATATTTACCTTGCCCATTGGGCAAAGATAAGCCTGGTTTTCCAGGCTCTATTTATGCCAGCTTTCCTTCAGGGGCTGACACAGTCAACCTGGTATCATTACAGCTTGAACAGCGGTTTCCACATGTGGGATCTGGGTGTACAAGGTGCTTGATTCTCAGATTCTGCTATTCCCTAGCTCCATGTGTCTTCCCAGTCCTTGAGCCCTAGGTGGCTTTGCACCTCCATTCTGCTGCCTGGTCTGTCCCCAGTCTCCATGAGGCTATTGAATCGGGGTTCATTCTACTCTAGATGAAGCTGTGTATCCTCGTTTAGCCCCTGAGGTCAAGCCACATCAGGAGCTGCTTACAACATGACAGGACAGACTTGCCTGGGTCTACTGCCTCAGTGGCCTCCTGCGAGACACCTCTCTTAAGGGAATAGGGTTGGGTATGACAAGCTGGGTCCAAGTGAAGCTTCAGAGATGTAGAGATGTAGAGATGTAGAGATGTAGGGGAGGAGGGACTCTGAGTTCAGTGTGGCAACCACTCAGCCTCTGGGACTCACACCAGGGGCATAAGGAGAATGGAAGCCGCATGTGGAAAAGGGAAGGGTAATTTCTTTTTATTTTTTGGGGGGGCGTGGGGAAGGGTGATTTCTTTTTTTCGGGGGGGAGGAGGAGGTGGGGAAGGGTGATTTCTTTTTTTGGTGGGAGGAAGTGGGGAAGGGTGATTTCTTTTTATTTTTTGGGGGGGAGGTGAAGAAGGGTGATTTCTTTTTTTGGGGGGGGCAGGTGGGGAAGGGTGATTTCTTTTTTTGGGGGGGGCAGGTGGGGAAGGGTGATTTCTTTTTTTGTGGGGGGCAGGTGGGGAAGGGTGATTTCTTTTTTTGGGGGGGCAGGTGGGGAAGGGTGATTTCTTTTTTTGGGGGGGCAGGTGGGGAAGGGTGATTTTTTTGGGAGGGGGTGGGGAAGGGTGATTTCTTTTTTTTTTTTCGGTGGGGAGGTGGGGAAGGTGATTTTGTGGAAATACGAACAGCTCTGCTTTGGGAAAGCCTTCGTGGAGTGTGAAGGGAGCAGTGAGCAACTCTGGCCCCTGGTGTCCTGCCTGGGAGGCAATGCCTAGAGGCAGTGGTCACGTTGGGTGAGGGGTGCCCAGAAGATCGGGTGGTCCCTCTCAGAGGACACCACGTGGCAGCTGAAAGGACTAGTTGAAGAGCACACTTGAGATACCCTCTGGAGGCTGCCATCAGTACTTTGAGGGAGAGTGGGTCTTTGCAGGGGGATAAAGGAGAACCAATGAAACCTGAGTCATTACAGCGAGTGACCTTTCACTGAGCCTGAGGCTGCTATAACCAGGAAAACACAGCCAGTGTGGAAGCAGATTCACAACCAGGCACGGTGACTCGCGCCTGTAATCCCAGCAGTTTGGGAGGCCAAGGTGGGCAGATCACCTGAAGTCAGGAGTTTGGGGCCAGCCTGGCCAACATGGTGAAACCCCATCTCTACTAAAAATATAAAAATTAGCCGGGCATGGTGGTGCATGCCTGTAATTCCAGCTACTTGGGAGGCTGAGGCAGGAGAATCTCTTGAGCCTGGGAGGCGGAGGTTGCAGTGAGTTGAGATCATGCCACTGCACTCCAGCCTGGGCAACAGAGAGAGACTCCCTCTGTCTCAAAAAAAAAAAAAGCAGCAGCAGCAGCAGCAGCAGCAACAGCAGATTCGCAGATTCATGGAGATACTACTGCTTGGAATTTGGTGATGCTTCAGGGAGTGGGGCCGGAGCTGGCCTATGCTCCAGACAGGCATAAACTATCAACGTAAACACAATTACACCTAAGCCTCTGCAGGCATGGTGCTGATGCTGCCCCCTCCCAAGGGGGTACCATCTGGGTGGGTACAGGCCCTGGAGGCTGACTTTTTTATTTTTTTTAAGATGGAGTCTTGCTCTGTCACCAGGCTGGAGTGCAGTGGCTCAATCTCGGCTCACTGCAACCTCTGCCTCCTGGGTTCAAGTAATTCTCCTGCCTCAGCCTCCCAAGTATCTGGGACTACGGGCATGCGCCACCATGCTCAGCTGATTTTTTTGTATTTTTAGTAGAGATGGGGTTTCACCATGTTAGCCAGGATGGTCTCAATCTCCTGACCTCGTGATCCACCTGCCTCAGCCTCCCACAGTGCTGGGATTACAGGCGTGAGCCACTGCCCCCGGCCAATGCTGACAATTTTCAAGTCAGCTATGGAGTTTGAATTTTCCTCCAAATTTACACTGGCTATTTCCCCAGTTCAAATTAGGCCTGACTGGTTTCTCTTTCTCTTTCTTTTTTTCTGAATACATATCAGTTTTGGATTGAGGCCTAACATTTCCACTACCATCCAGAGGAGAGATGAGAAAACCAGAGTTGGGCTCTTAATCCCAGGGGAAAAAACAATGGGCTGCTCTGGAACGCTGCAGAGTCAGGGTTGAATGAATGCAGGAGCGGGGCAGGCAGCTAGGGAGTGTGTCGGCCACGTGATGAGCCTGCCATGGTGTCCAGATGGACATGTGGTATTTGGTTTAAAGCCCACGCTACTGGGGCATAAACAGCTGAGGATAAATGATCAGACTCAATTGTTCTCTCCTTTCCCAGGAAAGGCCAGGAAGGAAAAGGCCCCAGTTTAAGGGAGAAGGCATTGTCCTCAGTGGATGAAGCATAGTCAGGTAGCCCGGTCTGGCAGGGGGCCAGTGGGGAGCACGAGATTCTCATGGCTGCTGTGGCTGGTGGCCGCCTTTACAACAATAGCATATTGGACTCCTGTCCTTCCCATCCCACCTCTGAAATGATCACACCCATGTTAAATCTCTGATAAGATACTATCAGATACTCCAAAGTCCAGTTTGGAACTACAGTCTTTGCTTGACTCAATCCAGAATCCTTTCTCTCTCCCTGGTCCTATCTCCCCATCTAATCCCCCTCAATTCTTCTTTCTATCCAGCTGCTAAGGTCCCTGGGCCATCAGAAGCGAATAGAACAAACCTAAGACATCACTCTCCATCAAGAGGCCTGCATGACTCTTTATTTACATCATCTTCCAGGAAGAGGAGGAGGAGCTGCTTTGGGGACACCCACTTCCTCTCCTTACGTAACAACACACTGCATTTGCACAAGTGTCCTTGGTTGTAAAGGGTTCCACACTCACTTTCTTATTCAGGGCTTATTACAAGCCTCTCAGGTAGCTATGGTCATGGTACCCTGATCCCTTGTCAAAGATGAGCCCACTGAGGCTCAGGGTGACTACCGTTGTGCCAGGAGTTGCTAAGTGGTGGATCACAGACTCCAGTTCAGGGGGAGGTAGGGTGGTAAAGAAGCAGCTGGATGAACCTGGGTTTGAATCCTGCTCAGAAATGTTCCATCTGTGTGACACCACAGGCAAGTGACTTAACCTGATTGAGCCTCAGCTTCCTGATCTAGAAAAAAGGGTGATCATGCATCCCTCATAGAGCTGTGGTGAGCATTTACGAATCACGAGTGAAACATGCATAGCATGGGGTTTGGCAGATAGAAGTCCAGTAAATGTCTAAGCCCATCTCCAGCGTTTCTTCTGGTTCCAAGCTCAGGACTATCCTTTAAGCTAAGTGGTAGATACTCAATGAACGTGTTTTGGATGATTTAGCCCTCTCCTTTCCCCCATCCCTCCCCAAGTGAGAGGATGTTTATTTGCAGCTCTGTGCTGCAGAGAGCTCTGCAAACAAGGATTGGCAGCAGTAACTTTCTCCAGCTGGCACAACAATGAAAGGCCACAGGCCCTGGGGCTGCTCCCTATGGATGTCCAGGGAACAGAGGCCAGGCAGCAGGCTGACTGCTCCGGGCACTCCCTGTGGCTTCTTCACTCTAGCTGGCTACCCAGTATACTGAGTAGCAAAATGGCCTTTGAAAAGGCCCACCCTGTGGCCATGATTTCTAGCAGACCAAATGAGAGTGTTCTCCTGGGAGCACTGTCAACTCCTCTTGCTGGAGACAATTCTCTGGGAGCTCCTCAGACCCTACTGGAGCACTGTGTGCTTGGCTTTCTGAATGCTTAGAGGTGACAGGTGCTTTAGCAGACATCCAATCCACAGCGGTTGCCCAGGCAGCACTACACCCCCCACTGTCACTTCAACCGGAGTAACTCCAACCTCATCTGCTTTAGCTATGGGTCCTTCAGGTAAATGTGGCTGGAATGGCTGGAAGAAAGGGTCGGGTCTCAATGTTGTTTCAAAATAAAAGCTGAAGACAACTGACCTAATGCAACTCGCTCAATATTCACAGGGGGAACCGAGGCGCGGACAAGGCAAGTGACCCCCAAGGTCATACAATTCTGCCAAGTGCTGAGCAAACACTGCGGACTGGACTTCTGGTCTACTGCTTTCCATGGCATCAGCTAAGATGACTGCTCTGAACCTGGGGCTGCGGCAGCCTCTGATGATGGCCGTAGGTATCTCCTACTCCATTCTGGAGGCTCCCTGCTGATCCCTAATGTGGAAGTCCCCCTCTTCCTCCCCAGTTTGTAATCCCAGTGGGCACTGAGGTTTGGCCATCAGCAGCAGAGGATCCTGCTACAGATAACTGAAGGGTGGTACTGAAAAAACCATCAGATCAGCAGAGAAGCCCCGTCCCCTTATCCCCAAGGTCCTTGGACAACTCCTCCAACCAGGCACATTTTTCCTTCCTGGGCTGCACTCAGCTGTGACTGGGCTCCTCTCTCTGGCATGCCTCCTCCCTGTCCAGAGCTCTTCTAGGTTTTCCCCCTTCTGCCTCCTTTTTTCTTCCTCCTCCACTTCCTTCAGTCTTCTTGGGGCATTTCAAGCCTAGCACCCATCTGTGAGTTCCTCTTGGGCTTGTTGGTAAGGTCTAAAGTTTGTTATCAAGAGAAATTCCAGCCAAAGTGGATTGTGAATATGAAAAAGAGAGAAATTACAGCAAACAGAACTTATGTTTATAATAAAATGGTCTAAAATAGATACATATGTGCCGTGTGGTGGCTCACACCTGTATTCCCAGCACTTTGGGAGGCTGAGGCGGGTGGATCACCTGAGGTCAGGAATTCGAGACCAGCCTGGCCAACATGGTGAAAACCCGTCTCTACTGAAAATACAAAAATTAGCCAGGTGTGGTGGCGTGCGGCTGCAATCCCAACTACTTGGCAGGCTGAGGCAGGAGAATCACTTGAATCCGGGAGGTGGAGGTTTCAGTGAGCCGAGATAGTGCCACTTCACTCCAGCCTGGGCGACAAGAGTGAAACTCCGTCTCAAAAAAAAACTAAAATAGGCCGGGCACAGTGGCTCACGCCTGTAATCCCAGCACTTTGGGAGGCCGAGGTGGGTGGATCACCTGAGGCTGGGAGTTCAAGACGAGCCTGACCAACATGGAGAAACCCCATCTCTACTAAAAATACAAAATTAGCTGGGTGTGGTGGCTCATGCCTGTAATCCCAGCTACTCAGGAGGCTGAGGCAGGAGAATTGCTTGAACCTGAGAGGCGGAGGTTGTAGTGAGCTGGGATCGCTCCATTGCACTCCAGCCTGGGCAACAAGAGCGAAACTCCGTCTCAAAAACAAACAAACAAACAAACAAAAAAACTAAAATAAATAAATACATAAATAAAATGGATATGTATTTATACAAACCATAGAAAAATGTTTGGCAACTATCCCAAGATACCTGACAATGTGAAATACTTTTATTACAACTGGCCTGACCTTCAAAGGCCTTCACAGCTCCTGCCTTCCTGTTACAGTCTACTATGTTCCTCATGCACCTTCCACTCAGCACAAACAGGCTGCACTGCCTCTGAAACGCATCACTTGAATCCTGCCTCTGCTCCTTTGTCCATCTGAATCACCCTCTCCACATTTCTGACCCAGTAATCCTAATCTCACTTTATGAGGCAGTTCGCTTCCCTTTTGCATTTCCCTGGGGTACACTGTCAATAGCCTAGTGTCTGATGTCATCAGTCAGCACTTCATCAGAGGCAATTATGTCTACAGAGCTTTTGGCTAATTACTGTCACTCCTTACATGTGTGCATATGCATATCATCTTTCCCTAATGAGACTGGAAATAATGATTCATTCCCTGGAGCAGTGGTTTCCATAAATGACCAACCCACAGACCAGTGCAAACTGGCTGTGAAAGAGCTTCCTCTGAGGAACTTATTAGAATGCAGATTCTTGGACTGCATGGGAGAGGAGGATCTCATAAATCTGGGTGTAATAGGCACAGAACATTAGGTGTAATATGGGCAGGACTCTGGACTCAGCATATCCAACAAGCTGCTGGCTGATTCCGATGATGCCGATGAATTGCCAGGTTGGGAACTGTTGCCCCCAGAGAAACTAGCAGAGAGCTCTGTACGTGGTAGGTGCTCACTCCCCTATTGTTTGGGTGTATGCCTCCTGATAATGAACTTGAACATAACATTATTGTTATATTATGCCTGTATTGTTTCCTTAAGTGAGGGAAGAATGCTTTTGAGTACCTAATAGGTGGCAAGCTCTGTGCCTACTTACATACATGATCTATTCCTTTTAATAACCTTTGGAAATGAAGTGGTATTTTCACTGGGCGTTAGAAATCTGAAAACTTTCGTTTACAGCTGTTGCAACAGCAGAACTAGAATGTGACCTCCGACATAATGGGCTCAAAGTCTATGACCTTTCTGCTCACCAGAGGGCATGAACTGCTGGTTTGTACCTGGCTTGCAGATACCTTCTTTGGGCAGCACAATGTTCAAAGTTAAAAAAATTTACCAACACTTCTAAACTGGATACTTTGTATTAATATCTGGGTTTCTGGCTTCTCTTCATGGGAAAAACAAAACAAAACAAAAGGTTTGGTGAACACTGGGGCCCACATTCCTGCAGGACAACAGTCACATGGAGCCTTTAGATGGGCATGTGCCTAGAACACACTAGAGTCCCCATCGCTCCCCATTCTCTTACATTCTATTCCCAACCAGGTTCTTATAGGCCTGGGTTTGTGACTGCTGCACACTTATCTACTCTCTTGCTTCCCACTGGTCAGGAAGTCTGGCAAACTTAAAAGGCCTCTTTTTGTTGCTCTCTCCTGTATGGATCTCTGATCATAGAGGTGTGTGCATTTCTGTCTTTGTGATTTCAATACTAAGGAAGCCGTTGGTACATTATCAAGAGAAACTGGGATCGCCACTCCCCAACTTACACATTCTGGTGTGTCCCAGTAAAATTCTGTACTCAGCCTCCAAACTAGCTGGGAAAAATGTGGCAAATCATCTACTTGCTCCAATTCAATGGTGTTTAGAAGTAAGAAGTCACTGTGAGCAATGCCACCAAGTGGTGGAGAGACTCCATGCAGACTCACCACCTTCAGCCAGGGAGGCTGGGAGGCCGAAGACCTCTCTCAACGCATAGGGCCATTCAGAAACTAGAAACAAAATGCTTGCCCATCTCCCTAGGCCAGTCCTTCCGAGGCTTTTTGAGACAAGGTCTCACTGTCACCCAGGCTGGAATGCAGTGGCACAATCAAGGCAACCTCAACCTTCTGGGTTCGAGCGATCCTCCCACCTCAGCCTCCCGAGTAGCTGGGATGACTACAGGCATGGGCCACCACACCCAGCTGATTTTTTTTTTTTTTTTTTTTAGTAGAAATGAGGTCTCACCATATTGCTCAGACTGGTCTTGAACCAGCCCATTTTTAGCTTTTTAAAAGACAGCCTTGGCCAGCCATGGCAGCTCACACTTGTAATCCCTGCACTTTGGGAAGCTGAGGTGGGCAGATAGCTTAAGCCGAGGAGTTCGAGACCAGCCTGGGCAACATGGTGAAACCCCATCTCTACAAAAAATACAAAAATTAGCTGGGTGTGGTGGCGCACATCTGTGGTCCCAGCTACTGGGGAGGCTGAGGTGGGAGGATTGCTTGAGCCTGGGAGGTTGAGGCTGCAGTGAGCCATGATTACCTCACTGCATTCCAGCCTGGGCAACAGAGACCCTGTCTCTATTTAAAAAAAAAAAAAAGTGTGAACCTAGGAGTTGGAGTTTGCAGTGAGCCGAGATTGCGCCACTGCACTCCAGCCTGGGCGACAGAGTGAAACTCCGTCTCAAAAAAAAAAAAAAAAAAAGGAAACCTAAAAACAGACTGGCACTTAAAAGAGTTGTGCTTCATTTTTTGACTTTCTGTATTAATTTTCTGTTTGTTCCTTTCCTTAAACAAGCTGCCACTGCTGCTGATTGAACATGTTTCATTTTATACATTTTTTTTTTTTTTTTGAGACGGAGTTTCGCTCGTTTCCCAGGCTGGAGTGCAATGGCGTGATCTCAGCTCACTGCAGCCTCTGCCTCCCGGGTTCAAGCAATTCTCCTGCCTCAGCCTCCCAAGTAGCTGGGATTACAGGCATGTACCACCACGCCCGGCTAATTTTGTATTTTTAGTAGAGACGGGGTTTCTCCATGTTGGTCAGGCTGGTCTTGAACTCTCAACCTTAGGTGATCCACCTGCTTTGGCCTTCCAAAGTGCTGGGATTACAGGCGTGAGCCACTGCGCCTGGTCCATTTTATGCATTTTTAATGTGTATTCTCGTTTTTGGAAAATGTGAACAGAGGACTATTAAACTCTTTTAGCATCAGAATAGCAAGGAGGTAAAAAAACAAACAACAAAACAAACAAAAAAAACCCTCTTTGTAAAATAGGATTGAGTATCGTTGGATTGAGCACTTACCAAGCAACTGTGCCAGGCATTTGTGTCCTTCATTTAATTCTTACAAGCCTGAGTGTTCGGTATTTTAATTTTATAGGTGAACAAATAGAAGCTGAGGGTGAAGGACCTACAGCTGTCACCTTCATCTCTTCTCAACACTGCCAACTGTCTCCTTGGATCTCCCAGACAGACGACTAGGGACATCTCTGGTTTCTCGGTGCTCCCTAGAAACCTAGGGTCATTTCAAGGCATTATGCAAATGAGCTTTCCTTCTCTTCACCTCATCTCCTGATCTGCACAAAAATGACCGTAGGACCCACTGTAGGTACCAATGTAGGCACCAATCCTCAGTTTACCACCTGCTCTCTACTTGCTTCCCTGCCATAACTTTCTAAAAGGGATGTGAGCCATGTTTAAAGTCACCTGGTCACTGGAGGGATCTTGTTCTACACTCTACATCAGTGGTTGCCAACCTTTTTGGCACCAGGGACTGGTGTTGTGGAAGACAATTTTTCCACGGACTGGGGGATGGGGGGAGTGGTTTCAGGATAAAACTGCTCCACCTCAAATCATCAGGCATTAGATTCTCATAAGGAGCACACAACCTAGATTGCTAGCAGGCACAGTTCACAATAGGGTTCGTTCTCCTGTGAGAATGGCATGCCGCTGCTGATCTAACAGAGGCAGAGCTCAGGTGGTAATGGGAGCAAGGGGGAGCGGCTCTAAATACAGCTTGCCGCTCACCTCCTGCTGTGCAGCCCAGTTCCTAACAGGCCACAGATGGTACTGGTCTGTAGCCCAGGAGTTTGGGAATCCTGCTCTACAGAGTTTCCAACCTCAGAGATGAAGCATCCCCTCTGTAAGTCAGAAAGAAATTATTCAAGTAGGAGAATTAAAACAGGATCACAGAGAGGGAGGCTGAAGAATTTGTCTTTCTGTGTTTACTTGTATGAGGAAAAACGGCACATGGAGGCATCCACAGTATTTAATTTGTTTGTATACTAGTTACAGATAAACAGGTACACCCCATATACAATTACCAATACTTTTTATACAGTTCATATTTCGGTACATCAACACTATTTTATTTACACTCTATTTATGTACATTAACATCTTTCTAAAGTCAGTGCATTGTCAACAAGTTTTATACAGTAATTTACAAGGTGAATGTAGTTAATAGTTAATTTAATAAATTTTCTGCTAGTTCATGAATTAAAAAAATTAATTACAACCAGTATAACAAACACAGATCAAACAACATTAGTAGATTGAGCTACCTGCTTAAATAAAACATCTGTAAAGAAATTATTTAAAATCTTCCACTTTTTAATGGGAATGGACAGATTTTATATACTGAAAATCTTGAAACTATAAAGTATGCATTTTGTCTGACTTTATTACATTAGACAATTTAGGCCAGTCCTACCTACTTGCAATTATATTTTTTCTGAAAAGGATTTCAATTTAGGTAGCCATTTAAGATAACCTTTCCAAATGCTCTGAGAACTAGATATTAATAGTTACTGGCCTCAGATATCAGAACACAAATACTTAGTTACATTGGTAATTACTATCTATGAGGAAGAAAGGGTAGTGGAATCTGACAATTAATGAGAATCAACTTGCAGGGTCTAAATGAATAAACAAAGACCAAAAATAAGGTGAAACATTTCCTTCAAGTATATATTAAAAAACTACACGAAAAAAATGCTACCTGAAATAAATAATATTTATACTTTTGTTCCAGTCTTGATTAGAGAAAAAAATGAAGTAAGCAAAGAAACATAACTTTCGATGACTACTGTAAAATTTAAAAAAAAGACAAATATCAAAATAAAAAAATTAGTGGACATGCAAACAAAGCAAAACTAAAGTTGACTTCCTAAAACCACCAATTTCATTAAATACACTTATGAACTCCTAATGTCTGGGATGTGTTTTGTTTGTAATTTATAGCCCTTAGAGCCATCAAATACACACAAGCAAGTTCATTTGCATGTGTTCTCTCTTTTTTAAAGTGCAAGACAAACACAGAAAAGAACAACCACTAATTGTGAAACGTGATCTAGCTCCAATGCCACTTACCTTCCCAGAAGCTCTTGTTGCAACAGGTGCATGTGAAGATGGTGCAAATATTGGCAACTGCTCCCCTTCCCTCAGCATGGGTGGGGCCGGGGGTGCAGAATACATTTCTGAGGATACTTGAAGTATCCTAAATGTAAGATGCCTCCACTGGGAGGGCCATGGTAGCTGGATTTCCCAGGATGCTGTTTCTTTCTACTGGGTCTCCCACAAGGCTCTGGGTGGAAGGCACACAGCTCTTAAGAGAGCCTCCCTTTCAGACTGACCACTATATGCCCCTGCCACCAATGACTGGTTGTGTCTCAAACATAAATACAACGGCAAAAACAAAAAGCAAGAAAGACAAAGAAAGGGTATGGAAACAGTTTAAAAAATAAATTGAAAAATCCTCGTCCATGCCTTAAGAATCATTTGCACACCTTCGTGATCTTGCTTTCTCCATCTTGTCAATATAATGGAATAAAACTTCAGGAAAAAGGAGGTAGCATATCATGTCGTCCCTAGACAACATTATAATTGTTTGTTTTTTACTCTGACTCCAAGGAAATCTTTAATATTTGTTATGATTATGGTAAACTCTATACTCACTACATATTTGTTCATATCTGGACAAGCACAATTGAATTCTTATTTGGTCCCAGGTGGCTGGTGCCAAACCTTTTGTTTACAGGCTAATGGTGGGATCTGCCTGAAAGTTCTCTATCGGAGAGCTTGTATGAGACTTCAAAATAAAATGATTACTACTCTTAAAGTTAACTATTTTAATTAGAATTTTTATTTTGTGCTTCAGGGCCACAGGATAAAATAACTACATTTAGCTTGCCTTTCAGTGACGCTTTTGCCAAATGTCAGCTACAAGGAGTCATCTCCCTCACCGCCAAGCTGTCTAGCAGCCAGAGTGGTAGCTTTACTGTAACACACAGTACTTTTTGTAATCAGACTCAAAGTCTTCATCCATACTGCTTGTGTCTGCCATCTTTTTGCCATCAGTCTTTGGCAGAAATTGTGCATAGTCTATCCCCTGCTGCTCATAGAAAAGAATGTAGGCAGAGTCGGTGTCAATTTCATCCGGGTGAAGTTCCTGAAAGGGCAAGAAAAACCTTTAACAAAAAGCCATCACTACTATGGCTCTAAATCCTTGCCAGGAAAGGGAAGACCAACCCTCTGTAATTACTAAACCTGATTGCTTCCAATAAGCTCACTAGTTTGGCTGTCTCACACCTGCCCCTTTAAGATGAGCCCCATTATTTCCAATGTTTGCTTTGGGGAAAATATTTTGACCATAGACAAGTCAAAAAAGAATGACCTAAAACCTCATCAAATTCTATTTATTTATTTTTTTGAGATGGAGTCTCGCTCTGTCACCAGGCTGGTGTGCACTGGTGCGATCTCAGCTCACTGCAACCTCTGCCTCCTGGGTTCAAGCGATTCTGCTGCCTCAGCCTCCCGAGTAGCTGGGACTACAGGTGCGTGCCACCACGCCTGGCTAATTTTTTGTACTTTTAGTAAAGGCGGGGTTTCACCATATTAGCCAGGATGGTCTCGATCTCCTGACCTCATGATCCGCCTGCCTTGGCCTCCCAAAGTGCTGGGATTACAGGCGTGAGCCACCGTGTTCGGCCCAACCCCATCAAATTCTAACAGTCTAGAAGATAGGAGTTTTTGCATTAACTAACTCCTGTTTTTTTTTTTTCTTGAGACAGAGTCTTGCTCTGTTGCCCAGGCTGGAGTGCAGTGGCGCAGTCTTGGCTCACTGCAACCTCCACCTCCCAGGTTTAAGCCATTCTCCTGCCTCAGCCTCCCGAGTAGCTGGGATTAGAGGCACGCGCCAACACGCCCAACTAATTTTTGTATTTTTAGTAGAGATGGGGTTTCACCATGTTGGCCAGTCTGGTCTTGAACTCCTGACATCAAGTGATCCACCTCCTAAGCCTGCCTCAGCCTCCCAAGGTGCTGGGATTACAGGCATGAGCCACTGCACCCAGTCAACTAACTCTTTATTTTTCCTCACTACTCATGTTTTCATTCCCTACTCTGCATATAACTTTTGTTCCTTTAATACTGACAGCATCTATATATTGATTCTAACAGAAATATCTATTTCCTATTCAAGAGATAGTCCATTATTTCAACAAATGTTCCCCAGTTCTGTTGATATTCTGTTTCTAACTTTCATTCAAAGACTGAGAATGTTTACCTTACAGCTGCTGTCATTGTAACAGTACCACTTGCAGTTTGGGTTTTTGGCATAAGTGACGTAATGGCCCCCACCCAGAATTCCTGAATGGCACTGTAAGAGATAAGAGAGTGGAGGTATGTTAGCAGTTAACTGTACTATGGCCAGGGTATAGCACTAGGATCTGAGCAGGAGAACACTGATCATGTAAATGATCAGTAGGTGAAAAAATATTTTAGAACCCTCTAACTTTTTCTAAAACCAAAATAAGCAAAAAGCAAAATACAAAAGTCATAAGCTCTAAGTCTTGTGTGGATAAACAATCATTTTATAATTGTAATTACTATTATTATTATTATTATTATTATTATTATTTTGAGACAGGGACTTGCTCTATCACCCAGGCTGGGGTGCAGTCGAGTGATCACAACTCTCTAAAGACTTGACCTCCTGGGCTCAGGTGATCCTTCTGCCTCAGCCTTCCAAGTAGCTGGGACCACAGGCACATGCCACCATACCTTGCTCCATTTTAAAATTATTTCTAGAGATGGGGCCAGGCTGGTCTCAAACTCCTGGGCTCAAGTGATCCTCCTGCCTCAGCCTTCTAAAGTGCTGGGATTGATTACAGGTGTGAGTCACCACACCTGGGCAGGCCAAGATTTCTGTGTTAACTTTGTCTATCACTAAGCTCAATGCTAGGAAATAAGCAGGACCTGAAAAAAATACTTGCTGATGAATACATGAAGACAAGTGAACAAAACACAGACCACTCTCTGAAAACCATATAATAAACCACTTACCGAAATTGCATATAGATTATAAATAGGCTTAATACGAGTATCTTCTCTTTGGTCATCAGTGCTGTCTTCTTCACTGTGGTTTCCAAGCTGACCATTGCTGTAGCCATTGCCACATGCTTCATGCTCATAAAGGAATCCATTGGCCAAAGCTACCTCATGGTCCTGAGGAGTGACCAACTCTGGTTGGCTGCCCCCCAGCACATGCCCTCGACTCAAGGCGTCAGCCAGCTCACATATCTGCCCAGCCCCATTTTCTTTGCTGGCATCCAAGTTCTCTTTACTACTTGACAGTTTATTTTTGCTGCCAATCTGGGGCAGCCGGAGCCTCCCTTTGCTCCTCCCCAAAGTCCGTGGGCTGCTATTAGGGCTGCTGTTTTTGCTGGAGGGACAGCTGGTTCCACTTTTTCTTGATGAAGAAGGAGAACCTGTGAACAGGACAGAAGAAAAGATTCACAAATTCAAATGCCACAAAGTAAGCCAGCCCCAAATGCTACCTCTGAGGTTAGCTTCACAACTGTACACACAAAGGTAAAGACAGGGCAGTCGTGACTGGCTACTCTTTAGTTCCTATTATGTAGCCAGTAAGTTACATTTTTGTCTTCTTCAATGCCAAGTCCCTATAAGCAACAATGTCCTCAAAATGTAAAGTACATTATAGGGACTCAGAAAATAGCAGAAAGATGATTTATGTCAGATTCAGTTGAAAAAAATCTAACTATTAGAGTAAGGAGTTTTCCAAATACATATTCCTCTCCTTTGTAAAATTAGACAAAAAATGTGACCACCATTTACTGAGTACTTCCTATTGTTAGGCATGGTACTGGGAATTTGTTGCTGTCCATTGTTACCTCTATGTCTCACAAAAATCCTGTAAGGCTTTAAACTTTTTGGTTATAGCCTCTTACCCATAGCCCCTTTTATACCTTTAAAAATTATTGAGAACCTTTAGAACTTTTATGTGAATTTTATCTATCAATATTTCCCGTATTAGAAATTAAAACTAAGGAATGAAAAAGTACAATACATTAGCACAGACTTCACTGTCAAAGTGACGATATTATTCCATGTCATGTTATCTCTCACACCATTGTACATTTGTGAGAGAATAAAAGTGAAAAGGCACATATTGTCTTAGTATTTTTATGAAAATAGTTTTGGGCAAGGCACAGTGGCTCACACCTGTAATCCCAGCACTTTAAGAGGCTGAAGCAGGAGGTTCACTTGGGCACAGGAGTTCGAGCCCAGCCTGGGAAATATGGCAAAGCACCATCTCTACAAAAAATACAAAAATTAGCCAGGTGCAGTGGTGCATGCCTGTAGTCCCAGCTACTCAGGAGGCTGAGGTGGGAGGATTGATTGACCCCAGGAGGTAGAGGCTGCAGTGAGCTGTGATCTGTGTTGCACCACTGCACTCCAGCCTGGGTGACAGAGTGAGACCCTGTCTCAAAAAAATAAAAAATAAAATAAATTAAAAAAAAAAGAGTTTTGATCCTCTAGACCCCCTGAAAGATGGGGAACCTCAGAACTTTTGCTATAAGGGGACAAGACAGCAGCTACCATTCCTGTTTACCGTATATCAGGCACTGTGTGAAGTGCTTTACTCTCCATGTGTCACTCTCAACTCTGTAAACCTGGCATTATCTCCATTTTACAGATGAGAAAATAGATTCAGGGAGGCTGAACCTCTTGCTAAAACTTACATAGCTCAAATACAGATAGGTCTGATTCCAGATAGGTTCTTTCCACCCAACCAACCTGATGTTCCAGAACAGAAGACAGAGAAACATATGTAGCCTACAGGAGTCCCAAGAAAGCACCTGCATAAGGCCCCCAGGCCTCACCTTTCGGGCTGCTGATGATGTTAGCGCTGAGTGAGGATGGGCTTTTGCTCAGGAGCACGTCCTCTTCCCCAGCCGAACTCTGCGCATCCACTTTCTTCACCTCCCTTGCCAGAATCCTGGGCTCAGAGAGCTCATCCCCCTGGGGTGTGAGTGGTTTATGCTGGCAGAGAGCCGGGTCTCTTGGTACCAAAAAAGCACTTGGATCAAAACTTTCCCGAGGAAATTTGACAATTTTCTGTGATTTTATCCACCGACCATTTACAAATTGAAATCGCTTAAGGTGAATAATCTGGAGAAGTAAAGGTAGAAAACATCTGCATTAAAGGGTTCTGAAGATACAAAATTTACATGGAAAAAACAAGTCAAATACATGTGAATGTTTGGGAATATATAACAGAACATTTACTCTTCATTATTTTTTAAAGACTTCAAAAATATGGTTTCATAAAGGCCTCTACATAGGCCCCAGTGCACTGGTGTGCTTGTGCACACACACTCAACTCAGCAGTGTGGCACAGCCACGTGACTGCGCAGTGGGTACTGCCTCCAGGCTCAGTTGCTCTTCTAGAGTCCACAAAGGCTTAGCCTAAGCTTCCACCCTCCACAGAGCCAGAAGTTCACCCTCTCCTGAAGTTCAAATTCACCACATTGTACCCCTTGTGGCAGTTCTCACATCACACTGAATTGCAGTTACTGGTCTACATGACTGCTCTGCTTGTTTTATGTGATGATTATATGAAAATATATACTTGTCAAAATTCATCAAACTGGATATTAAAAATCTATGCTTTTAATTGTATGCTAATTATACCTCAATTTTTTTTAAAAGGTCTACCCGTCAGCCGGGCGCAGTGGCTCACGCCTATAAACCCCGCGCTTTGGGAGGCCAAGGCGGGTGGCTCATGAGGTCAGGAGATCGAGACCATCCTGGCTAACACAGTGAAACCTCATCTCTACTAAAAATAAATAAATAAATAAATAAATAAAAAACACACAAAAAATTAGCCAGGCGTGGTGGTGGGCGCCTGTAGTCCTAGCTACTCAGGAGGCTGAGGCAGGAGAATGGCATGAACCCAGGAGGTGAGGCTTGCAGTGAACTGAGATGGTGCCACTGCACTCCAGCCTGGGCGACAGAGTGAGACTCCGTCTCAAAAAAAAAAAAAAAAAGTCTCCCCCTCCTCCCCACCCACCTTGTCTCCAAGCCTGCCCCTTCCCTCTAGTTCCTATCTGTGGAGCTAGCTAACAACCAATGTTATTAATTTCTTGTGCATCATTCCCTGGGAAGCTGTTCTGGTCTAAGAAAAACCTACATTCAGCTTCACAGAGTAGTATGACAGAGACATGAATAGAATAAGAAAACATGGCTGGGCACGGTGGCTCACGCCTGTAATTCCAGCACTTTGGGAGGCCAAGGTGGGCAGATCACCTGAGGTCAGGAATTCAAGACTAGCCTGGCCAACATGGTGAAACCCCATATCTACTAAAAGTACAAAAATTAGCCGGGTGGTAGTGGTGCATGCCTGTAATCTCAGCTACTCAGGAGACTGAGGCAAGAGAATCACTTGAGCCCGAGAGGTGGAGGTTGCGGTGAGCTGAGATTACACCACTGCACTACAGCCTGGGTGACACAGTGAGACCCTGTCTCAAAAAAAAAAAAAAAAAAAACATATAAATATCTGAATTAAAATATGCCAGTACCTTACAGTTACACTGATCTTAATGAATAGGAAGATTTGTCACTTCAAATTCTCCTGACAAACAACAGGACAGTCTCCTAATCCATGAAGGGAGAAGGCAGAAGTAAATTAAATCTAAAAGAACACACAGGCCCTAGTGCACTGGTGTGCTTGTGTACACACACTCAACTCAGTAGTGTGCCATAGCCACATGATTATGTGCAGTGGGTGTTGGGGGCTCCAGGCTCAGTTGCTCTTCTAGAGTCCACAAAGGGTTAGCCTAAGCTTCCTCTCTCCACAGAGCCAGAAGTTTAACCTCTCTTGAAGTTCAAATTCACCACGTTGTACCCCTTGTGGCAGTTCTCACATTGCACTGAATTGCAGTTACTGGTCTACATGATTGATCTTCTAGGTTATAAGCTCTTTAGGAAAAAGAACTACAAAATATTTGTAGAAAGATTCATCTCTGTATTCAACATAAAAAGCTTGTACAGAAAGTGTTTTAAACACTGCTGCAGGAAAGGTCTTATTCTCAAAAATAACAAAACCTCCTGTTTGTTCATGTCTTCTTTCTTTTATGCCAGATTCCTGCTCTCTCAGAGGCAGGACTGTAACATACCAGGATGGGTGGAAGCCTCCAGAGATCCAGCTTCTTTGTTGCTAAGCAGTGGGTCTTACACTTGGAACAGTAGTACATCTCATTTTCCCCTAGCTCTTCCTCACTGGTGAAAGCACGGAGACAGCTGTCCAGGTTGATGGGCTCGGCTTGCGCTCGCCGACTCTGCTCCACACTCTCATGCTCATCTACAACCTGCAGGTAGAGGGAACAGGAGGAAAGGGGTGCGTGGGAAGGCATTTAAAGTGGTGATCTAGGTATGCATCAACCTCTTGGTCACTCACCCTTATTTTACTCTATATAAGGAAAAAGAAAATACAACTGGCTGGGTATGGTGGCTCATGCCTGTAATCCCAGCACTTTAGGAGGCCGAGGTGGGGTAATTGCTTGAGTCCAGGAGTTCGAAACCAGCCTGGTCAAAAGAGTGAGACCCTGTCTCTGTAAAAGAAAAATCTAAAAATTAGCTGGGCATTGTGGTACATGTCTGTAGTCCCAGCTACTCAGGAGGATTGCTTGAGCCTGGGAGGTAGAGGTTGCAGTGAACTGTGATTACACCACTGCGCTCCAGCCTGGATGACAGAGAGAGACCCTGTCTCAAAAAAAAGGGAAAAGAAAACACAACCCAAACTAGAGTCTGAGCAAATACAGCACCTATATATTTATTCACAAATGTTACATCGGTAACATTCTGGATAAAATTTCTATTTATATGACCATAGCTTTTCTTGAAAAATTTTTGAACGCTTCAAAATGACAAAAACAAAAAGAATTGCATTTATTTAACAACTTTGGAATCCTATAAGGGATTACATGTGAGCTGGCCCTCAAGCCAGGGGTGCTGATAGTAAGCCATTTACTTTTAATCAGAAAGCCAGAGCATTATTAGTATGCTGCAGACTTTACAGAGGCTAGGAGAAATAACATGAAACACAGAAACCAGAGCTGGATGAAATAAGGGCACAGAAAAGCTCACCATGAGAAGACAACACAGCAGAGCATGAAACCCCACAGGGTACAACTCATTTGCATCTGATTCCATGTAACACAGAGTTATCAGAATACCAAGTCTATAATTATCTGTCTCCTCCCTCATGGGGCCTTTTTATCTGAGATGGCAACAAAAGGAAGAGCAAGCTCAAAAGAGTGTGCTGCTTTTGCTGAGAAGGCCCCTAATACTCACCCAAACCTTTGGGGTCCTGTTAATCAGCATGTTAGGCTGTGGAGCAAGGAGGAATTAAGTATAAGAAAGGACAGAGAGCAAAGAATGGGCGGGGTGCAGGGATGTAAGTTGGGGGTGGTGTAGAATGAAGAAGACGGAGAGAAGGAAGGATCTAGAGTGCAACAGAAAAGAAACAATTTTTTCCTCTCCATGCCTGGCTGCTACCTGACAAACAATCAAGAATCATAGAGCCGGGATCCTTCTGTTTGTCCCTCTAATGTATGGGAAGGTGGGTGAAGCATCAGGGTTATGAATGCTATCATGAGACTTCACACAGTATATATTTGTGTCCCAAAGCAGAGCCCAGACCACAAGGCCCACACTGACTGCCTCTCTGTGGCAAACGTCACATATGTCCATCACCCACCCTATTTATTGCTCCTCCCTTCCAGAGGTGAACTTCCTCCATGAATTTCCCTTCCTGAAACTCATGATGGGAACATTAGGCTGTTGCAATACAAATTGGCACAGCTCAAGACATTCAGTTTAGAATGGGTTTTCAGGTGAGACTTCTTCCCTATATGAGAGTCACGAGGCTCTCAAATGCTGCTATAAACTAGCAAGGCTGGATTTGATCGTGCAATTAAGGTTCTAGCACTGCATAACTATCCAGGCTAAAGAGCTCATTTAAAAAGGGGAACTTAGAGGAAAATTCTTTTTTTAGAAAAGGAAATCTGGCTTGGACTTGGGTTATAGACTTCTTTTTTGAGTACAAATTCTGTAGTAACAAGATATTAACTGTCATCATCTTTTGAACTGGTCACTCAAGGAAAAAACTGATGTGCTTCAAAAGGAAACGTGCTGCATCATCGTTGTTGGAATGAGTAGAAAAAGGGGTGTATCATATACGGTAGTGTTTCCTTTCTCATAGCCAGTTAAATATTATCTCTATTATCTCTACCAGGAATACTTTATGGCCAACCACAAATTAGAGTAAGCTAGTAAAGAATGTTGATTTTTATTGACTATATTTTCTGTGGAACACAGGCTACAGTGCTAGATGAAGACAGGAAAGAAGGCTGATAAAAAACATATTTGTGGACTGTACTGACAATAATTTCTATTTATCAGTAAATTTCCCAAAGTGATAAAGATTCCCTTTACCTCTTGGGATCTACGCTTAGATCCTCTACTATTGTTTAAATAATCTATAAATTACTTATAGGCACCCTCTTCTTTTTCAAAGTTACTTTAAAGCTCATCTTTAACACAAAACACAGGAAATGAAGTAATAGTTTTCATAGAAGACTATTGAAAAAAAGAGAGTGGCCTAAGAATTTGTCTAGCTTAATTTTCTTTTTTTCTTTCTTTTTTTGTTTTTTTGAGACAGGTTCTTGCTCTGTTACCCAGGCTGGAGTGCACTGGCGAGATCACAGCTCACTGCAGCCTTGATCTCTTGGGTTCAAGCAGCCCTCCAACCTCAGCCTCCCAAGTAGCTGGGACTACAGGTGCACACCACCACACCTGGCTAATCTGTGCATTTTTTGTAAAGACAGGGTGACATCATATTGCCCAGGCTGGCATCCAGTTTAATTTTCTACTGAGGAATCTGAGGTCCCAACAGGAGAGAAATGTAAAGGATAAGAGTGATTGCCTCTGTTTTTTTTCTGATTACTAGGTATAATATTCATGTTGGAAAGCAGAGAAAAATGTTAAAAGGCAGGGAATCCTTTTATATTCTTAATTATATTCTTAATACAAAGGCAACCACTGTCAAAATATTGGCAGATTTTCTTCTGTCCTCTTTCCTAAATAGTATTTTTTTCAATATTGAAGGTATTATTTCCAGTATATGCAACTTTATGTCTTGTTTTTTAAAAAATGTTCACATATCATAAGCTTGTTCCCATAAATGTTAGCAAAAACTCCTGGTAATCATTTTCAACAACCGCATTATATTTTATCCAATGAATACACCATGCTTTATTTAACCATTCCTCTAATGTGAGACAAATATAAGTTGTTAATAACTTTTTGCTATTCTAAAAAATGCTATGATGATATTTGCCTGCAAATTATGGAGTAATTACAGAGTATTCTCCCCTCAGATAAATTCCTAAAAGGGAAATCACTGGAATAAAAAATATAAAGTATATGGGCAATAATCCCAATTTAAACCACGGTATCTCTTTTGTCTACATGACTTTCTAAGCACATTCAGAAACCCTACATGTAGGGGAGCCCAGATTAGTCATATGGGCCCACTCCCTAGCAAGGCATCAATAGCCCTTCACTTCCATGGTATCCTAAGTGCATCACTGAAAGTGGAAGTAGGGTGAGATTTAACAGGTCACGTAGGCCGTTTCCTATAAGCAGGATGTCCTAAAGAGCTTTTCCGATTGCACACTGGATTTGTTAAAAAGGGGAAGAGATTTATAGAGCCAAATAATTTGTCATCATTGACAGTAATGTCTTGTCAGATTTTGTGCTGACAAAGATTTATGAATCTATCAACTAGTAAAATTTTCCCTCCTTGCTAGTGAGCATGATCTAGAACATTAGTTTCTCTTCAGCTTTCTTTAGCTTTAGCCTAGTGATCTTTCATTTGACAAGTATCCACAAATTATACTTATTTCTGGCTAGAAAGGGCTCCCAGGAGCCTTGGTGTGTGCGGCATATTTTGGGATCTAAATAAGAAACTAGGTCTAGAATTGGTAGTTTCCCCAGTCCTCCATAGCACAACAAGACAGAAAAGTCAGTTACCGTTACTAACTTATCCAAAGGGAATGCTTTAAAAAATAGTAAAGGAAATTTCCAACTATCAAGAGCCATAAAAATGCAAAAACCACTACAATTCCTCATGTGACTTAAGGAACTCCTTTGACTCTGTTGTTTTTACCTCTCTATCAGATTCTTAATGTCTTTACCATTCAAATAATATTTGGTTGATTAAAAACTGCCTGAGGCAAACATTTTTAGGTATGGAGTTAAAATTATTTCTGAAGCAACATTTTCAAAATTTAAAAATTGCTCTGGCCAGACAGTGACAATAGAAGAATGTGAAGTGCAAAGAGTGGCCACTGAGATGTGCTCTTAGGTACCCAAAATGGAAACATTTCAATCCTTTCTGTAACTTTTCTGATCACTCTGCCTATTAAAGGCAGCAGCTATAGCCCTGGGACACATTTGAACTAAGTAACTGTGGTTACCAAATGCTGCAACTTCAATAATATTTAACAGAGAGATGCTTATTGATATGTCATGGCCAGACACAGTTTTGTTTCAAGGTTCACTTATTAATATTTTTGAAATTTAATGCCTGCTATAGTTTGGACATGGTTTATTTGTCTCCATCAAAATGCATGTTGAAATCTGATTCCCAATGTGGCGTTGTTAGGAGGTGGGGCCTAGCAGGAGGTGTTTGGGTCATAGGGGTGAAACTCTTGTAAATGGTTGGTGCCATTCTTGCAGTAGTTGAGTTCTCCTTCTGAGAACTTAGTTTCCAAGAGAGCGGGCTGTTAGAAAGCGAGGATCTTCCTCCTGTTTGGTCCTCCCTCTTGCCTGTGTCTGTTCTCCTTTGATCTTCTCTGCCATGTTATGATGCAGCACAGAAGCCTTTGCCAGAAGCCAGGACCATGTCCTTGAACTTCCCAGGCTGCCGAACAGTAAGCTAAATAAACCTCTTTTCTTTACAAGTTACCAGCCTCACGTACTCTGTTATAGCAACACAAAATGGACAAAGACAATGCCCCAATACAATGAACTCCAGAAGTTGGAAAATGAAAAAGCTCAAGCAAACATGTCAATATATTAGGTGCCATAGAGGATGCCAATGAAGGTTTTTCTGGTTGTTTTTAAATTGTCTAAAACAGAAATGGCATAATAGTTACACTGGTGGAAATTTCTCATATAAAAACCACCATTTTATGGTGGCCCTAAATACTTACCCTTTCCTGGGATGTTTGATAGCGAAGGTGAAGGGCTGTGGGATCCCAATCCACAGCGATATAGGCATTTCCAATGAAAGCTCTGTCTTCCCCACAATCAATTTTACAGCCTCTGCAAAATCTAAAAAGGGGGAAAAGATCCACAGAGGAAGAAATAATTATGAAGGAATCTAAATTTTCTTAATAAAAAATATTCTCCCTTCCTACTTTTCTGCTTTCCTCTTGGGCCTCACAATTTGTCATGGGCTTCTAACTTCAGACTCTGATAAATGTAGGGATACTTATTAATAATTAGTACAGTTTCAGGGAATCATGCTTTTCATTTTTCAAGTCTTTATTTTTACAAAGTACTTGATAACCACCTGTTAATCACAGGAAGATGTGAACTTTATGGCAAATAAATGACATGGGAATTGCCTGTTTGAGATACTACAGCACTCAAGAAATTCCAAATTCAGTTATTGAATGCTCTGAGGTAGGACAATTTATCTGGTGTAACACCTAGCTCCTTGTCTGTAAAATGGCAGATTAAATAAATGCATATAAAAGTTTACAGGGGCCGGGCATGGTGGCTCATGCCTGTAATCCCAGCACTTTGGGAGGCCGAGGTGGGTGGATCACCTGAGGTCAGGAGGTCGAGACCAGTCTGACCAACATGGTGAAACCCTGTCTCTACTAAAACTACAAAAATTAGCCAGGCATGGTGGCAGGCACCTATAATCCCAGCTACTTGGGAGGCTGAGGTGGGAGAATTGCTTGAACCTGGGAGGTGGAGGTTGCAGTGAGCCGAGGTTGCACCACTGCACTGCAGCCTGGGTGACAGAGTGAGACTCTGTTTAAAAAAAAAAAAAAAAAAAAAAAAAAGTTTATAGAGTTGCAGAGGTGGGGTGGGAGATGGGGTAGGGGGGAGGATATAATAAAGTCATGGTTCCAATGCCTACTTTATTATTATTATTATTTTTCTTGAGATGGAGCCTTGCTCTGTCGCCCAGGCTGGAGTGCAGTGGTGCGATCTGAGCTCACTGCAAGCTCCGCCTCCCGGGTTCAAGCAATTCTCCAGCCTCAGCCTTCCAAGTAGCTGGGACTACAGGTGCCCGCCACCATGCCTGGCTAATTTTTTGTATTTTTAGTAGAGATGGGGTTTCACCGTGTTAGCTAGGATGGTCTCAATCTCCTGACCTCTTGATCTGCCCGCCTCCACCTCCCAAAGTGCTGGGATTACACGCGTGAGCCACCACGCCTGGCCAATGCCTACTTTAGACTCAGTTTGCTAAGTCTATTGCAGTTCTCTAAAGGCGGACTTTAGTATCATTAGGCACTTTCCCTGTTGTAACAGCAATGACCAATCAATCTCCGTAACTCTTTAAAAACCAAGAACAGATTTCCAGCAAGGTCTAGTAAAGACTATGGTCTACTGTGCTTAGAACTGGCAAACTTATATTTAACGAGAGGCTTGGCGTGGTGGCTCACACCTATAATCCCAGCACTTTGGGAGGCTGAGGTGGGTGGATCACCTGAGGTCAGGAGTTTGAGACCAGCCTAACATGGCAAAACCCCATTTCTACTAAAAATACAAAAATTAGCTGGGTACAGTGGTGTGCACCTGTAGTCCCGGCTACTCGGGAGGCTGAGGCAGGAGAATTGCTTGAACCTGGGAGGCAGAGGTTGCAGTGAGCTGAGATTGAGCCACTGCACCCCAGCCTGGGTGACAGAGCGAGACTCCATCTCAAAACAAAACAAAACAACACAAAAAAGGAGAGGTGAAGTTATAGAGTAATAAATGTTTATCACAAGCTATGAATTTGGTATGGACTGTAGTTTATAAAACCAGCTAAATCTCAAAAGCAAAACTTATCTATTGACCTCAAAAGGAAGTGAAAAATATTTTTTGAGACGGAGTTTCGCTCTTGTTGCCCGGCTGGAGTGCAGTGGCATGACCTTGGCTCACTGGAACCGCTGCCTCCTGGGTTCAAGCGATTCTCCTGCCTCAGTCTCCCAAGTAGCTGGGATTACAGGCACGCATCACCACGCCCCGCTAATTTTTGTATGTTTAGTAGAGACGAGGTTTTACTAGGTTAGGCTGGTCTCCTGATCTCAGGTGATCCACCCACCTCGGCTTCCCAAAGTGATGGGAATACAGGCGTGAGCCACCGTGCCCAGCCACAATTCTTAAGTTTCTCATTATTCACTATTTACTTCTCAAAACTGGAAATCTTATGAAAACTGTATAATATCTAAAGCTGAAATTCTACTAAAGTAATTCTTTTGCAGGTCACTTTACCTATACCATGGGCACCAAGCACAGGAGTTCCCATCTTTCTGCACAACTCGTAGAGTGAATGGATATTGATAGCCCATACTGTCGTCACTGAAACAGAAGAGAACAAAAAGAGTGTAAGAAGCATTTCTGGTTCGAGGTCCAACTCCTCTTCATCTTCTCTTGAAGTAACCCTAGGAAGGGGCATTTGCCATAGCAGTACGCTCATGTTGACAGCTCAATGTTACTTACCCTAATCCATTAGCTGCAGCCCAGTACCAAATACACTCTGGCTTCCCATCCTCTATCTGGGCTTACAGAAGGGTAGACATAAGACTGCCAGATGTCTCTAAGGGAGTCCATGTGGCCCATGAAAATTTTATAAGATAAGCTAATCATGAAATCAAATACTAATTATCCTTCAGCCTTAATTCTATCAGAGGATTTAATTCACATTAAACTAAAATAATTAGATCTTTCCATGACAAGAACACCGACACATTGCAGAAAGCTGTATATTTAGAAGTCTTCTTTAATCAGAATCGCTGATGTGGTACATGCTAAGTACTGCCTTAACTACTCAGAGTTATAAGCTACATACCATTTTTGGAGTAACTGCTTTTAACTGCCAATGATTATGTCAAGATGGCCCTGTGAATTTTCCAACTTTTAAAAAAATTTACTCATCCTTGCCCTAACAAGGAGCAATGCAACAATTTATACATATTATCAAAACATAAGCTGTACACCTTAGATGTATATACAATTCCTTGAACCTGGGAGGCAGAGGTTGCAGTGAGCTGAGTTCAATAAAGCTGGGGGTGGGGGAGAAGGAAGCAATGCGAGGAATATAACATAAGAGTGGCATACTTTACAGCTCATCTGGCAACTGACAGTGGTTATTACATGGGCTATTGAAGGTAATGAAACCATGATAAAGAGTCACTGTAAGGGCAAAGGTGAGAATCACATCTGGCATAGGAGTTCCCATCTTTCTGCATAACTCGTCCAGTGAATGATCATTGATAGCCTGTACTGTCTAGTACCATGTCCAAATCAGGCCAGCAATAAGTGAGGAATCAAAAGAAAGATAACGGGATAAAACAGTCAAGTAGCACTCATAGAAAGCTGTGCAGCACTTCCCTTCTGAAAATTTCTTTTACCTTTTTGCTCTAACTGAATGAAGCCTGGCTTTCTTGAGAATCCTGCTCCCCCTGCAGACTTTTTCCATTTTTTTTTTTGAGACAGGGTATCACTCTGTTGCCCAGGCTGGAGTGCAGTGGCGCAATTATGGCTCACAGCAGCCTCCACCTTTCTGGGCTCAGGTGATCCTCCCACATCAGCCTCCCAAGTAGCTAGGATTACAGGCACGCAACACCATACCTGGCTAATTTTTACATTTTTTGTAAAGACAGTATTTCACCATGTTGTCCAGCCTGGTCTTAAACTCCTGGGCTCAAGTGATCCTCCTGCCTCAGCCTCCTAAAGTGCTGGGATTACAGGCGTGAGTCACCGCACCCTACCCCCTGCACTTTGTATTCTCATACGTTCCAGAACCTGGAGGTAAAATAGATCTCTTCCTTACTCCTATGCCACTTGTGCATGATTTCTTCTTCCTTCCTTTTCTAAAACATTCCAGCTTCTTTGTAGCATGTGCTACTGAATTATGCTACCTGCTATTCCTCCTTGGAAGGTACATATCTTCTTTACTCACTAAAGATTGCAGCACCCAGTTCACTGTGTTTTTTCTCCACCATTTCTCCTGTTATTATTCTTGGTGACATCAACATCAATGCAATTAATATAACAGTAACTTGGTCTTCTCTTTTCCAACAATAAGTTCCTCCACCCCATATGTAAACCCTCTCCAAATGTCATATTCTAGACCTTGTGAATACAAACTTTTCTACCTCCAAAATCTCAATTCCAAGTATCCTACTTTGCAACCACCACCTCCTATCTTTTTGGGTTACTTACTTATTCGAACATCCCTATTCTAATGATTCTTTCACCCAAGAGAAACCTCCAATCACTGCCCTGAAATCCTCACTTGCCTCTTTACCCACTGTCCCTGAAAATAATCACTCTTCTCCATAGACCCTTAATTCCAGGATTTTGTCCATTTAATCTAAAATTTCAAATTTATTGACATAAACACTCAAGAAGTCGAGAACTATACAATGAACATCCCATGTATTCATTACCCAACTATAAAAGTCATCAACTCCAGGCCACTCTTATTTCATCCATAACTTTACCAAGTACCACTAGAATCAGGTGAGAGCTACCATGCCTGGCTATCTTTTTTAATGTCCGAAGGACATAACCCACTCCAATCTCTACTCCCTTATCTATACTAAAATAGCTTTCACAAAGATCACCAAAGACCATTTTATCAAATCCAGCGGGCAATTCCCAGTCCTCTGTAGCATTTGAAACGACTATCACTCCTTTCCTGAAATACTTCCTTCACTTAACTCCTGGTTTTCTTCTTACACTATGGGCTGCTCCTTCTCAATCTTACTCTCTCTCTTTTGAGACAGAGTCTTGCTCTGTCGCCCAGGCTGGAGTACAGTGGTGTGATCTCAGCTCACTGCAACTTCCACCTACAGGGTTGAAGCAATTCTCAGGCCTCAGCCACCCAAGTAGCTGGGATTACAGGCACGTACCACCATGCCCGGCTAATTTTTGCATTTTTAGTAGAGACGGGGTTTTGCCATGTTGGGCAGGTTGGTCTTGAACTCCTGGCCTCAAGTGATTCTCCCACCTTGGCCTCCCGAAGTGCTGGGATTACAGGCATGAGCCACTGCACCCAGCCTCAATCTCTTTTGATGCTTCTTTTTCCCTTTTCAATCTCTAAATGTCGGAATGCGTATGAACTCAGTTCAGAGTTCATGTATAGATGATGGGAATCTTCTCTATTTAACTCTCACTCTCTAAATGTTAATCATCTGGTCTCAGGGCTTTAAATACACCTTTTTGTTGATGACATCTGTATCTCCAGCAGAGGACATTCAAGTGAATTTCCCACTTGAATATATCATAGACTTCTTGAATTTAACTTGATTCCTGTCTTTTCTTGCCAAAATCTGCTCCTTCTCCAGTTTTCCTTCTTCCATTAAATGGTACCACCATTCACAAACAATTGTTCAGGGTAAAAAGCCGGCCTGGGCCGGGTGCAGCAGCTCACGCCTGTAATCCCACCACTTTGGGAGGCTGAGGTGGGATCATGAGGTTAGGAGATCGAGACCATCCTGGCCAACATGGTGAAACCCTGTCTCTACTAAAAATACAAAAATTAGCCGAGTGTGGTGGCATGCACCTGTACTCCCAGCTACTTGGGAGGCTGAGGCAGAAGAATTGCTTGAACCTGGGAGGCAGAGGTGCAGTGAGCCGAGATCATGCCACTGCACTCCAGCCTGGTGACAGAGCAAGATTCTATCCCCACGCCAAAAAAAGAAAAAAAAAAAAGAAGTCAGCCTGGATTCCTCTTTCCCTATACTCCACATCCAATTCATTAGCAAGTCCTGGGAAAAGCCCTCGTCTAGAAGCTCTTTAATTCAATTACTTCACTTCAAATTTAATCTTGTCCAACTTTCATCTTTACTAAACACAACATTCATTAACTAAACTGCTTATCTATTATTTGCAGTTTTCCTTTAGGATTTATTTAAATCTTAAAATAAATACTTTAAACAATTATTTATTTAAATAACTTATTTTGGCCGGGCACGATGGCTCATGCCTGTAATCCCAGCACTTTGGGAGCCTGAGGCAGGCAGATCACTTGAGGTCAGGAGTTTGAGACCAGCCTGGCCGACATGGTGAAACCCTGTCTGTACTAAAAATACAAAAATTAGCCAGGCATGGTGGCGGGCACCTGTAATCCCAGCTACTCAGGAGGCTGAGGCAGGAGAATCGCTTGAACCCAGGAGGTGGAGGTTGCGTTGAGCCGAGATTGCACCACTGCACTCCAGCCTGGGTGACAGAGCGAGACTCTGTGTCAAAAAAATACAAAATAAAAATAAATAAATAACTTATTTAAGTAAAGATTTATTTAAATCTTTAAATTTAAATCTGGCCAGGTGTGGTGGCTCACACCTGTAATACCAGTACTTTGAGAGGCCGAGGTAGGTGGATTACTTGAGGCCAGGAGTTCGAGACCAGCCTGGCCAACATGGTGAAACCCTGTCTCTACTAAAAATACAAAAATTAGCTGGGTGTGGTTACGAGCATCTGTAATCCCAGCTACTCAGGTGTCTGAGGCATGAGAATCACTTGAACCTGGAGGTGGAGTTTGCAGTGAACAAAAATCACACCACTGTACTCCAGCCTGGGTGACAAATTAAGAATCTGTCTCAAAAAAAAAAAAGATGTATTTATCCTAAGCCCTACCCTAATCATCAAAATACCCCATATCATAACAAATAAGTAAAGAACTTTTTTTAGTTACCATAAAACAGAACTCTCATTTGTACCATGATGGCAAGAAAATGATCTACAGGCCGGGTGTGGTGGCTCACGCCTGTAATCCCAGCACTTTGGGAGGCTGAGGCAGGTGGATCACCTGAGGTTGGAAGTTTGAGAACAGCCTGACCAACATGAAGAAACCCCATCTCTACCAAAAAAGCAAAATTAGCCAGGCATGGTGGTGCATGCCTGTAATCCCAGCTACTGGGGAGGCTGAGGCAGGAGATTTTTTTGAACCCAGGAGGTGGAGGCTGCAGTAAGCCAGGATCGTGCCATTGCACTCCAATCCGGGCAACAAGAGCAAAACTCTGCTGTAAAGGGAAAAAAAGAAAAGAAAAGAAAAATGATCTACAATTTGATTGAGATAAAAATAAGACATCATCAAAATCCCAAAAATTATTCAGAGTAAATGCATTTACTAATCAAATAGAACAGTGATAGGAAAAAGGGAAAGAAAACAGAAAATGTTAATTATTTTTATCTAGATTTATGAAATTACTTCACGTTAAAATGACATGGTAAGGGAAAAAGAAAAAAGAATGACATGGTATGGAAATAATCCAACAGAATTATTTTTTGTATCATGAGACTTTTCAGAGTTCACGTATGCAGTCACTCTCATTCTGAATTTCAGAGGACTGAGATTATACAAATTTCCTGGTGAATTCATACTCTCTACTTTTGCAACACAGAAGACAGGATATTACTTGAAGCATTAGCAGGATGAATCCAGGTAAAAGATTAGAGAATGGAAGGATTATTTGACACTAGAATGTTTGGCAAAAGGAAGCTGTATCATCTCTCCTACTCCAAATATCAAACCAAATGGTTGAATTGTATGCTGTCTGAGTGGTTCTTCCAAGAGTGATTAACTTGACATAGGCTGGGTCCTATCAGTCATGTAGAATTCATATAGATTATTTTTCTAGAGTTTGGAAACCACAGGTTTAGATGGATCCCCTGAACTCACCAATCCTGGGCATGATTACTAGCTTCCTGAGGTGGGAGTGGGCTCGCTAACCGGGATACTTGAATCCAAACCGCATCATATAGGTCTTTCTTCCGGGTATGCACAGTACATGGAACAATCAATGGCATTCCAAAGAGGCTGGGGCGATTCTTCTGAGATGACAGGAAATACAGTTCTGTCCTCATCTGTATGTACAAACAAGAGAATAGAGAGTTCAGAAGACAGGCCTCTGATTCCTCCCTTTAGTTCTTCTAAATGCCTGCCAATGACAGGCACTATCACCATTTCAAATCAGTCACTATCACATTCTTCTCTGTATTTATAAAACCATCTTTATTGACACAAAGAGAACGGTTACAGTGGAGTCATTAAAGGGGCTGAGGTATTGCCAGTTTTAGAGTTGTTGCCTATTCTATCAAATTTGGGTTTCAGCAATTAATATATTCAAACCAGTTTTCTCTGATAAACATTTCTCACATACACTGACTCACATGTAAAAACTAGTAATAGCTTCATAGCTAAGGGCTTTTAAACAATTAAGGCTCTTTCTTTCTCCAGAAAATATGCCAGTAAGCTGGGTGTGGTGGCTCACGCCTGTAATCCCAGCACTTTGGAAGGCTGAGGCAAGAGGATCCCTTGAGCCCAGGAGTTTGAGATCAGAATGGGCAATGTAGGGAGACCCTATCTCTATAAAGAAATAAATACAATTAGCTGGGCATGGTGGCATGTGTCTGTAGTCCCAGCTATACAGGAGGCTGAGGTGGGAGGATTGCCTGAGTCTGGCAAGTTGAGGGTACAGTGAGCTGTGATCGTGCCACTGCACTCCAGCCTGGAAGGTAGAGTGAGACCTGTCTCAAAAAAAAAAAGAAATGAAAAGATGCCAGTGGAAAAAAAAAAAAAAGACTCTCTCAACTATAGTTTTCTAGGGATAAGCTGTTGATAGTGGTTGTTGGAGTGGCAATTTCCAAAGTTTTGGAGATTTGTGAAACCTAGTAATTCTATTTTATAACAAGCTTATCCACCTTCCTAAAAGCAGTTAAGTGATTTTAATCTTTTTTTTTGTTTTTTAAATACAGGATAGGATAAAAGTAAGGTAAAATTTTTAAAATTTGCTTTGAGTACGTTAAAGAGATATTTACGATATTCCTTAATATAGAGATACTGCACAGAATTATCCTGGAAATGGCTGTTAAATAAACATTTAGTATAATGGAATGGTTGGTGGGAGTTCAAGGTTATCTAAAGCTGCTGAACCTTTGAACATTTAATTCCCTAAGAAGTTTGGTATTTATTGAGTAGTTAGAAAAGCTAAATCAACAACTTATCAACTCACTAGGGGTTAAGTTAGCTAGTTTCTAAGTAAAAAGACCCTTTATTCAGATTATTAAGCATTTTATTTTGCCATTTTCATTTAAGCTTAAATACATAATTTTAAGCCTCTATTTCATATGTTACTATTATTATAAGATCCAGAGAAATCCAGACAGAGTTCAGTACAAATATTTTATAAAATTTTAAAACGTAGCTAAACCCACACAATTTTCATCCTCTCATTAAGGAACTTCTCCTAGTGCCCTAGGGCCCATACTTTCTCAGTTACTACTGAGATAAATTCTACTCCTAGTTATTAACATGGTTAGAAACTTCAAGCCAGGGCCAGGTGCAGTGGCTCATGCCTGTAATCCCAGCACTTCAGGAGGCCGAGGCGGGCGGATCATGAGGTCAGGAGTTCGAGACCAGCCTGGCCAATATGGTGAAACCCTGTCTCTACTAAAAACACAAAAATTATCTGGGCATGGTGGCAGGCACCTGTAGTCCCAGCTACTCGGGAGGCTGAGGCAGGAGAATCACTTGAACGCAGGAGGCATAGAGTACAGTGAGCCGAGATCGTGCCATTGCACTCCAGCCTGGCCGACAACAGCAAGACTCTGTCTCAACCAAAAAAAAAAGAAAGAAATTTTAAGCCAAGGGCTACTAATGCAGAGAAAAATAAAAATCAGAGGTAAAAGGGTACATTTCTGGCTGGATGTGGTGGCTCACACCTGTAATTCCAGCACTTTGGGAGGCCAAGGTGGGTGGATCACCTGAGGTCGGGAGTTCGAGACAGCCTGACCAACATAGAGAAACTCTGTCTCTACTAAAAATACAAAATTAGCCAGGCGTGGTGCCGCATGCCTGTAATCCCAGCTACTCAGGAGGCTGAGGCAGGAGAATCACTTGAACACAGGAGGCGGAGGTTGCAGTGAGTTGAGGGCCTGCCACTGCACTCCAGCCTGGGCAACAAGAGTGAAACTCCATTGCAAAAAAAAAAAAAAAGTACATTTCAAATAATTATCACAAAGCAACTAGCTTTCCATTATCACTGAGTTTAAGAAACAGAATATAGCGAACACTCAAAAGCCTCCCATTTGCTTCCTCCAAATCACAAATTCTCCCTTCCTCACAAAGGTAACTATTATTCTAAATGTTACAGTAATCACTTTCTTGCTTTTCTTTACAGTTTTATATCCTATGCACAAGTAAATAAACACTAGATTTCATTTTCCCTGTTTTAAAAGTTTTTATATTTATAAATAGAATTACTTAATTCATTTTTGTTTGTTTGTTTTTTGTTTTTTGAAACAGGGTCTAGCTCTGTCATCCAGGCTGGAGCGTAGTGGTGTGATCTCAGCTCACTGCAACCTCCACCTTCTGGGCTTGAGAGATTCTCTTGCCTCAGCCTCCCAAGTAGCTGGGACTACAGGTGTGTGGCACACGCTGGCTAATTTCTGTATTTTCTGTAGAGATGGGGTTTCACCATGTTGCCCAGGCTGGTCTTAAACTCCTGGGCTCAAGCAATCGGCCCACCTCAGCCTCCCAAAATGCTGAGATTACAGGTGTGAGCCACCGTGCCTAGCCTAATTCTTTTGTGTTTGGCTTCTTTCCATCAACATTAGGTTTACGAGATTCATTTATACTCTATATAACTACAAATCCATTCATTTTCATTCCTGTATAATGTTCCATTATCTTAATATATCTCAGCTTCCCAATCCCTTCTACAACTAATGGACATGCAATGTTTTCATTTTGGGGCTACTATAGATAATGGTGCTACGAATATTCTTGTACATATCTCCTGGTACACATATCTCTTGGGTGGATACCTACAGGTAGAACTGCTTATCTTTAACTAGAAAATTGTATTCCAAAGTAGTTGTTTATAGTATTTAATTTATAATTAAAATTATTTATAATTAAATATAAAGTTAATTTATATTCTCATCAGCATGGTATGAGAGTTCCTGTTGCTCTACTTAGCAACCCTGTCAGTCTGTTTAATTTTACCTGTTCAGGTGAGTGCACTGATATCATAATATTGTTTTAATTTACATTTCACTGATTACTAGTGTCGTTGATCATTTTTTTTTTTTTTTTGAGACGGAGTCTCGCTCTGTTGCCCAGGCTGGAATGCAATGGCATGATCTCGGCCCATTGCAACCTCTGCCTCTGGGGTTCAAGTGATTCTCCTGCCTCAGCCTCCCGAGTAGCTGGGACTACATGTGCCCACCATCACGCCCAGTTAATTTTTGTATTTTTAGTAGAGATGGAGTTTCACCATATTGGCCAGGCTGGTCTTGAACTCCTGACCTTGTGATCCATCCGTCTCGGCCTCTCAAAGTGCTGGGATTATAGGCGTGAGCCACCGCACCCAGCCAAGTTATCAATTTTAATGAAGTCCAATTTAATCTTTTCTTTTATATGAGTAGCGTCAGGAATGTATTTACCAGTATTATCTTCCAAGGGCTGTTTCATTGTTTTGCTTTCAAATTTAGCTCTATAGAACACCTGGAATTGTGGTGAAAGGTAGGTGCCAAGTTTCATATGGATATCTAATTGTCCCAGCACCACTTGCTGAGAAAACTATCTTTCTCTCACCACTCTGCAATGTTATCTTTGTTATAAATCAGGTGTTCATACATTTGTGAACTGGTTTCTGGGCTCTCTATTCTATCCCAATGGTCTACTTGTCTTTTCTTGTACCAATATGACATTATTTTAAATATCATATCTTTGTGAAATAAATCTTGATATCTGGATGATATCCAATCTTGATGATATCCTCATATCTTACTCTTCTTCAAGAGTATCTTGGTTATTCCTGGTGCTTTGTATTTCCACATATGAGAATCAGCTTATCAAATCACACACACACACACACACACACACACACACACACGCAGACTTTGCATTTGTATTGGGATTGTGCATTAAGTCATCCGTAGATTAGTTTGTAGAGAACTGATATCTTAAAATATTGAGTCTTCTAATCCATGAACATGGTTTACTCCTTCCAATATTTCAGTCTTCTTTAATTTCTATCAATATTTTATTTTCTATATAGATGTCTTATGTGTCATTTTTAAAGTTTATTCCTAGGTACTTAATTTTTTCTCAGCATTTAATTTTTTTGATACTAAGATAAATAATATCTGTAGTTGAGTTGAATGGTGGCCTCTAAAACAGTATATCCATATATCCATGTTCTAACCCCTGGAACCAGTAAATGTGACCTAATTTGGTAAAAGGATGTTTGTAGATGTAATTAAGTTGAGGATGTCAAGATGAGATCATCCTGGATTGTCTGGGTGGGCCCTAAATTCAATAAGTATCCTTATCAGAGAAAGACAGAGAGAAGGAGAAGGCTATATGAAGAGGCAGGGATTGCAGTTATGCAGTCACAAGCCAAAGAATGCCTGGAGCCACCAGAGGTTAGAAGAGACAAGAAAGCATTCTCTCCTAGAACCTTTGGAGGAAGCCCCCACCCTACAGAAACCTTAGTTTCAGACTTCTGGCCTCCAGAAGGTGAAAGAATAAATTTCTGGGCCGGGTGCAGTGGCTCATACCTGTAAACCCAGCACTTTGGGAGGCCGAGGCAGGCAGATCACGAGGTCAGATCAAGACCATCCTGGCCAACATGGTGAAACCCCATCTCTACTAAAAATACAAAAATTAGCCAGGCATGGTGGCGTGCACCTGTAGTATCAGCTACTTGGGAGGCTGAGGCAGGAGAATTGCTTGAACCCAGGAGGCGGAGGCTGCAGTGAGTGGAGATCACGCCACTGCACTCCAGCCTGGGCGACAGAGCGAGACTGTCAAAAAAAAAAAAAAAAAAAAAAAAAGAATATATTTCTGTTGTTTAAAGCCACCAAATTTGTGGTAATTTGTTATAACAGTCCTAAGAAACCAATACAGTACCTTTTTTACAATTTCGTTTTCTCTTGTTGCTGCTATACAATCAATTTACTTGATCTAGAAGCCTTGCTTTCCTTTATTTTATTTATTTATTTATTTAAGACGGAGTTTTGCTCTTGTCGCCCAGGCTGGAGTGCAATGGCACGATCTCGGCTCACTGCAACCTCCGCCTCCCAGGTTCAAGCGATTCTCCTGCCTCAGCCTCCTGAGTAGCTAGGACTACCGGCGTGTGCCACCATGCCTGGCTGATTGTTGTATTTTTAATAGAGACGGGGTTTCACCATCTTGGCCAGGCTGGTCTCGAACTCCTGACCTCACGATCCACCCGCTTCGGCCTCCCAAAGTGCTGGGATTACAGGCATGAGCCACTGTGCCCGGCCTTTCCTTTACTTTATAAAATTAAGACACTAAAGTCCAAAGAGCTCAATCAGCTATCTAGTGGCAGAATTAGAACTAAAACATAGGTTGCTAAATTCCTAGTTCAGTGCCCTTTCTACTCTACCAAGTTGCCACTATACCCGAAGACTACCTCTTTAACAATTATCCACTGACCAGTTTTCAAACCTTCCTTTTTCTTTTTTACCAAAGAGTCAACCTTTAATGCAATAGTTATATATTAGACTGTCAAGAGAGGAATTACGCACAACTTGATTTTCCTCAAGAACATTCTTGTATCCTCTAAGAAAAAAAACAAAACAAAACAAAAAAACCAACCCCAAAACAAAAAACTTTTCCGAAGCCATCCGCATTTACGTGGCAGTGAAGATATACATACCTACACAAACACACAGGAAACATAAATTTTGTGTGTGTTGGTTTTTGTTTTTTTCTAATTTTTTTAGAGACAAGGTCTCACTTATTGCCCAGGTTGGAGTGGAGTGGTTATTTACAGGTGTGAGCATCATAGCATATTATAGCTTCAAAATCCTGTCCTAAAGGGATCCTCCTAAACATGCCTGGCTTAGGAGATACTTTTTTTTTTTTTTTTTTTTGAGACAAAGTCTCACTTTATCACCCAGGCTGGAGTGCTGTGGCGCAATCTTCGCTCACTGCAACCTCTGCCTCCTGGGTTCAAGCAATTCTCCTGCCTCAGCATCTCGAGTAGCTGAAGCTACAGGCGCATGCCACCATGCCCAGCTAATTTTTTTATTTTTAGTAGAGATGGGGTTTCACCACATTGGCCAGGCTGTTCTCAAACTCCTGACTTCAGGTGATCCCCCTGCTTCAGCCTCCCAAAGTGCTGGGAGTATAGATGTGAGCCACCGCACCTGGCCATTTTCTTTCTTTCTTTCTTTTCTTTTTCAGACAGGGTCTTGCCCAGCCTGGAATGTGTGGGGCAAGCAAGCATGGCTCACTGCAGCTTTGACCTCCTAGTCTCAAGTGATCCTCCTGCCTCAGCCTCCAGAGTAGTTGAGACTATAGGCACACACCATCATGGCTGCTTAGTTAAAAAAAAGAAGTCTTTTTTTTTTTTTTTTAGAAGAGACGAGGTCTCACTATGTTGCCCAGGCTAGCCTTGAACTCCTGAGCTAAGGTGATCCTCCTGCTTCAGCCTCCCAAAGTGTTGGGATTACAGGTGTGAGCCACTGCACCCGGCCAGGAGACACAAATTTCTAAAGAAAGTAGTACTCAGATGCACTGACTATCCTGTTGCCTCTTAATATACGGATAAGGAATGTCATTTCATACATTAGCCACCATGAGTAATACTAAATCCTGGCTCTGATCACTTATATTAGCATATATAATACATTGAAAATGCATTCACAGCAACAGATTTTGAGGACAGGATAAAAAAGTAAAAAAATAAAATTTGTAAAATTATTAAATTTTAAAAAATTAAAGAAAAGAAGAGAAGAAAATACATTCAATGATGTTGCAAAGACAGAAAATGACTATTTCACAAATGACACTAGCAAGACTGGCAGTGAGTTGCCTAACATTTAACTAACCATTTTTCGGTGGACTGCAATGATGTAACCTGTAAAGGGGCTGTCAGGAAGAGATGGCATGTGACCATTAACCATTCCATTTGTGAAGTTCTTCTCAGTTCCACATGGCACAACAGTGTTTGGCATTCCATTGGGGATGAATATTGGTCGGGGTAGGTCCCCATTGGTAGTTAGGGTGAACATTTCATTTGTAGATGGCGAAGAGGAGAAATCTACAAATTCAAAGATAAGTACAGTATCATAAGCTTGTGGTATTTTCATCTTTGCTCTTTTCTCAAGTATCCTGAGGACCAGAGACAGTGTAGTCTCTTAACACAGGGCAGGGAGAAATCACAGTATAAATAATTCTAGATTTATTGGAAGATTTTAATTTTCCAGTTTTACTTCCCTAACTCACACTTTTGGCCAAATGAAAAGGAAAGAGTAACTGCTGGAAACTATTAAGCAGAATTTTTGCAGAAACCTGTATCAGCACCATGTTGTAGCACACAAACAGTTCTACCACTTGTTTTCTTTTCCTTCTCTTTGCCTTTGAAGACACTGTCCAATACAGTAACCTCTACCCAGATGTTGCATTTAAAATTTAAATTAGGCTGGATGAGGCAGCTCACATTTGTAATCCTAGCACTTTGGGAGGCTGAGGTAGCAGATCCCTTGAACCCAGGAGCTAGTGACCAGCCTAGGCAACATGGTGAAAACCCATCTCTACAAAAGATACACCATAGCTGGGCATGGTGGTACACGTTTGTAGTCCCAGCTACTTGGGAAGCTGAGGTGGGAGGATTGCTTCAGCCCATAAGGCAGAGTCTGCAGTGAGCCAAGATGATGCCACTGCACTCCAGGCTGGGTGACAGAGTGAGACCATTTCTCAAAATAAATAAATTAAATTAAATAAAAATTAAAAATGCATTATTCTCACTCACACTAACCACATCTCAAGCGCTTAACAGTCCACGTGACTGGTGGATACTGTATTGGATGGCAAAGATCACAGAAGTTTCCACCACTGCAGAATTCTATTGGACAGTGATGCTCTAAACTAAAACTAAAATTAGAACATCCACCAACTCACCGTCAGGACTATCTACCTACTACACATCAATGAGGGGAGCCTCATAAAGCCCTTTATAGTTGGGGAATTAGCCTAATTAACCTAATTGTAAGTAATATAAAGAATAGACAAAGCATACTAGTGGCTAAAAGGACTCAGTGAGTGACCACATTAAATTACATATAATATTGGATTTCTTTCTAGCTATATCTATTGTTTATATTTTCTGGTAGTATGTTCCTCTCATACTAGCTGTTGCCATGTTATATTAGATACAAGTTCAAAGAGATCTGAATTCCAAGGGTATATTAGCTAACGACTACCTATCTAACTGAAGTCACTTGGGTTCTCTAAATTTTAGGTTTCTCGTCGAAAAAATATGGAATAATCAGTAAGGTTTCCCTTGGGTTCCAAAATTCTTCTGCTATAATATCCTCAGCATGAACAAATATAAAAAAGATGACAACTCTTAGACAAATATTTAAAGGAGCAATCATGAGAAGGAGTTCTAGTTCTATCTTACCTGTCTGTGTTGGACTAGAAGCTGAAATTGGAGACACAGGGACAGGAATTTCAAATGCACACAAAAATCCACTCACTGAGAGTCGTACTTTTTGGTTGTCCTGAGGAAAGTTCTACAGAAACAGAAGCAAGATGAGAAGGGGGAGATGTTTCAGATAAAATGGAAAAGTTCTCTCTCTAACATATTTCAAAAGAATGTCTTAGGCGCTTTCATCCGTAAAACCAACGAGATGATTGAATAATTTTTCAACTACATAAAGGATGAATGCTTGATAAAAATAACGGAAAACTAACCTCAATTTTCGAACTATTATCTCTTTTCACAGGAAGAAGTGTGTTATATACGACTGACTTCAGTTTTGTCCGTTTCAGGGATCTAAATTCCAACCCTCAGAGACTCCATTTTTGCATTTCATATTAAGAAACTGTCAGTGAGGTGAGAGTGTGTTCAGAAATCCCAAAGATGAATATAAATAATACCAGTTGCAGGAGCTTAATTTAGAGTAGGCAATATATTTATTAGATTATTTGTTTCCCCAGCTGGTATGTAGAAAGACATGATTGGTGTCAATTTGTCTTTACTCTTAATTTCTTAGTGTGTTAAAAGACCAAGTATATATATTCATAAATACTAAAAACACACATTCATAAATACATAAAATACTTTAACCTAGGAAGAATTCTAGTAACAGCGGTAATACAGAAGAGTTGTCAAGGGTAATAGCAGCAGTCTTTGGTAACAGCAGCAGTCTTTGGTGGAAACCTATACTATAGTGACACAGCTAGAACACTCCATATAGGCAGCCTTACGTATTTCCCTTCTTCAAAAATACCACCATCAGTATTATCCCTTTATTCTGGTAGAAAACTCTTAAGTTTCTGGGTTGGAAAACTTGGCATTTTTTGTTGTTGTTGTTCAGTTTTCGTTATGTTTTAGTATCTCTCTTGGTCACATAACCTAACAATTGATCATAATAATTGAGAAAAATGTCATCTTTGGAGGATAGAATCAAAAGTTTCTTAGAGTAGTTAATATTACCTTTATGTTGGAACCATGTACTTCTGCTAGAAGGATTTGTTCTGAATTAAGTCCACAGAGATCACTCAGCTGTTTTTTTAAACCTGTGTACTTTTCATCCATATTCAGTCTTAGTCCATACCGTACAGGGGTAGTACCATCTAACTTAATCACTAGTAAAGAGAAAAGATCTTTTATTGGTAAAATGCAGGTTTCATTGAAAGTCTTAAATGCTGTGTACAGATATATCTGACCTGTAAATATAATAGCAAATATTTCAGCCTAGAATTTTTATTTTATGTGTAAACACTAAAACAGATGGTACTTAGGGATAATATTAAGTGAAATCAGTATTTTTTTGGTGTTCATCTGACATAAAAGTATCAGTGGCTTTGCAGGGTTTTAAAGAGAGTTGCTGGCATATTTGAAACCAAAAAAACATGCCCCAGTCTACATCTTTCAAACCTCAAGTCATGCCTAAAATTAGGTTGCTCAATTATAATATGCTGACTACCGGTCTTTATTTGTAAACAAATAACTATGCTTACAAATTCAGGCTATTTAAATAAAGTAAATTTAATGGAGTCAAGTAATTTTTCAGAACTTTCTGACCTACCTGTTATTTCTAAGTGCATATAACTGTCCATTGGTAGTGGCAAAGACAAAAAATTGAAAGGGTCAAATCGGACACTTATATGCCCACATGTCTTGCATTTTACTTGAGATCTTAGCTGCCCATGGAACAAATCCACAACAATTGATCTATTTCTTCTTAGATGGTTGTCCCAGGCCTAGCAATAAAAAAGATGAGAATTTTCTCTCAAAATCCAAAAGAGAAGCATTTCTATATAAATTCAAAGAAGCTAGTTAAATATATTGGATTTAAATGTAAAGAATATAATCCTTACTCTTCATTTAACATAAAATATTAAATTGAGATGGAAAATCCTATTTTTCATTTGTTCTTATCAAGGTAACAATGGTAAATATTAAAGTTATTTGTCCATTAACAAGTATAAAGCATGCCTATAGGTCACTGTATCCATTACTTTAGCAATTACGGGGACTCTTTAAATTCCACTGGATAATTATTCCTACATCCAGTCCCATAAAGTTTACAATATGAAATGGCAACAGTTTTCTATTTTCATTAAACGTATTTTTGTTTTGGCATTATTGCATAAGAATTAAGCACAGAAATAGAAATTCATTCATTTTTGCAGTAAAGTTCTGATCTCAGAATAGTTGAGTTTGCATTTAAGTTGTGCTACATGTATTTGTGGCCAGAACATTTTGTCTATTGCTTACATTAGAAACTCAAAACTGACAAACCTCTGCAGCTACTTCCCAGTCTGGTCGCCCATCACTGTCCTTCAGTTCCACATATGGCTTTTCATGGACTCGATTAAGATCTTCATGAAGACCATCCAAGAGAAAAGCCAGAAGTTCTTGGGAGTCCTGTTGCTGAAACCCATTAAACCTGGGAGCATATTTTGCTATGGTCCACTATAAATATAAGAGAAGTCACAGTCATTATTTCCTACCCATAAAATTTGGAATGAACATGTCCTATAATCCAATCAGAGCCATTGTAAGAAAATAAATAGTATAGTACTTAGTCTGCCTCTATTTCAACAAATATATTTTGGATAATCATGAAATCTTTTGAATCTTAATGTCAAATGACCCCCCCCAAAAAAAGAGAAGTATTTTGGCCAATACTGTGCAATACTGTGTCCTCAGTTCAGTATTATGTAAGCAAACTGTTCTTCAGGCACACAGATGTTATTTAAGACAGAAACATTAAAACAGCGTTTGCTCACATTGAAAGACATCCTGTTCTATAACGTTTTACATTTTTATATGCATATAAAATATGTATATTTTATAGGTACATAGTATATACATAACATATGCATAAAATAATGTGTATATAATAATACATAACATGTATAAAATAATATGTGTATACATTATTTTATATAATATAATGTTGTCTTCAACAATTACATTTTCTGGTCTTGTTGCATCCTAAATTTTATTAACTGCATTATATTATAGAATTATTTTGAGGATATAAATTAATTAGAATAGTGCCTGGCAAGAGGTAAGTAGTCAAATGTGTAGCTGTTATAGTTAATAATTTGTAATATAAAAAGCTTTTGCTTTGTATTTAAATAAAAATAATGAATAATCCTAACTTCACTAAAATCTACTACATCTGATATTAATATAAAACTTATATTCATTAGTTTCATTCATTCATCCTTCTACTTTTTTTTTTTCTTTTTGGAGACAGAGTCTTACTCTGTTGCCCAGGCTGGAGTACAGTGGTGCGATCTTGGCTCATTGCAAACACCACCTCCCAGGTTCAAGCGTTTCTCGTGCCTCAGCCTCCCAAGTAGCTGGGATTACAAGCATGCACCACTATGCCCGGCTAATTTTTTTTAGTAGAGACAGGGTTTCGCCATCTTGTCCAGGCTGGTCTTGAACTCCTGGCCTCAAGTGATCCACCCACCTCGGCCTCCCAAAGTGCTGAGATTACAGGCGTGAGCCCCTGCGCCCAGCCTACTTCTTTGTATTCTACAGATAGAACTATCTTAGTTACGTTGAAAATGGATTGGATTGGATGTAATTAATAAGACTCTGAGGTCCACCTTGCAGTTAGAATACTGCTAATAGTGAAGTATTACCAAAAAAGGTTTACTCTTCATATAAGATGTTTGACAAATTAGTAAAATGAATGACATCCCGAATTTAGAGTGTACCTTTGGTCTTTATCCTACCCACTACATATACAGTAGTAATTTTGCATATATTTAAACAAGCAAAAGAATTTGACCTTTTGTTTATACCAAGTGAAGGATCCAAAAACATTTATTAAGTTAAAAGGCTAAACACAAAAAACAAGCAGAGAAAAATGATTAAACAACTATTAGGAATTAAATACTTTTATATTATTTTAACCTGCTTACCCGAAGCTTTAATGGGGCAACATTCTTCTGAGTTCCACTCCAAAGTTCCTGCACTAAATCACCATAGCATTTAGCCATATGCCCCTTCATACCAATGGGATTTGTCCTAGAAGTTTGAGAGGAAAATTTGTTGCCAAAGATTCTCATAAATCACAATCATGTGGGCGCAAAAATGCCTAGCATCTCACATCAAAATATCTTTTCTTTTTGAAACAAGAGATGTATTCCTTGGCCTATTTCATATTAAATAGGGCAAATAAGATAAAATCTTTCTCCCACAGGGTGAAAAAAGAGGAAATTTAGGTGATATTGGGTTTATATCAAAGTCACAGGTTAAGAGGCCAGTGACTCCAGAAAGATTACCTGTTGAGTTCATAAAGATGTCTCCCTGAGATAAAATACTGTGTCAGTGGCTGTGTGTTACTAACACACTGGATGCTTGAGTTCATGAAGCATGTGTTTCCCAGATTGCTTAGACCTGTGGCTCCCTTTTCTGTGGGAACTGGAACAAACAATATGAGAACCAAAGCTTAGCTGTAGTAATATGCCATGGCACAAACAGTTACTTATATTCAATGAAAAGGTTTTTTATAACTCTCATAATCAGCTAAATGGTGCTAATAATTCTCTAGCAGGTCTCTGAAATGCTAGAGAAGGCTTTTCATGGAGTGTCTGGCAACAGTGATGATCCATGCTCATTTGTAACCCAGAAGCAGCAATTATTCTTTTTAATTGCTATGATTTTTCAAAATAATTCAAACAATTCTTCTTCTAGTATGTCTTTTAAAACATATAAATTATTTAATTGCAGAGTTAGAAAGAAATTTAGAAAATAATTTGATGGTGGGTTTGCCAACATCAAATGCTGCTTCAGGAAAAAAGAAAAAGAAGAAGGCCCTAATTACTTTTGAACTAGAAAACCAAAAGTTGTTAGCACTTTAACAGTTGAGAGAAGAAAAAAAAAGAATACATTTAAAATAATCTCTTTAAAAAATAATACTGGAGACTTACCCTTGTGTCTATCTATTTTACTACTATTTGCTATAAAAGACATCTCCTCAGGCCAACTCATATCTTTGTTGCGAACTGGAAGGACAGATAGGAATGTGTTAATTTCTTATCTATCTAATTTATACCCATTCGATTGCTTTTTTTTTTTAAAGACATCTTATTCCTAAATCAGAAGTTTTAAAATCTAGTTAATTTTAGTACATACATTGCTTAACGACGAGGTTATATTCTGAGAAATGCATCATTAGGTGATTTTGTCTTTGTGTGAACATCACAGAGTGTACCTACACAAACCTAGGCTATGTATGGTATAGGCTGTCGCTCCTTGGCTACAAACCTGTACAGTATGTTACTGCATTGAATACTGTAGGCAAGTGTAACACAATGGTAAGTATTTGTGTATCTAAACATGTTAGAACATAGAAAAGGCACAACTAAAAATACAGTATTATAATCTTATGGGACCACTGCTGTATACAGGTCTTTTGTTGACAAACATCTTTTTGCAGCACATGCCTGTAATTGGCTCTAAAACCATTCCTACTCTTCATATTGAGGACTTTAAAGTCACTTGGTTTGAATAATCTTATCCCTCAATTACCTACTTGAAGTAAAATTATACTCAACCATCTACAGAAGTAATTAAAGTTCAGAAACAATGGAATTTCTTATACTTAAAACATTAGAAATTACAATTCTTTCTTAAATTGTAACAACTGTCAGAGTAATTTATTCCTTTTTTTTTTTTTGAGACAGTCTGGCTTTGTCCCCCCAGGTTGGAGTGCAGTGATGTGATCTTGAGTCACTGCAACCTCCGCCTCCTGGGCTTGACTGATTCTCGTGCCTCAGCTTCCTGAGTAGCTGGGACTACAGGCACGTGCCACCACACCCAGCTAATTTTTGTATTTTTAGCAGAGACAGATTTCACCATGTTGTCCAGGCTGGTCTGGAACTCCTGACCTCAAGTGATCCACCCATCTCAGCCTCCCAAAGTGCTGGGATTACAGGCGTGAGCCACTGCGCCCGGCCTATTCATTTTAATACAAAGGCAGCTAACAATGTTGCCACAAAACTTGATGGGAAAAGATACACTTAAAAAGTTTTTAATGGCATGTGCATGCCAGTGTGTAAATCTATGAATATACAAATAGCTCTGTCAGTGAGTAGCCAATGTTGGTGACTAATGAAAGCCTGTGCTACTAACTATGCAAGAAAGTTGTTCTTTTTACTCAAACTCAAAGCAGCAACTTGAAAATTTTAAGGAACTATAAATGTGTAAACTGAATTCACTTGTTTTTTATCTACCATTCCCATTCTTTGTCAGTCAATGACTAAAAACAGAATATTTTCCCTTTAAAGCAATCTAAATTGTATGGTAGGATTACATAAGAGTTCAAAGGGTTTTCTTTTTCTTTTTTTTCCAAAGGGTTTCTTTATCATAAAAACATAATAATCAAATAATAGTTGTTTTGGAGAAAATTATAAAATGGGTTATTAGTAACTCTTTAAATTCTTCCCCTTGAAAATTTAATATAGATGCATGCTTCCATCTTGTACCTTCAATTACCAGGTGTTGTTCATCCTGGATTTTCAAATATTCCAATTTATGATCCTCATCATCCAGAAGAGTAAGGTAGTTCTGTGTAAGGAGGAGGAAATGTTTTTGTTATTTGGTTAGTAAACTTGAAACAAATACAGAGATAAAAATGAGTAACAATTAAAAAAACAACTTCTTTGTAGTTATATAACATATCACAAATATCTGGCCTACTATAGTTGTTCATAAATATTTATAACTTAGGTGGCAGTATGACAGAAAGACAATGTGTACTTCATAAGCGTTATCTTTCTCTTTTTTAAAATTTCAATAGGTTTTTGGGGAACAGGTGGTGTTTGGTTACATGAATACGTTTTGTTTTTTGTTTTTTTTTTTTTTAAAGATGGAGTCTGGCTCTGTTGCCCAGGCTGGAGTATAGTGGCACTATCTTGGCTCACTGCAACCTCTGCCTCTGGGTTCAAGCAATTCTCCTGCCTCAGCCTTCTGAGTAGCTGGGACTACAGGCTCCCACCGCCATGCCCAGCTAATTTTTGTATTTTTAGTAGAGACAGGGTTTCACCACGTTGGCCAGGCTGGTCTCAAACTCCTGACCTCTGGTGCTCCAGCCACCTCGGCCTCCCAAAGTGATGGGATTACAGGCGTGAGCCACTGTGCTCGGCCACACCATTAGTTTATAATGTAACATATAATCTTTGTAACATGTAATCTTTATATGTAACAATAATCTTTGAAAGATAGTACTGTCCATGGTGATCAATTGCTATTATGGATCTCAGAGACAAATATTACAAGTATACATATAGTAACTTAAAAGATGAACTTTTCACTGATATCCTAGACATGGCTTTTAGCATAATTATTATAGGTAAAATCCCATACTCATGAAATATGATTTAACACTTAATTAGCCTTGTGCTCTTTGGCAACATATGTACTAAAATTGGAACAATACAAAGAAGTTTAGCAAATTTCTTTTACTATTTAAAATTAAACAAATACCAACAATCAGACTCTCTATGACTCTGAGATGCCTCTTACCTCACTGTTGTATAGCCACAGGCGCATATCTTCCTCTTTAATGCGCAGCCTTTGAGATAGATATTCGTGAATTTCCTTGATGGTCTGCATTCGACTAAAACAGCCTGTATAGGCTAATACCCGCTTTAAAGGTGCATTCGGAGAAGGTACATTTCCTATGGTTACAGTAATCACAGTAAGAAAAAAGGCAGATGTGAAAAAGAAGCACCCCTCTCAGCAATGGGGACCATACTATTTTAGGAAATAATAATGAGAAATGAGAATTACAGGTGTAATAATTTTATAAATGAAGAGTACCAAAACGCTTTAAAATGCAGGCAGGAGACCCAAGTTCTTTTTGTTTGTTTGTTTGTTTGTTTGTTTTTAATAGATGGAGTCTTGTTATGTTGCCAGACTAGAGTGCGGTGCTGTGATTTTGGCTCACTGCAGCCTCCACCTCCAAGGCTCAAGCAATCCTCCCACCTCAGCCTCCTGAGTAGCTGGTACTACAGGTGCACGCCACCACATCTGGCTAATTTTTGTACATTTTTGGGTAGAGACAGGGTCTTGGCCATATTGCCCTGGCTGGTCTCTAACTCCTGGGCTCAAGCGATCCACCTGCCTCGGCTTCCCAAAGTGCTGGGATTACAGGTGTGAGCCACCAAGCCCAGCCTTCCAGGTGTTTTAAAGTGAGTCCAAAGCCTCAACTTTGAAAAGATGAGCAAAGGCCCAAGGCCCAAGGTCCAAATTATTGGCAATATTTGGATACCAAGAAGAGTAGGAACATGCCAGAAAACAATTGGCATTGATATCTGGCTGCACTCAGCTGAGTCACAGTCAATAGCAAAATGAAATAAAACTCAGTGAAAAAAAAATTAGGACAGAGTTAAAAAAAAAAAAAACTCAGTGGAGGAGGTAAAATGAGATGGGATTTGAATCCCACAGATAGATAATTGGATTCACCTGGTCCACTTTCCTAAACTTTCTTTGAATCACTAATCCCATCACTTTCAGTCATTAAGTAGCTCAATTATCTGGCACAGTGGTACAACTGCACCAGAAAACATATGTATATCTATTACATATCAATTAAAAAAAAAGAGAATTTGACATAAAATTCTAAATAGGTATAGACTCTACATAGCCAAACAGAGTTTTTTATTATCATTATTTGAGATAAGGTCTCATTCTGTTGCTCAAGCTGTAGTGCGGTGCGGCAATCATGGCTCACTGCAGCCTCAACCTCCCTCATTCAAGTGATCCTCGCACTTTAGCTTCCCAAGTAGAGACAGGGTCTCTCTATGTTGCCCAGGCTGGTTTTGAACTCCAAGGCTCAGGGAATCCTCCCACCTTGGCCCCCCAAAGTTCTGGGATTACAAACTGAGATTACAAGTGTGTGAGCTACCACATTTGGTCAAAACAGAGTTTCAAATTGAAGCCAAGAAGTTTCCCATGGCCAAATAAACAAGTGCCCAATAAGGAAAAAAAAAAAATCGTATTAGCCTGTCCACCCAGTAAGTTGACGACAGACATGACCTTGAATTCCTGAAGGGCTAAAGGTAGAAACAAGAAGAGTGGTAATACAGGGGAAAAGAGTAAAGAGTGAAGGAAGAATATATCAAGTCTCACTACATACTTCAAAAGAGGAGGGGTATGAAATGACAAGAGATTATGGAAATCAAAGAGAGGTGGCAAAAAAAAAAAAAAACATCATTAAACCCTGGTTAACTACTCCGCCAAAAATCTAGACAAAACTGTGGCTTAAAATAGTCTTCTCTGCTGAGGCTGTATTTTATTGAGCAACCCAACTTAAAAATATAAACTTATCAATATAATGTACATTCCAAATAATTTTCTACCCATTCAATCATGAGTTAGCTTCTTTCTTCCTGAAAAATGCTTTTAATGAGTCTTCCCCACTAAATAAAGCTGAGAAAATATGTGCATCATCTACTTTTTTAGAACTTCAGAAAAGGAATTCCCTCACCTAAGGCAGGCTAAAAAGTCACCTAAAAAACAATGACTTCTATAGCCTTGTCTGTAGAAAAGCCTACATTTAAGTAATTGTAACTGTAAGAAGGTTTGAATACTTGTCACTTCAAAAGGAATAAAAGAGCCTAGTAAACAGCTGTAATAAATTGAGTATTTGAGAAAGATGAACATCATGTTATGGCAGAACAAAACCCAACCCGTGATCAGTTTTTGAACACATAGCAAGCAAATCTTTTACAATCAGCAAGCAAAGGATAATCTCTAAAAGAAAACAAAAGAGCAAATTTCTCCAATTATACATTTTAGGATTAGTTGTAAGATTACAGCAAGAAAGCATATTTTTATAAATTTTAAAATGATTAATGATTGATTTCACAACTAATTAGCAAGGAATAAAATTTCAAATTAAAACCAAATTTGGAGCATCTGAAATATGCAGTTCTAGGATTCAGAAGCATATAAGTATAGTATTCAAGTCAATCTCTATTGTCTTAAGCCACAATATGAAAATTTGAGTTTTAGAAAGTTTTTATAGCATAGCTCATTAAGCAGGCAGCCACTTACTATACATACTTTTGTGCTTTTGAATAGCACCAACAAATCTAGTGGAATTTATAGAAGCAGCAAAAATCTAGGATCAGCACAAGAGTTACAAAGAATACCTACTAAAAGTGCAACAACACATCTTGCCTCTCATGTTATCTTTCTTTTATATATTTTTTTGAGACAGAGTCTCACTCTGTTGCCCAGAATAGAGTGCATGGCGCGATCTCGGCTCACTGCAACCTCTGCCTCCTGGGTTCAAGCAGTTCTCATGCCTCACCCTCCCGAGTAGCTGGGATTACAGACACCTGCCACCACACATGGCTAATTTTTGTATTTTTAGTAAAGATGGGGTTTCACCATGTTGACCAGGTTGGTCTCGAACTCCTGACCTCTGGTGATTCAGCAGCCTCGGCCTCCCAAAGTGCTGGGATTACAGGCATGAGTCACTGCACCTGGCCTCATGTTATCTTTCAAAGAGAATTGAAAAAGTTGTAATGGGTGCCATGGAAGCAAGGCTAATCCTTCTAATGGAAAATTAAATCAAGAATGTTTCATAAAGGTTCTATCTCACTGTTCCTTTTTTAAAAAATGGTTTCCTTCACTTTTTATTTTTTTTTAAGAGACAAGCTCTTGCTCTGTTACCCAGGCTGGAGTATGGTGGCACAATCATAGCTCACCACAACCTTGAACTCCTGGGCTTAAGAGATCTTCCCACCTCAGCCTCTTGAGTAGCTGAGACTACAGGGCACACCACTTTGCCCAGCTAATTTAAACAATTTTTTGTAGAGACAGGATCTTACTATGTTGCCCAGGCTGGTCTCAAACTCCTGGCTTCAAATGATCTTCCTCCCCAGTCTCCCAAACTGTTGGGATTACAGGCATCAGCCACCATGCCCAGCCTCACTGTTCTTTGATTTTGCTGTTTTCCCCAAAGACAAAGTTTGGTAGACAGGGGCCAATGCTTTGCTATAATTACTACGAAACACTACTGAAAGAATTCTTACCAAACAGGCCGAGGTGGATGGATCACGAGGTCAGGAGATAGAGACCATCCTGGCTAACATGGTGAAACCCCGTCTCTATTAAAAATGCAAAAAATGAGCCAGGTGTGGTGGTGGGCGCCTGTAGTCCCAGCTACTCAGGAGGCTGAGGCAGGAGAATGGTGTGAACCTGGGAGGCGGAGCTTGCAGTGAGCCGAGATCGTGCCACTCCACTTCAGCCTGGGCGACAGAGCAAGACTCCATCTCGAAAAAAATAAAAAATAAAAAATAAAAGAATCTTCATATATTAAATGAATATAACCTTTAATGAAGATACAAAACTAACTTTGTTCAATTTCAAAGGAGAGCAAGTACTTCTTTTGGTCAGGGTTTAGAGGTAGTTCTTGCATACTAAGTTATTTAAATTATAATAACATGCTGGTATTGTTAACATAGTCTGAGAATTTGTGTAAATGGTTGCTCATGATTATTAATATTATTTTTTGAGACAGAGTCTCACTCCGTCACCCAGGCTGGAGTGCAACGGTGTGATCTTGGCTCACTGCAACCTCCACCTCCTGGGTTCAAGCGATTCTCTTGCCCCAGCCTCCCAAGTAGCTGAAATTACAGCACCACCACGCCCAGCTAATTTTTGTGTTTTTAGTAGAGACAGGGTTCGTGTTGGCCAGGCTGGTCTTGAACTCCTGACCTCAAGTAATCTGCCCACCTCAGCCTCCCAAATTGTGGGATTACAGGCATGAGCCACTGTGCTCAGCTTATTATTTCTTTACTGCTGAAGAATAATTTCAAACATTTGCAAAGCAAAAGCACAGAGCAAGTCTTGCCCGTCAATAAAGTTTAACCTTACAGAGAAATGAAAGGGGAACTTTTTGCATGTTATACATTAAAATGGGAACTACTTTATATGTCATTTTGATAGGCTTGATGTTTTTTCAAAGCAAATATATCACTTTAATCTTCAAAAATATGCCTTTTGCTCTGTACTCTCTGTCTCTTATGTAAAGCCTCTTTAGATCAAGCATGAGAAATGTATCATGTTTTGCCAAAAAACCAAACAACAACAAAAACCTTAAAAAACAAAAAAGATGATAGTATAAGAGGAATTGCTTTTTACAAATTTGAGTGGAGTTGAAAAGACCAGTCAATGACTGGTATACTACTACTTAGTCTAGTAACAATTTACAATGGCTTGTCTCAAAGAAATAAAGCATGTAAAATCTATTTCTATTTATTTTCTTTGTAAGTAGAAAAGGAAACATCCCATCTCAGTTTGCTGTTGGAATGTTTGCTTCAACCCCTCATCTAGTCTTGTGCATGACCATAGTTCTAAGCCCTGTAAAAATTAATTACTGAGTCTGTAGGAAAGCTGATGGGAATGTGTATCAATACAGTGGCACCAGACTTCGAGCAACGTAGTTTTCACCTTTTTTTTTTTTTTTTTTTTTTTTTTTAAGGAAATGCATGGTATTCTTGCTGCATTCTTAAGTTACCTCTCGGTAAATGCTGAGGAAACATTCTCAGGCTCATCATACCCATATTCACCCAGATGTTAGACTGCTGTGTCCGAGTGGCAGGCTGCTGTCTCAGGAAGAGAAGATAGCGGGGAAATAATTCCAGCTCTGGGATGTCTGTCTTGCTGTTCTTGATAACCTATTGTTTTAAAAGATAAAAAGAGATCACTAAAAAAAGAAACAAAACTTGCCATTTTAATCTAACTTCTGAGATTTATTTCTAAACCAAAATGTCCAACAAGTTCACTAGCTACATTTCAGTAATTACTGAAACTCACACATTTAAGTTACATGGATCTGATTACTGTTAAAATTCCTGCTCCGAAACCCATTTCCTAAGATTATAACTCCTTGTAGATATCTTCTCCCCTTTTATTTAAAAGCAAGTAACAACACTGAGGAAAAAAAAAAACCCTAAGTATTATCTATAATTCTACTACCCTCACACCATAAGTCTTTTCATTTTTACATATTTCATGTATATAAATGATTGACATTTTAAGGACAAATTCATAAAAATTGAGTTACAAGTCAAAAACTATGGAAGTATTCATTAGCTATATAGTCATGCTGCCATCTAAAGTTTAGCAATTTACACTATTGCCAGTAATGTGTAAGTATACTACTCTCATAAAACCTTATCACTGGACATCATTTAAAAACATCCACATTTCGTTAATATGAAGAGTATTATAAATTGCTTAAATTTTTATTTTTTGTACTAGTAGTGAGGATGCAACTGTTCCCATATAAAAATTTACTACGTTCTACTTGCGTAACCAGTCTGTTCACATATGTTTTGTCTATGACTTAAACAAAAAATTTGGATGTAAAAAAAACTCAGATTTCACATTGTTGGAACAGGATTTTTAAGTAGTTTTAACCTGCTTATAAGCCCACAGACACAGGAAAACATTTAATTATCAAAATATTGTTGTAAGAGTAGTAAATGATCAATTTCATATTCTAAAAGGATAGCAGGGTTAACACTGAAACTCCTTTTTTTTTTTTTTGAGACACAGTCTCGCTCTGTCACCCAGGCTGGAGTGCAGTGGCCCGATCTCGGCTCACCGCAAGCTCTGCCTCCCGGGTTCTTGCCATTCTCCCGCCTCAGCCTCCCAAGTAGCTGGGAATACAGGAGCCCGCCACCACGCCTGGCTAATTTTGTTTTTGTATTTTTAGTAGAGACAGGGTTTCACCGTTGTTAGCCAAGATGGTCTCGATCTCCTGACTTCGTGATCCGCCCGCCTCAGCCTCCCAAAGTGCTGGGATTACAGGCGTGAGCCACCGCGCCCAGCCAACACTGAAATTCTTGAAAACAGAAACTCTGTACAGAGTCTTTTAAGTCTCAGGTGACCAGGCTTTATTTTCCTTTACTCTCATAACCAATATCTTCTGCAACAGAACTTTTTTTTTTTAGTATCAAGAGGGAGCAATAAAAATCAAATAAAAACAACACTACAAGCCAGGTGCAGTGGCTCATGCCTGTAATACCAGCACTTTGGGAGGCCAAGGCAGAAGGGCTGCTTGAGACCAGGAGTTCGAGACCAGCCTGGGCAACACAGCAAGATTCTGTCTCTTAAAAAAATTTAAAAATTAGCTGTTATGGTGGTGTGTGCCTGCAGTCTTAGCTATTGGGGAGGCTGAGGTGGGAATATTGTTCAAACCCTGGAGCTTGAGGTTATTTTTCATAAACGTAATTATTAAGAACTCAAAATCAACATCAAAATTACATTAGTCTGTTTTATAACAGATTTTTACTCTTTTTAGAAGTTAACGTACCATATCTCATCTATACAAAACCTTCCTGGCATAAGGAAGTTTTAGCTTGGACATTATAAAAGGAAGAGTGTTTCTTTCTTTTTTTTTTTTTTGAGACGGAATCTCGCTCTGTCACCCAGGCAGGAGTGCAATGGTGTGCAGTCTTGGCTCACTGCAACCTCTGCCTCCTGGGCTCAGACAATTCTCCTGCCTCAGCCTACCAAGTAGCTGGAACTACAGGAGTGTGCCACCACACTGGATAATTTTTGTATTTTTATTAGACACGGGGTTTCACTATGTTGGCCAGGCTGGTCTCGAACTCCTGACCTCGTGATCTGCCTGCCTCGGCCTTCCAAAGTGCTGGGATTACAGGTGGAAGAGTGTTTCTTAATATACCAAAACAAATCCCACCAAAACATCTTGTTATATTTTACTTCATCAACAATGTAAAAAGTGAGTGTCCAGAGTACCGAGTGCTGTTTACCGTGTAAGCACAACAAATGGTGCTATATACTAATATTTTAATATAATATTCTGTTATCATATGTTGTGATCTTTTATATGCCCCTCCTTCAAAAACATAAACCACAAAAATCCACCAAAAGCTACAAGAAGAATCCAATCCCTAACTAGATACTTGTGTGATTGTTAGGAATAGTAGTTTCAGAAATAACCTCTGCATCACGCCCTACATTCACTGAACTTTTTGGCACTGGCTCTTGGCCTGTCTTCCCCTCCAGCCTAAGTTCCACATATCCTAGGTGATGTCTACTTTTATGTGGATAACACATTCAACAGCCTCCTATTTCCTTGCCTTTATTTATGAATGAATGAACGAATGTGAAGGAACTTAACATTGAACAATCCACACAGGTTCAGAACACTCTTCTACCACAAGGTAAGAGCTACTTTGTGGTTAGTGAGAGTCACATAGAAAAAGTAACAGAAGACCCCCATCTATGACTGCTCCTTATATAAGGCACTATTAACTATACTTACTGGTCTAGGTAAGGCCAGGTTTGCTCCATACCAGTGATAAAGTGCTCTCCACACAGGTTCTGGGACCATTTCATAGTCTCTTCCATGAATCAGCTGTGGAGTTCGTTTTAATCGTCCTCCTTCTAGTGTTAATGATGTAGCCTGAGAAAGAATAGAATGACAATGTTGACTTTCAATATTACAAAAGTTTTTGGGTCTCAGCAATACCTAGAAACAGGAAAACAAACTCATATATCACCACCCAGTTTCATGTTGCTGGAAAAACTTAATTTTTTTTTTTTTTTTTTTTTTGAGACGGGGTCTTGTTCCGTCACCCAGGCTGGAGTACAGTGGCGCGATCTTCGCTTGCTGCAGCCTCCGCCTCCCGGGTTCCAGTGATTCTCCTGCCTCAGCCTCCCGAGTATCTGGGATTACAGGCACACGTCACCATGCCCGGCTAATTTTTGTATTTTTAGTAGAGACGGGGTTTCACCATGTTGGCCAGGCTGGTCTCAAACTCCTAACCTCAGGTGATCTGCCCACCTCAGCCTCCCAAAGTGCTAGGATTACAGGCATGAGCCACCACGTCCAGCAAAAAAACTGAATTTTTAATGAGAGATTTTTATTTTTGACTTTCAAAATAAACTATGTAAGAAATGAAACTCAAAGCATATCATTTGGAAAAATCACTAAAGCACTTGAAATAACTTCACAGATTTCTTTCAAACAATAAAAAATACTAGTTTGGAAAAAAAAATTCATACATAGCGTATGTGAAACAACATTTTCAGAATAGCTGTCCTAAGTAAGAATAACAATAATGCCAAGGGTTACTAAACTACTTCTATGTAAGTTCTAAATCATAAATATTCTCACAGAAATGTACTATACAAAGAGATGTCCATCTATAATACAGTAATTAAATGAACCATCAATGTTTTGCTATGTGCTAAAACCTCTGAAATGAAATTTATTAATAGCTTGCAAGAGAATAATTTTAAGTTTAGATGTAAAATTACTTACCTTTACTGGTTCTTGAGTTACTAATGGCTGATTATCAATAGCCCCTGGTTTCTGAGGGTTAAGGTGCAACAAAATATTCCCATTGGCTCCCAGCAAACACTGGTTGTTATTGTCAGAAGTGTTATGTTGTCGAGCAAAGCAAACATCTGCCCCTGGTGTGGCAGAATACAGAAAGCCTATAAAAAAAAAAGAGGATAGAATCTCTTATTTTTAGTTATTATACATAAACAGGCTTGAGGATATGAACTCAATGCCCATGTATTGTATTACTCTGTTGACATGTCAGTACAGATTAAGATTCTGGTAATTCTGTAGAAGACAGGAAATGTTATCCTTCTCTGAACAATACATGGCATGGTACTAAAAATAAGAGCTTTTAAAATTATTACCAAATGAACATTTGGCCACCCTCCTAGAATATCTAATAATTCATAATGAGAATTATATGTCCTCCGACTGGAAGGGAAGAGCTGGGCTAAGTGGCTGGGCTTCTACATAGCATCCTTTAATTATTTTCCTCAAACTAGAAAAATATTCCAAATGTTCTTGGTAGATAATGGTGATATGAAGTCACTAAATTAAAAGAAAACTAAAACAAGAACTCCAACAAAAGAGTAATGGGGGCTAGATCCTATTGTATCTATGAACTCAATGTCCACAAGTTCTTTTGAAAGAAATACATGATCTTTACAATACGAAAATATGCACAGAAGATGATTAACCATGGCTTAGAGTTGTGAGCCTCAGTGGTATTTTAAGCCATTTCAACTCTCAACTACATGCTAATCTTTGGTAAACAATCTAGCAGTCATCACTTTGTAACCTTCTGCCTGTGGTATGCAGCCTTTGGGTGTCACAAGTTATATGGTAAGCACATACCAAACAGGATCTTTAGATGGGGTTAAGAAATAATCCTCATGTTAAAGCTGATGACAGCACTTCTAGGACTGCTAAGTGATCTTTGTAATACCAGAAAGGGAGGGAAGAAGCAGATTCTACAAGGAGCTTTGTGAAGAAAATGCTAGCTCTGTCCAATTTGCTTACACCTTCCACAGAAAAGGAAAAGAACATCTTGGAAGAAATAATAACACACGCCAGGAGGAATGGCTCATGCCTGTAATCTCAGCACTTTGGGAGGCCAAGGCTGGAGGACTGCTTGAAGCCAGAAGACTGCAACCAGCACAGGCAACATGAGACCTCGTCTCTACAAAACAATTAAAAAATTAGCTGTGTGTGGCAGTGTACACCTGTAGTCCCAGCTACCAGGTAGGCTAAGACAGGAGGATCATTTGAGCCCAGGAACTGGAGGTTACAGTGAGCTATGATCATGCCATTGCACTACAGCCTGGGCAACAGAGTGACACCCTGTCTCTTTAAGTAAATAAATAAATAACAATAGGGTAAGATTGAGGGTTCTGCTACTGTACCAGAATAACAGCAATCAACTCAATTCAGCTGGGCCATAGAAATACCACAGCATCTTCCTTGTAGGTGTGGAAACATGAAGTTTTAGGTAAGTACCAAGGCCTAAAGGGAATTATGGGAGGCATCTGAATTCTTTCTCAGTATTTTAACAAAATAATCTCCATATTTTGGCCTGAAATATACATAGAATCTGATGTGGGGTGCATTTAATTTAATTATGTTTATGGCTAGAGAGAGTCCTGGAGATGACTATCTTTGAAAATTTAAATTTACTGACTAAATAATTTAATAGCAATAGGGAAAGATGGGGCTTGATTGATGAAAATAGTGAAAATAGCCGCATGTGATGGCTCATGCCTGTAATCCCAGCACTTTGAGAGGCTGAGGCCAGAGGACTGCTTGAGCCTGGGAGTTTGAGACCAGCCTGGGCAACATGGCAAAACCCTATCCCTAAAATAAAAACACACAAAAAATGGCTGGGCATGGTGGCGCGTGCCTGTAGTCCCAGCTTCTTAGGAGGCTGAGGTGGGAGAATTGCTTGGGGCCAGGAGGCAGAGGCTGCAGTAAGCCGTGATTATGCCACTGTACTCCAGCCTGGGTGACAGAGCGAGATCCTGTCTCAAAAGAAAATAGTGAAAATATTTCCATATTGAGAGATTTAATGAAGTATAATATGGAAAAGAGGTTTTCTTTGTAAAAATACTAATATATTCAAGAATTTTACAATTGACCATTTCATTCAAAACTTATTTCTGTTAATGGAAGCCTGATCTCCTATTACCATATTCACTACAGCCTCTGTCAAATTAGACTGCCTTAATAACTATCCATGGGGAGGCCAGGCATGGTGGCTCACGCCTGTAATCCCAGCACTTTGGGAGGCCGAGGCAGGCAGATCACGAGGTTGGGAGTTCAAGACCAGCCTGGCCAACATAGTGAAACCCCATCTCTACTAAAAAAATACAAAAATTAGCCAGGCGTGGTGGCGGGTGCCTGTAATCGCAGCTACTCAGGAGGCTGAGGCAGGACAATCGCTTGAACCCAGAAGGTGGAGGTTGCAGTGAGCAGAGATCGCGCCACTGCGCTCCAGCCTGGGCAAAATGTGAAACTCAGTCTCAAAAAAAAAAAAAAAAAAGAAAAGAAAAGAAAGACCTATCCAGGGGGAATAAACCAATAAACCTCAGGGGAATAGGTCATATTTACCGCTGCCAGCAGTTTCTGAGGCTTCAGATGCAGTAGAAATGTTGTCTGAAAATTTCTCTTCTGTAGTATTCACGTAACTGAGGCTGCTTCCAATTCTATCTTCGACCTGCTCCATAGGATGGGCTGCAGTTCCAAATGAGTATTTTCCTCCATTCAAAACAGATGATGGCTCAATTACCACAGGGTTGGCATCCTAAAATCAGGAAATCAGAGAATAAGAAGCAAAGTTTATAATCTGACAACTATGTAGTCTTCAGAAACAAATCTCACAATTATCTATTTTTTTAAGTCTCCTGTGGTTGGCCACAGACATTTAAAAACATTCTAATACATAGCTATATTTTAATCTCTTTCAGGAGGAAAAGTATGTATATAGATAAAATTGGCAAGGTAGACAAAACAGACTGTGAAGGATTTTGTGCCACATAAAGTAATTTACACTCTATTCTGTTGGCAGCCATTTTTTTAACATTAAAAGTAAATAAAGCTTAAATTTTTTTCTTTTCTTCCTTATTTCCCATAGTACATGAATGTATATAATTTTTTTATTATTAAAGATTACATGGTCAATGTAGAAAATATAGAAAACATGAAGAAAATATCACATGTACTCAGATTCCATCATTTAGCAATAACTGTGTTTTAGTTCTTATGACTGAAAAATATGTATATATGTAAAAGATGAGTGGTGTATGTACATAGAGTGAAGGGCAATGCTATGACTTATACCTATGTGACCTTCTACAATAACTGAACACACCTTTAATCCCAGCACTTTGGGAGACCGAGGCAGATGGATCACTTGAGGTCAGGAGGCCAAAATGGTGAAATCCCATCTCTACTAAAAATACAAAAATTAGCTGGGGGTGGTGGAGGGCTCCTGTAATCCCAGCTACTCGGGAGGCTGAGGCAAGAGAATCACTTGAACCCGGGAGGTTGCAGTAAGCTGAGATTGCGCCACTGTACTCCAGCCTAGGCAACAGAGTGAGACTCTGTCTCAAAAAAAAAAAAAAAAAAAAAAATCATATTTTTTTCTTTCACCAAACATTGTATTGTTTATATAGTGCTAATATGCTAATCTAACATTTCATATTTTCTCTATTTCTCTTTTTAACAAAGAGAGAACAATCCTAAATAGCAGAGTCTTCAAAAGGCAACACTATTAGCTGGAATTTAATAATATTATTGCCTTCTATTTCTGGCAAGCGACACTAGTTTTCTTTTCTTTTTTTCTTTTTTTTTTTTTTTTGAGACGGAGTCTTACTCTGTCACCCAGGCTAGAGTGCAGTGGCGTGATCTCGGGTCACTGCAACCTCCACCTCCCAGGTTCAGGAGATTCTCCTGCCTCAGCCTCCCGAGTAACTGGAATTACAGGTGCATGCCACCAAGCCCAGATAATTTTTGTAGTTTTCATAGAGATAGGGTTTCACCATACTGGCCAGGCTGGTCTTGAATTCCTGACCTCAGGTTATCTGCCCGCCTGGGCCTCCCAAAGTGCTGGAATTACAGGCGTGAGCCACCATGCCCATTCAGTTTTTCTTTTCTTTTTTTTTTTTTTGAGACAGGGTCTCGCTATGTTGGCTAGGTCAGTCTTGAACTCCCGGCCTCAAGCAATACTCCTGCCTGGGCCTCCCAAAGGGCTAGGATTAAAGGCGTGAGCCACTGTGCCCAGTGGACATAAGTTTTCTACTTAAAGTAGTGATATAAAGTTTCCTTTGAAAATATGATTAAATAACTAATTAATCACAAACAGTTATAAATTTCTTTGTTCCTTGTCTGTTACCACTGCTTCACTTTAGTAGCCAAAAAATTTTTTTAAATTTTAAGTAAAAATGGCATAATTATTTATGTAAGTTAACTGTATGGCATTACATGAGAAAAATGGTGACCATAGTTTAAAAAAATGATTAAGAAGTAGGAATCTATATTACATATGAATTTTGGACCATCAATTTTTAAAATTTAGATGGTTCACCAAAGTAGTCAAAATTCTTTTTTTTTTTTTGAGACAGAGTCAAGCTCTGTCGCCCAGGCTGGAGGTCAGTGGTGCAGTCTCGGCTCACAGCAACCTCCGCCTCTAGCTTCAAATGATTCTCCTGCCTCAGCCTCCTGAGTAGCTGGAACTACAGGCACCTGCCACCACACACAGCTAATTTATGTATTTTTAATAGAGACAGGGTTTCACCATGCTGGCCTCAAACTCCTGAACACAAGTGATCCACCTGCCTTGGCCTCCCAGTGTGCTGGGATTACAGGCGTGACCCACTGTGCCTGGCCTAGAAACCAAAATCCTGTAGACAAGACAGTAGAACCAAAATGATCTATGTCAAAAAAGAAGTATAAATTAGTCCTAAGTGTTAATTTTCTTAAAGATAATATCAAGCTTCTCACAGCTTTTCTAATATGGAATTCATACCAACACAAAATACATGACATTTAAATTAGGTTTCTTTTTTCTTTTTCTTTTTTTTTTTTTTTTTAATTAAAACAAGTTTTGGCCAGGGATGGTGGCTCATGTCTGTAATCCCTGCACTTTGGGAGCCAAGGTGGCTGGATCACTTGAGCTCAGGAGAGTTGGAGACCAGCCCGAGCAACGTGGATAGATCCCGTCTTTACAAAAAAATATTAAAAAAAAATAGTGGGGCATGGTGGTGTGCACCTTTAGTCCCCAGTAACTTGAGAGGCTGAGGTGGGAGGATGGCCTCAACCCAGGGGGTGGAGGTTGAAGTGAGTTGAGATCATGCCACTGCACTCCAGCCAGAGCAACAGAGCGAGACTCTTTGTTTTTTTTGTTTTTGTTTTTTTTTTTGGTAGAAATGGAGTCTTACTGTATTGCCCAGGCTGGTCTCAAACTCTAGCCTCAGGTAATCCTCCTGCCTCAGTCACCCAAAGTGGTGGGATTACAGGTGTGAGCCACCTCACCTGGTTAAATTAGGTTTCAAAAGAAAATTTTCCATAAACATAAATGCCTTATTATTTAAATCAATTCAACTTTTTTTTTTCACTTATGCTTTTTGATTTTTTTAGTCTGGAGTATAGCAAAGGCTCTTTTTTTAATACAGGGTCTTGCTCAGTCGCCTATAGCTCACTATACCCTTGAACTCCTGAGCTCAAGTGATCCTTCCACCTCAGCTAGGACCACAGGCATGCATCACCATGCCCAACTAATTTTTAAAGTTTTCATAGAGATGGGGTCTCAATATGTTACCCAGACTGGTCTCAAACTCCTGGAGGATCCAAACAATCCTCCTGCCTTGGCCTCCCAAAGTACTAGGATTACAGGCATGAGTCACCCGGCCAAAGGCATTTTTTCATTTTTAAAGTTCTCTATGTGATCTCACTACATATGCAGCCAGAATTAATAACTATTGCCCTAGTGAGGATTATAGTCTCATGCATTTGTTTTTATAATGTGCTCCAGATGTTAAGAGCTTAGAAATTGACTTGTTATTAAATCTGCTACCTGCTCTGGAACTTGTGTTTTAGAAGAAGATTTAGATTTATTTAGTTTTCAGGTCATTTGCTTCCTGCCCATAAAGATGGAGCAAGACAGACAGCAAAACCATTTTGAAAGAGTAACAGCGCCACCTTTGAGAAAAATTAAAGTCTTCCAAGTCACTTTGTTTTCCTCCAGAAAAATCACTTTAGTTTTGCTATAAGTGATCTTAAATGATGTTTCAATAACCATCACATTTTTGGCAAGGTAATCCGTTTATAAATTTATACTCACTTCTATATTCCATTTATATAAAGTTGATGCATTACAAATTACTTTTTTTTTCCTTCTTTTTTTGAGACAGAGTCTCGCTTTGTTGCCCAGGCTGGAGTGCAGTGGTGCAATGTTGGGTCACTGCAACCTCTGCCTCCTGGGTTCAAGCAATTCTCCTGCCTCAGCCTCCGGAGTAGCTGGGATTACAGGCACGCACCACTGCGCCTGGCTAATTTTTGTATTTCTGGTGGAGACAGGGTTTCGCCACGTTGGCCAGGCTGGTCTTGAACCCCTGACCTCAGGTGATCCACCTGCCTTGGCCTCCCAAAGTGCTGGGGTTACAGGCGTGAGTCACTGCGCCCGACCACAAATTACTTTCTAAAAAATTTGTAGTAATATATTTTGAGGAAGATTGGGTCTATTTGAGCAAACAATTTTCTTCAAGTTTTCCTCTAAGATGGGCATGTAAGAGAATTTCAAGGAGTAATATTTGGAATTGTATCTTAAATGTTTTAACATGTTTGAAAGTCTTACATGGTGCCTATGTTTCTAAAGAAAATGTAAATGAAACCATTCCTGTAATAATGCTTCTCATTCTGAAGAGCTCAGTCCATAGGTTAAATCTATATATATCACTGGCAAGAAAACAGGATAATAAAAATATTACCAGGCATTAAATTTGCTAGGCTAAATTTTATAATAATTTGTGAACAGGATGATTCTAATAACTTCTCAGAGATTGCAACATTTGCCTCTAGCAACTGCGGTTCTACCACATGCTTTTAACATGGTACAGTGAGTAATAACCTTTAGACTTGGAGAATATGGGCTTTTCTTTGCTTCTCTTCCAATGCTCCAAACAAACTAGACTGGTCTGTCTTCTCATTGTCTTCGGCTTTCTTTTCTATTACAGGAACCTGATGCTCTCACTGTTCTCCACTGCCTGAAACTGTCAGCACAACTCAGGTTCCTTCTTCCCCTTCCTACACGCTTATTTTTCTTGTTCCTTCTACCCTTCTTGGCTTTCAGTGAAATAGCTACCTTTTCATCCGATTAATCTTATTACCACTTTCCTTCTATAAGATGAACAAACCAATCACAGTTATATATTGCAGAATCTTAGAGTCACTAGCTTTTTTTGACTGTTCATTTCTGGCTGCTTGCGGAAATTTTTGTTTTTCTAAAACATCAAAGGATCATGTTTTGTTTTTATTGACTTCAGGGGTCTGGAACTATTCAAAATTATCCTAGAACCCTGGTTTTCAGAAGATAGATTTCTAAATAGGTAAAGTTTCACCTGTAGAGAGAAATGTCCTCATTTTCTGAGTCAACAATTCACAAAAGGACTAGGTACTTATTTTAATATAAGAGAATTTTATTTTGAGATTTTAGGATTCCCTGTGAGTTGTATAAATAGTTTATGTGTTCTAAAATATGGGTCAAGATTCACCTTTTTCTCTATTGATGATACTACTACTTTTTATGCCCTGTACATAGGTATGTTACAAGAATCAATTAACAGTTATGTCAATTTCATATTTCACTAGTGACTGAAATGCTAGCTTTGGAAAAATAGAGGGCAGCATGGAGCAACAGATTAGGTACTAAGGCAGGACTCAGGACACTGAGCTCTAGAGTGCTAGATAAAGTAATAAAATAATTGTCTGATACAGCTTTGGGCAATTATAAAACCTAAGGACCTCAGAGGCTTCATTTGTAAATTCAGAGAAGAGAGGTGTTTCATTCCTTTTATTTCCCACTCAACTACACATGTCTGAGGCAGGAAAACAAGGCTGCCCCACTCGTGGCAGTCCTGACGACGATCCTCGAGGGCTGCTCTTGGCCTCCAGCCTTGGCTAAGGAGAACAGGGACCCCCCAAAGCCCATGGGAGAGAGGCACGAAAGGTGATTTAAAGTATCTTCTAGCTCTAAAGTTACGTGATAACTAAATAGGAAAATCTGCATGTGAATAGTAATAGCTGCTCCTTCATAGTTCTCAAAAAGGAAGATACACATTATGTAATGTAATAATGATAGAAAAGATTTCACCATTCTTCCCCATTTACATTTTTTTAGGAGATTACACATAGAAGAATAAAGCTTGACACATTAAAGCGGGGAAAGACTGGTAAGATTCCATGAGCAGAGACACAATCAAATTATTCATGCTCCAGTGAATCAGCAAATCTGGGGTTAGCCACTTCTAAGAAAGGATGGCTCATTTTTCCTGATCCCTTGGTCTCTGATCTTTCCATTTAGTCTTGCCAGTATTTGAAACATACTACCCTCACAATTAGTAATATTCGTAAGTAAATATGTCATTTTATGAAGAGAAAAAATTAAAGCTAAGTACTCTCTTAGGTAGGCAGATGAAGCTCTAAGATCAAATTATCTGACATGTCAACACTAATTTTCTTTTTCTTTTTTTTTTTTTTTTTTTTTTGAGATGGAGTCTCACTCTGTCATCCAGGATGGTGTGCAGTGGCATGATCTCGGCTCACTGCAACCTCTGCTTCTTGGGTTTAAGCGATTCTCCTGCCTCAGCCTCCCAAGTAGCTGGAACTGCAGGCACACGCCACCACGCCAGGCTAATTTTTATATTTTTAGTAGAGTCGGGGTTTCACCATGTTGGCCAGGCTGGTCTGGAACTCCTGGTCTCAAGTGATCTGCCTGCCTCAGCCTCCCAAAGAGCTGGGATTGCAGGTGTGAGCCATTGCACCTGGCCCAAATTTTTTTTTTTTTTTTTTTTAAACAAGGCGTTTGTCAAAGTGGCCACATGGACTGGAAAGAGAAATTTGATTTTTTTTTTTTTTTTTTTAAATACAGTCTCATTCTGTTGCCCAGGCTGGAGTGCAGTGGCATCATCTTGGCTCTCTACAACCTCTGCCTCCTAGGTTCGAGCTATTCTTGTGTCTCAGCCTCCTGAGTAGCTGGGATTACAGGCATACACCACCATACCCGGCTAATTTTTGTATTTTTAGTAGAGACGGGTTTTCTCCAGGTTGGGCAGGTTGGTGCTGAACTCCCAGCCTCAAGTGATCTGCCTGCTTTGGCATCCCAAAGTGCTGGGATAATAGGCGTGAGCCACCATGCCTGGCATGAAAGAAGAAATTTAAATCCTCATATAACTACTGCTACTACTACCACCATTATTACCTTTAACCTTATATAGAGTTTCTATCTGCCAGGCACTGGGCTAAGTGCTTCACATGTATTAACTCATTTAATTCTCACATCCCTACTTAAATAGATATTACTATTAATCTCATTGTTCATATGTGAAAACTGAGGTAGAGCAAGAAGTAGTAATTTATTCAAGGTCATAAAGCAAGTGCAAGGGACAAGAGTCCAAGCTCACTACAATTACCTTATTGAAGTTTCTCATAATAATAGCTACCTATTTAGTACTTACTATGTACCAGACACTGTTTTAAAATACTTAACAAGAGTCTGGGTGCCTGTAATCCTAGCACTCTGAGAGCCCAAGGCAGGAGAATCGCTTGAGCCCAGGAGTTCGAGACTAGCCTGGCAGGCATAGTGAGACCCCATCTCTACAGAAAATCAAAAAATTAGCCAGGTGTGGTAGTGCATGCCTGGAGTCTCAGCTACTCAGGAGGTGGGAGAATTGCCTCAGTCCATGAGGTTGAGGCTGTAGTGAGCTATGATTGTGCCACTACACTCCAGCCTGGGCAACAAAGGAAGATCCTGTCTCAACAAACAAGCAAACAACAACAACAAAACACTTAACATGCATCAAACTCATTTAATCCTCGTAACACTATGAGGGCGATTATTATTATTACTCTAATTTTACACATGGAGGAAACAAGGCCCAGAATGTCACTTTTTTAAAAAGGTTACTTGAATTCAGTTTAAAAACATTTTTAAAAAATCTGTCAGTGTGCAGTTATTTGCATTTACTTTTAGAAAAGAACACTTTTCTAATTAAAACATGTTCAGAGGATTGTTATTAGTCAACTTACATTTCCCCCACCTTATTAATAAGTTGCCATAGTTCCCTGTCTCTTTATTTAGTAAAAACACTTTTCTAATTAATATGTATTTTCAGAAAGTACTGCTGTTACTCCACTTACATTTTTCCCCATCTTATTGAATAAATTCCCATACTCTGCCTCCTTTCTCTCCATATAAAGCGATACTCCTCTCCTCCCAGGTTTATTGTAACTCTAAGTTTGCCTTTATTTATTCATTTATGTTATGAGACAGGGTCTTGCTCTGTCACCCAAACTGGAGTGTAGTGGTGTGATCATGGCTCACTGCAGTCTTGACCTATCAGGCTCAAGCAATCCTCCCACCTCAGCCTCCCAAGTAGCTGGGACTACAGGCGCACACTACCAAGCATGACTAATTTTTTTTTTTTTTTGAGATGGAGTCTTGCTCTGTCGCCCAGGCTGGAGTGCAGTGACGCGATCTCGGCTCACTGCAAGCTCCGCCTCCCGGGTTCAAGCCTTTCTCCTGCCTCACCCTCCCGAGTAGCTGGGACCATAGGCGCCTGCCACCATGCCCGGCTAATTTGTTGTATTTTCAGTAGAGACGGGGTTTCACCGTGTTAGCCAGGATGGTCTCGATCTCCCGACCTCGTGATCCGCCCGCCTTGGCCTCCCAAAGTGCTGGGATTACAGGTGTGAGCCACCACACCCGGCTCAAGCATGACTAATTTAAAAAAAAATTTTTTTGGACCGGGCGTGGTGGTTCACGCCTGTAATCCCAGCACTTCGGGAGGCCGAGGAGGGCAGATCACGAGGTCAGGAGATTGAGACCATCCTGGCTAACACAGTGAAGCCCCATCTCTACTAAAAATACAAAAAAAAATTAGCCGGGCGTGGTGGCACGTGCCTGTAGTCCCAGCTACTCGGGAGGCTGAGGCAGAAGAATGGCGTGAACCTGGAAGGCGGAGCTTGCAGTGAGCCGAGATCGCGCCACTGCACTCCAGCCTGGGCGACAAAAGCAAGACTCCGTCTCAGAAAAAAAAAAATTTTTTTTTGTTTTGTAGAGATGGAGTCTCACTATGTTGCCCAGGCTGGTCTTGAATTCCTAGGCTCAGGTGATCCCCCTATCTGGGCGTTTCAAAGTCCCGAGATTACAGGCCCAGCCAGACTTCATTCTTAAGTAAATTTTAAAGTTTGCATTTGACAGACGCATGCTAGAAAATAATATCAAATGCCAGAGTGGAGAAGGGAATATGTAGATTCTCCCATGTATACCTCTCCCTTACTACCCTCCCCAAATTTCTTTAGTGCACAAAAGGACTATGGTAGGCAACAATAAACCAGGTTCATGTTCTTGTCAGTGCAGTTCAGTCTGTTTATAAGGGACACGCTGCTAAGAGTAAGATCTCTATTGTGTTCCTACGGAAAACAAAACGTAATACATCCAAGACAAAACTAGGTTATTCTTTGAGTCTATACTCATTAAAACATTAACAACCACTCATTCTAAGGCCAAGCTACAAATATAAAAACCAAAAAAGTATTTCAAAATAATGACTGATGCTGTACCCCAATATTCTCATTTTTCTACCTACACATACCATCATTATCTACCTACAAGGTCCAGGAAGTCATTTGCCTACTTTTTATTCCTTCAGAGACACCAAAGTCCGTGTTTCCCAATTAATATATTTTACATGTGAAAACACATTAATAAACTCTGCAAAATGGAAAAAGGATGAGAAAGAATGATGAGATAGATAATGTAAAAAGTATGTAACTACCAATATTCTGATAATAAGCAGTGACAGAGGAAATACAGGCAAATAGGAATCAAATGATTAGAATTTTCGTTAGTGATCATTTGGCAATGAGTGTATATATCAGTTGGCTCTCCAAGAAGGCAAATACTTGATTCTTGGCATTACTCTTTTCAATTTTCTAGTTCTGAAAAAAATTCCATTTTAATGGAAAAGGTAAAATAAAGGACAATGTAAATGATGTAGTTGAGAGAATATAAGCTTTAAAGTCAGTCCTTCGGTTTGATCCCAGATCTTCCACCCTGATCATGACATTCAGGTTACTTTTTCTTTCAGCACCAGGTTCCCCACAGGTAAAATGGGTATAATATTATCTTCCTCACAAGGGTGGTGCGAGAAATAAATGAGATGTGATGTATGTGACATATGCAGGTACCCCCGTACCCAATATTATCTTTTTTTAGGGTTGTTGCAAGGAAAGAAATGTATGTGGAAGTGTAATCACAAAGCCTAGACCATAGCAAGTATCATATAAACACTCATTTCCTTTCCCTTCGAATCTTTATTTAAGTTGGAGCATTTTATTATTGGCTGGTAGTCATAGCATTTTATTATTGGCTGGAAGTCTCACGCAGCTGAAAATCCTGTGAAAAATGTAAATAGACAGGAATCTAACTCACGTATTTGACATATTCTTTCCACTGTTGCCACCACTGCATGGAGATGATAAACCAGTTGTGTCCTGCTTGCAGACCATACCTGCTCTCTCGTTCTAACCATCCTCTGTATGTACAAAAGAAATTAAATACATCAAACAAAGTGTGAAATAGGTGGCAACGCACAAAAATTATCATTAGAAGTTTTATAAGGAAAACCGCGAAACATTTAGATGTAATTAGGAGAGACTGCCAAAACCCAATTAGTAAAACAACACTGTTTCTATTGATAAACCAATTTCAAGAGTCATAGGGCAGTATCAAGAATAATTACTTCAGGAAAAGATTCTGGGAAAAACTTAAAAATTAAAAAAAATTAGAAAAACAACTGGTGTTTCCAATTAATTAATTAATTACATTTTTTGCAGAATGTTCATGTAACCAATGATGTTCTTCAAAACAGCCTTATTGAGGAATAATTTACATATATATAAAACTTACCTATTTTAAGTGTACAACTCAGTGATTTTGATAACTTTACAGATATGTGCAACCAACACCACAATCAGTTTGAGAACATTTAAAACATTTCAATTAATCCAAAAAGACTGCTGTAGCCATTTTTGGTCAATTCCTATTACCACCCTCAGCAACAGGAAACCACTAATCTATGTTTTGTCTCTTACAGATTTGTCTTTTCTCAACTATTCATATAAATAAAATGATAAAACACATGGCCTTTTAAAAATTTGGCCTCTTTGACTTTGCGTGTTTTTGTGGTTCATCTATTATTGTGGCAGACATCAGTTGGTTGTGCTTTATTACTGAATAGTATTCCACTGTATGTATATATTACATTTTGTTTATCCATCCAACACCTAAAGAACATTTGAAACTGGCAAGTCAATTTCCAAAGTGGCTGTCCATTTAACATTCCCATCAGCAATTCTAGTGGGTGTGAAACACTGTTACACTGGGATTATAAAAAAAAAAATCTACTCTATCTATCTATCTATCTATCTATCTATCTATCTATCTATCTATCTATCTACAGAATCTCACTCTAGCCTAGGCTGGAGTGCAGTGGTGCAATCTCAGCTCGCTGAAGCCTTGACCTCCTGGGCTCAAGCAATCCTCCTGCCTCAGCCTCACAAGTATCTGGGACTACAGGTGTGTGCTATGCCCAGCTAATTTTTTTTTTTTTTTTTTTTTAACTAGAGACAAGGTCTCACTATGTCACCCAGGCTGGTCTTGAACTCCCAAAAGTGTTGGGATTACAGACATGAGCCACTGTGCCCAACCAAAAACTATTTATTTTTTTGAGGTGAAAATGGCATAATATGAAATTATTTTAAATCATACAATTCAATGGCATTTAGTACATCCAAAATGCTGTGTGACCACCTCTTATTAAGTTTCAAAACATTCTGATACACCTCAATTAAAAAGTCATCCATTAAATAGTTATTCCCCATTACCCACTTCGCCCAGACCTTAACAACCACCAGTCTGCTGTCTGGACCTATTGACTTGCCTGTTCTGGATATTTCATGTAAATGGGATGATTCAACATATGACCTTTTATGTCTGGCTTCCTTCATTTAACATGTTTGTGAGGTCCAACCATGTTGTAGTATGTATCAGTACTTTATTCCTTTTTATGGTTGAATAATATTCCATGGTGTGTATATACTACATCTCGTTTAACCATTCATCCACTGATGGATGTATAGACTGTTTCTACCTTTTGGCTATTGTGAACAGTGGTACTATGAAAGTTGTGTTCAAGTATTTGAGTACCTGTTTTCAATTATTCTGGTATATATTTAGAAGTAGAATTGCTGGTACATGGAAATTCTTGCTGAGGAACTGCCAAACTGTTTTCCACAGTGATTGCACCATTTTACATTTCTACCAGCAATATATGAGAGTCCCTAATTTCCCTACTTGCCAAAACCTTCCATTTTAAAAATTCTAATAATCTTATTGAGAAGTAGAATTTCATTGTTTTGACTTGCATTTCCCTAATGACTAATTACGTTGAGCATCTTTTCATGTGCTTGATGATCACTGAACATCTGGAGAAACATGTATTCAAGTCCATTTTTAGGTGTCTATTTTTAAATTGGGTTGTTTGCTTTTTGTTGTTAAGCTGTAGGAGTTCTTTATATATTCTAGTTAGGAGACCCTTATTGGATTATATTATCTCCCATTCTATAGGTTTTTTTGGTTTTAAAAATAATATCTCTTGATGTATAAAAGTTTTAAGTTTTGCCAGGTACAGTGGCTCACACCTGTAATCTCAGCACTTTGGGAGGCTGAGGCAGGCGAATCGCTTGAGCCCAGGAGTTCAAGACCAGCCTGGGCAACATGGCAAACCCTCATCTCTACAAAATATACAAAAATTAGCTGGGCGCAGTGCCTCACGCCTATAATCCCAGCACTTTGGGAGACCGAGGCAGGCAGATAACCTGAGGTCAGGAGTTCGAGACCTGCCTGACTAACATGGTGAAACCCCGTCTCTACTAAAAATACAAAAAAATTAGCTGGTGTAGTGGTGGGCACCTATAATCCCAGCTACTTGGGAGGCTGACACAGTAGAATCGCTTGAACCCAGGAGGCAGAGTTTGCAGTGAGTCGAGATCATGCCATTGCACTCCAGCCTGGGCAACAGAGCGAGACTCCATCTCAAAAAAAAAAAAAAAAAAATTAGCTGGTTGTGGTGGTGCACGCCTGTGGTCCCAGCTACTCACGAAGCTGAGGTGGGAGGGAGTTTGAGGTTGCAGTGAGCTGTGATGGTGCCACTGCACTCCAGCCTGTGTGACAGTGTGAGACTGTCTCAAAACACAAAAACAAAACAAACGAAAACCTTTCAAATTTTGATGAAATGCAGTAGTTTTTCTTTGGTTGCTCATGCTTTTGGTGCTACAACTAACATTCCACTGCAAAATTCAAATAATTTTTGAGGAAATAGTTTTGTTAGATATAGAGATCTTGGTTACAGTTTTTCCCCCACTTTCAGTTCTTTAAAAAAATTACCATCCCACTCACTTCTGGATTCCATGCTTTCTGATGAGAAACATGCTATTAATTTTATTGATGATCCATTGTATGGGACAAACAGCTTCTCTTTTGCTTTCAAGATTCTCTCTTTGTTCTTGGCTTTGTAAAATACAGTTTCATTATAATGCTTCTCAGTGTGGATCACTTTGTTTATCTTTCTTTAAGTCCAATGAGCTTTTTGAACGCGTAGGTTCACGTCTTAAGAAGTTTAGGACAATTATTTCTTCAAATATTCTGCCCTTTCCTTCTCTCTCCTTTCCTAAGATTCTTATGTTGACACATATGATGTTGTTCTATGGGTTTCTTACGTTCTGTTCATTTTTCGTCATTCTGTTTTCTTTCTGCTCCTCAGTCAATAATTTCAATGGACTTTTATTTAACTTCTCTGATTCATTCTTCTGCCTGCTCATATCTGATGGAGAACCCCTCTAATAGATTTCTCATTTCAGTTATTGTAGTTTTCAGCTCCAAAACCTGTTTGGTTCCTTTTTATACTTTCTCTTTATTGATACTCTATTTGTACATATATCATTCTCTTGGTTTCATTTATTTATTTCTTTATTTATTAGTTTTTGAGATGGAGTCTCGCTCTGTCACCCAGGCTGGAGTGCAAGTGGCACAATCTCAGATCACTACAACCTCCGCCTCCCGGGTTCAAGGGATTCTCCTGCCTCAACCTTCCAAGTAGTTGGGATTACAGGAGCCTGCCACCAGGCCTGGCTAATTTTTGTATATTTTTTAGTAGAGACGGGGTTTTACCATGTTGGCCAGGCTGGTCTCGAACTCCTGACCTCAAATTATCTGCGCCTTGGCCTCCCAAAGTGCTGGGATTACAGGCGTGGGCCACCATGCCCAAGCCAATTCTCCTGGTTTCCTTTAGTTTGTTGTCCATCACCTCCATTAGCTCTTTGAACATATTTAAGATAATTGATTTTAAATGTTTGTCTACTAAGTCCAATGTCTGTGCTTCCTCAAAGAGAATTTCTATTAATTTCCTCTGCGAATGGACCACACTTTCTTGTTTCTGCAATTTTTTGTTGAAAACAACATTTTGAGCATTAATGGTAACTCTAGAAATATTTCCCTCCACCTCAGGGTTTGCTTTCACTGACTGCTATAGTTGTTTGTTTAGTCACTTTTCTAAAATATTTTTATAAAGTCTGTCTTCCTTGTTATGTGTAGTTTCTTAAGTCTTCATTTCACTTGTGTTCGAAGAGCTAGTATTTTGACAGTGATTTCCTAGAATGGCAGAAGTGGGGAGAGGGAGAGAAGAAAAGAGAGAGGGAGGGAGAGAGAGGAAGAGAAAGAGAAAAAAGGGAGAGAGAGAGAGAGAGAGACAAAAGACAGAGACAAAGACAAAAACCACTACTGTCTTTGCAGAATGGCGCTGTGCTGGGGCATTCCTACAATGGTTTACAACTATGCCTTAGCCTTCACTACCTGTACCCTTAGTCTAGAAGCTCAGCCAGAGGTGAAAGTTTACGGGTCTTATAAGGTCTTTTCTGAGTGTGTATCTTGTTGTTGGCATGTGCAAAGCCTTCTAAATTACCCAATGTACAGTGTGCTTTTGGGTACTTTAATTTCCCAAGGAAACTCTCAAGTTCCCACCACCCGCAAGACTTTCAGCATTCTATTATATGCCTCAATTAAAATATTTTACCCCAGGTGACTGCAGGTGGCTGGCTCGTTTGCCTTACAGAACTTCTGACGAATAACCCTGCCTGCCTTTCCATCCTGGGTAAATTCTGAGTTAAGTATAACATAGCTGAGCATCTTGCAGTAGCTTTTCTGGTAGCCCCAGACGGTTTAGACAAACACAACTTGTTTTGTTTTGTTTTTGAGACAGAGTCTTGCTCTGTTGCCCAGGCTGGAGTGCAGTGGCTCAATCTCAGCTCACTGTAACCTCTGCCTCTCGGGTTCAAGCGATTCTCCTGCCTCAGCCTCCCAAGTAGCTGGAACTACAGGTGTGCGCCACCATGGCCGGCTAATTTTTTGTATTTTTAGTACAGACGGGGTTCCATCATGTTGGCCAGGCTGGTCTCGAACTCCTAACCTCAACTGATTCACCCACTGTGGCCTCCCAAAGTGCTGGGATTACAGGTGTGAGCCAACGCACCCAGCCTGACAAACACAACTCTATAAATAAGGTATGTTCTGCTCTCTCTGAAACCAGGGACCAGGTGGGTTGCCATTTTCAAGGCTGCCATTACTAAACCAGACAATGGCAAATATATATACAGGCTTTTAAAAAATTATTATTTTTTTTATAATTTTTTAAATCAACATTTGCTTAGTAGCTATAAATCTTTGTCTCTTTCTTCAGAGTTCCAACAGAGTTGAAATGGGCAGTTTGTTCTTTATTTTTCAATGTTTCTGTGGAGAGACAGGCTCTTAGAGCTACCCACTACATAATTTTCACTGAGTCACTCCTCTCATTGTGCTTTTAATTTGCCTTCTCTGAGGAAGCAGAACATCTTGTCATGTACTTACATGTATGGTTAAGAGTCTATTCAACTCTTTTACACATTTTAAATTAGATTTTCTTGATGTCTTAATGTGTTGTAACAGTCCTTTATATATTCTGGACATGAATACTTTATCATATATAAAATTTGCAAATATTTTCTCTAGGGCTGTGAGGCTGTAGCTTTTATTTTCTTAATGCTCTCTCTTGAAACTCAAACGTTTTTAATTTTTTCTAAGTCTTACACTTTTTTCCCCACTTATAAACTGTGCTTTTGGTGTTATATCTATGAAATCTTCTAATCCCAAATCACAAAGATTTTCTACATTTGCTTTTCTAGAAGTGTTATATTTTTAGCTCTGATGTTTAGGTATAGGGAATCCATTTTGAGTATACTTTTAAGCATAGTGTGAGGTAAGGGGTCTAAAATAATCTGTTTGTGTATGGATATCCAAATTCTCCTGCACCGTTTTTTGTTTTTTAAAGAGACAGAATCTTGCTATGTTGTACAGGCTGGTATGAGGTGGCTATTCACAGGTGTGATCACTGCATACTCACACTAAAGCCGTGAACTCCTGGGCTTAAGTGATCCTCCTGTCTCAGCCTCCTGAGTAGCTGGGACTACTGGCCAGCTACACCACTGTGCTCAGCTCCTCCTGGACCATTTTTTTTTCTTTTTAAAGTCAGTCCTTTCTCTACTGAATTTTCTTGACATCTTTAAAAAACAATAAAAATGATAATAAAAATAACCATTGACCAAAAATATAAGGGTTTCCTTTTTTTCTTTTTTCAGGCAGAGTCTCACCGTCACCCAGGCTGGGGTGTAGTGGCATGGTCTCAGCTCACTGCAACCTCCGCCTCCTGGGCTCAAGTGATTCTCCTGCCTTAGCCTCATGAGTAGCTGAGACTACAGTCGTGTGCCACCATGCCTGGCTAATTTTTGTGTTTTTAGTAGAGATAGGGTTTCGCCATGTTGGCCAGGCTGATCTCAAACTTCTGACATCAGTGAAACCACCTCTGCCTCCTAAAGTGCTGGGATTACAGGCATGAGCCACCACGCCTGGCCAAGGGTTTCCTTTTAAAATATCAATTCCATTTTACTGATCTCTATGATTCTCCTTATTCCAGTACTTGATTAATGTATCCTTAGGTAAATTGTGAAATCAGGAAGTCTAAGTCTTCTGTTTTTTGTCATTTTTTTGAAGTTGTTTAGGCTAGTCTGAGTTCTCTGCATTTCCCTATACAATTTAGGAATAGCTTGTCAATTTATAGAAAAAAGCTGGGATTTGATTAGGTGTGTTTTGAATCTATAGAACAATTTGAGAAAATTGCCATATTGACAACAATAAGTTTTCAAATCCATTTACGTACATTTTCTTAAATTTCTGTCAGCAATGCTTTGTATCTTTCAGTGCACAAGTCTTGCACTTCTTTTGTTGAATTTGTTTCCAAGGGTTTGATTTCTTTTGACAATATAGTGAATGGAATTGTTGTCTTCTTTTTAATTGTACTTTCAAATTATTCTATCTAGTACATGACAATTCAATTGATTGCTTAATCATTGATCTTGTATCCTGTCATGTTGCTGAACTCATTTTATTAATTCTAACAGTTTTTCTGTGAATTCTTCAGGGTTTTCTACACATAGGATCATGTTATCTGCAATTACAGACAGTTTTATTTTTCTTTACAATCTTGATGCCTTTTATTTCCTTTTCTTGCCTAATTTAACTAGCTTGAAGCTCTAATACAATGTTGATAAGTGCGGCAAAAGCAAGTATCCTTTCCTGATCTTATGGGAAAAGCCTTCAGTGTTCTACCATTAAGTATGATCTCAGCTGTATGTTTTTCAAGATATTTTTTAGAGTGAGGAATTTCCCTTCCCCAAAGTTGTGAATGAGCATGACTGTGCTCTAGTAAAATGTTATTTATGTACACTGAAATGTGAATTTTATATAATTGTAAGGTGTCACAAAATATTTATCCCCTTTTGGTTTTTTCTAAGCCACTTAAAACGGTAAAAACATTTTTAGCTTGCAGATTGTACAGAATCAGGCAGTGGGACAAAGTTGGTCAATATGCCATAGTCTGCTGACTAACTGCTGGCCTAGTATATGGTCTATCCTAGAACAATACTCTGTCTACATTTGAATATGTATTCTGTTGCTGTTGGCTGAAGGGTTCTGTTGGTGGGTGCATATATCATCATTTATCATAATAAAATGTCTCTCTGGCTCCAGTAACTTGACTTTTGTAACCTAAAAGCCATTTTCTTTTCTTAACAGTAAAGTGATTTTAGTTCACGTATGGCTATATTTGTATGGTTTTATCTTTTATTCTTTTACTTTCAACCTATTTGTGCCTTTGAATCTCAAGTAGCTGGATTGTGTTTTTTTTTTTTTTTTTTTTTTTTGAGATGGAGTCTAGCTCTGTCACCCAGGCTGAAGTGCAGTGACGCGATCTCGGCTCACTGCAAGCCCCGCCTCCCGGGTTCACGCCATTCTCCTGTCTCAGCCTCCCGAGTAGCTGGGACTATAGGCGCCCACCACCACGCCCAGCTAATTTTTTTAGTAGAGACCGTGTTAACCAGGATGGTCTCAATCTCCTCACCTTGCAATCCACCCACCTCGGCCTCCCAAAGTGCTAGGATTACAGGCATGAGCCACCGTGCCCAGCCAAGTAGCTAGATTTTTCAAAAAACAAGTCAGTCTAAATCTTTGGCTTTTGATTATCTGTTCAATCTGTTTATATTTAAGGTAAAAACAGATGTGGATTTATGTCTGCTATTTAGTTTTTTGTTTTCTATGTATCAAGTCTATTTGTTCCTCTATTCCTCTAGTTCTTTCTTTTGTGGTAAATAGGTATTTTCTAGGAATTTAAATAGGTAACATTTTAATGCCTTTTTAAATAAAACTATTTTGGGGGATCATTTTCTTAGAGATTGTTGTAGGGTTTACAATATGGATCTTAACATAGTCTACTTTATTGTTTATTTTACTTTATGTTTTTGAGATGTCATCTTGCTCTGTCGCCCAGGCTGGAGAGCAGGCGTTCCATCTCAGCTTACTGCAACCTCTGCCTCCTGGGTTCAAGTGATTCTCCCACCTCAGCCTCATGAATAGATAGGGTTACAGGCACGCACCACCACGCCAGGCTAATTTTTGTACTTTGAGTAGAGACGAGGTTTTGCCATGTTGGCCAGGCTGGTATCGAACTCCTGGCTTCAAGAGATCCGCCTGCCTTGGCCTCCCAAAGAGCTGGGATTACAGGCGTGAGCCATGGCACCCAGCCAACATAGTCTACTATGTTTGATTGATACTAATTTATTCCAGTAAAGTATAGAAACTAAAAAAGTGTAGAAACTAAAACATAGAAACTTTGCTCAAATATAGCTCCCCTTCTACTCTCACCTTTGTGCTATTGTTGTCACTCATATAAGATCGTTATATGTAATGGGAACAACATGGTTTTATAATTATTGTCATGTAAAAATGTCTTTTAAACCAGTAAAAAATAAAATAAACAGAATGGTATATTTATACTGTCTTTTATTATTACCTATGTAATTTCTACTATTGGTGCTCTTTATTTTTTTTTTTGGCAGTTTTTATGGTTTTATTTAAACATAAAACATGCATATGAGCTGTCTATTCATTTTCTTCACAGGCTGGCATTGGGATTGGTGACTCTGATGGCCAGCTGGGCTGCTCTTTCCACAATGTCTTTGCAGTTCTTGGAGGAAACACTGTGGGCAATCTCAGCACACTTGTTGCACGTCAGCAGCACTTCCAGCTCCTTGACATTGCGGACCAGGAAATTCTGGAAGCCACTGGGCAGCATGTGGTTTGTTTTTTGTTGCTGAACCTTCTACAAACTCTGTTGTCAATACCTCTGGGTTTCTGTCAGTTACACTTAGTTTTGACATATCAGTGTAACTGGTGCTGGATGAAATTCTTGGTTCTCTTTTTGATGATCTTGGACTTCACAAGGGGTCTGAGGGCAGCTATGATGCCAAGTAGGAGATGGCTGCCACCTCCGTAGGCAGCGCCAAGGAAGAGAGCCTCTTTATTTGTTCATGTGGATGTTAATAACCGTCTGGTGTCACTTATTTTCAGCTTGAAGAACTTCCTTCAGTATTTAAAGACAGATTTCCTGGTAACAAATTTTCAGTGTTCATATAGGAATGTCTTTAGTTCACCTTCTTTTTTTTTTAATGTGTTTTTTTTTAAAAAGCTTTAAAAATATTTCTATTAAAAAATTATATATAATAATAGTATATGTTTTTGGGGTACATGTGATATTCTGATATATGCATACAATGCGTAATGATCAAATATGGTAATTAGGATATTCATCACCTCAAATATTTATCATTTTTTTGGGTTGGGAATATTCCGAATCTTCTAGCTAATTTGAAATATACAATAAATTATTTTTAACTATAGTTACCCTACTGTGCTATTAAACACTAGAAGTCATTCATTCTATCCAACTGTATTTTTACAGTCATTAACTAACCTCTCTTCAATATTATCCCTCCTGCCCTTGCCAGCCTCTGATAACCATCATAATACTCTCTAATTCCACGAGATCAACTTTTTTAGCTCCCACTTAAAAGTGAGAACACGTGATATTTGTCTTTCTATGCTTGGCCTATCTCACTTAACGTAATGACCTCCGGTTTTATCCATGTTGCTGCAGATGACAGGATTGCATTCATTTTATGGCTGAATAACATTTTATTGTGTATGTGTGTGTGTATATATATATATATTTTTTTTTTTTCTTTATCCATTCATCAACTGATGGACACTTAAGTTGATTCTGTATCTTGGCTATTGTAAGTAGTGCTGCAATAAACACAGGGGTGTAGATAGCTCTTTGCTTTACTGATTTCCTTTCTTCTGAATATATACCCAGCAGTGGGATCGCTGGATAATATGGTGGATCTATTTTTAGTTTATTGGGGCACCTCCATACTGTTTTCCATATTGACTGTACTAATTTACATTCCCATCAATAGTGTACTAGCACTTCCCTTTCTTCACATCCTCATCAGAATCAGTTATTCTTTGTCTTTTTTATAATAGCCATTTTAACTGGGAGATAATATTTCATTGTGGTTTTGATATTTCGATTATGATTAGTGATGTTGAGCATTTTTTCATATATCTGCTGGCCATTTGTATGTCTTTTTTTGAGCAATGTCTATTCAGATCACTTGCCCATTTTTAAATTGGGTTATTTGGTTTTTTGTTATTGAGTTGAGGCCTTTATACATTCTGGTTATTAAAACCTTGATGAATGGATAGTTTGCAAATATTTTCTCCTATTCTGTTGGTTGTCTCTTCACTCTGTTGACTGTTTCCTTTGCTGTAAAGCTTTTTAACTTGATGAAATCCTGTTTGTCCATTTTTGCTTTGGCTGACTGTGCTTTTGAGGTATTATACAGTGTCATACCACTCAGACAAATGTCCTACAGCATTTCCCCAATTTCGTCTAGTAGTTTAGGTCTTAGATTTAAGTCTTTGAATCCATTTTCTTTTCTTTTTTTTTTGAGGCGGAGTCTCCCTGTGTAGCCCAGGCTGGAGTGCAGTGGGGCAATCTCGGCTCACTGCAACCTCCACCTCCCGGTTTCAAGCAGTTTTCCCACCTCAGCCTCCTGAGTAGCTGGGATTACAGGCGCCTGCCACCATACCCAACTAGTTTTTGTACTTTGAGTAGAGATAGGGTTTCACCATGTTGGTCAGGCTGGTCTCGAACTCCTGGCCTCAGGTGATCCAGCCGTCTCGGCCTCCCAAAGTGCTGGGATTACAGGCATGAGCCACCTCGCCCAGCCTCTTTAATCCATTTTGATTTGATTTTAGTGTATGGTAAGAAATTGGGAACTGGTTTCATTCTTCTGCACGTGGATATCCAATTTTTCCAGCACCATTTATTGAAGAGATTGTCCTTTCTCTAATGTATGCTCTTGGCATCTTTGTCAAAAAAGAGTTGGTTGTAAATGTGGGGGGTTTTGCTTGTTTGTTTGTTTTGGTTTTTTTTTTGTTTGTTTGTTTTTGAGACAGAGTCTCATTCTGTTGCCCAGGCTGGAGTGCAGTGGCGTGATCTTGGCTCATTGCAACCTCCACCTCCCCAGTTCAAGCGATTCTCCTGCCTCAGCCTCCTGAGTAGCTGGGACTACAGGCATGTGCTATCACACCTGGATAATTGTTTTGTATTTTTAGTAGAGACGGGGTTTCACCGCGTTAGCCAGTATGGTCTCAACCTCCTGACGTCATGATCCACCTACCTCAGCCTCCCAAAGCACTAGGATTACAGGCGTGAGCCACCACGCCTGGCCTGGATTTATTTCTGGGTTCTCTGTTCTGTTCCATTGGTCTATTTGTCTGTTCTTATGTCAGTGCCATGCTGTTTTGGTTACTATAGCTTTGTAGTGTATTTTGAAGTCAGGTAGTAATTCACCTTTATTTCTGAATTACAGTTCTGCTAGATAAAGAATTCTGGATTGACAGTTTTTGCTTTTTTGGTTTTTTCCTTATATCACTTTCTCATATCACTGCACACTGAGCTCTATTGTTTCAAAAAGTCAGCTGTTTATCACATTGTGGTTCCCTTCTACATGATGAGTCTTTCTGCTCTTGTGGCTTTCAACTTCTTCCTTTGTCTTTAGTTTTCAACACTTTGACAATGATATGTCTAGGTGTGATTCTTTCTGTGTTTAACCTAGTTGGAGTTCATTAAGCTTCTAAGATTAATAATTTTCGAGAAATTTTAGAACTTTCAGACATTATCTTGTCAAACTTTTTTCTGCTTCTTTCTTTCCTTCTGAGACTTTCATTATGCATATTTTGGTAGACTTGATCATGTTCCAACTTCTGTGAAACTCTGTTCATTTATTTGGTCTTCTTTCTCTCTTTCTGATGAAATAATCTCTATTGATCCATATTCTGTTTTGCTGAATATTTCTCTGTCAACTCAAATCTGCTAGAATTTCTATTTGATTCTGTTTTAAATTTTTATTTATTTATTGCTATTTTCTATTTGGACAAGTCAGTGAGATCATACATTCCTCTAATTCTTTAAATACAGCTTCGTTTAGCTCTTTGAAAACATTTACAATAGTTGTATTGAAGTCTTTGTGTGCTAAGGAGAACATCTGCTGCCACCTCTGAGACAGTTTCTACTATTCTTTGTTTTTTCCTCGTATATGGGTCACATTTTCCTGTTTTATTCCATGTCTCATAATTTTTTCTTGTTGAAAACTGAACACATTTGATACTTTATATTAGCAACTCTGGATTCTGAACCCCTGTGTGTTTTGTTTTGTTTTACGACTTCCTGGAACAATTCTGTAGAGTTTATCTTCCGGTACAGTATCTTGCAGTGTGAAGCTGCTCAGTTTCTTCGTGTTTTCTTTTTTATTATCTGTTTTTATTTTTAAGCTTGGCCTTCTTGGGGTGAGCCTAACTTACTGGTCAGCCAATGACTGCTGAGAGGTTGTGCTCTCAGCAGTTTACTGGTTGTGTTTAGCCAGTAACATTCACACCCTTTTCCTGATGGATCTGTACATGGTTTGGGGAATGCATTTAAAGTTTGGGCAGGTTACAAGCCTACCCTGGCTTTTACTTTCTGCACATGCAAGGCTTCACCTTCAACTAGGGAAGAATAAAGTGCTAAAGCCCACTTTGGTTTCTCCTGAGTTTGTGTATAGCCTTGTACAAGCAGTCTACAGATCACTGGGGACATGAGAAAGCTTGCTAAGGCTCACTATGGTGATCCTGTTCCCTGTTAAAAATTTGACTGGTCTGTTGTTAGTCTGCTGCTTCCCCTAACCAGTATTTTATCCCCAAGCTGGTGATGTCAGTTTTCCCTCACTGTTTACCACCATGATGGTATGTATTTATTTTATTATCCTTGGACAGGCATTTATTCCTGCTCTCCTTCAAATCATGAATCAGACTGACAGCCCATGCAGACTTGCTGGATGGGAGGAAATGAAAGCTGCTCCTGGTTAAATTACCACACACTTCCATTGTTCTCACCAAGGATTAGTAGTTCTTGAATAAATGCTTCTCAATTTCTTGTATATATTTGGTCAGTTTCCAGAGTCCTGAAATGGTTGTTTGACAATTTTGTTCAGTTTTTTAAGTGCTTTTGGGGAAAGGGTTGGCTGAGATCTTCACTCGGCCATTCCAGAAATCACGATACTTTTTTTTTTTAACAACGTACTGACTGTAAGTTAGAGACAAATATTTGTTTCACCTCATTGCATATGAACCAACCTGAATCATCCTTTAAAAATTATCACAGTCAAATGAATTTTTATAAGTAATAGTAGAGGCAAAATAAAATAAAACTGAAAATGAATAAACAAATTTTAAAAAAAACCCACAGATGAAATGAACCCATTTGGAACCAACAATTTTAAATCTAGACTTATTAAAAAATACAAAATACAAAAGGCAAATTATTGGTACTTTTAATGAAAGAGGTCCTAAACTTGATTCTGCCAGTCCCATGTAATTTCAGGTCCTCAACTTCTATAAATCTTGGTTTCCACTTTTACAAAATGAGAGACACTAATTTCATGCAGTTATTCTAAGGACCAGATGAGATAATGTAACTACATGTATTTTACAAAGAATAACTTTCTATGAAAATATAAGATTATATCAACCTTATTTTTTGAAATAGGGATGCTATGAGTAGTTGTAAAATAAGCCAATAAATATAAATATAGGCTATAAAGCATTATTTCTACCTATGCTAAGTGATATTTACCTCAGAATATATTACTATAATAAATTAGATTGTAATATTCTAAGAAAAAAAGTCACTATAGCCACATAAAAGCCTTTATGTATGTCCTTACAATATCTGGTTTCTACATGTCAATTATTTTAAAATCCTACGTTAATATATTTTAAAATCTTTTAGTAGCTAAAAACTAGAGACAATCAAGAAAACACTCAAGAATATCAAGACTGAGTCTTCTGAGTATGAATATTTAAAAAACTACATGAAAGTTGGGCACATTGGTGTACACCTGTAATCCCACCTACTCAAGAGGCTGAAGTGGAAGGATCTCTTGAACTCAGGAGAGTTCAAGACCAGCCTGGGCAATACAGTGAGACCCCATCTCAAAAGAAAAACCAAGACAGAAAATAAAACCAACAAACAAAAACTACATGAGACTAGAGTTTTATGAAAGCAACATTTAAAAAAATAGATTTTGCTTAATCTTCTTTAAGAAATAACCATGCTGTTTTGCATATGGAGTGGCCACCCATTTATTCCTTTCTTTTCTTTTTTTTTTTTTGAGAGAGTCTCACATTGTCACCCAGGCTGGAATGCAATGGCATAATCTTGGCTCACTGCAGCCTTGACCTCCTGGGCTCAAGCAATCCTCCCACCTCAGCCTCCCAAGTAGCTGGGACCACAGGCGTGTACCACCAAGCCTTGATAATTTTTGTATTTTTTGTAAAGACAGGGTCTCACCATGTTGCCCAGGCTGGTCTCGAACTCCTGAGCTCAAACAATCCACCTGCCTTGGCTTCCCAAAGTGCTGGGATTACAGGCATGAGCCACTACACCCAGCCCCTTCACTTTCTTAATAAACTTGCCTTCACTTAAAAAAAAAATAATAATAATAAATAACCGTTTTTAAAACTTGTCATTTAAAAACTTAGAAAATATATCTACTACTTTAAATATCTATATCTTAATTGGCATGTCCTGTTTAAATGCTGAATATGTAATCCTATTCTCAGGTATTCCAAACAACTCTATTTTAGTAAACTCCCATCTATCCAGAAACCCAAGCCAGAAGAAACTACTGAAAAGTTTGTATGCACAATACTTTCAAGAAAAAGTCAAATGACAGTACCTATTGAGAGTTTATTTTAAAAGCAAATTTTACTAGAAATTCAGTCCTATTTCTGAAACTATCTACACAAATGTGTAGCATAATAGCAATGTCACAAAGCAATGAAAGACACTCAAGTTATTAAAAATTGGACTATAGCTATAAAATATGCATACCTTTGTTTTTTAAATATAATCCGGATATTTGATCTTAAGTAATTTATCCTAAAGTAAATCCTTAAGCCAAGACATAGAGATTTTATTAACAAAATTGGTCCAATATGCTTATACTAAAAAAGAATAATAGAGAATGAACAGGAATGCTAGCCAATCATTTAAAATTATATTCAAAGAAGGCTTTATTCTAATATATTAAAGTATTATTTTATATGATCTAGAGTGAAAATAGGAGCAGGGAATAAAGTAGGTATTTCAGAATATTCCCATTTTTATATGAATTTTACAAATATCACTGTGGGCATATGTTTATATGAATATTAAAAATGTCTACAGCAATTATCTATAAATTATCTATAAAATCTTTCTCTGCTTCTTTTTGTTTAGCTCTATTTTCTAATTTTTCCAACAATAAACATATTTTTGTACTAAAGAAAACTGGCTACCTTTTATCTCATTTCAAAAAATGAAATTTAGTATTCAGTGCAATTTTAATGTTAAATAGAATTTGCCTTCTTAATTAATCTATAGTACCTTCCCTTATCTAGGAAGGTACTTTAACAAAAATATTTCAATATGTAACTATTTTTGAGAAATAGTTAATGATTACATTAAAATAGGACATGCTGTTCCTCAGTAACCAATATATTTCAAGTATGTGAAATTTCAACTATATAATTGAAACTACAAATTTACCTAATAATTTGTCCTTCTTCTTCCGGAGTAGCTGGTCTTAACCCCAGAACTATGTGACACACCTAGGGAAAAAAATGGTAAATCAAAGTTTATTAACTGCATAATATTTCACATTATCTGCATGAGACCCATTTCCTAAATTGGAATCTGAATTAGCAACAGTTTTCAACTCATGAATTATCAATTATTCACTTGAGCAAATTTTAACTTTAGCCTTGTGGTTTTGGGGTTTTGTTTGCTTTTTTTAAACAAGCCATTCCAATGGAAGCTAACTTTCAAATCTCTAGGTAAGAAGGGAAGAGAAAGGGAAGGAAGAAAAAGCGAAAGGGGAAGACATTACCTCAGGAACAGATTTCAGAATAATTCTTCTGACACTTGCATATGCTAGATTTTAAATAACCAAAACACTCAGCCATGTGTGAGATCTTGGCAAATAAAAGCATAATTCAATATTGTATCATTAACCTAACAAATTAACTCTATCAATTTTAAAACACAGATAGAAAATAAAAACAATTTAGCATAACTGTCTGCTTATTCATATATTAATTGCATATATTAATTGTACATATGAGCATAACCAAATATGTGACAAAGCACATACAGTAAAATGTAATAAAATTTAGGTGTTGAGTAGATTATTGGATGTTTCCTGAAAAAAACTTTCAGCTTTTCAGTATAAAATGTTGGAAACATACATAAGCAAATATAAAGTATATGTTTATTCATTATCACAAAAATAGTGCCACTCCAAGTCCTTAGTAAGAATGACAAAATAGGAAAGGCAATACCAAAAGTCAAAATGCTATACTCTGTGAGAGCTACAAGATGACTCAGACACAAACTTAAGTGACCAAAATGTTCATACACTGATTATGAGATAAAGAGTACACTGAATATGTTCGTGTACAAACAGCATATGAACTGTCAACTGTACATGAGCAATACATTGAATGTGTTCATGTACTGTTCATACAAAAAGTTCGTACACTCAACATGTGATTGTTATTTTAAAAAGTAACAATAGTTTAATTAAAAAAAAAAAAGCCTACAGAACCTACTACTGAAGATCTTATTTTAAATGAGATAAAAATAGTTGACCAGGCTAGGCTTGGTGGCTCATATCTATAATCCTAGCACTTTGGGAGGCTGAGGCGGGCAGATCACTTGAGGTCAGGAGTTTGAGACCAGCCTGGCCAACATGGTGAAACCTCGTCTCTACTAAAAATACAAAAATTAGCTGGGGGTGGTGGCACACGCCTGTAATCCCAGCTACTCGGGAGGTTGAGGCAGGAGAATCGCTTGAACCTGAGAGATAGAGGTTGCAATGAGCCCAGATCCCAACCACTGCACTCCAGCCTGGGCGACAGAGCAAGACTCTGTCTCTAAATAAATAAATAAATAAAAAATAAAAAATAGTTGACCCATTTTCATGTTACCAAGCAATTCTGTTGTGTTTATAGTGGTGATCTATATTATTTTCATATATATTTTATAAAGCCATCGACTTGAATCTATGCTGAAAATTATAACTTGTAATAAAGCAAATAATTGATTTACAGGCCTATCAGATTATATATGTTTTAAATACATAAAACTTAGTCATTAACTCTCAGGAAGAGACCAATTTCCATTTATTCCAACACAGACGTGTTGCAGACAAGTTATTCTTTGTTTAAAATGGTAGATCATGATACATATAAACATACTAAACCATTCTGACCTTCACAGTGGTGAAAGGAAAATAAAATAAGAAGAAACTAAAATAACCACTATTAAATCAAGTTAAATATTTGCGAATAACTATAAAAATGGGAAAATATAAATTATCTTTAAAAATCAGAGCGAGGGAATTAGTTTAACTAGGACAATAGTTAAAATTTGGCAAGCTCTGTGACTTAGTGTTCACTTCTGGTAGCTTTCCTTCTTTCCTTCCCACTTAATCTTTTTTGGACCTTCTAAAGAATAAAAATTAGGAAACAGCCTCATACCTTCAATGATCTCTTAACCAGAGAGATGGTATACTTTGAAAAACTTGGGCTGGGCGTGGTGGTTCACTCCTGTAATTGCAGCACTTTGGGAGGCTGAGACAGAAGAACTACTTGAGCCTAGGAGTTTAATACCAGCCTGGGCAACATAGCAAGGCCTGTCTCTACAAAAAATACAAAATTACCCAGGCGTGGTGGCACATGCCTATAGTCCCAGCTACTTGGGAGGCTGCGGAAGGAGAATGACCTGAGTCTGCGCAGTCAAGGCTGCAGTGAGCCATGCTTGCACCACAGCACTCCAGTCTGCATGACAGAGTGAGATGCTGTCTCAAAATTAAAAATAATAATGATAATAATAATAAAAGAAAAGAAAAATGTATAGCTACCTCCTTATGATTCATCTTTCTGGTCATACTGCCTTACTTATTAGGAAGGCCTTTTATTTATTTATTTTCTTTTAAAAAAATTCTCTTGGTCAGTCTTATTACAAGGAAGCCCTTTTAAAAAGACAATAATGAAGAAACTAGCAAATTATGATGGCTTTTGCAACTTATTCTCTATATGTCTATGTACTGCTCTATAATGAGTTATAATAATCTACATCCCACTTTCCTATTTCCCACGTCACGATTTTGACAAACTTCAGCAAGCACCCATCTTTCAGACGAGTAATGTAGTTCTTTTTTTTTTTTTTTAATATATGGTTTTGCAGCCTAGATACAACAACTCTGGCTACTATATGATGGAAAAGATGTAGAAGTACTGGTACTACTACCCTCTGTTGCTGTCATTTACCTTAAACATACCTGGAAAAGGAGGTTCAAAAACTCATTGGCAAGAACATTTTTCACACTCCAGATCTGATAGTCTTCCAGAGTAAGATGACCCATCTGAAACAGAGACACTCATGTTAGGAACATCTTTTTTTTCTTTTTTTTTTTTTTTTTGAGACGGAGTCTCATACTGTTGCCTGGGCTGGAGTGCAATGGCACGATCTTGGCTCACTGAAACCTCGGCCTCCTGGGTGCAAGCGATTCTCCTGCCTCAGTCTCCCAAGTAGCTGAAATTACAGGTGCCCGCCACCATGCCTGGCTAAGTTTTTGTGTTTTTCAGTAGAAACGGGGTTTCACTATGTTGGCCAGGCTGGTCTTGAACTCCTGACCTCGTGATCCATCCGCCTTGGCCTCCCAAAGTGCCGGGATTACAGGCATCTGCCATGATCTAAATGTTGACTAACACAGAAAAGTAATTTCTTCCTCTTTACTTTCCTAACTCCCCTACAATGCAGAAGGTAAACTAGTTCAAGTTCGTTCCTGTATGTTTTCCTAAATGCATTCAATAGCAAAATTTTACAATTTGTGGTAATGCAAACATATATGGTTTAATCATATATGGTTGGTAAAATTCACTAAATATCTCTGAATTTTATCAACGCAGTAAGAAATACTGCCCATTTTCTTTAAAAGGTTTAGGTAACTAAATCAACAAAGATGTTCTGGTAACATTATTTGTCCTCGCTTCCTTTTATGCCTCAAATATATTGGTGGCAGTCTGCACTAATAACAAGGAAAATATATACACATATTGTTCTCTAAAGAGAAAAACATTGACTTGCAGAATCACTGAAGTGTATAGATCAACTGTCTTATAATCAAACAACAGACATGTGAGAGATTTAATAGAAAAATCACTGGGCATGGTGGCATGTGCCTGTAGTCCCAGCTACTCCAGAGGCTGAGGCAAGAGGATCGCTTGAGCCCAGGAGCATGAGTCCAGCCTGGGCAACTAGCAAGACACCATCTCTTTGAAAAAAAAAATAATAAAAATAAAGAAAATCCTCCAAATCAGAATAGAGAAATAAGCTAAAGGGAAAGGAAGAAAAACAAAAACTCATTTTTGTTTTTTCAAAAAAGTTCACATTCAAAAAGTAGAAGGCAGGGAGAGGGGTAGGCAAATCACTAGATTATGACTAACACTGAATCACAGAATCTTTCTTATCATGATCACTTTTCAAAAAATTGTCCTGTTCACTTACAGCAGAGGAAGTGCTGTGATAAGGTTTTTGTTTTTTTTCCACCCAAATCAGTACAGCAGAGGTCCTTGAATAATGTTTCATTCAATATCATTTTATTATAATGTTAATGGGGGAAAAAATGGATTCCCAGCTGGGGCCACTATCTGTGTGGAGTTTGCATATTCTTTCCATGTCTGCATGAATTTTCTCCAGGTACTCCGGTTTCCTCCCACATCCCAAAGACATACACGTTAGGTTAACAGGAGTGTCTAAATTGTCCCACTGTAGTGTGGTATCTGTTGCTGTGAGGAAAGGAACATCAATGCCTGCACCACGGCAACAGAAGAACTTCAAAGGCTATGTAAGATCTGCCAATCTCCCAAATCAAGTATACAAAAAACTGGTGAAGAGAGGGTTTGAATTCATACTTATAGGTGAATTCTGGATTGGGCCAGTCAACATTAATCAACTTATTATTCCTCACAGATTTCTATTCTCCAGAGTATCCAGGTCCTTCCCATAGAATAAAAAACACTGACCAACAACGTGATTTCATCATTCTAAGAAATATATTGATAAGAACACACATGCAGAACTTGAAAGATGTTACTAATAATGAAGAACTACAGAAGCAGAAAACCGGCAGCTGTGACATAATGGAGTTGATAACGTTACCAAGCAAAGGAGGCTTGCTGCCTGATGAGACAGAAGCCAATACTCTGATGTTGGGTTTTTGAGAAAAGCAAAGGTTTTCACTATAAGCCAACCAAAAAGGAGATGGGAGTCCAGCTCAAGTCTGTCTCCCTGTGCTTGTTTTAAGGCAATAATTTTATTAAAAAAGCCTTATAGGGTGGATTCTGGGATTGGCAGATGACTGGTAGAAGGAGAGGATTGGAAAGTCCTTCGGCATGCACAGTTATTTCTTCATGTTACTTCGTGGATCACATGTGCCAATTGGGGGGAGTCAGTATGAAACACACAGTGGGAATTAGCAAGCTCATTCTGCGTAAACTCTACTTAGCCATATTGGTTCTAGCCAATTCAGCCAGTTTTTAAAATCTCACAGTGGAGAGAGGGTTAGCATTTCAGCAAGTTGTTATTTATTTTATTTTGTTTTCTAAAAAAGACACAGGGTCTCACTCTATCACCCAGGCTGGAGTGCAGTGGTGTGATCACAGCTCACTGCAGTCCCAAACTCCTAGGTTCAAGGGATCCTCCAGCCTCAGCCTCCTGACTACAGGCACAGGTTACCAAAACTGGCTTAAAAAAAAGAGAAAAACACAGAAAAACAAGGTCTAGTTATGTTGCCCAGGCTGGTCTTGAACTCCTGGCCTTAGGCAATCCTCCTACCTTGGCCTCCCAAGGTGCTGGGGTTACACAGGTGAGAGCCACCACACAGGCCAGCTTTTTGGTGTTTTTTTTTTCCTTCAATCTGCTATTCTGCAAACTCAAGGAGTTCTGCTGGTTATCAGTTTCTTACTCTTTGGGGAACAGTTTTAGTTTCAGCTTCTTACTAAGTTGCTTTTTTTCGTAGCCTCTATCCTGTAAGCCCAAGAATATAGTCATTGGTTTCTTTAACTCTTTAGGGCACAATTTCAATAACAAAATAAATGGCAGCTTACTAAGAGTCTTCCTCTGGCACAAATGGAAGAAGAAAAAAGGGAGCAAGCAGATAAGATGAAGAAGATGGAGATCAAGACAGAGCAGGTATTTGAGATGAAGGTGAGTAAGTAGTTCAAAACCTGAGGGACTCTGAAGTTGAGCTCCAACGGTGCCATGAAATGATGCAAATGAAAAACATGAAATGATGCAAATGAAAAACATGAAATGATGCAAATGATAAATGAACATTACGTTCACTTAATGCAAATAAAAAACAATTTGGAAGCACAGCAAAAAGAATTAAGAGAAAAACTGTTGTCAGTTTGAGGATGAGTAAGCAAACTGGGAAGCTCAACAACGTATTTTAGAACATCAGAACTCTTCAAGAACCTTGGCAAAGATCAAGAAGAAAGGGAAGGTCTTTTAAACTCTCTACTGACCAAGAGTTACATATTAGTTGCCAATATGCCATTATGCACATCAGTGTTTGTTGGATCCCTTTGACCAATCTGCATCAGCCATTATGATGGATTTAACAGCGTGACAAAAGTGACTTTGTTGTTGATCCTGATGGAGATTAAGATGCCTTGAATTGTAGGGTGTTGTATACTTAGAAAGTAACAGCTCTAAGTACCTTTCCTACATTTTCTTTTCCTTTTTAAAAAATTAAACAGATATCTTCAATTTAATGCAAGAGAACACTTCGCTGTTTTACAGTCATATTCTGGCAGTTTGAATGTTTACAGGACATTCCAAAATGAAATGACTCTGGAAGGTTTTGATTGAAGATAAATTGCCATAATATGAGGCAAACTATGCTTCTCTATGATAACTATAATGCAAAGTTCCATCTCATGCAGCATATACAATAAGGTAAATTAGTCTAACACAGGTGACCCTATTTTTTGACCTTTCCATTCTTTAAAAATACACATGGGAAAAAACCCTATATGCTTACAGTGCACCTAGAACTACTTTTTTACACAATCCTTTAAATATATATTATTCTTATTTAGTGGCCCCTTTAGCCAGAATCTCATTATTGCTTCATTTTTGTAATAACACTTAAATTTAGGTATTTTCCACATATTGGCCCAGCTAAAATAGAATATAGCATGTTTCACATGGTAGGAACCAGCAAGGAAGCTTTCCTTTAGCTCCCTTTACACATTTTATGGTAAGTAGCAGGAGGAAGGAGGAAGATGCATTTACAGATCACTTCTAGGAAACACTGAGAAGATAAAGACCAACCTGCGGTCTCTTTAGTTTACTAGAAATAAGAATCATGGCCTTTTAAAGAGAAGAAGTCACTATTTTTCACTGAGCTGTATTCATATATAGCATATATGCCCTTTTTGTTTGTATTGTAAACAATTCACGTAACAATGCTGTGATGTAAAAAAACAAAAAAATGAAAAAATTAAATAAATTGTCCCAGTATGAGTGAGTGTGGATATACGTGTGAGCGCGCCCTTCAGTGGGATGGAGTCTTGTCCAGGGTTGGTTCCTGTCTTGTACCCTGAGCTGCAGGGATAGGCTCTGGCCAGCCACTAACCTGAACTGGAATAAGCGGGTTGGAAATGAATACAAATTACCATAAAATAACAAGTATGCAATGATCATACAAATGCATGATAATAAATGATATGCTGAGAAAGTACTCAATGAGCCTCCCATATTTGTTATTGTTAGTTTTTGAACTGCAAGGTGGTAGGAGGTGTTCCTTATAATTTTCATTTTGCAAATTTATCCCTTGATTTAACCCATCACCACTATGACTGCTGCTGTCACTCACTAATTCACCAAAAACTGGGTAAATAATTATCTTGTTTTTATCAATCTTTCTTAGATCTGTTTATAGTTCACATTTATTTCAAAGCTTAATATTAGAAGTGCTTGGGGTCTTTATTTAGAAGTTTGGTGATATTTTTGTGACTAGAAATATGCTGTAGGAACTTAACTCTTGTTTGCCTATGGTAAAATTAGTTTTGTTCTATACCCTTTCACTTAAAGTTGCAGTTTCCAAGAACCTAAAGACAACATTAAGTGAGTACTAACTGTACAAGAAGTTAAAGGCATCTGGAACTGTAATACATTATGAACAAAAGAATCTTTGACTTAAGAGACCTGTTGTTCATATTACAATGCTATCAGAACCATCAATTACTAGATAACCATCCATCATTAGTATTCCTCTTGCCTTTGAAAATGACTTTTTGGCTATAGCAATATGGTTTTAAAAGATACAGGAATAGGCTGGGTGCGGTGGCTCATGCCTGTAATCCCAGCACTTTGGGAGGCTGAGGCAGGTGGATCACCTGAGGTCAGGAGTTCGAGAGCAGCCTGGCCAACATGGTGAAACCTAGTCTCTACTAAAAATACAAAAAAATTAGCTGGGTGTGGTGGCGGGTGCCTGTAATCCCAGCTACTCAGGAGGCTGAGGCATGAGAATCATTTGAACCCAGGAGGCGGAGGTTGAAGTGAGCCAAAATCACGCTATTACACTCCAGCCTGGGTGACAAGAGCAAGACTTTAAAAAAAAAAAAAAATACAGGAATAAATCATAGCATAATCATAATGGAATACTATGCAGAGGATAAAAAGACTAAGTTAATCTATATATAATTTTCTATCTAGCATATGAAAGATGCTTAGTAAACATTTTACTAAGTTTATGAAGTAAACATTTATTTACTAAGCATCTTTCATATGCTAGATAGAAAATTATATACAGATTTAGGAAAATTCAGAAAAAAATTATTGCATAATCGCTTATACAGTATTATTCAATTTTTAAATATAGAACACACACACAATACATATAAATTTCTCCTACACTTGATAGTAGTCAGAATAGTATATCTTCCCCTCTAACATCCATTGAGAATAACTAAAATTTTAATTCTTAAAACAAAACAAAAAAAACCCAGAAGAACTGCAAGCTCTGCCACATCATGTATCTCAGTCATGAGGAGGCAAAAGAGAAACATGTCACATAACTTAATGAACTCTACGGGTGAGGATATGATCTGATAAATTTCAACTCATTCAGGAGTTTTACACTGAACAGTCACGACTAAAATTCCAGGACAGAAAAATGAAGAATGCCAACAGAGGGAGAAGCTATGTTGAACATAGGCTATATTTCAAAATGCTACTTGTTTATCTTTGAAGTAATAATTGTCAATGATTCTGCACTGATGACAAAATTAACAGCTAGTGTAAACCCATTTTAATTTTATAGGACTCAGCATCTAGAACAGATAGGAAAATCACAGTGAAATATGAAAATGTAATAACTTCTATTAATTTTATTGTTTGAAAATCTAAAATGCTACTAATAAAACTAAAATAAAGGCTGTTTAAAAAGTACAAATGTAGGCCAGGCACGGTGGCTCACACTTGTAATCCTAGCACTTTGGGAGGCCAAGGCGGGTGGATCACTTAAGGTCAGGAGTTTGAGACCAGCCTGGGTAACATGGCAAAACCCGTCTCTACTAAAAATACAAAAATTAGCCAGGTGTGGTGGTGCAAGCCTGTAATCCCAGCTACTTGGAAGGCTGAGGCAGGAGCATCACTTGAACCCAGGACGTAGAGGTTCCAGTGAGCCGAGATCATTCCACTGCACTCCAGCCTGGGTGACAGAGCAAGACTATCTCAAAAAAACAAAAATAAAAACAAAAACAAAAACAAAAAAACAAAAAAAGGACAAATGTAATTTGATATGTGTGATAAATTATTAATACATGGTATAAGAACCTTTTATATCTAACAGAACAAAATATAAAATGCTCAAGATGGTAAAAAGTATTTTTAAGATGATAATCTGATTCTTTTATATAACCACAAATATTCAAGGAACAATTTTCAGGTACACTGACCTCAAAGATATGTTAATACTGTCCAAAAGGAAAGAAACGTCATGAAAAGAAATAATAGATACCACCGTACAGAATCATCATGCATACAATGATGATCAAAAGCCCATTTGCTATACTGACACCTGAGTAATAATTAACACACTGTAAAAACATATAGAGCATTATGCTTAAAATCTAGAACTGTAAATGGATTTTATTTTCTCCCAATTTAATGGATGTTTTACTGACTGCAGTTAGGACTACTGCTAAGCAAGGTATCATATGAACTTTTTCTAAAGCAAATTCACTGACTATATGGCTTATTTATTTTGTTTTATGTATGTATGTATGTATTTATTTATTTGAGACAGAGTTTCACTCTTGTTATTCAGGCTGGAGTGCAATGGTGTCATCTTGGCTCACTGCAACCTCCGCCTCCCAGGTTCAAGCAAAGCTCCTGCGTCAGCCTCCTGAGTAGCTGGAATTACAGATGCCCAACACCATGCCCGGCTAATTTTTGTATTTTTAGTAGAGACAGGGTTTCGCCATGTTGGCCAGGCTGGTCTCGAACTCCTGACCTCAGGTGATCCGCCCACTGTGGCCTCCCAAAGTGCTGGGATTACAGGCGTGAGCCACCATGCCCAACCTATATGACTTATTTGTAAATGTCCTCCGTTTAAATGTGGCCCTGATTTTCAAAATAGTGTCAGCTGATCACTTGCTCTGTTCTACTTGAATCTTTGGAGGTTTCTCCATAGTTTGGTATAAAGTTCAACTCCTGAGTTTTGTACCCAAGGCCCTTCAAGATACGTCTCCAATCCAGGTCTACAGCCTTCAATATATGAATCTGTTATTCCAGCCACATCAGAATATTTGCAGTTCTAGGACTACACAGGATGTTTTACTGTACAGTCCTATACAGTAATAATGTCTTCTATTCTACCCCTAGTTGTTACCTCTTTTAGGAATCACCTTTCAACTTTTTACTTCTGTTAACCATAATTAACTAATTATTAAAGTGCCACATCCCAGCAGAAATCTTCTGGACTTTCAAAGTTCAATTTACATGGTTCCCTTTCTATCCTCTCACCGTAATACTTGGTGCTAACCTTTTTTTTTTTCCAGACAAGTTCTCATTCTGTTGCTCAGCCTGTAGTGCAGTGGTGTAATCATGGCACACTGCAGCCTTGACCTCCCAGGCTCAAATGATCCTCTCGCCTCAGCCTCCCTTGTAGCTGGAACTATAGACATGTGCTACTGTGCCTGGCTACGTTTTTTCTTTTTTTAGAGATAGAGTCTCGTTATGTTACCCAGGCTGGTCGAGAGCTCCTGGGCTCAAGTGATTCTCCCACCTCAGCCTTCCAAAGTGCTGGGATTATAGATGAGAACTACCATGCCCAGCCTCAACTTCTAACATAGCCCTGATCACACTTGTCTATCTTTACCTGTATACTACAAACTATCCAAGGGTAACATCTAGATCTCTTGAGCCACTACAGAGTATCATTAAATAGTCAACAGATGAATTAGATAAAACAGAGAAGAGTTGGAAGTCAGAAAAAGAATGAGTAATGTTGGTACAATCTAGTCACCAGCGAATATGGTTAATAGGCTTGGTTAAAAAACCCAAGTTCTATCCCAAACTATTACTATTTCATTATCATGGTTACATGGAAATGAAGCAGCTAAATGATCTTGTTTAATGTTCACAGAAGAGCCAGAAGTAGAAACTCCATCTAACATAAAAGGCGACAGCAAAAATACCTACATACTTATGAAACACTTAGAAAAAAGGTGTTCAAAATTTTATCTCTACACAAGGCATTTTCTAACAGAAACTTTTCCTGGTTTTTGTTCTCATACACACGAAATAGAAGTCGATACCTTAGTTTCTGGCAGAGAGGAGAAAGAAGGGGACTGAATTGTCAAAGCTCTAGCCTGAAACTCATTTCTATTATTTGTTTCTATTGAGAATCAGTTAATAGGGCCATTAACAATTTCTTCTGAAATTGTGATTGAAGAAAGAAAAAAAACTGACGTTCTTTATTTATTCTAAACCTCTATTTAATAACACCATTGTGGTGTAGATCCTACCAATCTGCGACTTGGTACATGTCAATGCTTCAGTAGAAAGACTCCAATTTATGCAAATGTGTCTCATACAGGTAATTTATTTTCAATTTCACAGGGACACATAGACATCATAGTAATGCAAGCTATAGGAGTAAATCTATTATGATAACATTACTAATAAATGTTACCAAACTAAATAAGTCAAGGATTTTTTTTTAATTTATAAAGTACATGTTTATTTTTGCTATTACATGCTTATTCTGGCTACCACTAAAGGACACAGGAGAGGTCCTTACCACAACCATTTAAAAAAATTTTTTAGGCCAGCACAGTGGCTCATACCTGTAATCCCAGCACTTTGGGAGGCTGAGGCAGGACTGCTTGAGCCCAGGAGTTTGCAACCAGCCTGGGAAACATGGCGAGACCTGGTCTCTACAAAAAAAAAAAAAAATTAGCTGGGCATGGTGGTGCACACCTATAGTCTCAGCTACTCGAAAGGCTGAGGCAGGATTGCTTGAACCCAGGAGGTCGAGGCTGCAGTGAGCCAAGATCCCACCACTGCACTCTAGCCTAGGCAACAGAGCAAGATCCTGTCTCCAAAAAAACAAACAGACAAAAAAAAAAACAAAAGAAATTTCTTGAAAGAATAGATGTACTGGCCAGGCGCAGTGGCTCACGCCTATAATCCCAGCACTTTGGGAGGCCAAGGCAGGGAGATCACTGGAGGCCAGGGGTTTGAGATCAGCCTGGCCAACATAACGAAACCCCATCTCTACTCTAAAAATACAAAAAAATCAGCCGGCATGGTGGCACACACCTGCAGTCCCAGCTACTTTGGAGGCTGAGGCAAGAAAATCACTTGAAGCCGGGAGGCAGAGGTGGCAGTGAGCTGAGATCCTGTCAGTGCACTCCAGGCTGGGTGACAGAGCAAGACTCTGTCAAAAAAAAAAAAAAAAAAAAAAAAAGAGAGAGAGAATATATGTACTGCCAGATTAAGAGGAAAAAAACATTTCCATCATCTCAGATATCCTTACGGTTGTTCCCAATTAATCTGCACACCCCTGAAATCACTATTCCAACTTCTATCACTATTTGTTAGTTTTGCTTCTGTGTTCTTCGACTTCATATAAATGGAATCATACAGTATATATTCTTTTTTGTTTGACTTCTTTTGCTCAATATAAGGTTAGCCTTACCACAACTTAGTCAAATGGAAGAAATACAGATGATAGGCTATAGTTGCCAAGGGCTCTGTCTACATAATTCTTATAAAATGCCTAGCTTATAATAAATGTTTTCACATACAGTTTCAGAGTTGCTTAAAGATGGAATGGCTCTCTTTGGAGATAACTTGGAGGTGTTTTACCCACAGGTCCAGATAAGTACTTGGTAGGGAGGATGCCAAAGAGATTCAAGCATGTATATAAGCGATACATCCCAAATGGAGTACATGATATTTTTAGAAAAAGATAAATTAGTTCTATCTAGACTCACCTTTGTGGTGTCATGTGCATTCAGTATGCCTTCTACAATATCAGAGAGATCCATATGTAATTCCTTTAAAAATAACCCAAAGGAGTAATTAGAAAACAGTGAATATACTTTTAATTTTGTTATTCAATGGCTAAAGTATATTAAGCAAGATTTGTTTTGCTTTTCTTGTAGAGATGGGGTCTCCTTACGTTGCCCAGGATTATCTCAAACTCCTGGGCTAAAGTGATCCTCCAGCCCTGGCTTCCCAAAGTGCGGAGATTCCAGGCAAGAACTACTGCGCCCGGCCTTGCTCAAGTATTTTTATAATTACCATAGATTCTCATATATGATTAAAAATTAAGATAACTTTCCTATGGTTTCATTCTTATTTTACATAGTTCAGTTTAAGATTTTCTAAGCCAAACTCTCTTTCCAATTTTGCATCTTCAGCTATAAATATTTTGAGTAGCATAATGTAGTAACTAAAAGCAGTAACAAATTATTTTATGCTTTTAAAGAAAATGATTCCCTCCAATTTCCCATTGGAAGTTTATACGCAACAAGACATACACAATCATAACTTACAGGAATATCATCAGTGCGGTTGTCCTTCCAGACTTCTAAAAGTGCAACCACCATGTCTCTCAGTTCAACCCTGGAGAGAACTCCATCACGGTCAACATCAAATACCTTGAAGCAAACTAATGAAAAGAAACTCTTATGGAGGAAAATCATTTTTGTATTCTGAGGTATAATATATTTTACTAGAAGTTGCCCTTGTATAATTACTTAGTTTTTAAAGCAAGTATATGTATTCTGGAACAGTTCTCATCTGTAATAAACTATATTATGTCATTATAGTCCTCAGAACTTGTAGGACTTCCTGCATATCATGAATCTGTATCTCTAAATCATTATTCAGATATAAGACCCTACCCTTCAGCCAAATCTAAAGCTAAATGCCTTACAAACTGTCAAGAAAGGGCGAAGTTACTGTACAATAAATATTACAATACCTTACAAGTTTTTAGGAAGTAATGCAAACCCCTAGGTTAATTTCTAATATTGAAAACTGATCATTGCAGAGTTGTTTCTTGTTCTTCTTTTTGTTTGTTGGAGATGGAGTCTCGCTCTGTCGCCCAGGCTAGAGTGCAGTGGCATGATCTCAGTTCACTGCAACCTCTGCCTCCCGAGTTCAAGTAATTCTCCTGCCTCAGCCTCCCGAGTAGCTGGGATTACAGGAGCACACCACAACACCCAGGTAATTTTTTTTTTTTTTTTTTGAGATGGAGTCTCACTCTGTCGCCCAGGCTGTGGTGCAGTGGAATGATCTCAGGTCACTGCAACCTCTGCCTCCCGGGTTCAAGCAATTCTCCTGTCTCAGCCTCTGAGAAGCTGGGACTATAGACACGTGCCACCATGCCTGGCTAAGTTTTTGTATTTTTAGTAGAGACGGGGTTTCACTGTGTTAGCCAGGATGGTCTCGATCTCCTGACCTTGTGATCAGCCCATCTCAGCCTCCCAAAGTGCTGGGATTACAGGCGTGAGCCACTGTGCCCGGCCAATTTTTGTATTTTTAGTAGAGACGGGATTTCACCATGTTGGCCAGGCTGGTCTCAAACTCCTAACCTCAAGTGATCCACCGGCCTTGGCCTCCCAAAGTGGTACGATTACAGGCATGATGCACGGTGCCAGGCCAGCAGAGTTGTTTGTTTGCTTAAAATATCCTATTTACAGCTGGGCATGGTGGCTCACGCCTGCAATCCCAGTACTTTGGGAGGCCGAGGTGGGCGAATCGCGAGGTCAGGAGCTCGAGACCAGCCTGGTCAACATGGTGAAATCCCGTCGCTACTAAAAATACAAAAAATTAGCTGGGCGTAGTGGCGGGCGCCTGTAATCTCAGCTACTTGGGAGGCTGAGGCAGAATTGCTTGAACCCGGGAGGCGGAGGTTGCAGTGATCCAAGATCGTGCCCCTGCACTCCAGCCCAAGCAACAGTGCGAGACTTCGTCTCAAAAAAGAAATCCTATTTATATCAAGAATCTTAAGCTGATATAAAGACAGTCCACTTCCATGTTACCTTTCCAGTATAACTAATGTACATTCAATCTTTTTTTGGCAAAAACAATTTTAACTCTTTTTTTTTTCTTTTTTTTGAGATGGCGTCTCGCTCTGTCACCCAGGCTGGAGTGCAGTTCTCAGCTTACTGCAACCTCCGCCTCCTGGGTTGAAGCGATTCTCCTGCCTCAGCCTCCCGAGTAGCTGGGACTATAGGTGTCCACCACCACGCCCGGCTAACTTTTGTATTTCTAGTAGAGACAGGGTTTCACCATATTGGCCAGGCTGATCTTGAACTCCTGACCTTGTGATCCGCCTGCCTTGGCCTCCCAAAGTGCTGGGATTACAGGTGTGAGCCACCGTGCCAGGCCTTTTTTTCTTTTGAGACAGAGTCTTGCTGTCTCCCAGGCTGGAGTGCAATGGCGCAATCTTGGCTCACTGCAACCTCCACCTCCCAGGTTCAAGCAATTCTCCTGCCTCAGCTTCTCAAGTAGCTGGGATTACAGATGCCTGCCACTGCACCCAGTTAATTTTTGTATTTTTAGCCGAGACTATGTTTCGCCATGTTGGCCAGGCTGATCTTGAACTCCTGACCTCAGATGATCCACCTGCCTCGGCCTCCCAAAGTGTTGGGATTACAGGCGTGAGCAACCATGCCCGGCCAACAATTTTAACTCTTTAATGAAATTCAAACACAACATGCTAACAATTAGAACACCAGTGCTTTGCTATTTAACTCCAAATGAATCATTCTAGTTTAACTTCCATTAGTTCATCAGCAAAAAAAGAAATTAAAACAAAATTTTTTAAGACAACAATTAACTTTAATGGAAATGCAGAGCTGGGCATGGAGGCTCATGTCTATAACCCCAACACTTTGGAAGGCTGAGGTGGGCGGATCATTTAAGGCCAGAGGTTCGAGACTAGCCTGGGCAACATAACAAGACACTATCTCTATTTAAAAAAAAAAAAAAAATTAGCCAGGCATGGTGGTACATGCCTGTAGTCCCAGCTACCTAGGAGGCTAGGATGGGAGGATCCATTGAGCCCAGAAGTTCAAGGTTACAGTGAGCTACGATCACACCACTGCACTGCACTGGACTCCAACTTGGGCAACAGAACAAGACCCTGTCTCAAAAAAAAAAAAAAAAAAAAAAAGATTTTAGCTTCCTCATCTAAGAGCAAATTGTAATGGAAACAACCAAGCCAGTTTGAAATAGTGGTATAACAACAGGGAATAAAAATAGAGATTTGAATTTTTAGTTGAAAAATTATTTCATATACCTTCATAATAGAATTATGGCTATTAAATCAATTGAGCGCATCATAGTACAACAGTACTAAATACGATAAAAATATTGAACACCACACCCAAAATATGCAACATTTGGGAAGATTTATTTTAGAAAGACGTGGAGATAATGACCCCAGTAAATATATTTGAGTTAGGTTCCAATTAAATGTAAATGCCTGCATTTTTACAAATATGGTTAAGATTTAATAATGGAATGTATTTATGCTTACAAATTATGCTACAACATTTTAGTTAGGTTAAAAAAGATCATTTTAGTATTTGACAAAATTAGTTTTGACCATAAATTTTCTTTTGCCAATGAAATATTAATCTGTGCCAGTGGATGGAAAATGAGTTATGCCTCAACTTATGTAAGACACAAAATTCTACCAGAAAAATATTTCCTAAATGTTTAAAATTTTCAATTACATCATAGCTGATCTGATTCATTTATCATGAATTACAAATTCTTCAGGAAAATCAACTCCATTGTTAATAGCAAATATCCCAAACTATTCCATAGTAAAAAAGAAGAGGTGATTGATTCCTTAGAGTGACCTCAGTAAAACCCTAACATGAGATTAATATTTGTTAATCTGACAAAGTTATAAAAATTCAAGCCTTAATCCACAGATAATTTTACATTGATGAAAACTGATTTTCTCTCTACATAGTTTGCAATTTTTTGACAATGTTTAACACACTTACATTTTTGTCTTTCAGCCAGGGGTCCCCTGCAACAGGCTGATAACCCACAGGATATCTCCTTAAAATCTATGTGATTGTCACGATTTTCATCAAAAGCATTAAACAAACCTGTAAAATAGGAAGAGATGCCATAAATCACAGCCAAGCTTCCTAATGTTAATAATGACATGTTTACAAAAGGAGGAATGACTCTTTCCCATAAACTGACTGAATTTTTTTTTAAGTTTATTAGTAGTTCCTAATGTTTCAGGAAGTACCTCTTTCCTCTTGGTATAATTATAATTGAAACTTGTGATCATGGCAGAAAATACATTACAATCCTTTAGTGTTTGGTTATGTCCATCTATATTTATCTTACATCATTTTTAATGGCTAAAATGACTATTTTTGAAGTCAATAAATAAAAATTAAAAACCAAAAAAAGGTCAGAAATTGCAACAATTATCCTTACTTAGAAAGACTAAGAAGAAAAAGGGAAAAAAGAAAGAAAAACTGAACTGCTTATTAAATGAATACTCGAAGATACACTATGGTATCATTAATAAGCTCCCATAAAGCTCTTTCATAAAGCAAAGGAAGATACACTATGCAACATAAGAGAAAGAAATTCTCTACTACAGTGTCTCTTTGTACTGTTGAATCTTTTATACATGAATATTTTAAATTTCACAAAGGGAATTTATAATCTAATCCTGTGGTTTTCAAACATTTCGTAAAAAAAAGAAATGAAACAATTTTGTTTTCAAATGAAATGATACATCAATCCCAATTCTAAAAAGGTAAAAACACAATGCACTGTTGTTGAAGTAGGTAGAAACCCAGAGCCCTATCTGCCCTGGCTCCCCTGACAAGTACTTCCGAAGTACTCTAGAAATTTGAAGAATACAGATAGTATATTCCCAGAATCTAACGCAGTGCCCTCAGTTTAGGGATTAGAAAACTAAAGCTCAGAGAAAATTACATGATTTGCCAAATATAAGTTTTAAAAGGTGAGAGCTGGAAGCAGAACCCAAGTATTCATATTCAAAATATGATTTTTATGATGTGCTCACAATTATATTTGGACTCCTTATTTTTAAAAAAGTAACAGCAGACTGGGCGCAGTGGCTCACGCCTGTAATCCCAGCACTTTGGGAGGCTGAGGTGGGCAGATCACCTGAGATCGGGGATTCAAGACCAGCCTGACCAATATGGAGAAACCCTGTCTCTACTAAAAACACAAAATTAGCCGGGCATGGTGGCACATTCCTGTAATCCCAGCTACTTGGGGCGCTGAGATAGGAGAATCGCTTGAACCCAGGAGGCAGAGGTTGCAGTGAGCCGAGATGGCGCCACTGCACTCCAGCCTGGGCAACAAGAGCAAAACTCTGCCTCAAAAAAAAAAAAAAAAAAAGTAACAGCACTAAGTTTAGAGCTAGAGAGCACCTCGGAGATGGTCTAGTCCAATAGTTTCTTCATCTTTTTTTGGAGGGGAGAATACAGCAATGGAATCTTCTTATGTAAAAGAAAAAAAGTAGAGGCACCCTACTGGAGGAAGAGACGAGGTCATGTGTGGAAACATGGAGCTCTGCCCATTCAGTGGCCACCACATGACTCCAGGCACTAGCTACTAATGCACCTTACTGGAACACAGTATCACAACCACTGCCTTGGTCAAACACATTTTATACATGAGCATGCTCGGGTGCAGAGAGCTAAACTGATTTATGCAAGGTTATAACAGGTAGAATATCAGGCTCAAGACTATAATAATAATTCCCATTTGTTTTTCCCCACTCCATTAAACCTGCAAACATATGAGAAGATGGTTTCTTAGAGTTAAAATGTATTGGTTACAAATATGAGATGGGCTCAGGTATGTTTACCAGTGAACATATGTAGAAAATGGAATGATCCCTACCTTCACTTAGAGATGGACGAATAGGTGGTGAAACCAATGGGCCAAATGTCTCTAAATCAAATCGTCCAGTCCGGGATTGAGCCTTCAATAACCAATAGCGTTTCTCAAGATCAATGATGTCTGATTCCTCCACTAAGGGTCAAATCAAAAAAGATTATAAAACCTCAGAATTCTCTTCTCAGGAGTTCAGTTCATCCTGATAATATATCTTCCACAGATATATTTTAGTTTCACAATTCAATTGCTAAAAAATAATCACGACCAAAAACAAAACTGAAATTTATTATATCCAAAATGGTAGGAAAATTAAACCAAAATAAACAAAATGAAGCTTTAAAACAGAAAAAAGAAATCTACAATTCCCCATTTAAGTAGGCTGTTAAATCCAACATTTAAAATAAAAATTAAGCTATTTCTTTTGGGTTTCCCACACCACTTTTACCTGTACTGATTTTTTTTCTTCTTTTTTTTTTTTTAAGAGACAGGGTTTTGCTCTGTCACTCCCAAGCTGGAGTGCAGTGACACGATCATAGTTCCCTACAGCCTCAAATTCCTGGGCTCAAGCCATCTTCCCACCTCAGCCTCCCAAGTAGCTAGGACTACATGTGTACGCCACCACATCCAGCTAATTTTTTAAAAACTTTTTGCAGAGATGGGGTCTCGCTATGTTGGTCAGGCTGGTCCCAAACTCCTGGTCTCAAGCAGTCCTCTCACCTCTGCTTCCCAAAGTGTTGGGATTATAGGTGTGAGCCACTGTGCTCAGCCATTTTTGTTTATTTTCAATCTCTATCTTGGATTTAAAGTTTCTATGTACAGCTTCTCTCCTGGCTAGACTGTAAACATCATAATGGCAGGACCTATGTCTGATTCATCCTGTCAATACAATTAATGACTTACACATTCAATACTTATTGAATAAATGAAAAAAGTCAGCACTGACAGAGAAGATGGAGTAGGAGTCCCTATGTGATAGCAATAGCAAAGCCATGAAAGCATGAACACCTGTCTCTCCTCATTCCTCAGAATATACATCAAAAATCGCAAATAGGCTCTAAACCATTTTATCTGTGTTTGTTTTTCCTCCAAGGAACTAAAGTAAAATTTACAAAGCGTACATAGGACATTTATTCTCAACTAAACACAGGAACCAAAGTGATCCTGTTAAAATATAAATCTAGAAATTTCAAATTCTGTCTATAATGGAGTAACTAGCACCAGACTTCACCTCCTACCACAAATTACTAGAAAACTGTATGAAATATATAAAACTATTTCTAGAAATTAGAGAATAAGCAGCATAGAACGGTGAACCTTGAGAGAGAGGAAACAAATAAGGTGAACCCTTTCATTACCCTGGATTTTTTCCCCACAGTCACTTTCCAGACCTAAACAAGGGATGAGTACTGTAAGCAGAGAGATTTCATTGAGTTAAGAAGATAGGTTGGAGGTAAGGTAGCTGAAATTTGCAAAACAGAGTACTGGAGAGGAAAGAGTTATGCCAAGAAAGGGCTCCAGAAATCTGCACATGTGTCTTACTGAGTTTTGGCAGAATAGTAAGCTGTGTATACATGAAGTGAATACAATGAGGCTGGGCTATGTACAAATGCCGGGAAATTTGTTTTGTTTTGTTGTTGTTTGAGACAGAATCTCACTCTGTCGCCCAGGCTGGAGTGCAGTGGCGTGATCTCGGCTCACTGCAACCTCTGCCACCCACCTGGGTTCAAGAGATTCTTGTGTTTCAGCTTCCCAAGTAGCTGGGATAGCAGGCATGCACCAGCATGCCTGGCTAATTTTTGTATTTTTAGTAGAGATGGAGTTTCGCCGTATCACCCAGGCTGGTCTCAAACTCCTGGCCTCAAGTGATCTGTCTGCCTCGGCCTCCGAAAGTGTGGGGATTACTTACAGGCATGAGTCACCGCACCCAGCCCAGATGCTAGGAAACTGTAAGCTAAAAAAGTCCTAGAGCTCATACAGGGCTGGGAGATGTCTGAGTTGTGACCAGCTGAAGTGGAAACACATTGTTGGACATTGGGAGCATTTGTGAACTCCAGAGGGTCTCTACTTAATAAACAGAGAAAAACTAACTCTAGAGTAAAGGCTACTCTAAACTTGTCCCAACAAAGCTTACAAACAATCCTGGAAAATATGGTGCTGATCCACAAGTAACTTAACTGCCTATCAAAATAAAACACAAGTTCCTTTTTTAAAGAGAGACAACAATCCAGATGCTCAGATACGTAACATCCACAATGTCTATCATCCAAAGAAAACATGAAAGTAGTAGAAAAATGTGACCCAAAATCAGGATTAAAAATTAGTCAATAGAGGGCTGGATGTGATGGCTCATGCCTGTAATCCCAGCACTTTGGGAGGCCAAGGTGGGTGGATCACTTGAGGTCAGGAGTTCGAGACCAGCCTGGCCAATATGGTGAAACCCCCATCGCTACTAAAAATACAAAAATTAGCTGGGCGTGGTGGCGGGTGCCTGTAGTCCCAGCTACTCCGGAGGCTGAGGCAGGACAATCGCTTGAACCTAGGAGGTGGAGGCTGCAGTGAGCCGAGATTGCGCCACTGCACTCCAGCCTGGGGGCAACAGAGCGAGACTCAGTCTCAAAAAAAAAAAAAAAAAAAAAAAATTAGTCAATAGAAAAAGACCTAGAAATAACAGATGATGTAATTAACAGGCAAAGCTTTAAAATGTCTATTGTAAGTATCTCAGGAATTAAAGAAAAACATGCCTATACTAAGGAAAGAAATGGCAACTATAAAGAAGTATCAACTGGAACTACTAAAGATGAAAAATACAATATTTGAAATTTAAAAAAATTCCCTAGAGGACTTAACAGCCAATTATAAACTAGACAGGAAAGATTAGTGAGCTTGAAGGACAGGCAATAGAAACTATCTAAATGATAGCATAAAGAGGAAAAAGGCTAAAAACGTATTAGAATCTTAGTGACCTATAAGATAATATCAAACATACATACAATTGGGATCCCAGAAAGGGATAGGCAGAAAAATATCTCAAAAAATAATGGCTGAAAACTTTCTAAAATTCATGAAAACTATATTCCCACAGATCCAGAAGTTCAATGAACCTTGTGTTAGAAAACTCAAAACCCTAACAAGGCAAGTCATAATCAAACTGGTGATGAAGAAAAAAATCTTAAAAGGAGCAAGATGGGGGAAAAACACATTACAAACAAAAGAACTAAGATAATAATTTATCTCCAGAAAAAAACCCCAGAAAGCAACAGGGAAGAAGTACTGAAAAAGAAAACAAAATTGTCAACCTCCAATTCTGTATCACGTGAAAATATTCTTCAAAAATAAATTCAAAGTACAGATTTTTTTTTTTGACAAATGAAGTGTTTTAGCAGAACCACACCAAAAGGACTATTAAAGGGCATTCTTCAGACAGCAGGAAGACCAGTTAAGTATCTATGTAAACAGAATAAGGCTAACAATGTTACTTCTCTGCCTCAAAACCTTTCAATACTTCCCCATGATCCTGCATGGCTTACACCCACAACTCCTTCAGATCTTTACTCAAATGTCACATTCTCAGACCATCCAAACCACACCACCTTCAAAGATACTCCTCTATCCCTCTTCCCTGCTCTACTTTACTCCATAATACTTATCAACTCTAATATAAAATTTATTCATTTGTTTTGTTTATTGAGCATCTCCCTTGATTAGAACATAAGCTTGAGGGCTGAGTTTCTGGTATGTTTTGTTCCCTGTTACAGTCTAACACCAGAATAATATCAGGCACATTTTGAGCACTCAATAAATAAGTTTAATGAATAAATGAGAAGTATTGGCCGGGCGCGGTGGCTCACGCCTGTAATCCTAGCACTTTGGGAGGCCAGGGCAGGCGGATCACCTGAGGTCAGGAGTACAAGACCAGCCTAGGAAACATGGTGAAACGCCATCTCTACTAAAAATACAAAAATTAGTGAGGTGTGGTGGCGTGTGCCTGTAATCCCAGCTACTCAGGAGGCTGAGGCAGAAGAATCGCTTGAACCTGGGAGGCAGAGTTTACAGTGAGCCGAGATTGCACCACTGCACTCCAGCCTAGACAACAGAGCAAGACTCCATCTCAAAAACAAACAAACAAAAAAGAATTATTTGTTGAGCTGTTTTATACATACATACACACACATACCCCCACACCCCTCTTCAGGATAATGCTAACTGTGATAAAAGATAACAATTAGTACCAGACATGACCTTGGCATCTAGTAACTTTCATTTATTTATTTATTTTTCCTGTTAGGTCAGTTTAGCAAAGTAACTCTTAAGTTACCTGGAAAGATAAGAACAAAGTTCCCTAAATTTCCAGGGCCTTCAAAGCATTTGATGTATTTTTTTTCCAAGACGGAATCTCACTCTGTTGCCCAGACTGGAGTGCAGTGGTGTGATCTTAGCTCACTGTAACGTCTGCCTCCTAGGTTCTAGCGATTCTCCTGCCTCAGCCTCCTGAGTAGCTGGGATTACAGGCACCTGCCACCATGCCTGGCTAATTTTTTGTATTTTTAGTAGAGACCTTGTCTCTATTTAAAAAAAAAAAAAAAGTATGGAGCAATAAAGATAAAATTTTCACAGAGGAATATACACTGTGTCATATAGTTTTGCTTTTTAAACTAAGTAACTAATTCACTAGATTGTAATCGCCTGATGGGTCAATGTTTGCAAAGGTCCAATTACTTTGGAATGGGATCTAATTTTTAAAATATATAACGGCTGGGCGTGGTGGCTCACACCTATAATCCCAGAACTTTGGGAAGCCGAGGTAAGAGGATTGCTTAAGTCTAGGGGTTTAGGACCAGCTTGGGCAACATAGTGAGACCCTGTTTCAACTTTTTTGTAATAAAATAAAAAATGTAAAACTCATACTAAAGAATGCTGTTTTCGTTTTTTAATGCTGAAGTATCTACTTCAAATATCCAGATAACTGAATTTATTTAAAAGGAGAGAGTATTTTAAAATTTTAGCAATAGGGAGAACAACAAAGGAATCTGATATATAAATTGAGATTCCTAAATAAGATGTCTGTCTATTCCATTTATGATGCTAAAAAGAAAAAGAAGCCTCTTTCATTCCTCCAGAGAAACACTAGCTTTTTCAAGTTCTAAACTCTTCCAAGTAGTAGATCAGCATACAAAAAAATCTAACCCTGAAACAAAAGGAAGATAGCAGTCTTGACGATAGAAACTGTTCTTATTTCTATACTTCTCAGTATTGAGAATATAATAGGTGTTCAATAAGTACTTCTGATTAATTGGTGTTTACATAATACAGTAAATTGAAACACAGAAAAATCATATTAACTGTGATTCTTTTTTTTACTTTGAAAACTATGTTAATCAATCTCCTTAAAAAACACAATTTCTTTGCTGAAGCAGAAATGTGGAAAGACAAGTAAAACATATTTACAAGAAAAAAATGATCAGATTGGTCATGGTCACCAGTGAAAAACATCCTTTAGTGCTGACGTTTAAGTGTATGTGATCTGTTCATTTTCTGGATATAGACTGCACATTCCTCAATCAAACATTTGTCAAAAGCAAGCTAAAGTAGATTACATATACATATATATATATATATATATAAAATTACCAAACATTTTACATGAATTGGCAGCTAAATTACTAGGAAGAGGGAGTTTAACTAACCTTATTTTCACTTACAGAAGTTTGAAGCAGTAATTTCAGTAGTTACTCTTTCTATTTGCAATGCATAAGTCACTATGAAAACTTAGTCTATTGGCTAAATAAGAATGAATTTATCACCCACCTATAGGTATAATTTTTTCTGGGTCACAACAGCAGTATACCATATTCCCAACATTCTAAGTAGTTCTTGGTCTGCACTTTGGGCCATCCTAATCAGGTCTCACCTCACCAAAGGCTCCAGCTGCAGACAACAACTCTTTAATGCCAGAAGTCAATCCTCATCAAAAAGGCCAGGCACATATCCAAATATTTTCATACAGTAACACATTTCTTTAACATTTTTGAAAAACAACCTCCTCTCAGGAGCAATGACCTTCTGAGATCTACTTAAAATGGCTGTAAGCCTTGCATCACTAACGGATAAGAGGATAATGAAGGAGAGGCACACAGATTTACTAGGCAGTTCATGGTCTAAGAATCACCAAAGTCCTTTATTCCCTATTGACAGAAGGCTTTAACATTGTAAACTAAAATGTGGTAAGGGACCATAATAATATACATATTGTTAGTTGAAATAAATGCTAAAACAGATAAGGACAATATACATTTCTTGAGTTAGCTCTGAAAAGAGAAACAATCAAAATGAATTATAAAGTCCCATCACCAAAATTAGAATTTTAACTACTTCAGAATCCAGATTCTACCATTCAAAGAAATCACTCAGTTAGCAAGCTGAATACATTATGATACATTCTGGGGAAATGCCAAAAACTTTCTTTATTTATTGGAAAACATTTACAAGACAGAATAGATATATGTTTTCTTCCAAATATTGCTGAATTCTACAAAAGAATATGACTATTAAAAAAATAACTTAATAATAGTTCCTTTTTTTTTTTTTTTTTGAAGAGACAGGGTCTCACTCTGTCACCCAGGAGTGATCATAGCTCAATGTGGCCTCAACCTCCTGGGCTCAAGTGATCCTCCCACCTCGGCCTCCACAGTAGCTGGGAATATACGCATGTGCTACCACATCCAGCTAATTTTCAAATTTTTTGTAGAGACGGGCCTTGCTGTTTCCCAGGCTGGCCTTGAACTCCTGGACTCAAGTGAGCCTCCTACCACAGCCTTCCAAAGTGCTGGGATTACAGGCATGAGCTACTGCACCCAGACAATAAATAAAAATTTTAAAAGCCACATCATATTCTGGAAACATTTAGTAAAAACGTATTATATGCCTGACATTGTACTAAAAACTACACATATGACTGTGAACAAGACAATTATGTTTAGAGATGAGAAGTGAAAACTGATCATTTTCATCTAGTGTGGAAAGTACAATGAAAAAATAGAGAGTTTTCTGGGAGCACATACATGGGTAGGCCCTGGAGGTCTCGATGTTTAAAGAGGTACATGAAGAGAATCTAAGGGTTAACTAGGGAAAGGAAAAGGAGTGTGGCAGAAGGAAATTATAAGCAGAGGTAAAACAGGATGTGTAAAAGTCTGAAGGTAAGACAGATAGTAATAGGACAGAAAGACAAAAAAGCAGTTGTGTTAAGTTTTAATTCAAAAACAAGAAAAAGGATCACCTATAGAAAGGTTTATACCATGGACCCAAGATAAAAGGCAAAAAACAGGAAAGAATTTTAGTTTCCAATGACAAAACAAAAAAAGTATAAAGATAACAGTTGAACCTGGAATAGCAGGCATTTCAGTCACAACGTAGACATTTCAAAGAGAAGATGACTTGGAGCTGCTAGACTGCTTGGAGAGGACTATTCACGTACTACAGTATAGGGGATGGCATAGACAGATTTAAAATAGTGAAAGTCTGATTAAAACTAATCAATTAAAACTAATTACATTTTAACTTTATAGTCTGTCTCTCCAAACTCCAACACTGTGTGTATTATATAACTATGGACAAAATGGAAAAGGAAAGAGTATTATAAGAAAAAACAAAAATGACTAGGGTTTGATCATTCAAAGTAGAATCAGAGGAGGAGAGGGAAGAACTGTACTAACTTATTTCAAACTTTTAATTACATAGAATGTTTATGCTCCCTATACAAGCTTTCTGACTCAACATCATCATCGAGATGCTCAGCATCATCACAAACATCATATCTGTCCTCCTGTACCTTTAGTACAAACGGCTTTAAAGATTAACTTGTCATTAATCCTGTTGACTGGGCACAGTGGCTCACACCTGTAATCCCAGCACTTTGGGAGTCTGTGGCAGGGGAGGATTGATACCAGCCTGGGCAACATGATGAGATCCCATCTCTACAAATAATTTTTAGAAATTAGCCGGGTGTGGTGAATGCACCTGTGGCCCCAGCTACTCAGGAGGCTGAGGCAGGAGGATCCCTTGAGCCTGGGAGGTTGAGGCGGCATTGAGCCATAATTGTACCACTGCACTCCTGCCTGGGGAGCAAGACTCTGTCTCAAAAAAAAAAAGAAAAAAAAAACCTTATCTATATTTCACAAGTAATTTTACAAATAAAATCTGAAGTATTTAAATAGCCAGGCATGCTGGCTCACACCTGTAATCCTATCACTTTGGGAGGCTGAGGCAGGTAGATCACTAGAGCCCAGGAGTTTGAGGCCAGCCCGGGCAACATGGTAAAACCCCTTCTCTACAAAAAATACAAAACTTAGCCAGGCCTGGTGGTGTGCGCCTGTAGTCCCAGCAAGTTGGGAGGCTGAGGTGGGGGGATCACTTAAGCCTAGGAGGCGGAGGTTGCAATGAGCCTAGATAGGGCCACTGCACTCCAGCCTGGGCAACAGAGCCAGAGCCTGTCTCAAATAATAATAATAATTAATAATAATAATAATAATAATAAAATGTTTAAACAGCAAATTAGGATAGAAAAATACAATGGTATTGATTAAAAAATTAGTTAAGATGTATTAAACCATAAACACTTGAACTTTGGGCTAAAGTTCTGATTCCACTTCTTAATTTAAATAGATAAGGTAATAATAGTTTGGAATTTACACTTCAGAAAAATGTAATTACCATGACAAAATCTAAAATCTTGGGTAAATTGAGTAAGTTATTATTATTATTATTATTTTTTGAGATGGAGTTTCACTCTTGTTACCCAGGCTGGAGTGCAATGGCACGGTCTTGGCTCACTGCAACCTCCACCTCCTGGGTTCAAGCGATTCTCCTGCCTCAGCCTCCCGAGTAGCTGGGATTACAGGCGTCCACCACCACACCCAGCTAACTTTTGTATTTTTAGTAGAGACGGGGTTTCACCATGTTGCCCAGGCTGGTCTTGAACTCCTGACCTCAGGTAATCCACCCACCTCAGCCTCCCAAAGTGGTGGGATTACAGGCTCGGGCTACTGCACCTGGCCAAATCAAGTAAGTTAATTATTCTAAGTCTGTACTGAATACAAATAGCTCCACAGTTTCCTTTGTGATTCACATCAAAGAGAACAAAATATGATTAAACGTGGCAGTGTGTTCAACTTACTGTGACTTCAAATTTTACTATATATTTGTGTATGAAAAAGTAATTAAAGGCATCTGCATGTTAACATGTTATTTAGAAGTTAAAAATTGTAATTCCTTTTTGTTTCCTAGATACCTTGGCTCATTACACAAATTTAAATGGAGTCACTGATGCTTTAAAATAAATGTCTACTTATAAATCAGTTAATAACATTCCCTATTTTTATCACAAGTTTCCACATTCCTAACACATTATTAGAACAGTTCAATGTACCAAATATTATTTGAGTAGAAGAGCCTGCAAAGACATCAATAGTGAATTGTTTAGCCAGAATCAGACTGAGAATTTATAGGTAATATAAATCATAGTCATCAAATTGTAAACCTAACCATGTCAGAATTTCTCTAAGAAACTTAGCAGTAATTCTGACTTTGTGATAATGCTTTTCATAGTAAGACTCACTAAGAAAGTAGCTGCTTGCCAGAAGCCAGCAGCAATTCAGTTGTCTGTTGAATAAATTTGTTGGTTCTTTGTTTTTATAGATTATAAAATAAAAGTAAACAAACTGGTAAGAAAAACACTGTCTTTCCACAAATCTGGGCAAGTTAATTTTTATACTGATCTACAGCCCTCTATTTGAAAATTTGCTTGATCCCAAAACAATTATTCTCTGAAGACAGAGGGGTAAAAACCACTGACATTCACAAAGCCAAGTGTTCACAAATATAAGAGGATGCATATTCATTATAAAACACATGCTCTGGCCGGGTGCAGTGGCTCACGCCTGTAATCCCAGCACTTCGGGAGGCCGAGGCGGATGGATCATGAGGTCAGGAGTTCAAGAGCAGCCTGGCCAATATGGTGAAACCCCATCTCTACTAAAAATACAAAAAATTAGCCAGGCGCGGTAGCAGGCGCCTGTAATCCCAGCTACTCGGGAGGCTGAGGCAGGAGAATTGCTGGAACTCGGAGGATGGAGGTTGCAGTGAGCTGAGATCATGCCACTGCACTCCAGCCTGGGCAAGAGTGAGACTCCGTCTCAAAAAAAAAAAAAAATGCTGTATACCAGACGCAGGCTGAGTCCTTTTATTAATAATAACAAAAGGTATTACCTAATTTACTCCTTGAAACAGCCTTATAAGGTAAATTGTATCATTATCCCTGTTTTACAAAGGAGGAAAAAGAAGTTCAAAGAGGTTAAATCTATTTCCCACAGCAATAGTAAGTGGCAGGGGTAGTCTGTGTGACACAGAGGTTGAAGAACTACTAAATATTTTATCAGTGTTTCTCAAAATGCAGTTCATGGTCCATCTACATCAAAATCACCCTGGAGGTCTGTAAAGTACAAAGTCCTAGGGCCCACTAAATCAAAATCTTTGCCGACAGAGCCAGTAACCTGCACTTTCAATAATTTCTCCAAATAATTCCAATGCTCAATATAGCTGGTAACTATCAATATGCCATAGTAGACTTACGGCTGACTTGTTTTTAATTTGGGGTTATTTCTCTTACAAGAAATAAGGATAGGACAAAACTCAACTAAGATGCCAGCAAATAAGAATGTTATAAATAACTGAGAAAACAGCATAATATTTCTTCAGGCTTTTACCACACAGTACTGATTTATTTCAATGACTACCACGGAAATCAATGCGCACATTGTAAGAGCAGTTAAAATCATTACATGTATTTAAAGCAAACTGACTCTTCATGTGCCTAAACTGAATGCTAATCAATGTTCTATATCTGATATCATTTAGCTAACCAAAAGTTTTAGAAGGAAGACCTTAGAACTTTGCAACTTTCAACAGTTCTTTAAGTGTGTAAGTATCATAATTCATTTCCCCCTAAAAACATAGTATACTCTTTTTTTTTATTGAGACGGGGTCTCGCTCTATTGCCAGACTGGAGTGCAGTGGTGCAATCTCGGCTCACTGCAACCTCTGCCTCCCAGGTTCAAGCTATTCTCCTGCCTCAGCGTCCAAGGTAGCTGGGACTACAGGCACATGCCACTACACCCGGCTAATTTTTGTACTTTTAGTAGAGACAGGGTTTCCTCATGTTGGCCAGGATGGTCTTGATCTCTTGACCTCGTGATCCACCCATCTCGGCCTCCCAAAGTGCTGGGATTACAGGCATGAGCCACCGCACCCAGCCAAACATAGTCTACTTTTATGAGAACATCCCCATGCTATGAAGTTGTTAAACCTTATTTAAACATGATGATTTATCTTGGTCCTTCTCCCCTTGGTATGGCTTTAGCCTTACAGTCCTAAGAGGACACATCCCTTCTGCTCACTCTGGAGGCAATCAAATGTTTAAATCAAGACTTAGAATGTACACTTTAAGAGGCTGAAAAATTTTCAATCCAGTTCAATCCAACAAAATGCATTTCGTCCACTAAACTAAGAAAAACTCAAAGGAATAGGACCTGAGCCATATTCCCAAGGGGCTTGCAACTTGTGGGGGTAAACAAAATCATTTCCAACAGACTTAGAGATAGGGCAAAAAGCAAATTAATTGCTTCAATTGAAATATAAAGTGTTGCAGAAATGCAAATAGTAAAATAAATTAACTCAAAGAGAAATGGACAAGCATGACAGAAAAGGCAGCATCTGAATTGGGCTTTGATGACAAACAATCATCTCAATTGTCAAGGGCTGAAAGATGAAGTACATTCTTAAATGAAGGAAGATTAGGAGTGATGTATATAGTGTAGCTATAATATAAAAGTTCATGGTGTGGTCACGGTATATTGACCAGTGCTCTGTAGTTGAGGCAAAGAACACACGTGAGGAGAAATGAGCATGGGAAATTAAGTCAAGGATAGGAAACTAAGAGACTCTGAAGCCATGCTAAGGAATTTAAACAAAGGTTTCTAAGCAGAGAAGTGAAGTAATTAAAAGAAATTTAATGTCAATTTAATGTGAATTAAAAATACATTTAAAAAATTGTCCTTCATCCTTTCGTATCATTGAGAGGAAGTAAAATAAGAAAGATAAGAAACTTATAATGATGGCACCAAGAAAGAAAGATGCAAGAAATATGTCTGAGTTAAGATGGATAGAATCTAATATGAAGCTTGACAAGGAAAAGTCAAAGGTTAGTCAAGTTAGACACTGGAATTAAAAATACTATCAACCAGGATATAAAACACAGAAGGAAGAACAAGTTTGCCTTTTTTTTTTTTTAATACCTTTAGGTGGATCATGGCAGGGAAAGATGAATTCACTTTAGATATAAGATTTAGGTGCTAGAAAGTATAACCAAGAGGCATTTATTAAAATGAATCTGAGGTTTCAGAAATACCTCAAGAGCAGAAAAGTTCATCTAGGTATCACCTACAAAGATAGGAAGGATAGGTGAAGCATGGAAATGGCTGTGATGAAGCAAAGAATGTACATCATCCGAGAACAAACTAGAGCGAAGGGCTGATCCACTGGAAATAACTTTTATTTTAAAAGTAGGTGGTAAAAGGGGAACAGTAAAACTCGTAAGAAATAAGAAGAATATTAGGAAACTACAATGTTTCAAAAGCCAAAGGAGAAGAGAGTTTGAAGAAAACTGATTGGTCAACAGTGTTAAAATGCTGCAGAGATGTTAGGAGGTACATGAAACTAAAAAGAAAACAATCATTAGGAATTAGAAGGTCATTATTGTAGGTGAAACAATCAATGTACAGGAATATTTGTTTCAAATAATTCAAGATTTTTTCTTTTCTTTTTTTTTTTTTTTTTGAGACCAAGTCTCGCCCTGTCGCCCAGGCTGGAGTGTAGTGGCATGATCTTGGCTCACTGCAACCCCCGCCTCCCAGGTTCAAGTGATTCTCCTGCCTCTGCCTCCCAAGTAGCTGGGACTACAGGGGTCTGCCACCATGGTTGGCTAATTTTTGTATTTTTTTTTTTTAGTAGAGACAGGGGTTTCACCATATTGACCAGGCTGGTCTCGAACTCCTAACCTTGTGATCCGCCCGCCTTGGCCTCCCAAAGTGCTGGGATTACAGGCATGAGCCACCACGCCCAGCCTAATTCAAGATTTCTTAAGGCAAAAGTATTTTTAACTTTTAGATACTACTAAAAATCCAAAAAAAGATGATTTTCAAATAAAACGGAGCCATTTTTAACATATTGAAAATTATTTGACTGATTAAATAAATTTGTTTTCTCTAATAATACAGTGTTTTCAAAAACAGTAAATAAGCAGCTTCTGCTTTCAAAGTAATTTTTTAATCAACTGACAAAGCTCCTTGACCAAATTTTTTAGGTTCCTCTAAGCTCACTTCTACTAAGTTTCATTCTTGGTTCCCTTCCTGTCATTGGTCTATCCTAGACCAGTTTTAGATAAGAATCCAGCAATAGTCATTCCCCTCACCTTGGACTGCTTTAGCAAGAATCCCCTACCTTTGATGTCTCCTCTTTGTAATTTTTCTATCCACTGACCACCTCACCTTAATCCTTGGCTATAAATCCCCACTTGTCGTTGTTATATTGAGAGCTGAGCTTATCTCTCTCCCCTACTGCAATACCCTTAATTGCAGTAGTCTTGAATAATGTCTTCCTCACAGTTTTAACAAATATCAGAATAATTTTTTCTTTAACACAACAAGGCATTTAAGGAAAGCAGTCACACTCTTTTCGATATTAACAGAAAACTAATTTACCATACAATCACAAGTAAAAGTGAAAGTTCAACAGAATATCCATATGAGTAACAATATAAATATTAAGGTAAGTTAGAGTTTACACAGTGAGTATAAAAAGGTTCCCTCAATATTTTAAGCAAAATAATTTTTTAAAAGGCTTTCCTATTTAAAACAAAGATAAGGGCACTGAAAAGTAGTAGAATCAAGCTTACTGCCCATTCATGCCAGAACTTACCAGTCAGAACTTTTAATAATAACAGAATGAAAATGGGAGAAAGTAGCTGGTGTGTAATCTGTAGTCAAGTTATATGTCATATAAAGTAATGGATACAAATAGCACTTGACACCCAAATTCCTCTATTCAGTCAACAAATACTTATTCAGGCTTGGCCCAAGATTGGAAAGATAGGATAATACTGCAGACCCCCTCTGCCGGAAAGGATCCTATGAGTTAGGAGACATGACATGTACAAATAAGCAGAATGCTATAAGTAGTTATAATACAAAGATGAATAGGATAAATTAATTCAAAAAGGGTACAAGTAAGGTGTTATCAGAGTTCAGAGGAATGAGAGATAATTTCTGATAAGAAGGCAAGAAAAGGTTTCATGAAAAAGAGGGTATGTGATTTAAGTCTTCATGGATGATTATTAGGATTTAACACGTAGAAGAAAAAGAGAAGGCATTTTAGTGATAGAAAGAAGCATAAGAAAAAGCAGCCCAGGCACAGTGGCTCACGCCTGTAATCCCAGCACTTTGAGAGGCCAAGGCAGGTGGATCACCTGAGGTCAGGAGTTCAAGACCAGCCTGGCCAACACAGTGAAGCCCCGTCTCTAATAAAAATACAAAAATTAGCTGGCATGGTAGTGCATGCCTGTAATCACAGCTACTTGGGAGGCTAAGGCAAGAGAATCACTTGAATCCAGGAGGCGGAGGCTGCAGTGAGCTGAGATCACATCACTGCACTCCAGCCCAGGCAAAAGAGTGAGACAGTGTGTCCAAAAAAAAAAAAAAAAGGAAAAGCAGAGTGTATTAACAGTTTTCTGTATCCAATGGAAAGAAGAACAGTAGAAATTAACACTTAGGCCTGTGTAGTGAATTGAATACTGTCTCCCAAACATTCATGATTATCTGGAACCTCAGAATATGGCCTTATTTGGAAATAGGGTCTTTGCGGATGTAATGAATTAAGGATCTTGAGGTAAAATTATCCTGGATTTAGCCTGGGCCCTGAATCCAAAGAGGAAAGGACACAGAAACACACAGAGAAGGCCATGTGAAGACAGAGGCAAAGAATGGGAGATGCTGCCACAAACCAAGGAATGCTTGGGGTCACCAAAAAATGGAAGAGGCAAGGAATAATTCTTTTCTAGGGACTGAGGCAGAGCAGGAGGCACCTTTTGAGGGGCCGAGGGGCCTAGGGGTCCCTGCATGCATGGAAATAAAGGATACTCCTGAGTTCCTTCAAGTGAAACTCTAGGCATCTATCTAGCCAGCCCTGAGAAATAAGTAATGTGTTAAGCCAGAAAGTAATAGTAGCCTAAAAGAAGATGTTTGATTTCCCTATAGCAACTAAAGATAACATCTTAATATGTGTCCCTGAGTTGTCATTCAGAAGCACAGACCCCCTCCCTCACCAAGAACTCCCACTGAGCTGATCAGACCTTAGACCACAGGGGAACTAAAGACTCAATGCTCACCATCCTTCTTTGTTCTAAATTTCTTCCCAGCCTGGGTGTGGTGGCTCATGCCAGTAATCCTAGCACTTTGGGAGGCTGAGGCGGGTGGATCACTTGAGGTCAGGAGTTTGAAACCAGCCTGGCCAACATGGTGAAACCCCTTCTCTGATAAAAATACAAAAAATTTAGCTGCACATGGTGGCAGGCACCTATAATCCCAGCTACTCAGGAGGCTGAGGCAGAAGAATCGCTTGAACCTGGGAGGTGGAGGTTGCAGTGAGCCGAGATCGCGCCACTGCACTCCAGCCTGGGCGACACAGCAATACTTCGTCTCAAATTAATTAATTAATTAATTTCTTCCTGAAGGGCCTGGAGGGAGTCACACCCGTGAGCCAGTTAACGTTCTTTTCTGCTGACCTCAAATTTTTAAAAGATGGTTCTCTTCCTTAACCAATTGCAAATCAGAAAATTTTTAAATCTGTCTACCTATCTATGACCTACTTGTAAGCTCCCCTTTCAAGATATCTGGCCCTTTTAGGCCAAAACCAATGAGTATCCTCCATGTATTGATTTACGATTTTTGCCTGTAGCTTCTATATTCCTGAAAGTTACCCTTGCCTTTAAAAACCCTTACCCATGAGCCTTGGGGAGGTTGGGCTTTGAGCATTTACCTGGTCCTCTTTGCTTAATGCCCTATAAATGTCTTCCTTTCTACTGCTACAGAAACTCTGGTGTAGATATGTGATTTTTACTGAGCCAGGTAAGCAGACCCAATTGCGATTCTATAACAGGACTTCAGAGGGAGCACAGCCCTATAAACATCTTGATTTCAGCTGCTAAAACTGAGTAAATGTCTCATTTCAGTTTATGAATTGTGGTAATTTGTTACAGCAACCCTAGGAAACTAATATAGCTTCATTAAGGACAATTCACAGAGGCCTATATTTTCCATGCCCAGCATTTCTTTTTATTACATTTTGAAAAAAACAAAACACTGACAAAAAAAAAATTTCTCAGGCCGGGCATGGTGGCTCACGCCTATAATTCCAGCACTTCGGGAGGCCGAGGCGTGTGGATCACGAGGTCAGGAAATCGAGACCATCCTGGCTAACATGGTGAAACCCTGACTCTACTAAAAATACAAAAAAATTAGCCAGGCATGGTGGTGGGCGCCTGTAGTCCCAGCTACTCGGGAGGCTGAGGCAGGAGAATGGCGTGAACCCGGGAGGTGGAGATTGCAGTGAGCCGAGATCACACCACTGTACTCGAGGCTGGGCAACAGAGGGAGACTTCGTCTCAAAAAAAAAAAAAAAAAAAAAAAAAAAGTCTTGGCTGGGCACAGTGACTCACAACTGTAATCGTGACTCAAGACTCAGGACTTTGGGAAACTGAGGTGGGAGGATTACTTGAGCCCAAGAGTTCAAGACCAGCATAGGCAATATAGACCCCTGCAGTCTCTACAAAAGATAAAAAAATTAGCCAGGCATGGTGGCGAGTGCCTGTAGTCCCAGCTGCTTGGGAGGATGAGGTGAGAGGACTGCTTGAGCCCAGGAAGTTGAGACTGCCGTAAGCCACGATGGTGCCACTGCACTCCAGCCTGGGACAGAATTTAAATAAATTTCTCCTTTATAAGCATATTCTCATATTACCAGCCAATTATATATATAAAAAAAGGCAAACAGAAAACAATGAAATGTCATTACTTACAATGTGTGACTCCAGCCAGAGTTTGGTAGAAAGTAGGAGTATCACTATCATCAGTGAGGGTAACATACACACCTCCAGATAGAAGCCATCGAGAGAAAGTAAAAGCATCTTTGTTTAGAAAAAGCCAATTTCTAAACTTTTCATAGTTTACCTTTTCACCCTAAAATTAAAACAAGAAAACATAAGTTTAGTCAAATTTTAAGGTATCTTACTTGGAACCTGCACAACCTGAAATTTGCAATTAGTTGGCAATTACCTTTCTGCTGTCTACAAAGGAAGGATTATCTAATAACACTGCAGGGTGTATATACATATTTGGAAATCAAACTTTTCAAAAATACTTGTGCTTCATAACTTCTACTTGCATAAAATCTGTATGTTAACTACAAATTATTTCATCAATTCAGTAAAGCAGTACACTGCCAATAAGCCAGATTTTGTTTGCTAAGTATATCCCAAAACCAGTAAACTGCATTTTGTTTTTTGTTTTTGTTTGTTTGTTTGAGACGGAGTCTCACTTTGTCGCCCAGGCTGGAGTGCAGTGGCGCGATCTCGGCTCACTGCAAGCTCTGCCTCCCGGGTTCACGCCATTCTCCTGCCTCAGCCTCCTGAGTAGCTGGGACTACAGGCACCCACCACCACGCCCGGCTAATTTTTTGTATTTTTTAGTAAAGATGAGGTTTCACCGTGTTAGCCAGGATGGTCTTGATCTCCTGACCTTGTGATCTGCCCGCCTCGGCCTCCCAAAGTGCTGGGATTACAGGCATGAGCCACCGTGCCCGGCCATCTGCATTTCTTTAAACATTTAATAAATCCAATTTTTCACTTGCCTTATCCCTCTTCTTTAGCACTCTTCAATCTGCCTGAGTTACTATATCTTAATTAAATCTGTATGGAATTAAAATACTCTTTAAATTTCATTTGTGAATTAAAAACAACTATCCAGGTGTCCTCCTAGAGTAGACATTCAGGATCCCAGAAGGCATCACTGAAAACATGTATGTACACAGAGAACAAAAAGAAGCAAGTTGATTTCTGTTTCTTTGCTTTCTTTCCAGGTATTTTTCTTGATAAATCTCTGGAGAAAAGTATCCAGGCTGAAAAAGAGCATCATATGGTTGTTCACGCCAATCCCTTTGCTTGGAAGACAAGAGATCCTAGGTTTAGTGGGAGCCAGGTATTTCTAAGCAGAAAAAGGGAGAAGCAATTCACAAGGAAATACAATGAAGCTACAACCTGAACTATTTGATCAGGAAAAAAAAGAAAGAAATACATTGAATAATGACAGTCAAGATTGGAGCAGCTCTAATCCTAATAGACATGCTAAAGAATACGAATAATTAGTTACCTAAAAGAAATATGGTAGAAACATATCTACATTGTTTAGTAGCATCCCATTAAGTGAGGCGATACTTTTAGCCCGGTACTTTCAGAACATTTAACGTGACTGCAATCCAAGCAATCAAGACATTGACAGTCTTGTTTTTCTGAATGGAAGAATATGGTGTGAAAGTGGATCATACAAATTGGGTCATTCTTGTCATAACTAAATCAGAGTCAACAGGCCCGGGGTAGAAAGCATTCACGATACATTGCTCTCGAAATGTAATTCTCTGTAAGTCCAGCTGCTGAGATGACTTGCTGCAACTAATTTTGCCCACCACCATCGCCCACCAACTGAAGTTTGCCAGCTCCCTAAAGCTTTACTAATACCAATGAACTTTCTCTCAGGACCATATGTAACACTCCCATTTTTAGAAAACTCCCAACCTTCTCTTTGTTCTTTGGACATATTGAAGATCACCCAGTCTTCATGTATGCCCTATACATTTTTATTTTGACATTGACAATGACATTCAGACATGTTGCAGGGACATATGAGTACACTGCCAACATGTTTAGAGATGAGAGTTCCTACCCATATTCTTTCTGTATCCCATGTTTAGTCTAGAAAGAAGCTTAGTATAAATTCTACAAGCTGATGCACATTTTTACACACATTAACATCTCTGACATTGGGATAAGTCTTAAAATCAATAGCATCCTTTAATTGTAATTTCTTAGTGGTTGCGATATTGTTAAATATATATTTGGTCTTCATCTCTTTTTCTGGCATGCAACTCCTAAAATTCTTGTAATCTCCAAAGTGATAAATGACTCTGCATGCTAATGAATGGACCCCACAGCTGGGTGGGGGGCTGCTAGATAGCCTCAGGATGGGGGCTGGCCACTGGGAAAAAAAAAAAGAAAACCACAATGATTAACCTCTAGGGAGGGAGGGGAGAGGGCTTAAAGTTGAGCTGATTACCAATGGTCAATGATTTAATCAATCATGATCGCTAGCGAAGATGTCTAGGGGTCAGTTTTGTGGAACTAATCCCTCAAGCTGTGGGATCTGATGCTATCTCCAGGTAGACCCTTCTACCACCTTCATACAGAGCTAATACCAAATGTTTACAATGTCCTAAGAACTGCTCTAAATATTTCAAATACTAATTTAATCTTCAAAACACTCTCTACAGAAGACACTATTATTATCCCCATTTTATCATGAGAAAACCAAGACACCAAAAGGTTAAGGAATTTGCCTACTGTTATACAGTGGAAGAAAGAGGACTGAACTCAGGTAGTCCAGGCTCCAAAGTTAGCACACTGCCTGTCTAAGTGAAATACAAAGTAATCTCTGAAATTCACTTGCCCATTGGGAATCATTCCACATAACTGGTAGACCAAAAATTATACAGTCAAATCTGATTTTTTATGTTTCTGAGTCATGGATCTCTTCTAAAAAGAGAAGAATAGCATAAAATATAAATTTCCATTTTAAGAGTCAACAACCTAAAATAAGTCAGTGAGAAAAAAACTTCATACAACACCTAGGTAGATTCCTTTATAACTTCATCTGTCAAGGCTAATAATAAAGCACAAGATAGAAAAAGCTGAGACCCATATCACTTAAATCTAAGCACTAGGTCCTTATATTTTAGCTAAAGTGCTTCTCTCTCTGTGTGTGTATGTGTGTGTGTGTGTGTGTGTGTGTGTGTGTGTGTATAAACACAAAAACAACACAAAGCATTGTTATTGAAGGTCTGAATTAACCTATTCTAATATAAATACTTGGATAGCAATGTTCTACATGCAATCATCGACACACTACTCAGATATTACAGCAGGCAAATAAATCAAATAGTTGAATCAAATACCAATAGCCCATTTACAATGTTGGTTTTATACCAACTAGAGGTATCTAATAGTTCAAATAGCCATATACATGAGCTTCACATTTCTTTGATCTTTTCTCCTCTAAAGATCTTATTAAAAACACCACCAACTCAGGCATTAACTACCACAGTCTTATGATGTCTTTATTGTAGTAACTTCCTCTTCCCATAATTGAAAATTTAAGCATTCCACTCTTCCTATCACCATTTCCTCTTATGAGTACATTTCATCTAGTATCCTACACCAGCAATTTTTTAATTCCACAGGACCTACACCAATGACCTACCTGCAGATCACCAAATTTAATGATCACTTCTCAGTGATCAAAGGTCAACTCACTAGACCTTCCAGGGTATTTGACATAGTTGAGTTCTCCTTCCTTCTTGAAACATTGTCCTCAGTTGGCTTCCAGGACACTATTCTCTTTTATTAATCCTCTTTTCTTGCAGGCTATTTCTTAGTGGTCTGTTTTGAGTCCTCTTCATCTCTCCAAACTCTAAACACTGGATGACAGGACTCATTCTTCCAACCTGTTTTCTATCTAAACTTACTCCTAGATGATCTCATCCTCACCTGTAAGCCAACAACAAATCCTTTACTCCTCAACAACAGATTTATATATCAAAAATCACATCTGACAACTCCACTTGAGTGTCTAATAGGATTCTCAAGTGTAATTACAACTTTCTTGATATCCAACCCCCTAACCTGCTTCTCCATTACTCTTAGCCATCTCAGTTAGTGGTAATTCCATTCATTTACTGAATCAGGCTAAATACTAATCATCTTCCCCCTACTCATTCTGTCACATAGTCCATAATCAATACGAGAAAAAATTCTAGGCCAACTCTACCTTTGAAATAAATGCAGAATCTGAAAACTTCTCACTACCTCACTGCTACACCATGTTCTAAATGACTGATTAAATCACTGACCATTGGTAATCATGACCCTCATGCCTGGATTATTCAGATACCTCAATTGGACTCAGTTCAGCCTACTTCCCACATAAGATCCAAAGTGATCATGTGTGTAAAAAAAAAAAAAAAGCCTCATATTTTGTTACTCCTCTACTCAAAACCTTCCAGTGGTTTCTATCTCACTCAGGGTAAAAGTCAAAGGACTCACGCTGTCCTATAGGACAATATATAATCATTTCCTACCACTCCCTTGTTCACACCATTCCAACTAAATTGGCCTTTTTATTGTTCCTTGGACATACAAGTACACCCCCACCTCAAGGCCTTTGCTATATTCTCTTGATGAAAAGTGGTCCTCCAGATATCTTCATGGTTTTCTTTCTCACTTGCTATAAATTATTTACTCAAATCTTAGTTATCTGATAGACCTAAGCATTCTATATAAAATAACAAGATTCAGATTTTCTCTATTACCACCTTCTTCCTTTATTCTACTTTATTTTCCCCTATAGCACTAATTATCAGCTAATACATGTGCCTGCTATTGTGTTTAAGTTTTTAGAGTACTGGGTAGCCAACCACCCTTAGTTTCCATCTACAAAAATGAGAATGTCTGCATAAACCGTATTAAAATGAAAAAATATCATACTTCCTGAAAAAGAAAAGAGTATTAATGTTTTGGACATCTATGTCAAAAATCCAATCAGTCAAGTTTGCTAGATTATCTTTTTTTCTTACAAGCAAATTTTATTATGGGGGAAAAAAACAAACAAATCATAGCTCAGTTCGTCCTGAAGTAGTAAATTACTATCACAGCAACTTCCAGTCAATATGTCAGAACCAAAAACACAGGAAGCACATCCTTTTGCACCTGACACTTGGAAATGCTGGATAAAACGTTAGCACCATAACCACCGCCAAAAACTGCATGCTAGGCTCAAAAGCAAGAAAGAGATATCACCAGGTGCTATCAACACAGGAGATATTCAAAACCAGAGTGGTAAGAAACTAATGATAGGCAGTCCAAAGATATATCAGAACCAGATACATGCAAAGGCTGAAATATGGACAATCAATGTCTATACAGTCAGGAAGGCAGAGCTAACTCCCCAAATAAAACAAAGAACAATGGAGGACTGTCATACTGGTGAAATGGAATTGTGTCAAAAAGCCACCCAAAAGAAAATGGGCAGCACTGAGTGCTGCATGAAAGAATCAGAACTTCTAAAGGGATTTTTACTCTACAATCACTAAGGACTTGTCACATACTAGCAGACCTCTGAAAAGAAAAATAAAATAATTCTCTCTGTTAAAGATATACTTTTTCTATTGCTGAATTTTCTATTGTTTAATTTTTCTATAAAGACACAATGAAAATATATTATTTTTGAAAACAGAAAAAATGACTTTCCCCACCCTCTGGTAGAGTCGGGGTCTTGCTACATTGTCCAGGCTGGTCTTGAACTCCTGGGCTCAAGAGATCTTCTCACCTGGGTCACCCAAAGTACTTGGATTACAGGTGTGAGCCACCTTGCCTGGCCCAAAGATGACAATTTTTTAACACAAATATTTCACTATGCAAATCAACTAGGTGAAATAAATGACAAAATAGGCTTTGATAAAACAGGTCACAGATGGCTCAAGGCTAATGAATGAATGATATCCGTGATGAAAAGCAAAGACACTACAACATGAGCACTGTTTCAGGTTCCTGCAGGAGTGTGTGTGTGTGTGTGTGTGTGTGTATTACTGTGTTAGTGTGAGTATATAGAATTGTGTTTCATTATACTCTAAGTATGAATAGTTGCCTTTACAGTAGAATTGAAAATTTTCAGATTTACAAATGTAACAGTAATGAGAGTCATGCAATAGCACATAAATGGAAACATCAATAAATATAAAAATGCCAAGAGTAATCTGCACATAAACATCTGTTTGTCATACTTAAAACTTATTACACAACTAAGAGTTAATACTTTGTCAATGAAAAGGGATAAAATGTAAATCTTTAACTATACCTCTGAGAAACACTTCCTGAGTGTATCTGGGACTTTACCATCCACCACGTGGAGCATTCTTTCCATTTCTTCCCGTATAACATAGTTCCCAGATTCACTTGAAAAAAGACTAAAAATGTCTAAGAAAAAGAAAGATAGAATAAATTAATCTTAACAAAGACCAAATATACGTTGGTGGAAGTAGGGAGAAAAGACAAAGCTACAATAACTGAGTGATTACTAGGGCCAAGCACCTTATAAATATAGTTTATTCCTTAAAATAATCCAGCAACAAAAATTTAAAACAGCAGTGTAGTATCTTTTCAAACATGCCAAATTTGCAAAAATCTTTAGGTATTACAATACAAAGTGTTAGCAAAGACTAGGAGAAACAGGACCTCTTATACACTGTTAATAGGAGCACAAATTATTGCAACCATTTTCATGAGTAATTTGGCAAAATCTAGTAAAGGTCAAGAGACATTCCAGAAACTCCACTTCCATCTTTGAAAAACTCTGAAACCTGCGTACAAAATACAAGATGTTCACTGAAATACTGTTTGTAAGAGCAAAACTTCGAAAAAAAAAAAAGATAAATGTCTGTCAACAAGAGAACAGGTAAAATGAGATACACACAATGAAATACTACATAGAAGTTAAAATATGTGTTTCAAGATGGATAAATATCAAAAGATATAATATTCAGAGGAAAAGCAAATGACAAAATCATCTGTATAGTACAGTAGTACCCCCTTATCCATGGTTTTGCTTTCCAAGGTTTCAGTCACCTGTGGTTAACAGAGGTCCAAAAATATTAAATGGAAATTTCCAGAAATGAACAATTCATAAACTTTAAATTGCACACTGTTCTGAGTAACGTGATAAAATCTCTTGCCTCCCTCTTTATCCCACCTGGGACCTGAATGATCCTGTTGTCCAGTGTATCCACATGCTACTCGCCTGTTAGTCACTTAGTGGCCATTTTGGTTATCAGACTTACAGATCACAAGAAGGGTGAGTACAGGAAGATATTTTAACAGAGAGAGTGACCAGATTCACATAAAACTTTTATTATAGTATATTGTTATAATATTACTATTTTATTATTGTTAATATCTTACTGTGCCTAATTTTTAAATTAATCTTTATCATAGATACATATGTATAGGAAGAAACGGTATATATAGGGTTTGGGACTATCTATGGTTTCAGACATCCACTGGGAGGGTCTTGGAACAGATCTGTGCAGATAAGGGGGGAACTAATGTGTACCATTTATTTAAAACTTTAAACCTGCAAAGTAGTTGACAATGTTTAAGGACACATAAACATGTTGTATAAAAACCAGCATGAGAAAAAAATCACCAAATTCATGAAAGTGGTAACCTCTGTAGAGGGAAGAACAGAATGGGATCATGAAGGGATACAAAGAAAACCTCACCTTAGTTTTAATATTTTTAAAAAATCAAATCAGGGACATATGATACAATGTTAAGAAATAGTTAAGCTAGGTGGAGGTACGTATTAGATATATGTTTGAAATATTGTTGTTATAGGCTGAACTTTATCCCCCTAAAGATATACTGAAGTCCTAACCTTGAAGTCCCTGTGTATGTGAGATTATCTGGAAACAGAGTCTTTGTAGATATAATCAAGTTAAGATGAGGTCATTAGGGTGGGACCCAATATAATATGACTGGTGCCCTTATAAGAAGAAAAGCACAAACAGAAAAATAAAGCCATGTGTAAGAAAGGCAGGGATTAGAACGATATAGCTGCAGGCCAAGGAACCCCAAGGATTGTCAGTCATCCTAGAAGCAACAGAGAAGAAAGAATTTTCCCCTACAGGTTTCAGAGAAAGCATGGCCCTGCTGACACTTTGATTTTGGACTTCTAGCCTTCAGAACTATGAGACGGTAAATATCTGTTGTTCTAAGCTACCCAGTTTGTGGTGCTTTGTTATGGCAGCCCTAGAAAACTAATACAATCACATTTTAAAAAATGAAGAAACTTTAAAAATATGTGTTTGTGACTTAAAAAATTGTTACCAGTTGTACCTCAGTATCTGTAGGGGATTAGTTACAGAACCCCCAAGGACACCAAAATCTGCAGGTGCTCAAGCCTCATATAAAATGGCATGGTATTTTGTACATAAAAACTAAAAAAGAAAATCCTAAGCACCCCAACCAACTGAACAGACTCCCTGTCTTGGCCAAGGGGACCCCAGAAAATCCTTAAAAACAGATACTGGTCATGAGGGGATGGGCAGTCAGACACATCTCATTATATCCAATCCCTTTTGCAGTTTAGAGATGCAACAACTAACCAGCATTAAAAATAAAGATCAGAAGACTGACAGACTCTTTGTGGCAGAAAAATCCCAAATTGTAAACAAAACCTAAGCTATGCCAGGCAAGGCATTAAGTCATGTACCCCTACACTTAAAGAATAAACTGCCAGGTATGGTGGCTCATATTGGTAATCCCAGCACCTTGGGATGCCAAGACGAGAGAATCATTTGAGGCCAGGAGTTCGAGACCAGCCTGGGCAACATAGCGAGACCCCTATCTCTACAAAAAATTTAAAAATTAGCTGGGCATTGTGGTACGTGCCTCTAGTCCCAGCTACTCAGAAGGCTGAAACAGGAGGATCACTTGAGCCCAGGAGTTCAAGGCTGCAGTGAGCTATCTTGCCACTGTACTGCAGACTGGGAGACAGAATAAAACCCTGTCTCAATCAATCAATCAATAAACTATGTTCTAACTGCTACAATGTTTTTCCTTTTCTTTTTTTTTTTTTCTTTTTGAGACAGAGTCTTGCCCTGTCGCCCAGGTTGGAGTGCAGTGGCGCAATCTCGGCTCACTGCAACCTCCACCTCCTGGATTCAAGCAATTCTCCTGTCTCAGCCTCCCTAGTAGCTGGGATTACAGTCACACGCCCAGCTAATTTTTGTATTTTTAGTAGAGACGGGGTTTCACCATATTAGTCAGGCTGGTCTCAAACTCCTGACCTCAGGTGATCCACATGCCTCAGCCTCCCAAAGTGCTGGGATTACAGGTGTGAGCCATCACAACCCACCTCAAAATATCATGGCATGAGCCACCGTGCCTGGCCATTTTTCTTTTTCTCTAGCAGTTATTGAATAAGCACTGGCCTTGAGATAAGCAATATTGAAAACAGTTGCAGCTCATTCACCACCAAATGCTAACCTACTGATTCCTGTTCCACAAGCCGTAACTACAGCTTTGACTGGACAAGAGAGCTATTTCAGTAGCTATCAACAAGTTAGTGGTCTCCTGATAAGAAGACCACTGACCATGGACTGGTTCTGGCTGGTTTACAGAGGCTGCTCACTTGACTGCCTTGCTGTCCTTGTTTCACCTTTTGACTTATAGGGCCTAACTGTAATGCATTTAAATATTAAGTCTCCACCCCAAAGTAAACATCGGGCCTAACTGTAATGCATTTAAATATTAAGTTTCCACCCCAAAGTAAACATGGGACACATATAACAGTATGCATGTGTCAGGAACCACTTCATGAATATTCATGGCCCCTCCGATAAGCTGTTGAATATGTACAACTGGCCAACCTCTTCAGCATAAATCTCTGTTCTATTCTCCCTTGCACAGTACCTGTTTGGGGTATCTGCTGGAGGCTATGTTTCTCAGCCTGTCAAAATGGCCAACTTGCAGGCTATAACCCTTTATAAGAAATAAAGTTTCTTTTCCAAATTTATAGATATCATAATTTTTTTCAGTTGACACATATAACCTATCCACATCCTCCCATATATTTTAAATCATCATTAGGTTATTTATAATACCTAAAACAATGTGAATACTATGTAAATAGTTGTTATAGTGTATTGTTTCTTATTTGTATTATTTTTTTTGCTGTACTGTTACCTTAAGCTCCTAGCCTTAAAAAGATCCCCCTGCCTCAGCCTCCCAAATAACTAGGATTACAGGCATGCACTACCATACCTGTCCTGTATTTTTAATTATTGCTGCCTGGGGCCAATTTATATTTCTGCTGGTGAAGAAATGCTAATTTGCAAAAATCAGGATCACAATTATATTCCAATACATAAAACTGGGTTTATGGATACATTCATTATCTTGATTATGGTAATGGTTTACTGGGCATATACACGTGTCAAAACATATACAAATGTGTAACTAAGTATGCTAGCTCATGTTTGTAATCCTAGCACTTTGGAAGACAGAGGCAGAAGGATCAGTTGAGGCCAGCAGTTAGAGTCCAGCCTGGGCAACCTAGCAAGACCCTATCTCTACAAAAACAAAATAAAGAAAATAAATTAGCTAGGCATGGTGGCATGCACCTATAGTCCTAGCTACTTGGGAGGTTGAGGTAGGTGGATCACTTGAGCCCAGGAGTTAAGGGCTGCAGTGAGCTATGTGCCACTGTGCCACTATACTCTAGCCTGGGCTACAGAGTAAGGCTCTCTCCTCTGTCCCCTATCCCCTCCAAAAACAAAAACAAAACCACGTATCAAAATATATACTTTATATATGTGCATATTATTGTATGACAATTATACCTCAATAAAACTTTTCTTAAAAATGATCTCTTTGTCCATTTTGTGCTGCTATAATAAAATACCACAGATCTAGCAACTTATTATAATGAACAGAGATTTATTTCTTACAATTCGGGAGGCTAAGAAGTCCAAGGTCAAGGCACCTGCATCCGGCAAAAGGACCTTCTTGCTCTTCCATCATCCCATAGCGGAAAGCAGAAGAGCAAGAGAACACATGCAAGAGGGAGAGAGAAGGAGGCTGAATTCTTCCTTTATAAGGATGGCACTCCTGTGATAAGAAGCTCACTCCTGAGATAACAGCATTCATTCATTCATGGGTGTGGACCCCTCATGATCTAATCATCTCTTAAAGGTCCCACCTCTCAACACTGTTGCACTGGGGATTAAGTTTCCACACATGAACTTTGGGTAACGTGTTCAAACCATAGCAAGAATTAAAAATAATGGTCTAGATTCAAGAATAGGAGGGGATTCTGAGAAATTTAGAAGCAGTCTCAGGGCAGCAGCTTAGTCTGTTGAGGCTGCTGTAACAAAATACCATAAACTGGGTGCTTATAAATAACAGATTTATTTCTCACAGTTCTAGAGGCTGGGAAGTACACCATCAATTCGGTGTCTGGTGAAGGACCACTTCCTAGTTCATAGACAGCCACCTTCTCATTGTATCCTCACACAGGGGAAAATATAAAGGGTCTCTCTGGGGCCTCTTTTATTAGGGCACTTAATCTCACTCATAAGATACTTATGATTAACCCTCATGACCTAATCACCTCCCACAGGCCCCATCCCCTAATACCATCACCTTGGTGGTTAGGATTTCAATATATGAATTTTGAGGGAGACACAAATATTCAGACCATAGTAGGCAGATTAGAAAAGGAAGAAGGAAGAGAGAAAGACCCAGCATATGGTGTTCAAGAATAAAAGCAAAGGAATTTTGGGTACAAAATGTTACATTCTGTGTAATATAAACAGCTGCCATACTTCCCCTGGGAAATCTTCAATAAAATATGCAGGGCTTATGAATGCTTTTGGTAAGGCAGATCTGTCTTTGGGGAGTTCAAAGAAAAGAATGAGGGGACAGAAGACCTTATAAATAATTAAATGAATGAACTTTTTAAAAGTAAATAAATCTATATCCCACGAAACAGACGGACACTAAGCAACTAAGATTATCTTCCCTTTCACATTTAGCAGGGGAAATGGTGTCCTCTCATTATAGCATTTCCCTGATCAGCAGGATTTAAAGGTAATGAATAAGGTGCCACTCTTTTCTCTGCTTAGATAATTCACCTAATAAAATTAATTTCTGAAGTTAAAAGTAAAACATTAAAAAAATTAAACCTTTTACAAATAACGTATATAAAATGTTATCAGGTAAGTAAACTTTGGTTTTGTTTGTGAAACAAATAGACTACTATGTCTATGTCATCAGAATTTTAAAAAATAAGTTCTATTGAGACATAATTCACATCCCATAAAATTCACCCTTTTAAAATAAACATTTCAGTGATTTTTAAAGTATATTTATAAGGTTGTGCAACTGTCACTCCTATGTAATTCCAGAACATTTTCGCCAACCCAAAAGGAAACCCTGTACCCATTAGCAGTTGTTCTCCATTTCCCTCTCACCTGATACCTCCAGCAACCACTAATCTATCATTTTCTGCCACTGTAGATTTGCCTAATCTTGAAATTTCATATAAATGGAATCATAATATATGGCCTATTGGGACTGACATCTATCACTAAGCAAAATGTTTTCAAGTTCATCCATACTGTAGCATGAATCAGTACTTTATTCCTTTTTATACCAGAATAATTTCCAGCATGTGGATATATCATGTTTTGTTTATCCATTTACCAGCTGGTGGACATTAGGGTTGTTTCCATTTTCTATTATGAACAATGATGCTATGACTATTTCTGTACAAGTTTTTTTGTGTGTGTGTGGTAAACATATGTATTAAATTTTCTTGGGTACAAACTTAGGAGTGGAATTGCTGGGACACACAGTAACAACGTTTAACAATTTGAGGAGCCACCAGGCTGGTTTCCAAAGTTGCTGCACTACTTTATACTCCCATCAGCAATGTATGATGTGGGTTACAATTTTTCCACATCTTCCTCAACACTTATTATCAGGCTTTTTACTTTTAGCCACTCTAGTAGGTGTGAAGTAGTATCTCACTGTAATTTTAATTTATATTTCTCTAATGACTAATTATGTTGCACATTTTTTAGGTGTTTATTTACCACTTGTATATCTTCTTTGGGAAAATGTCAATTCAAATCCTCTACCTGTCATCAGAATTTTGAGATAAATTATTCTGTACATAGACGAATTATTTTTGAGATAATAAAAGTACTTACATTTTGCTTTCTCTTCATCTTTGCCTCTTGTAAGGAGGACAAGTCCAACTATTAAATTATTGAAGTGCAGCCCTTTGGATGTTCCACCAAAAGAACAGTAAATCACCTGGAAAAAGATGATAAAGCCAACCTTAGGAGGCATTTCAGTTGTTGAGGAATCTGAGGCAGCTATCATCTTTAACAAATTTTATCTCCACCTCCACAACAGGCCCTGGTAAATTTTAGTGAAATCATGTTAAGTTTCTCCCTCTTCTTCCTCTTTTGGACCTTATTATTGCACTCAGCCTAGAATAGACTGTGACTACTGTAAAATACGTACAGATGGTCCTCAGCTTGATTTTTCAACTTTACAATGGTGTGAAAGTGATACACATTCAGTAGAAACCATACAGTACTCCATAAATTACATAAGATATTTAACACTTTATTATAAAATCTGATTTGCACTAGATGATTTTGCCCAACTGAAGGCTAATGTAAGTGTTCTGAGCACATATATATAAATATTTTGTTTGTTTATTTATTTATTTATTTATTTATTTATTTATTTATTTGAGATGGAGTTTTGCTCCTGTCGCCCAGGCTGGAGTGCAATGGCGTCATCTTGGCTCACTGCAACCTCCACCTCCCAGTTCAAGCAATTCTCCTGCCTCAGTCTCCCAAGTAGCTGGGATTACAGGCCACTTGGGATTACATGTGCCACCATGCCAGGCTAACTTTGTATTTTTAGTAGAGATGGCATTTCACCATGTTGGCCAGGCTGGTCTCGAACTCCTGGCCTCAAATGATCTGCCCACCTTGGCCTCCCAAAGTGCCGGCATTATAGGCATGAGCCACCGCGCCTGGCCTGAGCACATTTAAAACAGTCTAGGCTAAGCTCTGATGTTTGGTAGGTTAGGTGTATGAAATGCCTTTTCAACTCACAATATTCCCAACTTACAATGGGTTTATCGGGCTGTAATCCCAGGTAAGTAGAGGAGTATCTGCATATTACAGACCCACACAACTGAATTATTTATTCTTTCTCTTGGGAGTCCTTATCAAGGTCCAAGAGTACAAAGGTCCTCCAATAGCCACAATAATGTGATAAGAATTTTGTGCAATTACACAACTTCCTTCAAACCTGGGAAAACTTACGCACATTACTTTGATTGGAAAAAAAGATACTCTCTAACTGAATGTTCAGAAATTCAAAGAGACTCAAAAAAATATTTTTTAACACTCTCAGAAATAAGTATTATAGTAATCAGAAATAAAGAAGAAAAACTATGCATAGGAAAGGGACAACAGAAATCACAATAAATTCACTCATTCAACAGTTCTTTGTTGAGTGCCTACTATCTGCCAGGCAAAGTTTTTGTCAATAAAAATGCATGATTAAACAATAATTCGAGAAGTTAGTCAATATGAAAACTGAAAATATATATTAGTCACCAAATTATATTTATAAATATATTTAATAACACCTGACAACTGATGTCAAAAACTATCTATCTCTAGTGCCAGTGATAACTCAACCCAGCAAAAACTAGCCAAAGGAAATAGCTACAGAACATTAAAAGTATTTTTTAAAAAACCAAATAAACAGAACTAATACACTTTGTAAAATAACTATTTTTAGTTGCCCCATCTCCCACTCCCAACTAGAAGAAAATAACAGGGAAAAACAAAAACAAAAACACCTTTATCCCTGGGGAAGGGCAGGAAAACATAATGGCCCCAGACCTTACAGATCCCCTATCACTGGGAAGAAGGAAGATCAATGTAAAAGTGTCACCCCTAATATCCAGGGACACAGCACCTGCCTAAAACTGAGACAGAAATAGGACTACAGAGAATGTCTTTGAGGTGTGATAACAAATAGAAGGTAACATCAAAAGTTGAAGGTAGAGCAAACATTAGAAAAAACCTCTAAGAAAGAGCCCTAACCCCTAAAAAAAAAAAAGTAACCCTAGAATGGAAATTGAAGTCTCTATAGCACTTAGGGTAACCATAGCAACAAGACCAAAATTAAGCTAAACTATAGACTATATTGACTCAACTTCCCAAGCTGAAGGAAGATACTACTTGGCTCAGTCTCTTCTGTCCTATATGAAGCACTTATGTTTCAACCATAAATTTTAAGTCACAGAAAGAAGGAAAAACCCAATATATTGTCAGAGACGAAGGAAAAATATGCTAATGGAGTTTGAAGAATGCTTTGGAATGGCTCAAGAATAAACTCAACAGAGTTGCATAAGAGATTATCCAAAACGAAACAAAAGGGGGAAAATGTGAGGAGAGCGGGCAGGGGAAGGTAGACAGAACAGAAAACCCAAGAGCTGTGAGATCATATCAATGATGTAACATTCAAGTAATCCTGATATCCTACAAAAAAAAGAGAATGGGGCAAAATAAATATCTGAGGAGATAAGGTTGGGGATTTTCAAAATGAATAGACACAAAACCACAGATATTAAGAAGTTCAGAGAACAAGCAGAATAGATCACACCTATAATCCCAAAAACCAACTAGACAAATCACATTGAAACTTCTCAAAACCAAAGATAAAAAGAAAATGTTTAAGGCAGCCAGAAGAAAAACAAAATTACATTAAAAAAAACCCAAAAATTATAGCTGGATTATCATCAAAAATTATGTAAGCCAGAAATCAATGGTGTGAAATATTGAAAGCACTAAAGGAAAAAAACTCAACCATAAGTTCTGTACCTGGTGAAAATATCTTTCAAAAAGAAAAGATATTTTGCTTCCCTTTATTTTTTTATTTTTTTTTTTTACGGAAACAAAAACAGAGAAGTCATTACCAGCAAAAAGGGGTACAAGAAAGTACCTCAGGCTGGAGGAAATATTATGCCATTAGAGATACATGTACCTCCATAAAGAAATAAGAATACTGGAAATGGCATAAATGAAGGTAAATATAAAAGCATTTTTCTTATTTTTAATCACTGTGAAAGATTAACTAGCAGTCTACATCAGTAAGAGAAGAAATGTAAAGTGTCTTTATAGAATATGTAAAAGTAAAACACGTAACAATAGCACAGAGGATGGGAGAAAGGAATTGGAAGTATACTGTTGTATAGTACACATAAATGTTGTCTATACACCATTAAATGGTTTATTATACCAATTCACATGTGGTATATCTCATCTTTAAACTGCCAGTCACCAGGAAATTACGTGACCTTAGTAATCTAGTGTTTAAGCCTAACATTGACCTCATTAATAAACTCTTATTTTTATAATAAAAGCAATAGCTAATATTTAAATGCTTGTTATGTGGCATTTTACTACTGTAAGTTATTTACCAGTATTAAGCCTTTAGATGACTCCACAAGGAATACTGGTATCCTCATTTTAGGGCTGGGGGAAACCAGAGCCCAAAGAGATTAAGTAACTTGTCCAAAGTCATACATCAATGAAGCAGCAGAGTCAGAATTTTAACCTAGGAAAGACAGGCTTCTGAAACTGAATTTTTAACCAACTTTTAGTTCTATAGTACAATTAATATGTTAGTCTGTTTTGCATTGCTATAAAGGAATACCTGAGGCTGGGTAATTTTTATAAAGAAAAGAGGTTTTTTTGGCTCACGGTTCTGCAGCCTGTATAAGCATGGCACCAGCATCTGCTCAGCTTCTCATGAGGCCTCAGAAAGCTTTCACTTGTGACAGAAAGTGAAGGGGGAGCAGAGAACAAGCATGTCACATGGTGAGAGAGGAAGCATGAGAGAGAGGAGGAAGTACCAGGCTCCTTTAAACAACCAGCTCTTTCATGAACTAATAGAGTGACAGCGCACTCATTACTGTGGGGAAAGCACCCAGGCACTCGTGGGGATCTGCCCCCATGATCCAAACACCTCCCACGAGGCCCCACCTCCAACATTGGGGATCACATTTCAATATAAGATTTGGAGGGGACAAATATCCAAACTATATCAATTATATACATTCATTTCTAGTTAATTTGTCTAGAATTATATGAAAGACATCATCAGCAAGACATACATCATTTTGGTGAAATCTCCTGAAGATTAAACAAAGAAATTTCAAATGGTAACAAATTCAATTTATAAACACTGAGTTTTTGGCATCCCTTTCCATTCACTGTATCTTGATAATCCAGTCTCTTCACTTTTGACAATTTCACTGACTTTAATACAAAGAGTAAAGCAGTGAGGGTAAAATTAAGGAAGAAATTTTGAGTAAGGTATGACTTTCAGTTTTGCAAGTACTTGTAAAATGTAACAGATTTTGTATGGAATAAATTTGTTTGGAATATACTGCTACCTCCCTATCGCTCCCAAAATACAAGTACAGCAATAACCTAGAATCATCCAGTTCATTTGACAAATGATTAAGAGGAAGCCCCCAAAAATCACCATTTCCTAAGTTCTAGGATGTACATATTTTCCGCCTTTAATCAATGTTTCAGAAAGCAGTATGCATCTAACACCTCTAATGTCTAAGTACCCTTTTTTCACTCAAAAAGAAAAAAAAAGGAAAAAAAAGAACAACTATTTAAATGGTCACCTTATAATAGGCAGTCCTTTAACATTTAGAGAATATTAAGTGCCACACTCATTACTAATTAGCTTTCATTTTCGGATTTAGAAGACGGAGTGTGAATAGGATAGCAAGGATGCTGGCAGTCCAGGGTGGTCTTGATGTCATTTTTTGAAAAGCACTTAATAAAGGTAAAGTGTTATTTATATAATTTGTTGCAAGACTTTTGTTTTAAAATCCCTATAATAATTTTCTGGCCGGGCGCAGTGGCTCATGCCTGTAATCCCAGCACTTTGGAAAGCCGAGGGGGGTGGATCATTTGAGGTCAGGAGTTCGAGAGCTGCCTGGCCAATGTGGTAAAACCTTGTCTCTACTAAAAATACAAAAATTAGCTGGGCGTTGTGGTGGGCGCCTATAATCCCAGCTACTTGAGAGGCTGAGGCAGGAGAATCACTTGAACCCGGAAGGCAGAGGTTACAATGAGCCAAGATTGCACCACTGCACTCCAGCCTGGGCAACAGAGCAAGACTCCGTCTCGAAAGAAAAAAAAAATGTCTTTAGCTATTAAAAAAGGAAAGGCCAGAGCAATCAGGCAAGAGAAAGAAATAAAGGGTCTCCAAATTGGAAAGGAGGTCGTCAAATTAGCCTTGTTACCAGATAACATGACCTTATATTTAGAAAAACCTAAAGATTCCACCAAAAAACTGTTAGAACTGATAAATTGAGGAAAGATTGCAGGATAGAAAATCAAAATACAAAAATCAATACAATTTATATACATCAACAGTAAACAATCTAAAAAAGAAATCCCAAGTGAGTAATCCAAGTTAAAATAGCTACAAAGAATATAAAATACCTAGGAATCAGTTTAGCCAGAGATGTGAAAGATCTATAAAAGGAAAACTATAAAATACTGATGAAAGAAATTGAAGAGGACACACACACAAAATGGAAAGGTATTCTATGTTCATGGATTGGAATAATTAATTTTTTTTCCTTTCTTTTTTTTTTTTTCTTTTGAGACAGTCTTGCTGTGTCACCCAGGCTGGAGTGCAGTGGCTCGATCTTGGCTCTCTGCAAACTCAACCTCCCAGGTTCAAGCAATTCTCCTGCCTCAGCCTCCCGAGTAGCTGGGATTACAGGCACGCACCACAATACCCAGCTAATTTTTTGTATTTTTAGTAGAGATGGGGTTTCACTATGATGGCCAGGCTGGTCTTGAACTCCTGGCCTCAAGTGATCTGCCTGCCTTGGTCTCCCAAAGTGCTGGGATTACAGGCGTGAGCCACCACACCCAGCCAGAATTCATTTTGTTGAAATGACAATACTATCCACAGCAATTTACAAATTCGATGCAATCCCTATCAAAATATCAATGACATTCTTCATAGAGAAAGAAAAAGAGAATCCTAAAACATACATGGAACCTCAAAAGACCCCAAATAGCCAAAAAATCCTGAGCAAATAACAAAACTGGCAGCATCATACTACCTGACTTCAAACTTACTAAAAACCTATAGTAACCACAACAGCATGGTACTGATACAGGAGCAGGGCAGGGAAGTGCTGGGTAGAGAAAGGCAGGTGCCTGGCTAGGGCTCCACCCTCAGGCCTGTGCCCACAGACCTAGGTGAGGACAGGCACTCCTGCCTTGGTGCCCAAATGTTGCATTTTCCAAGACCACCCTGGCCTGCCACGCCCCCAAGGTGTGCCTATAAAAATCCCAAGACCCCAGCAAGCAGAGACATACAATTGGCTGGACGTTGAGAGGAACATATCAGCAGAAGAACGCACAAGTGGCTGGACGTCCAGAGGAACACATCAGTTGAAGAGCACACTGACAGGCACTGGCAGATGCCGGCAGGCCACTGACCAGCAGAACGATGCGGAGTTAGGGTGGGGCAGTCAGAGGAAAGTACGGCCGCTGAGAGGCCCGACTCCAGGGGAAAACTGCCTTCCCAATCCCCTTCTGGCTCACCGTCCAGCTGCTGAGAGCTACTTCTACCATTCAGTAAAATCTTGCACTCATTCTCCAAGCCCACATGTGATCCGACTTTTCTGGTACATCAAGGCAAGAATCCGGGATACAGAAAACCCTTGCGATAATGCAGAGGGTCTAATTGAGCTGATAAATACAAGCCACCTAGAGACAGCAAAACTAAAAGAGCACACATTAACACAAACGCACTGGGGCTTCAGGAGCTGTAAACAGTCACCCCTAGATGCTGCCCCTGGTGTCAGAGACCCATAACCTGCCCATCTGTATGTTTCCCTAAAGGTTTGAACAGCAGGGCACTGAAGAAGGGAGCCACACCCCCATCACACACCCTGTGAGGGGGACAAGGGAACCTTTCCAGTATCAATACTGGCATAAAAGCAGACACACAGACCAATGGACGACAGAGAACCCAGATATAAATCCAAAAATTTACAATCCACTCATCTTCACGAAAAAGCACAAAGAAAATACAATGGGGGAAAGAACAGTCTTTTCAATAAATGGTGCTGAGAAAACTGGATAACTATACGCAGAAAAATAAAACTAGGCTGGATGCGGTGGCTCATGTCTGGAATCCCAGCACTTTGGGAGGCTGAGGCAAGTGGATCACTTGAGGTCAGGAGTTCAAGACCAGCCTGGCCAACATGGCAAAACCCTGTCTCTACTAAAAGTACAAAAATTAGCTGAGCGTGGTGGCGCATGCCTGTAATCCCAGCTACTCAGGAGGCTGAGACAGGAGAATTGCTCTAAACCCAGGAGGCGGAGGTTGCAGTGAGCCGAGACTGTGCCACTGCACTCTAGCCTGGTGACAGAGCAAGACTCTGTCTCAAAATAAAAAACAAGAAACTAGACTCCTCATCTTTCAGCATACACAAAAAATCAAATCAAAATGGACTGAAGACCTAAATCCAAACCCTGAAACTATGAAACTACTAGAAAAAAACATTGGGGGAAATGCTCCAGGAGATTGTTCTGGGGAAAAAAATTTTTGTGTAATACTTCAAAAGGGCAAATAACAAAAGCAAAAATAGACAAATGGGATTTGATCAAGCTAAAAACTTCTGCTCAGCAAAGGCAACAATCAATAAAATTAAGAGACAACCTGTAGAATGGGAGAAAATATTTGCAAAATACCCATCTTACAAGGGATTAATAATCAGACTGTATAAGGAGCTCAAACAACTTACTAGCAAAAAAACAAAACAAAAACAAACCCACAAAAAATTACATTTCTAAATGGGGAAATTCCCAGCATTTTGGGAGGCTGACACAGGCGGATAACTTGAGCTCAGGAGTTCGAGACCAGCCTGGGCAACATGGCAGAAACCCCTGTCTCTACAAAAAATACAAAAATTAGCTGGGTGTGGTGGCACGCACTTGTAATCACAGTTACTCGGGAGGCTGAGGTGGGAGAATCACCTGAGTCCAGGAGGCCGATGTTGCAGTGGGCCAAGACTGCACTACTGCTCTCCAGTGTGGGCAATGAAGTGAGACACTTTCTAAAAAAAATAAAGAAATGGGCAAATGATCTGAAATCTTCAAAAGAAGACATATAAATGACCAACAGGTACATGAAAAAATGTTCAGCATCACTAATCATCAGAGAAAGGCAAATCAATACTATAATGAGTTAAAATCTCACCCATTATATCGAAAAGCAGGCAGACTGGGCACAGTGGCACATACCTGTAATCCCAGCACCTTCAGAGGCCAAGGCAGGTGGATCACAAGGTCAGGAGTTCAAGACCAGCCTGGGCAACATGGTGAAACCCCGCCTCTACTAAAAATATAAAAATTAGCCGGGCATGGTGGCATGTGCCTGTAATCCAAGCTAGTCGGAAGTCTGAGGCAGGAGAACTGTTTGAACCTGGGAGGTGGAGGTTGCAGTGAGCCGAGATTGTGCCACTGCACTCCAGCCTGGGTGACAGAGCAAGACTCCATCAAGGAAAAAAAAAAGAAAGAAAAAGAAAAGAAAAGCAGGCAATAACAAATGCTGGTGAGGATGTGGAGAAAGGGAAACTCTTGTACACCATTTGCAGGAATGTAAACTAGTACAGCCATTGTGTAAATTAGAACAGCTATGGCTGTTCCTCAAAAGACTAAAAATAGAATTACCATATGATCCAGCAAATTGCTACTGGGTATATATCCAAAAGAAAGGAAATCAATGTATCAAAAAGATACCTGTACTAATGTTTATTGCAGCACCATTCATAATAGTCGAAGTTTGGAATTAACCTAAGTGCCCATCAACAGATGAATGGATAAAGAAAATGTGGTATATACACACAATGGAACATTATTCAGCCAGAAAAAAGAGGCTGGGTGCGGTGGTTCACGCCTGTAATCCCAGCACTTTGGGAGGCTGAGGTGGGCAGATCATGAGGCGAAGAGATTAAGACCTTCCTGTCCAATGAGGCAAAACTCTGTCTCTACTAAAAATACAAAAATTAGCTGGGCGTGGTGGCACGCGCCTATAGTCCCAGCTACTTGGGAGGCTGAGGCAGGAGAATCACTTGAACCCGGGAGGCGGAGGTTGCAGTGAGCCAAGATCGACCCACTGCACTCCAGCCTGGGGACAAAGCAAGATTCCATCCAAAAAAAAAAGAAATGCTGTCATTTGCAGCAACATGTTAAGTGAAATAAATCAAGCAGGCCAGGTGTGGTGGTTCACGCCTGTAATCCTAGCACTTTGGGAGGCCAAGGCAAGAGGATCACTTGAGCTCAAGAGTTTGAAACCAACCTGGGCAACATGGTGAGACCTCATCACTACCAAAAAACAAAAATAAGCCAAGCACAGAGAGACAAATATCACATGTTCTCACTCATATGTAGGAGCTAAAAAAAGTAGATCTCATGAAGATGAGAGTAGATTGGTGGTTACCAGAGGATAGGAAGAGTAGTGGGGAGGAGGGGGGAATACAGATAAGTTGATTAATGGGCCCAAATACATGGTTTGACAGAAGAAATAAAATGTAGTGTTAGTAAGGTGATTATAATAATCTAGTGTACATTTCAAAATAACTAGAAAAAATTAATTCAAATGTTTCTAGCATAAAGGACAAACATTTAAGGTAATGAATATTCCAAGTACACTGAGATTTTATATTTCCAAATTATGAATGGATTAGTGATCACATGTACCCCCCAAAAAATGTATCTATTATGCAACCCTAAAGGAAAAGAAAAACACTCTTAAACATTTTGTAGCCATGACTATCCAGTCAAAGACTTAATACACTGTTATACTAATATATAAAATTGATGTATGTGGTAATGATCTCACTAGCCTCCTTTCAGACAATGATGTCATCCCAGTAAATAATATGATTAACTCTGAAGAGAGGGAAATTTGTCTGTATTGTCAAAGAAAAAGACTTATAACATACCAAAAACCTACCTCTTGTCTAACAGTTAAGAGGTCAAAAAAGGGTAGATGTAGGCCGGGCACAGTGGCTCACGCCTGTAATCCCAACACTTTGGGAGGCCGAGGATGGTGGATCACCTGAGATCAGAAGTTAGAAACCAGCCTGGCCAACATGGTGAAACCCTGTCTCTACTAAAAATACAAAAAAATTAGCCAGTTGTGGTGGCAGGCACTTGTAATCCCAGCTACTCAGGAGGCTGAGGCAGAAGAATCCCTTAAACCCAGGAGGCGCACGTTGCAGTGAGCTGAGACTGCACCATTGCACTCCAGCCTGGGCAACAAGAGCGAAATTCCACCTCAAACAAAACAAAAAAAAACGGTAGATATGTGTAGGTCTCCAGAGTTTAGAAACAGTTGTAGCATGTTTCAACTGCTGCTTTCTGGTCCTGGTCATTCCACTGTCTAATGGATATAAGGTAAAGGGTTATCCCACAGTTCCTTAGGGGAAATAGTTAAGTGACAGATACTGTTTTATCATGGCTTTTAGAGTCAGAAAGGCCTGACATTGAAGCCAGGCTTTATTAATATACCAACTATGTGGTCTTAAGCAAATCACTTAACTTTCTGGGCCTTAGTTGCAGTCCATGACACATATGTTGAAGCAATGTGCCAAGTCGTCTCATTCCAGGACCTAAGCTGGAAAGCAGCCCCTGGGTGGGAAATACTATCTCAGGACAGAAGGCGGAAACCAGAGTTTGAAGTCACTTTGTTAACTAGTAAGAATTCAGCACTGATGAGCTCATAACTTTTGCTTGAAAATATTTTTCCAGAGTAAACTCTAGTACACCAATCTAACTGCTTGATTAATTCATCAACAGAACCAAATTAATGTTTTCAAATTTTCATTTTATATAATTCTCATGAGGATCAATACTTTTCCATTTGTTGTTGTTGTTGTTGTCGTTGTCGTTGTTGTTGAGACAGGGTCTCATTCTATTGCCCAGGCTGTAGTGCAGTGGCATAACCACAGCTCATCGCAGCCTTGACCTCCCAGGCTCAAGTGATCCTCCCAAGAGTCCTTGGGAGTCTGAGGACTCCCAAGTAGCTGAGCGCACAGGAACATGCCATCACACCTTGCTAATTTTTTCATTTTTTTGTAAAGATGGGATCTTACTATGTTGCCCAGGCTAAAAAATTTATCCTGACTGACACAGAGTTAAAAAGGAAAGTATACATAAGTTAAAAAGGCAAAAAATATATACCTTTCCAAAGAACTTGATGTCACCAACCTACATGCTTAAAAGCCATCTTTAGGTAATGACAAAGATGAAACATGAATTCACAAAATAAGTCATGCTGTATGTTGGTGAGCTTCGAAGAATAACTCAAACACAACATAAGGCCCATGGTATATGAATACATTAAGTACTCATTTGCATAAAACATACTTACTACTGATAAAATTTCAAATGTTAACATTTAATGCAAGCTCTGTGGCTGGGCACGGTGGCTCATGCCTGTAATCCCAGATCCCAGCACTTTAGGAGGCTAAGCTGGGTGGATCACCTGAGGTCAGGAGTTTGAAACCAGCCTGGCCAACATGGTGAAACCTCGTCTCTACTAAAAATACAAAAATTAGCCAGTCATGGTGGCAGGCACCTGTAATCCCAGCTACTCGGGAGGCTGAGTAAGGAGAATCGCTTGAACCTGGGAGGCAGAGGTTGCAGTGAGCCAAGATCGCACCACTGCATTCCAGCCTGGGTGACAGAGTGAGACTCTGTCTCAAAAAATAAAATAAAGTAAGATTAAAAAAATGCAAGCTCTGTTCCTATATGTGTGTGTTTTGAAAAACTTTTCCTTCTAAAACTAAAAATTATGTGTGTTCACATTACTGTTTCTTTAGTGCAGAGTCCAATAGAACAAAATGTTTCTTTTCTTCAAATGTGTTTCATAATACTAACCATGTCTTTCCTGGAAGTAAATATCATAAGGTAGAGTCATGCTTAGCTCCAAAAAAAATAAAGGGCCCCTTGAAATTCTGAATAAATAACAACATACAAATGCAAAGTATAAATTCCTGAAGTCTAAGCAAAGAACATATACTGAGGAAACAACTACCAGGGATTAGAAAGCGGAATAGTACCCAAAGCTCACATTGAGTTTATCAGTCAAGCAGAAGAGACACCTCATTGAACATCCAGAGCATTGAGGAGAGACCCCAAGAGTTAATCCTTAGTATTAGAGGTAAACCATACTTATACTAAAGTCTATTCAAGACTCACCATTACAAAGCTTTAACACAGGATTAAAGAGGATTAGCTAATCTGTGATTAAGTGTGTGCTAGAATAAAATCCAACATTTTAAAAACAAAGACAACAAATTCAGGTACTTATAACATAAGGTTTACAATGTTTACTAGATATCAAAAAGTTACTAGATACAAGAAACAGAAAATTGTAACCAATCACCAGAAAATTATGAGGCAAAAGAATGACAGAGATGATAAAAACTGGTATACAAGAAGTTTAAAACAGCTATTATAAATATGCTCAAGAATTTAAACAAAAATAAAAACATGGAAATAGAAACTATATTTTAAAAAGAAACATGAAACTTTAGAGTGAAAAATATAATATCTGAACTAAAAAGTTATTGTGTGGCTTTTTTTTTTTTTTTTTTTTTTTTTGAGACAGGGTCTTTCTCTGTTGTTGCCCAGGCTGGAGAATACAGTGGCATTGATCTTGGCTCACTGCAACCTCTGCCTCCCGGGCTCAAGCAATCGTCCCACCTCAGCCTCCCAAGTAGCTGGGGCTACAGGTGTATACCACTACTCCTGGCTAATTTTGAGTATTTTCTGTAAAGGAAGGGTTTCACCATGTTGCCCAGGCTGGTCTTGAACTCCTGGGCTCCAGTGATCCACTTGCTTAGGCCTCCCAAAGTGCTGGGATTACAGGGGTGAGTCACTGTGCCTGGCCCTGTGTAGCCTTAAAAGCATATTAAACACTACTGAATAAAAGAGCAGTGAACTTGAAGAAACAGGAATAGGAACTATCCAATCTGAAGTACGGTGAAGAAAAAGAGCTAGAACTGGGGGTGGGGGGAGGAAAGGAGAGAAAATAATCAGTCTCAGTAACCTGTGAAAAACCACCAAGCTTTTTACATACCTGTACTTAGAGACAAAGAAAAGGGAAGGGTGAACAGAAACATATTTGAAGAACAGTACTGAAACACCTTCCAAATTTGATGATAAACCTACCAATCCAAAATGCTCAAAGAAACTCATATGTAAGATAAACAAAACCAAACAAAGGTATATAATACATTCCTGAAAAATAGTAATACAGAAAATCTTGAAAGCACTGAGAGGGAAAAAGGTATAAAGTGAAACAAAAATAAGAATAATCACTGACTTGTAATCAGAAACAATGCAAGCCACAAGACAACAGAAGAAACAATTTTACTATACTGAAAGAAGAAAAAAACAGCCTAGGATTATATATCCAACAACAAAATGACCACTCAATTTTAAACAGGGCAAATGACTTAAATAAAAAGATGCAATGTCTTTAGTCATTAGGGAAATGCAAATCAAAACCACAATGACATACCACTTCACACCTACAAGAACGGCTATAATAAAATGAATGAGGCCGGGTGTGGTGGCTCACGCCTGTAATCCTAGCACTTTGGGAGGCCGAGGTGGGCGGAATGCCTGAGCTCAGGAGTTCAAAACCAGCCTGGGCAACACAGTGAAACCCCATCTCTACTTAAAATACAAAAAAATTAGCCAGGCGTGGCGGTGTGCGCCTGTAGTCCCAGCTACTCAGGAGGCTGAGGCAGGAGAATGGCTTGAACCCGGAAGGCAGAGGTTGCAGTGAGCCGAGATCACGCCACTGCACTCCACACTCCAGCCTGGGCGACAGAGTGAGACTCCATCTCAAAAAATAAAAATAAATAAAATAAAATGAATAAATAACAAGAATGTAAAAAAACCCCTGCAACATCTATACACTGTTGATGGAAATGTAAAAGGGTACAGCTGTTCTGGAAAACAGCCTGGTGGTTCTTCAAAAAGGTAAACATAGAATTACCATATGACCTGACAATTCTGTTCCAAAAAGAATTGAAAACAGAGATTCAAACAGATACTTGTATGCCAATATTCACAGCAGCATTATTGACAATAGAAGAAAGGTGGAAACAACCCATAAAAAGATGAAAAAAATGTGGTATATACACACAGTGAAGTATTATTTAGCCATAAAAAAGAATGGGTGTTTGCAGCCATTACAGCTCTCTAGCACCTTTAGCTCACTGAGCTCCTGCAGAGGGAGCTGAAGAATAAGTAAATAAGTCTCTATAGCATGGCCTGTACAAAACAGATTGCCTGCAAACTGACCATGGTAAAGCACCCACGAAGTAACTAGCCACAAAAGCCATTCACAAGAGTGCACCCTCTATTGGAGGGGTAAAGAAACGTCATCATTACAGGCCTGGTCTGGTACTCTGTGACACTGAACCTTATCACAAGTCCACTGAACTTCTGATTCACAAACCTCCCTTCCAGCATCTGATATGGGACTTCAAAACAGATCTGTGCTTCCAGAATACAGTTACTGGTGCTCTGCAGGAGGCAAATGATGGTTGGCCTTTTTGAAGACATCAACCACTCTGCTATCCATGCCAAACATGTAACAATTATGCCAAAAGACATTCAGCTACCTTGCCGCATATATGGAGCACATGCTTAAGAATATGCTATGATGAGTAACATTTCATTCTCAAAAAAAAAAAAAAATTCTCTCTTCCCTGTTACTGGTAGTTCTGAACCCTAGATTTTTTTTTCCCCATGGGGTGAAAAGCTACCTAAGTAAATGACTGCAAGTGGGAAAATGGGGAACGGAAATCAGGTATAGGGAGTTTTTCTATTTTCATGTTGCAAGAGAATTTTTAATATAAATATGGGTATGTAAAGCATTAATGCAAGTCAAAGTGCTTCAGTGAGCACGTTTCCGCAGTTCAACTAGTAAGTACGTATTTTTAATATTGTCTCTCTTCTGTGTTGTTCCTGTAACTACAAAAAAAGGAATGGGCCAGGCACGGTGGCTCATGCCTGTAATCTCAACACTTTGGGAGGCTGAGACAGGGGGAGCACTTGAGGTCAGGAGTTCGAAACCAGACTGGCCAACATGGTGAAATCCCGTCTCTACTAAAAATACAAAAATGAGTCGGGTGTGGTGGTGGGCGCCTGTAGTCCCAGCTACTCGGGTGGCTGAGGCAGGATAATTGCTTCAGCCTGGGAGGTGGAGGTTGCAGTGAGCAGAAATCACACTATTGCACTCCAGCCTGGGCAAAAGAGCGAGACTTTGACTCATAAAAACAAACAAACAAACAAAGGAATGAAGTTCTGATATACGCTACAAATGGATGAACCTTGAAAACATTATGCTAAGTGAAATAAGCCAGACACAAAATGGCAAATATTGTATGATTCCACTATATGAAATATTTAGAACAAGCAAATTCATAGAAGTAGAAAGTAGACTGGAGGTTATCAGGGGCTGGGGAGGAAGAAGAATGGGAAATAATTGCTTAACAGGTACAGTATTTCTGTTTGGTGTGATGAAAGAAAAATTATTTTTCCATGTAAATTTGAGAAAAATGGAGTGATGAAAAATGTTGAAAGTAGATAGGCATGGTGATTGGGCAACATTGTGAATGTAATTAATACTACTGAAATGTTCACTTAAAGGTGATTAAAATGGGCCAGGCACAGTGGCTCATGCCTATAACCCCAGCACTTTGGGAGGCCAAGGCACAAGGATCACTTGAGCCCAGGAGTTTGAGACCAGCCTGGGCAACATAGTGAGACCTCATCTCTATTAAAAAAACTTAAAAATAAGCCAGGCATGGTGATGCATGCCTGTAGTACCAGCGACTCGGGAGGCTGAGCTGGGAGGATTACTTGAGCCAAGGAGGTCAAGGCTACAGTGAACCATGATCAAGCCACTGCACTCCAGCCTGGGTGACAGAGTGAGACCCTGTCTAAAAAAAAAAAAAAAAAAGTTAAAATGGTTAATTTTATGTTATAAATCCCAATACTTTGGGAGGCCAATGCAGGAAGATCGCTTAATGCCAGGAGTTTGAGACCAGCCTGGGCAAAATAGCGAGACCCTCACCGCTACAAAATATTCAAGAATTAGCTAGGTGTAGTGCCATGCACCCATAGTTCCAGCTACACAGGAGGCTAAAGAGGGAGGATTGCTTGGGCCTGGGAGATTGAGGTACCACTGCATTCCAGCCTGGGCAACACAGTGAGACCAGCCTGGCCAAAATGGTAAAAACCCGTCTCTACTAAAAATACAAAATTATCTGTGCATGGTGGCATGCGCCTATAGTCCCAGCTACCTGGGAGGCTGAGGCAGGAGAATCACTGGAACCCAGGAGGCAGAGATTGCAGTAAGCTGAGATGGTGCCACTGCACTCCAGCCTCGGCGACAGAGCCAGACTCCGTCTCAAGAAAACAGAAAACAAACAAACAAAAAAAACAGCCAACTGGCTTTTGTTATTGATCATGACTGTTAAACATTTTTAAAATCAGTGGTACAAATTGTGACATAGAAAGCATGTGTATCAGTTTTGTAAATGACAAAGTTGGTAGGGATGGCTAAAAGGTTAACAGAATTAAATCAAATTCATCTTAGGCTGTGACACTAGGCTAAAAGCAACAAAATTAAATTTAATCTATTTAAACTGCAGTTTCCTTATAAACTCAGCATATATAAAGATATAGAAGAAGATCAAGCTTGAAATTTTTAGCCAACAAAGTGATGACCTTTTGGCTTGTTTAGGCTAATACAATTTTATGCTGAATGGTAGTGATTAAAGAATTATATATTCTCCTGTTCACTAATCTAATTCCATCTAGAGAACAGCATGGGATTAACCATTATGCATATTAACTGTGGTTAAGAAGCAGCAGGGAAAAGGACTTGTTCACATCTCTAGAAGGGAAAGTTCCAGTTTCCCAATTCAAACAGCTGAACTCTACCTCCATGAAGCAGAGGATTTCCAGTTGAGACTCAAGTAAAGACAACAAAAATTTCAGGATTATGAAACTGTGACAAAATCATTAGTGGCTTTTAGCTGCACCCCCACCTCCAAACCCAGAAAACAAGGCTGGGACTAGGTCAGGTGAATTTACAGAATTGTTTTACTGCCCCCAAACTTAAATGGAGTAGAACCAAAACACAAAAATTTTACTGAATTAATGATATCCTACATCATTTTCAAGCTGGTGTGCTACATCAATTTATAACATCCAACATTTAGCAAGATACAAAAACGGTAACCTTGTAAGAGAAATGTTAGAGAAGGATGTGAGTGAAAAATTGACCACTTTTTAAAATAAGTTATTCGTTACAATGGGATATTATTCAGTCATAAAAAGGAATGAAGTTCTGATACATGTTACAACATGAATGAACTTTGAAAACATTATGCTAAGTGAAATAAGCCAGCTACAAAAGGACACATATTATATGATACCACTTACGTAAAGTAATTTGAATCGGCAAATTCATAAAGACTAAAAGTTGACTGCGTGTTATGAGGGTTTAGGGGAAGGGGTTGGGAGCATTAATGGTTAATGAGCCGAGTTTCTGTTTGGGATGATGAAAAGGTTTTAGAAAAAGATAGTGGTGATGGCTGCAAAATATTGTGAATGTAGTTAGTGTCTGTGAACTGTACACTTTAAAATGGTTAAAATGGCAAATATTATGTTTTATATATTTTGCCACAACAAAAATTTTAAAACATAGTAAAATACAGGGACTCAGATTAAGAATATTCAGATAATAAATACGAGTATAATAAACACTTAGATAGAAAGTACTTCTGTGAGCTAGGCACAGTAGCTCTTGCCACAACAAAAATTTTAAAACATAGTAAAATACAGGGACTCAGATTAAGAATATTCAGATAATAAATACGAGTATAATAAACACTTAGATAGAAAGTACTTCTGCGAGCTAGGCACAGTAGCTCATGCCTGTAATCCCAGCACTCTGGGAGGCTGAGGCGGGCAGATTGCTTGAGCCCAGGAGTTTGAGACCAGCCTGGGCAACATGGTGAAACCCCATCTCTACCAAAAAAATATAAAAATTAGGCAGAAGTGGTGGTGCGCACCTGTAGTCCCAACTACTCAAGTGGCTGAGGTAGGAGGATTGCTTGAGCCCAGGAGGCAGAGGTTGCAGTGAGCCAAGATAGCGCCACTGCACTCCAGCCTGGATGACAGAGTGAGACCCCATCTCAAAAATAAAAATAAAAATAATACAAAATTTAAAAATACACTATAACAACTATTCACGTAGTATTTACATTGCAATAGGTATTATAAATAATCTAGAGATGATTTAAAGTATACGGGGGTGAGGGGTGTGTGCATACTAAACATTTTATTTAAGGGACTTGAGCATTTGCAGATTTTGGTATCCTGGTGGGCCTAGAATCAATCCCCAACAGACACCAAGGATGACTGCGTAAGTATCTTCAATATCAGCATTGGAACTCTTCTCTCACACAATATATTTTCAGGGAGTAATCTGTTGAAAATCCCAAACTGTTATTTAAACAAACTACCAAGAATACAATTAAGTCCTCATTTAACATCATGGATAGGTTCTTGGAAACTGCAACTTCAAATGACACCAGGTAGAATGAAACCAATTTTACCACAGGTTAATTGATATAAACAAGAGTCAAGTTCCTGAGGTATGTTTCTGGTCACAAAAATATCACCAAACTTCTAAATAAATACCCCAAAACATTTCTAATATTAAACATTGAAATAAATGTAAGCTGTACATACATTTGAGGAAAATTAATAAAAACAAGTAAGATAAATTACTATATCTACCCAATTATTACTGTTCAGTGTCACAGGTAATCAGAGCCTATGTCAGCAGCTCAAGGGCACCATCCCATCACACGGCACACTCACGCAGACATCCACACTCACTCAGACTGGGACAACTTAGACATGCCAAGTCATCAAACGTGCACACCGTTGGGATGAGGGAAGAAACCGGGGTACCTGGAGAAAACCCACACAGACATGTGGGGGAGCATGCAAACCACACAGTGGCCCTGGCCAGAAATTGATGTTTTTTTCATCAACATTATAATGAAAAACAACACCGAATGAGTGATGAGATGACATTATTTGAGGATGTGCTGCACACAGTTATATAAACCTATTTAGTAATCAAGGAAGAGTTTCCCTAATAAATAAAAATATTTTCAGAAAGGGTAATAAGCAATAAAACTAGCATTTTAGAACATGTACAATGATTACCAGAATTCCAGGCAAATGTCACATGCAGGTTCCAGGAACTAGGACCTGGAGATCTTTGAAGCCATTATTTAGCCTACAACCCTCTCCAGAGTAGCTATGGTCCTAGGAGAATGGGACAAATTCTCATTGCTTTTTTTCCCCCATCTCTGTCCTCTTACCTCCTACAGCTTGGCTCCGGATACAGACGCAGTAGCACAAAGTATATGGCACAGTAGTATAACTAAAAACCCTAACTCTCTAACCAGAGGACTGAAAATCGGAGATCCAGGGAAATAGAAAGTAAAAAGAATATTGAGGAGAGGAAGAAGCTCAGGAAAGTTGTCTTTTGAACTCCTGGGTATACCTCCCAGCTGTATATGAATGGATATAAGCCTAAATTGCTTATCAAAGTCTAAGAATTAAAATTCAGCATAGACCAAAACCCAGGTCCCAGTCTAGCCACTGGGTGGTACACATATGGGACAGATACAAATACCACTGCAAAGACTCTAAAAACTTAACTGACATTGGAACTACAACCAACGTAAGACTGGTGGGAACTGATGCCCTGAGCCCATCATTATCAAGGATCTGATAAAACAAATATACCGACATCTCCAAAGCAACAATCAGAATCTCATAACACAATATTCCAAATGTCCAGAATATAATCTGAAATCACTCAGCACATAAAGAACCAGGAAATTATCATCTCAATTAGGAAACGACAATCAATCAACAGGTACCATCAATCAGGTGAGACACATTGGATATAGACAAAGGCTTTAGAACAGCTATTACAAAAATTCCCAAAGAAATGAGGGCAAACATTCTTGAAATGAATGGAAACACAACAGTTTAAACATAGTAACAGAAAATACAGAAGACCAAATGAAAATTTTACAATGAAAAATACAGTAACAACAACAAAAAAATTTTAAGCCACTTCCCTAAATCTATCAATTGGAAATCTGGAAAGACAAGCTTCTCTTTTAACAGTGACCATTCGTTGTGATGGTCAACTCTATTAATCATTAACACCTCAGTGGTAACTATTTTAATCAGATGGCTTTTTTTTTTTTTTAGCCCTAGTGATACTAACTGAAAAAGAAATTGTCTTTGACCTTTGCCACAACTTTAGTCATCCCTTTGCAATAAAGTGCCCATAGCTGGCATTCAATGACTGTTGAGAAAACTTAATAAACAGAAATAAATAGAATAAAAGCATGTCTTTATGAGACAGAGAAAAAAAGTTAAGTAAAATGTGACAACTAGATACAAAATAGGCCCACTGTTTTATAAGATGTGTTTAACATAAGACTCAACATGCTGGTTCTTTAAAGTGAACTGAGTAGGTAACTCTATAGGCCAAACTTTTTTTTAAGGTTATTTTAAGATGAGTTCTTGCCATGTTGCCCAGGCTTGCCTCGAACTCCTAGGCTCAAGGGATCCTCCCACCTCAGCCTCCTCAGTAGCTGGGACTACACGAACATACCACTATGCCTGGCTCCCTAAATCATATTTAAGTGTTTAAGATATTGTTCTTAAATCAATGAATTTAATAAGCATTATACTAAAAGCCAAGAAAAAGCATGGCATATACAACTTGAAATCCACATGGATTTCATTTTGGCTCTCTGTATTAGTAAATCTTCACAAAAATTTATTTATACAAAATTAATAACTTAATTGGTATTTTAAAAATAGATTGTAATAAATAGATGTAATTTCAGAAAAGTTCTGATGTTTGTTCTACACACTAAAAAAATAGAATTTCAAAAAAGGGTCAAGATTAGAAAACACGAAAATTAACTGACTCAGGGTTCAAAAAAAGGAGATAGTCCCTGGGTTCTAGACTTGGAGTTACATTTATAGAACCACCATATAAAATATAAATACCATATATCAACATTAAATTTGGTTAACAATTACTTTAACATTTTAAAGATATTTATTGCTAAAAAACAGAAAACTTTAACATTCTTCAAAGCACTAAAATGGATTGAGCCAATTATGCCAATTACAAATTTCCATATACATATACACCACATGAATGTATAAATATTTTCATTTCAGATTTACTAGTCCATTTGATCAAGAAATTTGAACATCTGGAGATCAGGAAAATGCAAATCAAAACCACAATGAGACACAACTTCATACCCACTAGGACAGCTATAATAAAAAACACAGATTAATTAAACTCCAAGGATATAGGGAAATTGGAACCCACATATACTATTGGTAGAAATGTAAAATGGGCAGCCACTTTGGAAAATAGTCTGGCAGTTCCTCAAAAAGTTAAATGAAGAGTTCCATATGACCCAGAAATTCCATGCAAGGTATATATCCAAAGAAATGGAAATATATATCCACGCAAAGGTATACAAATGTTCACAGCAGCATTATTTATAATAACAAAAAAGTGGAAATAACCCAAATATTCATTAACTGATGAAATAAACAAAATGTTATATATATATGCATACAATGAAATATTATTCAACAATAAAAAGGAATAAAGGACTGATACATGTTTTCAAGATTCATCTAAGAGGCCAATCACAGAAAATCATGATTTCATTTATATGAAATTACTAGAATAGTGAAATCTATATAGACAGAAAGTAGATTAGTATATTAGTTGGCCAAAGGCTGTGAGAGGAGAGGATGAAGAAAACAGGGATGACTGTTAAAGTAAGGTTTCTTTTTGGGGAGATGAAACTGTGGTAATGGGTACACAACTCTATGAACATAGTAAAAGCCACTGAATTGTATACTTTAAATGTGTGAATAGTGTGACATGTAAATTATAGCTCAATAAAAGCTTTTAAGAAAAACAAAACACTATTTCTTTTAAAGCAAAGAACTGGTGTATGTAACAAAGTTGGTTAAACACACTTTGCTGAATACTGCTCCTATAAGGCTTTTTATATCTCACCTAAAATTTCTGAAAGTCAAATATAACAAGAAAGAAGGAAGACTGGAAAAGTAGTTCAAGATAAACCTTCATGTGAAGTATTATATGCTTTACTGTTTTCTAAAAAGCGTCAAAACATCTCTACAGCTTCTGCCATTTGGAAATTAAGAAATTCTTCTTCAAAGATGGAATACTAGTAAAGTTGCCACCCATGCATAAAATAGCTTAAGCAATCAGCAGTGCAAACTATAAAATGATTTTTTAAAAGCATAAACCAGGCCAGGTGCAGTAGCTCATGCCTGTAAAACCAGCACTTTGGAAGGCCAAGGTAAGAAGATTGCTTGAGGCCAGGAGTTCAAGACCAACCTGGGCAACACAGTGAGACCTTGTCTCTACAAAAACATTTTTAAAAGTTAGCTGGGCATGGTGGTGCACTTGTGGTCCCAGCTACTTGGGAGGCTAAAGCGGGAAGATTGGTTGAACCCAGGAGTTCGAGGTTGCAATCAGCTATGATTGCACCACTGCACTCCACCCTGGGTGACACAGCAAGACCGTGTTTCAAATATATATATATATATATATTTTAATTAAAAACTATTTTTAAAACTAACCAGATTCTAGAAAAAAGTGAAAACACATTTTCAAAAATGCTACTAACTTGATTCGAAAAAGACTATCTCAGTGTCTTCCACATGAGGCAGGAGAAGAAACCAATTCTTAAACCTCATTTCCCCTACCCCTGAGATCAATGGGTTCCTATAGATAGAATTTTATATTTATATTTTCCCATTGTTATTAATGGTAATTAACAACATGTAAATGGTATGGTTAAAAGTCACCCTCATTTCACCTTTGATACTTTATCTTTTCTTTGTTTCAATGCATTGATACCTTATCTTGATGTCTCACATTACTTCAACAGAAATAAAAAATACATTTTGAAAAGCAATGTAAAAAATTAAACTTTGTCTCAGAAAATTATACTAAAAAACTGTTATAGGCCAGGCATGGTGGCTCACATCTGTAATCCCAGCATTTTGGGAGGCTGAGGCCCACAGATTATCTGAGGTCGGGAGTTCGAGACCAGCCTGACCAACACGGAGAAAACCCCCTCTCTACTAAAAATACAAAATTAGCCAGGTGTGGTGGCGCATGCCTGTAATCCCAGCTACTCAGGAGGCTGAGGCAGGAAAATGGCTTGAACCAAGGAGGCAGAATTTGCGGTGAGCCGAGATCATGCCATTGCACCCCAGTCTGGGCAACAAGAGCGAAACTCCATCTCAAAAAAAACAAAAAACTGTTGGAAGGTTTAAAATGATTTAGCTACAGGTGTTATGAAAACTAAGCATAGGAAAAAATAAGGCAATTTTTAAAACAAGGAAAAACAAAATATTGAATAAGAAAGAAACCTAGCTGCCACGGTGGCTCACACTTGTAATCCCAGCATTTTGGGAGCCTGAGGAGGGCAGATCACTTGAAGTCAGCAGTTCGAGAATAGCCTGGCCAACATGGTGAAACCCTGTCTCTACAAAAAATACAAAAATTACCCAGGTGTGGCAGTGTGCACCTGTAATCCCAGCTACTTGGAAGGCTGAGGTGGGAGGGAGAATCTCTTGAACCTGGGAGGCAGAGGTTGCAGTGAGCCAAGGTTGTGCCACTGCACTTCAGCCTGGGTGACAGCGCAAGACCCTGTCTCAAAATACAAAAAAAAGAGAAAAAGAAAGAAAACTATATCATAGTACACTATGTTGCAAGGAATATTTACATAGTCATAATATTGTAAATAACACTGATTTAACCAAAAATTGTGATATAATTTCACTGGATTTTGTCAGGGAGGGATGTAAGAAAGTTAAATACGTATCTCTTCTACAAATGCAAAGCAAAAGATAAGTTTAAAATTATTTTAAAATAACAGTAAAGGGCCAGGCGCGGTGGCTCACACCTATAACCCCAGCACTTTTGGAAGTTGAGGCTGGCAGATCGCTTGAGCCCAGCAGTTCAACACCAGCCTGGGCAACACAGCAAAACCCTGTCTCTACAAAAAAATACAAAAATTAGCCAGGCATTTGTGGCACATGTCTGTAGTCCCAGCTACTTGGGAGGCTGAGGCAGGAAGATTGCTTGAGCCCAGGAGGCAGAAGTTGCAGTGAGTTGAGATCCCACCATTGCACTCCAGCCTAGGTGATTGCAGTGAGTTGAGATTAAGTCATTGGACTTTAGCCTGGGTGACAGAGTAAGACTCTGTCTCAAAAAAAAAAAAAAAAAAAAAGTAAAAATATTTAGAACTAAATGGTGGTATGTACCAGAAGCAACTACTAGAAACTGGTTGCTTCTGGAACCCTGATAAAATTGAGCTAGGTAAGGATAGGAACTCTTGTTTTCACTAACTCTTTTTTTATTCTATTTTAACTATGTGCATATGTCACTTTGATAAAATAAGTAAATAAGTAAGATTTACTTGCAAAACAGGTGATGCATTTCCTACTGATACATAGATTCATCATAAATCAAAGATTGCATTTCATCACACCCTCTGCCCTAGTAACCTGATTTCGGGTCCTTATTTGACACCATGGTTTGTTTTCTTTTTTTTTTTTCCTTTTGAGACAGAGTTTCGCTCTCGTCGCCCCGGCTCGAGTGGAATGGCGCAATCTCGGCTCACTGCAACCTCCGCCTCCTAGGTTCAAGCGATTCTCCTGCCTCAGCCTCGCAAGTAGCTGGGATTACAGGCACCGACAACCATGCTCGGCTAATTTTTGTATTTTTGGTAGGGACTGTTGGCCAGGCTGGTCTTGAACTCCTAACCTTGGGTGATCCACCCACCTTGGCCTCCCAAAGTGCTGGGATTAAAGGCATGAGCCACTGTGCCCGGCCATGGTTTATTTTCTCATTCTACTGGGACTTAATACTTATAGCAGCAGCACATGGAATTTGTGGATCTCAGTATGAGACACTCTGTAAGATGTTTCTTTCTTTTAGATTCCCTTAGAGAATCACCAAAGGAAAATTCATGCACAGAGTATAAAATATTCCCCCCAAAGAGACTTACTAAGTTTTATGAAAATAAAACTAGTTATTTCCACAAGATGTTCTGAGTTATATTTATATAGATTACTATCCTGCCAAGTTATTTTATTGTTAAAAAATAAACACTTCATGAAAGGTAAACAGTTCTCAGTCTTACGTAGATGCTAAAAAAGTTGATCTCATAGAAGTAGAGAGTAGAATAGTGGTTACTAGAGGCGAGGAAAGGGAGGGGGAGGAAGTGATAGCTGAAAGTTGGTTATGTATAGAAAAGTACAGCCAGATAGGAGGGAAAAGTTGTAGCATGCTACAGCACTATAGGGTGACTATAATTAACAACAATTGGTTGTATATTTTCAAATAGCTAGACGACCAGATTTTTTAATGTTCCCAACACAAAGAAATGACAAATGTTTGAGATGATGGATATGCTAATGGCCATGTGTAATGGCCTATTTGACATTATATACACGTATCTAAACATCACACTGATGGCAACGGCGAGCCTTCTGGAGTGGCCGCTGACGTCACGCCAGCTGCAGCAGGGAGACACAGGCAGTGGTGGCAGGATTGGCTTCAAGAGCAGCAATAGTGGCAGTGGGTCCCCTGTGCTCCACGTCACCGAAGCAGCCCATGGCACAGCTGTCAATGTGGGTTGGTGGGGGGCGGGGGGGAGGCGGAGCTGGGCCTGGGGCGGTGCCCCACTCCACAAAGGCAGCGGGACCCAGGGACAAGCGGGGCCCGCCCACCCCACCCCACCTCAGGAGCCAGGCTGAGCCCGCCCGCCAGCAGAAGAGCAGCACGGTTGGGCAGGAGGGGCAGGCAGAGAGGGGCCCAGCGAGGACATGGAGCCCCCACACCAGGCTGCAAGGAGATGCGGCCAGGGCTGCCGACATGCTCCAGGCAGTGAGCGAAAGCCCCGCCCTCTCAGATGCAGGACCTGGACATCTCTGGATTCTGCACCCTCAGGGGTCCGGGGAAGTCCCCCTGCCCCTGCAGGCTCAGGAATGTCTGCTCCTGCTGCCTGGCCTCTCCCGACTCCCAGCCCCTGCTCCAATCTTGGAGCAGGGCTGAAGCCAAGCCAGGTAACTGTCACAGCCCGGCCAGGTATGTGGACACTCAGGGCGGTGCTGACGTGCTAGCTGCCTGCCACCTCAGCCCGCTTTGGACTTTGGGCACCAAAAAGCAAGATGGGGGAATCAAGGGGAGATTAGTGCAGCTCGGTGCTGGCCTGCAGGTGCCCCTTGGCAGGAGCAGCCTGGGAGCCATGGATGGCGGCAGGCAGCAGACAGGCTCCTGGGCAGAAGGGGGCAGGTCCCCACTGAGGCCCCACCTTCCGGGCCAGGGAGGGCCTGAAGGCTGGGGGCCAGGCTGCTAGTCCTGTGGACTGGAGTGGGAACTTGTGGTGCCTTTTCCAGGCACAGCAATCCATAGACCAATCAGTGCATACTTCCTCCCCTCTGAGGCCCATAAAAGCCCCAGGATCAGCCAGAGCTGTACAGATGATGGAACAACCAGCTGCAGGGAGGAATTACCTTCTCTGCTGAGAGCTGGACAGATGATGGGACCACCAGGTGCAGAGAGGAGCTACCCTCTCTGCTGAGAGCTGGACCGAGGATGGGATGACCAGCTGAAGAGAAAAGCTACCCCTTCTGCTGAGAGCTGAACACTCTTCAGGATACCCTGGCTACAGAGAGGAGCTGCCCACTGCAGGTCTCCTCTAAGCTGTTCTATTGCTCAATAAAGCTCCTCTTCATCTTCCTCACCCTCCATCTGCATACCTCATTCTTCCTGGGTGCAGGACAAAAGCTTGGGATCCACTAAATGGCAAGGCTAAAAGAGCTATAACATAAACAGAGCTGAAACATTCTTGCCACATTGTGGGCAAAGAGAAGGAGAGAAGAGCTGCAGCCCTTCCAGAAGGCCAGACCTGGGAGCTCCCTGAGCCAGGGCTATGAGTCCCTCTTTGGGGCCCTGCGGTTCCTGATGTCTCCAAGCTTCCAGACGCCATCACACTCCCCGGGAGCAGCCAGAGAAGCTGCTTGAAGTGCACCTGGTCCAGCTGCAGCCTTGCAGGAAGGCAACGCCCATGCCAGCACCTGGAGCTACCTGCTCTGTGGCAGCAGCCAGTGTGTCTTGACTGCACACTGGCTGTACCCCACTCTAGCTCACACACCCCTCCCCAGCTCCACGCCTGACTCACGCAGTCTCCCTTGGAGGCATGAGATCCAGGCTGGTAGTGTGAGCCTGCCAGGCCAAGTGGATGGAAAAAGCCCAGCGGGCCCAGACAAAGGCGCCACCAGCCACACGTTTCTGGCCAGAAAGGAGACACCCTAAAGATGCTGTAACAACACTGTACTCCATAAATATGTATAATTATTAAGTAAATTAATATAACAAAAGAAAAAGGAAACTGTTTATTCGTAAAAAGAAAGTGTTAAATAATACTTCCAGAAAAAAACAAAAAGATGTTAGTTGCTCCATCTTCTTGGTATATTTTATTGTTTTTGCCTGACAATGTGTGTGTGTGTTTTTTTTTTCATGTAAGAATTGTCCTAAGAGTTCCAGAGGGGTCTTAGGATAGGACTGTGTCAGATAATATATCCCACAGAATTGTTGACTATTATATGCTAGGTATGAGCCCAGACCATAAAATGTTTATAGAACATGAGAATCAGAAAGTTACTAATACTCTGCTTAAATTTATTATCATTATAATTTGTTTTTATTTATTTTTTTTTTTTGAGATGAGGTCTCACTATGTTGCCCAGGCTGGCCTTGAACTCCTGGCCTCAAGCATTCCTCCCACTTCAGCCTCCCAAAGTGCTAGGATACAGGCATAAGCCACCATGCCCAGCCTCTTCTTAAATTTATAGAATAGAACACTCCTTATTACTTTTCTCCCTTCCTCAACTCTTAAAAGCAAAGGAGCCTTTTCTATGCAAAATATCTAGAATACCTCAGAATATTACCTACTTATATCTGACAGACTGTCAGACCAATAACTAATTCTAGGACTGATTCCACAAACCAGATTACCACTCTGCCTTAGGCAACTTCATGCTGCCAACACATAGAATACCAACTCCTGCGACTCAGTCTCCTTTTCTTGCCTCTGAACATACCTTGTCTATTTAGGTCTATTTAAATACACAACTACAAGAGATACTCAGAGCATAAGCAGTATTACTAGAGATCAATGAGGTAAGTTATTCGTATGCCCTTGCAATTAGCTTCACACTGGTTTAAAATAATTAAATAATTTCTTTGAAGTTCTGGGTTGTAACTCCCTTTCCACTCACTAGCTTCCTTTAAAGCAATATTTGTCCCTACTCAATAGCTGATCTATTCCTAACCCAAGGAAGAAACTGAATCCTCCTCAGGTCCGCTGGTGCCCAAAAATGCCTATTAAAGCTTCTGGTTCAATTACTAGGTTTCAAGTCAAAATTGCTCTCTTTAAAATTAGTAGCTCTGAATTTTGCCTATTGAGACTTCCTGAGTAGCTTTTTTCTTTGCTGTTCTACGCTTTTCATCCATGATCTTAAAATTGGCCTCCTTGTCCTCACAAGTGGCTCCTCCTGTCTGTCCTTATTCTACTTTATTATCCATATTTTTCATGGAAGTGAATTATCCTGGATCTTCTATTCTCAGTAATCTCATTCTGGAGTCTCCTTGCTTTAACTTAGATTTCTTTCTTTTCTTTTCTTCCTTCCTTCCTTCTTTCTTTTCTTTTCCTTTCCTTTTTCTTTCTCTCTTTCTCTCTCTCTCTCCCCCCCTCCCTCCTTTCTCTCTTTCTCTCTCTCTCTCTTTTTTTTAAAGACAGGTTCTCACTCTGTCACCCAGGTCGGAGTGCAGTGGTGCAATCATGGTTCACTGTAGCCTCAACCTCCCAGGCTTAATCAATCCTCCAGCCTCAGCCTCCCGAGTAGCTGGGACTACAGACACATATCATCACACCTGGCTAATATTTGTATTTTTTGTAGAGATGGGGTCTCGCTGTGTTGGCCAGGCTGGAGATTTTCTAAAAGCTTAGTTAAACCCAAATATAACTTCATATCATAAGGAAAAGACAGAGTTCCAAATTTATCACTGGGCATTTCTTCTTTTCACTATCCCAACTTTCCCAGCCTAACCCAGCCCTCACCCTTCTCCCCTCCATTCCAGGCAAGTTTCCAAGTCAATGGTAGAACATCACAAGTTAACTGTACTTGTAACTTTTCCAATTTCACTCAAGCTAGTCATATACCTAAATTCCTACAATTCTGATCAAAGTTTTGGAAGTTCTTTTGTCTCAGAACTTAAGTGACTAGGAAAAGATCATTAAGTAAATAATAAAGTTCAACCAAAATACAAATGCCCTAACAAAGATAGAAAAGGAAATGATAGTTCTGTCCAATAGTCAACTTTTATATTCCAGGCTCACTTTCCTAAATAGTGTTAAGTATTCTTCCTGAAAAACCCAAAAAGTATATTTAATTTAACATTTTACCAACTTTTGTGAAACAACTGAAGTACAATAAAACTGCATATACTTAGACTGGGTGTGGTGACTCACACCTGTAATCCCAGCACTTTGGGAGGCCAAGGCAGGCGGACTGCTTGAGTCCAGGAGTTCAAGACCAGCCTGGGGAACATGGCAAAACCCTATCTCTACAAAAAAATACAAGTTAGCCAGGCATAGTGGCATGCACTTGTAGTCCCAGCTTCTCAGGAGGCTGAGGCTGGAGGATCACTTGAGCCTGGGGAGGTCAATGCTGCAGTGAGCTGTGATCATGCCACTGTACTCCAGCCTGGCCACCAGAGTAAGACCCCATCTCAAAAAAAAATAAAATAAACTTTAATATTAAAAAATCTGCACACATTTAAAGTATACAATTGAGGTCAGGCACAGTGGCTCACACCTGTAAACCTAGCACTTTGGGAGGCCAAGGTGGGAGGATTGCTTGAGTCCAGGAGTTCAAGACCAGCCTGGGGAACACAGCAAAACAAAAAAATACAAGTTAGCCAGGCATAGTGGCATGCACTTGTAGTCCCAGCTTCTCAGGAGGCTGAGGCTGGAGGATCACTTGAGCTTGGGGAGGTCAACGCTGCAGTGAGCTGTGATCATGCCACTGTACTCCAGCCTGGCCACCAGAGTAAGACCCCATCTCAAAAAAAAATAAAATAAACTTTAATATTAAAAAATCTGCACACATTTAAAGTATACAATTGAGGTCAGGCACAGTGGCTCACACCTGTAAACCTAGCACTTTGGGAGGCCAAGGTGGGAGGATTGCTTGAGCTCAGGAGTTCAAGATCAGTTTTGGCAACATAGCGAAACCCCATCTCTACAAAACAAAAATAAAATAAAATACAAAAAATTAGCTGGGCATGGTGGTGCATGCCTGTAGTCCCAGATACTCGGGAGGCTGAGGCACGAGACTCGCTTGAACCTGGGAGGTGGAGGTTGAGGTGAGCAGAGATCACGCCACTCCAGCCTGGGTGACAGAGCGAGATGCTGTCTCAAGAAAGAAAAAAGTGTACAGTCAATCGGTTTTGTCATGCATATATACCAATCACTAAACACAATGAAGAAAACAAAAACCAAACATTTCTATCGCCTCAAAAGTTTACTCTGGGCCGGACGCGGTGGCTCAAGCCTGTAATCCCAGCACTTTGGGAGGCTGAGGCGGGTGGATCACCTGAGGTCAGGAGTTTGAGACCAGCCTGGCCAACATAGTGAAACCACGACTCTACTAAAAATAAAAAAATTAGCTGGGCGTGGTGGTGGGCGCCTGTGATCCCAGCTACTCGGGAAGCTGAAGCAGGAGAATCGCTTGAACCCAGGAGGCGGAGACTGCAGTGAGCCAAGATCATGCCATTGCACTCCAGCCTGGGCAACAAGAGAGAAACTCTGTCTTAAAAAAAAAGTTTACTCTGCCCCTATATAACCTATGCTTTCCCTTTTCTCCTGCACCAATATCGGCACCCAGTCTCCAGGCAAGCTTCCTTTCACAATAGATTAGTTTGCATTTCCTGGAATTTTATATGAATGTAATCTTAAACATGCATGCTATTTTTTCCTGGCTTAATTTATTCAGCATAATGCTTCTGAGATTCATTCATGTTGTTGCATATACCAATAGAGCTTCCTTTTTATCACTGAATCATCTAATAAAATTTTACAAAGAAGTAAAAAGAAAATCCTCATTGTGAAAACATCTTACTCTATGTATAGTACACAGAACTTACATTTTCAAGATATTTCTATTTTGAAAGAGAGAATGTCAAAGAAAGACTACTCAATGAAAAAAAATTACTGGTATCATAATCTTTAAGGAAAAATAAAAACAAATTAAAGACTTCAATTACAGTTGACCCTTGAACAACACAGAAGCTGGGGCACAACTCCCCGCAAGGTTGAAAATCTGAGTATAACTTTGGACTCCAGAAAAGCTTTACTAATAGCCTGACAATCACAAGCCTTACCAAAAACATAAACAGTTGATAACACATATTATATGCCTTCCACAGTGTATTCTTACAATAAAGTAAGCAGAGAAGAAAAATGTTATTAAGAAAATCATAAAGGCAGGGCATGATGGCTCATGCCTGTAATCCCAGCACTTTGGGACTCAAGGCAGGCAGATCACTTGAGGTCAGGAGTTTGAGACCAGCCTGGCCAACATGGTGAAACCCCCATCTCTACTACAAATACAAAAATTAGCCGGGCATGGTGGCATGCTCCTGTAGTCCCAGCTACTTGGGACACTAAGGCAGGAGAGTCACTTGAACCCGGGAGGTGGAGGTTACAGTGAGCCAAGATTGTGCCACTGCACTCCACCTGGGTGACAGACTGAGACTCCATCTCAAAAACAAAAAATAAATAAATAAAGGTAAGAAAGAAAGAAGGAAGAAAGAAAGGGAGGGAGAGAAGGGAAGGAGGGAGGGAGGGAAAGAAAAGAGAGGAGAGGAGAGGGGAGGGGGAAGAAGAGGAGAGGGAAGTAAAAGGAAAGGAAAGAAAATCGTAAAGAAGAGAAAATACATTTTCAGTACTGTACTGTTTTTATCATAAGTTTATGTCATCTGTTTACAGCAAGAATCATCTGTCTGAAGTGGCAGGCAACCACAGCTGCAGACCTCAATCTACTTTACGTATCAAACAATTCAATTTTTTCCTATAATGTCATGATTTTCTCTGCTTCTTGGGAACACTTCCAGGATCACAAGTGGCACTTGATATGGGTCACATGGTGTTATTCAAGGTTTAGGGTACTGCACTAAACACAATAAAAAATATGTGAGAAACACAAGAGATCACTTTTACTGTAATATGCCATTTACTGGAAAGATGAAGTGCTCATATGGAGATGATTAGCACCTCGAATACTTACAGTACTTGAGTTTACTGTAAAAAAGCAACAAGAGGTGGCCATGCAATTACTATAGTATTATAATATATATTACAGTTAATTTTATGCAGTTATGGTTTAATATTGCATTTTCTGTTTGCATTTTTCTGGACTGCAAATGAGGCCATGTACGATCTGTGTTTGTATGCATAAGGTTTGATAAATTTTAACTTTTAATAATAGATGTATAAATTTTATGGTAGTACCTGATAAAATAAACTAGTATCTACTTGTATTTTATGCATTCACAACATATCTCTCTCAATTTTTTGATGTTTCTAAGCCATGCGGCTCATCTGTGGCTTTTTCAAATTGTTGCAAATCTCCAAAAATTTTTCCAATATATTCATTGAAAAAAATCTGTGTATAAGTGAAACCTCGTCTCTACTAAAAATACAAAAAATTAGCCGGGCGTGGTTGCAGGCGCCTGTAGTCCCAGCTACTTGGGAGGCTGAGGCAGGAGAATGGCCTGAACCCGGGAGGCGGAGCTTGCAGTGAGCCGAGATCGCGCCACTGCACTCCAGCCTGGGCAACAAAGCGAGACTCCGTCTCAAAAAAAAAGAAAAGAAAAGAAACATAAACAGTTGATAACACATATTATATGCCTTCCACAGTGTATTCTGTGTATAAGTAGACCTGCGCTATTCAAATCCATATTGTTCAAGGGTCAACTGTGTCTAGCTTTAGCAGCTCAATATATATACAGAGATGGGGTTTCACCATGTTGGTCAGACTGGTCTCAAACTCCTGACCTCGTGATCCACCTGCCTCGGCCTCCCAAAGTGCTGGGATTACAGGCGTGAGCCACCGCGCCCAGCCACGTTTTTTTATTTAACAGTTGCTGATGTTTCTTGTTATTTTTTAAGAGACAGGGTCTCTATTGCCCAGGCTGGAGTGCAGTGGCATGATCACTGCAGCCTCAATCTCCCAGCCTCAAGTGATCCTCCCATCTTAGCTTCCCAAGTAGCTGAGACTACAGGCGTGCAAGACACCCAGCTAATTTTTTTTATTTTTTGTAGAGAGGAGGTCTCACTATGTTGTCAGGGCTGGTCTTAAACTCCTGGGCTCAAGCAATCCTTGAGATTCCGAAAAGTGGTGGGATTACAGGTGTGAACCACCACACCCGGCCCTCCATTTGTATCCTTGCCTGAGTCCCTGCAAATATTAAGTATGTGTCTGTCTTTCTTCATCCAAACACCCACTTATTCCTACACATAAAATCTTTCTTCTATGCATAAAACAACTCCATTCCTAACAAAGACTTCCACAAAGTCCTATCCAGTTCCTACATTCAGGTCCAAGGTCTCTATGTGATTTTCAATTCTTTCCACTAACTCTAAAGGTGATTCATTGTGGTCTGGTGACCTATAAACTAAAACACAAGTTGTACCTCTTCTTTTACTTGTATTATGAATGGTGAAGTAGAAAAAAATATATCTACAATAGAAATTTCCATTCAGAAAAGGGAAAAGTGGAAAACATACGGTAGTCATGAAGGTAAACTGCCAGGGCAAGAGAGTACGTTCATTGGTCAGCCCAGTTACAAGTCCAGGTTTTGTTCCCTGAGACAAAAACCCTGTCTATAGCCCTCCCTGGCCCTTAGCCTTATTCCTTAGCAATTATTTTTCAAGAAGTGGGCAATGGGTCATGTGCTTTTGTTGAAGGTTACACAGATCTTGTTGTTGCATTGAATTTTGCAACATGTATAACCAAATTCTGATTAAGTTTTATCAGCTAAATTTTGGCAGAGTCTGTAACACTGCCAGTTATAAACTTAACCTTATTTTCCTTTATAATACCTATTAAGGATAGAAGTTTCTCATAAAGACTCACTTGGATAGGATCCCAACTGTTTTTATCGTCTACTACACTAGTCATGTCAGTAGCTCGGTTAATACACCAAGAATTTGAAATAAGTAATTATACATAAGGTATTTTCTGTAAGAGTGTTTTTTAGTATGAATTACTTCTTTAACATCTGGCATACCACTTAGAACATCCATAATCTATGTAATGTTCTTGATGTAAAGTTTTCTACAAGGAGTTCACTAGTCCCATTACGCTTAACTATATGTTAGATCTTCTATTGTGAACTCTGTTTTTCAATAGCTTATGAAGCTGTTTAAATTTGCTCTAGCTTAAAACTTGACAACTAAGGACCATCAAGATAATAATGCACATATTTTTTAAAGTTCATATATGTTTACCAGAAGAGAGTGATATACTCTGTTGTACTGTCATCTTACAGAAGCCTTGAAATCTTTTTTGTCCTGTCTTACAAAAAGAAATGAATTGGCCGGGCGCGGTGGCTCACGCCTGTAATCCCAGCACTTTGGGAGGCCGAGGCGGGCGGATCACGAGGTCAAGAGATCGAGACCATCCCGGCTAAAACGGTGAAACCCCGTCTCTACTAAAAATACAAAAAAATTAGCCGGGCGTAGTGGCGGGCGCCTGTAGTCCCAGCTACTTGGGAGGCTGAGGCAGGAGAATGGCGTGAACCCGGGAGGCGGAGCTTGCAGTGAGCCGAGATCCCGCCACTGCACTCCAGCCTGGGAGACAGAGCGAGACTCCATCTCAAAAAAAAAAAAAAAGAAAAAAAAGAAATGAATTAAGACAATGAAATTTAAGAACTAGTATGAATGTTACACTATGAACAAAAAGAGAGGCAATCAACATAATGTACTAGGGAATATTTCACAGATTCTAGTTACAGGGAAAGATTTCAAACCAGTATCCTGCTGGTTGTTCTGTCAGCTATGATGTCAAGATCAAGATATACCGTAACAAAAATGTTAGCTGCTTTTCTCTAGTTAATATAAACAAGTTAATCATTTTACTATTACAACAGTCAGTGACCAACAGTATCAAGAGTTATCAATGACTAGAGTTGTCAAGAAAGTTGTTAGCCCTTAATGCTGGTAAGTCCAACATAAAGGGATTTAATCAATAATATAGATCAACTATCATCAAAGAAACCAAATACAAATCACTATTCTGTGATACTCTCCCTAAACCTAGACTATCTGGTAAATATGCAGGCCCCCCAACTCAGAGGACATCTAAATGCAACAAGACTACTTCAGCATAAATTCACCAGCACTAATAGGAAAATATCCTACTAATCAGCTGTTTGTTTTCACATGTTGATCACTATGTCTAAAAACACTCCGGAATCTAATACGGCTTTTGATTAATATACACAGTTTCCTCTAATCTAGAAAAAGGTTAAGTGTTCAAAGCTTGCAAAGTTAGCAAAGCTAACTACCTTCAGGTCTCCTCGTCTCTTGGTTATTGTTTTGGTCATTCTTTTAATAGGATTTTGCAGAATAATAACAACTACTAAAAAGAAAGTATTAATAAATCAAATATTCGCTAAGTATATACAATATGCACAGCACTCTGGGGCATATGTTTTTTTTAAGTCATAAAGTCTGCCCATCAAGAATAACAATTTTGGCTGGGCATAGTAGCTCATGCCTGTAATCTCAGCTCTTTGGGAGGCTGATGAGGGAGGACTGCTTGAGCCTAAGAGTTTGTGACCAGCCTAGGCAATATGGTGAGACCCCGTCTCCACAAAAAATAAATAAACTGATTAACTGGGCATGGTGGCACATGCCTGTGTCCCACCTACTTGGGAGGCTGAGGTGGGAAAAATCGCTTGAGCCTGGGAGGTCGAGGCTACAATGAGCCATGATCGGGCCACTGCACTCCAGCCTGGGAGACAGAAATGAGACGGTCTCAAGATTTACATGAATAAGATTAGACAAGACGTACATGAACAATTAGTGAATGGGCCATTATCTAATAAAATGTTGTGCTATGTACTACAGATTCAGGCTTTAATGCTTGAAAGAGAGTTTAGGATAAGAGAAAAACAATGTTGGCTAAAATTGTTGGACGCAGGCAAGGCGTGGTGGCTCATGCCTTGTAATCCAGTCCCCTGGGAGGCTAGGACAGGCAGATAGCTTGAGCCCAAAAGATCAAGCCCAGCCTGGGCAACATGGCGAAACTGCATCTCTACAAAAAATACAAAAAATTAGCTGGGCATGGTGGTACATGCCTATAATCCCAGCTACTTGGGAGGCAGAGGCAGGAGAATCTCTTGAACCTGGGAACTGGAGGTCGCAGTGAGCCAAGATTGCGCCACTGCACTCCAGCCTGGGTGACAGAGCAAGACTCTATCTCAAAAAAAAAAAAAAAAATACTACATAGAAATGTTTTGTTATTAAATTTGTTTGAGAGGAGTAGATGTTCTGAGGAGGTGGCACCCTAAAGAAAATAAAAACACTAGACAATTCAGAGTTGGTGAGGCCAGGCATGGTAGCGCACATCTGTAATCCCAGCAATTTGGGAAGTCGAGGCAGGGTGATCACCTGAGCTCTGGAGTTCAAGACCACCTGGGCAACATGGTGAAACCCCATCCCTACAAAAAACACAAAAATTAGCTGGGCGTGGTGACACGCACCTGTATTCCCAGCTACTTGAGAGGCTGAGGTGAGAGGATTGCTTGACTTCAGGAGGTCGAGGATGCAGTGAGCCGAAATTGCACCACTGCACTCTAGCCTTGGTGGCAGAGTGAGACCCTGTCTCAAAAAAAACATAGTGGCCTTGGTTCAGAAAAAGACTAATCTCAAGTAGAATACATTTTTCATTTATTTTCCATTTACCTTGTTTTCTCAATCCCCTCAAATTCTGTTCATTATTTTATTCAAGTAATACATGGTTACGATTATAAGCAAGATTAGAAGTACATAAAAATATTTTCTTTGTTTCTTTCTTTCTTTTTTTGAGACGGAGTCTTGCTCTGTTGCCCAGGCTGGAGAGCAGTGACGTGATCTTGGCTGATTGCAACCTCTGTCTCCTGGGTTCAAGCAATTCTCCTACCTTGGCCTCCCAAGTAGCTGGGATTACAGGAGCCCGCCACCACGCCCAGCTAATTTTTGCATTTTTAGTACAGATGGGGGTTTCACCATGTTGGCCAGGCTGGTCACAAACTCCTGACCTCAGGTGATCTGCCCGTCTCAGCCTCCCAAAGTGCTGGGATTGCAGGCATGAGCCACCGCGCCCAGCCTAGAAGAACATAAAAATATTAAGTACACTAATCTATCCTCAAAACAGTATGTCTAATGAGATATGCACATAAGTGCTAAAAGGTATAAATGGCCGAGCATGGTGGCTTACACCTGTAATCCCAGCACTTTAGGAGGCTGAGACAGGTGGATTACCTGAGGTCAGGAGTTTGAAACCAGCCTGGCCAACATGGTAAAACCTCGTCTCTACTAAAAATACAAAAATTAGCCAGGCGTGGTGGTGGGCACCTGCAATCCCAGCTACTTGGGAGGCTGAGGCAGGAGAATTGCTTGAAACTGGGAGGCGGAGTTTGCAGTGAGCTGAGATCATGCTGTTGCACTCCACCCTGGGCAACAAGAGCAAAACTCCATCTCAAAAAAAAAAAAAAAAAAAGTATAAACTGCCATGAGTTCTTATTCCTCACCTAAAATATTCTCTGCATTGGAATGTATAACAGTAAGTCTTCGGAAGTAAAAATTGGAGCTCCATTAATCCTAGATAAATCTCTCTTTTGCTCTAAAAATATAAAGCTACTGTTTTCAGGAAAATAATTTAGAAATTTACATTGCTTCCTTATATAATATATTCTAAAGTGGTTATCCTTTTTAAGTGCATGAACCTTTTATAATAAAATCCCAAAAATATCGTTCCTTGCTCTTAAAAAATATATGTTATTACTTTTACTATTAAAACAAAACATTATTAGCTAGGGAATAAAGTTCTTTCCATCTACAACTGGCAGCTTGTGTAGTCCTGTAGCTTTCTTTATAGATATACTGATGTTAAAATACTGCTATGATATCTCAAAACATTAATTTCAGAATCTCACCAAGAATAATGATGCTCTGTTTACTCAGACTTAAAGGTCCAAGCTCTCCATAGGATTTTTTTTTCTCCATAGGATTTTGAAAAAGAACTCACAAGGGTCATATGCACTGACCCTTCCCTAGCTTTGCAACTAATTACCTTGTTTATAAATCCCATTATTTAACTTGACCTCCCTGCAGTTGTGGAATATAGATCATCCATTCCATGAGTCTATCCACCCACTAAAACTAAATTCAAGCTTCAAAATTACCAGCCCTGCCAAGCTCAGTGGCTCACACCTGTAATCCTGACACTTTGGGAGGCCAAGGTGGGAGAGGATCATTTGAGCTCAGGAGTTCAAAACCAGCCTGGGCAAGATGGCAAAACCACGATTCTACAAAAAATACAAAAATTCTTTGTCTCTTTTGATCGTTGTTGGTTTAAAGTCTGTTTTATCAGAGACTAGGATTACAACCCCTGCTTTTTTTGGCTTTCCATTTGCTTGGTAGATCTTTCTCCATCCCTTTATTTTGAGCCTATGTACGACTTTGCACGTGAGATGGGTCTCCTGAATACAGCACACTGATGGGTCTTGACTCTTTATCCAATTTGCCAATCTGTGCCTTTTAATTGGGGCATTTAGCCCATTTACATTTAAGGTTAATATTGTTACATGTGAATTTGATCCTGTCATTATGATGTTAGCTGGTTATTTTGCCCATTAATTGATGCAGTTTCTTCATAGCATCAATGATCTTGACAATTTGGCATGTTTTTGCAGTGGCTGGTACCGGTTGTTTCTTTCCATGTTTAGTGCTTCTGTCAGGAGCTCTTGTAAGGCAGGCCTGGTGGTGACAAAATCTCTCACCATTTGCTTGTCTGTAAAGGATTTTATTTCTCCTTCACTTATGAAGCTCAGTTTGGCTAGATATGAAATTCTGGGTTGAAAATTCTTTTCTTTAAGAATGTTGAATATTGGCCCCCACTCTCTTCTGGCTTGTAGGGCTTTTGCCTAGAGACCCACTGTTAGTCTGATGGGCTTCCCTTTGTGGGTAACTCGACCTTTCTCTCTGGCTGCCCTTAACATTTTTTCCTTCATTTCAACCTTAGTGAATCTGACAACTATGTGTCTTGGGGTTGCTCTTCTTGAGGAGTATCTTTGTGGTGTTCTCTGTTCCTGAATTTGAATGTTGGCCTGCCTTGCTAGGTTGGGGAAGTTCTCCTGGATAATATCCTAAAGAGTGTTTTCCAGCTTGGTTCCATTCTCCCCATCACTTTTTGCAGTGGCTGGTAGCAGTTGTTTCTTTCCATGTTTAATGCTTCCTTCAGGAGCTCTTGTAAGGCAGGCCTGGTGGTGACAAAATCTCTCAGCATTTGCTTGTCTGTAAAGGATTTTATTTCTCCTTCACTTATGAAGCTTAGTTTGGCTGGATATGAAATTCCGGGTTGAAAATTCTTTAGGAATGTTGAATATTGGCCCCCACTCTCTTCTGGCTTGTAGGGCTTTTGCCAAGAGAACACCAATCAAACGTAGATTTGGTCTTTTCACATAGTCTCATATTTCTTGGCGGCTTTGTTCATTTCTTTTTACTCTTTTTTCTCTAACCTTGTCTTCTTGCTTTATTTCATTGATTTGATATTCGATCACTGATACCCTTTCTTCCACTTGATTGAATCCGCTATTGAAACTTGTGCATGCATCACGAAGTTCTCGCGCCATGGTTTTCAGCTCCATCAGGTCATTTAGGGTCTTCTCTACACTGTTTATTCTAGTTAGCCATTCGTCTAACCTTTTTTCAAGGTTTTTTAGCTTCCTTGCGATGGGTTCGAACATACTCCTTTAGCTCGGAGAAGTTTGTTATTACCAACCTTCTGAAGCCTACTTCTGTCAACTCGTCAAGTGATTCTCCATCCTGCTTTGTTCTGTTGCTGGCGAGGAGCTGCGATCCTTTGGAGGAGATGAGGTACTCTGATTTTTAGAATTTTCAGCTTTTCTGCTCTGGTTTCTCCCCATCTTTGTGGTTTTTATCTATCTTTGGTCTTTGATGTTGGTGACCCCCAGATGGGATTTTGGTGTAGATGTCCTTTTTGTTGATGATGATGCTATTCCTTTCTGTTTGTTCATTTTCCTTCTAACACTCAGGTCTCTCAGCTGCAGGTCTGTTGGAATTTGCTGGAGGTCCACTCAAGACCTTGTTTGCCTGGGTATCACCAGTAGAGGCTGCAGAACAGCAAATATTGCAGAACAGCAAATATTGCTGCCCGATCCTTCCTCTGGAAGCTTCTTCCCAAAGGGGCACCTGCCTATATGAGGTGTCTGTAGGCCCCTACTCAGAAGTGTTTCCCAGTTAGGCTACACAGGGGTCAGGAACCCACTTGAGGAGACAGTCTGTCCGTTCTCAGAGCTCAAATGCCATGCCGGGAGAGCCACTGCTCTCTTCGGAGCTGTCAGACAGGGACGTTTAAGTCTGCAGAAGTTGTCTGCTGCATTTTGTTCAGCTATGCCCTGCCCACAGAAGTGGAGTCTAGAGGCAGTAGGCCTTGCTGAGCTGCAGTGGGCTCCTCCCAGTTCAAGCTTCCTGGCAGCTTTGTTTACCTACTCAAGCCTCAGCAATGGTGGATGCCCCTCCCTCAGCCAGGCTGCCACCTCACAGTTTGATCTCAGACTGCTGCGCTAACAGTGAGCAAGGCTCCGTGGGCATGGGACCCGCTGAGTCAGGCACGGGAGAGAATCTCCTCTGCTGGTTGCTAAGACCTTGGGGAAAGTGCAGTATTTGGGCAGGAGTGTCCCGTTTTTCTAGTTACAGTCTGACATGGATTCCCGTGGCTAGGAAAGGGAAATCCCCTAACCCCTTGCGCTTCCTGGGTGAGGCAACGCCCCACCCTGCTTCACCTCGCCCTCCGTGGGCTGCACCCATTGTCCAACCAGTCCCAATGAGATGAACCAGGTACCTCAGTTGGAAATGCAGAAATCATCCGTCTTCTGCATCGATCACGCTGGGAGCTGCAGACCAGAGCTGTTCCTATTCGGCCATCTTGGGCCATTACGTAATGGTAAAGGGATCAATTCAACAAGAAGAGCTATCTATCCTAAATATATATGCACCCAATACAGGAGCACCCAGATTCATAAAGCAGGTCCTTAGAGACCTACAAAGAGACTTGGACTCCCACACAATAATAATGGGAGACTTTAACACCCCACTGACAATATTAGACAGATCAACGAGACAGAAGGTTAACAAGGATATCCGGGACTTGAACTTAGCTCTACACCAAGCAGACCTAATAGAAATCTACAGAACTCTCCACCCCAAATCAACAGAACATACATTCTTCTCAGCACCACATCGCATTTATTCTAAAATTGACCACATAATTAGAAGTAAAGCACTCCTCAGAAATGTAAAAGAATAGAAATCACAACAAACTGTCTCTGAGACCACAGTGCAATCAAATTAGAACTCAGGATTAAGAAACTCACTCAAAACTGCAAAACTACATGGAAATTGAACAACCTGCTCCTGAATGACTACTGGGTAAATAACGAAATGAAGGCAGAAATAAAGATGTTCTTTGAAACCAATGAGAACAAAGACACAACATACCAGAATCTCTGGGACACATTTAAAGCAGTGTGTAGAGGGAAATTTATAGCACTAAATGCCCACAAGAGAAAGCAGGAAAGATCTAAAATCAACACTCTAACATCACAATTAAAAGAACTAGAGAAGGCCAGGCATGGTGGCTCACGCCTGCAATCCCAGCACTTTGGGAGGCCAAGGCGGGTAGGTCACCTGCGGTCAGGAGTTCAAGACCAGCCTGGCCAACATGGTGAAACCTCGTCTCTACTAAAAATACCAAAAAATTAGCTGGGCATGGTGGTGGGAGCCTGTAATCCCAGCTACTCAGGAGGCTGAGGCAGGAGAATCGCTTGAACCTGGGAGGCGAAACTTGCCATGAGCCAAGACCATGCCATTGCACTCCAGCCTGGGCAACAAGAGCAAACCTCTGTCTCAAAGAAAAAAAGAAAATAAAAAGAAATAGAAACTAGGGTTAATTAAAAATGGCAAAGAATGGTTCTATATAATATACCAAGCCTAAAATTCCTATTTTTTTTTTTTTTTTTTGAGTCAGAGTCTCATTCTGTTGCCCGGGCTGGAGTGCAGTGGCACAGTCTCAACTCACTGCAACCTCCGCCTCCTGGGTTCAAGCAATTCTCCTGCCTCAGCCTCCCGAGTAGCTGGGATTACAGGCACCCGCCACTAAGCCCAGCTAATTTTTTGTATTTTTAGTAGAAATGGTGTTTTACCATGTTGGCCAGGCTGGTCTCGAATTCCTGACCTCGTGATTCACCCGCCTCGGCCTCCCAAAGTGCGGGGATTACAGGTGTGAGACACCTTGCCCAGCCATAGTTTTTATTATCTTATAAAATTTATTCTTTTTTTCTTTTGAGACAGGGTCTCACTGTCACCCAGGCTGGAGTGCAGTGGTGCAATCATAGCTCACTCTAGCCTCAAACTCCTGGACTCAAGCAATCCTCCTACTTCAGCCTCCTGAGTACCTGGGACTTACAGGCACACACCATCATGTCTGCTAATTTTTTTGGTTGCTGTTTTTAAGTAGAGATGAGGTCTCACTATGCCCAGGCTGGCCTGGAACTCCTGAGCTCAAGTGATCCTCCTGCCTCGATCTCCCAAAGTGCTGAGATTATAGGCATAAGCCAACATACCCAGCCAATAAATTTTATTCTTATTTCTCATTTAGAATGACAAAATGTACATCTGTGTACATAACTACAAAATAGTAAACTTTTATTTTATTTTTTTTAGAGACAGTGTCTCACTATGTTGCCTAGACTGGACTCGAGTTCTTGGGCTTAAGCAAGCCTCCTATTTCAGCCTCCTGAGTAGCTGGGACTACAGGGACGCACAGTGGCGCCGGTTAAACATATTATTTTTAGAAACAGAATATATCAACTTAGCACATTTTATTTCTACCTAAACATTTTAGTAGAACTTAAATAAAAATTTAATTAAGTCCCAATAAGTTAGTATTTCATTTACAACATTTAATTTTATAGAATTAACTATGTTTTACTATACAGAAAATTTTCTTTAACATAAAATTTATAAAACATATTTGCAACATAAAAATTTTTATGTCACAGAGATTAACTTTCTAAGAATAAGAAGCCAATCATGGAAATGTTCCTATGATCATAATCAGTGGCTATTAAAGCTCTAAAGTACAAAAGAAACAGAATTACAGCTCTGTAGTACTCCCACTTGACCTCTAAGAACACAGCCACGTTGACATCTAAAACAAAACATTGTTTACCCACTCAGGAAGAAAAATAACTACAGGTAAGATTAAATCTGTTAAGAGCAGAAGGCCCCTCAGGAATTTAGGCTGGTGGAGGTGGATAACTACCTCAAAGGAAAACTTAGAACAAAAAGATTACCTCAGCAACCTTTGGAGGCACTCCATCCCCAAGCACTTCCCGGATGAAGCAGTGCTGGCCCATGTAATATGAGAGTCCACAGGTCCTCTTGAAAGCATCCTTCAGTCGTTTTAGCTCTACATCTGTAACTGCAATTCAGAAACAGAAGATGGGTAAGAAATCAGGAGAGAAAAGAGGTGTCTCATAATTTTTTTCAACCTGGCTCCTAAGAAAAATTGAGGCTAGGCACAGTGGCTCACGCCTATAATCCCAGTACTTTGGAAGGCCAAGGCAGGCGGATCACTTAAGGCCAGGAGTTCAAGATCAGCCTGGACAATGTGGCGAAACCCCATCTCTACAAAAAAAACAAAAATTAGCTGGGCATGGTGGTGCATGCCTATAATCCCAGCTACTTGGGAGGCTGAGACACGATAATCACTTGAACCTGGGAGATGGAGGTTGCACTGAGCCAAGACCATGCCGCCGCACTCCAGCATGGACAACAGAGCGAAACTCTGTCTCAAAAAAATAAATAAATAAAAAGAAAAAAAAAGAAAAATTGGCAAGCATTACACTTCTTTTTTGGTTAAATAAAACTCTATGACATTTAGTCATAATTCTAATATTTTCAAATCTAATTTAGAAAATAAGTATAATTTTTTTTTTTTAAGAGATGGGTCTCGCCATGTTGCCCAGGCTGGTCTTGAACTCCTGGGCTCAGGCAGTCCTCCCACCTTGGCCTCCAGAAATGCTGAGATTAAAAGCATGAGCCAGCACGCCAAGCCAAAATTCTTAACATTCAATTTTCAAAAGACAAAACTTTAATATAGGCATACAAATTTTAGGCAGGGGCAAAGAAGTAACAAATATTTCAAATTAGCAGGTAAGCTAAATGCCACTGGATTCTGGCATTAATGTTTTCAGCAGCAATACATTAATCTCCTTTGTGATAAAAATTATATTATTTGTACTCCTTGAGCACATCTCTATCCATATGGAGAACAGTCTTCAAGTTTAGCTTGGATTTTGTCATTATTTAAAAAGAAAATAGTTCATAAACAGATGATATTAACAAACTAAAATTTTTAGATACTTATTATCAAAAACAAAAAAATTACTGAGCCATTACTTTATTTTATGCATTGAAAACTTTTTTTCACTATATGGAACAATCTCTATCTACAAGAACAAAGAAATAAACACCCTTTACTATTACATGATCAGTACCACAATCACAATAGAGGCACAGAAATGGTACCTTTGACCCATGCTAGAGAAAACAGAGAATTCTTCCAGATGAAGATAATTACATTAAATTTTAAAGGCTAAACCAAGCAAAATGAACAAGGATATGCTGGTCAGAAATTACAGTTTGCTTCAAAGTACAATGAAGTATAAAAATGTATCATAAAAGTATCTTACTACAGCAAAGCACGGAGTAGCAAACGATAAACCTAGAGAGGCAGCAAGACCAAGTCACAGAGACTCTGTCCTGTCATAAGGAAGGGACACAGTCAGATACAACTCAGATAAAAACTGCAGGCAGACGAGAAAAAAACACAGTGAGATATAATTCAGATAGCTCACTCTACCAATAACAAAGAGAACAGAACAAATCTGGAAGCAATAGCCTGCTACTACAAGAAAAGGAGCTAAATTTGGGAAATATCCAGAGGGTCAGTAGAACTTGAAGCTAGACTGAGAGTAGAAGCAGTACTGGGAAGCTTTTTTTTTTCTTTTTTTGAGACAGAGTCTCACTCTGTCACCCAGGCTGGAGTGCAGTGGCATGATCTCAGGTCACTGCAACCTCTGTCTCCCAGGTTCAAGCAATTTGCCTGCCTCATCCTCCCAAGTACCTGGGAATACAGGTGCGCACCACCACACCTGGCTCATTTTTTTTTTTTTTTTTTATGAGACGGCATCTTGCTCTGTCGCCCAGGCAGGAGTGCAGTGGCACGATTTCTGCTCACTGCAAGCTCCGCCTCCCAGGTTCATGCCATTCTCCCGCCTCAGCCTCCCGAGTAGCTGGGACTACAGGCGCCCGCCACCACGCCCAGCTAATTTTTTGTATTTTTAGTAGAGACAGGGTTTCACTGTGTTAGCCAGGATGGTCTCGATCTCCTAACCTCGTGATCCACCCGCCTCAGCCTCCCAAAGTGCTGGGATTACAGGCGTGAGCCACCGCGCCCGGCCTACACCTGGCTAATTTTTGTATTTTTAGTTTCACCATGTTGGCCAGGCTGGTCTTGATCTCCTGACCTCAAGTGATCTGCCCACCTTGACTGGGATTACAGGCTTGAGCCACCGCACACAGCCAGTACCGAGAAACTTCAAGGATTATGTTATTATGTAGACAGAGAATGTAAGAATAAGTCAGGAAAGGCTGGGCGCAGTGGCTCACGCCTGTAATCCCAGCACTTTGGGAGGCTGAGGCGGGCGGATCACGAGGTCAGGAGATCCAGACCATCCTGGCTAGCACAATGAAACCCCGTCTCTACTAAAAATACAAAAAATTAGCCAGGCCTGGTGGCGGGCACCTGTAGTCCCAGCTACTTGGGAGGCTGAGGCAGGAGAATGGCGTGAACTCGGGAGGCGGAGCTCGCAGTGAGCCAAGATAGCGCCACTGCACTCCAGCCTGGGCAACAGAGCGAGACCCCGTCTCAAAAAAAAAAAAAGAGTAAGTCAGGAAAAAAGATGATAAACTTTTTTAAGGATACTGAATATGGGAAACCTTGGAAAATGCAATGGGGTTTTAGAATTTTAAATGTAAAGCTTAAGAGAGGTTGATAGGAGTCATCAGTATAGAGGTAGTAATTAAAACCATGAGGAAGAAGCATAATGAGACACACCAAAACTAGAAGAAGCCAGTGTTTCCAAGAGGAAGGAAACAGAGGGAAAAACTAAGAAAGAGAAAGAAAATTGATATGGAATAGTCAGGAGAAAAGAAGGAGAAGTAGAAGAGTATGCTCTCCAAAGGCCAGGAAAAGGGGACTTATCAAGTTAAGGCAGAAAGGACCAGCAAGATAAAGACTAGGCCAGGTGCAGTGGCTCATACCTATAATCCTAGCACTTTGGGAGGCCAAGGCAGGAGGATGGCTTGAGACCAGGAGTTAGAGACCACCCTAGGCAACATAGTGAGACCCTGTCTCTACAAAAACAGAAAAATTAGCCACACTTGGTGGCACGTGCCTATAGCTACTCAGGAGGCTGAGATGGGAGGATCACTTGAGCCCGGGAAGTCAAGGCTGCAGTGGGCCATGATCGTGCCACTGCACTCTAGCCTGGGTGACAGAGCGAGACTGTCTTAAAAAAAAAAAAGATAAAGACTAAAGAGTGCTTGGCACACAGTTAATCACTTTGATAAATGCTTGTGGTAGGAAGGGGGGGTTCATGGTTCAGCAACATAGAGTAATGATAAAACAATAAGAACCACTAGTTGAATAAGTAGCTAGAGAAAAGTATGACTATTAGGTACTTTATTTAAAATTGGATTTATAATATTAACATTTGCAATTGAAGGAGGTAACTTTGGCTGCGGAATATGTATTTCTTCAAGATGCCTAATTTTCATTAATGGCTTTAGTAACAAATTAGGTTGTTCACAGTCTAGTGGAGGAGACAAGAAAATTAAACATTCAAATAATATTAGAATAATATATGACTAAATATTAGAATAACATAGTATTAGAATATATTACAATATAATTAATCTAATATATTAATTATATATTAATCTAATAGACTACCTGTATAACAGTATAGGTAATCTCCTATAGTGTTGGTTACAGATTATTTGAAGAACTACTTGGTAATATGTTTTTTAAAAATATAATCTGGTGGCTGGGCACGATAGTTCACACCTGTAATGCCAGGACTTTGGGAGACTGAGGCAGGTGGATCCCTTGAGGCCAGGAGTTCGAGACCAGCCTGGCCAACATGGTGAAATCCCATCTCTACTAAAAATACAAAAATTAGCCAGCCGTGGCGGTGGGTGCCTGTAATCCCAGTTACTCAGGTGGCTGAGGCAGGAGGATTGAGGAGGCAAAGGTTGCAGTGAGCTGAGATAGCCCCACTACATTCCAGCCTGGACAATGACAGAGTGAGACTCTGTCTCAAAAGAAAAAAAAAAAAAAAAAAATATATATATATATATATATATATATATTATATATATATATATATATTATATATATACATATATATACACATATATATATACACACATATATATATATAGCAATCTGATGACTAATGAATTTATTCACTTAAACTGTAGGGAAATGTACATATAAATAAGCTTTTAAAGCATTTATAAGAAGCAAACAATGTCCATCAACAAAGGACAGATTGAATAAATTATTGTATACATTTAGAATATCATACAGACACTGAAATGTTCCTACAGATCCATATTTACTGAAAATAAATACATAAAAATGTTCACCATACAGTGAAATGTTGAAAATTTTGAAAATAAAAATTTAAGCAAGACAGAAAATATAATAGAATCAAGCCTAAGTTCTGCTCTGTGGTTTTTTCGTTGTTGTTGGTTTTTGTTTTTTTTTTTATTTTGAGACGGGATCTCACTCTGTCACCCAGGCTGGAATGCAGTGGCATGATCTCAGCCACTGCAACCTCTGCCTCCCAGGCTCAAGCAATCCTCCCACCTCAGCCTCCCAAGTAGGTGGGACCACAGGCTCCCACTGCCACACGTGGATAATTTTTTGAATTTTTAAATAGCGATGGGGTTTTGCCATGTTGCCCAGACTGGTCTCAAACTCCTGAGCTCAAGCAATCCACTCGCCTTGGCCTCTCAAAGTACTGGGATTACAGATGTGGTAATTTTTGAGACTGAGTCTCGCTCTGTAGCCCAGGCTGGAGTGCAGTGGCATGATCTTGGCTCACTGCAACCTCCACCTCCCAGGTTCAAGTGATTCTCCTGCCTCAGCCTCCCCAGTAGCTGGGATTACAGGCACCTACCATAACACCTGGGTAAGTTTTATATTTTTAGTAGAGATGAGGTTTCACCACGTTGGCCAGGCTGGTCTCAAACTCCTGACCTCAAGTGATCTGCCAGCCTAGGCCTCCCAAATTGCTGGGATTACAAGCATGGGCCACCGTGCCCGGCCCAGGTGTGGTAAATTTTTTAAATAAGAAAATGATATTAGTTATCTTCGTATTAGAAAGAAAAAGTAGCTTCAGAAAAGGACAAAGGGACTTTTCTTAAATCTTCTCTCTCTCCCTCTATCCCTCTCTCAGTAAAATTACAGTGAGAATAAAAGAAGATATAAACTCACAAGGACAGAGGGATAAAAAACTACATAATAGGTATAATGTACCCTACTCGGGTGATGGGTGCATTAAAAATCTCAGATTTCACCACTGCACACTTCATCCACGTAACGAAAAACCACCTGTACCCCAAAAGCTATTGAATTTTTTTTTTTAACTCACAAAGACAAAAATAGGACAAGAGAGACACGAGAACCTAAGAGACAGTCAAATTTTTCTGGTGCACATTAAGTATCTGGAGTGGTCACTGACCTAAGCCAACCCAAGAAAGTTAAAACCTAGCAGCTGAGAAATTCAAACAAGAAGCAAACGAATTTACCCTGTCCATAGCCCCAAAAGGCTCAGAAATGGATGGTACCAATTACCACAAAAGTCAGGGGGGTAAAAGGTGAGGCTGAGAAAAAAAAATAGAGATTGGTTCAAAGTCTATGAGGAGTAGTTAGACTCTCTGGACCCTTGCAGCACAAGGCAATCAGGCACCAATCTACCACCTACCCAAACCCCCATCACTTTCACACCAACCTTTTAGCAACTCCCGGGCTCAAGTGATCCTCCCACCTCAGCTGCCCAAGTAGCTGGGACTACAGGCATGCACCACTATGTCAGGCCCTTCCTAGCTATTTTTAATTTGTACCTTTAGCTGATTTTTTTCAACAAGCATTTATGAAATGTCTACTATGCCAGGCTTCTTTTTTTTTTTCGAGATGGAGTCTCACTCCGTCCCCCAGGCTGGAATGCATGATCTCAGCTCACTGCAACCTCTGTCTCCCGGGTTCAAGCAATTCTCCTGCCCAGCCTCCCAAGTAGCTGGGAGTACAGGCACGCACCACCGTGCCTGGCTAATTCTTGTATTTTTAGTAGAGGCGGGGTTTCGCCATGCTGGCCAGGCTGGTCTTGAACTCCTGACCTCAGGTGATCCACCTCCCTCGGCCTCGCAAAGTGCTGGGATTACAGGCGTGAGCCACCAAGCCCAGCTGTCAGGCATTTATTAAATGTCTACTTATCTCAGTCAAGATGAGTAATACATAGTCTCCATATTCTAATACTTCAAAATTTAGTAGAAAAGACAGGACACAACAAAAATAACTATAATACCAAATATGAAATATTAAACTGGAGGTATTCAATGGAGTTCCAAAATAGGGAATAATTAGGAAGTGGTAATTCCTAAAGAGTAGGGGTTCACCTGGCAAAAAAAAACGCAAAGGGCTATTCTATGCAGGGAAAACACATATAAAAGAATAAAGTGGCATGGATAATCAAAGAATTGCAAGTAGTATGATATAAATGGAGTACAGGGTATAAGAAGCAGAGTTGTCAGAAATGAGGTTAGAATGATAATGGGCAGACAAAACAGAACCCTGACTTTATTCAAGATGATAATGTCCTTAGCTAAATGACTATATTTTTCAGTTTCCCTTGCAACTAGAAATGGCCAATGAAATGCAGTAGAAATGACTGGGGGGACCTCCATGAAGGCTTCTTAAAAGGTAACAGCTGGCAAATATCCTTTTGCCCTTATCTCTTCTTCCCACCTGGCACTTAGATATACAATGGCTGCATCTCCAGCAGCCATTTTACACACCTATTTTTGAGTGAACGTCAAAGTTATAAGCCATACAGTAAGGATGGCGAGGTCAAAAAGATTTTTAAAAGCCTAGATGACCATGGAACTGCCATATGACCCTTGGATATCCTACCTCCAGATTTACGTGTGAGAAAAATAAACCCTTATATCTTATTTAAACTATTATTTTGTTTAATATACATCCAAACTTAAACCTAACTGATAAAGGTATCAGGTACAAGTTTATGGAAGGCCATTCTAAGCCATGTTAAAAATCCTTTCCTGGCTTTAAACAAAGAAGTAACAATCAGGTTTACATGCACATTGGTGTCGATGCAATAAACAAGACTGGGAAAAGGTCAGAATGGAGGTATAAAGACCAGTTGAGCGGTTACTGCATTTGTTCAGACAAGAGATGAACTCAACAAAAGAACTCGAAGGCACAGCCTCAAGCGATCCTGCCACCTCTGTCTCCAAAGTGCTGGGATTACAGGCCTAAGGCATAAAGTAAAAAGGGAGGTAAGAAGGCAGATTCAAGAGATAAACTCAACTGAACAGGGTTCACTGAATAATTAGCTGTCAAAGGACTAGAAAGAAAAAAATGATCTTTGATGATTTCAAAGTGTCTGCCTGTTTCTAAGATATACTCAGTGCTACTGATGAAGATTAGTCTAGGGGAGAATTTGAATATATTACATTGTATTTACATTTCTGTTATGAAATGAATGTATGTGTCCTCCCCTCAAATTCATATGTTGAAGCCCTAACACACAGTGTGGCTGGTTTTGGAGTAAGGAAGCAATTATTGTTAAATAAGCTTATAAGGATAGGACGCTGAACTTACAGGATTAGTGTTCATAGAAGAAGAGACACCAAAGGGCTCAAGCGCAACATAGGCACAGAGGAAAGAGCATGTATGGATGCAACGAGCAGGAAAGGCTCTCTTCTGCAGGCCAGGAAGAGAGCCCTCACCAAAAACAAAACCTTGCTGGAACCCAACGTTATTTCCAATGGGAAATAACATTTCTGTCGTTTAATCATCCAGTCTTTGGTATTTTGTGATGGTAGCCCAAGCTGACTACTATCATTTCTATAGTACCAATGGTAAATAGACCAACTCCTCCATTTTAATTTAGATAGAGGCCAGTGCGGTGGCTCACACCTGTAATCCCAGCACTTTGGGAGGCCGAAGCAGGTGGATCACTTAAGGCCAGGAGTTCGAGACCAGCTTGGCCAACACGGAGAAACACCATCTCTACTAAAAATACAAAAATTAGCCAGGGATGGTGGTGCACACCTGTAATCCCAGCCACTCAGGAGGCTGAGGCAGGAGAATCGTTCGAACCTGGGAGGCAGAGGTTGTGGTGAGCAGAGATTGCACCACTGCACCCCAGCCTGGGAGACAGAGTGAGACTCTGTCTAAAAACAAATAAAAAATAATTTAGATAATCTATGTAAATCGCTTTTACAAAGTCATATGAAGAGATCAGAACTCACTGTCCATGAAAGGAAAATAAAATTATGTAATTAACAATTGCACAAAACAAACATAAGAGAGCAGCACAACGCTCATTGTCATGCTCTAAACTTTTAGAGGTTACCGTGTCTACACCAGTAGTTATTAACCTTTTCTGCAGTGACACAGAATGGATGTTGTCATTACCATGAGCATTCCGTAAATTCTAGCTGCAACTATACTCTTTACTTCCAGTCAAGAAATCACATGCATGTGTGAAATGCATGAAATTAAATCCATTTTTGTAAAGGTAAGCTTTTTTCTTGAAGTTCAATACTTTATTATTACTCATTACATGGTATAAAATATTTCACAATAAACCACAATACTGGTGTTCTATTCCCCTATTATATACTGCTTTATATTATAACTTTTTTTCAAAGGTAATATTTGTCTTATCTCTCCAAGTATATTTTAAGTCTCTTGAGAGCAAAGACCAAGTCTATTCTTCATCTCTATTTCTTTAAGACAGCCAAGGCAGGACCATGCATTCTGATTTCTGTTATAGGATAGGAGTTTCCGTTTTAACAGTTTGGTTCCAAAGGCAAAGAGGAAAATTTAACAACATCTGAATCAGAGGATAACCACAGAGATAAATAAACATTGGGAAATATGCCTTTCACTGCCAAAGTGGGCTAAGAATTTACAAACCTAGGACAAGAAGAAATTGTATAATGCAGCAAAGAAAACACAACCAACATATTTGTAAATCTGCTTGGTGCAGCTGATCTGAAGTAAATTAACCTATCAAAAGTCACTTTGGTAGGGTCCCTGCTAAAAAAAGCTACTGCAGAGCCACTTCAGGTAGATGATAAAACCCAGATGGGACATCTCAGGCAAGAGGGGGCCTACAACTAGCAATTTTTTTTGCTACTGGTGACTTTGTGCCAAATGTCCATGAACAAATGAATCCAAAAAAGTATGATATAAGGCCAGGTGTGTGGCTCACGCCTGTAATCCCAGCACTTTGGGAGGCTGAGGCAGGCAGATCGCTTAAGGTCAGGAGTTCGAAACCAACCTGGCCAACAGAGTTTGCTCCCTCTCTACTAAAAATACAAAAGTTAGCTGGGCATAGTGGCGGTGCCTGTAGTCCCAGCTACTCAGGAGACTGAGGCAGGAGAATCACTTGAACCCAGGAGGTGGAAGTTGCAGTGAGCCGAGATAGCGCCACCGCACCCCAGCCTGGGCAACATAATGAGGCTCTGCCTCAAAAACAAAAACATAAAACTATGATACATTCTTATTATAGAATACTTTTCAGCATAAAAAGGAGAAAACGAAAGTGCTGATATATGCAACAACATGGATGATGCTCACAGATATTATACTAAGTAAAAGAAGGCTGATTAAAAAAAAGAGCAGATACTCTGTGATTCCCCAAGTTCTAGAACAGGAACAACTCATCAATGATGACAGGTCAGAACAGTTATTGCCTCTGAGGATGTGGTAAATTTACTGGTAAGAGGAACAAGTCAACTTTCATAGGTGATAGAAATGTTCTGTATCTTGTCAAAATGCAAGGACACATGACTTTTGTATTTTAGGATATAAAAATTTTCCCTCCAAAAAAACCTGTAAGGAGACCGATTGCCGGAATGGTAAAGACCTCTGAAAATCCATTCTTCTAAAAAAGCAGCAAGAACACTATCAAAAACTGTCAAAATCCAACTTTTTCAGAACTCTAGAAATCAACCAAATGCTTGCAATAATCCAAAGAGCTTTATTCCAGAAAAATGACTGAGCTGAGTGCGGTGGCAATCCCAGCACTTTGGGTGACTGAAGCAGATGAATTGTTTGAGCCTAAGAGTTTAAGACCAGCCTGGGCAACATGGCAAACACTGTCTCTACAAAAACTACAAAAATTGGTGGCACACGCCTGTAGTCTCAACTACTCAGGAGACTAAGGTGGGAGGATCACTAGCGCCTGGGAGGTCAAGGCTGCAGTCAGCCATGATCATGCCACTGCACTCCAGGCTGAGTGACAGCTCACTCTCTCAAAAAAAAAAAAAAAAGAGAGAGAAAGAAAAAAAAAAAAGAATGGCTGAACCTCTGTAAAAAAAAAAAAAAAAAAAAAAAAGCAGTATTTGTGGTGTTTTAACATGTTCTATTCCCATCACCTTCTCCCCAGCTATGCAATAGCTTTGAAAACCAAAAATCTCCCTAAGCTGTAAAAACCAACAGTCAAACAGCCACTGAAGGAGGCAGAATGGGTTTAGAGCTTCTCAAAAGAAGTGTCAATATTTGACCTATCTGGTAGCTCATTAAAAAGTTCCATTCTCAAGCTTTGTCTTTATTTGATCTGGCTTTGAGTTCACTCTACAAATAAAACTTTTTCCCCTGGCATTCTTCAAAAACAATCAGTGGCAACTATATAACTTCACAGCTGCCTGAGAAAGCAGTGGCAGATGGGGCTAACAAGAGGTTAACCAAAAAACATGAAAGGAAAACCTGGAAAACAGCAAGCCCACAAGGGCTTTGAAAGGCTCTGACATATTCCTGGAAATCCAAAAGGCCACCTGCATATGGAGAGCTGTGCATGTGCCCCAAAATTCCCATATCTCTCACTTTGGCTGACCTTAAACCTCCACACAAGCAGGAAGTGAAGGCTAAAGCAGAGTTGCAAACTGACTGTACAACATTTGAACACACACCCGAGTAGTATAGAACCCCTCCGCCAAGGCTGAACTTATAGGTTCAAGGCATTTTTAAAAGTCTCTGTCCAATCTTAGCTGACCACTAAGCTAAATAAGCACACACAAAAAAGAATACACACTTTATAAAATCAGACCAAGAAAGTCACTAAGCAAATAAATAATAGCAGGAACAACAACAAATAGCAGTAACAAACCTTAAGGTAGGGAATCCAATTTCCAGAGCTGCCACACTACAGTACTTAAAATGTCTCATTTTCAACAAAAAATTGCAAAGCATTTAAGTAAGAAAATGAAGCCCATACACAGGAAAAAGGGCATTAAATAGAAACTGTCTGTAGGCAAGTCCAGACATTTGATTTACTAGGTAAACACTTTAATGAACTATTTATAAACAAGTTCAAAGAAGAAAAAAAAACATGCCTAATGACTTCAAGTATGAGAACACTGTCTCACCAAATGGAGAATATCAATAGTGAGATGAGATGGATATTATAAAAAGAAACCAATTAGCAATTCTGGAGTTGAGAAGTATGAGGTTGCAGTGAACTATGATTGCATCACTGCACTCCAGCTGGGACAACAGAGTAAGACCTTATCTCAAAAAAACAAAACAATTGCAAAATTTGAAGACAGTCAATTTTGATTATCCAGTCTGAGGAACAGAAAGAACAACAAATGAAGAGGCCAGGCACTGGCTCACACCTCTAATCCCAGAACTCTGAGTGGTCCAGGTGGGAGGACAGCTTGAGACCAGGAGTTCAAGACCAGCCTGGGCAACAGAGGGAGACCCCATCTCTACAAAAAATAAATAATAATTAGGCAGGCATGGTGATACACGCCTATGGTTCCAGCTACACGGGAAGCCAAGGCAGGAGGACTGCTTGAGCCCAGGAGTTGGAGGCTGCAGTGAGCTATGATTGAACCCCTGCACTCCAGCCTGGGCAACAGAGCAAGACCCTGTCTCTTAAAAATAAAAATAAATATATATATGATATGTAGACCAAGCAAGCAACAGAGCAAGACCCTGTCTCTTAAAAAATAAAAATAAAAATATATATATGTAGATATATCAGTACATTCATAGTCATACATCTCTTGCTGACAACTCCCAATTCCTTATACAAAAGGACAAAAATGTCCTAAGGGTACCTTTATCTTTCCAAGTGATTAATAGTAGTTAATATCATTAAACATTCTCAGGCTGAAGCTGAATTAATCTCTGGAAAGGACTGGATGACTCAGCAGTGAAGAGTATTCATATTCTCAAGCATTGGCATTTAGATACTTTTTTTTTTTTGAGACGGAGTTTCACTCTTGTTGCCCAGGCTGGAGTGCAATGGCGCAATCTCAACTCACTGCAACTTCCACCTCCCAGGTTCAAGCAGTTCTCCTGCCTCAGCATCCCAAGTAACTGGGATTACAGGCATGTGCCACCACACCCAGCTAATTTTGTATTTTTAGTAGAGATGGGGTTTTCACCATGTTGGTCAGGCTGGTCTCGAACTCCTGACCTCAGGTGATCCACCCGCCTCCACCTCCTAAAGTGCTGAGATTACAGGTGTGAGCCACCACACCCAGCCCTAGATACATTTTTAAATGACTTTTTCCATTTAATTGTCTGCTTCATCTAGCATTCCCATAGTATTGTTTCTACTACTTTTTTATTGCAAATATAGAGTATTTCAGCTATACTATGACTTAATTTTCTGTAAGCCACCACCCTATGAACCTAATCATCACTTATAACATTGTTTCTACGGAAAAATAAGTTTTAAATTCCAGATGAACTTTTGAACACAATCCAGGCTGGGCATGGTACCTCACACCTGTAATCCCAGCACTTTGGGAGGCTGAGGCAGGTGGATCACTTGAGGTCAGGAGTTCGAGGCCAGCCTGGCCAACATGGTAAAACCCCATCTCTACCAAAAATACAAAAATTAGCCAGGTGTGGTGGCGGGTACCTGTAGTCCCAGCTACCTGCTAGGCTGAGGTGGGAGAATCATTGAACCCAGTAGGTAGAGGCTGCAGTGAGCCGAGATCATGCCACTGCACTACAGCCTGGGTAACAGAGGGAGACTCTGTCTCAAAAAAACATAATAAAAATAAAAATAAAGGTAATAGTCCTCTGTGCTTCAAGAATATAAAAGACCACTAGGAAAACAGAAGGTCAAGTAAGTTTTTAACATCTAAAAATGAGATTAAAAAATGAACATTATTCTTACAGAAGGAGTTTATCATAGATCTAATTTTGAGAAACTAGATGAGACCAGGATATTGAGGATGACGGTGCTTCGCAAGGTTTTGATATTACATCATGGGGCACCACTGACAACTAAGAAAATATAGCTTAGTCTATGATTACAGGGCCAACAGGGATGTCACTTGCCAAGATTGAGAATCTCTGGCTTAGGCCAAAAAGATTTAAAATGTTATAACACACAATAAATTGATAAAAATTTAAAATGCAAACCTTAGAACCAGAAGGTAGAGACACACGAGAGGTTCCAGCTGCTGCAAACTACTTCTCATTCCCTAACCACATTATGTTCACTGCTACTGTCCTTGCAGTGTCCTCTGCCTATGAGCTCCAATCATACTCTGAACAATCCAACATCCTTCAAGGCTTGGCTTAATGTCCCTCCTTTATTTTTTGGAAGCCTATTCTAATTGCTTCCATGCCCCACCACCTAAAATGTTAGGTGTCCCTCCTACAAAATAACTTTCCTTATAATCACTTATTCAATATCAAATTCTCAATGCTTTAACTTTAAAATAACACAGCTTATATTGTATGTTTATTGAATTGTATATCTCCCCTCTGCTCTTTAAGAACAAAGAAACTGCCTTATTTATATGTATCCCCAACACCCAGCAAAGAACCTTAAATATTATTGATATTTTTGGATAAAGACAGAATTTTTTAAATGATCAAATAAATGTGCTATCTATTCTCTTGTCCAAGGCCTATGCTTATTACTAAACCTCAGCATCTAGAACAACTTCTGACACACAGTAAGAACTCAGAAAAAATGTTTTTTCAAGCAGGACACAGTGGCTCAAACCTGTAATTCCAGAACTTTGGGAGGCTGAGATGAGAGGATCACTTGAGCCCAGGAGTTTGAGACCAGCTTGAGCCACACAGGGAGACCCTGTCTCTACAAAAAGCAAAAATATTAGCATGGTGGTGTGCACCTGTACCAGCTACTCAGGAGCTGGGAGCTACTCAGGTGGGAGGATCACTTAAGCCCAGGATTGGAGACTGCAGTGACCTATGATTGAACCACTATACTCCAGCATTCCATAAAGAATGAGACCTTGTCTCTGAAAATAATAGATAAATAAAGAGTTCATAGAAACATGACAATGTTTGTAAGACAAAGATTTTTTTTTTTTTTTTGAGATGGAGTCTTGCTTTGTTGCCCAGGCTGGAGTACAGTGGCGCAGTCTCGGCTCACAGCAAGCTCCACCTCCCAGGTTCACACCATTCTCCTGCCTCAGCCCCCCGAGTAGCTGGGACTACAGGCGCCCACCACCACACCTGGCTAATTTTTTTGTATTTTTAGTAGAAACGGGGTTTCACCATGTTAGCCAGGATGGTCTTGATCTCCTGACCTCGTGATCCACCTGCCTCAGCCTCCTAAAGTGCTGGGATTACAAGCGTGAGCCACCGCGCCCGGCCCTGTAAGACAAAGATCCTTAAACCTGGCCAGGCACAGTGGCTCACACCTGTAATCCCAGCACTTTGGGATGCGAGGTGGCCTTCTGACTTGAGGTCAGGAGTTTGACACCAGCCTGGCCACCATGGCAAAACCCCGTCTCTACTAAAAATACAAAAATTATTTTTTGTATTTTTACAAATACAAAAAATTTTTGTATTTGTATTTTGTATTACAGGCGCAGTGGCTCATGCCTGTAATCCCAGCACTTTGGGAGGCCAAGGTGGGTGGATCACCTGAAGTCAGGAGTTCGAGACCAGCCTGGCAAACATGGAGAAACCCCGTATCTACTAAAAATACAAAAGTTAGCCAGGCGTGGTGGCACATGCCTGTAGTCCCAGTTACTTGGGAGGCTGAGGCAGGAGAATTGCTTGAGCCTGGAGGTGGAGGTTGCAGGGAGGCAGAGGTTGCAGTGAGCTGAGATTGCACCACTGCACTCCAGCCTGGGCAACAGAGTAAGACTCCATCGCAAAAAAACAAACAAACAAAAACTAAAACTATACAAAATACATGCAGAAGTAGATGATAATGTGAAAAAAATGTGGTTGTTGTGCTGGGATTAATTTTTTAAATTAGTTTTTCATTACACAAGCAGTAAGTGAATGCATTCTTCTTCTAAATTCAAACAGTATACATAAAGTAGGCCGGGCGCGGTGGCTCACACCTATAATCCCAGCACTTTGGGAGGCCAAGGCAGGCAGATCGCTTGAAGTCAGGAGTTCGAGACCAGCCTGGCCAACATGGCGAAACCCCATCTCTACTAAAAATACAAAAATTAGCCAGGTGTGGTGGCACATGCCTGTAATTCCAGCTACAGGGGAGACTGAGGCAGGAAAATTGCTTGAACCTGAGAGGCGGAGATTGAAGTGAGCTGAGAACATGCCACTGCACTCCAGCCTGGGCAACAGAGCAACACTCTGCCTCAGAACAAACAAACAACAACAACAAAAACCCGGTATATATAAAGCTAAACATACCACTACCATAAAATCCTACTTACTTCCTCCCCTCAGTCCTAATCCCTCCCGTGCCCATTCAGTCTTCCCCAAGAGATAATCAGTTTGGTTTGTCTCCTTTCAGATCTTTTTCCATGCTTTTATAAGATGTACCCCCACAGAAACTTACAGCGGTTAGCATATAATACATATTATAATGCAACTTACTACATATAGATTTAGTTCATTCCTTATGTGCTGTATAGTTTTTCATTATATAACATTAGTAATATACAGGTATTCACTTACTGTTCATATTTAGGCTGTTACCCGTCATGAAAAACCATATACATGCCTCCTTAGATACATACAGAGAGTGCTTCTCCAGTGAGCACTAGGGTCATTCCCAGTTTTTTGGTCATTGCCAGACTTCCTTCCAAGTGGCTCTACCAATTTACATTCCCACAATTGTGCTTTTCCTAGCCTCTTGTTCACTATTGCTTAGTAGTTTCTACAATTCAACTTTTTAAAAATTATAGAAGAACCTATCCTGTATAGCCTATCTAAGGGTAGCTGTTTAAATAATGAAGAAAAATCAATATCCACTTATCCTGTCATTCAGAAGGTATAAATCTGGCACCCTGCTATTATGTCCTCATTTCTATTCCCAAGCAGACCATCTGTAATTCAAAGTAGAAAACAGTGTGGAGAGAGAAAGATACATGTATATATATATATGCCATTTGGCCTCAATGCTCAATGTTAACACAAAGATATAGTGTTAACAGTATTACTATATGTGGGTATGTGCCTGGAAACTAAAAGTGGATCCACTCTTCCCTTCTACTATGTCCATACAAAGTTGTTCTTGGCTTTACCACAATACACATGGTTAGTACAGACTGTAGAATGGATGGTGGCTCCATATCTTTACTTCACAGACTGCCAGTGTCTGTAATCAAAATGAACCACCCCATCTTTGCAAAGCATCAGGTTGCCCCATCTGCCACTACTTCTGTTCCCCCAGCATCCCTGAGCTTGAATACATCACATTAAAAAAAATCGTAGTCTGAGAAAATTCTGCTCTTTTCTAACAGAAAGTTCGTATTAACAAGCATAAAAATGTGAAGAAAAATATAGAATGAAATCTGTATGTTGTACAACAAAGCTCTTTGTCCATGAATCAACCAGTAACAATTTATAAACTTTAGAGGACAAATGGAGAAATACGCAAGTTGGATGGGTTTTCCTCTACTAAGAATGAATGCTCCCATTCTGAAACATGTAAAATATGCCACTATAAAATTAACAATTTAAATTAATTTCTGAGGAGGAATGTGTCTTTGAAAACTGCCCACAAGAACAGAACATAAATTTAGAAAGACATCACTTAGTTTATTGTCACAGGAAATCTGTTGTATACTTAAACGCTGCAGGAGAGTCTTAAACATATCATGGAGAGAATGTCCTTAAGTATTCATTAGTTTTTTTCGTTTCCATAATATAACAAAATGACTATTTAACATATGTTGATGACAAATGTTCTAGTTTATTCATTTGCTTCCAGCAGTTTCTCGAATCAAATACACAATTTATCATTCTCCTGGTTCACAAACTTCTGAAGCTATCAAAAATGTGGTACTCATTAGTTCAACTATATTAAAAAATGTTTCCAAGTATCCTTCTTTCCCTCAGGAGAGGAAAAAAAAAAACAAAAAACACCTTAGTCAAAAGGCAGCTAATAGTCCAATTTCCTTTACAAATCTAACCAAATTGTAATAACTGATTGTCTTTAACTCATTAAACAAAATAAGATTAATAATAAATGTTGCATCTAATCCAGCATTTTACTCTTTAAAAAGAATTTTTGGCCAGGCACAGTGGCTCAGGTCTATAATCCTAGCATTTGGGAGACCAAGGAGGGAAGATCACATGAGACCAAGAGTTCAAGATCAGCCTGGGCAACACAGTGAGACCCCATCTCTATTTTTTAAAAAATATTAAATTTTTTAAATTAAAAAAAAATTTTTTGAGGCCAGGCGCGGTGGCTCACACCTGTAATCCCAGCACTTTGGGAGGCTGAGGCGGGCAGATTGCCTGAGCTCAGGAGTTCGCAACCAGCCTAGGCAACACGATGAAACCCCGTCTCTACTAAAATACAAAAAATTAGCTGGGCGTAGCGGCGTGCACCTGTAGTCCCAACTACTCAGGAGGCTGAGGCAGGAGAATTGCTTGAACCCGGGAGGTGGAGGTTGCAGTGAACCAAGATTGCGCCACTGCACTTCGGCCTGGGTGACAGAGCGAGACTCTGTCTCAAAAAAAAAAAAAAAAAAGCGCCACTGCACTCCAGCCTGGGTGACAGAGCAAGACTCTGTCTCAAAAAAAAAAAAATTTGAGACAGGGTCTCACTCTGTCGCCAAGGCTGGAGTACAGTAGTGCACTGTAGGCTTGACTTCCCACTCTCACCCTCCTTAGTAGCTGGGACCATAGGTCCATGCCACCATGCCCAGCTAATTTTTTGTTTTTTTCAGGGTTTTTTGGTGGAGATGGAGTCTCCCTACGTTGCCCAGGCTAGTCTCAAACACCTGGGCTCAAGCAATCCTCCCACCTCAGCCTCCCAAAATGCTGAGATTATACACGTGAGCCACTGTGCCTGAATAGGTATAATTTCATAAAATTCTTGTAATTTATCAACTCTGTGTTGGTTCCTTTGTTTTTGGGAGAAGGAAGGAGGAAGGGAGGGAGAAAGAAGGAAGTGTTGGGGGGGCACCTTACAGACAAGGTTACAAGTTTTCAGCTTCCCTAAAGTAATCAGTGATGATTCTCGTGCACTATTATTCCCCCAAAACATGCTTAATCTGTTCAGGCTGCTACAACAAAATATCTCAGATTAGATAATTTATAAACCAGGGAAATTTACTGCTCACAGCTCTGGAACCTGAGAAGTCCAAGATCAAAGTACCAGCAGATTCAGTGTCTGGTGAGAGCCTTTTCCTCATAAATGGTACCTTCTGTGTCCTGACATGGTGGGGCAAAGCAAGTTCTCTCAGGCCTCTTTTAGAAGGGCACTAATCCCATTCATGAGGGCAGAGCCCTCATGAAGTAATCATTCCTGAAGGCCCCACTTCTTCATACAATCACATTGGGAATTAGGTTTCAACATATGAATTTGGTGGTATAAGGGAACAAACACTCAGATCACAGCACCTGCTAAGCCAATCATATTTATTTGGTTTTTGAGGGGTTGTCTGTTTGTTTCAGACAGAAGCTCACTCCATCACCCAGGCTAGAGTGCGGTGGCGCGATGTCCACTCACCGCAACCTTTGCCTCCCAAGTTCAAGTAACTTTCGTGCCTCAGCCTCCCAAGTAGCTCAGATAGGTGCGCGCCACCATGCCTGGCTAATTTTTCTATTTTTAGTAGAGACAGGGTTTCACCATGTTGGCCAGACTGGTCTCAAACTCCTGGCCTCAAGTGATCTGCCTGCCTTGCCTCCCAAAGTGCCGGGATTATGGGCGAGAGCCACCACACTCAGCAGCCCAAGCCAATCATATTTAACATTCATGAATTTACAATCATTTACTATGTCCATTCTATTTCACTTTTATTAGCAGTCTTTTACAACATAATAAAGGCCAACATAATTTATCCATAATTTATCCATAAATTCCATTGTTCACTAATGTTTGTGAAGAAACAAAAACCTAATCCTCTAATGAGATTCATCTTCTATATACAAGTCAAACCTTATATTTTAGACCCAAATTTTATATTTGTAAAGAAAGCCACAAATAACAACATGGATTTACATCTTCATCAAATGATTACAAAAAGGTCAGATGTTATACATTACTACTAGTACTATCTAAACCCATAATACTCAAGTTGAAAGTAAATTCCTTATGCCTTTTAGTTAAGAAATCATGTTATTTCAAAAAGGGAAAGTTTTTTTTAAATGAAGAAAATGTTCATTGTTTTCCAGTCTTCATTATCAACTAAGCTCTATTCAGTTAATCTGATTTCATAAATAAGCTTATTTCTTTAAAAATGACCATGTTTTAGCCGGGTGCGGTGGCTCATACCTGTAATCCCAGTACTTTGGGAGGCCGAGGCGGGTGGATCATGAGGTTAGGAGTTAGAGACCAGCCTGGCCAACGTGGTGAAACCTTGTCTCTAATGAAAAAATATAAAAATTAGCCAGGCATGGTGGCACGTGCCTGTAATCCCAGCTACTCAGGAGGCTGAGGTAGGATAATCGCTTGAACACAGAAGGTGAAGGTTGCAGTGAGCCAAGATCAGGCCACTTGCAATCCAGCCTGGGTGACAGAGCGAGACTCCATCTCAAAAAATAAATAAATAAATAAATAAATAAAATATAAATGACCATGTTTTAAAGTTGAATTTAACTTTCAAGGAATTAATCTGTAACTAAAGAATTATCTTCCCTGTAAGCATTCACTCAGTATTTCCCCAAGGAACTCTTGTCCTCCTTAAGTACAAAACTTTTATTACTTTTTTCATTAGTCTATATTGTGACTTCATGGTAATAGTTACGAAGTTGTCAGAAACAAAGTAATTATTAAAAGAATGCATTAAGATAAACCATTTTTATAAATAAAATTTTGTATGTAATTTTATTAAAATACCAAAAATAATGCCCAGAACAAATATATAAGAGAAAAACCAGAATAAATCTACCAAAGAGTTTGGCCTTGAATACAAACTTCTGCAAAGTGTCAACTCCAAACTGACATGAGAAATTAATCCATTTGGAGGGCTATGTGGGGTTTTTCGGTTCATTTTTGGTTTAGAGAGAGGGTCTCGCTCCCTTTTTCTTGTTGTTGTTGTTGTTTTTTGAGACGGAGTTTCGCTCTTGTTGCCCAGGCTGGAGTGCAATGGCGCGATCTCGGCTCACCGCAACCTCTGCCTCCCAGGTTCAAGAGATTCACCTGACTCAGCCTCTCCAGTAGCTGGGATTACAGGCATGTGACACCACGCCGGGCTAAGTTTTTTTTCTTTTTTCTTTTTTCTTTTTTTTGAGACGGAGTCTTGCTCTGTCGCCTAGGCTGGAGTGCAGTGGCGCGATCTCGGCTCACTGAAACCTCTGCCTCAGGAGTTCAAGCGATTCTCCTGCCTCAGCCTCCCAAGTAGCTGGGATTACAGACACATGCCACCAGGCCCAGCTAATTTTTGTATTTTCAGTAGAGACGGGGTTTCACTATGTTGGCCAGGCTGGTCTTGAACTCCTGACCTCGTGATCTACCTGCCTCGGCCTCCCAAAGTGCTGGGATTACAGGCATGAGCCACAGTAGAGACGGGGTTTCTCCATGTTGGTCAGGCTGGTCTCGAACTTCCAACCTCAGGTGATCCACCCACCTCAGCCTACCAAAGTGCTAGGGTTACAGGTGTGAGCCACTGCACCCAGCCCGCCATTTTTTAATGGTAATAGTTCTTGGACTATGACATTTAGAACTAAAATAAGCCAGGTGCTGTGGCCCAGACCTGTAATCCTAGATAGTCAGGAGGCTGAGGCAGGAGGATCACTTGAGCCCAAGAGCTTGAGACCATCCTGGGAAACACAGCAAGACATCGTCTCAAAAAAAAGTTGGTTTTTTTTTTTTCATGCTGCTTTTCTTGAAGAAACAGAGACACGCTATTACTAAAGTATATAAAGATTTTAAGCCCACTCTTTTTTTTCTTTTGAGAGGGAGTCTTGCTCTGTCACCCAGGCTGGAGTGCCAGGGTGCGATCTCGGCTCACTGCAAGCTCCGCCTCCCAGGTTCACGCCATTCTCCTCGTCTAAGCCTCCCGAGTAGCTGGGACTACAGGAGCCCGCCACCACACCCAGCTAATTTTGTTTTTATAGTTTTAGTAGAGACGGGGTTTCACCGTGTTAGCCAGGATGGTCTCAATCTCCTGACCTTGTGATCCGCCCCCCTTGGCCTCCCAAAGTGCTGGGATTACAGGCGTGAGCCACCGCGCCTAGCCTAAGCCCACTTTTGAAAAGAATCTCACCTACAGTTGCTCCTTCATATCCATGGGTTCCATACCCAGAGATTCAACCAACCGAGGATACAAAATATTCAGAGGTCGGGAGTGGTTGCTCAAGCTGGTAACCCTACGACTTTGGGAGGCCAAGGCAGGAGGGTTGCTTGAACTCAGGAGTTCAAGACAGCTTAGGCAATATAATGAGACCTTGTCTCTACTAAAATTCAAAAACAATTGGCAGGGCGTGATGGCTCATGCTTGTAGTCCCAGCTACCAGAGGGCTGAGGTGGGAGGATCACTTGAGCCCAGGAGGCTGAGGCTGCAGTGAGTCCGAATCATGCCACTGCACTCTAGCTGGGCAACAGAACGTGTCTCACAAAACAGAAAGAAAGAAAATATTCAGGCTGGGCATGGAGGCTCAAACCTGTAATCCCAGCACTTTGGCAGGCTGAGGTGGGTGGATCACTTGACGTCAGTTCAAGACCAGCTTGGCCACCATGGCAAAACCCCATCTCTACCAAAAATACAAAAATGAGCCAGGTGTGGTGGCACATGCCTATACTTATAGCTACTTGGGAGGTTGGGGCATGAGAATCACTTGAACCTGGGAGGCAGAGGTTGCAGTGAACTGACATGGCCCCACTGTACTCCAGCCTGGGTGACAGAGTGAGACCCTGTCTAAAACAAAACAAAACCAAATATGCAGAAAAAATAATGGATGGCTACCTCTGTACCAAACACGTACAGGCTTTTTTTTTTCTTTTTTTGTCATCATTCCCTAAACAATACAGTGTAACAGCCATTTACACGGCACTTACACTGTATTAGGAATTATAAGTAATCTAGAGATAACAGGAGGCTCTGCTTAGGTTACATGCAAATACTACACCATTTTATATAAGAAACATGAGCATCCTTGGATTTCAGTATCTGCAGGGGGCCCTAGAACCAATTCCCCACAGACACCAAGGGACTCCTGTCCTTCAAAGAGCCATATAAGCTAACCAGCAACAACAACAAAACAAAATTCCACCTAATCAACTTCACCCTGTTTCATACAATTCCAACCTTCCCGCAGAAAGAGAAATACAGTATTTAGAGATACTGAAGCATTTCACACTGTACAACAGCACTGGATAGTATAATGCTTCCTGTTTATTTTAATGTAATTTTTTAACGCAATAGAATGAAATACACATTAGATTGCTTTTTATTTCACTATGTAGTAAATATTTTCACTTCATAGAAGTCAACAGGGAAAAGTGTTCTATTGTTATAGTTAGTAAGAAATCCCAATATAAACATTTAAAAGAGCTTCTCTACTAGAGGAAAATCTTTTCAACAAAAGACTCTGCTTCAAACAAAACAAGACTACTAGTTACAGGGCCATTGCGGTTGGGGGGCGGGGGAAACGAGGGGAAAATATATTTAAACTGAGGTCCTAGTGAAAAACCAAGAATATTACCAAAAAAAAACCCACATACACACAAAAACTATTAAAACTAAGAATTAAATCTACCCATCAAAAAATAGTAAACATAAAGTAAGTCCAGGGGTTTATGTTTCTACTGCACATAGTAAGCACTTCACAGTTGTCAGCAATTTCCTAATAATCATACATGGTTCTATACACAACCTCGAAATGGCAACATTATTAAGTTTTAATACATATAAGCGAAAGTGTACAAACATTTCCCAAACAACCAAACCAAAACAAATAAAAGTCTGGACTTCATATAATGCAATCCAAGTTTCTCTGAGAAAATGAAAAAGTTTCTGATGCAAGACAACATGGAGAAAATTAAAACAAAACATATGAGGCAGAAAAGGAGTTAGTACACATACACGAATTATTTTTTAAAAGATTTTTTTTTTTTTTTTTTTTTGAGACGGAGTCTCGCTCTGTCGCCCAGGCTGGAGTGCAGTGGCGGGATCTCGGCTCACTGCAAGCTCCGCCTCCCGGGTTCACGCCATTCTCCTGCCTCAGCCTCCCAAGTAGCTGGGACTACAGGCGCCCGCCACTACGCCCGGCTAATTTTTTGTATTTTTAGTAGAGACGGGGTTTCACCGTTTTAGCTGGGATGGTCTCGATCTCCTGACCTCGTGATCCGCCCGCCTCGGCCTCCCAAAGTGCTGGGATTACAGGCGTGAGCCACCGCGCCCGGCCAAAAGATATTTTTTAAGCCAGGCATGGTGACATCTGCCTGTAATCCCAGCTACTTGGGAGGCTGAGGTGGGAGGATCACTTGAACCCAGAAGTTCAAGACACCCTAAGCAACATAGCAAGACCCCTACCTAAAAAAAAAAAAAAAAAAAAAATCCTAACTTTTTACTACACTCCAAGATAAATTTTGGGTGAATTTTAAAAAGTTAAACACTAGAAATATGAAGTCATAAATTAGAATTGTTTTTCAGATATATGTAAGAGTAAAAATGTAAAACTTCAGAAGTGAAACAGAAACACAACAATTGGCAGATCTGACATATACAAAATTTTAACTCATACACATTAAAAGTAGCAATACAAAACAAATAGCAATGTTAAACTAACTGGAGAAAATACTTGCAGCAAATTAGTGAAATAGTTGATTAAATTCAAGGTACTTATTAAGTTCTACACAATGATTTTTTTTTAAGAGACAGGTTCTTGCTGTCACCCAGGCTGGAGTGCAGTAATCATAACTCACTGCAGACTTGAACTCCCTGGCTCAAGTGATTCTCCTGCCTCAGCCTCTCAAGCAGCTAGGACTACATGCACTTGCTACCATGCTCAGCTAATTAAAAAAAAGATTTTGTAGAGACAAGGTCTCACTATGTTGCCTAGGCTAGTCTCGAACTCCTGCCTCAAGTAATCCTCCCACCTTGGCCTCCCAAACTCCTGGGATTACAGGTGTAAGCCAGCGTGCACAGCCTACAAAATAATTTTTTTTTTTTTTGAGACAGAGTTTCACTCTTGTTGCCCAGGCTGGATTGCAATGGCCCCATCTCAGCTCACTGCATCCTCCACCTCCTGGGTTCAAGCAATTCTCCTGTCTCAGCCTCTAGCCAGAAAAGTAAAAGAAAAAATTATAAAAATAAAAAGAATTTTTTTAAATGTTTAAACAAACACATCTTTAAGAACTAAAATGATGACAACAACAAAGGACAAAAAGACAATGAAAATAATGAAGAAATACAACTACCAAAAATGGGAAAGGTTCTACTTTGACACCAATCCAAAAAAAACCAATTAAAACAAGCTACCATTTTAGATTACTCAATTAGCAAAGAATTTTTTGCAAATGATAATACCAAATGCTGAAAGGGTTTTAGTAAATTAACACTCAGATTCCACTTTCAAAAAATTATTTGAGGCTGGATGCAATGGCTCACACCTGTAATCCCAACACTTTGGGAGGCCGAGGCGGGAGGATCACTTGAGGTCAGAAGTTCAAGACCAGCATGGGCAACATGGCAAAACCCTGCCTCTACAAAAAAAAATACAAAAAAAATTAGCTGGGCATGGTGGTGCCCACCCAACCACTCAGGAGGAGGCTGAGGTAGAAGGATCCCTTAAGCCCGAGAGGTCGAGGCTACAGTGAGTTGTGATCACACCACTATACTCCAGCCTGAGTGACAGAGTGAAATGCTACTGTCTCAAAAAAAAAAAAAAAAAAAGAAGAAAAGAGAAAAAAATACATTTTGAGCAGCAAGTTGTGGTGGCTCAATGCTTGTAATCCCAGCAACTGGGAGGCTGAGGCAAGAGTGTCTCTTGAGGCCAGGAGTTTGGGACCAGCCTGAGCAACATAGCAAGATCCCATCTCTAAAAAAATTAAAAGTAGCAAGGCATGGTGGCTCATGCCTATAATCCCAGCACTTTGAGAGGCCAAGGCTGGAAGATTGCTTGAGACCAGGAGGTTGAGACTATCTTAGACAACACAGTGAGACCCCCATCTCTACAATAAAAATAAAAATAATAAATTAATTAATTAAAAACAATTAGCTGGGTATGGTGGTGTGAACTCATAGTCCCAGCTGTTCCAGAGGCAGAGGCAGGAGGATTGCTTGAGCCCAAGAGTTCCAAGGCTGCAGTGAGCACCACTGCACTTCAGCCTGAGCAACAGGGGAAGACTCTGTCTCTAAAAATTAAAAAAAAAAAAAAAAAAAAAAAAATTAAATGGCCGGGCGCAGTGGCTCACACGTATAATCCCAGCACTTTGGGAGGCCAAGGCGGGTGGATCACCTGAGGTCAGGATTTCAAGACCAGCCTGGCCAATGTGGTGAAACCCCGTCTCTACTAAAAATACAAAAATCAGCCAGGTGCGGTGGCACACGCCTATATAATCCCAGCTACTCAGGAAGCTGAGGCAGGAGAATCGCTTGAACTTGGGAGGTGGAGGTTGCAATAAGCCAAGACTGCACTACTGCACTCCAGCCTGGGCAACAGAGCAAGATTCTGTCTCAAAAAAAAAAAAAATTAAATGAAACACATGTATAAATGGCCAACATGCACATATAAAGGGTGTTCAACATCACTTAGTCAAGGAAATGCAGATTAATCCACATTGAGATACTACTTTCCAACAATCAGGATGGCTAAACTGAAAGACTGACAATATGAAGCACCAGTCCTGCAAGCTCCTTTCATGTAAGTAAAAAGGCCACATGAGACATTAGAAGAATAAACTGCCAACAACTCATAGTCTTGAAAGGAGACTTAGGCAAGTGACAGTGTTCAGGGTTGAATTAGTGATAAATACTTAGAATACTAAGCAAACACAAATAAAATCAGTCATCAGCTCCAAGGAAAACAAACATTGTGCTAGAAAAGTAATCAAAACTTACTACCTAATTTCAGCTGTGAATCCTACGCATATGCTCATAAGGTAAACATTTAACAGTTATCTAAAATTACCATATAACTATTGCGGTAGGATTAAGTAACAGGGAGAGGGGAAGGGGAAGTGGCTAAGGTGGAAGGAAGGGAGAGACAACTAAATTCTCATGCTCAGAAGTGGGAAGTCAACAGATAATGCTGAAACTGAAAAATCAATACCAAATACCAAAGATCAACTAAAAGAATACAAAGTGGTCTCCTCTAAGAGAAGGAAAATGCCAAGGAAAATTAAGGAGCTGGTTGTCATTTAACAAATCCTGGTCAAGCTATTAACACTTTAAACTACAGTTATGCATCACAAATGACAGGAATGCATCGTTAGGTGATTTCATCATTGTGCAGACATCAGCGTGCTTACACAAACTTAGATGGTATAGACTACTACACACCTAGGCTATATGGGATGGCCTATTACTCCTAGGCTACAAACCTACACAGCATATTACTGTACTGAATATTGGAGGCAACTGTAACACAGTATTTGTGTATCTAAACATATCTAAACATAGAAAAGGTATAGTAAAAATATAGCCTTAAAGATAAAAAAAAAAAAAAGTCCAGGCACGGTGGCTCACTCCTGTAATCCCAGCACTTTGGAAGACTGAGGTGGGAGAATCACTTGAGGCCAGGGGTTTGAGACCAGTCTGGGTAACACAGTAAGACCCCGTTCTCTACATTAAAAAAAAAAAAAGAAAAATTTCCCAGGCTTGGTGGCATGTGCCTCCAAGCTACTGAAGACATTGAGGCAGGAGGATAACTTGAGCCCTTGAGCCCAAGAGGTCCAGGCTGCAGTGAGCTATGATCATGCCACTCCAGCCTGGGTGACAGAGTGAGACCCTGTCTAAAAAAAAAAAAAAAAAAAAGACAAAAAAATGGTTCACCTAGGCTGGGCTTGGTGACTCACATCTGTAATCTCAGAGCTCTGGGAGGCCAAGGCAGGAGACTTGAGCCCAGGAGTTCAAGAATAGCCTGGCTAACATAGCGAGGTCTCTACAAAACATAAAAAACAAAAAAATCAGCCAGGTATGGTGGCATGCACCCATAGTCGCAGCTACTCTATAGGCTAAGGTGGGAGGATAGCTAGAGGCTAAAGTGGGAGACAATCTCTTGAGCCCAGGAGCTCGAGGCTACAGTAAGCCATGATCACGCCACTTCAATCTACCCTGGGTGACTGAACAAGACCCTGTCTCGAGACAAAACTAAAAATCTTTTTTTAAAAAAGGTACACCTATATAGGGCACTTACCATGAATAGAGCTTGCAGGATGAGAAGTTGTTCTGGGTGAGTCAGTGAGAGACTTAGGGGTGAGTCAATGTTGAAGTCCTAGCCCTAGGACATTACCATGGAGTACTGCAGTAGATTTTATAAACACTGTGCAATTCGGTTACACCAAATTTACTAATTTTTTCTTCAATAATAAATTAATTTTAGCTTACTGTAATTTTTTTTTTTTTTTTTTGAGACCAAGTCTTGCTTTGACACCCAGGCTAGAGTGCAGTGGCACGATCTTGGCTCACTGCAACCTGCACCTCCTGGGTTCAAGCAATTCTCGTGCCTCAGCCTCAGCCTCCTGAGTAGCTAGGATTACAGGCGTGCACCACCACAACCGGCTAATTTTTGTATATTTTAGGAGAGACAGGGTTTCACCATGTTAGCCTGGCTGGTCTCAAACTCCTGGCCTCAAATGATCCACCCGCCTCGTCCTCCCACAGTGTTGGGTTACAAGCGTGAGCCACCATGCCCAGCCAGCTTACTGTAACTTTTTTACTTCATAAACTTTTAAATTTAACTTGTTGGCTCTTATAATAACCCTTACCTTAAAACACATTGTACAGTGTCCAAAAATATTTTTTCTTTATATCTTTATTTAAAAAGTTTTTACTATTCATGTTTTATTTTCCTTTTTAAGCTTTCTTGCTAAAAATGAAGACATACACTTTGGGAGGCCGAGGTGGGCGTATCACCTGAGGTCAGGAGTTCAAGACCAGCCTGGCCAACATGGCAAAACCCATCTCTACTAAAAATACAAAAATTAGCTGGGTGTGGTGGCATGCACCTGTAATCCCAGCTATTTGGGAGGCTGAGGCAAGAGAATCGCTTGAACCAGGGAGGCGGAGGTTGCAGTGTGCAGAGATCACACCACTGCACTCTAGCCTCAGGGACAGAGTGAGACTCTGTCTCCAAAAAAAAAAGAAAAAAGACATAAACACACACCTTAGCCTAGGCCTACACAGCATCAAGATCATCAATATCACTGTCTTCCACCTTCACGTATTGTCCCACTGGAAAGTCTTCAGGGCAATAACACACATGGAGCTGTCATCTTCTATGACAATAATGCCTTCTTCTGAAATACCTCCTGAAGGACTTGCCTAAGGCTGTTACAGTTAAGTTTTGTTTTTTTTTTTTTGAGACAGAGTCTTACTCTGTCTCCCAGGCTGGAAGAGTGCACTGGCGTGATCAAGGCTCACCCCAGCCTGAACCTCCTAGGCTCAAGTGATCCTCCCACTCCAGCCTCCTGAGTAGCTAGGACCACAGGCGTGTGCCTAATTTTTGTATTTTTTGTAGAGACAGGTTTTCACCATGTTGCCCAGGCTGGTCTCAAACTCCTGGGCTCAAGCAACCCACCCAAAATGCTGGGATTACAGGTGGGAGCCACCACGTTCAGCCAACTTTTATTTAAATAAATAGAAGGAGTATACTCTAAAATAATGATTAAAGGTATAGTATAGTAAATGACTACATAAAAAAAGCAAAAAGCAAAAACAAGTAAATGGCTACGATGTCACTAGGCAATAGGAATTTTTCAGCTCTACTATTATCTTATGGGATCACAGTTGTGTATGCAGTCCATCGTTAACCAAAACATCATCATGCAGCACATGACTGTATAGGTATGTATAACATGGACAGAAACAGACATCTCAGAAAAAGCAAGATACAAAATTTTATGTACATTATGATTAAAACAATACTAAACACTAATTTGAAAAAAGAGTAACAGCAAATAATTAGCTGTGTTTGGTGATGAGATCATTAGTGAAATTTTCTCCCTTTATCTTCCAATCTCTTAGTAATCTTGTATATTGTTTTTTGTAATATTTAAATAAGTTTTACAAAAGTGCTGTTGGTGGCTGGTAGTTGATATTCCTGTTTGTCTTTGTTTATGAAGCTCCCTCCTTCTCTGTGGATACCACGCTTCTTCTTACCCTATATATCTATAACCAACTGTGAGAGAGTTTTTAATGTTTTGACAAAAAATTTTAAAGGTCACACAGAACAATCATAATCTTTTCCACTGATTACTATGATCCCTTTGAATAGTCTCAGCTTGCATGGTCATTTTTACAGTCCCATACTACTATGCAAACTGAGAAATGACTACATATAATATAGATTTACTCTCTATCTTAGTAATTTTCATCTTTATCATTGAGTACTTAAAGGAACGTCTACAATGCACCATAAACCATACAGCAGAATGTTAGAATTTTCACTATAAAACCAAACACGTCATATATGCACACCCATGAAGTGTACAAACAATACATACTAAATTATCTCTTAACACTATTTTTCCTTTTTCTGGTGTTTTGTTGTTGTTTGTTTGTTTGTTTTTGTGATGGAGTCTCGCTCTGTCGCTCAGGCTGGAGTGCAGTGGCACGATCTTGGCTCACTGCAACCTCCGCCTCCTGGGTTCAAGTGAGTCTCCTGCCTCAGTCTCCCCAAGTAGCTGGGACTACAGGTGCATGCCACCATGCCCAGCTAATTTTTATTGTATTTTTAGTAGAGACGAGGTTTCACCATGTTGGCCAGGGTGGTCTCAAACTCTTGACCTCAGGTGATCTGCCTGTCTCAGCCTCCCAAAGTGCTCGGATTACAGGGGTGAGCCACTATGCCCGGCCAAATCTTTAATTTCTAAACTAATTTGGAAAGACAGAAAAATTTGTATCTTCCTATGTGTGTAATCAAAAAATAGTAGTCAAAATATTCATTGCATTTTCACTGTCACTCAATCTTTTGCCAATTATAATCTAATTTTTTTTAGTTTTTGTTTTTAGAGACGGGGTCTCACTCCTGTCGCCCAGGCTGGAATGCAGTGGCACAATCATGGCTCACTACAGCCTCAAATTTCTGGACTCAAGAAATCCTCCAGTCTAAGCTTCCCAAGGAGCTGAGATTACAAATGCGAGCCACTGAGCCCAACTATAATCCGATTTTTTATTTGTATATCTAATTATTAAATAATTTTATATATAATTGCACAATATATATTTTATGAAAAGTAACGGTTTCTAAGATGAAGAAAATCTAACCCCTTCCATGAGTTCCAGTATCTTATTATAACTACACTAAGCTACAATAATAGCTTAATATTAAACATTAATGTTTCTTCGACCTAAGGAAGCTGATTTTTAAAAATAATAAATATTAATTTTAAACACAGTATTAAAGTATTAATAATCAAACAAAGCCACGCAGTGAAATGACATTTGAATTTTGGGAAATTTTCTTTTTTTTTCCTTTTCTTTTTTTTTTGAGACAGAGTCTCACTCTGTCGCTCAGGCTAGAGTGCAGTGAGGCAATCTTGGCTCATTGCAACCTCTGCCTCCCGGATTCAAGCAATTCTCCTGCCTTAGCCTCCCAAGTAGCTGGGATTACAGGTGCCTGCCATCACGCCCAGCTAATTTTTGTATTTTTAGTAGACAGGGTTTCACCATGTTGGCCAGGCTGGTCTCGAACTCCTGACTTCAAGTGATCCGCCCGACTCCACCTCCCAAAGTGCTGGGATTACAGGTTGAGCCACCACACCTGGTAAGAATGTTGGGAAAATTTTTTCATACTAACACATTGGCATATCAGTTATCAGTTGGATAAAAGTTTTCTTCTATATATGAAGTTATAAAATGCCACTGCCCAGAGACAAAAATCTTCTGAAGAGGTATTAGATGAATGGCTGACAACATCGAATAAAAACGCACAAAGAACATTGTCATAATAAACTTTTGATATCCAAAGGGCTACATTTGAGGGGTTATATACCTAAAAGAAACCTTTTTCGGCCAATATTTACATCCCCCTTAAACTCACCTACTACTCTCTCTATATATATGCCCATTAAGATAGGATATCTTCTGAGAACCTGCCTCCAGAAATAAAGTCTTTAAAAAGTTTGGGCCAGGCACGTGGTTCACGTCTGTAATCCCAGCACTTTGGGAGGCCAAGGCAGGAGGATCTCTTGAGGCCAAGAGTTTGAGACCAGCCTGGGCAACACAGCAAGACCTCATCTCTGCAAAAAATAATAAAAAATAATTTTTAAAAGTTTAAAAATATAGCATTTCATTTTTAAAAGTGCCTACAAAAGCAGAAGATTTTAAAACATATAAATGTCACTTGCATCACTAAATACCCACTTAACCTTCGAACAGTCTCTACTCCAATAACACACATAACAAATAAACCCTAGGCCCTTACAGCAATTGGGCTAAGAAAGGTTAAATTTCAGAATTCATAAAGATAGGAGGCATTTCTCATTCTTATGGTAGAGACTACCTGCTGTCGTCTGTGTACATGCTTACAATAATAAAGGCCAACCTTTTATTAATGTTTGCTAATAAATATCCTCCTGATTTTCCATTCCAGCTAAGATTTGATAATATAATTGACTCTTCCGTGTTTTCATCACAAGCAGCACTGTTACAGATATCATTTCCTCTTAATTTATCCACAGGCTGTGTGAATAATTTAGAAAATTATTTTCAAAGGACTCTATCTAGGGAAGTCTTTTGGGTTTTAGAGTAGGGTTCTTTCTATTCTGGTTTTCTGCAGCTGTGGGGTCACTCTATCAGAATTTCATGGTTATACCCTTTGCACAATCTGTAACATTGTTTAAGTTCAAAACTACATACATTATTTCATCAAAATTAAAAACTTTTGGGCATTAAAAGATCCTATCAAGACCATGAAAGACAATCCACAGATATTAATATATCTGTAACCCACAGAAATATTTGGGAGAAAATATTTGTAAATCATATATCTGATGTGAGAATAATATCCAGAATGTATAAAGAACTACAGAACTACAACTCAACAACAAAAAAGCACACATCTCAATTCAAAAATGGGCAAAGGATTGAATAGACATGTCTCCAAAAAAGACATACAAATGACCAATAGCACATTAAAAAAATGCTCATTAGCACTAGCCATTAGGAAACTAAAAATCAAAATGACAATACTATGTCACACCCATTAGGATGGTTATTAATTGAAAGAAAACAAAATAACAAGTATTGGGTAGATATGGAGAAAATGGAAGGAGCACTTGTGCATTGCTGGTGGAAATATAAAACGGTACAGAAGCTGTGGAAACCAGTTTAGCTGTTCCTTAAAGGGTTAAATATAGAATTACCATATGACCCAGCAATTCCATTCCTAGGTTTATATCCAAAAGAAGTGAAAGCAGGACTCAGACAGATATTTGTACACCAATGTTCACAACAACATTATTCACAATAGCCAAAAGGTGGAAACAACTCAAATATGTCCCATCAACAGATGGATGTACAAACAAGATGTAGTATATACAAATTATTCAGTCAAAAAAAGAAATTAAATTCTGCTATGTACTACAACATGGATAAACCTTGAAAACATTATCCTAAGTGAAATAAGAAAGGTCAAATATTGTACGATTCTATTTACATGAAGTATCTAGAATAGGCAAATTCATAAAAACAGAAAGTAGAATAGAGGTTACCAGGGGCTGGGGAAAAAAAGGGATAGAGAATTTCTGTTTGGGATGATGAACAAGTTCTGGAAATGGATAGTGGTGATGGTTATACAATATTGTGAATGTACTTCATGCCACTAATTGTACATTTTTTAAAATAGTTCAAATGGTAAATGGTATGTTCTATATATATATATATTCACAATAAAAATAAAATAAATTGGCAAAGCCAGGAGAAGGTGGGGGAGAGCTATGTACATACCTGAGTTTGTGAAGATCAGACAAAAATTCACATGAACTATTTTGAAAGTCTTTTACAATAATCCTAGTAAGACATAGTTGAAAATATAATACTGATCATGACTAAGCCATAATCCTATTGCAGTCAAAATCATAATTTAGTACAATTTTTTGCTTTCTCAAAGATATGAGAAAAGCTGCATACATGTATTTGTATACTAGAAAAACATACCTTTTAGTAAGGGTTTTACAGCAATGCAAATGTCAAAGTAGCACTGGCATAAATTGAGGCAAATAGTTTTTTAACTAGTAGGAGATAACTGTGAAGGACTTAGTAAATGTGAAAACTTTGAAAAGCTGAAAAATCCACCTGTAGTATTTTGACTTCACTGACATAGGGAAATGCACAAACATCTACTACATTCCAGATTTAGGGACTCAGGATACTAAGATAAACAGAAAAAGTCTACCCTTTCAAAAGTTTAGCTTATCTCTGCCAGGATCACAAGAGGCACTAGTGAAGAACAGACATTTTGGGGGCATTTTCAAATTCTCAAACTGACACAAATACATGAGATGCGCAAAAGTCTTCTAAATTACAGTGTAACCTACAATTGTCTATCTTCTAATAAATTCTTCTAACACATAGAGAACTTCTGTGTAGTGCAGTCCTCTGAGACCTGTAATTATAAACTTCAGTCACATTGCTATAAAATTCCAAATTGGGAGTTTGAAATATGAGCCACATGTTACTTAACGTTCAGAAGACGTATAAATGAGAGCAAAAGGTTATGGCTTAACAGAAAACTAAATAAGAAATAACTATTGATTTTTAAATAGCAACATATCACAATCATACAGACACACCAATGACTGTAACCATATGGTTCTCTCAATCATCAAGCATATGCTAAATTTGTGCTTAAAACAGTCCAATGTGGTTTTAAAAAAAGGTTACTCTTCAGCAGCTTTCAATCTAGTTGGGAGAGTAAATTAATACACATAAAACATGTGTTATTTATGTACATATATATGTAAAAATACTCAAATACAAAGGATCCAAATGTAAGAATTCAAAGGAGATAAGTAAGTTCAGGAAAGCTCCAAAGAAGGTAAGATTTAGGCAAAGTCCAGAAGGATAGACAGAATTGAATGGAAATGAACCCTTCATAATCTAACTTCATCTTGCCTTTCCAACACATTGTACAATACAAAATTATTAGAATAGATAAAAGCAGTCTATGGCCATACCAACCTGAACATGCCAATCTCATCTGATCTCAGAATAAAAACAAATTAGAAAAGAAGCTAGGTGCAGTGGCTCACGCCTGTAATCCCAACACTTTGGGAGGCTGTGGTGGGTGGATCTCTTGAGCTCAGGAGTTCAAGACCAGCCGGGGCAACATAGCAAAACCCCGTCTCTACAAAAAAACACAAAAATTAGCAGGGCATAGTGGTGCACACCTGTAGTCCCAGCTGCTAGGGAAGCTGAAATAGGAGGATGGCTTGACCCTGGGGAGTTGAGGCTGCAGTGAGCAGTAAATGTGCCACTGCACTCCAGCCTGGGTGGCATAAAAAAGTCATTCCAGATAAGAGAAATCACAGAAATATGAAATAAGAAGAGCATAATAATTAGCCCACTTAATGCTTATTGTAGAGAAGTGGTTAAATATTTTACATAGGAATACACATGTCAAATTATATAAATTACATGGGAGAAAAAAAGCTCCTAAAATTGCATGGAATTTTGACATGACTTTCCAATGTACCCTATTCATACCCACTACTCATTTGCTATTTGAGAGAAATGTCTCAGAACCAGTCAAACCAAGGCTCACCTTCAAAACCAGGTGGGCACCCAAATTATAATAAGAATTAGAAATTTGTGCTTGTCCTTGCATATAAGGCTGTGTTTCATTTTTCCTTCATATTTACTACTGATTGCTTCATGAATTCAGATAATTTCAGAGCCAGGAGGCATTATTTATAACCCAAATTTTAAATGTTTATATTCCTGAAACATTTGAATATTTGCATAAATGTCATGAGACAAAATTTACTCTAGAAAGCACAATTTACCAGATTACTGCTGCTAGTTGTATTCTGTCAGCTTTCTCCTTTAAGGAGAAAGCACAGCAGCACTAGGTAGTCCCATTTATTACGTCAACATTTTAATAAGGCCAGGCACTGTAGCCCACACCTGTAATCCCAGCACTTTGAGAGGTCAAGGCCAGAAGATTGCCTGAGTTCAGGAGTTCAAGACCAGCCTGGGAAACAACAGTGAGATTCCCGTCACTACAACAAAATAAAAAAATTAGCCAGGTGTGGTCCACACATCTGGAGTCCCAGACACTTGGGAGGCTGAGATGGAAGGATTGCATGAGCGCAGGAAGTAGAGGCTGCAGTGAGCCATGATCGCACAACTGCACTCCAGCTAGGGTGACAGAGGGAGACCCTGTCTCAAAAAAAAAAAAAAAAGGTTTTTATCTGTCCCTTGGACTATTTGCCTCCTACTCCTCCAATTCATTCTTTGTATTTCCAATAGAATAATCTTTGAAATGCACCTCTAGTCATTTTACTCAGGTGCTCTTCTTCAGTGGAAGGTACGTATGCCCTATGGTTTGAAGTCAGTCGTTTCAGCATGGCAAGCCCTAGTAGTTTCTATGATTTGGTCCCTGTCTGAACACTGTGTACCCTTGCAAATGTTGCTTTCTAGATCTTGAAATGTTCTGCATTTCCACAGGTTCCCCCTCTTATCTCTCCTATTACTTACGTAAACTGTACAAATCTTACTATATAGCTTGACTGAATTTTTAGGGATGCATCCAAGGAATTATCCTGCAAAATTAAGATACAGAACATTTCCAGCACCCCAGTAGGCTCTCTCCTGTTCTCTCCCAGTCGATACCGACCCTCAGAGGTCACCACTATTCTGTCACCATAAATTAGTTTTGCCTATTTTGGAACCTCATATATACAGTAATGCAATATTTACTTTTTTTGTGTGTATGTGTGCATGGTGAACTCATTTTTAAGACCAAATTTTATGCATCTTCTCTGTGAAGCAAAACCCTGACAAGATTTAGTGTCTTGAAATTAGGGCCAGTGTATGATTTCTATTTCCAGAGGCTGGCATAGTGAGATAAGCTCACCGGCAAACTGCCATGTATCTTTCCCCTCGAACTACCTGCCTTGCCAGATCCTTATCTGTCAAAACTAAGCCCAGATGTCAAGTTCTCTCAGAGGCCTCCGCCAGCCAGCACAGTGGCTCATGCCTATGATCCCAGTGCTTTGGGAGGCTGAGGCTTGAGGCCAGGAGTTTCAGACCAGCAACACAGTGAGGCTTCGTCTCTGCAAAATTTAAAAAAATTAGCCAGGTGTGGTGGTGCACACCTGTAGTCCCCACAATTCGGGAGACCTGAACCACCATGCCCAGCTAACAGTACCATTTTCATAACAAGCCCTGTATTCCCATCTGATTCTAAACTATGTGCATATACCATTGTAATAAAAACAAAAACAAAAGACTAAGAAAAGAGGGAGGGAAGCATTAGCCATGGAATATAAGAGAAAAAGAGTCTTAGACCAAGAAAAAAAAAGTTAATCATAAAATTTAATTTAAAATCACCTGGATTATTTAGAACCAAGAGAGAGCTCTGTGTGTTGAATTTTATATAACTCTGTATAACACTTTAAGCAAATAACTTTCTAACTCTAACTTCATATATGGCAGTAGGATAATACTTGTCATCATAAATGAAAAGTACATGAAGGTCATCATATAAAAATGATTATTTCAGGAATAAAATTATTAAATTTTATACATAACCAAAAGACATTCTCAAGTGTTCATAAGTACAATACTTACCCCATACTAATCTCACAGGAATTTATTTATCAGCTTCAAATATTTGAACTAAACAGACAAAACTACATACTATATTTAGGACTATTTATTTTTAACTATCATTTAAAACTTTAAGCACAGGCCGGGCGCGGTGGTTCACTCCTGTAATCCCAGCACTTTGGGAGGCCGAGGCAGGTGGATCACGAGGTCAAGAAATGAAGACCATCCTGGCCAACATGCTGAAACCCCGTCTATATTAAAAATACAAAAATTAGCTGGGCGTGGTGGCTTGTGCCTGTAGTCCTAGCTACTCAGGAGGCTGAAGCAGGAGAATCGCCTCAACCCAGGAGGTAGAGGTTGCAGTGATCCCAAGGTCGCACTCCAGCCTGGGAAGCGACAGACATCGTCCCAAAAAAAAAAAAAAAAAACTTTAAGCACAAACTTTTTAAAAGCTGCTGAAAGGAAAAGAAATTTTGAGGTGGATACATATAGTATAACTCGATTCCTGTCTTTATTTTTTACCCCCCGATCTGACAAACATGAAAGCTCTCCACAACTTCTCTCCATTATTTATACATTTATACATTCATCCAGACATCCAATATTTACTGAGCACTTAAAATACATTAGGCACTGCACCTATCCTGACACTGGGGATTCAGCAACAGACCTGACAATAAACGTGATAATTACGTATTATGATAAAGGCTGTACACAAACTGTTCAGAATATTGCACAATAGTGATAGACAAATACCACTTCATATGAGGTGATAAAGGAAGGCGTCCTTGAGGCCATCTGAGCTGTGGCCATCAGATATGAGAATGAGCCAGACATGTAAAAATTCATAAATAGTCTTTCCAGGATGAGAGAAAGTAGCAAATGCAAAGGCTGCAAGCCAGAATAGGTTCCAAGAACAAGAAGATGGCTAGTGTAGCTAGTGTACAGGAGGCAAGGGGTAAATTACTACAATTGAGGTTGGAGTTTTAAGCAGGAACCAAATTATTTACAGCCTTGTAGACCACTATAAAGACTACATTTTTAAAAATTAATTATAGACTTTAAAGAAAGGAATAACAAGATCTGGTTTGGATTTTAAGAATACACTGACTGTGTGAAACTAGGAAACTACTGCACAGTGTCTTGGAGCAAAAGATGATGGCAGTGGGGACTAAAGTGGAGGCAATTAAGCAGAAGCTAACAGACTAAACTCAATACCAAACTAATAAAACTTGGTGACAGATTCTAACTGGAGATAAGGGGATATGGTCAGAAAGTGAGAGAAAGGGAGGAACTGAGGATATGTCTAGATTTTTCAGTTTAGTACTTGTGTTGCAATAGTGATGCCATTTGCTGTCATGGGAAAGACTAGTGGAGGCCTATCTTGTTAGAAAGATCCTTTTCATAATGTAATCTCTCCAGACCCTTTCACGAGTCATCACCAAAAGGCAACCATAGCAAATGTTAAAAGGCTTTTGCCACAGGGATAAGATGCTGGGGCAACCAAGCTTCTTTACAGAAATGAAAGACACTGGACAACTTCCTCTGTAAAATCCCACTTTAGCATAGTTTTGCTTTTAATGCGGTCCAGTGTCTAGTACCCCAACAAACATGTTATAGGCAAGGTTTCAAAACATCAGTTTTCCTGAATCTTATTCACAAGATAGTGATGAGCGCCGCCCTAGGCCAGGCACGGTGGCTCATGCTTGTAATCCCAGCACTTTGGGAGGCCGAGGCGGGCGGATCACCTGAGGTCGGGAGTTGGAGAACAGCCTGACCAATATGAAGAAACTCCGTCTCTACTGAAAATACAAAATTAGTCGGGCATGGTGGCACCGTGCCTGTAATCCCAGCTACTCGGAGGGCTGAGGCAGGAGAATTGCTTGAATTCGGGAGGCGGAGGTTGCAGTGAGCCGAGACTGTGCCATTGCACTCCAGCCTAGGCAACAAGAGCAAAACTCCGTCCAAAAAAAAAAAAAAATCCCTAAAATAAAGAGCCTGGCTGGGCGTGGTGGCTCACGCCTGTAATTCCAGCATTTTGGGAGGTGGAGGCGGGTGGATCATTTAAGGCCAGGAGTTCAACACCAGCCTGGACAACACGGCGAAACCCCATCTCTACTACAAAATACAAAAATTAGCCAGGTGTTGTCAGGCCTCTGAGCCCAAGCTAAGCCATCACATCCCCTGTGACCTGCACAATACATTCAGATGGCCTGAAGCAACTGAAGAATCACAAAAGAAGTGAAAATGGCAGGTTCCTGCCTTAACCGATGACATTCCACCATTGTGATTTATTCCTGTCCCACCTTAACTGAGCGATTAACTTTGTGAAATTCCTTCTCCTGGCTCAGAAGCTCCCCCACTGGGCACCTCGTGACCCCCGCCCCTGCCTGCAAGAGAAAAACCCCCTTTGACTGTAATTTTCCACTACCCACCCAAATCCTATAAAACAGCCCCATCCCTATCTCCCTTCGCTGACTTTCTTTTTGGACTCAGCCCGCCTGCACCCAGGTGATTAAAAACCTTCATTGCTCACACAAAGTCTGTTTGGTGGTCTCTTCACATGGACGCGCATGACAGTGTGGTGGCACACGCCTGTAGTCCCAGCTACTTTGGAGTCTGAGGCAAGAGAATCGCTTGAACCAGGAGACAGAGGTTGCAGTGAGCCAAGATTGCGCCACTACACTCCAACCTGGGTGACAGAGCAAGACTCTGTCTCAAAAATAAATAAATAGGCCAGAAGCAGTGGCTCACGCCTATAATCTCAGCACTTTGGGAGGCCAGCGTAGGTGGATAACTTGAGGTCAGGACTTCCAGACCAGCCTGGCCAACATAGTAAAACCCTGTCTCTACTAAAAATACAAAAATGAGCCGGGCATGGTGGTGGGTGCCTGTAATCCCAGCTACTTGGAAGGCTGACGCATGAGAATAGCTTGAACCCGGGAGGCAGAGGTTGCAGTGAGCCAAGATCACGCCACTTGCACTCCAGCCTGAGCAATAGAGACTCTGTCTCAAAAAAAAAAAAAGAAAAAGATAATTAAAAAAAATTAAAAAGAGCCTTATGTTAATGAATACTAAGTCCCTAATAAAGAGGGGTGTTAAGGAAAGGTCTTGAATTCTGGTCATCTTTGAATAGATACATCTTAGGATACATCTCTGACTATAAAAGAAAATTCTATTCTATTGCTGCATAACACACACACACACACACAACACAAAAGAAACAAACGGAAAGAACAATAAAGGAAACACTTGAAAAGCTAGTTTTTACCAGGCTTTTGTGCCAATAATTAACTACATACCTCTAACTTCCAAGAGTTCTTTATTATTAAATGAGAGGACTTATTGGAATGCAGAAAGACATTAAACTGCTCAACTTAAACACAAATATGTCATGAGGCCCAAAAAGCAAAAGCAGAAGCATAAACAAGCTCTGAAAGGAGAAGCCATGCTTCCCGGATACAGTATAAAAAGAACTGTCAGTCCCACCTTAATCTTCTCAGTACACTATCCAACTACTAATTTTTAGTTCATAAATTAAAAAAAAAAAAAAAAAAATCCCTCCACCACTGCAGCTGTTTAACATTAAAGCTTCTAATTCAAACTCTCAGCATTACTCTGGTGCTGCAAAAACAGATTTTTCTCTAGTGACAACAAAAATAATAATCACTTCTCTAACTTTTCCAATGATCCAAGCATGTAATCCAGTGCCAAAAATCTTCCTTTTCTCGTCCTGAGAAAATATCTGGCTATGGGTTGGGCATCACAATCCCAACTCTAACTTCCTTACACATCTTTCTGGAAGGCAACCCTGAGTGCTGTCACTGTAAAGTCTCACTAAGCACAAAGAGAGACAATGAACAAGGAAAAACAAACAAGAGCTGTCCAGTTTGGTAAATGGGGAGCTCACTAACCAGCAAGTGATGTCCCCTCATTTTGCTCATCCCCCAAAATCCAGAGTTCATCAATATATTTATCTCCTCTTGTCAGAGACACACCAAACCTACGAACTAAAGATTAGTGAGGTGAAAACAGTGAAATTAGTGAAACAGTGAGATTAGTGAAAACAGCACCTTTGTAATCACTCAGGTGACTACATATAAGCAGACTACTTAAAAACTGCCCCATTTTTCTCCTTTACAAATAGTAAGATCTGGTATACTTTTAAAAGGCTTAACCGAAACCAACAATTCCAAACTAATGCTAGAAAGTTCACTGGTGAATTTTAAAAATTCATAGGAAGGCAAATAAGTGCTTTAATAAGGGAGATAAATACGCATCCCAGAAGGTACTGACTGTGAAATTCAATTTCCGTGTATAGAATGATACATTATGCTAAACGAACTAACATCACATCATAGGTAGTATAAATCTAACGAAATTTTAAGATTAATACTGAGAAATTGGTGAACAAAATCTTAGTTGGGAGTCAATGTTTTAAAGCATCTTAGATTTGGTGGATAAGCAAAATGAAAAGTACTGAATTATCAACTGTTACATGCTTAATTATTCCACTAGCAAACACAACTACCTATAAGTGACTAGGAAATTAAATCCTTTAACACTCAATTATTGAGCATATACTATAAAATGAGCACAGTGCTAGCAGCACTTCTAGGCCATCAGAGACACCCATACACACTCTGTATTTCCGTAGCACTTTCTCCTATAGCACTGCAGCACTTAATATACCATAAGCTAATCATTTATAAATGATATGCATATATACTACTTTTGAACATATTATGTGCATTATTAAACATACACAAGTTAGAACTATAAACAGAATTTCTAGTATTTTATTCGCATCCTCTATGAATAGGCTTACATTCTTTGATACAACTTACAATGAGATTACCTCCCAATAAACCCATCATAAGTTGAAAATATCATTAAGTCAAAAATGTATTTAATACACCAAATTTACTGAACATAACTTAGCCTACCTTAAACATGCTTAGAACACTTACATTAGCATACTGTTGGACAAAATAACACAGTAATGCATTGAAAATCTCATGTAATTTATTAGTGTACTGAAATATTAATACTATGGTTATTAATACTAAATATTAATACTTTACTGAAATATGATTTCTACTGAACGCATATAGCTTCTGCACCATCGTAAAGTTAAATTGTAAGTCGGGGATTGTCTATATACACTTAGTGGAGATCACTGACCCAAGCTATATGATCCTAGAGAGAGGGGTCTTGGTTATCCATTTCCTTAGTGCCTAATTCATACCCAGCCTTCAGTAAAAATCTGCTGAATTAATGAGCAAAAGGACATTTTAAAATATGAATCCATAACATAACTTTTTGACACACTATAGTTCATCACTCAGCTACTAAGAGCAATATAAATGCCAGATTTTAAAGAAAGGGATTAGAAGAAATTCACCCACTGTATTTTATTACTACAATTTAAAAGTTAAGAATCATTTTAATTCAGCCGATTCTTACACACACACACACACACACACACACACACACACATCGCCTTATAATCCTGTTTCCAGAAAGATGAAAGGAAGGACAGAGAAGCAGATAAGACAGAAGAATTAAAAAACTGGTGAAGATTTTTAAGATGTCTTAGAGTTCTAAAAGGATCTAAAATGCAACTCATCTTTCACCGAACGGTTTTTGAATGCTGTGTTCCAAGCATTTAAAACACGTTTTTAAGAATACACAAGCCACAAACTTAGATGCAACAAGGAGGTGAAATAAAGAGATGAAGAATGTGCTGCTCAAATTTCCAGTATCCATGAAGTACAAGTGTACTTCCTTAGAAAACACACGCAATATAAACAAGAGTCAAGGCTTTCCTTGTGTTTTACTCAAAATATTTAAGAAAGATAGATTCAAGCCAAAAAATAAAAGCTACCAGTAATACATCTCCCTAACAGTGTTTAAATGTACACTTTTAGAAAACGTTAAGGTTTAGACAACTGACAAACAGTCTAGCTAAAATAGTGTGCAAAAACCAATCTTCCTAATTTCTAGGTGCTTCTAAAATGTAACTGAAGTCACTAGACTGCCCTTCCACTCAGGCCCAGTAAGTGTTATCTGTCATTAACATAACACTTCGTTTCCAAGGCCCCGCTTTGCAAGATAAACTGCCTGCAATTCCATGTTTGTATGTGGTAATATATGCCTATTTTTTTAAATACTACCTGTGTCTAGGCATTATTTAGCATTCAATAATTTTAAGTAAAGCCAAGGAGGCAAGTATTTCTGTAGTTTTGTCAAGCTTGTTTTGCACACACTGGACTAATGTGTGTTTGTCAAATCCTATCTACCCTTTCCCCCATTCATTTTATACAATATAAACAAGTAGATGAAACCAATGAATGCAGGTTTTACCAACTGTTTATATTATTCAAGTGCCCAAAAGAGGTTCCAAGACATTTTTAGCTCTATCAAAAGATTCTGGGGACAGCCGCAGTGGCTCACCTGTAATCCCAGCACTTTGGAAGGCCGAGGCTGGTGGATCACCTGTGGTTGAGAGTTTGAGACCATCCTGGCTAACATGATGAAACCCCATCTCTACTAAAAATACAAAAAATAAGCCAGGAGTGGTGGCATGCGCCTGTAGTCCCAGCTACTCGGGAGGCTGAGGCAGGAGAATGGCTTGAACCCGGGAGGCGGAGGTTGCAGTGAGCCAAGATCACGCCACTGCACTCCAGCCTGGGCGACAGAGCGAGACTCTGTCTCGAGAAAAAAAAAAGCTTCATAAACTTTTTTTGTAATCTTAAATTCTATATTAAAGTCTGACATTTACTAAATGGACCATGCTTAAAGAAGGGGGCTTCTGGTTTACATTTAGAAATACAATTTTATCAACTTGCTGCTCTCTTTTGCTTTAATTTTCCTCTAAAGCAAACTGGTAAAACATAAATTCATGCCGGCCGGGCGCGGTGGCTCATGCCTGTAATCCCAGCACTTTGGGAGGCCGAGGCGGGCAGATCACAAGGTCAGGAGATCCAGACCATCCCGGCTAACACGGTGAAACCCCGTCTCTACTAAAAATACAAAAAAATTAGCCGGGCGTGGTGGCGGGCACCTATAGTCCCAGCTGCTGGGGAGGCTGAGGCAGGAGAATGGCGTGAACCCGGGAGGCGGGGCTTGCAGTGAGCCGAGATCGCGCCACTGCACTCCAGCCTGGGCAACAGAGCAAGACTCGTCTCAAAAAAAAAACATAAATTCATTCCAATAGTTACAAATAAGCTCTTAACAAAGATTTTGCTATCTCTTCAAATACATGTGTTTTAAAATTCAACAGGCAGACACTGTATAAGAAATTAAACAAAAACCTTCCAGTCAGATCAGTTTAAAATGCAATTAACTTCATTTGTATTTACAAACGTACCATCTTAGTTTGATAGGAGATTAAGCAGGCTAGAGCTGAATACAAGTTTAATTTTGGAATTTCTCAATGCCAGGTACATCACTAGTATTCACACCCTCAAACTTAAGAAACACTTCTGAACCTTGAAGCTGTAAATCAGTTTGACTAATGTCCTCTTTCATGCCATGTAAGCCATTGCCTAATTGAGGCCAGACCTGTCAGGCTCAACAGCATCCCGGAAATGACTAGCCTACTAGGGCTGGAAACACATCAAGAATTTGGAATATTTCTCATATTGGGGCAGACAAAAAAAGTTCAAATGAGATTGTCCATAAAAACAATTATTATACTGTTCCACAAGGGAAAAAGAAAGAAAGACATAAAAGGCATATCTGTGTTATTCTGGTAAATCCACCACCACCAATACATCTCAATTCTGTATCTTACTGTCAGGTGATGGTCAACTGAACTTACCCACTTACCCCTCTTCTTCCTATATACGAACAAGAGTTCACTTCTCAAGCCTCATTTTGAATACCCGTCTTTTAATCTAATTACCATTTTATATCCTTAGCTACTAAAACCACCTGGAGCATGGCTGATTTCTTGACTTGGAAACCTGTTAACAATAATGCCTAGCTCCTAATCTTCTTAATGTTTTTTCACTTCTTACCAAGAATATCCATTAAATGTCTAAAAGAAATACAAGCATACACAGATCTACACACACTGAAATCCCAGTCATGAAAAATTAAGACATTCCGGCCATAAACTGTGCAACAAGACACTTCCAGTTAGTGTGTGCTTTAGTGATCATGGACAGCGGTATCAGAGTGAGTGGTAGGGGGTTGGGGCTGCCAACAATATACTGTGCCTCAGAGCCAATAAGCAGCAGGCCGGGACTGGCAGCCAGGCCAGTCTCTAAAGGGAGATTTAACACAATATCTGAATGCTGGACTTCCCAATGCCATTTCATGGAGAGGGATGGAGCGAGAACTGGGCATCAAGTGCAGTCAAAGGCTTTGGTCAACGTCGGAGGAGATGAAACCTAAGACAAGGTCTGGTGCCAACGCCAGCTGTCCAGTCTCATCTCACCTCAAACACAACTTCATTTCAGATCGTTCTTATCAAAGTCAGCCGCTCAAACGGTGAAGGGTGGCAGAAGCGGATGGCCACAGCCCTCAAGAGACAGGCATAGGCTCTGGGAAAAGGCAGGGACTCCCCAGATACGAAGGGGCTTCCAGTAGCAGAGAGGAGCGCTTTGCAGCCGCCTCCTCGTCCCCTTCCAGCTAAGGCTGTTAGGAACGAGGTTAGGATGTTATTTGAGGTTTTTATGAAGGAATGATAGGAGAAAATGGCAATGAAGGATGAGGGGGGCTGGATGGGCTGGAGCCGCCCAAGAAAACGGGGAGAGGACTTCCCTGGACACATCCAGGATCACAACGCCACCAGCGAGCACGGGCACTGCCCTGCCAGCGCCGATCCCCCTCTCTCAGGACAAGCCCCTTTCCAAACGGCCCTAATTCCCAAACGCTGCTTCCCACCCGACCTCTCTCCTCCACCACACTCCCCAAGGCCGGCCGCCTTTCCCTTCCGCCTCAGGCGCCCCACGCCCTCAATCTCCCCTCTCCCTCCCGGTTACCCACCCTCCAGGCTGCCCGTCGCGGGCCTCCCAGGCAGCTCGCCCAGACCCCTCCCCCCTCACCTCTCCTCAGCGCCTCCTCGTAGCTGAGGAATCCGATCCGTGACTCCTTGGCACCCATGCTCCCCTCATCCCCTCGGCGGGGGGTCGGAGCCTGATCTCGCCCCCACCCCCCTCCCGCCTTCTCCTCGGCGTCCCTGGGTGACGGTGACGGTGTCGGCGTCCCCCGCCCCCACCTCCCCCCACACTAACAAGTGCGGCTTCTGCCCCGGCGGCTCCTCCCGGTCGCCGCCACCGCCTCCATGCCGGATCACGTGACTCTTCCGCCCCGCCCCCTTCCCCTGCCTCCTACTCCGCCCTTCTCTCTCCTCTCTCTCCTCCCTCTCCTTCCCTCCTCACGCCCTCTTGCCACTTCCGCCCCCTCCCGCCAGCTCCGCCGAGGGTCACGGGACCCGAGGCCAGACACTGTTCCCGGTAACGGCCGCCCAGGGCCGCACGCTCCGCCCCTCCCCAAGCTAACCGCGCGCAGGAGCGCCGGGGAGGGGGACGCATCTCCGCACGTAACGCATCGTCCCATCTTCCCGCCAATCGCAGCCGCGCGCCCCGCCCGGGCGCCTCCGCTGGCGACGGGGGGTGGTGACTTCCGGGGCGCTTGAGGACGACCCCCCCCGCCCCCGCGCCCACATGTTCTGGCGTTCGGCGGGTGGGGTCCGAGCAGCTGACGGTTAGTGTGGCAGTTGCCGGGACCTAACATGGAAGACCGCAGAATCTTAGGGAATGGGGTTCTGAGGGATGCGGCATATGGCTCAGAAGAGAAAGGAGTGGGTAGGCAGGGAGCTCCCAACCTTAGGGACGTCTTTGACTGGGAGGGCGTTGTGAAAGGAAAGGAGAATCTCAAGGCTTTCCTGTGACAAAAGAATGCTCACACCTAGCGGGAGATCCCTGAGGAAAGTGGACCTTGTTAACGAAGTGGATCTGCCTTTTCGGGTCATCTCGCCTGCCCGGCCCACCTTCTCCTCCTGACCATGCCTCTTGTACACATTCTCTGGAAAGCGCTGTGCAAAAGGCTTATCCTCTCTCCCAGAGTTTCTCCCCGAGAAACATGAGGGCTACAAGGCTTAGCGTGGAGTCGTTTTAATCTGTGGTAAAATATACGTAACAAAATGTACCATTTTCACAATTTCTAAGTGAGTTCAGTGGCGTTAAGAACATTGATATTGTTTTGCATCCATTGCCACGTCCCATTTCCCACCGTTTTTCATCTTGCAAAAGGGAAACTCTGTGCCTATTAAACGGTAACTCCCCAATCCCCCTCCCACTGGTCCGTGGCAACCGCTGTCCTACTATCAATTTCACTACTCTTAAGTATTTCCTCTGAGTGGAACTCTGCAGACTTTCTCTTTTGTGACTGGCTTATTTCACTTGGCATCGTGCCTTCCAGGTTCATGGTGTGGCAGCATGTGACTGACTCTCCCACTCCACCTCTCCATTTCCCAAAGAATGAAAAGCAGGGATGTGAACAGGTATTTGTGCCCCCGTGTTTATAGCAGCATTATTCACGAGAGCCAAAAGGTGAACACAACCTATAGGAAACCATAAATGGAGAAACCAAATGGGGTGTATATGTACAGTGGAATTATTATTTAGTTCCTTGATTTTCAACTCTTATTTAGTTTGCGTCTTCAACCTAAAAGTCACGGAATAAAGCTTCTGGAAAAGGAAGCAATATTGAAAAAGTAACCATTTGGATTAGATTGGACCCAAGGTGCCGGTTAGGTAATTTAGGGCCAGGGAAAGGTTATTAGTTCCTAAAACCAACAGATTCTAATATACCCTGCTAGAGAAAGAAGGTAATATTCTGTGTTTTTCTTTTTTTTTTTTTTGAGACGGAGTTTCACCCCTGTTGCCCAGGCTGGAGTGCAATGGCGCGATCTCGACTCACCGCAACCTCTGCCTCTCTGGTTCAAGCGACTCTCCTGCCTCAGCCTCCCGAGTAGTTGGGATTACAGGCATGCGCCACCATGCCTGGCTAATTTTGTATTTTCAGTAGAGACAGGGTTTCTCCATGTTGGTCAGGCTGTTCTCGAACTCGCAACCTCAGATGATCCGCCCGCCTCAGCCTCCCAGAGTGCTGGGATTACAGGCGTGAGCCACCGCGCCCCACCAATATTTCGTGTTTTTCTACTCACCTTTCCTGGCAAACCAGATCAGCAGCGTGGCATTAGTCACAGCGCTGCCCTTTCCAGTTCACTGTGAGGTGGTTAATTTTAAGACCTCAGATTAGCTGCATTACTGAAAGGCCATGAATCAGGGGGTTGGGAATACATTTCAAAGCCTTTAATTTCCAGGTCATTAGTTCGGTATAGAGAGACATCAGGCAAAACACCTCAGTCATCTTCAGCCTGCAGAGTGCGAGTTCCGAGTTAGATTATCGTAATTAATGGGAAGTGAATTTTATGAAAGGGCCCAGCTGTGAGGGAGAAAAACCCTCAAGAGTTCAATTGCAACATATACTACTATTATTACTGTCCTAAACCGTCAGTACCTACAGATGGCCTTGCTATACAAGGGATAGGCTTGGGTATTTATCTACCCACTTGATTTGCAGTGGAGTTGGGAGCAAATTAATGTATCTCTTTGTGGCACTTGCCCCACTTGAAAGACAGGACTAGAGTTGCAGTTTAGCTGCTTTCATGAGATGGTAAATGATTTACAAAATACTCAGGAATTAATAGAATATGACCGCATGTGTCGTTTTCCAATGGGGTGCATTCTAAGAGATACATTGTTGTGGTGCAAATATCATAGATTACTTACACAAACCTAAATGGTATATCCTGCAGCACACCTAGGCCTATTGCTCCTAGGCTACAAACCTGTATAGCATGTTACTGTACTGAATACTGTAGGTAATTTTTTATTTATTTATTTATTTATTTTTTTGAGACGGAGTCTTGCTCTGTCGCCCAGGCTGGAATGCAGTGGCGCAATCTCGGTTCACTGCAGCCTCTGCCTCCCAGGTTCCAGTGATTCTCCTGCCTCAGCCTCCTGGGTAGCTGGGATTATAGGCGCACACCATCCCGCCCGGCTAATTTTTGTATTTTTAGTAGAGATGGGGTTTCACCATGTTGGCCAGGCTGGTCTCGAACTCCTGACCTGAGGTGATCCACCAACCTCGGCCTCCCAAAGTACTGGGATTAGAGGCACGAGCCACCACGCCTGGGCTACAGTAGGTAATTTTAACAATGGTATTTGTGTATCTAAACATAGAAAAGGTACAGTTTAAAAAGCAGTGTAATCTTACATGACCACCATCATATATGTGGTTCTCCTTTGACTGAAACACGACTGTAGCTCATGACTGTATGAACTTATTGTAAAGTAAGATTTACAGCAGTACTAACATGAACTTTTAAGATTTCCTCTTTAAGTTTCAGGCCTGGCATCCCCTAAGGTCATAAAAATTTCCACTCCATGGATTAAGCACTTCTAAAAATTGTGAGTTGAGATAGCAGATTAAGAAATACTATTTCTCCTTTGTCTGAGTTAAATTAAGCATATTATTGTAGCCAGTGAAGCAGATAGTTGTGTCTGATGGGAATTTTAAGTGTTAAACCCAGATTAAAACCTGCATTTTGGTTTGTATTACACAGTAGCAGGGAGTCAAATGTTAAACATCCCTCTAAAACTTAAAATTGATGCAGTACTTAAGTCTAATAACGTAGAAAGTCTGAAGTCTGCTTGTCATGCTGAAAGGAATTCTATTAATCGTTTAGTTTGTTCAATTTCATTATAATTAACTTAATCCATTGAAGAGTTGGCCAGCCACCTCACTTTTAAGTAGTCAGTTGTACTTAGGAAACCATTGCTTTAACTATAATTACATGCCTGCAAAAGGGTTATCCATATAAAGATTTAAAGCACAGGAGATTGGCATGTAATTTCTACTTCCAGTTGGGCAACAGAAATGACAAGTGTTTTCCCCAGTCTGTACTCACAGAGAAATGACATAAGAATAGGACAGTCATTTTAGTACTTGCCAAAGAACCTTAGGTAAGCTAGAGAGAGGGAGGTCAATACAATAGAAGTGGAAAAGCACCTAATTTATGTATAACTTCATTGCTACAACGTGACACCAACACATTAAGAGAATTGATTTTTCAGTATTATGGACTTGTTACCTTACAGTCAAACAATATGAGGATGTGGTCACGTGTATTGTATTTTTATGTACACTAAAGCACTTGAAGCTTTTTTTTTTTTTTTTTTTTTTTTTTGAGACAGGGTCTTGCTTTGTCACCCAAGCTGGAGTGCAGTAGCACAATCAGAGCTCACTGCAGTCTTTACCTGCCGGACTCAAGCAATCCTCCCACCTCAGCCTCCCAAGTAGCTGGGACTACAGGCATGCGCCACCACACCTGACTAATTTTTTATTTTCTGTAGAGACAGAGTTTCTGTAGAGAGCCCAGGCTGGTCTCGAATTCCTGGGCTCAAGTAATCCGCCTGCCTTAGTCTCCCAAAGTGCTGGGATTATAGGTGTGAGCCACCACGCCTGTCCCGAAGCTATTTTTGTACAAGTAATACATGCTCATTTTCCATCAGTACACAAGTATATAATGTAAAAGATCACTTCCAAAATATTGAAAGAATGACTAAAAATACGTCATTCTCTAATCTGCAGTTAAAGAAATTTCTCCTCTCTGTTGATCATTCTTTTAAAAATGCTGGCTGGTCACAGTAGCTCACACCCGAACTGTAATTCCAGTGCTTTGGGAAGTCAAGACAAGAGTATTGTTGAGGCCAGGAGTTTGAGATAAAGAGTGCCTAAAATTGGCAACATTTCAACAGGAGCCATCTCCTAAGAGTTTAAGACACACAGGATTCCTAAATTAAAACTATGACTAGGAAAGAAAACATTAAGATAACGACCTTTAACTTAGATCTACCTTGGAGGTTCTCTTTTTGTTTTACTACAATCTATGTTTGGCAAACAGACTACTCACTGATTGTGTGAATTAAAGTTTACCCTATGTTATACTCCTGTCTCGCCCTTCTCTACTCCAACTGCAATGAAGTTATATTCGTATCTCCTTCAAATTAATAGTTTACAAAGGTTAGGAGAAGGGTCTTATGGATAGTACCACCAGTGGCTGCTTTTTCTTCCTAAGCTCCTGAAAAAATCAAGTAGCATCCTTTTAGTTCTCCTTGATCTCTTTACTTCTTCCCATGTGGCAGCTGGACTGTACATTTAGGCCAGTCTCTTTCAGCAAAATACAAACTACAAGCTTGAGAATAAGTACACCAGTTGAATTCTAATCAGCAATTAAAATGCATAGAATAATATGGACTCCAACTTTGAACATATAGGATATACCTTACTTCAGTTTCTAGATAATAATAACTTTGTCAAGTCACCTAAGTCCAGCTTATCACCTTAATATGCTTTCTTAGATATTTGAGAAATACCAGCTCCAGCTGTGTACCTTTGGCTTTGATTTCTTCATCTTGTGGATGAGAGATTTAAACTCAATCAGGCTTTTTCCAGTTGTTGTTGTTGTTTAAGACACAGCGTCTCTCTCTATCACTCAGGCTGGAGTGCAGTGGTGTGATCATAACTCACTGTAACCTCAAACCCTGGGCTCAAGAAATACTCCTGCCTGAGCCTCCAGAGTAGCTGGAACTACAGGTGCACACCACCACACCTGGCTAATTTTTTAATTTTTTATAGAGATGGGGTGTTGTTTTGTTGCCCAGGCTGGTCTCAAACTCCTGGACTCAAGTGATCCTCCCGCCTAGGCCTCCCAAAGTGCTGGGATGAGACACCATGCATAGTCACCCCACTACCTATTAGTACAGTGCTTCCATTCTGTTTTGCACCTTTTGCTGAAATACTGGTCTGCTGTTTTTCCAATTGTCCTCCATTTTGGACCCCAGGCCTCCTTTTGATCAATAACTATTATCCTGATACTCAAAAAAAATTCTGAGACAGAGATGGGCCTGCCTACGTATAGGTATTTAATAGTAATTGTGGTATAATTTGAAAACTCTTTTAAGAGTTTTACAGTGGGAGTGAGGATGGGGTTAATCATTAGAGTCTTAAAAGGACCTAGGAAATGTACCATGTGATTTATGATTCTAGGTTAAGATAAAACTTTTTCACATGGTGGTACTAACCCAACAATTAACATCTTTAAAAGTCCCAATATTTTCTTCCAAATGGATTTGAAAGCTATAAAATAGCATTTAGTTAAAATTGTTTTGGCAGGCCAGGCAGGGTGCTTCGTGCCTGTAATCCAAGCACTTTGGGCAGCCAAGGCAGTAGGATTGCTTGGGCCAAGGAGTTTGAGACCAGCTTGGGCAACATACGGAGACTCTGTCTCTACAAAAATAAAAATTAAATTACTAGCCATCTCAAAAAATCTTAAAAATTAGCTAGGCACAGTGGTGTACCTCTGTAGTCTCAGCTACTCAGGAACCTGAGGTGGGAGGATCACTTGGGCCTGAAAAGTAGAGCTACAGTTACCCATGACTGCGTCACTGCACTCAAGCCTGGGCAACAGAGTGAGACCTTGCCTCAAAAAAAGAAAAAAGAAAAAAAAAGGTGTTTTGGCAACCCTGTTTAGTCACTGGTGTTCTGGCCGGAGGGAAGCAAAGAGAATCAAATCTGGGTTTCTTAGAAAGAGGAAGGAAATTCATGTAAGAAAGAGGAAGTTGGCAAGCCCCTCATGCCTATTTAACATCTTCCCACTACCCTAACAATTGAGTATAAATGTTGCAAATAGTTCATTTTAATATTCATAAAGCACTTTTTGTGTGCTAAATCCTGAGGAATACAAAGATGATTTTTTTTTAAGTTGCTTAGCTAGGTACAGTGGCTGGCTCAGAAATTAAACTCCTGTATGTAATCCTAGCACTTTGGGAGGCTGAGGCAAGAGGATTGATTGAGGTCAGGAGTTCAAGAACAGCCTGGGCAACATTGCAAGACCCTGTCTCTACAAAAAAAAAAAATTTAATTAGCTGGGTGTAGTGGTGTGTGCCTTCGGTCCCAGCTACTTGGGAGGCTAAACTGGGGAGAGCACTTGAATCCAGGAATTTGAGGCTGCAGTGAGCTATGATCATGCCAGTGCACTCCAGCCTGGGTGACAGAGTGAGACTGTCTTTAAAAAATAAAATAATAAAAAGAAAAATCTCTAGAAAGTCCTACAATACAGGATGTTATGGGAACCTAGAGTAGGGAGAGGTATTAGTCCAGATTGAAGGAGTGGGAAGAGGGCAGGAAGCCTAGGGAATGTGAATCTCGAAAGATAAATAAGAAAGCAGACATTCATTTACTCTTAACAAATCCACTGTGCCTACTCTGTGGCAAGCATTGTTCTAGGCGCTGAAGATACAGAATTGAGCAAAGTAAAAGCTCCTGCTCTCATGGAATTTATATTCTAGTAGGAAAAGAGACAAAATAAGTATAATAGTACATCAGTTGTTCTACAGAAAAAAAATGCAGAGGAAGGAGGCAAGAAGTGCTGAGATGAAGATTATAATTTAAAACTAGAATGGGGCTGGGCATGGTGGCTCATACTTGTAATGCCAACACTTTGGGAGGCCAAGGCGGGAGGATTGCTTGAGTCCAGGAGTTTGAGACCAGCCTGGGAAACATAGCAAGAGCCTGTCTCTACAAAAAAATTTAAAAAAAAAAATTTAGCTGGGTGTGGTGGCATGTGCCTGTAGTCCCAGATGCTTGGGAGGCTGAGATGGGAGGATTGCCTGAGCCCAGGAAGTGGAGGCTCCAGTAGGCCATGATCACACCACTGCACTCCAGCCTGGATGACAGAGCAAGACCCTGTCAAAATAAATAAATAAATAAGTAAAAGTAAAATATAAAAATACAAATAGAATGGTCAGAGAGAAGCAAAAAGGGTGATATTTAAGCCAAAATTGGAAGGAGAGAATGAAGCAGACTTTGTGGATATCCAAGGGAAGATTGTCCAAGGAATGAGGCAAGAGCACATCTGCCAGCTCTAAGGGCCAGCAAGGAAGCAAGTGTGCCTGCAACAGTGAGAGAAGGGGATGGGATCAAATCCTCTTTACAGACTTTGGCTCTTGCTCGTAAAATCAGAAGCTGTCACAGGTTTTGGAATGGAGAAGAGATCTGTCATCTTTTTTTTTTGAGATGGAGTCTTGCTCTGTTGTTGACCCTGGAGTGCAGTAGTGTGATCTCGGCTCACTGCAACCTCCACCTCCCAGGTTCAAGCAATTTTCCCATCTCAGCCTCCTGAGTAGCTGGGATTATAGGCATGCGCCACCATGCCTGGCTAATTTTTGTATTTTTAGTAGAAACGGGGTTTCACCACGTTGGCCAGGCTGGTCTTGAACTCCTGACCTCAGGTGATCCACCTGCCTCGGCCTCCAGAAATTCTGAGATTACAGGCGTGAGCCACCAAGCCCAGCCTGTCATCCATTTAAAAAAGATATCTCTGACTGCTGTGTTGAAAGTGGACTGGAGTGAGAGGAGAAGGGACAAAAGGGCAAACACAGGGAGACCAATTAGGGGGCGACTGCATTAATCCAGGCGTGAGGGTTAGGCGGTGAGAGGTTAGATCCCAGATATTATTTTGAAAGAACAGCCAACAGGATTAGATTGGGATGGATGAGAGAATATTTAAAGATGACTCCAAACTTAGTGACCTAAGTAGTTCAGAATTGCTACTCACTGAGATGAGGAATACAACAGGAGAAGGAGATTTGTGGGTCAAGATCAGAAGCAGAGCTTTGGACATATTACATTTGAGATGTCTATTAGACATCCAAGTGGATAGGTTAAATAGAGAGTTAGATATTTAACTCTGAAGTTAGAAAAGGTACAGGCTGGAGACATAGGTTGAGGAGTCATTAGAGATTGATGGTATTGAAAGCTGTAAGACCAAGATGGGTGCAGTGGCTCATGCCTGTAATCCCAGCTATTTGGGATGCTGAGTCGGGGGGATCACTTGTGGCCAGGGGTTTGAGACCAGCCTAGGCAACATTGGTAGACCTAGTCTCTACAAGAAATAAGAGTTTAAAAATTAGCTTGATATGGTGCCACCTGTGATCCCAGCTCTTTGGGATGCTGAGGCAGGAGGATTGCTTGAGCCCAGCAGTTCGAGACCAGCCTGGCCAACATAGCAAAACCCCATCTCTACAAAAAGATTTTAAAAAGCTGGCATGGTGGCATGTGCCTATAGTCCCAGCTACTTAGGAGGCTGTGGTGAGAGGATGGCTTGAACCGGGGAGGTAGAGGTTGCAGTGAGCTGAGATCATGCCACTGCACTCCAACCTGGGTGACAGAAACAGAGCCAGACCCTGTCTAAAAAAAAAAAAAGACCGGGCGCAATGGCTCACACCTGTAATCCCAGCACTTTGGGGGGCCAAGGTGGGCGTGGTGGTGGGCGCCTGTAGTCCCAGCTACTCAGGAGGCTGAGGCAGGAGAATAGCGTGAACCAGGGAGGCGGAGCTTGCAGTGAGCCGAGATCGCGCCACTGCACTCCAGCCTGGGCGACAGAGTGAGACTCCGTCTCAATTAAAAAGAGAAAGAAAGAAAGAATTATAAGCAGTTGACGAATGCTTTCAGGTAGATAGATCTTAGGAGCTTTATTGGTTTTTGTCAGGTTTCTGTTTTACTGTAATTTGGGGGCTATCAATGTGCAATACTTGACAGGAAGTTCTGGGCACCCTCAAAATTTGTTCTAAAAGAATGTGTTTGGTTAAAGTATGATAATCAAGGGTTAAAAGTAGACCTCTGGGGGCTGGGTGCAGTGGCTCACACCTGTAGTTATCCCAGCACTTTGGGAGGCTGAGGCAGGTGGATCACTTGAGGTCAGGAGTTTGAGACCAGCCTGGCCAACATGGTGAAACCCCATCTCTATAAAAAAAAGAAAAAAAAAAAAAGAAAGAAAGTAGATCTCTGCCTATGCATGAACTTCAGCCTGGTTGTCACTCAGAGATTACTGGGGCCCAAACTTTTGTGCACATTTGTAGATAATATTAACAAACAAATCAATTCATGCAAAAATCTAAGGGAGCAGCCAGTAGATACAAAGTTGTTCCCAGAAAACCCATGGAGAAAGGGTTCAAATTTCCCCCACTGAGACAAACTCTCCCCTAACTCTTATAGTAGCTCACACTGTGTGCTAGCCTCATGGGCAACCTTTCTGGAAAAGGGTGCTAACTTATCCCAGATCTTCTAGTTTTTGTCTGAGTGAAATGAAAACAAAGGTGGGCAAAGTGAAATTCTAGTTAATAGGTCACTGTGTGCATGTATTAGCTGCACCCAATTTTGCATTGTACAAGCACTAATATAAGGATCTTTCATTCTAGTGGTTGTCCCTTCAAAAGAGAAAGCCTGGTAGGGGAACAGTATTTTCTCCATCCTCAATATTCCATCCCTCATTTATCTTTTTTTTTTTTTTTTTTTTTTAATACAGAGTCTCACTCTGTTGCCCAGGCTGGAGTGCAGTGGTGCAATCATGGCTCATTGCAGCCTCGACCTCCCAGGCTCAAGTGATTCTCCCACCTCAGCCTCCTGAGTAGCTGGGACCACAGGCACACACCACCACACCTGGCTAATTTGTTTATTTTTTGTAGAGACAGGGCTTCACCACGTTGCCCAGACTGGTCTTGAACTTGGTTCAAGTGATCCTACCTCTTTGGCCTCCCAAAGTGCTGGGATTACAGGCATAAGCCACTGTGCCTGGTCCTTATTGATCAGTTATTCTTCTGAAACGCTAAATTAGTAATCAGAATCACGTTCCAGCACAGTATGCATTACTTTGCTTACATGAGTATACCTGTGCTACTGTGATTCTGGGTTGTCATTGCTTCATAAGAAATTATTCCAAACACTGAGTAGCATAAAACAATGACAACATTTATTTTGCTTATGAAACTGCAATGAGCAAAGCTCAATGGGGAGAGCTAATCTGTACGCCATTTAGTGTCAGCTGCAGTGGCCTGAAAGCTAGGGACTGGAATCCTCTGAAGGCTTTCTCACTCATGTCTGCCAGTTGATGCTTGTTGTCAGCTAAGGCCTTAGCTGGAGTTGTCATAAAAACAGCCCACTGTGCTTCCTCTTTCCTGACAACATTGTGGTTAGGTTCCAAAGGTGAGCATCCTGAAAAGAGGAGGGGAGAGAAGGGGGCTGGTGTAGTGGGCGGGTAAGCCGTATCTCTGTTTTTTTTTTGAGACGGAGTCTCGCTCTGTTGCCAGGCTGGAGTGCAGTGTCACGATCTCGGCTCACTGCAACCTCCACCTCCCGGGTTTAAATGATTCTCCTGCCTCAGCCTCCTGAGTAGCTGGGTCTACAGGCGCGCGCCACCACGCCCAGCTAATTTTTGTATTTTTAGTAGAGACAGGGACAGGGTTTCACCATGTTGGCCAGGATGGTCTTGATCTCTTGACCTCGTGATCTGCCGGCCTCGGCCTCCCAAAGTGCTGGGATTACAGGCATGAGCCACTGCGCCCAGCCAAGCTGTATCTTATGACCTAGCCTCAGATGTAACGCAGTGTCACTTCTGCTGCATTTTAGTCATTGAAGTAGCCACAAAGTTCTGCCCAGGTTTAAGGGGAGGTGAAATAATATCCAGAAATGTTGTCATGCCACAGTCTGCCCTCGGGTTACAATTCAGATTCCTCCCATTTGTAAGATGCATACACCGTTTCTTCTAAAACAGCCTTGAGGTCTAGGATCTCATCATCTAGATCAGGTCCAGGGGGACTAACGCTCCTCAGGTGTGGTTCCTCAAATACAATGCCTTTTGACTTGAACACCTGCTCTTAGTTAGTATACAATGAGTTTATTTAAGGAAAGGGGGTCGTGATGTATTGAACTTACTTTTAAATGCTTCAGGGACAAACTATATATTTTTTCACACATATATATTTGAAGACTATATACATACAGAAACATGGGCCGGGAGCAATGGCTCCCACCTGTAATCCCAGCACTTTGGGAGGCCAAGGCGGGAGTATTGATTGAGCCCAGGAGTTCAAGACCAGTCTGGGTAACATAGTGAGACTCTATGTCTACAAAAAATTAAAAAATTAGCCAGGCAGTTTGGCACACGCCTGTGGGTCCCAGCTACTTGGGCAGCTGAAGTAAGAGGATTGCTTGAGCTTGGGAGTCAAGGCCGCAGTGAGCCGCGATCACACCACTGCACTCCAGCCTGGGTGACAGGGCGAGACCCTGCCTCAAAAAAAAAAAAAAAGGAAAAGAAAAAAAGAAAGAAAAAGAAATATGCGCACACACACATATTTCTGGGGATTACTTCCCATCCCTTGAGCTTGGGCGGAACTGTATGACTGCTTAAATGATGGAATGTAGCAGAAGTGATACTGTTACATTTGAGGCTAGGTTTTAGAGAGAGAGGTGGGGGAGAGGGAGAGAGAATGCAAATAATAAAGCAAATTGAGCAGATGTTAATAGGTGAATCTGAATAAAGGGTATATGCAAGTGTTCTTTGTGCTATTCTTGTGTTTGCAACTTTTCTGTAAGCTTGAAATTATTTCCAAATAAAAAGTTTTTTTTTAATGTGATGCACATGGAAGAGGTCCTGAGCTTTAAATATTTTGATATTTTTAATTCCAGGGCAAATCCCAACTTGATTTTTATACCAAACCTTTAGTTCCTCCTTTGCCCAGATTTCTACAAGAAGACAATCTCGTTTCCTAAAAGAACTAGTTCTAGGAGAAACCGTCTTTGAGAGAGGAGATTTGGCATAATGAGACTCAACTTTTCAATTATCTTTGTATGACCTACTACACTAAAGGCATCTTGAAGCTATGTATGGTTTATAGGGAAATTGTAGAAGAGTGCACCTCAGCCTCCTTGGAACAAAAGAGACTGGGATTAGCTGCCTTGAAGAACCATCATTGTGTTCCCAGAGTTCAAATTCTAAAAATAGTGGCTGCTGAGAAACAACCTTCTCATCTTTCCTGTATGAAAAGGACACTTAAATAGAAGGCTGGTCTTTTTACTTAACAGTGTCACAATCTCCAAACAACCAAGGAGTAATCACTACTAAATGTCCCATTTTAGAAGCTGTTTGGGTGGGTGCGATGACTCCACGCCTGTAATCCCAGCACTTTGGGAGGCCGAGGCAGGCGGATCTCTTGAGGTGAGGAATTGGAGACCAGTCTGGCCAACTTGGTGAAACCCTCGTCTCTACTAAAAATACAAAAATTAGCCGGTATGGTGCTGCACAGCTACTCGGGAGGCTGAAGCACAAGAATTGCCTGAACCAGGGAGGTAGAGGCTGCAGTGACCCACGATCATGCCACTGCACTCCAGCCTAGGCGACAGAGCAAAACTGTTTCAAAAATAAAAAGAACAAAAAATAGAAGCTGTTAGTTTTTTGTTTTTGTTTTTGTTTTTGAGACAGAGTTTCGCTCTGTCACCCAGGCTGGAGTGCAGTGGCTCAATCTCGGCTCACCACAGCTTCCACCTCCTGGGTTCAAGCAACTCTCCTGTCTCAGCCTCCCAAGTAGCTGGGATTACAGGCACACACCTCCAAGCCAACCTAATTTTTTTTGTATTGTAGTAGAGATGGGGTTTCACCGTGTTGCCCAGGCTGGTCTCGAACTCCTGAGCTCAGACAGTCCACCCGCCTCAACCTCCCAAAGTGCTAGGATTACAGGCATGAGCCACTGTGCCTGGCTGAAGCTGTTAGTATTTTTAAAATCATGCGGTTGAATTGCTTGAGCCCAAGAATTCGAGACCAGCATGGGCAACATATCAAAACCCCATCGCTACAAAAATACAAAAATTAGCCAGGCCTAGTGGCATGTTGCCTATAGTCCCAGCTGCTCAAGAGGCTAAGGTGGGAGGATCACCTGAGCCTGGGGAGGTGGAGGCTGCAGTGAATCATGATCACACCACTGCATTCCTGCCTGGGCAACAGAGTGAGATCCTGTCTCAAAACATAAAATAAAATTAAATAAATAAATAAAAGGCACCTCAGGGCCATTTAATAAATTCATCCGTAACCATCGTGCATAGAATTTTATTCTTTCAAAGGTTATTATTTGGCTGGGTGCAGAAGCTCACTCCTGTAATCCAGCACTTTGGGAGGCCAGTGTGGGAGGATTGCTTGAGCCCCAGAGTTGAGACCAGCCTGGGAAACATAGTTAGACGCCACCTCTCCAAAATGTCTTTTTTAAATTTAGCTAGGTGTACTGGTGCACACCTGTATTCTCAGCTACTTGGGAGGCTGAGTTGGGAGGATCACTTGAGTCCAGGAGGTCAAGGCTGCAGAGAGCCGTGATCATACCACTGTACCCCAGCCTGGGTGACAGTGCAAGACCTTGTCTCAAAAAAAAAAAAAAAAAAAAAAGCTTATTATTCTGAAAAAAAAAATTTTTTTTTGGAGACAGTCTTGTTCTTGTCATCCAGGGACCATCTCAGCTCACTGCAACCTCCGCCTCCTGGGTTCAAGCGATTCTCCTGCCTCAGCCTCCCAAATAGCTGGGACTACAGGCCCATGCCACCATGCCCAGCTAATTGTTGTATGTTTAGTAGAGAAAGGGTTTTGCCATGTTGCTCAAGCTGGTCTCAAACTCCTGGCCTCAAGTGATCCACCCTCCTCAGCCTCCTAAAGTGCTGGGATCACAGGCGTGTGCCACTGCACCTGGCCCATTATTCTGAAATTCTACATTGAAGTTCTTCTTTTGCTTTTTTTTCTCTTTTTTGAGACAGAGACTTGCTCTGTCACCCAGGCTGGAGTGCAATGGCATGACCTCGGCTCACTGTAATCTCCACCTCCCAGGTTCAAGCGATTCTCCTGCCTCAGCCTCCTGAGTAGCTGTGATTACAGGCACGCGCCACCACGCCCAGCTAATTTTTGTATTTTTAGTAGAGACAGGGTTTCACCATGTTGATCAAGCTGGTCTTAAACTCCTGACCTCGTGATCCACCTGCCTCAGCCTCCCAAAGTACTGGGATTACAGACATGAGCCACTGCGCCTGGCCTTTCTTTCTTTCTTTCTTTCTTTTTTCAAACTCCATTTTGTAAGGTTGATCAGTTGCTCAAAGACTGACATGCTAATCAAATTTCAGTGAAACAGAGGACTTTTGTTTCTGATCATGATGGAGTTAAAAGGGACCAGATTAACCCTTCTGCCATACACACCTAGGAAGCTAGACAAAACATACAGAACAACCGTTTTCAGATGTTGGACAATTGGCAGTGCAGAACTGACGTCATTGAGATAAAGAAAACAAATGAGGTAAATTCTGTGATTTTCCTAGCTTTTTGCCTAGGGGTGCAATCTGGATCATAAAATCAGAATGTGGCAATCTCACTGAGGACGCACAGATTGGAGTTCATGGAACCTGAGGCAGCTGTGGAAGTTGCTGTGCAAAATTCCAAAAAGGAAGAAGGTATGCAAAAACCTTCAGAAATTTGCATAGGATCTTGAGTTTTTTCTGAATATTAAGGTAGCCATAAGTAGAGCTAAGTTCCAGGAGACTGAGCAAAGAACAATTGAAGAGATGTAACTGAACAATTCCCAGAGCTAGGAAACATACAAATTATGACCAATTGGAGTAGAAATAACTTAGTGACCTCCCAAGATGTTCAGGAGAGACTGCAGCAGAGGTAAACCTTACTAAAAGGTCTAAACTAGGTCTAGAGTAAAGTACACGCTAGAACTGCTTAATGAAGCTTAAAAACTAGCCTCAAAAACATCAAACTAATCCAAAAGTAAGTTAACAATCTGGTACAACAAAGACCTATACTCTTTAAGGGAAGACTACAAAATACAGACATTCAACAATGTGACATCCACATTAGCCAGGTGTGGTGGTCCATGCCTGTAATCCCAGCTACTCAGGAGGCTGAGGCAGAAGAATTGCTTGAACCCAGGAGGCGGAGGTTACAGTGAGCCGAGATTAAGCCACTGTGCTCCAGCCTGGGCGACAGAGCAAGCCTCTGTCTCAAAAAAAAAAAAAAAAAAAAAAAAAGCAGAAACAGGCCGGGTGCAGTGGCTCACGCATGTAATTCCAGCACTTTGGGAGGCCAAGGCAGGCGGATTGCCTGAGGTCAGGAGTTCGAGACCAGCCTGGCCAACATGGTGAAACCTCGTCTCTACTAAAAATATAAAAATCAGCTGGGCGTGGGGGTGAGCGCCTATAGTCCCAGCTACTGGGAAGGCTAAGGCAGGATAATTGCTTGAACCTGGGAGGTGGAGATTGCAGTGAGCTGAGATGTCGCCACTGCACTCCAGCCTGGGGTACAGAGCGAGACTCCATCTCAAAAAGAAAAAGAAAGAAAAAGAAAAACAATGTGACATCCTGAGATCCAATAAAAAATTACTATTTATACCAAGAAGCAGGGGGGAAAAATCAGGTGACAGACATGGACCCAGAAATGACAGAAATTATGGAATTAGCAGATAAGAATGATGAAACAGCTATTATAACTATATTTAAAGAAAAACATGAATATAATGAGGAAAGAAGAAAAAAGAACCAGATGGAACTTCTAGTGGTGAAAAATACAGTATCTGAACTTGTAACCACATCGTATCAATCTGGCTCAACTTTTTTTTTTGAGACAGAGTCTCGCTCTGTCCCCCAGGCTGGAGTGCAGTGGCACGATCTTGGCTCACTGCAAGCTCTGCCTCCCGGGTTCAATCGATTTTCCTGCCTCCGCCTCCCAAGTAGCTGGGATTATAGGTGCATGCCACCATGCCCAGCTAATTTTTGTATTTTTAGTAGAGATGGGGTTTCACCATGTTGGCCAGGCTGGTCTTCAACTCCTGACCTCAAATGATCTGCCCACCTCACCCTCCCAAAGTGCTGGGATTACAGGCATGAGCCACCATGCCCGGCCAATCTGGCTCAACTTTTATATAACAAAGTTGTGAGTTTTCAGTTGCTATGGATTCCCCAGGTTGAAGGTTATGTAACCTGAGCATGCCCAGATGAAGCAAGCATGCAACGATAGGGGGAATCTAAGTGCTCAGACCAAGGAGCAGAGACGGAACTAAGTGGACACCACATAGTTTGATCCAGGATCCAATCAGATCAAACTCTGACATCACCCCATGCCAGGATCCAGTCAGATCATGCCTTCTGGCATCACCTCATTGCAAGATCCAATCAGATAATACCTTGCTACCCTATGCTTATAAAACATGACCCAGACCCCAGCTTGGGGAGACACAGCTGAGCATTTCCTCCTATTTCCTTGCCAGCTGACTCACAGTAAAACTTTTCTCAGCCGGGCACAGTGGCTCATGCCTGTAATCCCAGCACTTTGGGAGGCCGAGGTGCACGGATCACCTGAGGCCAGGACTTCAAGACCACCCTGAGCAACATGGCGAAACCCTGTCTCTACTAAAAATACAAAAATTAGCTGGGCATGGTGGCACATGCCTGTAATCCCCGCTGCTAGAGGGGCTGAGGCAGGAGGATCACTTGAACCTAGGAGGCGGAGGTTGCAGTGAGCCGAAATCATGCCACAGCATTCCAGCCTATGCAACAGAGCGAGACTCCGTCTCAAAAACAAAAACAAAACTTTTCTCAAAAACTAGTGCCACAGTATTGGCCTCTATGCACGTCGGGCAGTGAGCCCATTGATTGCTCAGTAACAAAATGAAAAATTCAACATGGCAGCTGGCTTACCCCAGAGCAAGCAATCAGAGGGAAAAAAAGAGGGTTACCTAATGCATTAGTTTTCTATTGCAGTAAAAAATTACCACAAGCTTAGTGGCTCTGAAACCACCCTTGCAAAAATTACAAGTGAGATAAATCTGACATAGAAAAAGTATGATAGTGAAAAAAAGTCTGACCTAACTGACTCCATTTTGCTTCTAACCTCAAAGCCACCCTTGTTCATTTCCCAGCATAGGCCAAACTAACTATGGGAGGAATTTATAGTTTGAAAGAGGGGTGTCCAATCTTTTGGCTTCCCTGGGTCACATTGGAAGAGGAAGAATTGTCTTGGACCACACATAAAATACACTAACACTAATGATAGCTCATAAGCTTAAAAAAATCACAAAAAAACCCTCAATATTTTAAGAAAGTTTATGAATTTGTGTTGGACCACATTCAAAGCTGTCCTGGATGGTATGCAGCCCATGGGTCAAGGGTTGGACAAGCTTGGTTTAAAACAAAGATGAAAATAGCCCCTTCCCAAAACTAACAATCTCCTTGTTCAGCGACTAAAACTGCCTTTGAAAAACTAACAAACTAGCTACAAAGTTAAAATTATGGTTCAGAAGTCTTGTAGCCAGAGGGCACAAGATTTGTAATCTCCCCAGTTGCTCCTATAGATAACATCACTATTGTAAAATCTAAGATTGATGTTTGAGGTATTTTCCAGACCCTGCATTCTGATGGGCTATCTGGTCTTGTAACCCCCAGCAACACATAGGAAGAAACTGGCTCATCTGGTCTTGTAACCTCCACCCAGAAACTGACTCAGTGCAGGAAGACAGCTTTGACCCCCTATGATTTCATCCCTGACCCAACCAATCAGCATACCCCATTCCCTAGTCTCCTGCCCTCCAAACTATCCTTTAAAAACCCTAGCCTCGGTGGGCGCGGTGGCTCATGCCTGTAATCCCAGCACTTTGGGAGGCTGAGGCGGGCAGATCACAAGGTCAGGAGATTGAGACCATCTTGGCTAACACGGTGAAACCCTGTCTCTACTAAAAATACAAAAAATTAGCTGGGCGTGGTGGCAGGCACCTGTAGTCCCAGCTACTCAGGAGGCTGAGGCAGGAGAATGGTGTGAACCTGGGAGGCGGAGCTTGCAGTGAGCCGAGATTGCACCACTGCACGCCAGCCTGGGCCACAGAGTGAAACACTGTCTCAAAAAATAAATAAAGAAAGAAAGAACTAGAGAAGCAAGAGCAAACAAAAACAAATGCAGTCTATACTATATAATGCTATATAAATCACAAGAGTCAAAAGCACATAACATAGGTTAGAAATAGAAACTGTCGGCTGGGTGCGGTGGCTCACGCCTATAATCTCAGCACTTTGGGAGGCTGAGGTGGGGGGATCACAAGGTCAAGAGATTGAGACCATCCTAGCCAACATGGTGAAGCCCCGTTTCTACTAAAAATACAAAAATTAGCCAGGCATGGTGGCACGTGCCTGTAGTCCCAGCTACTTAGGAGACCAGCCTGGACAACATAATGAGACCTTCACCTCTACAAAAAAAAAAAAGTTTTTAAAGTTAGCCAGCCAGGCCAGGCACGGTGGCTCACACCTGTAATCTCAGCACTTTGGGAGGCCGAGGCAGGCGGATCACCTGAGGTTGGGAGTTCAAGACCAGCCTGACCAACATGGAGAAACCCTGTCTCTGCTAAAAATACAAAATTAGCAGAGCATGGTGCATGCCTGTAATCCCAGCTATTTGGGGGCTGAGGCAGGAGAATCGCTTGAACCCAGGAGGTGGAGGTTGCGGTGAGCCGAGATTGCCCGATTGCACTCCAGCCTGGGCAATAAAAGCAAAACTGTCTCAAAAATAAATAAATAAATAAATAAATAAATAAATAAATAATTAGCCAGCCATGGTGGTGCATGCCTGCAGTCCCAGCTACTCAGGAGGCTGAGGTGGGAGGATCACTTGAGCCCAGGAGTCAAGGCTTCAGTTTGAGCCGTGATTGTACCATTACACTCTAGCCTCGGTGACAAAGTGAGAGTCTGTCACTATTTTTTAAATTTAATTTTAATTTGTATTTATTTATTTGTTTTAGAGAGAGAGGTCTCACTATGTTCCCCTGGCTGGTCTCAAACTAATGGGCTCAAGTGATCCTCCCACCTCAGCCTCCAGAGTAGCTGAGATTACAGGCATGCACCACCATGTACAGCTCCTATTCTACTTTCTGTCTCTATGAATTTGCCTATTTTAGATATTTCATATAAGTGGAATTATATATTTGTTCATTTGTGTCTCGCTTATTTCACTTAGTAGAGTTTTTAAGATTCATTTATGTTGTAGTATATATGAGGATTTCATTCTTTCTGTGGTTGAATAATATTCTATTGCATGCATATACCACATTTTTTTATCCATTCATCTATTGATGGACACTTGGGTTGTTTCCACTTTTTGGCTATTGTGAACAATGCTGCTGTGAACATTGGTATATAAGTATCTGTTTGAGTCCCTGCATTCAATATAATTTAATATTTAATAATGCTTCTGTTTAGCAAACAGCTGGCAAAATTGCAAAAACTTAATAATCAGCTCTGATGAGCCTGTTAGAGCCAGCTCTAGCACAATATCAGAGAATCTGTAATTTACCTGACTGGACCCAACAAGCCCAACTTGGAATTCAAGCTCACCACACCGGTATTTTCCAAATTTGCCCGATGATGATAATTGCCTAGGATATTTATGAAAATACTGATCCCCAAGCCAGGTGTGGTGGCTCATGCCTATAATCCCAGCACTTTGGGAGGCCAAGACAGAGAAGATTGCTTGAGCCCAGGAGTTTGAGACCAGCCTGGGCAACATGGTGAAATCCCATCTCTACAAAAAATACAAAAATTGGCCGGGTATGTGATGTGAACCTGTAGTCCCAGCTACTAGTGGGGAATGGGGGCGGTGGGGCGGGGGAGCAGGTGGCTGAGGCAGGAAGATCACCTGAGTCTGAGAGGTCAAGGCTTCAGTGAGCTATGATTGCACCACTGCACTCCAGCTTGGGTGACAGAGTGATACCCTGTTTCAAAAAAAAAAAAAAAAATAGTGATTTCCAGACCCTCTTGGGACATTCTGATTCTGAAGATCTAAGGCAAGGTGATTTTTCTGTCTGAAAAACTCTAATATTAGTCCCCAGTCTCACCAAATCTGGGCCTGAAGGGAGGGAGTGGGGTACAAATACGGTGCCCTGGAAGAAAGGTGGTGAGAGTGAGTCCTTTGGGGAGAAATTGCTGCAAAATTTGAGATGCATTTTTTTCCTCTCCAAAATCATTCCCAGCTCCAACATTCATTGACATTCATTCAGTTCTCTCCTGCTTATCTCCCTGAATTCTGTCTTAGCAAAGAAAACCTTCCAGAAAGAGCCAAGAGGAAATCATTAGGCCCCAGCAATTTTGACAAGATCACAGACGCTTGCATATCATTAGACTATTTAGAAACACGCTCTAAAGTTCCGAGGTTGCCATTCTGCAGTGTTATTTTGATACCCTGACAAGATATTTTTAGAGCACATGAAGCCCAAATTAAAACATTGCTACAGGAAAAAAAAAGTGAAATCCAACCAGGGGTCTATTAAATGGAAAACTACAGTAAATATCAGATAAGAGTGAAGAAAATAGTACAAAACATTTTTGAAAACTATTTTGGGAGAAGCAGGAGTTGGAGAGATGCTCATGACTTATGTGCAGAGATGTGTTCTGTATCCTGCCAGTGGGGGAGGGAAAGACCTTATCCCTGTGTTATAGAACTGGGGTCCACTCACCTGGCCCAGCAAAAAGAATGCTGATGTCAGGATAGCAGTGAAAGAAAGTGAGGACTTTGTTGCAGGGTGCCAAACAAGGAGAGCTGGCAGCTCATACTTAAGACCTGACCTCCCAGATGGCTTACAGGTAAGGGTTTTTAAAGGCAGGGAGACAGATGTGCTAGGCTAAGTCATAAACCAGTACAGGGAGGCTATATATTATTTTGACTTAAAAAGGAAGGGAGGACAGGTGGATTAAAAAAATTTTGATTTCTAATTGGTTAAGAGGCAAAGCTTTTGTCTAAAACTTTGGGATCAGCAGAAAAGAATGTTACTGGCTGGGCGCAGTGGCTCATGCCTGTAATCCCAGCACTTTGGGAGGCCAAGGTGAGCAGATCACGAGGTCAGGATATTGAGATCATCCTGGCCAACAATAGTGAAACCCTGTCTCTACTAAAAATACAAAAATCAGCTGGGCATGGCAGCGTGTGCCTGTAATCCCAGCTACTTGGGAGGCTAAGGCAGGAGAATCACTTGAACCCAGGAGGCGGAGGTTGCAGTGAGCTGAGATCGCACCGCTGCACTCCAGCCTGGCGACAGCTAGATTCTGTCTCAAAAAAAAAAAAAAGAAAAAAAAAAAAAAAAAAAGAATGTTACCTGTGGTTCATGAGTGTGACCTTCTCCAGGCTCCTCAGGAAGAAATTTTTAAAAAAGAATGGTTGGTTTGGGAACAGTCCTCTGTTCCCCCTTATCTGAGGTCCATGTGCTAGCAGAGTAGGATGTGGGTCCGGGTTTCTGAAAAACAACTCAGGGACACATATTAAGATGTTATCGGCTGGGCGTGGTGGCTCACGCCTATAATCCCAGCGCTTTGGGAGGCCATGGTGGGCAGATCACTTGAGGTCAGGAGTTCGAGACCAGCCTGGCCAACATGGCAAAACCTCATCTCTACTAAAAATACAAAAATTAGCTAGGCATGGTGGCATAAGCCTGTAATCCCAGCTACTCGGGAGGCTGTGGCAGGAGAATTGCTTGAACCTGGGAGGCAGAGGTTGCAGTGAGCTGAGATCATGCCACTGCACTCCAGCTTAGGTGACAGAGCAAGACAAGATGTTATCTTTAGTTTCTATAGGGAATAAAATATCTCCTGACTCTAACTTCCTTGGTGATTGTTTTATTGATTTATTTGTTTATTTTTTGAGACAGAGTCTCGCTCTGTTGCCCAGGCTGGAGTGCAGTGGCATAATCTCGGCTCACTGCAACCTCTGCCTCCCAGGTTCAAGCTATTCTCATGTCTCAGCCTCCTGAGTAGCAGAGATTACAGGCGCCCACCACCAGGCCCGGCTAATTTTTGTATTTTTAGTAGAGACGGGGTTTTGCCATGTTGGTCAGGTTGGCCTCGAACTCCTGACCTCAGGAGATCCACCCGCCTTGGCCTCCAGAAGAGCTGGGATTACAGGCATGAGCCACCACGCCCAGCCAGTTATTGTTTTAAACTACTATTGCCTTCTTGTTCATCAAGTTGCTCATTTACTTCTCCAGGCTAGCTAGGTGCCTGGAATTTCCCTAGAAGGAACACCAGATTTTTATTTTTCTTTTCTTTCTTTCTTTTTTTTTTTTTTAGATGGAGTCTTGCTCTGTTGCCCAGGCTGGAGTGCAGTGGTGCAATCTCAGCTAGCTGCAACCTACGGTCTCCCGGGTTCAAGCAATAATTCTACCTCAGCCTCCTGAGTAGCTGGGATTACAGGAAGAAATTTAAAACAAAGAATGGGTGGTTGGAGTTCAGTCCTCTGTTTATAGTCCTCTATAAAGAAAATAAATTTTTCGTTATTTTCATGCTTGGGGAGGGTGGTATCCAGCAGGTCCCTAAGAAGGGTCCTTGCTTAGTCTCACTTGCAGCCTGTCTTGGAAGGTCCTGATGCCTTGTATTAGCACAAGAGGAGATTCCTATCCACTGGGGAGGGCTGGATGTAGGCTGCTGGCAGGGAAGACACAGGACTTCACTGTACATGGTCAAATATCTTACTGGCCTTCTGTTTACTCCCTGGTTCCTTGGCTTGGGCCTGGAATGTGGTTAATTGGGCTTTAAACCCCCTTGCCTTCTTCCTCTGCCTTTTTGCTCTCAAGAGTAGCCCTGTGTCTGGTGTTTGTCACAGTGTCTCCATTTGAAGGCTTCCATGGGTTAAAGACCCATCTAACTTCCAGAATCACTGCCGAGAAGGTCCACAAGCTTAGGTTAGACTTGTTAGATCCTTAGTTCCTAATATCTTTGGGGCTAGACCTCTTTGATGAGTCTTTGCATACAATTCACTGGATAGCACTTCAAAGGTTTGTTGACTCCCTTAAGCCCATTGGTGGATTAAGACAGTGTCTAGGTAATGATTCGGATCCAGGTGGCCTTGGAGTAGGGACAACTTGGCTTAGCTGGGAGGTGCTGGCATGCTCTTCAGACCCAGCACTCCAGCTATGACAGGGATTTCAATGGCCTTCCTTTTCTTGGAGTCTTTATACAATTCTAATTGGATAATTTGGAGCAAGAACAAAAATCCTCTTTTGGTAATTTTAAGATATGCTTGGTGGTGTTTTTTTTGTTTATTTGTTTGTTTTTTTGAGATTGAGTCTCACTCTGTTGCCCAGGCTGGAGTGCAGTGGCATGATCTCGGCTCACTGCAACCTCTGCCTCCCAGGTTCAAGCAATTCTCCTGCCTCAGCCTCCTGAGTAGCTATGACTACAGGCACGTGCCACCACGCCCAGCTAATTTTTGTATTTTTAGTAGAGACAGGGTTTCAGCATGTTGGCCAGAATGGTCTCGATCTCTTGACCTCATGATCTGCCCGCGTCGGCCTCCCAAAGTGCTGGGATTACAGGTGTGACCCACTGCGCCTGGCTTACTCTTGGGTTTCTTACAAAGAAAAGAGGATAGAGGAGAGTTCTTTAGGGTAATACAAGGATTCTACATCACTGGTCAACCCAGAAAGAGAGATGGGCAGATTTCATATCTATGAGGGAAAGCGTAAGCAGTAGATGCTAAGAGTTATTTTCTATGTATGCTTAATTCAGGACATACAACAAGAATTTCGTGAGTTCCATCACATATACTAGGGGATGGAGGTAAAGCATGATGATTATGAAACAGGCGTATGCCATCAAAGAGCATGCCAACCTGCATAAAGAGGGGGGTGGGCAAATTAACAACCCACAACCCCCTCACCTGCCAGATGCCTAAAGTATATGGCACATATTTGGATTAAAAAAAATGTGGTGGAGGGATGACTTTGTTGAATGACTTGATTTGCCCTATAGAGTCATTTTATGCCGACCAATGGAATTTTGAAGAATGCTCCCAAAGGCAATGGATTTTTGTTTTGTCTTAGTTAATGTTGAGCCATTATTCCTGGCTGCTGTTAGGTTCAATTGTCTCTTCAGGCTACTCCCCATGGTTGATAATAAAACCATTATGAGAATAGGGCAGTCATCCAAAGCCTAGGGCTTGCTGAAAGCTCTGGCAGGGAAAATGGTAGTTTGGGATTAGGGAACAGGAAGGGACAGCTAAGCTTTGAGGTACTAACAGTTATTTCCTCCTTCTGAATTGAACTGGGGATATATATACACACACATGCACACACACACATATATTCATGTATTTATATATGTATGTATATATCCAATTCCTTTTTTTTTTTTTTTGAGACAGAGTCTCAATCTGTCACGCAGGTTGGAGTACAGTGGTGTGATCTCGGCTCACTGCAACCTCCCCCTCTTGGGTTCAAGCCATTCTCCTGCCTCAGCCTCCTAAATAGCTGGGATTACAGGTATGCACCACCACACCCAGTTAATTTTTATATTTTTAGTAGAGACTGGTTTTAACCGTGTTGGCCAGGCTGGTCTCGAACTCCTGACCTCAGGTGATCCACCCACCTCAGCCTCCCAAAGTGCTGGGATTACAGGTGTGAACCACTGTGCCCAGCAAATTTCTTTCTTTCTTTCTTTTTATTTTAACTGTATTTTCTTCCAGTCTTGATCCATATTTGTGTCCACTTATGAAGTGTAGCATACATACCCTTTTATGTTCTGTATTTTTGGTGGGGAGTCTCTCTATGTTGCCCATGCTGGTCTCTAACTCCTAGGCTCAAAAGATCCTCTTGCCTTGGCCTCCCAAAGTGCTGAGAATACAAGCATAAGCCACATGCCCAGCTGATTTTTAATTTTTTTTTTTTTTTTTGTGACAGAGTCTCGCTCTTGTCGCCCAGGCTGGAGTGCAGTGCCATGATCTCGGCTCACTACAACATCTGCCTCCCAGGTTCAAGCGTTTCTCCTGCCTCAGCCTCCTGAGTAGCTGGGATTACAGGTGCCTGCCACCACACCCAGCTAATTTTTGTATTTTTAGTAAAGACAGGATTTCGCCATGTTGGCCAGGCTGGTCTCGAACTCCTGACCTCAAGTGATCCGCCTGCCTCAGCCTCCCAAAGTGTGCTGGGATTACAGGCTTGAGCCATTGTGCCCAGCCTGATTTTTAAAATTTTTATGTATTTATTTATTTTTATTTTTATTTTTATTTTGAGACAGAGTCTTGCTGTGTCGCCCAGGCTGGAGGGCAGTGGCACAATCGAAGCTCACTGCAACCTCTGCCTCCTGGGTTCAAGCGATTCTCCTGCCTCAGCCTCCTGAGTAGCTGGGGCTACAGGCGTCCACCACCACGTCCGGCTAATCTTTTTTTTTTTTTTTTTGAGACGGAGTTTCACTCTTGTTACCCAGGCTGGAGTGCAATGGCACGATCTCGGCTCACCACAACCTCTGCCTCCCAGGTTCAAGCGATTCTCCTGCCTCAGCCTCCCTAGTAGCTGGGATTATAGGCATGTGCTACCACGCCCAGCTAATTTTGTATTTTTAGTAGAGACGGGGTTTCTCCATGTCAGTCAGGCTGGTCTCAAACTCCCGACCTCAGGTGATCTGCCTGCCTCAGCCTCCCAAAGTGCTGGGATTACAGGCGTGAGACCCCTCGCCTGGCTAATTTTTGTATTTTTAGTAGAGACAGCATTTCACCATCTTGGCCAGGCTAGTCTCAAACTCCTGACCTCAGGCAATCCACCCGCTTTGGCCTCCCAAAGTGCTGGGATTACAGGTGTGAGCCACCGTGCCTGGCCTCTGTTTTTTTTTTTTTTTTTTTTACTATTAACTTTTCCTTTTTTGTATTCTACTGCATCTTCTCAGAATTGTGTTCTGTCACCAAAAGCAGTTTCAACAAAAGCAAAAAGTGACTAATGGGATCTAATTAAACTAAAGAGCTTCTGCACAGCAAAATAAATTATCAATAGAGTAAACAGACAACCTACAAAATGGGAGAAAAATTTTGCAAACTATGCATCCTACAAAGGTCTAATATCCAGCATCTGAAAGGAACTTAAATACATTTACAAGAATAAAAACAAACAACCCCATTAAAAAGCCATCAAAGGACATGAACAGACACTTTTCAAAAGAAAATATACATGCAACCAATAAGCATATGAAAAAAAGCTCAACATCACTGGTCATTAAAGAAATGCAAATCAAAACCACAGTGAGATACCACCTCACACCAGTCAGAATGATGATGATTAAAAAGTCAAAAAATAACAAATGCTGGCAAGGTTGCAGAGAAAAAGAAACACTTCTACACTGTTGGTAGGAGTGTAAATTAGTTCAACCATAGCGGAAAGTAGTGTGGTGAATCCTCAAAGAGCTAAAAACAGAACTACCATTCAACCCAGCAATCCTGTTACTGGATATATACCCAAAGGAATATAAATCATTCTACCATAAAGACACATGCACTCGTATATTTATTACAGCACTATTCACAATAGCAAAGACATGGAATCAACCTAAATGCCCATCAATGGTAGACTGAATAAAGAAAATGTGGTAATATCCATCATGGAATACTATACAGCCATAAAAAAGAACGAGATCATGTCCCTTGCAGGAACATTGATGGAGCTGAAGGCCATTATCCTTAGAAAACTAACATAGGAACAGAAAACCAAATACCGCATGTTCTCACTTATAAGTAGGAGCTAAATGATGAGAACACATGAACACGTAGAGGGGAACAACACACACTGGGGCCTACCAGAGAGTGGAGGGTGGGAGAAGTGAGAGGATCAGGAAAAATAACTAATGGGTACTAGGCTTAATACCTGGGTAACAAAATAATCTGTGCAACAGGCTGGGCACGGTGGCTCATGCCTGTAATCCCAGCACTTTGGGAGGCTGAGGTGGATCACGAGGTCAGGAGATGGAGGCCATCCTGGCTAACACAGTGAAACCCCGTCTCTACTAGAAATACAAAAAAATTAGCCGGGCGTGGTGGCAGGGGCCTGTAGTCCCAGCTACTCGGGAGGCTGAGGCAAGAGAATGGCGTGAACCCGGGAGGCGGAGCTTGCAGTGAGCAGAGATGGCGCCACTGCATTCCAGCCTGGGTGACACAGCGAGACACCATCTCAAAAAAAAAAAAAAAATTCTGTGCAACAAACCCCCATGACACAGGTTTATCTATATAACAAACCTGCAACTCAAGGTTAAAAAAAATTATTATTATTATTATTATTATTATTATTATTATTATTATTATTTTATTATTATTATTTGAGTCGGAGTCTTGCTCTGTTGCTCTAGCTGGAGTGCAGGGGCATGGTCTTGGCTCACTGCAACCTCTGCCTCCCGAGTTCAAGCGATTCTCCTGCCTCAGCCTCCTGAGTAGCTGGGATTACAGGCATGCACCACCGCGCCTGGCTAATTTTTGTATTTTTAGTATTTTTATTTTTATTTTATTTATTTTGTTTATTTTATTTTATTTTATTTTATTTGTTTTGTTTTATTTTATTTATTTTGTTTTACTTTATTTTATTTTGTATTTTTAGTAGAGACTAAAAATAGTAGAGAGTTTTAGTAGAGGGTTTTGCCATGTTGGCCAGGCTGGTCTCAAACTCCTGATCTCAGGTGACCCACCCACCTCGGCCTCTCAAACTGCTGCGATTATAGGTGTGAGCCACCGCACCCGGCAGAATTATGTTGTTTTAAAACTTAGCATTATATAATGTTTTTAATGATGTTATTTAATCCTTATGAGTAGATTTTTAAAAAAGACTCTTTCCTGGCCGGACGCGGTGGCTCACGCCTGTAATCCTAGCACTTTGGGAGGCTGAGGCAAGCAGATCACCTGAAGTCGGGAGTTAGACACCAGCGTGACCAACATGGAGAAACCCCGTCTTTACTAAAAATACAAAATTAGCCAGACGCGGTGGCACAAGCCTGTAATCCCAGCTACTCGGGAGGCTGAGGCAGGAGAATGGCTTGAACCCGAGAGGCGGAAGTTGCAGTGAGCCGAGATCACGCCATTGCTCCAGCCTGGGCAATAAGAGCAAAACTCCGTCTCAAAAACAAACAACAAACAAACAAACAAAAAAACCTCTTTCCTGACTGTAAAAGTAAAGCATAATTGTTATTGTTAAAAATACAGATAATATGTGAAGAAAGTGAAAAATTACCTTTGATATTTTGAAGTGTATCCTTCAAGACTTTTTTCTATGCATATATAAATATATATGTACAAAAATGGAATCATACCTTTTAGTTCCTGTTTTCCATGTCAATAGATATATAGTGACATATTTCATGTTTTTATGAATATACCATGATTTATGTATTCTATTAGTGACACTGCAATTGTTTCCAAATTGTCACTATTGTAACAGTCCTCATCATCTTCTCTCCTTAGGACTAATTCCTCCTATAAGTAGAATTGGTGAGTCACAGAGCATGCACATTTAAACACTTTAAAATACATTGTTTACCAATCTCACTGCCAGTAGGAACGTATGTAAAGGTTCCTTTCCCCTTGCTCTTGCCAATATAATTATCCTTCTTAATACTCGCAAAATAATCTGGAATTAATGATCAGAAAACAGACCTTCCATCTTGGAGGCGGATAAGTGGAAGGTTTATTCCTCCCCTTACAACAACAACAACGACAACAATAACAACAAGACGTTTGCTGAACATGCTGGCATAGAGGACAAGTTAAAAAGTTTCTGGACTCAAAGGGTGCTCCTCCAAAGCTCCGGGCCTCCGGGCTACCCCTACTTGAAGCCGCTATGCCCCTCTCCTGTGCCCGAGGTGGCCGCTGGGTGGCAGGGGAGGCCCGGGCCGACGGCGGTCCCACCGCACTGTCGCGAAGGCAGGCGAAGAACAGGGCCACACTGAGTGGGGACAACTGGGCCCGGGCCCAGAGGACACGAAGGAAGGTCCGGGAGAAGGAATTCCTAGTTTCAGGGAAGAAAAGGTGGCTCGAGTGAGGAAACTGCGGGGGCAACGGTCTCTCGTCGCCGGGACCCCGCCGTGTGCCGCCCAGGGACGCGAGGGGGCGCTGCTGCCGCGCCAGGGGCGAGGGTCCCGGGGCCTCCTGAGCACCTCCCGGCCCTGCCCGGCCAACTCAGACTACACCCGGACTCTGCCCACCGCGTTTCCGCCCTCGGCCTCGGGTCCCTGGAGGGCTCGCGGGTAGGAAGAGTCGGGGTGGCGGGACTTTCGCCGACACCCGGCTCCCCGCCTGGTGGCTGCGCACACGAGGCCGGCGACGGGACTTGCCCGCGTCTCAGCGCCTCCTGTGTGAAGCGGGACCGCTGCGGTACCTGCCCCAGGGAAGGCCGCGGGGAGGGTTACAGAGCCCGTAGGCACTGGCGGGGATCTTTATACACCCCCAAAACACACACATCCCACCCAGTACCCAGCACCCAGCACCCAGCACGGAGGGCTTATTATTAACAACTTCCTGGAGGCCGCAGGGGCAGTGCTGGCTCACTGTGTCCCTTCTCCCTTTCAGCTCTCCCTAGACCTCTGTCCCAAATCAGAAAAGAATTTTACAAACTGTGCTTTCCTCTCGGGGAGCCCCCACCACGGCGTAACCCAGCAGGCAGGAATGGCACACGTGCAGGAAAATGAGTTCAACAGCCTTACCAGGTGGTGTCAGGATCAGCATCTGACAGTATTCTTGGGAGAAGGGGCGCCAGCCTCTCCTGGCCTGCTGTGCGCTCTGCCAAAGTCTTCGCTCGACCCCGCACATCTTGCTCCGTTCCCTAGTCCAGATCCCAGCTGGAGGGGCCAGCTGCAGCCACCCCTAAGAATGAGGAAATGGGAGCGGGGTGGGGGGCTGGGTTCTGTGTTGGCGGTTGCCGTGGCTTTGCTCCGAGTTCTGGAGCCAAACCGCCCACTCCCTGAGACGGCTAGGTCACAGAAGCAGTGGGTCAGAAGCCAGAGGGGACGTGGGGAGTGCCACCCTGGAGCCTACCGGCACACCTGCTGAGATGGAGGCCTCAGATGGGCAAGGGGGTGAAGGGGACAAGCCACTAGAGCAGGTGAAGTGGGGTGTGAGGGAGGGAGGGAAGGAGGGTCCCGGAGGGGCTGGTTTTGGAAAGTAGAGAACATGAAATTCAGGAAAGAAGAGAAGAACAATGATAGGGTACCTGAGATAGCAAGAGGCCTAAAGCACAAGAACTTTCATTCATTCAGAAGTTTATGCATGACCTGTGTTCCTGGCGAGATGATGGGGAAGAGGTCGCCTCTCATTGTTGGTTATGAAGACTTGAGAGTATGTGTATGTATACACATGGTCTGTGTGTGGTTGTGTGGTGTGTGTGCTGTGTTGGAGGAGTTGATCAGCCAGAGTCCTGTCTCTAGGACCTGGAGGAGCCTGTGTCCCATCTCCTCTCCATGCACCTCCCTCCCCCTGGCCTTTCCCTTCAGAGTGGTCTGGACGGGATCTTCCTTGTTCTCCCCGAACACAGACTAGAATTCATACTTTTCTGAGAAGCTTTTGAAAGGTGAGGGGCAAATCCAGTTCTGACTTCTAGTGTTATTTCACAGTCACTTTGTTGCCACTTATTTTCAGCTTTCTTTTTTTCTTTGTTCTTTTTTTTTTTTTGAGACAGAGTCTCACTCTGTCACCTAGGCTGGACTGCAGTGGCATGATCTTGGCCCACTGCAACCTCTGCCCCCTGGGTTGGAGCAATTTATCCTGCCTCAGCCTCCTGAGTAGATGGGATTACAGGTATGCATTACCACACCTGGCTAATTTTTGTATTTTTGGTAGAGAGGGGGTTTCGCCATGTTGGCCAGGCTGGTCTTGAACTCCTGACTTCAGGTGATCCACCCATCTCGGCCTCCCAAAATGCTGGGATTACAGGTGTGAGCCACTGTGCCCAGTTTTGCTCTGTCACCCAGGCTGGAGTGCAGTGGCTCAGTCTCGGCTCACTGCAACCTCCACCTCCTGGGTTCCAGCAATTCTCCTGCCCCAGCCTCCCAAGTAGATGGGATTACAGGCACGTGCCACCACACTTAGCTGATTTTTTTGTATTTTTGGTAGAAATTGGGTTTTGCCATGCTGGCCAGGCTGGTCTTGAACTTCTGGGCTCAAGCAATCCACCCACTTCAGCCTCCTAAAATGTTGGGATTACAGGCGTGAGCCACTGGGCCTGGCCTAATTTTCAGCTTTCTTTGCCCCACTTTTGTGGTCAAAGGTTCTTTCTCATCATCACCATCATCCACTTTTTCTGAATAGTCATTAGATGCATGGTTTATTAGTCCATTTTGCATTCCTATAAAGGAATACTTGAGGCTAGGCAATTTATAAAGAAAAGAGGTTTATTTGGCTCACAGTCCTGCAGGCTGTACACGAAGCATCTGCTTCTGGTGAGGGCCTCAGGAAGCTTACAAGCATGACAGAAGATGAAGAGGGAGCAAGCTTGTCACATGGTGAGAGAGCAAGCAAGAGAGAGAGGAGGGCGTGTCAGGCTCTTGTTACCAACCAGCTCTCACATGAACTGACAGAGTGAGAACTCACTTAATTGGGGCAGGGAGGGCACCAAGCCCATTCATGAAGGATCCACCCCCATGACCCAAACACCTCCCATCAGACCCTGCCTCCAACATTGGGGATCACGTTTCAACATGAGATTTAGAGGGGACACACATTCAAACCATATCACATGACGATGCTAGAGGCTAGGGATGCAAAGAAATGGGCCCAGTCTGATGCAGTCAGTAAACATTTGCCAAGTGAGTGAGTAAATGAATCCCTGTTCATTCCCCCAAGGAGCTGCTTAAATCTTTTGATGCCTCATTGTTCTCATCTGTAACTAGGGTTAATGATATTGAAACCGTCCCTAGAAACTTTATAAAATTAATCAGAAAAAAAGAGGGGAAAAATGAAAATTAACTGAGCTTGCAGCTCATTCAGCATGAATCATGAGGTCAGCCTGCTCTCTGACCCACTTCCTTGGAGTTCTTTGGTGCCTGTTTCCTTAGAATTCCGTAGACCCTGGGTGCGGTGGCTCATGCCTGTAATCCCAGCATTTTGGGAGCCGAGGTGGGTGGATCACTTGAGGTCAGGAGTTTGAGACCAGACTGGCCAACATGGTCTCTACTAAAAATACAAAATTAGCCAGGCGTTGTGGTGCACGCCTGTAATCCCAGCTACTCGGGAGGCTGAGGCAGGAGAATCGCTTGAACCCGGGAGGCCAAGGTTGCAGTGAGCCGAGATCACACCACTGCACTCCAGCCTGGGTGATAGAGTGAATAAAAAAAAAAAGGAATTCCATAGACCCTGTTACAAGGATACTCCCTTAACTGCTCTGCAGATAACAGCTCGAACATTATGAAGCATTGCGTTTTCTCTTTAAATATTATTTCAGATCCTACATACCACTCAAACTACAGATGGCAGTTGGTCTAAAGAACCCTTCAAAAACCTGATTCACCAAAGAATGCAGTTTCCACATCCTCATAATTTCATCCCCCGACTCTGACCAATCAATGGCCCCAGTTTTTTCAATCCCTCCCACTCCATGATCTCCTTAAAAACCCCAGTCCAGAACTCCTTGGGAAGATAGATTTGAGGATCTCCTTCCATCTCCTCACTGAGCACCCAGCAATCAATAAACTCTTTCTCACAGTGACATGATCTCGGCTCACTGCAACCTTCAACTCCTGGACACTAGCAATCCTCCCACCTTGGCTTCCTGGGTAGCTGGGACCACAGGTGCACGCCACCATGCCCAGCTAATTTTTGTAATTTTTTGTAGAGACCAGGTCTCACTATATTGCCCAGACTGGTCTGCTGCCACTTTTGCTGTCTCTATATATTGGACTGTGAGTGTCCAGCAGGCATATAAACCTGTTGGTCCTATAACAACATCTAACCTGACAGAATTTGCGGGAAGATAAAATGAGCTAATGTTTACCAAGTGCTTTGCAGTTACCTAGTAGAATATGCTGTGATTATTATAAAAGAAAGAGGTGGAATATTCTAGGTTTTCTAAGCAGAGATTTTCAGAGATGGGTTTCTTTGCCCAAGGCTCACTCACATCCATGCTGGGTCAAGAAGGTCTGAGGGCAATGGAGAAGGGCTTTGGCTGCCATTTGGGTCAGTCCCTGCCAGCACTGCCCCCAGGAGTAACGGTCCAATCCCCCGGCTTAGTGCCCCCTGCCTCCTCCTAGGTGACAAATGTGTCATGCCTGGAGACAAGCTCCAGCGCCAGCCCTGCTAGAGACTCGCTCATGCGCCATGCCAAGGGCCTGGATCAGGACACCTTCAAAACTGTGAGTAAAGAGCCAGCCTGGAACCCTGTCCCCTTTTCCCCATTGGTCAGGAGGCCTGAGTCAGGAAATGGCAGGCCTCAGACCCACAGCGCATTGCCCCACTTGTCTTACTCTTGGTAAGGACTTTTGGTGAGAGGTGCACCAGAGCCACCTCCCGAAACACGCAGCACTGGGCCACTCAGGGCTGCGGCCAGACCGGTGTGCTGGATACCTGGGACTGCCCATCTGCCTCTTCTTTTCTCCCATGGCCCCTCACCTCACCTGTTGCCTCCTCAGTGTAAAGAATACCTAAGACCGCTGAAGAAGTTCCTGCGAAAGTTGCACCTGCCCAGGGACCTTCCCCAGAAGAAGAAGCTGAAGTACATGAAGCAGAGCCTTGTGGTCCTAGGGGACCACATCAACACCTTTCTGCAGCATTACTGCCAAGCCTGGGAAATCAAACACTGGAGAAAGTAGGGCAGTCTCTTTGCTCTGCTCCCCATACCTACTCCTGGGCAACCCCCTCTTCATTCAAGGGGACACCTTAGTCAATCCCCCAGTCCTTCATCTTTATGTGGAGGAGTCAAGAGCCTGAGGGGATGGAGAGAGCTCCTAGTCACTCAGGACAGCCCTGACTGCACCTTGTCTCTGACTGAACAACTGCGTGCAGGCGCTCAATACCAGGATAGGATATTCAAGTTTGGGCAAATCCCCACCCCTCCATTCCCCCAACCCCAAACCCCAAAGGGGCATGTGGCCCATATTCCCCTGGGTGGGTCCTGACCCTGAGACAAATGCTGGAGGGAGGAAGCGCTGTGCTCCACCTCCCCAGCCTAGGGTCTCCCCCTTTGCAGGATGCTCTGGCGGTTCATCTCCCTCTTCTCGGAGCTGGAAGCAAAGCAGCTTCGCCGACTTTACAAGTACACCAAGAGCAGCCAGCCGGCCAAGTTCCTGGTGAGGCGCAAGACATTCCGCCCGAGCACAGCTGAGGGTTGGTTGATGTGTCCTTAGACTTGCGGGGAGGCCTGGGATTGACACACCCAGAGCCCCTCTGGTCCTTCCCAGGGCTCACTGCCAGGGCAAGACTCTGCTGCTTGACCTTTACCCCTGCCCTGGGCAGAGTGGGCTGAAGAGGCCGAGGCTCAGCATCAAGTTCTCCATATATATTTGATGCACGGGCAAGCCCGGGAAAGTTCTTGGTTTTGCCCAGAAAAGAATTTAAGGGTGAGCTGGTGGTATTACACAGCAAGTTTATGGAAGCGGCCGTGTAGAGTAGCAGCAGAGGCACTCCTCCTTGTGGAGCAGGGCTACCCTATGGGCAGTGTGCCCAGAGTAGCAGCACAGGGGCAGCTCTGAGCTCATATTTATCCCCGCTTTTAATTACTTGCAAATTATGGGGTGGTTATTTGGAATTTACCAGAAAAAGGGTGGTACTTCTGGGTTGTTGCCATGGGAAGGGGTCGCAACTTCCAAGTATTGCTATGGCAATGGTAAACTGACATAGCATTGGTAGGTGTGTCTTAGGGAGAGGTGCTTTCACCCCTTCCCTGTTTCAGCTAGTCTTTTTTTTTTGATATGGAGTCTCACTCTGTCATCCAAGCTGGAGTGTCGTGGCGCGATCTTGGCTCACTGCAACCTCCGCCTCCTGGGTTCAAGTGATTCTCCTGCCACAGCCTCCCAGGTAGCTGGGATTACAGGTGCACACCACTGTGCCTAATTTTTGTATTTTTAGTAGAAACGAGGTTTCACTATGTTGGCCAGGCTGGTCTCGAACTCCTGACCTCAGGTGATCTGCCCGCCTCAGCTCCCAAAGCATTGGGATTACAGGAGTGAGCCATCGCGCCCAGCCTACCACTCTTCATGTTGTATGGGCTATAGGTTTTGCCAAAGGTATGATGACATGTATCTACCATTACAGTATGATATGGAAGAGTGCCATGGTCCTAAAAACCCCCTGTGCTCCATCTATTTGTCCCTGCCTTCCTGCCCCCACTCCCCTGGCGACCACTGATCTTAGGTTCACTGTCTCTTAGTTTTGCTGTCTCGGAATGTCATATCGTCGGGATCATACAATATGTAGCCTTTTCAGATTCGTATCAGTGAAATTTTCATACTAGGTTTCATTAGAATCCATTGGTTTCAGGGGCTCCATGAGGTCAAAATATTACAGGGACTCCTGGGGGTTTGCAGAGCACACTTTGAGAACCACTGGTCTGGAATAATAATCATAGATAAAGCAGATGTAAAAGCATTCTATGTGCCAGGTACTTTATATTCCTTCAAGTAATATTCAAAAGTAACCCTAAGTGGTAATTAGGTTTATTGTCTGCAGTGTGTAAATGAAGATCCCAAATACAGGGAAGTAAGGTAATTTGTCGCAGTCTTTATAGCAAGTAGGAAGGAAGAGGAAGGGTTCAGCCTCCATCTGGCTGGGATGAGAGCCGTGCTCTAACTGCGCCCTCCTGCACTCTCGCCGTGCAGCCCTAACCAAGTCCTCTCCCTCTCTGCATCTGTTTCTTCCTCTGAACATGTAACGATTGGAGAACTTCAATGATTTCTCTTCTGAATAAGAGGAGCTGCCACTTTACTGATTTCTAGATTTCTGGATTTCATTGGCCTGAATTTTTTTTTTTTTTTTTTCGAGACAGAGTTTTGCTCTTGTCCCCCAGGCTGGAGTGCAATGGTGAGATCTTGGCTCACCACAACCTCCACCTCCAGGTTCAAGCGATTCTCTTGCCTCAGCCTCCTGAGTAGCTGGGATTACAGGCATGCACCACCATGCCCAGCTAACTTTTGTATTTTTAATAGAGACGGGGTTTCACCTTGTTGGCCAGGCTGGTCTTGAACTCCTGACCTCAAGTGATCTGCCCTCCTCGACCTTCCAAAGTGCTAGGACTACAGGCATGAGCCACCGCACCAGGCCGAAAAATTTATATATATATAGTCTTTGAATTTTAATTTCAAAATTCAAGCTCTCAATTTATTTCATTTCTAAAATTTTTATTTTTTTTTTAACAGACTCAAAGCTTACAAAGGCTCCCATTTTTTTTTTTTTTTAAGACAGAGTTTCGCTCTGTTGCCCAGGCTGGAGTGCAGTGGCGTGATCTCGGCTCACTGCAACCTCCGCCTTCAGGGTTCTAGGGATTCTCCTGCCTCAGCTAAACGAGTAAGGCTCCCAATTTAATTTTTGCTAAGTTAGATCTTTAAAACACATATCATTTCATTGCAAAAAAACAATAAGACACTGCAGTTCCAAAAAGAGATGGAAGACATGATCTCAAAATAAAGGACAACGCAGGAGGACACCATTGGCAGCTTGCCTCCATGTCCCCACAGTCTTTTCTCTCCCACATCTGTGATTCCTACCCCATCCTTTTGGTTAGGCAAGTGTGACCGGCAGGCAGACCTTAGCATTTCTCAACAAATGCGGTGCTGGGACTCTAAAGTTCAGGTCCCCCTCTTCTCAACACTCTCCTTAACACGGAGGCTCCATGGCAGGTGACATTCTGCGCCTCGGATGCGCCGGAGAGGTCCTTGCTGGCCGACCGGGAAGACAGTCTGCCCAAGCTCTGCCATGCATGGGGGCTGCACAGCAACATCAGCGGCATGAAGGAGCGGCTGTCCAACATGCAGACCCCAGGTCAAGGGAGCCCCCTGCCTGGGCAGCCAAGATCCCAGGACCATGTCAAGAAAGGTAATGACCATTTGGTGTTGGGGTGATGCCTGGACCCAGGAGTTTGTGAGTGGTGTCTGGGTGTTTCCCAAGAGTAGACTCAAGCAGCCGGGAGCCTCTGCCCCCAGCCTGACAAGCTCCTCTTCCCTCCTTTCCATCTTCTCTTCATCCCGCATTTTCCTTTCTGTTTTTTCTTCTCTTTCTCCACTTTCTCTTCTCTTTTTAGTCCCCCTCTTCCCCAGGCTTGCTCATTATAGAAAGGTTTTTGTTTTTATTATTTATTTATTTTATTTTATTTATTTTTTCCAGACGGAGTCTCGCTCTGTCACCCAGGCTGGAATGCAATGGCGCTATCTCGGCTCACTGCAACCTCTGCCTCCTGGGTTCAAGCGATTCTCCTGCCTCAGCATCCCCAGTAGCTGGGATTAGAGATGCCCATCACCATGCCTGGCTAATTTTTGTACTTTTAGTAAAGACAGGGTTTCACGGTGTTGCCCAAGCTGGTCTTGAGCTCCTGAGCTCACACAATCCAGCCGCCTCAGCCTCCCAAAGTGCTGGGATTACAGGTGTGAGCCACGCACCTGGCTTTTTTTTTTTTTTTTTTTTTTTTTTACATTCCTGACCTGTTGAAAAGATGAGGCTATTATTCAGCAGAATGTTCTCCTTCCTGATTTATTCCCTATTGCTTCCTTTTGACATCTTTTAGCTTGTTCCTCTATAAACAGGACTCGAAAGTCTTCATGGGTTCAAATGAAACATGTTTTTGGCTAGAGGCTACATAAGAGATGAGGTTATGCTCTTCCCATTATTACCTGACAAAGCACAGAATATCTCATGGACCCACCGGGAATGGGCTAAGATTAGTCACTGAGTCTGTCCTTGCAATGAAAATAACCTATGTGGTATTTCTTTGGCACTATGTTAATAAAGTAAGTTATTTTATTTTTTATTTTTATTTTTTTGAGACGGAGTCTCACTCTGCGGCCCAAGCTGAAGTGCAGTTGTGCGATCTCAGCTCACTGCAACCTCAGCCTCCCCGGTTCAAGTGATTCTCCTGCCTCGGCCTCCTGAGTAGTTCAGATTACAGGCATGTGCCACCACACCTGGCTATTTTTTGTATTTTTAGTAGAGATGGGGTTTCACCATGTTGGCCAGGCTGGTCTCAAACTCCTGACCTCAACTGATTCATCCGCCTCAGCTTCCCGAAGTGCTGGGATTACAGGCGTGAGCCACTGTGCCTGGCCATAAAGTCAGTTCTTAATTAAAACTTGGCAATGGGGTTTGCAAACAGTACTGGGAATTGGGTCATGAGGCCTAGGAGAGGAGTAAGGAAGAATCAGAGGTTGGAGCCAGAGGTCGAGGAAACTCGGGTCTTGCCCTGACTCTTCCCCTAACTTGCTGTAAGACTTTGGGCAGGTCATTGCTTTACCCTGGACCTGGGTGACAGTCCTCATCTGTAAATTGGGGACAATGCCATCTCTCTACTGGGTTTCTGTGAGAAAAAACTAAGTGATATAGGTGGGAAGTAAGATAGGATTTTGCTATTCTTCCTCTCTGCCCCTACAACACCCCCCATGTATTACAGACTGAGATTCTTACTATTTGTGATGTCATTGGGACTGTCTCTGACCTTCTCTTTTTCAGATTCTTTAAGGGAGCTTTCTCAAAAACCAAAACTCAAGAGGAAGAGGATAAAGGAAGCCCCAGAAACTCCAGAGACTGAACCGTAAGAAGACCAACTGGGACAAAGGGCCCGCTTGTCCTGGCTCTCAGAGCACGGGGAATGGAGACCAAAAAGGGAAAAGAATTGTCCTTATCAAAAAGATTCTCAGGTCTTAATTAGGAATAAATGAGGTGGGAAATAAACATTCTTATGACAGTTCTACCTTACTTGACCAACAGTCATCATTCGTACATTTTAAATTTGTTTAAAAGATATTTGCCAGCCACCTTCTAAGTGGCAGGTGCCCCACATATGCACAGATGAATAAGATGTGGTCACTTTGTCAAGGACCATCACAGTCTAGTGGAGCAGACAGACATAGAAAAGACACGACAGCAGGGTAAATACAGGTGACTGGGGCAGGCCTCCGGGGAGTTAACAAAGGAGCTGGGTGTTTGCCAGTGGAGCACACAGGTGGGGAGGGAGGGAGCCTGGGGTCAGAGAATGGCAAGCCTGGCAGCCCGCCTGCATTGTCTGGACTTCATTTTGTGGGTAGCTTGGGATGGGCAGTGGTAAGGGAAGTGTCAAGTAGTGGAATGAATGGGTGTCACTACGGTATTGGGGAGATGCTCTGGTGACTGTGAGCAAAGTGCATGGAAGTGAGCGAGGCTAGAGGCAGGAGACCAAAGAGGAAACAACACCGATGGTCTTAGCTAACATGGTGGCTCGAGCCATCAGTCACAAATCCACAGCCTGCACACTAAAGTAAGGCTACTGATGTGTTTTGTTTGTCCTGGGTCATGTTCTACTTGTTGTTTAAAACACTTTAAGTCCGGGCATGGTGCCTCATGCCTGTAATCCCAGCACTCTGGGAGGCTGAGGTGGAGGTTTGTTTGAGCTCAGGAGTTCCAGACTAGCCAGGGCGATATGGGAAAACCCCATCTCTACAAAAAAATTAGCTGTTCATAGTGACGCACACCTGTAGTCCCAGCTATTTGGGAGGCTAAGGTGGGAGAATCGCTTGAGCCCATGTGTCAGTCTTTTCTCGCACTGCTAATAAAGACATACCTGAGACTGGGTAATTTATAAAGGAAAGAGGTTTAATTGACTCAGTTCCACGTGGCTGGGGAGGCCTCACAGTCATGGCAGAAGGCAAATGAGGAGCAAAGTCACATCTTACATGGCAGCAGGCAAGAGAGTGTGTACAGGAGAACTCCCCTTTATAAAACCATGAGATCTCATGAGACTTATGAGAACAGCATGGAAAAAAACCCACCCTCATGATTCAGTTACCTCCCACTTGGTCCCTCCCACAACATGTGGGTATTATTACAATTAGAGGTGAGATTTGGGTGGGGACACAGAGCCAAACCATACCATACCGCCCCGGCCCTTCCCAAATCTCATATCCTCACATTTTAAAACCAATCATGCGTTCACAACAGTTCCCCAAAGTTTTAATTCATTTCAGCATTAACCCAAAAGTTCAAGTCCAACATCTCATCTGAGACAAGGCAAGTCCCTTCCGCCTATGAACCTGTAAAATCAAAAGCCAAGTTAGTAACTTCCTAGACACAATGGGGTTGCAGGCATTGGGTAAATACACCCATTCCAAACGGGAGAAATTGGGCAAAATGAAGAGACTACAGGTCCCATACAAGTCCAAAATCCAACAGGGCAGTCAAATATTAAAGTTCCAAAATGATCTCTTTTGACTCCATGTCTCACACTGAGGTCATGCTGATGCAACAGATAGGTTCCCATGGTCTTGGGCAGCTCCAGCCCTGTGGCTTTGCAGGATACAGCCCCACTCCTGGCTGCTTTCACAGGCATTGAGTGTCTGCAGCTTTTCCAGGCACATGGTGAGCTGTTGGTGGATCTACCATTCTGGGGTCTGGAGGGCAGTGGGCCTCATCTGACAGCTCCACCAGGCAGTGCCCCAGTGGGAACTCTGTGTGGAGTCTCCTACCTTACATTTTCCTTCCATACTGCCCTAGGAAAGGTTCTCCATGAGGGCTCCACCCCTACAGCATACCTCTGCCTGGACATTCAAGCATTTCCATTCATCCTCTGAAATCTAAGTGGAGGTTCCCAAACCTCAATTCTTGACTTCTGTGCATCCACAGGCTCAACACCATGTGGAAGCTGCCAAAGTTTGTGGCTTGCACCTTCTGAATCTATGGCCCAAGCTGTACCCTTCTAGCCATGCTGGAGCAGCTGGGATGCAGGGCACCAAATCCTGAGCCTGCACACAGCAGGTGAGCCCTGGACCTGGCCCAGGAAAACATTTTTTCCCTTCTAGACCTCTGGGCCTGTGATGGGAGGGGCTTCCAAGAAGGTCTCTGACATGCCCTGGAGACATTTTCCCCATTGTCTTGGGGATTAGCATTTGGCTCCTCCTTACTTATGCCAATTTCTGCTGCCAGCTTGAATTTCTCCCCAGAAAATGAGTTTTTCTTTTTCTTTTTCTTTTTTTTTCACTAGTTGTCAAATGATCCTTTATTGAAATATTTTCCTTTGTGCTTAACTAGCTGGGCATTCCACAGCACCACTGTTGATGTCATCTATGATGTCATGAGGGTGGCGGCCATCAACATTACAACCCACAGAGACTGGGCAGTCCCCAGGATCTCTTTAATGGTTCCAGAGAGTTCTCTGGCTAAGGATCGGTGCTCCATCTGTCGAGCAAGGTTGACGATCTCATCAAAAGTGATATTCCCACTGTGTTTAATGTTTTTCTGTTTCTTTCTGTCTCTGGTGGTTCCTTGAGGGCTTTGATGATCAGGGCAGAGGCAGAAGGCACCACCTCAATCTGGGCCTGTCTGTTCTGAATGGTCAGTTTCACTGTAATCCTCAGGCCCTTCCAGTCACCCGTTGCCTTGGCAATGTCACCACCAACGTTTTTTGGAGACAGACCCAGGGGGCCGATCTTGGGGGCCAGGGCAGAAGTGGCATCTCCGGTGCACCTCAGGTATATGACTTTGATCTCGTTGGGGTCGAACTTTGGCGGCATGGTGGAGGCGGCTGGTGTCAGATGAACCCGGATTCGGGACAACCGAAGAAAGTTGCACCTTGGCCTCCTCCAAGCCGAAAGCCAAGAGCGAGTTTTTCTTTTTCTATTGCATTGTCAGGCTGCAAATTTTGTGAACTTTTTTTTTCCAAGCCAAACTGTATCCAGCTTTATTAAAGATACTTTCCATAAACAGTCATGGTATTTCAGGCAGGACATGGGCAGACAATCATTAACAGTATACAACAACTTTCAAACTCCCTGGATTCTTCAGTGGACTACCAAAAAGAAAGCCAGTATAAAACCCAATGAAGTCTTCATCTGATGCTCTGAACAGGGAAAGTTTAGAGTGAGGGTTGATATTTCACATTCAGCATGCTGTTAACTTTTCACAAACCAACCTTGACTTTCAGGAAGTGAAATGAAAATGGCAGAATTTATCTGAAGATTCACAATCTAGAAATGGAACCACTGCTCTTTTGACAGGTGCCATCTCAGTGGCATCTGGAAAGTCCAGATTGCCTGACACTGGTAACCAATGACTAGGGGTCAGGTCCCAACAGACGTCTGGGCTTAAGGGAGTTAAGTCTATGCTGAAAGATGGAAAGGGAGAAGAGGACATAAAAATAAATTTGTTTTTCCATACCGCAAGCCTTTTGTGCCAAGGTGGCCATGTGTATCAAAGCCAGGGAATCCCTCCTCCTGGGAGCCAAAAGGAAGTCTCTAAAAACTAGAAGGGAAAGGTGTTTTCCCCATATCAATCCAGCTTCGGAGTCATTCTATTAGTGACGTATGCCCCTTCCCCTAAAAACAACAATGAAGTGTTCTGTGTGCTAACAACGTAGCTTAAAAAAAAAAAGTAAAATAAAATTCTGCATTTTTATAAATCTTGATAAAAAATAGTATTTCAAACTGTATAGTCACCAGATGTACACAGTTATCAAAAATGCACACACTTCACTTGGCATCTCCAGCACCTTCAGCTTTCTGTGCCTGATCTGTTTTGGCATCTTCATTTTCTGCAGGGCTATTCCCTCCTTGCCAGCATCAGCTTTTCCCTTTTTCCCTTTGGGTACCTTCTCTCCCTTCTTTGCAGGGGCCATTTTAGGCTTGGGCTCCGGCTTTGGAAAAGCAGGTTTAGCAGACAACCTCGCGGATCTTTTCTGTGGTTCGTCCTTCGTCTTGGCTTTATCTCCTTTAGCATCCCCTTCAGCCTTTCTCTTGGTCATGGTGGCGGCGACGATGGCATTGAGACGTAGGCACTGGGCGCAGGATGCAGCGGCGCGCGGGCTTTGCTCGGTTCGGGGATCGTTCTCGCCTCTTCTTCCTCCAAATTTTGTGAACTTTTATCATTTCCAGGAGGGTAAGTAGGTCCAAACATTCCCCAAAAACACAAATGACATATTTTCCAGGGCTCTGCCTGAGGCAGCAGCATATAGGGTGCAGGGCTGCCCTGGAGCAGGAGAGGCCAGGGCAGATGTGTGTGACTCTTCTCCCTCCCTCCCTCGATTTGTGTTCAGAAGTAAGTATCGTCATAGACTGACAAGGCTAAAATGAATATCAATCTAGTCTCGAAGAAGGAGTTCAGGGAAGCATGAATGGGGGAAGCGGGGAGGAAGCGCCATTTCTTTCCTCCTTAGAGTCATCGCCTCCTGGAAGTGGCAAGATGAGACGGCCAAGGCATAGGCCTGGGGCCAGCCTGGCTTGGCTAGACCCTGACAGTTTTGTCAAAGCAGGGAGGATTTCAGAGAGAAGGGAAGCCGGGCTGGAGGGTGTCCATGATGACTATGGGCTTTCCAATGTTTTCTACTCCTAAGAGATTTCAGAAATGTGGCTGTTTTGGGAACAGTCCAAAAACACGAAGTATCCCCAGTAGTCAAGGCAGCACTGCCACCTAGAGGAATTGTGAGACACTACAGCCTTGTTCTTTCAACCAACATGTGCAAACCAGCGTGTGCAAAAGATGAAGATGAGAGAAGGGAGCCAGGGGTTCGTTTATCAACCTTGAGAACAATCGGGACGCATAAAGGCAAAAATGGACAACAAGTGAGGCTTGGTTTTGAAGCTTTCTTTCTTTCTTTTTTCCTTAGACGGAATCTCGCTCTGTCGCCCAGGCTGGAGTGCAATGGCGCAGTCTCGGCTCACTGCAACCTCCGCCTCCCGGGTTCAAGCGATTCTCCTGCCTCAGCCTCCCAGGTAGCTGGGCTTACAGGAGCGCGCCACCAAGCCTGGCTAATTTTTTTGTATTTTCAGTAGAGACGGGGTTTCACCATGTTGTCCAGGCTGGTCTCAAACTCCGCTGGCCTCCGCCTACCAAAGTGCTGAGATTACAGGCGTGAGCCACCACACCCGGTCAATTATTGTATTTCTTGTTTATTAACTGTCTTCTTCCCTTAGAATGTAAGTTCCACAGGGTTAGAGATTTTTGTCTGTCCTGTTCATTGCTGTATCCAAAGCAATTACAATAGTATTCAACATATAATAGGTACTTAGCAAACTTTTAATGAATGAACCAACCCAAAACAGAGAATTCTGACCAACCACCTCCTCGTTCAGAGGGGAAAACAGAGGCCCAAGAAGAAAGGCGACTTCTCCAAGGTTGTGCAGGAAGTCAATGGCAGAACTGGAACGACAACTCAGACCTGAGGTCCCCCAGGCCAGCGCACTTCCTACATACCAACGACATATGTTTCACCTACTCTTGGCCCACACACTCATTTCTCACAAGATAGAAATAACCCTCAAGACTAAAATGTATTACTTCTTCTCCTTCTTCTTCTTCTTTTTTTTTTTTAAGACAGTCTCACTCTGTCACCCAGGTTGGAGTGTAGTGGTGCAATCTCCACTCACCACAACCTCTGCCTCCCGGGTTCAAGCGATTCTCCTGCCCTATCTCCAGAGTTGCTGGGATTACAGGCGCCCGCCACCACGCCCAGCTAATTTTTGTATTTTTAGTAGAGATGGGGTTTCACCATGTTGTCCAGGCTGGTCTCGAACTCTTGACCTCAGGTGATCCGCCCACCTCAGCCTCCCAAAGTGCTGGGATTACAGGCATTAGCCACTGCGCCTAACCAAAATGTATTACTTCTTCTAGAATTTTTATTTTTTAAAAGTATCTCTACCCAAAAGTATAATGGTGGACTTGGGAACACCAGAAACAGGTTGTTGGAGAGGCTATTGGGAAGTGGGGAGCCTTGGTGGAAATCCCCAAATCATACCTTGGCCTATGCTGCCTTAGGGGTGAGGCTCATCCTAGAGAAAGTGCCTCACTATCGGAGCCTTCGAGAAGGGTCCTTTTCCTTAGAGAATAAAGGGTACTTTCCCTAAAGTTTTACTTTCAGTTTTTTTTGTTTTTTTTTTTTGAGACGGAGTCTCTGTCACCCAGGCTGGAGTGCAGTGGCGCAATCTTGGCTCACTGCAAGCTCCGCCTCCCGGGTTCACGCCATTCTCCTGCCTCAGCCTCCAGAGTAGCTGGGACTACAGGCGCCCAATGGTGCCCGGCTAATTTTTGTATTTTTAGTAGAGACGGGGTTTCACCGTGTTAGCCAGGATGGTCTCAATCTCATGACCTCGTGATCCACCCGCCTCGGCCTCCCAAAGTGCTGGGATTACAGGCTTGAGCCACCGTGCCCAGCTGTTTCCTGACTTTTTAATGATCGCCATTCTAACTGGTGTGAGATGGTATCTCATTGTGGTTTTGATTTGCATTTCTCTGATGGCCAGTGATGATGAGCATTTTTTCATGTGTTTTTTGGCTGCATAAATGTCTTCTTTTGAGAAGTGTCCGTTCATATCCTTTGCCTACTTTTTGATGGGGTTGTTTGTTTTTTTCTTGTAAATTTGTTTGAGTTCATTGTAGATTCTGGCTATTAGCCCTTTGTCAGATGAGTAGGTTGCAAAAATTTTCTCCCATTCTGTAGGTTGCCTGTTCACTCTGATGGTGGTTTCGAGTTTTAAATGGAAGAGGCTCCTAACCGCGAATGTAGTGACTAACTACTGCCTGACCCACTCCCACCCCAGTCTCTCAGGAGTCACCCGAAGTTTCCTCTTTATAATAATTATCACAAATATATGTAACTGAAGAGAAATAGCAGAGTTTTGCATCCATTCTCACTGGATTTTTGTGTCAAACTTGTGAGGGAAACTCCTTCTCCCCATTACAAAGAAAACAGGCTATGGCCAGGCTTGGTGGCTCAGATGTGTAATCCCAGCACTTTGGGAGACCAAGGTCGGTGGATCACTTGAGGTCAGTAGTTCGAGACCAGCCTAGCTAACACGGCAAAATCCCATCTGTACTAAAAATACAAAAATTGGCCAGGCTTGGCGGTGCGTGCATGTAATCCCAGCTACTCAGTAGGCTGAGGCAGGAGAATTGCTTGAACCCAGGAGGCAGAGGTTGCAGCGACCCGAGATTGTGCCACTGCACTGTAGCCTGGGTGACGGAGCGAGACTCTGTCTCAAAAAAAAAAAAAAAAAAAAACAAGAAGAAGAAGAAAGAAAAAGAAAACAGGGGCTTAGGGGCTGACTTAGTTGAGTTGAGATGCTGACTGCCCAAGCTTTTTGACTCCTCCACACACAAGGCTCTGTCTTTTTGATTTTTCTTGTTTTTGTAAACAGACATTTGCTTTTTTTTTTTTTTTTTTTTTTTTTGAGACAGAGTCTTGCTCTGTCGCCAGGCTGGAGTGCAGTGGTGCTATCTCGGCTCACTGCAAGCTCCACCTCCTGGGTTCATGCCATTCTCCTGCCTCAGCCTCCCCAGTAGCTGGGACTACAGGCGCCCGCCACCATGCCTGGCTAATTTTTTTGTATTTTTAGTAGAGACGGGGTTTTGCCATGTTAGCCAGGATGGTTTCGCTCTCCTGACCTCGTGATCTGGCCGCCTCGGTCTCCCAAAGTGCTGGGATTACAGACGTGATCCACCGCGCCGAGCCTTTTTTTTTTTTTTTTTTTTTTTGAGACAGGGTCTCACTCTGTCACCCAGCCTGAAGTGCAGTGACATGATAATAGCTCACTGCAGCCTCGATTTCCTGGGCTCAAGTGACCCTTCTGCCTCAGCCTCTTGAGTAGCCGGGACTACAGGCATGTACCATCATGCCTGGCTAACTTTAAAAATGTTTTTTTGTAGACACGGATTCTCGCCATGTTGCCCAGGCTGGTCTCAAACTCCTGACATCAAGCAATCCACCTGCTTCGGCCTCCCAAAGTGCTGGAATTACAGGCATGAGAATATGTGATAGGAAAAGAGTATACAGACTTGAAAAAAAATAGAACGTTTAGAAATGAAAAATAACTATTCTTGAGCCAGGCACAGTGGCTCAAGCCTGTAATCCCAGCTACTCAGGAGGCTGAGGCAGAAGGATTGCTTGAATCCAGGAGTTTGAAACCAGCCTGGGCAACAGTGAGAACCTGTCTAAAAACAAAACAGAAACACGCACCTCATAGCTAAGTGAAACAGGAGGCAACATCTGGGTCATTCTTAGCTCATAGAGAGAAATAATCAGTCATTACGTAACAGGAAAGAAAAATACTCAAACTATTTAAAGAGCAGCAGGAATGAAAAAGCCTGATTCTGTACTTGGAAAGAATTTAAATGCAAATCAACTTTCACTTGTTACACAAAAGTTCTAATTCAAAAATAAATTACACTAGAGGTTTTTCAAGGCACTTTCTGGAAGTGATCATTCACAGATTTTTTTCAAACTTATGCATCATATTTAACTGCTTGTGCAAAGTGAAGTCTGATTTTTAAAAATTATTGTAAAATACACATAAAGTTTACTGTCTGAACAATATATATTATATATATAGTTGTAAAATACACAAAATTTATTGTCTGAACTATATATTATATATAAAATATATAATATATAGTTATAAAATACACATAAAGTTTACTGTCTGAACAATACATATATATATCTTTTTTTTTTTTTCTTTTTTTTTAGGTGGAGTCTTGCTCTGTCACCCAGGCTGGAGTGCAGTGGCACAATCTCAGCTCACTGCAACCTCCGCATCCTGGGTTCAAGCAATTCTCCTGTCTCAGCCTCCCTAGTAGCTGGGACTACAGGCGCCCGCCACCACACCCGGCTAATTTTTGTATTTTTAGTAGAGATGGGGTTTCACCATGTTGGTCAGGCTGGTCTCAAACTCCTGATCTCAGGTGATCAACCCGCCTCAGTCTCCCAGAGTGCTGGGATTACAGGCATGAGCCACTGCGCCCAGCCCTGTCTGAACCATTTTATATGTAAAATGCACTAGTATTAATTTTCACAGTGTTGTGAAACCAATCTCCAGAACTTTTGCATCACACAAAACACAAACTCTAGATCCATTAGTGCAGTGGTCCCCAACCTTTTTGTCACCAGGGGTTGGCTTTGTGGAAGACAGTTTTTCCACAGATCGGAAGCAGGGAGAGGTGGGGTGCTTTTGAGATGATTTAAATGCATTAAATTTTTTTAAAAAATTGAGACAGGGTCTCACTGTGTCATCCGGGCTGGGGTGCAGTGGCACAATCACGTCTCACTGCAGCCTCAACCTCCCAGGCTCAAGCAACCCTCCCACCTCAGCCTCCTGAGCAGCTGGGACCACAGGCATGTACCACCAGACCCAGCTAATTTTTTGTATTTTTTGGTAGAGACGAGGTTTTGCTATGTTCAGGTCTCGAACTCCTGAGCTCAAGTGATATGCCTGCCTTGGCCTTCTAGAGTGCTGGGATTACAGGTGTGAGCCACTGTGCCTGGCCTCAAGCATATTACATTTACTGTGCACTTTATTTCTATTACTATTACATTGTAATATATAATGAAATAATTATACAACTCACCATAATGTAGAATCAGTGGGAGCCCTGAGCTTGTTTTCCTGTACTAGACAGTCCCATCTGGGGGTGATGGGAGACAGTGACAGATCATCAGGCATTAGATTCTCATAGGAAGTGCATAACCTAGACCCCTCACACGTGCAGTTCACAATAGGGTTCACCTAATGCTGCCACTGATCTGACAGGAGGTGGAGCTCAGGCAAGTGATGGGGATGGGCTGTAAATACAGAAGCTCTGCTCGTTCACCCACCCACTGCTCACCTCCTGCCACGTGGCCCAGTGCCTGACAGGCCACAGATCCCCGGGGGTTGGGGACCCCTGCATTAGGCAACTACTCCCCATTTTCCCCTATCCCCAGCTCCTGGCAATCACTATCCTACTTTCTGCTTCTATGAATTTGACTACTCTAGATGCATCATCTAATAGTATCATACTCTTTGTGACTGTCTTATTTCACTTAGCATAATGTCTTCAAGGTTTGTCCACATTATAGCTTATGTCAGAATTTCGTATATTCTTATGGCTGAATAATATCCCACTGTATGTATATGCCGTATTTATCAACAGGTTCTCATTCTCTTGCCCAGGCTGGAGTGCAGTGTGGTGTGATCACGGCTCACTCAGCCTCAACCTCCTGGGCTCAAGCAATCCTCCCACCTCAGCCTCCTGAGTAGCTGGGACTACAGGTGTGTGCCACCACGCCCAGCTAATTATTTTTTTGTATTTTTTGTAGAGACAGCATTTCACCTTGTTGCCCAGGCTGGTCTCGAACTCCTGGGCTCAAATAATCCTCCTGCGTCGGCCTGCCTCCCAGAGTTAGGAATACACATGAGCCACCACGCCTGGCCTGCCATATTTATCTGTTCATGCATTGTTAAGACATTTAGGTTGCTTTCGCTTTTGGCTACTGCAAATAATGCTGCTACACGGGTATATAAATATCTGTTCAAGACCCTTTCAATTCTTTTGGATCTATACCCAGAAGTTGAATTGCTGGATCATAAGAGTAATTGTTTTTAATTTTTTGAGCACAGGTGATAGTTTTTCACAGCAGATGCAGCATTTTACATTCCTGTCAACAGTGCACAAGGGCTCTCATTTCTGCACATCCTTGCCAACACTTACTTTCTGTAATAGCCATCCTAATGGGCATTTGTCTATAGAAATGTGCGCTTAAAGTAACTGAGTGTGGTTTGCTAACACACTCAGGACAGTATCTGTCACAGGATAAACTCTATGTTGAATACACAGATCAGCAAAGTTTACAAGTTGGAAAGAGTCTTAACACTGTAAGTTATATGGCCATATGGTAATTGCTTTCACAAAGCTCTAAAATGCTGCATTAATACCAAGTGGCAACTCAAACTTTAAGGGAAGGGTTCCCTTGATCTTTGAGCTTGACAGATGAGCAACACTATCCAGGAAATGGCATTCCACAAGGACGACGAAATCGCATGTTCAGAGGTTCAGTCATGGAGATGTAAAAAGAAACATTTTTAAATTCAGTATCACTGAAGGTGGCAGGCAGTGAAGCTGGTGCTGACTATATTCCAAGTGATGGTGGGATTTTGTCTACAATATTTTCTTCCTAATCTTTAAAAATATGGCTTCGTTTCCTACAACTGGTTTCTGAGTCCTTCAGATTTATGCTGTTTCATGGTGAAGTTTTTTAAAGACCTGATTTTACCCCCTTATTCATGTGAGGAAATAAAACACAAAGAGGGCTGGAATGACGTAACTCAGAATCTTCCAGTTCAGAGACAGCTGGAACTGAAACTCCAATCTAGGCTTTTCTTCACTATTCCAGCAGAACTTTACCAGGTCTCATCATTCATCTTCAGCCTTTAGAGTGAGAGGATTCTTAAAAGAATGGTATACTTTTGTAAAGACTAAAAAATCCCTTTGCATTAATGCAGTGCTTTGTCTTTTTCCAAGTGCTTTTCATCAGCACAATCTCCAGATGTTACCATGCGCCTCCTCTGCCACACATCTTAATTTTCTTGAACAAGAGCACTTTTGTTCTAGTTCCAACAGTTTCTCTCACACTGTTCTCTAATAAAAACAGTCTGCAAAGCTTAATCCCAACCAAAAGCAATCAAAACCAAATTGGAAACAGATACACTATGAATGCAGGAACACTATATTTATTAGGTCAATAATTCATTTTTAGCAATACAAGTACAGAATATATCACAATGCTGGTTACAAACATACTTAGTATGGTTTAATAGTTACAAATAACGGTGGGCACTACAAGTTGGTGAGAATGATATGAAAGGTCATCCTGACACAATGAAGAACCGTCTTCAAAAATCTATTTAATGACCTTAGATATTTCTATAGAAATTATTGTGGCACTATTAGTGGGGATTTTCACGTAAAGATTGTTAGTGTTTTGTTTTTAACTGTTCCATTAAGAACTTTTTATTTTGAGCCTATTAAACTAAAATCCCCTGTTGCTTAATAAAGTATAAAAATAGTACTGACCTGGTAATATTTAATAAAACGTAGCATTCATTCACATCATAAAAGTAGAACTGAAAAGTTTTAGTTACCATGGCAAAATATCTTCCCATAAAAGGAATATACAGAAATGAGTAATGTTACACAAACGGTACCTGCAATGGTTATTTAGTGATCCAACACTTAACTGTGCACCACAAACCAAGTTTTCTAGATATCTATATATAGGATATATTTTTAATCTTAAATTTTACTCTTGAAAAACATGTGCACTTCAACAAACTCACTAAGGCCACTCATGCTATAGATACCTAGGATTGCAATTAAAGAATAGTATTATGCAATAAATCCTAAAGCACACTCCTTCTGATTATCAACAGGGTAAAACCAGTTTTCTGCCTAAAACATTCCTGAGATTTATGGACAAAAGAAGTACTGTTGAAGCTGGAGATTAATCCAAATGTCATATTAACAACAAAAAATTTCCTAGCCAGGCGTGGTGGCAGGAGCCTGTAATCCCAGCTACTCGGAAGGCTGAGGCAGGAGAATCGCTGGAACCCGGGAGGCGGAGGTTGCAGTGAGCCAAGACGGTGCCATTGCCCTCCCAGCCTGGGCAACAAGAGCGAAACTCCGTCTGAAAAAAAAAAAAAAAATTTCCTGGCAACTAAGTTCCTCCACAGCCAAGAGGTGAAGTACACATCCACTTCTAAAGCAAAGATAAAACCCCAAAAACTTTGTACTTATAGTGTTTTTCCAGTAGTAACTTTGCCACCCAGAAGAAAAGCAAGCAGCAAGGCTACAAATTCTAGGGAAAACATAAAAAGTGGCAGTTAATGATACCTGTTATGAGCAAATCATTATTTCTATGTATAAAGTTTCAGCCAAAGGCTTCAATCATGTTTTGGCATGTGTTCACTGCAGTTTTCTGTCTGCACTATTAAGGAGCAGCCAAATGGCACCTTCATTATTTCTAAGATCGCAGCCTCTGTACTTAATTTTCATAAAATTATAAACTTTTCCCAACAGGCTAGGAACAAAGGTCTTTCTCAAATTATTTTCACAAGTGAAAAAATACCTGGGCAGGGGTTACTACAAAGCAATAGTGAGCCAATTTTTAACCAAGCAGAGACAGAGATTTGATGGTAGTAAGGGTCTCAATCCCTTTGGCAAAGTCAGCTTTGAGGATCCATAAAGATTATGCTCTAAAAATTCCAATTGACTCTATTAAATGGAATGCAGGCATGAGTGGCCACCTGAGCGACACATGCGAGTGCTGACGGAGCTCCCTGATGCACCCAACTGGAGTAGCACCGAACTTTAGGAAAAGACTGGGTAGAAGAGTCAGAGAAGGATGAGACCAAAGGCCCCTAATTTAACATAACTTTGCTGAACCTCCAGAAAAATCTTTAAGTTGGCCAGGGCTTCCTTACGCACCTCACCATATGTAAAAAGTTTGCGCAAGTTAACTTATTGTGAGATAAATTTTATTATTTTCTTCAAGATTTTTAAGAAACCCAATAAATCATAGTGGCACACATCTAACTTATCCTAAACATCCCTACTTAAAGGATGAATCTTACACTTAAAGTCATAGGGTATTATTCTTCATTAGAACCAGAAATAATAGCACATTAAGTCATATCCCTAACCAAAATGGCAATGTTTTCTTAAGCTAGAGTGTATGCATTAAAGTATATGGATTTACAAAAAAACTACATTAAAGCAGTGGTGATAAGGAGAAACTGCCAATAATGATGTTTCAAAAAAACACAACTGGCTGCCAATTGACATTATCACCCTGTGATCCTAGGCTTCTACATACCATGTTGTTTTATCACTGAGTGTGAGCTAAGTTGAGTTCAAATGGAGTTAGGGAGGATGAGGCTGTAAGTCATTTGTTTATTTTTATCCTAGGAAATGCTGTATGTGCACAAAACCAAAAAATACAGATTGAAAAAAAAACTTCATATGGAAACATGTTTCAAAATATTTATTGAAAAACAATTTACCATGACATTCCTATACCACAAACATACCACTGGATTCTAAATAACCAATAAAAGTATACAAAGCCTATCCTGAAAATATCTTTGGAGGTATTAAATATATAGGCCCATGAGGATAGAGCTGAGTAACTTAAAAATGTTAGTCCTTGGTCACAAAGACTATTTGGTAATTAATAAAGAAGTGCCTCTTGACATTAGACTGCAATTAACTGAGGGGTGGGGGGCAGCTTCATAAACTGCAAGTACGTCAATTTACTCTTTCCAAAATTTAAAAAGAAAATAATTCGATTTGAGGAGTAAACTCAGGTTTCTAAATCACACAGTTACCATCTTAGGGTGTGGGTTTGCTTCATCTCTTTCAGTACATCCCCCAACCAACCCCCTCCTAGGGAACTTAAATGCAATGGCTCAAAACTAATAGGACTGCAAATAACAGCTTCAAACAAGGTTGGGAAGTTCAAAAAAGTGCTTAAAATATTAATAAAATTTGAAATCTACAACTTTTCTGTACTCAATGTGGCAGACAGCTTAGATTTTTTTCCCCTCTCACCCAACATGCATGTTAAAAGAAAACTAAAATTCAACACACATCCATTCACCCACAGACTACTCCAAGCATTAGCTAGGAGCAACATCTTTAACAGCCAAGTCATGAACCCCTGAAAATAGGGGGGGAACCCAGATTCTTAACTATAGAAGCATCAGATGGGCTACTACAGTAAGAATTGAGGTAACAGCAAAATACCTTTTTGTTTCTTGAATTGCTACATGTCACAAATTCTTAAATTTGATTATTACCTCATCATTAAATAACCTGACTGGCTTACAAAAAATCAAATCAAAACCCAATAAACAGAAAGACAAGTTAGTGAAATAGGTGTATTATTAGGGGATCTTTCCATTTGACTCCTAGATTTCAAATGAAATGACCTAGTTGTATTACTATTTACCATAAAAATGGAGGATTTTCTAAGACTTATTTTTGGGCATTCATTTTCATTAATCTCCATAAACCATACAGTAACCTAACATTTCCATCTGAACATGAACTATTTCATGACACACAGCCAATATACTTGTTAACTGCATTGATTATTAGGGCAACATTTAAAATGAGGGGGATGGCTGCAGCCGATATTTATAGACTTGCTTATGGCACTGCCATCTGTGTACCTTGACTAAAAATATGCCATTGAAATTGCCAAACTTCCCTAATTTGGTATCTATTACATAATTTTTGCATTATCCTTTTTCATTATACATCTAAATGAAATCATTCTACTGATAAAAGTATATGTAGGATCTAAAATAATAATCTAAAGCCTCTGGTCCAAGTAACCACCTTCTACATTAGGCTGGTCCTTTTTAGATCCTCCTGGTCCTGTTAGCAAATGCTATCAGAGCATCTTGCATTGTTGTACCAAAAAAAAAAAAGTCAGAAGTGCTGGTCTATCAGATTTTCTATTACATTACAGATCAACACTGGTCCAGTTCAGATGAATCTGACAGTCCTTTCCTTGTAATATAGAGTGGTTGTATCCACTTATCTGGGCAAGGTAGAAAAACGTAAGTCGGGATGTCCCTCTTTTATTAGTACTTGTGTTAACTTTTCTATACTGCATATAAAGATTTTCCGCATAAAATTTCTTTACACTACAGTATTGAATACCTCCACATGGAAGAATTACATATTAAAAAGTTGTTAAAATCATCCTTACATAATAAGAATGCAACTCTTTTAAACTCTTAAATAGTTTTATTTAGGGGTATTTTTTTTCTTTCAGGCTTTCTGCAAAATGAATTTTTTAAAAACAACAAAAAAAAGATTTCCTGTTGTTTGTTCTACTAGGTTGAAAATGTGGGCCAGACTACTTACACATGCGGTACATGCTGAATATAACTGAATATATGCTTATTCCTACAGACATTCTGCAAGATAGGGATCACCCAAAATAGGGTCTTCAATGGACTGGACCAGTGTTTCAATGCAAATTCCAGCCCCCCAAAACAACATGGTTTTGATTTCACAGTATGAATTCCCTGGAATCCGGGAAAAGGTAATTGGTTAACTGAGGTCCTCCCTCAGCAGCTCGGTCCCTCGACATTCTGAGAAATCAGGAAGGACTGCACCACTTCTTCAGTGGACTGGGGGCTGGTGCTGACATCTTCAAGAGCATCTGTCACTGAATATTGCCGATCTCGCAACCGGTTCCAGTTAGACAGAACATTGTGATATTCAAACACTTTCTCGTAATTTCCAATGGAGTTGTAAAGTTTAATGAGACCTCGATAATCATATTCTAGTCCACTGTAGCCCTCACCAAAAAGTTTCTTCCCTGTAACAAAAAAGAAAAAGGAAAAAAAAAAAAGCACAAATAATGAGATAACAAGCAATTTCTATAACATGAACACAAGTTCAATTCTTTAAACAGGGTGGCTTAGGTTTATTCCCCTGAAAGGAATAGATATAATTCTTGTATCAGCATCCCCTAAATCAGTCCCAACCATGAGCTATCACTAAGACTTAAAAAAAATTTTCTCGTCTAAAGAAGTTGGCCTCATTAGAATAGAATTATAAAAATTCATGGTTTGAAAGAACTGTTTAAAGAGATCTCAAAGAAGAATGGCAGCATCTCCAACAACAGAAAAATACACATGCACAGGCCAGTCATGGTGGCTCACACCTGTAATCCCAGCACTTTGGGAGGCCAAGGTGGGTGGATCACCTGAGGTCAAGAGTTTGGGACTAGCCTGGCCAACATGGTGAAAGCCTGGCCAACATGGTGAATACCCGTCTCTACTAAAAATACAAAAATTAGCTGGGCGTGGTGGTGCATGCTTGTAATCCCAGCTACTCGAGAGGCTGAGGCATGAGAACTGCCTGAACCCAGGAGGCAGAGGTTGCAGTGAGCCAAGATCAGGCCACTGCACTCCAGCTTGGGTGACAGAGAGAGACTCCGTCTCAAAAAAACCAACCAACAAATGAAAAACCAAAACACATGCACAAGGCTATTCACTGCAACAGTATTTGTAATTACAAATTAACAGAAACAAACAAAAACACGTAGAATAGTTTAATCAACTGTGGTACCTTCACTCAATGGCATATTATGTAGCTGCAAACTGATGGGGAAATTTCTGGGCTCTCTGTAACGGTTACGGAGTGACTGATGGTATATTGTTAAGATTGAAAAAAGTAAAATACCAAAGAGTATCTATAGTATGCTATCTTTTGTGTATGATAGGGAAATAAGAAAATATTTATCTGTTCATTGTGCAAAAAGATACACAAAAATGATAAACCAGAAACTAATGAGACTGGTTATCCATAGTGAGTGGGTGGGAACTGGGTAGAAGAAATCAGAGAAAATTATATGTATCTGGACATATCTTTCTGTATAGTTCTAATTACAGTACGTTAATATTTCGCATACTCAAAAAAATTAACAAAATAAACAAAGATGGATGGGGCAACAATTTAACATGTTAAATAAACCTAATTGTTGTGCAAAAGAATAACATAACCACATTGAAAGGAAAGGGGTGTAAATAACCCCAAGTAACTTTTGAACATAGTATTCTGAAAATATACTACCTTCGGGCTAGAGAAAAAGGAAAACTGTAAACGAATATTGAACTCTAAGTAGTAGGTCTGTTTTTCACAGCGGTATGGGTTAGCAACTCTTAAACTACATGCACTTGAGGAATGAGCAAGTCAGTCAATATATTATAGATAATAGGGAACCCACATGTATATGGATAAATGATTTATGAAGAACACAGTATAGCAGAGGGAAAAAAAGAGTCTTTTGGCCAGGAGCGGTGGCTCACGCCTGTAATCCCAGCACTTTGGGAGGCCCAGGCGGGCAGGCTGCCTGAGGTCAGAAGTTCGAGACCAACCTGGCCAACACGGCAAAACCTTGCCTCTACTAAAAAAATACAAAAAAATTATCCAGGTGTGGTGGTGTGCATCTGTAGTCCCAGCTACTTGGGAAACTGAGGCAGGAGAATCGCTTGAACCCAGGAGGTGGAGGCTGCAGTGAGCTAAGACCACGCCACTGCATACCAGCCTGGACGACACAGCGAGACTCTTGTCTCAAAACAAAACAAAACCAAAAAAAAGTCTTTTGAAGAAATGGTCTTGGCTTAACTCTGTGTCCATATGGGGAAAAAAATTGATCCCTACTTCACACCATAAAAAAAAAATCAGTTTCAGGATTGTAGATCTAAATATAAATAAAGTTTCCTGAAGATAATTTTCTAGAAAAAAATATCTTTATTACTTTGGGTAGAAAAAGATTTCCATATTTTTTTTTGGAGACGTAGTCTTGCTCCGTCACACAGGCTGGAGTGCACAGTGCAATCTCGGCTCACTGCAACCTCTGCCCGCTAGGTTCAAGCAATTCTCCTGCCTCAGCCTCCCGAGTAGCTGGGATTACAGGCGTACTGTACCACGCCCGGCTAATTTTTGTCTTTTTAGTTGAGACGGGGTTTCAGCATGTTGGCCAGGCTGGGCTTGGACTCCTGACCTCAAGTGATCCACCTGCCTCGGCCTCCCAAAGTGCTGGGATTACAGGTGTGAGCCACCGTGCCTGGCTGAAAAGATTTCTTAAACAATACAAAAAGTGCTATTCACAAAAGAAAACACTGATGCAGGCTGGACGCGGTGGCTCATGAGGCCTGTAATCCCAGCACTCTGGGAGGCCAAGGCAGGCAGATCACGAGGTTAAGAGATTGAGATCATCCTGGCCAACATGCTGAAACACCGTCTCTACTAAAAATACAAAAAATTAGCTGGGCATGGTGGCGGGCACCTGTAGTCCCAGGTACTCCGGAGGCTGAGGCAGTAGAATTGCTTGAACCTGGGAGTCGGAGGTTGCAGTAAGCCGAGATCGCGCCACTGCACTCTAGCCTGGGTGACAGAGCGAGACTCCCTCTCAAAAAAAAAAAAAAAGAAAATACTGATGCATCTGATTACATTAAGAACTGGCTGGGCACAGTGGCTCATGCCTATAATCCCAGCACTTTGGGAGGCTGAGGTAGGAGGATTACTTGAGCTCAGGAGTTTGAGATCAGCCTGGGCCAAGATTGTGAGACCTTGTCCCTATTGAAACAATAAAAAAAAAAAAATTAGCCGGGTGTGCTGGTGCACATCTGTAGTCCCAGCTACTCAGGTGGGCTGAGGCAGAAGGATCACTTGAACTCAGGAGATTGAGGCTGCAGTGAGCCCTGATGTGCACTCCAGCCTGGGTGACAGAGTAAGATCCTGTCTCAAAAAAAAAAAAAGAAAGAAAAAAGAAAAAAGAAAAAAAGAACTTCTGTTATTTAAAAGGCTCCATTAGGAAACAAGCAAGAATAAGAGATGATATCTATGACACATGTAACCAACGAAGGTCTGTCATATTCATATCATATAAAGAACTTCTATAAGTCAATAAGAAAATGACAAGACAAATCAATATAAAAATGGGCAAGAGTTTTAACAGGCACTTCATAAGATGATGGCCATAGATTCCTTATTTTGATTTTGTAATAGTCCTGAAATGGAAATCCAAATGTTCCAAATGTTCATTAATAGTGGAATGGATAAATGATGACATCCTAATCCAACAAATGGCAGTGATACGCAACATCACAGATTTCACCATTATTGTTCACCAATAAACCAGACACATAAAAATATACATTGTATAACTTCATCAAGTTCAAAAACAGGTAAGCCTGATCTATGATGTTAAAGGTAGGAGAAGGGAGGGGGAGGAATGAGTGGGCAGTAACTGCACAAATAGTTTAAAATAACTACTTTTGCCTACACATGACAGTCTACTGTCATACCTCTTACTACTGGCTTCAGTATCAAAAAAAGCACCTTTAGCAAAATGTTCCAGATGATTTTTGGGTGGTTCCTGAATATCCTTAGCAACTTATCCCATTTAAATCTATTTTATTTTATTAAATATTTTAGTATTTTATTTTATTTTATTTATTTTTTTGAGATGGAGTCTCGTTCTGTTGCCCAGGCTGGAGAGCAGTGGCACAATCTCAGCTCATGACAACCTCTGCCTTCCAGGTTCAAGTGATTCTCCTGCCTCAGCCTCCTGAGTAGGTGGGACTACAGACATGCACCATCATGCCCAGCTAATTTGTTTTTGTATTTTTTAGTAGAGATGGGGTTTCACCATGTTGGCCAGGCTGGTCTCGAACTCCTGACCTCAAGTGATCTGCCTATCTCGGCCTCCCAAAGTGCTGGGATTACAGGTATGAGCCACCGCACCCAGCCCCATTTAAGTCTTTAATAACATTTTCCTTATACAACATATAAGACATGCTGACATGTTGATTTGTAATCAACTGACTAAAGAAAATTTAAATGTAACATACCAATTGCTATAGATCGCAAATAAAGTTTCTCAGCATTTTCATACTGATTCATGTCATAATTATATAAAGAAGCCAGATGTCCCACTGAAAGGGCTACTTCATAATCTTCTTGACCAAGAAGTTGTTCTTTAATCTGAATTGCTTTGATGTGCATTTCTTCAGCTTCCTGAAAAACAATTATGCCATATCAATCATTATACTTTTTCTCATCTTAACAGTTCTTACTCAATGAGCAAAACTGATCTAAATGCCAAAGACATCTTATGAATGCCATAAGGTAATCAGATCAAAGAACATACTATGTTATTCCAAAAATTGCCTATGGGAAGCATTACAGAGTTTTGGAAACTGCAGATAAACTGATGACAGCAATAGTATCCTATGTCAAAAGTAACAAGTGAAAACTTATCCTGGTAATAAAAAATTGTTACAAGAAATTCACAACAAAGAAATTTGCAAAATTTTAAGAAACTGTTAGAAGAAATTAACAAAACATTCTAAAACAAAAATTACTTCCTTTGGTTAACACAGTTAACACAGTCCAAAATTTAGTTGAACCTTCTTAACAAGCTCTAGATCATAATATGTTAATTTACATGGGCATACACTTTCATTTCATTTTTTGGAATTTTGACAATTTTTATTCCAACAAACTAAACTCAAGCTAATTGAGGGATATACAGGTTGCTTTTCAGGTAAAGAAGACCTCTCACTCTTTACTTACTGTGATCCCAAAATTAATAATATTAAGAATTTATAGGCTGGGCACAGTGGCTCATGCCTGTAATCCCAACAGTTTGGGAGGTCGAGGCAGGCAGATTGCTTGAGCCCAGGAGTTCGAGATCAGCCTGGGCAACAGGGCTGGGCAATAGGGCAAGACCCTGTCTCTACAAACAATACAAAAATTAGGCAGTGTGGTGGTGTGCGCCTGTATTCCCAGCTACTTGGGAAGCTGAGGTGAAAAGATCACCTGAGCCCAGGGAGGTTGAGGCTGTAGTGAGCCATGATCACACCACTGTACTACGGCCTGGACAACAGAGTAAGAACCCATATTAAAAAATATATATATAACTCAAAATTCTAAAATACATTGAAGTTAGTCATATTTATTGCTACAACTGATAATACTTGTTGCAATATCTGACATTTCTTGCACACCTGCCATGTGCCAGGCATTCTGCTAAGAGCTATACTTAGTATATACTAAGAATTATATATCAAGAACTATATACTAAGAACTGTTTGAAATATAGCAATCATATTTGTCTTTTTTATTTAAAAAATTTTTTCTTATCTCAAGTACTACTTTCATATATTAATCTTTTTTTTTGAGATGAGTCTCACTCTGTTATCCAAGCTGGAGTGCAGATCTCGGCTCACTACAATCTCCATCTCCCAGGTTCAAGCAATTCTCCTGTCTCAGCCTCCTGAGTAGCTGGGACTACAGGTGCATGCCACCATGCCTGGCTAATTTTTGTATTTTTAGTAGAGATGGGTTTTCACCATGTTGGCCAGGCTGGTCTTGAACTCCTGACCCTCAAGTGTTCTGCACACCTTGGCCTCCCAAAGTGCTGGGATTACAGACATGAGCCACTGAGCCCGGCCTCATATATTAATCTTTTTAGTTTGACATGTTTCCTAATTTTTCATGATCCTGTTTTTTTTTTTGTTTTTTTTGAAGACAGGCTCTCACTCTGTCACCTAGGCTGGAGTGCAGTGGTGTGATCAGAGCTCACTGCAGCCTCAACCTTTTGGGCTCAAGTCATCCTCTTGCCTCAGCCTCTGGAGAAGCTGGGACTACAGGTGTGAGCCACCATGTCTGGCTAACTTTTTCTTTTTTGTAGAGATGGGATTTCCCTATATTGACCAGGCTAATCTTCAACTCCTGGCCTCAGGTGATTGTCCCACCCTGGACTCCAGTGCTGGGATTACAGGCATAAGCCACTGTGCCTGGCCCACGGTCCTGATTTTTAAATTTTATTTATATTTTGACTATTGTTTGTTTGTTTTAGAGATAGGGTCTCACTCTGTCACCCAGGCTAGAGGGCAGTGATGTGATCATAGTCACTGCAGCCTCAACTTCTTGGGCTCAACTCATCCTCCTGCCTTAGTCTTCCAAGTAGGTAGGAAGACAGGCATGTGCCACCACACCTGCCTAATTTTTGTAGAGACAGGGTCTCCCTATGTTGTCCAGGCTGGTCTGAAACTCCTGGTCTCAAAGGACCCTCCCATTTCAGCCTCCCAGAGTGCCAGGATTATAGGAATGAGCCACTGTGCTTGGCCTATGTTGTTTTATACTCACTATCTTCTCAATTCCTTTGTGCAATAAGTGTATAATTTATTTGAGCTTACTTAAAATTTATTATTTCAGGTTCTATTTCATTACTTAAGAGAGAAAAATATAGTAAAAACATGTTTCTACCTTAAATTTTCTCATTGACTGATAAAGTCTTCCAAGGTTTCCATAGTGTTTTGCAGTCTGTACATTAAATTCCCCAAAAGCTTTTTTAGCTAGTTGGAGTGAAGACAGGTGCAAATCATGAGCTTCTTGAAGCAGCCTCTGTTCAGTTTCCTTATTATGACAATCAATTGCAATCTCCTCTAAAATAAGTGCTAAAAAAGAAGGCAATAAATTAGTGTACTTCAAAACCATCTACCAAAGCTAGTAAGAACATCTAATTTAAACTTAAATAATATAAATGTTTACTGAATATATTTATATGTGATTATGGTTTGGAACTGGTCAAGATGAAAGAATTCCACTTTTAACAAAAAAGTACACTTTTTGGTGGTCATTCTATTTTGCACAGTATATATATTCAAATTTAAGAAAAACAATGGTATAAACGATTTTGCAGAATTAGCTTCTATTTTAATAGACTGCTATACTTTGCTGATGTGAAATTTGTTTTTCAAATTAAACGGAAGCACAAGGCAAGTTTTTTAAAGTCATGAAACTGTGTCAAGGAGTACCTAAGCACTTCTGAAAATTTTGAAAACACACTTTATAAAACATAACCTTTAACCAAACACGGCTAAAAGAACTGATTTCCTCCTACTCATCTGACCAACCAAATCAGGCAAGACATTTCAATTTCAAAGCTCCATTCAAGACTTTCAAATTCTATCTAAAGTCTTAAGAATATACATATTATTTTACCAGATAATTTGATTTATTGGAAAACTGTCTATGTACACAAAGGTAAGAAAAAGAGATTTACTTCACTGTAGCATTTTTTAAAAAGAAAAGGTTAAAAATAATTATAAGAGTCAAATAATAAAGGTAAGGTTAAATACATTAGAAAAAAGGATATATGTAGAGACATGAAAAAATGTAATATATTAAGTGAAAAAATCAGATTATAAAATTAAATCATTCATTTAGTTATCTTATTTGAAGTAAGAAAAGTCTAAAATAATATTCACCAAAATGTTGACTGAGGATTGGTGGGATTTTAAGGCAATTTATTTTTCTCTTTTCTATCTAACATCATGTATTACTTGTGCAACTTAAAAAATACAAACCTAGAGGGAGAAAAAACTCAGTTCCAGAATTAAGGTAGAACATATCCAACATGCACGGAAATAACACATAGGTGACCCAATCATGTTAGCAAAATAAATGCATTACGTGAAAAAGCCTTGGTGGTAATCAGAAGAAAAGTTAAAATAAGAAATGGAAGATAGGGGTATTTTGCAAGAGCCTTGCAACATTCGGGGTAACCTGATACGAAGCTCAGGATAAGAATCCTGCACTACAAAGCTGAAGTTATGAAACCCATCTTCTATTCATGTTGTGTAGAAACATTTGTATTATGCTTCCATGCAATCCTCAAAAAAATTAATGCATGCATGAGTGAATGACAAAAGGGAGAGAGAAAAGAAAGAAATTCTGGCTTACTGATTTTTTTTTCTTGAGACAGAGTCTCGTTCTGTTGCCTAGGCTGGAGTGCAGTGGCACGATCTTGGCTCACTGCAACCTCTGCCTCCTGGGTTCAAACGATTCTCCTGCCTCAGCCTCCCAAGTAGCTGGGATTACAGGTGCACGCCACCACATCCGGCTAATTTTTGTATTTTTAGTAAAGATGGGGTTTCACCATGTTGGCCAGGCTGGTCTCAAACTTCTGACCTCAGGTGATCTGCCTGCCTCGGCCTCCCAAAGTGCTGGGATTACAGGCATAAGCCACCCCATCCGGCCTATTAACAATGTTTTATGAGAGATGCAAACAGTCTTTCATTATGAGCCACTGGAACCCCTTAAGTAGAGTTGTGGTAAAATGGCTATCTAGTAATACATAGACACCGTCAAATCCTGTGAGAAAATCCTCCAATCCTCTGAGAAAATAAACAAATACCCCTATTTTATACCATATATCATCTATTTTAAAATATCTGAGACTAGATTACAAAGGATACCTTTCACCCTCTTTGAAGAAGCCAAAAGAAGATGATCTTCAGGTAGGATGTGGGTAATGATACCAATAGCTCTTTCTGCATGAAATCTGTAATACAGATAGATACAGTCTGGCATTTCTTTTTAGTTACAAATGATTTAGGAATTTTAAAAATCACAATCTGTAATATAATATTGATAGAAAGTACTTCTAAAACTATCTGTGGTAAAGATCCAGCTTTTTGTTTTAAATTTCCAATCTGTTGTAGACTGAACTTTTAATACCCAACAGAGACTCCCATTTCCCTCAGAATGAGAGGAAATCTTTACTACAGACTACAAGATTCTACATGATCTTTCAGCCTGCTACTTCCCTGACCTCATCTCCTGCCATTCTCACACCAACCCTCTCCGCCTTCCCCTCCAGCCACACAGGCCTAGCAGTTTCCTGAACATGCAGAGCATGTTCTCACCCTGGCTTTACCCTTTCTATAATGCTCTTCCCCTGAACATTCTCACGACTCGCTCCTCAGGTCTTTCCAGAACAGACCACATAAAAGGCCCTAAAAAAATTTACCACTGGCCGGGTGCAGTGGCTCATGCCTGTAATCCCAGCACTTTGGGAGGCTGAGGTGGGTGGATCACCTGAGGTCAGGAGTTCGAGACAAGCCTGGCCAACATGGTGAAACTCCATCTCTACTAAAAAAATACGAAAATTAGCCAGGTGTGGTGGTGAACGCCTGTAATCCCAGCTACTCAGCAGGCTGAGGCAGAATCGCTTGAACCTGGGAGGTGGAGGTTGCAGCGAGCCAAGATTGCACCATTGTACTCCAGCATGAGTGACAAAGACTGTCTCAAAAAAAAAAAAAAAAATTACCATCACTCTCTCAACTCAGCCTACTTTACTCTTCTTCACAACATGTATTCTTGCCTGACAAGTTTGGTTATTTGTTTATGGCCCATATCACCAAATAGAAGGTAAGCTATTTCTGTTTTATTGTCAGTTTCTTTCAAACAATGCCAAGCCTCCCTCTCCCCCACCCTCCAGGTAACCACTAGTTTTCTCAAATCTGTCTTCCAATTTACTAATTCTCTCTTTTGTTGTAACTAAACTTCTGTTTAACTTGTCTGCTGAGGTTTTTTTTGTTTTGTTTTTGTTTGTTTGTTTTTTTTACACAGGATCCTGCTCTGTCATCCAGGCTGGAGTACAGTGATGCAATCATGGCTCACCGCAGCCTCAAACTCCTGGGCTCGGGTGATCCTCCCACCTCAGCCTCCCGGATAGGTGGGTTACAGGTGTACACTGCCATGCCCAACTAATTTTTTTGCATTTTCTTTGAAGAGACAGGGATTTGCTATGTTGTCCAGGCTGGTCTCAAACTCCTGGGCTCAAGTGATCCACCCACCCTGGCCTCCTAAAGTGCTGGGAGTACAGGCGTGGGCCACCACGCCTGGCCCATCTGCTGAGTTTTAATGTCAATGACTATTTCCATTTCTAGCCATTTGTTTTATTTTTATAACAGCTCAAGATATAATTAGTATACCACACAATTCACCCATTTAATGTGTACAATTCAATGATTTTTAGTGTATTCACAGAGTAGTATGCCAATCACCAAAATCAATTTTACAACATTTTCATTACCCCATAAAGAAACCTATGCCCATTAGCAGTCAGTCTCCATTTCCCTCCAACTCCCCAGCCTAGATAACATCAATTTATGTTCTCTCTACGGATTTGCCTATTCTGGACATATTACATAAATGAAATCATACAATATGTGATCCTTTGTGACTGGCTTCTTTCACTGGGCACAGTGTTTTCAAGGTTCATCCATGCTGTAGCATGTAACAGTTACTTTAAAATCTGCCCTTTTCCAGCCAGGCATGGTGGCTCACATCTGCAGCCTCAGCACTTTAGGAGGCCAAGGGGGGCAGATCACTTGAGGTCAGGAGATCGAGACCAGTCTGGCCAACATGGTGAAACCCTGTCTCTACTAAAAATACAAAAATTAGCCAGGTGTGGTGGCGTGTGCCTGTAATTCCAGCTACTCAGGTGGCTGAGACAGGAGAATCGCTTGAACCTGGGAGGTGGAGAGTGCAGTCAGCCGAGATCACGCCACTGCACTCCAGCCTGGGCGACAGAGTGACAGACTCTGTCTCAAAAAAAAAACAAAACAAAAACAAAAAAACTTCCTGTTTTCTTTATGGGAATATTCTTCATTCTTTCTTTTATATTAGAGTTAACAAAGTTTTTCTGTAGAGGGCCAGATAGTAAATATTTTAGGTTGTGTTGTCCACACATTCTCTGCTGCAACTACTGAACTCTGGCTGCTGTAGTGTGAAAGAAGCTATAGAAAACACATGAATGAATGAGCATGGCTATGTTCCAGTAAAACATAAAACTTTACTTATAGGCCTAGTTCGTCAACCTATTTTGTATCTTTAATCATATAAAGAACACATACTTTACAGCATCAACCAAAAAGAAGTTCTGGTTTTTTTTTTTGTTTTTTTTTTTGAGACGGAGTCTCGTTCTGTCGCCACGCTGGAGTGCAGTGGTGATCTTGGCTCACTGCAACCTCCGACTCCCGGGTTCAAGCGATTCTCCTGCCTCAGCCTCCCGAGTAGCTGGGATTACAGGCGCATGCCACCATGCCTGGCTAATTTTTGTATTTTTAGTAGAGACGGGGTTTCACTGTGTTGGCCAGGATGGTCTCCATCTCCTGACCTCGTGATCTGCCCGCTTCGGCCTCCCAAAGTGCTGGGATTACAGGTATCAGCCACTGCGCCCAGCCAAAAAAAAGTTCTGTTAACTAAAGTTTTCAGGATTCTAATCCTGTTCATTATGTCTGCTGACTCAGAGGAAATATTTCCTTATGTTTTGTAATTTTTAATGGTGAGTTCATTTTAGGTAAAGCTTCGTCTATGAAATGTCTGTATAGTTTGGGTTGACAGATAATTATTTCCAAGTCTTGCATTTTCTCTCACAAGGCATCCCAGGAGAACCAGCACCCCCAAAGTGCTTTTTAATATTTTTCTGTTTGCAGATCCTGATGCATTATCCCTAAACTCAAGAGCGGTATAGGTAAATAATTATGTTTTGTGAGGCTTCTTTTTGGGTTCAACTGTGACACCAAGCTCAGATGGCCAACTTTCCCTGTCATCTATTAATTAGATAGATGTCCACCTGTCCTTTCCCTGGGGTTGTAGTCCCTTTTTTTTTTTTTTTTTTTTGGAGACAGAGTCTCACTCTGTTGCCTAGGCTGGAGAGCAGTGGCGTGATCTCGGCTCACTGCAACCTCCACCTCTTGGGTTCAAGCAATTGTCTGCCTCAGCCTCCCGAATAGCTGGGATTACAAGTGCCCACCACCATGCCCGGCTAATTTTTGTATTTTTAGTAGAGATGGCATTTCATCGTCTTGGCCAGGCTTGTCTTGAACTCCTGACCTCAGGTGATCCACCTGCCTTGGCCCGCCAAAGTGCTGAGATTACAGGCGTGAGCCACCACGCCCGGCCGGGTTGCAGTCTTGACTTTGCTTCATGTGAGGGTTTCAGTTCTAACTCCCAGCCTCCTATAGGCTGTTTCTTAAACCAAGGTTACAGAAATCTGTAAACTTTCCCATCACCCCAGAGCAGTTATACCACAGGCCATACTTAATCCTTTAAATTTTAGTGTCCATTATTGGCCCTTGGGGGATTTCCCCCTCACTCTTGCAAGCTCAGTTATATATTTAAAAAGACAATTGTTATTCAGTATTTCTATGTGTTATCACCAAGAAGTTTTTAGGTTATTAAGTTTGCTACTGTATTACTCAAAAATTATTGAAGGAAATACTCAAAACATAAGTTATATTCTGCATGAAAATATACAAGTCTCAATAGTAAATCACATAAAGGCTAAATGAATAACCTATAAATTAGTATGACTTTATTTATTTTTGGAAACAGGGTCTCACTCTGTTGCCCAGGCTGGAATGCAGTGGTGTGAATATGCTTCGCTGCATCCTTGACCTCTTGGGCTCAAGCGATTCTCCTGCCTCAGCCTCCAGAGAAGCTGGGACCACAGGCATGCACCAAAACGTCCATCTAGTTTTAAAAATTTTTTGAGTAGACAGGGTCTCAAACTCTTGGGCTCAAGCAATCTTTCCACCTCAGCCTCCCAAAGTGCTGGGATTACAGGCGGGAGCCTCTGCACCTGAAAACTGGTATGATTTTAAATGACTTCAAGAACATTTTAGGCATTCTGATAAAGCTCCAGGAAGACAAGTTCAATCCATAAAGTATATCAAGTACTATTATTAATGTAATAATAGTTCCCTAATGGGAAAAAACAAAATAAAACAAAAACAGTATTTCCTCCTTCAGAGAAAAGGAATGTGGAACTTACAGTGCATTGTCAAATTTCCCAGAGCTATACTGGTGGACATAAGAAGAGTAGGCCAAATCTTCATGAGCTGTTGCTACGTGGATATTTTTGCCACCAAACACTGACTGTCTAATGTCAAGGGCTGCCTGAAAGAATCATAAAAATATTTGTCAATACTGTAGAAAATACCACCTAGTTAAATTAAACATCCTAGTAATTTAAATATATATCTATATGCCTAACACCATAAAATTTTGAAGCCCAGAAAGTCCTGCTGTATTTAAATTACAGAACATGAAAGTCACCTAGAAGTCCTGAATTTCTGAAGATACGAGTTTGACTTAAAAGGCCACGGCTTAATAATAATAATAATAATAATCATTCCTATGTCTTGAGAATCAAGACATTGGGAATGTTTTGCTCTGTTTCCTTCTTCAAAAGTGAACCTTAGGCCAGGCGCGGTGGCTCACACCTGTAATCCTAGTACTTCTGGGAGGCAAAGGTGGGTGGATCACCTGAGGTCAGTAGTTCAAGACTAGCCTGGGCAACATGCTGAAACCGCCTCTCTACTAAAAATACAAAAATTAGCCGGGCATTGTGGCACGGGCCTGTAATCCCAGATACTCAGGAGGCCGAGGCACGAGAATTGCTTGAACTTGGGAGGCAGAGGTTGCAGTGAGCTGAGATTGCGCCATTGCACTCCAGCCTGGGCGACAGATCAAAACTGTGTCTCAAAAAAAAAAAGTGAACCTTGAAGTCAAGTATGCCTTGTCTACAGCAATGGCATAATACATCATTTACCTGAGAATGAGTAAGAAAGACCTAAAATAATTATCAGCCATCTTTGTTACTACAAAGGCAGTTTTAGTGACATTTGCTAAATCAACAACAAAGACAAGCCATTACATGGGTAAATAAAAAATGGAAAACTACTCCCACATATGAGCTCACAACCCAATAATTCCTTTCCTGAATGATTTTCTTTAATTCCCAAAGCATTAACTTTTACACCTTCTAGGTAATACTTAATAAAATAATGATGCAACCTATATTGGTGGGCGGGGTAGTTGTCAAAAAGTCATTTTTAGAGTGGTTTATACACCACAAACAAATACAGGTCAGCAAGTCAATACAGGTTGAAAGAAAAAAAGGGTAACCATTAACATACCTGATAAATTGCAACAGACTGACAGATATTATCTACATTGAGTAAGTAGAACCCATAATCTAGCAGTGTATCAGAATATTTTGGGTGTTTGGATCCAAAATGATCCCTATAAAAAGACACAAAATTATTAGGATATAAAGTATAGAGACAATTTAAAAGGATATTTTTAATAATAATCACCTACCGTGCCAAATACACTGCATGTTTAATTAACTGTTCTGCCTTCTTAAATTCACGTTTTACTACACAAGCCTAAAGATAAAGTGAAAAATGGTTAACTCTCAAACAGTTCATTAGTGTGCTAAAATACGTGTAGTTTATATATTCTGGCTATAAGAGTTAATAAGAAAAAAAACCCTCCAAACATAAATACAAAGGTTCTATTTGTAATTTCTTTCCTTCCAAGTACTTAAAAATTCTATTATAAACAGATCTGTATATAAGCTGGGAAAATTATAAAGTTTAAAATTTTGACAGTCAGTCCTAGTACAAATCTGTCAAAACAAAGTTACCTTACAAAGCTGGTATACCCCCATTTTCCGCTATTATTAAAATAAAACAATGGGGGCAGAATTTACCACAGCATTTTCTAAGGTCCTTATATCCCAGTCCTGGAGTGGCTGACAACAATCTTTTGTTATTTTCATTTAATAATTTTTAAATGCATAGAATTTCAAGTTTTCCTATTAATTCTTTTCTTAAGAGACAAGGTTTTATGTTGCCCAGGCTGGACTTGAACTCCTGGCTACAGGGATGTGCCACTGTGCACAGCTCTCAGTTGTTATTTTGATCCATGATTATAGCTAGGCATTTTCTAAAAACTCTAAATATAATTTGCATATAGAAATATAAATCTTGTGGCCGGGCACAGTGGCTCATGCCTGTAATCCCAGCACTTTGGGAGGCCGAGGCGGGCAGATCACAAGGTCAGGAGATCGAGACCATCCTGGCTAACACGGTGAAACCCCGTCTCTACTAAAAATACAAAAAATTAGTCGGGTGAGGTGGCGGGCACCTGTAGTCCCAGCTATTCAGGAGGCTGAGGCAGGAGAATGATGTGAACCCTGGGGGGCGGAGCCTGCAGTGACCCGAGATCGCGCCACTGCACTCCAGCCTGGGCGACAGCAAGACTCCATCTCAAAAAAAAAAAAAAAGAAAAAAAAACCCAGAAATATAAATCTTGCATAAATATTATGTTGTCTTTATATTAATATTCAATTATTTCAATTAATTAAAAACGTAAGAATATCCCTGTTCTAGCTCTGATAACTTAAATATTTATGCTGTTTACTTACTCTAAAATGACTGATTTAATAAATTTCAGAGAAATATTAGACTCTCTCAGATCTATAATTTTGGAATCTATTTTCTAGTTGAATTTCCATAAGTAAAATCAACCAAAATGAAATATTCAAATCTGAGAAACTTCAGGGTAGAAGAGTGTATCTGAAAAGTACATTAATGCTTTAAGTCCTCACTGCACCAAAGGAGTAGTTTTAAAATACTACTAAATGTCCTCAAAGAGTTAACGCAGGCCAACCGTGGTGGACCTGTAATCCTAGAACTTTTGGAGGCTTGCCTAGAACTTTTGGAGGCTCAGGTGGGAGGATCGCTTGAGTCCAGGTGTTTGAGACCGGCCAGGGCAACATAGTGAGACCCTGTCTCTATTTAAAATAAAATAAAAATGTAAAAGATTTAATGCATTTATTTACAGAATAAGAAAACACTAGAGAAAAATCAAGTAAGGACTGCCTAGCAGGTCAAGTATAGCAAGCTGCCTTGCTGTGAGACTGCAATACTATGACAAAGAGATTTAACACCAGGCTATCTTTAGCAGAAAAGTGACCAAAGTTCACAGGATTTTGGCATAAGGAATTCTGGTTGCTATAAATATTTAAGAAAAACAAAAACAAACTCAAGCCAGAATAGCACCCAAATACTACTTTGAGCTGTACTTTAGTGCACTGAAACAATGATCAAAATGAATTATTTCACTGGTTTTCTTGGTAAAGAAAAATTGGCTAAAAATCTATGTGTGATATAGTTTTAGTTAGAAACCAGATTTCTAAAAATGAGCACAGAAACTTATAAAACAGACCTATGCCTACGGAGTGTACAAATAACTAAAATGTTAAATAACAGGTTAATTAAAACAAACTTAAAGCCTGATAAATCCTATAATTCATTTAATAATTTTAACATTATATTTACCTTAGAAGCTTGTCTTAAGACATCCACCACAACTTTCACTGGTAAGCCTGCTGTAATTTCTTTCATTGCCTCGATGCACCATTTGTATGCCTAAAAAAATTATTTATAGAAGAGACAGAACTGTGGTTAAATCAAGTTGACAATATTTAACAAGATGACTGCAAAATTTTTCTACAAGCACTTAAATAAGAACACACACAAAATATTTACAGTTAGAATTTTCTGAGGCTAAACTTTCTTCAAAGTATAAATCTGTTATATTATTTTTACTCTTAATATCTATAGCTTATCTGAATCAGACGTTGTGGATACATGACATATCTTCTGGAAATCAGAGGTATGTTCTCTCTTGCCCAGAAGCCTTTGCACATACTGTTCCCTCTGCCTTAAAATACATTCCCCCTTCCTCCAACCCCTTAAACTCATCTGTCTTGTGGGGTTTCCTGTGTTTTCCTATACATTCCATCCTCCTATTGTAACATTTGTTATTTTATGTCTGAATTGTCTGTTTAGTTGAGTGTTTACTTTGTCCCAGCTACTGTCCAAAGTATTTTATGTGCATTAACACATTTACCTGACAAAACAGCCCTATAAGATACGTACTATTAGGGGAAACAGGTGTAGAGAGGTTAAGTGGCAGGTAATGTGCTAGTATCTAGGTATGAAGTGGGAAACAAAACCAAAAATGTCCTTCCTCTCCTGGTGCTTAGTGGAAGAAATAAAAAAGGCAAAATAAATTGTCTTAGGCTGGGTGTAGTGGTGCATACCTGTAATCCCAGCACTTTGGGAGGCTGAGATGGGAGGATCGCCAAGCTCAGAAGTTTGAAACCAGCCTGGGTTATAACATAGTGAGACTTTGTCTCTATCAAAAATCAAAAAAATTAGCTGGGCGTGGTGATGTGCACCTGTAGTTCCAGCTACTTGGTAGAGCTGAGGTGGAGGCTGCAGTGAGCCGTGATCATGCCACTGCACTCCAGACCTTGGTGATGGAGTGAGACGCTGTCTCAAACAAACAGACAAACAAACAAACAAAGACAAGTGTGGCCATGTGATTTCTTTCCACAATTAAAATATGAGAAGTGAAATGTGCCACTTCTGGAAGAAAAGTCCAAGAGCCGGCAGTACTTCTCCATGAAGTTTCTGCCCCTGTGCCCAGGCTGGTAATGTTCTAGATAGATACGTTCCAGATAGACCCAAAACCACGCTGTGTCTTGATCAAAGCGTAGGTATAATGTTAAGAACAGCCATAGCCATCTGAAGACAGGGATATATTATGAGCCAGAAAGAAACTTTTATTGTTCCAAGCTATTCTGGGGTTGATATTACCTCTGCATAACCTAGCCTATCCTAACACAAAAACATGATGCTAATTCATCAAACCATGTCTGTAAGATTTGTGTACTTTTCTGTAGATATCAGTGAAAAGCTTATTTATCACTAGAAGATTGAACTGTCAAAATTATCCAAGACTTCAACATTCCTCACGAATGTGCTGAGAGCTGCAAAGACATGAATAAGGCACAGTATAAACCCCTAAATCCAAATGTAGAAGGAAAATAACTGTCAGGCTGGGCATGGTGGCTCATGCCTGTAATCCCAGCACTTCAGGAGGCCAAGGTAGAGGATCACCTGAGCCCAGGAGTTTGAGTCCAGCGTGGGTGACAAAGCAAGATCCTGTCTCAAAAACTACAACACGAGGCCCAACCAAACAATTTAGGCAAATATTTGGTTAAATTAAAAGAAAAACAACAAAAGAAAGGGCTCTAAATTACACATGTATATATTTCAAATTCACCTCACAAACACTCCTTTTGCCTGATTTTTTATTTTTTTGAGACAGGGTCTCACTCTGTCACTCAGGCTGGAGTACAGTGGTATAAATATGGCTCACTACACCCTCAACTTACTGGGCTCAAGGGATCCTCCTGCCTCAGCCTCCCATGTAGTTGTGACCACCACAGGCGTGTGCTACACATGCGGCTAATTTTCTATAGAGGCAGGGTCTCTCTCACTTTGTTGCCCATGCTGGCCCCAAACTCCTGGGCTCAAGTGATCCTCTACCTTGGCCTCCTAAAGTTCTGGGATTACAGGCATGAGCCACAGTGCTCGGCTTGTCTGATTTTAAATTTTCCATTACAAATGTGTACTGCCTTATATAAACCTAATATGTAAAAGAGATCTGTAAGAAAAATAAGAGAAGACTATTTGATTTACCCTCTGTTTTTATAGGTACTTATTGGTCACAGTGAAATGTACCTTAAAACACTTACCTCATCATAGTGACTTTTTGCAAATAGGAGTGCACACAGTTCTCCATAGAGTGCAGCTTTATTTGCTTGCTGGCCATGTTTTGATAGTTTATCCATATATGTCTGAGCTAATTTAAATGTTTCTTCACCCAAATGATATTTGCAGTTTCCATTTCGCACATGAAGCAACCTATAAAACACCAATAACATTGCTCTATTTTTGATATTTTCAGCTTGGTAGACCTGATGACCTCTTACCAATCACCTGAATGACTTAAGGTAATTAAATACAATTACAAGGCAGCATTGAAAATAAGTGTGTGGCCCAAATTGGAGTTGACCTCATGCCCATAAAGAAGTACATGCTCTTTCCTGAAAGCGTCCCATAATTCATCTCATCAATTGTTGATTCCTTCTCTAAATATTTTATATATTTTATGTACTCAGCATGTACTGCATCTAAAAAAATGACATTTAATCTTTTTGTTCCAAATCCACAAGTAATATAGCTTCAGTATAAGAAACTTGGAAAATAATGAAGAAAATAAAATTGACATAAAATATCTTCTTTTCTTATTTTTGGTATAGTCTAACACTTGATCAGTTACCACTTATTTCATGATGCTTCATAATGTTCATTTTTTCCAATAAGATAAATTTACCGAAAATAGCAGTAGTGTCAACTATTTCTTTTAAAATCTTTATCCTCTATAGTAGAAATACAGAGTTCTTTAAACAAATTAACTGTACAACTATGCTGACTATTTAATGATATGCAAAAATAGTACAATGCTTTAGATCAGACTGGTCTAGATAGCAACAGACTGTGTATCTATATAGACTGTACAAGATAGGCAAATAGTGTTAGGACTGGACAAATATTTATTTATTTATTTATTTATTAAATGCTAGCTAGAACATTATGTTCATGTATCAAGCCAATACAACTTTCTGAAAATGCTCAGACTGAGAAGGAACAAAGGTATAAAAGCTATTTAAAAGAAAAACAAGGATGGACAGGTTAGGAAGTATTCCTCAGGAGCATCAAATCAACAGATACAAAAAATTTATTTTTTCTATCTATACCACAATTATTAACAGATTAGTAACTCATAATGAGAAAAATTCAGACAATCTTTTAATCTCTATCATTCCTCTGTATAGTCACAGAAACAGATTAACTTCCAAAGAACCAGGACTAATCAATAAAGTGATGACTACTATACAATGCCAATGTGTATCCTCCCAACACGTACCATACAATTATCTGCAAAATCTATTACCATAAGCAGCTTATGTTCTAGTGGTGAGAAGGGTATTAGTGTGGGCAAAGATAAAATACGTAAGACTTTCATTTAAGGATAAATGCCATAAAGATGATAAAAAAGTAGGGTAATATGATCAAAAGATTCTGAAAGGAGGTATTTAGGGTAGACAGGGAAGAATCCTCCTGAGGTAGTAACATTTAAGTTGACATCTAAATGATGACACTGTAGCCAGCCAAGTGAAGATCTGGTGGGGAAGCATGTTCCAAAACAGAAGGAACAGCAAAACAGAAGGAATAGCCCCTGAGAAGGGATGGGGGGAAATCCTGGCATAGTCAAAGGAACAGAAAGAAGGCCAATTCATCTAGACTACAGTGAATAAAAGATTATGTAAAGAGAAATGAGAAGGGAGAGATAAGCAAGATTTTATAGCACCTTGCGGGCCGTGGAAAGGAGTTTTGTTTGCAACAGTAAGGGAGGTGATTTGACTTATGCACTATCTAATATAATTTCCTGAGATGTTAGAAATGTTCTATACTTGTGTTGCTCAATTTGGTAGCCACTAGCCACAGTGGCTACTGAGTATTAGAAATGTGCCTAGTGTGACTGAGGCACATTTTACTTTTAATTAATTTAAACTTAATAATCACATATGGTTAATGGCTACCATATGGGACAATGCAACTCTATCAAGAATGCTCTGGCTACACTCTGGCTATAGCAAAGCCAAGAGGGGAAGCAAAGCAACCAAGGCAGAAGATACTGTAACAGTCCAGAAAAAAAAGTCCTTGAGAAAAAAAGGATTAGTATTTGAAACACAGATTTGATAGCCAAATGGTTGAAAGAGAAAAAAATGAGAAACCCATAGGTTGAAAATTTAGAGAATAAAAAGAACAGTGCTTACTTCTCATTTCCACAATGCTAAGAATTTCCTTTCCAAAGACCTTCACTGTAAGTATTCTCCTGAAATAACAATCTGTGGAAATTATTTAGTAATTGGCACATGATGAAGTAGCAAAATAAACACTGTATGCCAGAAAGGCACAGCTTGGTATTTTCTCCAGTCCCTGCTGAATGTCTATTTAAACAAAAGGGCAAATTAAACATATGGAGACTCTTTAGGTTCTGTGTGTCCATCTGGGCTGACACTAAGCAGTATATTGAATCCAAGGAACTTGTGGTCCAACTTATTATGGTCTAATTTTATCCCAACCTTCTGCCTAAGGAAAAAGGAGGTTCTCAAAATGTGGCACTACCATGTAAACACAGTATTTTACTTTCATAACATAAAATTATGTCTACCTGATCAACACCTACTGTCAAGAACAATTACTATTTGATTGAACTATTCATTGTTTAAAATGAAAAATATACAAATGTGTAAGTCATTAGTTTACTAATATATTTACCATAAGACTGAACATGACTAGTTAGAGCCTCATCAGCCAGACATGACGAAAGTAAAATACACTGAAAGTGAACCTAAAGGAAAAGAATTTCTCTCCTTCTTGTAAGTGTCTTTTTCTTAGAACTAGTTTATCCCAGCACTTTGGGAGGCCGAGGTAGGCGGATCACGATGTCAGGAGATCGAGACCATCCTGGCCAACACGATCCCCGTCTCTACTAAAAATACAAAAAAAAATTAGCTTGGCATGGTGGTGCGTGCCTGTAGTTCCAGCTACTTGGGAGGCTGAGGCAGAAGAATCGCTTGAACCCAGGAGGCAGAGATTGCAGTGAGTCGAGATCACACCACTGCACTCCAGACTGGCGACAGAGCAAGACTCCATCTCAAAAAAAAAAAAAAAAAAAATTGGAAATAAATGATAGCTTGAAAGGGGAGAGCTGCATAATGAAAATAAAGACCGGTATGGGTTTAATAATTTTTTTTTACTATGGTGAAATATATATAAAACTTTGCCATATGAGCTATTTTTAAGTATACAATTCAGTGGCATTAATTATATTAACTATGTCATGCAACCATCAATACTATCCACTTCCAAAACTTTTTCATCACCCCAAACAGTCCCTAGTAACCTTTAATCTACTTTCTGTCTCTATGAATTTGCCTATTCTACATATTTCATGTAAGTGGAACCATACAATATTTGTCCTTTTGTGTCTAACTTATTTCACTTAGGATAAAATTTTCAAGGTTCATCCATGTTGTAGCATGTACCAAAACTGGCTGAATCATTGTATGTGTATATATGTAAATGCCAAATTTTGTGTATCTATTTATCTGCTGATGGATACTTGGATTGTTTTTATCTTTTGACTTGTGAAAAATTCTGCTATAAACACTAGCACACAAATATCTCTCGATTCCTTGCTTTCAATGCTTTTAGGCATATACTTGGAGTGAAATTGCTGAGTCATACAGTAATTCTATGTTTAGCTTTTTGACAAACTGCCAAACTGTACTCCACAGCAGCTGCACCATTTTACATTCCCAGCAACAGTGCACAAAGTTTCCAATTTCTTTTTTTTTTTCAAATGCTCTCTCAGCAGAATCACTTGATTTCTTCTCATCCTTGCCAACAGTTATTTTCTTTTTTTTAAACTGTACCCATCTTGGTAGGAATAAAGTGGTAGCTCATTATGTTTGATTTCCATTTCCCTAATGCTGAATGACACTATCTTTTCATGTGCTTATCTTTTCATGTGCTTACCGGTCTTTTGTGTATCTTCCTTGGGAAAATGTCTATTCAAGTCCTTTGTCCATTTTTTATTTTTAATTTTATGAGACAGAGTCTCACTCTGTCACCCAGGCTGGAGTGCAGTTGCATGATCAAGCTCACTACAGCCATGATCTCCTGGGCTTAAGTGATCCTCCCACCTCAGCCTCCTACGTAGCTGAGACGACAGGCCAGTGCCACCACACCTGGCTGATTTTTAAAAAAATTATTTTAATAGAGACAAGGTCTTGCTATTTTGCTCAGGCTGGTCTCAAACTCTTGAGCTCAAGAAATCCTTCTGCCTCAGCCTCCCAAAGTGCTGGGATTACAGGTGTGAGCCACCATGCCCAGCCTGCTCTTTATTAATTAATTAATTAAATTTTTAACAGAGTTTCGCTCTTGTTGCCCAGGCTGGAGTGCAGTGGCACAATCTTGGCTCACTGCAACCTCTGCCTCCTGGGTTCAAGTGATTCTCCTGCCTCAGCCTCCAGAGTAGCTTGGATTACAGGCGCCTGCCACCATACCCAGCTAATTTTCCTATTTTTAGTAGAGATGGGTTTCACCATGTTGGCCAGACTGGATTTTTTTTTTTTTTTGAGATGGGGTCTTGCTCTGTTGCCCAGGCTGGAGTGCAGTGGCACGATCTCAGCTCACTGCAACCTCTGCCTCCTGGGTTCAAGCGATTCTCCTGCCTCAGCCTCCTGAGTAGCTGGGATTACAGGTGTGCACCACCACGCCTGGCTAATTTTTGTATTTTTTTTTTCAGTAGAGACAGAGTTTTATCATGTTGGCCAGACTGGTCTCAAACTCCTGACCTCAGATGATCTCTCTGCCTCAAACTCCCAAACTGCTTGGATTACAGGTGTGAGCCACAGGGCCCGGCCTCATTTTTAAATTCTGTTGTTTGTAGTTGTAGTTCTTGATATATTCTGGATACTAGAAACTTAATTGACATGTGATTTGCAAATATTTTCTCCCATTCCATAGGTTGTCTTTTTATTTTCTTGATGTTTTTGATTTACAAAAGTTTTTATTTTGATTAAGTCCAACAAATCTATAGTTTTACTTCTTCCTTTCCAATACTGATGATTTTTATTTTTCTTGTCGAATTTCTTCTGCTAAAGCTTCCAGTACAATGTTGAATACCACTAGTGAAAGCAGGCAACTATGTCTTGTTCCTGATCCTATGGGGGAAGCTTCTAGTCTTTCACTATAGAGTATGATGTTATTGTGAGTTTTTCATAAATACTCTTTATCATATTGAAGAAGTTCCTTTCTATTCCTAGCTTTGTGAATTTTTTTTTTTAATCATGAAAAGGTGTTAGATTTTGCTAAATGTCTTTTCTGTGTCAACTGAGATAACTGGGTTTTTTTTTTTTCCCTTCATCCTATTAACATGGTGTATCACACTGATGTTCTTACGTTGAACCACCCTTGCATTCCTGGGATAAATCTCACTTTGTCATAGTGTAAAATCCTTTTAATATTCTATTAGATTTGATTTGCTAGTATTTTGTTGAGGATTTTTTCATCCATATTCATAAGAGATACTCGTCTGAAATTGCCTTTTTTGTGATGTCATTTTTGGTCTTTGGTATCAGGGTAACGTTAACCTTTTAAAACGAGTTAGGGGCTGGGCGCAGTGGCTCATGCCTGTAATCCTAGAACTTTGGGAGGCCAAGGTGGGCAGGTCACCTGAGGTCAGGAGTTCGAGACCAGCCTGGCCAACATGGCAAAACCTCGTCTCTACTAAAAATACAAAAATTAGCCAGGTGTGGTGGTGGGAGCCTGTAATCCCAGCTACTTGGGTGGCTGAGGCAGGAGAATCGCTTGAACCTGGGAGGCGGAAGTTGCAGTGAGCCAAGATGGTGCCACTGCACTCCAGCCTGGGCAAAAGAGTAAGACTCTGTCTCATAAAATAAAGCAAATAAAATGAAAATGGAAACAAAAACAAAAACAAAAACAAAACAAAACAAGTTAGGAAGTGTTCCTTCCTCTGCAATTTCCTGGAGGAGTTTGAGAAGAACTAGTGCTAATTCTTTAAATGTTTGATAGAATTCACTAGTGAAGTCTTCAGTCCTGGACTTTGTTGGAAGGTTTTTGATTATGGATTTAATTTATTTACTTGTTATAGGTCTCGTAAGATTTTCTATTTCTTCTTGGGGCATTTAGGTAAATTGTCCATTTCTAAAAAATTTGTCCATTTTATTTATGTTATCTAATTCACTGGTGTTCAACTGTTCATAGGATTCACCTTAAATCCTTTTCATTTGTGGAAGGTTGGTAGTAATGTTCCAAGTCCCATTTCTGGTTTTAGTTATTTGAGTCTTCTGTCTTTTTCTTTGTTAGTCTGGTATGGTTTTAATTTCAAGTCAGGGAGGACATCAGTGTGAGAGTGTTTCTTCTGCTAGAGAACGTGGAATCTGCACCTGACACCTCAAACCATGGCAGCAATCTTACAAGCACTGGAGAGCTAGCCAAAGAAATGACTGGTACACAAAGAATTAGCAGACAGATTGAAAGAATCTAGTTCCTTAATAACCTCTATATATTCAGAATTAACCTACCCTGGAGGCCCTTAACATTGTACTGATTATCTTTTTATCAAAGTTTTTGTACTTTTAAGGTACACTGCTTATGTAGGTGGCTCCTATCTTATTTGCTACACATAGGTTTATGACATTTTTGTGAATTATACATTCTATTATCAATATCCCTTTTGTATTAACTAATGACTTTTATCCTGAATTCTTCCTTATTGTTAGTATTATTGTTTTGGGGTGTTTCCTTTTTATGATATAGCACTAGTTTTAATTTTTTAACCCTCTTGGTAACTGCCATCTTTAGGTAGGAGAATTGAGCCCATTTACATGTATTGTGATGATAATTATATTTGGTCTAACCTTTTCATCTTATTTTTCACTTATCATAATCAGTTTGTTCCTCTATTCACTTTGCTTATATCTAGCTTGGTCAAGTTTCAAATCATTCTCACCCATATTCACACCACCCTAGTTTGGAAGTTCTATCACACTTTTCTATTACACAAGGCATCAAATGCCCATCTCTAGCACTGATAATGTTTAAACTAAATAATGATGCCCTTTCCTACTCTACCCACTAAGATGAGAACTCTGTAACACTTTTACTCATCCATTCTCCCAAATGCATATTTTAAAAATAGGCTATATGTCTATTAAAAAACAACCTGAATGTAAGATGAACCTCCATTTTCCATCTAAAAATATTTTTGCCAACTCATATATATCAAGTTTTAGGGATATATGTGATAACATTAAAACACTTATAATTTATATTTAAGGCCAGGTGTGGTGGTCATGCCTGTAAGCCCAGTATTTTGGGAGGCCAAGGCAGGAGGATCACTTGAGCCCAGGAGTTTGAGACCAGCCTGGGCAACATACTGAGGTCCCTTTTCTATTAAAAACAAAAAGAATAAAAATTTATAACATTTAAATCTTTCCTTATACCAATATATTTAAAATCTAAATTAAATTTTCAAAAATCGCTTTTCCTCCTCACAATTTACAAAACTTTATCCAAATTATTCACATGTACCTTAAACATTTAGCTTCATCATCACCATAGTTATTTGAGTCATCTGACAGTTTTTATTTTATCTTTTAAATAAATCCTTCTTTGGAATGACAGCTTTTTAGAGTAAAACATTTTCACTTGTTTGAAAACCAGTACTTCTGAATCTCTGTATGATGTCATCAGAAATTTAATCCAAAGCTACCAGTAACCATCTGCAAAGCATTAGGACTGCTGGGCTTTTCAATTTCTCCTATGGCAAGCAGATATCCAGGATCTCCAGAACTGAATTACTCCATCACTTTTCAAAGTAATCTTTAAAAAGCCAGTTAATAAAATTATCCAACTCTTAAAACTATAAGGTCATGACCTCCAGAATAATTCTAAATCTGTTAAATTTCATTTTTTTTTTATTTTTTTTTTTTGAGACAGAGTTTTGCTCGTCGCCCAGGTTGGAGTGCAATGGTGCAATCTTGACTCACTGCAACCTCCACCTCCCAGGTTCAAGCGATTCTCCTCCCTCAGCCTCCCGAAGTAGCTGGGATCACAGGCACCCACCACCATGCCCAGTTAATTTTTTTGTATTTTTAGTAGAGACAGGGTTTCACCATGTTGGCCAGGCTGGTCTTGAACTCCTGACCTTAGGTGATCCACCCACCCTGGCCTATCAAAGTGCTGGGATTACAGGTGTTGAGCCACCCCGCCCAGCCTCATAACTTATTTAGAAAGAAAATTTCACTAGGTGATCTCTATAAAGCTTCCTGACATCAGCACTAACTGAAATTTCAGCTTAACATTTCTTTCCTAAATACTACTTTGTTGTTCAAAATACAGGTTGAGTATCCTTATTTGAAATGTTTGGGACCAATCATGTTTCAGATTTCAAATTTTTGGATTAGGAACACTAAACCTGTAATAGGTTTGACGTGGTAAATTTTTGTTTTTTGTTATTTCCAAAATTTCCTTTTCATCTCTGGTTTGAAAAGAATCCTCATTTAAGGCCTATTACAAATTCTCAATTTGTTCTTCATTCTCTTCCTACTCCATTTACATGTGAGACATATATTACAATATTCATTACCTACCACTGTTTTTATACTGTCTTCCCCTACCTTGGGATTTGTTATTATTAATTTAAGAACTTAAATAAAAGTTTAAAATTTTTATTTTAAAATAAAATAGAGGCCAGGTGCAGTGGCTCACGTCTGTAATCCCAGCACTTTGGGGGGCCAGGGCAGGCAGATCACGAGGTCAGGAGATCGACACCATCCAGGCTAACATGGTGAAACCCCATCTCTACTAAAAATACAAAAAAATTAGCTGGGCATGGTGGCGGGCGCCTATAGTCCCAGCTACTCGGGAGGCTGAGGCAGAAAAATCATTTAAACCTGGGAGGTGGAGCTTGCAGTGAGCCGCGATCACACCACTGCACTCCAGCCTGGGCGACAGAGACTCCATCTCAAAAAAAACAAAAACAAAAAACAAAAAACATGACTCAGACATAACATGACATGACATAACATAACATGATAGTTTCATTATATTGCCCAGGCAGGTCTCAAACTCCTTGGCTCAAACGATCCTCCTGCCTTGGCCTCCCAAAGTGCTGGGATTACAGGCATGAGGTACCATGCCTTGCTGGAACTTATATTTGGTTACAGAAGTTCCTCGATTATTTCCCTCAGATACGGTACATGGAGATATACTGGGTCTTCATGTATTTGAAAATTACTTCTTTTGCCCTTCAAACTGGTGAGGTACAGTATTTTCTCTCAGTAACTAAGATACTGCTACTTTCTTCTAGCTTCTAATTTCTATTTATCTTTGGATTTCAGGAAATTCAGCTGCCCAGGGTTCTCTTTCAATCCACATTCAACTCTTTATACACACACACACACACACACACACACACACACACACACACACGCTCCCCAACCCCACCCCACAGTCCAGTAGTTCAAGAAGTTCTTTTTATTATTTAAAAAAACCCACCAAAGGAATACATGTCAATGGTTTAAAAACATAATAAATAGTAGAAAAGGATTTAAAATAAAAAGTAAGTTTGTTCTGCCCAACTCTCACAAGCCCAAAAGCAATCTCTGTTCCCTTATCTGGAGGTTCTAGAGAATTCCTGACCTTAAACAAACCATGCTCACATGGACTGATTAGCTCCAAAGAAAAAACTGAAAAGGGGGTTGCGGGTGTGATTTTAAGTTTGTCATCCCCCAAAAACAAGCCAGTTCAGTAACTGTAGTTATTTCTGAGCAGCAGGGTTATAGACAACAATTTTCTTCCTCATAGCTTTCTGTATTTTCTGGATGTGTTTGGCCAGACATGTATAAGCAAGAAAAACAAAGCCATTAAATAGAAAATGAATAAATGGAAATAGGCAGAGTCTCCAAAGAATACAAAAGGACTGAAAAATGGTACCAGTTTTAACTACTTTCTATTAAGAAAGGCTAGGAAGGTTCTCTGACCTTTGTTGTATAATGTTTTGATGTTAGCCCCATATTAGAAATTGGCTTTGTGACATTAAATTGAAAAATATACTTTTATTCTTGCATCAGGCTCAAAGCCCCTGGGATTGGCCAAAGCATTTGATTAGTATCTGTTGTGCAAAACACTTCTTTTCTAATTCAATTAAACACATGGTCAATTAATACCCCAAATTTCTCTCTGCCTTAAAAAAAGGCTAAGTCATAAAATTTTAATAATCTTTTCAAATAATACTAAGTAGATGAAAAAAATTACTTATTATAAATAAATTATATTAAATACACCTGTAACGGCCAAGAATTTGGCAAGGTTAGTTGAATAGAGGCAAATTTTATTGTGAAATTTCAAATTCATAAAGACATAAGGTCTTGGTATACAGGCAGTGAGCTGGCATTATAAATGGCTTTGTTCCTTGGTCCAGACAATATTCTAGTTTCACATGTGCTTGCTAAAAAGACAGCTAGTTCTGAATTGTTAATTATCTATTGTTTTTAATTTATTTTAAAATTTTTTATAGAAATGAGGTCTTGCTGGTCTCCAATTCCTAAGCTCAAGCAATCCTCAAATCTTGGCCTCCCAAAGTGCTAGGATTACAGTCGTGAGCCACTGCACCCAGCCAGTTATCTACCCAATATTCCTCATGTTTTCTTCCTTAATGTAGACCCATGAGTTCATTCATGCACAATTAAAAATGTTTTGCTCCTCAGACTATACTTATTACACAGATTAGAAGTTGTGTAGAATGTGTCCCAGTTTCCAGTTTAAAAGACAAGTAATCCAAGAGACAGGGTTAGACTTCTGGGAAAGCAATTTTTTTCTGATTTAAAAAAGAGTCAGCTGGCATGCACTTTTTGACCTCCCCTCTTCTTACTGCCTATTAACACTTGCAGCCATAATGATGTGAGCTACTTGCTACAGATGACAAACTAGGAAGGAGAGAAGGAGACTGACTTGTCTTGTGAGAAAACTAAACCTTTTGGTAAGGCTAAAGCCAAATTTATACAGGAACCTTAAAATCAGAAGAAACACAGGTATTTGGGTGAAATAAATCTGAATATGTGAATAAAAAAATAAAGCACATACAAAAAAGAAAGTGTTTTATCTTTTGGTCAAGATTGCCATAGTGAATAATCTATGATAAAAATCATACAAAATCCCCTTTCTGTTCCAAATTAACCAGTTTATGTACATAGCAATATATAACTAACCTCCCAAATCCCATATGGGATAATGTAGTCTCCTATTCCTAAAAATATAAAATAGGCAGAAGAGGGGGAAAAAAATGAGAGATTATTTTTATGAGTACTATAAATTATAGGGCTAAATACTAATCCTTTTAGAGTTTCTGCACACAAATATTCCTATAATTTATCATACACTTCCAAAGTATATGTGGGAAATTATCACCTTCTAAAATATTATTTATAATTAAGTTTGCATATTACAAAATTAACTTCAGGATTGAATGTCTGTCTGACATAGATAAGCCTTGTATAAAAAAGGTCAATGACAGCCTCAAAAGACTGAAATCCAACTGGCCAAAAAAAAAAAAAAAAAATAGAGTTTTACTCAATTTTAGCTTAAAGCAACAATAATCTGGCTGGGTGTAGAGGTTCATGCCTGTAATCCCAGAACTTTGGGAGGCCCAGGCAGAGGATTGCTTGAGCCCAGGAGTTGGAGACCAGACTGGGCGATACAGCAAAACACCATTTCTAATAAAAATAAAGTAAAAAATATATTTAAAAAAAAACCCAAAACAAAAATACAATGGTTTTATAGGAGAATATTCTAGGTTTGAAAGGGTTCAGATTCAATTAACTCATCTAAAAAATACCTAGGAAATATGAACCTTAATTCCATAAAAATAGAAGACTGTAAATTCAATAAATTGATTGGACTTTAGTTACCTTACGATAAAGAATTTCTGCTGTTTAATTTTTTGACTTTATTTTAATTTTCCTTTAGTTTTATATAAAAAAATACTTTTAAGAAATGCCAAATCAAATTGGGGGACAAAGAGAAAACCTGTATGAAAATAGCTAAAGGTAAATGTAACATGCAGAAAAAAATAAGGACAATAAAGCAGAGTTACTTCTAGATTTGCTTGACTTTAAGGAAATCTGTAAAAAAGTAATAAATGTATACTCAAAGAAAAGTTATTCATAAGTAAAGCACTAATCTTGTTATGCACAATTATGGAAATGTAAACAAAGCAGGGGGTACAAAAGTAACACCAAAGAAAAAGTACATTTCTGGAGTTTCCGAGCATCCAGTGTCTACCACAGTTCCTAGTACACAAGCATTCAATAAATATTTGTTGAATGAATAAACAAACAAGCTCTATGACAAAGCAAAAAGATATGTAAGAAACACATTCTGGGCCAGGCACGGTGGCTCATGCCTGTAATCCCAGCACTTTGGGAGGCCAAGGCAGGTGGATCACCTGAAGTCAGGAGTTCGAGACCAGCCTGACCAACATGGCAAAACCCCATCTCTACTAAAAATACAAATAATTGGCGCATGCCTGTAATCCCAGCTACTTGGGAGGCTGAGACAGGAGAATCACTTGAACCCAGGAGGTGGAGGTTGCAGTGAGCCAAGACTGTGCCACTGCACTCCAGCCTGGGTGAAAGAGCGAGACTCTGTTTCAAAATAAAAATAAAAAAAGAAACACATTCTGGTTCATAATACTCAAATCTAACCTAAGCTGTCTACAGCAGATTAACTATATTTTAGAGATGAGAGGATGCCAGACTAGTGAAACTATGACATATAAATATCATCTCAGAGATTTACTCAAATGTTGGCATATACTTATAAGAGCTAAAACTATAAAAGCCACTAAATACTGTTATAGCACGTAATTACAGGATATGTTCCAACTTACCTCACACAACATTCTACTGCACGAAACCAATGAAGCATCTCATCGTGTAGAGTACACAACTGAAGGCAGGACAGAAAAACTTTCTCAGCATCACTGTACCAGCCTGCATCTGAAAGAAAGCCACCTAAAAAAATAAGAAACACCAATTTTAGAAAACTTGATAAATAGCCTGCAAGATAAAATGACATGCTGACAGTGAATATTACCTAAATTAAAAATAAACCATGATAGTAAAATCTTGTGTTTAGCATACAACACAGGTATGAACTGTGAGATTTTTATATAAAGGTTTTGAACTACGGGAAGGAGGGTTAAGGCTAAGACCTTGAATAAGGAGTCAAAAGTTTGAACCTTCTAAGAATACTCCATGGCCTAAGAGTTGTTACTTTCCAGCTAATGAGCTAACTAAATTATTTTACTATTTTCATCTTGGAGTGTACATATAACTTTAGCATCTCCCAATACACAATCCCAAAGAAGATAAATCTGAATATACTTAGTATAGCAGCACATAACGGAGGATACACAGATAAAAAAAGACTGTGATCCTTAATCGATTATCTTATTATTTTTTTAAACAAGAAATTACTGTCCTGGGCAGTATTTCCTCAGCATATTATCTTTTTGAGGATTCTGCCTCCTAAATATGACTAACATTTAATACACTGTTACTACACCATGTAAAACACTTCGTATTGTGGTAACTACATAACTACACGAACTCACTCATTTAACTTTCACAACACACCTTCGACTTAAATAACTGCCCCAACGTAACAGATGAAAACACTTGAGTCACAGAAAAACCAAAGCTTATAATCCAGTAAGTGAAAAGATTCAGATGCACACAATGTGACTTCAGAGGCTAAGTCTGTAGTCCCTATACTGCAACAGTTATTAAGGAATAATTTCTTAGTGCTATTCAGGATTAGTTACAATAACCAGAAAACACAAAGTAACATACCATCATGGTATGTTCTAAAACACATTTTTTTGCACATTAAAAAATCTCTGAAATTATCTGAGACCAGCCTGGGCAATATGGCAAAATCCTGTCTCTACAAAAGATACAAAAGTAAGCCGGATGTGGTGGCGAGTGCCTGTAGTCCCAGCTACTCAGGAGGCTGGGGTGGGAGAATGGCTTGAGCCTGGGAGGCAGAGGCTGCAGTGAGCGGAGATCACACCACTGCCCTCCAGCCTGGGCAACAGAGCCAGCCAGACCTTGTCTCAAACAACAACAACAACAAAACTCTGAAATTAGAGTACGTCATAAAAGTAATGGTATATTACAATAAGTGGCTTTTTCTTGGCACACAAAAAATATGGTGTCTTAATAGTATTAATGTATGAGTTGACAAAATATTATATTTTGCTTAGACTCATGTTTTATATTTAATTAAAACTACATGTAATTAAGCATTTTTTTAATTGGAGAGAACTGTGCTTTAAAACTTTCTAGCTTCCTCACCAAGTTGAGCAGAATAATGAGATTATTCATATTCATACTAAGCAATATTCTACTTATCATCCCAACATATTGTATATTGTGCTGGTTATTAGAATACTGTCTCTCAGCTTCAAACCCATACTACTAGAGTCTGTTTGAGGATGCTGAGCAAGGACTCTGCAAACCACATTTCTCCTTTGCTAGCTGGCTCCGTTTGGCTCAGCGAATAGGAGGCACTGGAGAAATGGGCTGCATGACTGGAAGAGCAATGGACACTCTCCTTCCTGTATCTGTTAGTGAGGTTCCTGCTGACAAAAACACCCCAGGGTGTGCTTCTTTTCTTTGGTGGTAGTTCATTCCATTAAATAATAGTCAATACCAGTTGCAGTTTTCCAATGCTTGCAAAACCAGTTTCACAGCACTCCATCAAACATCAGCAATAGCCATCCAGGTTGCTCCTCCTAGAGGTCTAGATCCTAGACCCACGGGCCCTCTTTTCAGACCTCTGAGGCACCAGTAACAGCCTAGCAGTATCCCAGCTTCATGGGGCAAACCCCTCCAACTCCTACTTTTTAATAATTCCAATCTCTTTCCTTGGTTCCCCAAGCCATAGGTATGGTAGCCAATTCTCACAGCTGCTTTGTCCATAATACCCTACTGTTCCCTTTTTGCCTCTTTAGTTCTCTAGTATCTGGTTAAAAACGATTTGTATTAGGCCAGGTACAGTGGCTCATGCCTGTAATTCCAGCACTTTTGGAGGCCAAGGTGGAAGGATCCCTTGAGGCCAAGAGTTCAAGACCAGCCTGGGTAACACAGTGAGACCCTGTCTCCTAAATAAATAAATATTTTTTATGCTGATAATTGATTTTATAGCCTAGTGAAATGAACTATTCAGATATAACATCTACTTCATCCACATCTTGTTGAGAAGGAGAAAATTTATACAATGTACTTAATTTTATTTGGTTCTTAGTTTGACAATCCCTAAAAATTTAGGTTTATTCTAGAGCATGACAAAGTCAAAACTTGTAATATTGACCCTAGAATTCACCTAAACTCAAGGAAAATACTACAATAGAGCTGGGCTTCAGCTAAGTCAAATCCAGAACCAAATTTATTTTCTCTGTTCAAAACAAATGAGATCCTTGTTTTCAAAAGAAGTTAGGAAAAGAAGACAACAGCACAATTGTGGCAGCTGTTACAGCTTCTTACAATGACCATTTGTGCTTGAAAATGAAGTGGACATTTGCTGTTAATAGAAGTATCAATCCAGTAACCACAGGATAGGTTACTATTTCTTTTTTTAGAGACAGAGTTTGCTCTTGTTGCCCAGGCTAGAGTGCAATAGCGTGATCTCGGCTCACCGCAACCTCCGCCTCCTGGGTTCAAGTGATTCTCCTACCTCAGCCTCCTGAGTAGCTGAGATTACAGGCATGTGCCACCACGCCCGGCTAATTTTGTATTTTTAGTAGAGACGGGTTTCTCCATGTTGGTCAGGCTGGTCTCAAACTTCTAACCTCAGGAGATCCGCCCACCTCAGCCTCCCAAAGTGCTGGGATTACAGGTGTGAGCCACCGCGTCCGGCCGGGTTACTACTTCGATTAAAAACTTAATTTTAAGAAATGTGTTCCTTGACTATAAGCATCAAATTAAATACTTATAAACAAGAAATAAATGAATCCAAACCATTTTAAAAACATATTCCTGTTAAGAAATGTTTAATTTTCCCTTTGAATAGCCTCATCCCAATAAAGATGTGGCCTGTCAGAAAAGGGCTTGAATGTCCAGGGTGATAGTCCTACTTAGTAATGCAGTCCTTTCTAAAAGACAATTCTTTTTTATTTTTTAGGATTAAAAATTTATTATTATTATACTTTAAGTTCTAGGGTACATGTGCACAACGTGCAGGTTACATGTGCCATGTTGGTTTGCTGCACCCATCAACTCGTCATTTACATTAGGTATTTCTCCTAACGCTATCCCTCCCCCAGACCGCCACCCCACAACAGGCCCTGGTGTGTGAGGTTCCCTGCCCTGTGTCCAAGTGTTCTCATTGTTCAATTCCCACCTGAGTGAGAACATGTGGTATTTGGTTTTCTGTCCTTGTGATAGTTTGCTCAGAATGATGGTTTCCAGCTTCATCCATGTCCCTACAAAGGACATGAACTCATCCTGTTTTCTGGCTGCATAGTATTCCATGGTGTATATGCACCACATTTTCTTAATCCAGTCTATCATTGATGGACATTTGGGTTGGTTCCATGTCTTTGCTATTGTGAAGTGCCGTAATAAACATACATGTGCATATGTCTTTATAGTAGCATGATTTATAATCCTTTGGGTATATACCCAGTAATGGGATTGCAGGGTCAAATAGTATTTCTAGTTCTAGATCCTTGAGGAATCGCCACACTGTCTTCCACAATAGTTGAACTAGTTTACACTCCCACCAACAGTGTAAAAGTGTTCCTATTTCTCCGCATCTTCTCCAGCACCTGTTTCCTGATTTTTTAATGATCACCATTCTAACTGGTGTGAGATGGTATCTCACTGTGGTTTTGATTTGCATTTCTCTGATGACCAGTGATGATGAGTATTTTTTCATGTGTCTGTTGGCTGCATAAATGTCTTCTTTTGAGAAGTGTCTGCTCATGTCCTTTGCCCACTTTTTGATGGGGTTGTTTGATTTTTTCTTGTAAATTCGCTTAAGTTCTTTGTAGATTCTGGGTATCAGCCCATTGTCAGATAGGTAGATTGCAAAAATTTTCTCCATTCTGTAGGTCGCCTGTTCACTCTGATGACAGTTTCTTTTTTTTTGAGATGGAGACTTGCTCTGTCGCCCAGGCTGGAGTGCAGTAGCGCAATCTCGGCTCACTGCAAGCTCTGCCTCCTGGGTTCACGCCATTCTCCTGCCTGAGCCTCCCAAATAGCTGGGACTATAGGCGCCCACCACCACACCTGGCTATTTTTTTGTATTTTTAGTAGAGACGGGGTTTCACCATGTTAGCCAGGATGGTCTCGATCTCCCGACCTCGTGATCCGCTCGCCTCGGCCTCCCAAAGTGCTAGGATTACAGGCGTGAGCCACCGCACCTAGCCGATGGTAGTTTCTTTTGCTGTGCAGAAGCTCTTTAGTTTAATTAGATCCCATTTGTCAATTTTGGCTTTTGTTGCCATTGCTTTTCGTGTTTTAGACATGAAGTCCTTGCCCGTGCCTATGTCCTGAATGGTATTGCCCAGGTTTTCTTCTACGGTTTTTATGGTTTTAGGTCTAACATTTAAGTCTTTAATCCATCTTGAATTAATTTTTGTATAACGTGTAAGGAAGGGATCCAGTTTCAGCTTTCTACCTACGGCTAGCCAGTTTTCCCAGCACCATTTATTAAATAGGGAATCCTTTCCTCATTTCTTGTTTTTGTCAGGTTTGTCAAAGATCAGATGGTTGTAGATGTGTGGTATTATTTATGAGGGCTGTGTTCTGTTCCACTGGTCTATATCTGTTTTGGTACCAGTACCACGCTGTTTTGGTTACTGCAGCCTTGTAGTATAGTTTGAAGTCAGGTAGTGTGATGCCTCCAGCTTTGTTCTTTTGGCTTAGGATTGGCTTGGCAATGCGGGCTCTTTTTTGGTTCCATATGAACTTTAGAGTAGTTTTTTCCAATCCTGTGAAGAAAGTCATTGGTAGCTTGATGGAGATGGCATTGAATCTATAAATTACCTTGCACAGTACAGCCATTTTCATGATACTGATTCTTCCTATTCATGAGCATGGAATGTTCTTCCATTTGTTTGTGTCCTCTTTTATTTTGTTGAGCAGTAGTTTGTAGTTCTCCTTGAAGAGGTCCTTCACATCCCTTGTAGGTTGGATTCCTAGGTATTTTATTCTCTCTGAAGCAACTGTGAATGGGAGTTCACTCATAATTTGGCTGTTTATGTGTTATTGGTGCATAAGAATGCTTGTGATTTTTGCACTTTGATTTTGTATCCTGAGACTTTAAGGAAGTTGCTTATCAGCTTAAGGAGATTTTGGGCTGAGATGATGGGGTTTCCTAAATATACAATCATGTCATCTGCAAACAGGGACAATTTGACTTCCTCTCTTCCTATCTGAATACCCTTTATTTCTTTCCCTTGCCTGACCGCCCTGGCCAGAACTTCCAACACTATGTTGAATAGGAGTGATGAGAGAAAGACAGAAAACTGTCTTGTGCCAGTTTTCAAAGGGAATGCTTCCAGTTTTTGCCCATTCAGTATGATACTGGCTGTGGGTCTGTCTTAAACGGCTATTATTTTGAGTTACATTCCATAAATACCTAATTTATTGAGAGTTGAATTTTGTCAAAGGCCTTTCCTGCCTCTATTGAGATAATCATGTGGTTTTTGTCTTTGGTTCTGTTTATGTTATGGATTACGTTTATTGATTTGCATATGTTGAACCAGCCTTGCATCCCAGGGATGAAGCCAACTTGATCTTGGTGGATAAGCTTTTTGATGTGCTGCTGGATTCAGTTTGCCGGTATTTTATTGAGGATTTTCGCATCGATGTTCATCAGGGATATTGGTCTAAAATTCTCTTTTTTTGTTGTGTCTCTGCCAGGCTTTGGTATCAGGATGATGCTGGCCTCATAAAATGAGTTAGGGAGAGTTCCCTCTCTATTGATTGGAAAAGTTTCAGAAGGAATGGTACCAGCTCCTCTTTGTAGCTCTGGTAGAATTTGGCTGTGAATCAGTCTGGTCCTAGACTTCTTTTGGTTGGTAGGCTATTAATTATTGCCTCAATTCCGGAGCCTGTTATTGGTCTATTCAGAGATTCAACTTCTTTCTGGTTTAGTCTTGGGAGGGTGTATGTGTCCGGGCATTTATCCATTTCTTTTAGATTTTCTAGTTTATTTGCTTAGAGGTATTTATAGTATTCTCTGATGGTAGTCTGTATTTCTGTAGGATCAGTGGTGATATCCCCTTTATCATTTTTTATTGCATCTATTTGATTCTTCTTTTCTTCTTTATTAGTCTTGCTAGTGGTCTATCAATTTTGTTGATCTTTTCAAAAACCCAGCTCCTGGATTCACTGATTTTTTTGAAGGGTTTTTTGTGTCTCTATCTCCTTCAGTTCTGCTCTGATCTTAGTTATTTCTTGCCTTCTGCTAGCTTTCGAACTTGTTTGCTCTTGCTTCTCTAGCTCTTTTAATTGTGATGGTAGGGTGTGAATTGTAGATCTTTCCTGCTTTCTCTTGTGGGCTATTAGTGCTATAAATTTACCTCTACACACAGCTTTAAATGTGTCCCAGAGATTCTGGTTCGTTGTGTCTTTGTTCTTATTGGTTTCAAAGACATCTTTATTTCTGCCTTCATTTCGTTATTTACCCAGTAGTCATTCAGGAGCAGGCTGTTCAGTTTCCACGTAGTTGTGTGGTTTTGAGCGACTTTCTTAATCCTGAGTTCTAATTTGACTGCACTGAGGTCTGAGAGACAGTTTGTTGTGATTTCTGTTCTTTTACATTTGCCAAGGAGTGCTTTACTTTCAACTATGTGGTCAATTTTGGAATAAGTACGATGTGGTGCTGAGAAGAATATATTCTGTTGATTTGGGGTGGAGAGTTCTGTAGATGTCTATTAGGTCTGCTTGGTGCAGAACTGAGTTCAAATCCTGGATATCCTTGTTAACCTTCTGTCTCATTGATCTGTCTAATATTGACAGTGGGGTGTTAAAGTCTCCCATTATTATTATGTGGGAGTCTAAGTCTCTTTGTAGGTCTCTAAGGACTTGCCTTATGAATCTGAGTGCTCCTGTATTGGGTGCATATATATTTAGGATAGTTAGCTCTTCTTGTCGAATTGATCCCTTTACCATTATGTGATGGCCTCGTCTCTTTTGATCTTTGTTGGTTTAAAGTCTGTTTTATCAGAGACTAGGATTGCAACCCCTGCTTTTTTTTGCTTTCCACTTGCTTGGTAGATCTTTCTCCATCCCTTTATTTTGAGCCTACGTGTGTCTCTGCATGTGAGATGGGTCTCCTAAATACAGCACACTGATGGGTTTTGCGTCTTTATCCAGTTTGCCAGTCTGTGTCTTTTAATTGGGGCATTTAGCCCATTTATATTTAAGGTTAGTATTGTTATGTGTGAATTTGATCCTGTCACTATGATGTTAGCCGGTTATTTTGGCCATTAGTTGATGCAGTTTCTTCCGAGCATCGATGGTCTTTACAATTTTGCATGTTTTTGCAGTGGCTGGTACCGGTTGTTCCTTTCCATCTTTAGTGCTTCCTTCAGAAGCTCTTGTAAGGCAGGCCTGGTGGTGACAAAATCTCTCAGCATTTGCTTATCTGTAAAGGATTTTATTTCTCCTTCACTTATGAAGCTTAGTTTGGCTGGATATGAAATTCTGGGTTGAAAATTCTTTTCTTTAAGAATGTTGAATATTGGCCCCCACTCTCTTCTGGCTTGTAGAGTTTCTGCTGAGAGATCCACGGTTAGGCTGATGGGGTTCCCTTTGTGGGTAACCTGACCTTTCTTTCTGGCTGCTCTTAACATTTTTTCCTTCATTTTTATCTTGGGGAATCTGACAATTGTGTGTCTTGGGGTTGCTCTTCTCAAGGAATTATCTTTGTGGTGTTCTCTGTATTTCCTGAATTTGAATGTTGGCCTGCCTTGCTAGGTTGGGGAAGTTCTCCTGGATAATATCCTGAAGTGTCTTCCAGCTTGGTTCCATTCTCCCCGTCACTTTCGGGTACACCAATCAAACGTAGATTTGGTATTTTCACATAGTCCTGTATTTCTTGGAGGCTTTGTTTGTTTCTTTTTACTCTCTTTTCTCTAAACTTCTCTTCTCACTTCATTTCATTAATTTGATCTTCAATCACTGATACCCTTTCTTCCACTAGATCGAATCGGCTACTGAAGCATGTGCATGTGTCATGTAGTTCTCGCGCCATGGTTTTCAGCTCCATCAGGTCATTTAAGGTCTTCTCTACACTGTTTATTCTAGTTAGCCATTTGTCTAATCTTTTTTCAAGGTTTTTAGCTTCCTTGCGATGGGTTCGAACATCCTCCTTTAGCTTGGAGAAGTCTGTTATTACCAACCTTCTGAAGCCTACTTCTGTCAACTTGTCAAAGTCATTCTCCATCTGGCTTTGTTCCATTGCTGGCGAGGAGCTGCAATCCCTTGGAGGAGAAAAGGCACTCTGGTTTTTAGAATTTTCAGCTTTTCTGCTCTGGTTTCTCCCCATCTTTGTGGTTTTATCTGCCTTTGGTCTTTGATGATGGTGACCTACAGGTGGGGTTTTGGTGTGGATGTCCTTTTAGTTTATGTCGATGCTATTCCTTTCTGTTTGTTAGTTTTCCTTGTAACAGTCAGGTCCCTCAGCTGCAGTCTGTTGGGAGTTTGCAGGAGGTCCACTCCAGACCTTACTTGCTGGGGTATCACCAGCGAAAGCTGCAGAACAGCAAATATTGCAGAACAGCAAATATTGCTGCCTGATCCTTCCTCTGGAAGCTTCGTCTCAGAGGGGCACCTGGCTGTATGAGGTGTCAGTCAGCCCCTACTGGGAGGTGTCTCACAGTTAGGCTACACGGGGGTCAGGGACCCACTTGAGGAGGCAGTCTGTCTGTTCTCAGAGCTCAAACTCCGTGCTGGGAGAATCACTGCTCTCTTCAGAGCTGTCAGACAGGGATGTTTAAGTCTGCAGAAGTTTCTGCTGCCTTTTGTTCAGCTATGCCCTGACCCCAGAGGTCAAAAAATATTATTTATATTAAATTCTGTCTCTATAACATGGATGGATTTTGAAAGTATTATGGTAAATAAAACAAGCCAGTCACAAAGACCATGTATTTCAAGAGTACACTTATATAAAATGTCCAGAACAGGCAAATCTATAGAGACAGAAAGTAGATGATGTTTGCCTGGTGTTGGAGAGAAATGGGAGTGACTGCTAATGGGTACTGTTTTCTTTTTGGGGAGGAAATAATGTTCTAAAACTTTTTGTGGTGATGTCTGCAAAACTCTTCTGGTATGACTTTTTCCTCTTGGGTAATTTTAGGATTAAGACTGATAACTGTGAGTTTGCCAGGACTTGGTTCTCTCTCCAAGGTATCTAGTTGGGTCATTATAATGGCCAGATTGGCATAAGTAGATGTGGAGATGATAGAGGACCTCAATGAACACTAGTCTTCCTTTCATCTTCTTTCATACTAAATTTCTCTCACACACACATTTTTACATGATCATATAGAACTAAAGGGATATCATCCTTAACATTAGTCAAGATCACAAGTTTTGAGAGACTTTCTTTGGACAATTCTTTGTCGCTACTGACATTTCCATAAGACTATTTAAAAAATAAATGCTGGCCAGGCACGGTGGCTCATGCCTGTAATCCCAGCACTTTGGGAGACTGAGCTGGGTGGATCACGAAGTCATGAGTTTGAGACCAGCCTGCCCAACATAGTGAAACCTCATCACTACTAAAAATACAAAAAATTAGCTGGGTATGGTGGCAGGTGCCTATAATCCCAGCTACTCGGGAGGCTGAGGCAGGAGAATGGCTTGAACCCGGGAGGAGGAGGTTGCAGTGAGCTGAGATCACACTATTGCACTCCAGCCTGGGCGACAGTACAAGACTCTGTCTCAAATAAAAAAAAAGAAATAATGAGGGTCCTTTTCAAAAAAATATGCTCTGAAGTCCCTTCGGCAACCTGTCTTTGGCTACTACAAAGAATTATTCTAAGATTAAACAGGCCAGGCACGGTGCCTCAGGCCTGTAATCCCAGCACTTTGGGAGGCTGAGGTGGACAGATCACCTGAGGTTAGCAATTTGAGACCAGCCTGGCCAACATGATAAAACACCATCTCTACTAAAAACACAAAAATTAGATGAGTGTGGTGGCGCATGCCTGTAGTCCCAGCTACCTGTGAGGCTGAGGCAGCAGAATCACTTCAACCCAGGAGGCGGAGGCTGCAGTGAGCTGAGATCGTGCCACTGCACTCCAGTCTGGGCGACAGAGTGGGACCATGTCTCAAAAAAAAAAAAAAAAAAAAAGATTAAAAATGACTGTTAAAAGTTGTTGGGAAGGATGTATACGCACGTGTGTACACTTTAAGACAGAAAACACATACATGGCACATGCACACAGTAATGAGAGAAGTTAAAAACAAAAGTAGGGCTGGGTGCAGTGGCTCACGCCTATAATCCCAGCACTTTTGGTGGCAGAGGTGGGTGGACCACTTGACGTCAGGAGTTTGAGACCAGTCTGGCCAACATGGTGAACCCCGTCTCTACTAAAAATACAAAAATTAGTTGGGTGTGGTGGCACACGCCTGTAATCTCGGCTACTTGGGAGGCTGAGGAAGGAGAATAGCTTGAACACAAGAGGCGGAAGTTGCAGTGAGCAAAAATCATGCCACTGCACTCCAGCCTGGGTGATAGAGTGAGACTCCATCTCAGAAAACAAAACAAAACAAAACAAAACAAAACAAAAACCCCCAAACAAAAATAGTTTGTGGTGATCAAATAGTACTGTATCTTGATAGTGATGGTGGTTGTACGACTCTACATGGAATCCACCGCACAGACACACATACAAACAAATGAGTGCACGTAAAAACTGGTGAAAACTAAGTAAGGCCAGTAGTCTAGTTAATGGTATAACACCAGTGTCAATTTCTTGGTTTTGATATTGCCCTACAGTTATATAATATGTGACCACTGGGGGAAGCTGGAGGAATGGTTCAAAGAACTCTGGGTACTCTTTTGCAACTTCCTATGAATCTACAGTCACTTCAAAAAAAGTTTGTTTAATAGAGAAAAAAGAGCCAAGTGCAGTGGCTCATGCCTGTAATTCCAGTAGTTTGGGAAGAATGCTTGAGCCCAGGAGTTCAAGACCAGCCTGGGCAACATAGCAAGACCTTGTCTCAACAAAAATAAAAATTAGCTGTGTATGTTGACACATGCCTGTTGTCCTAGCTACTCGGGAAGCTGAAGCAGGAAGACTGCTTGAGCCCAAGTTTGAAGTTACAGTGAGCTATGATTGTTGATATGGTTTGGCTCTGTGTCCCCACACAAATCTCATCTTGAATTGTAGCTCCCATAATTCCCACATTATGGGAGGGACCTGGTGGGAGATAACTGAATCATGGGGGCAGTCTCCCCAATACTGTTCTTGTGGTAGTAAGTCTCACGAGATCTGATGGTTTTATAAGGGGTTTCCCCTTTCATTTGGCTCATTCTGTTTTGCCTGCCACCATGTAAGATGTGCCTTTTACCTTCCACCATGATTGTGAGGCCTCCCCAGCCACGTGGAACTATGAGTCCATTAAACCTCATTTTCCTTTATAAATTATCCAGTCTCAGGTATGTCTTTAACAGCAGCATGAAAATGAACTAATAAAGTAAACTGGTGCCAGCAGAGTGGGGAGCTGCTATAAAGATACCTGAAAATGTGGAAGCAACTTTGGAACTGGGTAACAGGCAAAGTTTGGAACAGTTTGGAGGGCTCAGAAGAAGACAGAAAAATGTAGGAAAAGTTTGGAACTTCCTAGAGACTTGTTGAATAGCTTTGATCAAAATGCTGATAATGATATGGACAGTGAAATCCAGGCTGAGGTGGTCTCAGATGGAGATGAGGAACTTGTTGGAAACTGGAGTAAAGGTGACTCTTGCTATATTTTAGCCAAAAGACTGGTGACATTTTGTCCCTGCCTCAGAGATGTGTGGAACCTTTAACTTGAGGGAGATGATTTAGGGTATCTGGCAGAAGAAATTTCCAAGCAACAAAGCATTTAAGAGGTGACTGGAGTGCTGTTAAAAGCATTGTCTCATTTATTTTTATTTTTTTATTTTTATTTTTTTGAGATGAAGTTTTGCTTTGTCACCCAGGCTGGAGTGCAGTGGGGTGATCTCAGCAGTACAGTGAGGCGATTTCAACTCACTGCAACCTCTGCCTTCCAGGTTCAAGTGATTCTCCTGCCTCAGCCTCCCGAGTAGCTGAGATTACAGGCACCCGCCAACAGGCCCGGCTAGTTTTTGTATTTTTAGTAGAGATACGGTTTCACCATGTTGGCCAGGCTGGTCTCAAACTCCTGATATCAAAACAATCCACCCACCTTGGCCTCCCAAAGTGCTGGGACTAGAGGTGTGAGCTACTGCACCCAGTCAGCATTCAGTTTTAAAAGGAAAACAGAGCATAAAAGTTTGGAAAATTTGCAGCCTCAGGATGCGATAGAAAAGAAAAACTCATTTTGTGAGAAGAACTGCAAGCTGGCAGCAGAAATTTGCATGAGTAACGAGCAGCCAAATGCTAATCTCCAAGACAATGGAGAAAATGTCTCCAGGACATTTCAGAGAACTTTGTGGCAGCCCCTCCTATCACAGGCCCAGAGGCCTAGGAGGAAAAAATGGTTTTGTGAGTTGAGCCCAGGGCCCCCCTGCTGTGTGCAGACTAGGGACTTGGACCCCTGTGTCCCAGCTGCTCTACTCATAGCTAAAAGGGACCAACGTACAGCTTAGACCATAGCTTCCAAGGGGGCAAGTCCCAAGCCTTAGCAGCTCCCACATGGTGTTGAGCCTGTGGGTGCCCAGAAGTCAAGAATTGAGGTTTGGGAACCTCTGCCTAGACTTCAGAATGTATGGGAACGCCTGCATGTCCAGGCAGAAGTTTGCTGCAGGGTGAGGTCCTCATGAAAAACCTCTGCTAGGGCAGTGTGGAAGGGAAATATTGGGTTGAAGCCCTTACACAGAGTCCCCACTGGGGCACTGCCTAGTGGAGCTATGAGAAGAGGGCCACTGTGCTCCAGACCACAGAATGGCAGATCCACTGAAAGCTTGCACCGTGTGCCTGAAAAAACCACAGACACTCGACGCCAGTCCGTGAAAGCAGCTGGGAGGGAGGCTGTACCCTTCAAAGCCACAGGGGCGGAGCTGCCCAAGACCATGGGAACCCACCTCTTGCAACAGCATGACCTGGATGTGAGACATGGAGTCAGAAAAGATCATTTTGGAGCTTTATGATTTGACTACTCCACTGGATTCCAGACTTGCATGGGGCCTTTAGCTCCTTCATTTTGGCCAATTTCTTCCATTTGGAATGGTTGTATTTATCCAATGCATGTACCCCCACTGTATCTAGGAAATAACTAACTTGCTTTTGATTTTACAGGCTCACAGGCAGAAGAGACTTGCCTTGTCTCAGATGAGACTTTGGACTGTGGACTTTTTGAGTTAATGCTGAAATGAGTTAAGACTTTGGAGGACTGTTGCGAAGGCATGATTGGTGTTGAAATGTGAGGACATGAGATTTGCGAGGGGCCAGGGTGGAATGATATGATTTGGCTGTGTCCCCACCCAAATCTCATTTTGAATTATAGTTCCCATAATTCCCACGTGTTGTGGGAGGGACCTGGTGAAAGATAACTGAATCATAGGGCCGGTTCCCCAACACTGTTTTCATGCTAGTGAATAAGTCTCATGAGAGCTGATGGTTTTATAAGGGGTTTCCCCTATCTCTTGGCTCTCATTCTCGTCTGCCACCATATAAGACATGCCTTCCACCTTCCGCCATGATTGTGAAGCCTCCCCAGTCATGTGGAACTATAAGTCCATTAAACCTCTTTTTGCTTTATAAATTACCCAGTCTCGGGTATGTCTTTAATGGCAGCATGAAAACAGATTAATACAATTGTGCCACTGCACTCTAGCCTGGGTGACACAGTGAAACCCTGTCTCAAAATAAAATAATAAAACAAAATAAACAAAAAAGGTAGCAAAAACTTTAATAAGAAATTGCCTGAAACACACATCTAAACAGATTTGTGAAAACCATATAAAATTGTATACATACATTAAACAATATTTTTCTACATGTATAGCACACAAAACATTTTTCTAACTACTTTTATATTTATCATTTATTTTTAATTTTTTTGTTTTAGAGAGGAGGTTTTGCTATGTTGCCCAGGCTGGTCTCGAACTCCTGGGCTCAAGTGATCCTGCCACCTCAGCCTTCTAAAGTGCTAGAATTACAGGTGAGAACCGCCATGCCCAGCCTTTTTTTTTTCTTTTTTTTTTTTTCTGAGACAGAGTCTCCCTGTTACCCAGGCTGGAGTGCAGTGGCACAATCTAGGCTCAATGCAACCTCCACCTCCCAAGTTCAAGCAATTCTCATGCCTCATCCTCCCAAGTAGCTGGGATTACTGGCATGCGTCACCACACTCGGCTAATTTTTTGTATTTTTACTAGAGACAGGATTTCGCCATGCTGGCCAGGCTGGTCTCGAACTACTGACAGTGATCCACCCACCTCAGTAACCCAAAGTGCTAGGAACTACAGGCATGAGTCACCATGCCCAGCTCTATCACATATTTTTAAGGTCTCACTATGTTGCTTTTACATTTCTTTTCACTATCCTCATAACATCCACATGAGGAAATACAGAATAACCCTCATTTTAGAGATGGGAAAACTGAGGCTCCGAAAGGATGAAGTTCTCTGCCACAGCCTACAGTAAGCAGGTCAAAGAGGCTGGTGGCAGCATGACATGGTAGAAAAACACATATTATGGAATCACATAGACACAGGAATCTAAACTTAGCTCTACTACTAGCTATGTGACTTGAGCCAGTTACTCAACTTTTCTGAGTCTGTTTCCTCATTTGTAAAATGCTATTAATACCATCACTTCGTTGGAATGTCATGAGGATTTAGAAAGATACTATTTAAATGTATAGTATAATGCTTTGGCATGGGGTTAAGTGGTTCTGATGTTCTTCTCATAACCTTCTTACGTAGACTTTGGGAAAGCCCTGGAAGAATTCTTTGTTAGCAGATTTAATTCTGAGTCCATCACAGGACAAAATACTTCTGTTCCACCATTACTTACCTAAAACAAAGCCAACCTGAATGGCTTTTTCCTTTACTGCAGCATCTGATTCTGCTATATAAGAGCACCGCCTACTGAATGAGTAGGCCAAGACTGAAGCAACTTTAACACCATGATCCATCAAAGCCTGAAAACAATGATGAAGCAAATGTCTGTAAGAAAAGAAAAAGATTATTTTATAGAGTTAATTTATTTTTCTCCTTTTAGAAAGTGCTAACTGCTTCTCTTTTAAATAATAGCACCATTATTTTCCAGGACGGAATAAGATAAAAAGCATTTTGCCTTATCAATTACAAGGCCATAATTCAAAATTTAGCCTAATCTCTTCACTCAGTGGATAACTGAGTGATCCTACAACATTCAGGAAAAGTACACAATGTGTAACTTGATGACAAGGAAGGATGAAGCTAACTTTTAAAATTGGCTTTTAAAAACCAAATTATAATTCACAATAAAAAGGTACATAACCCAGTTTTTAAAAGGCAATGAAGATAGAAGAGTTTTTTTTGTTTTGTTTTGTTTTTTTTTTTTTTTTTTGAGATGGAGTCTCACTCTGTTATCCAGGCTGGAGTGCAGTGGCGTGGTCTCGGCTCATTGCAATCTCCACCTCCCTGGTTCAAGCGATTCTCCCGCCTCAGCCTCCCAAGTAGCTGGAACTACAGGTACGTGTCACCATGCCCAACTAATCTTTTTTGTATTTTTAGTAGAGACAGGGTCTCACCATGTTAGCCGGGATGCTCTCAATCTCTTGACCTTGTGATCTACCCACCTCGGCCTCCCAAAGTGCTGGGATTACAGGTGTGAGCCACCACGCCTGGCTGATATGAACAGATATTTCTCCACAAAAGATATATAAATGCCAATAAACACGAAATAAGAGGCTCAACATCATTAATGATTAGGGAAATGCAAACCAAAATCATGAGATACCCCTTTACACCCAATAGAATTTTTAAAAATATTTTATTTATTTATTATTTATTTATTTATTTATTTATTTATTTATTTATTTATTTATGTTTTAGAGACAAGGTCCTGCTCTGTCATCCAGGCTGGAGAGAAGTGGCATGATCATAGCTCACTGTAGCCTTGAACTGGTCTCAATTAAGATCCTCCTGCTTCAGCCTCCACAGTAGCTGGGACTATGGATGCCTGTCACTGCACCCTGCTATAATTTTTTTTGAAGTGTTGTCATGAGGTGAAAAAACGGGAACCCTCATACATTGGCGGTGGGATTATAAAATGATATGGCTGCTGTGAAAAAGTGTAGTGGTTCCTCAAAAAGTTAATCATAGGGTTACCATATTATACACCCTAGGTATATACTCAAGAGAATTGAGACTATATACACACAAAATATTGTCCAACCACATTCACAGCAGCATTATTCATAATAGCCAAAAGGTGGAAACAACTCAAATGTTCATGAACAGATGACTGGATAAGCAAAATGCAGTATTATCCTTACGATGGAAAATTATTCAGCCATAAAAAAGGAAAGTAGTACTGATGCAAGCAACAACATGAATGAACCTTAAAAACATTATGCTAAGTGTCAGTCACAAAAGACCATATAAGAATCAACTTATATAAAATATCTAGACTAGGCAAATCCAGAGAGACAGAAAGTAGATTAATGGTCAGCTAGAAACTGAGGAAAAAGTTACTGTTAACTGAGGAAATGGTCAGCCAAGAGGAAATGGAGTTGACTGTTAATGATTTCTTTTTGTGGTGACCAAATTTTCTAGAATTAGACAGTGGTGATGGTTACAAAATCTTGTGAATAGTTGAATGGTAGAATTTAAATTGGTGAATTTTATAGTGTGTGAATCACATTTCAATAGAAAAAAAACCTTTTAAACAAAATTGTAAGAGTCACTGCTTTGGGTAAAGGAAAAAAAGGTCAAATTACATGCTTTTAGTTTCACAAATACATAAAACACTTACCAAAGGATTTGGACTTGGTGAAAGATAACCTAAGAGATGAAAAAGAGGTATTCCACTGAATCTTTACAACAGCCACGTTTAAAACTACCTACAGAGATTCAAATCCCCAAAAGCTATCCTTTCTTTAGAGTAAGGAATGTTTTTAAAAGTTTTTCTAGTCTTCTTTTACCAAAATGAGAAGTTCTTATTTATTAGATTTTTTTTTACAGCCTAACTTTAATCAACTAATCAAGAAGTTTCTCTATAATCTTAGCACACAGGCCACATTTCAAAGTTACCCTTGAACACTGAAATCATGCTGTTTACTTACTTATTTTATTTTTTTTGAGACAGAGTCTCACTCTGTCACCCAGGCTGGAGTGCAGCGGTGTGATGTTGGCTCACTGCAACCTCCGCCTCCCGGGTTCAAGTGATTCTCCTGCCTCAGCCTCCCGAGTAGCTGGGATTACAGGCATGAGCTACCACGCCCAGCTAATTTTTGTATTTTTAGTAGAGACAAGATTTCAGCATGTTGGCCAGGCTGGTCTTCAACTCCTGACCTCAGGTGATCCACCCACCTTGGCCTCCCAAAGTGCTGGGATTACAGGTGTGAGCCACCACGCCCAGCCGACTTACTTGTTTATTATCTTATCATCTCTCTCTAAAATACAAACTCCATGAGGAAGGGACCTTGTGGATCCTACTCACTGCTATGGCCCCAGCATCTAAAACAGTATCTGGAAAATGTGCTATATATACACAATGGTGTACTATTTGGCCATAAAAAAGAATGAGATCCTGTCATCTGCAACAACACGGATGGAACTGTATGGTAAGTAAAAGAAGCCAGCCAAGGAAAGAACAACTTTGCATGTAGTCACTTATTTGTGGGAGCTAAAAATTAAAATAATTGCATTCATGGATATAGAGAGGAGAAGGATGGTTACCAGAGGCTGGGAAGGGTAACTGGGAGAGGGGGGCAAATGAAGATGGTTAATGGGTACAATAAAATAGAAAGAATGAATAAAATCTAGTATTTGCTAACACAACAGGATTATAGTAAAAAATAATTTAGTTCTACATTTTAATAACTGAAAGAATATAACTGGATTGTCTGTAACACAAAGAATAAATGCTTGAGGTGATGAACACCTCATTTATCTTGATGTGATTATTACACATTGCATGCTTGTATCAAAGTATCTTATGTAACCCATAAATATATGCACCTAATATGTATGTACTATGTACCCCCAAAAACTTAAAATAAAACAGTACCTGGAACATATTAGGCACTCAGCAAGTATTTATTTAATTTGTTGAATAAATGCTAACAACTTGGTAAGATTCTTATTAGAGATCAGCAGTATTTTGTGAAACTATATTCTTATTTTCCTAGAAATGTGGGTTAGGAAATAAAATGGCAGTTAAACTTAGGGAAGAACACTAAAGAGAACAGCAAGCAGACCAGGCACGGTGGCTCACACCTGTAACCCCAGCACTTTGGGAGGCCAAGGCAGGTGGATGGCTTGAGCTTAGGAGTTTGAGACCAGCATGGGCAACATGGCGAAACCCCATCTCTACTAAAAATACAAAAAATTACCCAGGCGTGGTGGGGCATGCCTGTATTCCCAGCTACTTGGGAGTATCACCTGAGCCCTGGAAGTCGAGGCTACAGTGAGCCATGATCTTGCCACTGCACTCCAGGCTGGGTGATGGAAGTGAGACCCTGGCTCCAAAAAAAAAAAAGAACAGCAAGTACAATGAAAAGCCAGATCTGTAGCTACTACTACTACATGATGATACTTAAAACGGGAAGATGAATTCAATCTCCCTTTCTTGAACTCAAAAAGCTAAACTTCCAAAGTGTTAACTTTCCAAAGGGGATAGAAGGAGGCAGAACAAATTATCTTCTCTTTGTCACCAAGCTTCTGTTTGGGTTGTACAATTACTGCCACAATATTTTTACTATATTCTCTATGATGCTGGCAAAGACTTCTTGAGTTGTCTTAAATTGCTTTCAAATTCTACTTCTAGGTATGTATCTAATAGATATGCATACATATGTTCACCAAAAAACATTTACAAGAATGTTCAGGGCAGCAAGAGTTATAATAGCTAAAAAGTGGAAACAGCCCAAATGTCCATCAATAATAGAATGAATAATACTGTATTCACATAATAAAACACCATATATATATACAGCAACAAGAATGAACACACTGTAATTGCACATAACATAGGTGATTCTCATAAAACAATACTGGGGGAAAAAAAAGCCAGACACAAAAGGGCACAAACTGTATAATTGTATTTAATATGTTCTAAAATACATAAAATGAATCTAGTGGTTACCCTAGGGGAGGGGAAGTAGTGACTGGAAAAAGACAAGACAGGGGTTCTGGTAACAACTGCAAATAAACATAATTCATAGTGAAATAATACCAGGTATATGGAAAAACTAATTGAGACAATTTCTCAATGAAACAACTTTATAGATTTATATTGGTACTATACTTATGAGGCAAAATTATTTTATCCACTCTAAATTTTCTGATATAATCATATTTATGAAATAATTTCTAAACCACATAAGAAATTAGTCAAAAATAAACGTAACTTCATGCATTAAAAAGAGGTGTAATGGAATTTTAAAAAACAAGTAACCTAAAAATGAAATTTATGTCCCAGCACTTTGGAAGACTGAGACAAGAGGATCACTTGAGCCCAGGAGTTCGAGACCAGCCTGGGCAACACAGCGAGACCTCATCTCTACTAAAAATAAAAAAATTAGCTGGGTGTGATAGCATGCGCCTATAGTCCCAGCTACTCAGGAGGCTGAGGTGGGAGGATGGCTTTGAGCCAAGGAGAGTTTGAGTTTGCAGTGAGCTACGAACATGCCACTGAACTCCATCCTGGCAACAGAACAAGACTGTGTCTCAAAAAAAAAAAAAATATGGAAAACAGTATGACAGTTCCTCAAAAAAACTGGAAATAAGAGTTGGGTGCAGTGGCATAGCGCCTTTAGTCCCAGCTAGCAGAGAGGCTGAAAAACGAGGATCCCTTGAGCCCAGGAGTTCGAGGGCAGCCTGTACAACATAGTCAAACTAAGTCTCTTAAAAAATAAACAAAAGTAGAATTACCATATAATCCAGCAATTCAACTTCTGAGTATATAACCAAAATAACTGAAGGCAGGGGCTTGAAGAGATATTTCTACGCTCATGTTCACAGCAGTATTATTCACACTAGCCAAAAGGTAGAAAGAACCCAAATATCCATTGACAGATGAATAGATAAACAAAATGTGGTATATGCACACAATGGAATATAATCTAGCCATAAAAAGAAATGAAATTCTGACTTGTACTACAACATAGATAAACCTTAAAAACATTATGCTAAATGAAATACAATACACACAAAAGGATAAACATTATAAGGATTCCACTTATATGGGAAATCAGAGAAGTCAAACTCATCTAAAGTACAATGGTGGCTACACAGGATAAGGGAAAGAGAGAATGGGGAGTTACTATTTAGTGGGTAAGGAGTTTTTGTTCAGGGTGATTAAAAAGTTCTGGAAATGAATGGTGTTGATGGTTGCACAATGTGAATATACTTTTTTTTTTTTTTTTTGAGACGGAGTCTTGCTCTGTCACCCAGGCTGGAGTGCAGTGGCGCGATCTTGGCTCACTGCAAGCTCCGCCTCCCAGGTTCACGCCATTTTCCTGCCTCAGCCTCCCAAGTAGCTGGGACTAAGGCGCCTACCACCACGCCCAGCTAATTTTTTGTATTTTTAGTAGAGACAGGGTTTCATCACGTTAGCCAGGAAGGTCTCGATCTGACCTCGTGATCTGCCCACCTCAGCCTCCCAAAGTGCTGGGATTACAGGCGTAAGCCACAGCACCCAGCCCACAATGTGAATATACTTAATGCCACTCAATTCGGTTAAAATGGTAAATTTTATGTTATGTATATTTTACAATTTTTTAAAAAAGAATTTACCTTTTATCCAAAGCTCTCAGTACTTTAGCAAAAACTTCCAATTCACAAAATTCACTGCCCAGTTGACATAAGCGTCCCTGTTGGTAAAGCTGAAATAAAAAACAAATGATTTAAAAATTTTGCAATTTAATTCTTCTTTTTACTTTAATCATATTTGATAAATGTAATTTGATTAATTTCAGGAAAGATGCTTATGTTAAGAGAAATGTAACACTAACAAATTTCTACAATTCATATAAAAATATTTTAATAGTTGCATATAATCGTTACAAATTGGTATTTGTAAACCACCTAGAACAGTACCTGGAACATGGCAAGTACTACAAAGTGCTGTATAATTATGTATTCATTAAATACAGATAAAAATCATGTTAAACTGTTAACTTTTTTACTTAAACAAAACTGGAGAGTCGGTGTAAAATTATCAAAATAATAGCAAAGATAATGTCCAGAAAACAGAGCTGGTCAATATGGCCACCTCAAAAATCTCAGTTCAGTCCTGGTTATAACACGTCAAAAACACACCAATAGTAGAGCATGTCAATAGTAATACAGGATGGCAGGATTTCTAATTATGCCATAATCGTTTATACATTCTGACTTTTTAGAACTACAATTTAAAATAACATTTTAAGGCTGGGCGCTGTGGTTTGATCCTGTCATTCCAGCTACTAAGGAGGCAAAGGAGGGAGTATTGCTTGAGGCCAGAGTTTGAGACAGGCCTGGGCAACATAGCAAGACCCTATTTATAAAATATAAATAAATTCGCTAGGTGTGGTGGCATGCACCTGTAGTCTCAGCTATTTGGGAGGTTGAGGCAAGGGGACTGCTTGAGCCCAGGAGTTGGAGACCAGCCTGGGCAACATAGTGACACCCTGTCTCTAGAATACACAGCCTGGGTGAGAGTGAGACCCTGTCTCAAAAAAATTATAAATAAATAAACAGAAAGACAAATACTATTGTCCCTCCCTGCAACCCCGCCTCAATGTCACCAAATGCTTTTTGAGACAGTCTTGCTCTGTTGCCCAGGCAATACAATACCCAAGAGTGTGTAGTGGTGCAATCTCGGCTCACTGCAACCTCTGCCTCCCGGGTTCAAGCAATCCTCCCACCTCAGCATCCCTAGTAGCTAGGATTACAGGCATGCATCACCATGCCTAATTTTTTTTTTGTATTTTTAGTAGAGACGGGGTTTCACCATGTTGGCCAGGCTGGTCTTGAACTCCTGACCTCAAGACCAAATGCTTCTAAATTTACACATGCTATATAAATAATACAGTGCCTTAGAAAGCAGGATTTATTTGACTTTATATTACAGGCATTTAACAGCTCAGTTGATGAGAACATGGGTTTCATAAAGAAAACAAGGTCACTCTCCAAATGGGCCAGTTTACTTGGTGCATGGAAAACATAATAAAACCTCAGCACACTCCTGGGCATAAATCACTAGTCACAATGGAGGTCAGGTCGAATTAGGTAAATATATTAATCCAAATCCATAATGACTGCTTCAAAAAATCTGTAACTCCTGGAGGGGAGAGGGGACAGGGACCACCACATGCTCACGAAGGAAAGGCAGAAATGTTATCTTCATGTAATAGTTAGACATTTATGTTAACATTAAAACCTTCAGCAAGAAAGATTTGTTATTTTTATTTATTTATTTATTTATTTTTTAATGGTCTTACTCTGTCATCCAGGCTGCAGTATAGTGGCACAATTATAGCTCAATGCAGCACTGCAGTCTCAAACTCCTGGGCTCAAGTGATCTTCCTGCCTCAGACTCTCTGAGTGCTGGGGTTACAGGCGTGAGCCACTGCGTTCAGCCTATATTTGCTATCCTTATAGAGGACTCTGTTTTCTGCTATAGAAAAGTAAGAGCTTCTGGGAATGCATGCTGTAAAATTCACTACTATTAACTGCTGTCTTATTTACTTGACAACCAAAACAGAATAACTCAGGGAAAGTAAAGCTGAGAACTTACGACCACATTCTTATAACATGGGCTTAACAAGGTGATAAATTTCTGATTTGCGACACAACAGTTACCAAAATAAATACAAACATACACTCCAAAAACACTAAGACAACAATCTTAGCTTCTTACCAAAATGACTGACTTTTCATTATCAAACTTAAGGCTTAGAATTTCTTTTTAAAAAAAGAATAAACAGGCTGGGCATGGTGGCTCACGCCTGTAATCCCAGCACTTTGGGAGGCCAAGGGGGGGTGGATCAGCTGAGGTCAACAGTTCAAGACCAGACTGGCCAACATGGAGAAATCCTGTCTCTACTAAAAATATAAAAATTAAACAGGCCATGGTGGCAGGCACCTGTAATCCCAGCTACTCGGGAGGCTGGGAGAGAATCGCTTGAACTCGTAAGACAGGTTGCAAGGAGCCAAGATCGCGCCACTGCACTCCAGCCTGGGTGATGGAGCAAAACTCTGTCTCAAAAAAAACAAAAAAAGAATAAACAAAAACAAGTTATACAACTACTTTGCCTAAAAACAAAATTTTATGTTATCTTACAATTCACTGCATTCCTTTAATGACTGAAACTGGTGTATCCTACTAAATGAGAGTCTATATTTGATATTTGGCTGTTTAAATTTTCTTTTTTTTTTTTTTTTGGGACAGAGTCTCTCACTCTGTCACCAGGTTGGAGTGCAGTGGCATGATCTCAGCTCACTGCAACCTCCACCTCCTGGGTTCAAGCGATTCTCCTGCCTCAGCCTCCCGAATAGCCTGGACTACCGGCGCGGGATACCACGCCCAGGTAATTTTTGTATTTTTAGTGGCGACAAGGTTTCAACATGTTAGCCAGGATGGTCTCGATTTCTTGACCTCATGATCCGCCCGCCTCAGCCTTCCAAAGTGCTGGGATTACAGGCATGAGTTTCTCTAGTTAAAATGCGCTCACATTTAAATTGACGGGAAAGGGTAATTTGTTTCAACTCATCCTTACCAAGTTTATCTAAAAAATGCAAAGTAATTTTTTTTTTTTTGAGACAGAGTTTTGCTCTTGTTGCCCAGGCTGGAGTACAGTGGCGTGACTGACTCACTGCAACCTCCACCTCTCAGGTTCAAGTGATTCCCTTGCTTCAGCCTCTGGAGTAGCTGGGATTACAGGCGCCCGCCACCACGCCCAGCTAATTTTTGTATTTTTAGTAGAGATGGGGTTTCACCATGTTGGCCAGGCTGGTCTTGAACTCCTGACCTCAGGTGATCCGCCTGCCTTAGCCTCCCAATGTGCTGGGATTATAGGTGTCTGCCACCGTGCCCGGCCTGAAATTAAGACATTTTATGAATTAAAGGGGTTTTTGGATACCAATCCAGAAAAAAAATAACTTCTAATCTTTTATGTGTCAGGCACTGTTGTCAGTGCTTTTCATAAATTATTCATTTTATCCTTTTACAGATGAGGAAACTGAGTCATATACAGTTAAATAACCTTCTCAAAATCATATAATTAGGATGGGCAAAGCAGGAATCTTACCCAGGCAGTCTGTCCCTACATCCATGTTCTTAACAACTTACCCTATATTGCCTCTTGAAGATAATATAAAAGGAAATTTTTAAAAGTATTAAATGGACAATTTAAAATATTTTTATAGAAATGATGGAAGATTTAAAGGTTAATCCCCTCATAGATTCAAACATCTTATGAAACAGAGCTTAGAAGAGAGGAAACTGATACTTTTTGTTCCAGTAATGATTCTCATATAAGATTTTTAAAACTTATTTTAGTTTATATTATGTACCCGTAGCATAATGAAGCTATTAAAGGGCTATATCAACCACTTTCAGCTGTTCCTACCTTAAACAAAAGGGAAAACAAGCTTATTTCTAGAAGTAGGCAAATTATCACCCACCAGATATAAAAACAGATAATAAAATACAATTAAAACAGTATTATACAGTTATGAAGATAGATCAACCAACAGAACAAAATGCAAAGTTCAAAAACAGACCTTAGTGTATATAAATATCAACGTATGACAAAAGAAGCATTTTAAGATCACTGAGGAAAGAAAAAAATTACTTAATAAAGAGTGCATAAAAATGGGTAAACAAAGATGCCTACCTGATAAAATGTAACAAAAAGGAATTCCAGATTTATCAAAGTTTTAAATGGTAAAAAATTATATCATAGCAGTATTAAAAGCTACCTGCTAACATTGCTTTCCTAAGCATCACATCACATAAAATTCAAGATCAGCCTGGCCAACATGGCGAAACCCTGACTATACCAAAAATATAAAAATCAGCCCGGCATGGCTGCGTGTCCCAGGTACTTGGGAAGCTGAGGCATAAGAATTGCACAAAGTCAGGAGGCGGAGGTTGCAATAAGCTGATATTGCGCACTGCACTCCAGCCTGGGTGACACTGAGACTCTTGTCTCAAAAACAACCAACCAACCAAAAAACACCTATGTTCTAAGAAAAACTGAAGGCACATAATTGCATGCACACACTCACACATACCAATGAAACCTGTGCATCTCATTCATGTTTGGAACTTTCTCAGAGAGTCTTTAAATAGCCAAAACTTCAGAAATGAAAAGGGGTTGTTATCAAGGAAAAATGGCCATGTTATATGAAGTGAACAAGTTCCTGAAACGTGTAATAAAATTCCACTTTTGCTTCTAAATTGTATATCTACATTATATATGCATCCATATAAAAATCTGAAATAATACAATGCTTATATATATGGTATAGGATTAATATCTCAAATATTTCACCTAGATTACTGTAAAGGTTTGATAGAATTAGTCCCTCCATTACCACTCTTGTCTCCCTCAAAATTACGGTCCACACAGTAACCAGAATAATCTTGTAAAAAAGTAACTCATATCATGCCATTCTCTTGTTTAAAACCTTTATTTAAATGGCACCCCCAATGTAGAACATAATCCAAAATCTTTTCTTTTTGAGACGGAGTCTCGCTCTGTCGCCTAGGTTGGAGTGCAGTGGCACGATCTTGGCTCACTGCAAGCTCCGCCTCCCGCGTTCACGCCATTCTCCTGCCTCAGCCTCCAGAGTAGCTGGGACTACAGGCGCCTGCCACCATGGCCAGCTCATTTTTTGTATTTTTAGTAGAGACGGGGCTTCACGGTGTTAGCCAGGATAGTTTCGATCTCCTGACCTTGTGATCCGCCCACCGTGGCCTCCCAAAGTGCTGGGATTAGAGGTGTGAGCCATCGCGCCTGGCCCATAATCCAAAATCTTTATTAATGTTACCTCTGAGATCCTAAAAGCCACCTGACCCCTGCGGTTTTTTTTTTTTTTTTTTTTTTTTTTTGAGATGGAGTTTCACTCTTGTTGCCCAGGCTAGAGTGTAGTGGTGCCACTTGGGATCACTACCTCTGCCTCCCGGGTTCAAGCAATTCTCATGCCTCAGTCTCTTGAGTAGCTGGGATTACAGGCGCCCGCCACCATGCCCAGCTAATTTCTGTATTTTTAGCAGAGATGGGGCTTCACCATGTTGGCCAGGCTGTTCTCGAACTCCTGACCTAGGTGATCCACCTGCCTCGGCCTCCCAAAGTGCTGGGATTACAGGTGTGAGCCACCATGCCTGGCCTTTCTTTTTTTTTTCTCCCTGGGAGACAGTCTGGCCTCTGTCTCACAAGCTGGAGGGCAGTGGCATGATCATGACTCACTGGAGCCTCAATCTCCTTCCTGGGCTCAAGCAATGCACCCACCTCAGCCCCAGATAGTAGCTGGTACTACAGGCATGCACAACCATGCCTGGCTAATTTTTCCATTTTTTCTGTAGAGATGGGGTCACACTATGTTGCCTAGCCTGGTGTACAAACTCTTGGGCTCAAGTGATACTCCCACCTAGGCCTCCCAAAGTGCTGGGATTACCGGCCTGAGCCACTGCCCCTGGCCTTGACGCCTGCCTATATTTCTGACCTCATCGTTTACTATTGTTTCTCCCTGTCTCCTACACTCCTGCCACCTTAGCTTTCTTTTGGCTCATAACTTTTGCACACATATGCTACTACCTCTACATGAAGCACTGGTAACATGATTCTTTGCCTGGTTAGTTTATAACTCATCCAAATCCTCTCAACTACACTATGTCACTTCCTCACAGAGCTCTTCCCCTGACTCAGCAATCTAAATTCTATGTCCTGTTAAACTTTCTCATGACACACTGTTTTTTTTACCTCCACAGTAGCATTAAGACATGCATGCATTCACTTAAACAGTCATTTGTTAAATATATTATTCCATCACACTCTACATTCTATGAGGTGACTACAGTCACCACTATATTCCCAATACCTAGCACAGTGCCTAGTACAAGATATACATTCAATATTTTCTTTTTTAAAAAAAACATTTTCCCCCCGGGCGCGGTGGCTCGCGCCTGTAATGCCAGCACTTTGGGAGGCCGAGGCGGGCAGATCACGAGGTCAAGAGATCGAGACCATCCTGGCCAACATGGTGAAACCCCGTTTCTACTAAAAATACAAAAATTAGCTGGGCGTGGTGGCGGGTGCCTGTAGTCCCAGCTACTTGGGAAGCTGAGGCAGGAGAATCTCTTGAACCTGGGAGGCAGAGGTTGCAGTGAGCTGAAATCACGCCACTGCACTCCAGCCTGGCGATAGAGCAAGACTCCATCTCAAAAAAATAAAAATTTTTTCTTTCTTCTCTTTTCAAAAATTTTAGATTCAGGGGTACATTTGCAGGCTTGTTACACGGTTATATTGCATAATGCTGGGGTGTGGGCTTCAAGTGAACCCATACCCAAGTAGCAAAACAGTACCCAGTAAGTAGTTTTTCAATCCTTGCCACATTAAATATTTTTCTTTTTTCTTTTTTTTTTTTTGAGACAGAGTCTCATTCCATCACCCAAGCTAGAGTGCAGTGGCAAAATCTTGACTCACTTCAACCTCTGCCTCCTGGGTTCAAGTGGTTCTCGTGCCTCAGTCTCCCAAATAGCTGGGATTAAAGGCATGTACCACCATGCCCGGCTAATTTTTATACTTTTAGTAGAGATGGGATTTTGCCATGTTGGCCAGGCTGGTCTAGAACTCCTGACCTCACGTGAGCTGCCCACCTCAGCCTCCCAAAGTGCTGGGATTACAGGCATGAGCCACAATGCCTGGCCCCCTTAAATATTTTCTAAATGAATAACCCAAATTGGTACTTAATTACTTTGGATGGAACTCAGAACCTCAGAAGACACAAAAAAATTCAAGACACAGTCTCTACTCTGGAGTTTATAATTAGGGAATCAATTATTTAGTATTGTTATTATATTACATCCTTATTTACTGAAATTATCGAGATTAACCCGGTTGGTAAATTTGATACTTTGGGAAAAACCTCACTTTCACACAGTTGACTACTGCCTCTCCAATCAGACTATAAGCACCTTTCATTTTCATGTTTTTGAATCAGGGTCTCACTGTCACCTTGGCTGGAGTACAGTGGCGTGATCATAGCTCACTGCAGCCTCCAACTCCTGGGCTCAAGAGATTCTCCCACCTCAACCTCCCAAGTAGCTACAACTAAAGACACACCCTGCTACACCCAGCCAAGTTGTTTCTTTTTTTTCCTTCTTTTTTTTTTTTTTGGAGACAGGGTCTCACTCTGCCACCCAGGCTGGAGTGCAGTGGTGAAATCCCAGCTCACTGCAGCCTCCGCTTCCTGGGCTCAAGCGATTCTCCAGCCTCAGCCTCCGGAGTAGCTGGGACTACAGGTGCGAGCCACCAATGCCTGGCTAATTTGTGTAGTTTTTGGTAGAACTGTTCTCTGATTTCAAAAAATTTAGAATCTTTCAGAACAGAAAAATAATGTTCACAGATTATATGATGAAGGTAGGCAAACTGCTTTAAGAATACAGATAAAATATCCACTCCAAGAACTTCAGATGCAGAGGAATTGCTAGTAACACTTCTAGCAATATGGCACATAGCACTGACAAAGATGCTAACCTTTCAACCCTTTTTCGGACACAGAAAGGCTGGATATATATTTAAAAAAAATCACAAAATAACTTTTGGATAAATAGCTAAATTGAAACCAAGCATAGAAACTCCACAGTTGCCAAAAATTAAGAAAACACAAACTTGAAAGCAGCTAGGAAAGAAGGAAAACAGAGTAGTTTATACCTCTGAATGGTTTCAAGCTAGAGTATCAAAGACCAGAAAGGAGCTGAGGCAGCATATCCTGTAAGCAAAGAGACCTGGAGATTAACTACCTGCCTAAAGAAGTCTAACTACCTGCCTAAAGAAGTCTAGAACATCTCCTCTAGCTTTAGCAGTCTCCTATGAAAAACTGAAACCTCCAGTCCAGGACACACATGGGTACCTAGTCCAAATTGATACTACCTAGATGATTTACAGACCCCAAACTCAGAATCTGGCATTAAAAACTAGCCTGAAACCAGTGAAACCCATGAAGTCCCCAGACAGACAAATGCAAAAACACCCAGGTGTTTCTGAGGGGAGATGAAAATGCTGTATATACTGATCAGCAAAATCTAGACTTCAGGAAACTCTTTAAAGTCTACAGGACAAACGAATGTGTTTCTTAACAAGTAAATTGCAAAGAAAATAAAACAGAAGGAAAGGTAAACTATAGATCAAGAGAGACTCAAGAGGTGTATCAAGAAAATGCTAACATGTGGAACTTACCTGCATCCTGATCCAAACAAGCAAACTATAAAAATATACACATTTGAGTCCAGGAGTGGTGGCTCATGGCTGTAATCCCAGCACTTTGGGAGGCTGAGGCAGGTGGATCACAAGGTCAGGAGTTCAAGACAAACTTGGCCAGCATGGTGAAACCCCATCTCTAATAAAAATACAAAAATTGGCCAGGCATGGTGGTGTGTGCCTGTAGTCCCAGCTACCAGGAGGCTAAGGCAGGAGAATTGCTTGAACCTGGGAGGCGGAGGTTGTAGTGAGCCGAGATTGCGCCACTGCACTCCAACCTGGGCGACAGAGCGAGACTCCGTCTCAAAAAAAAAAAAAACATGTTTGAAACAACTGAAAATTTGAACAGTGACTGTACATTTAAGAACATTAAGGAATTACTGTTCATTTTCCTCAGGTGTTATAATAGTGTGGTAGTTACTAAAATATTTCTAGATGAAATTACCTGGCCAGGTGTGGTGGCTCACGCCTGTAATCCCAGCACCTTAGGAGGCCTAGGCAGGCGGATCACCTGAGGTTGGGAGTTTGAGACCAGCCTGACTAACATAGAAAAACCCCATCTCTACTAAAAATACAAAATTAGCCGGGCGTGGTGGCACATGCCTGTAATCGCAGCTACCCGGGGGGCTGAGGCAGAATTGCTTGAACCCAGGAGGTGGAGGCTGCGGTGAGCTGAGATTGCACCATTGCACTCCAGCCTGGGCAACAACAGTGAAACTCCATCTCAAAAAACACAAAAAACAACAACAAAGAAATCATCTGATGTCTAGATTTGCTTCCAAATATCACATGAAAGGGGAAAGTGAATGGGAGAACAGATTCAGTAACAAGACTGGCCAGAATCGATAATTGTTAAAGCTAGGTGATAGACATAGGAATTCATTATTCTATTCTATTTCTGTATGTATTTAACTTTTTAAAAAAGGAAGTCTTGTAAATGTATCCTTTACCTCTAACATAAAAGAATATGTTTCATTTAACAAACATGAGTTATCGTCACTTACATGATTCATTTATTATTATGCTCTGATCTCAAAACTCATCTGAAGGCTGGCACAGTGGCTCACACCTGTAATCCCAGCAATTTGGCAAGCCGAGACAAGAGGATTGCTTGAGACCAGGAGTTTGAGACCAGCCGGGGCAATGTAGCAAGACCCCCAACTCCACAAAAAATAAAAAATTAGCCAGACGTGGTAGTACATATCTGTAGTCTGAACTACTTGGGTGGCTGAGGTGGAAGGATCACTTGAGCCCTGAAGGTCAAGGCTGCAGTGAGTCATGATTATACCACTGGACTCCAGCCTGGACAACACAGCAAAATCCTGCCTCAAAACAAATAATTTTAAAAAGTAAAAAACTCATCTGATGTTGGGCGTGGTGGGTCACACCTGTAATCCCAGCACTCTGGGAGGCCAAGGTGGGAGGACTGCTTGAGCCCAGGAGTTTAAGGCCAGCCTGGACAACATAGGGAGACCCCCATCACTACAAAAAAAAAAAAAATTGGCCAAGCATGGTGGCGTGTGCCCCAGGTACTTGGGAGGCTGAGGTGGGAGGTTTGCCTGAGCCTGGGAGGTTGAGGCCGCAGTGAGCCATAATTGCTCCACTACACCAGAGCCTGGGAGACAAAGTGAGATCCTGTTTCTGGGGAAAAAAAAATCATCTGAAATGTACTCTGAAAAACATTATATTAGAATATTGATATTCCTTTTCTTTGTACTTTATACCTTACATTTAATGTCCTTTATCTGTTGCTTCATTAAAGTGTCATTTCAGATAATATTCAAATAAAAGGGCAACCCTTTACTAAAACTTAAATATGCTGTCCATTTATGATGATGATGTCACTAGGTCAATCATCCATGAAACAAGAAATTAAGAGTTTTCCCCCCCAATGGTTAAAAGAATGAACTTATGTGTATTTACCCAGATGCTCCAACTCTATACCTCACTTTATAGGTCAATGGCATAATTTTCAAGATAGTATGATTTTGTTAGTGGTAGGAGATGTTACCACAGCACAAATGGAAGTTCAAAACAAAAATCTAGTTAGATGTAAGGCCTAGTCAGTGATAACCAGTCATACATAACACAATATATACCAGCAATCTCTATATTTGGGATAAGTCTCTCAGCTTCTCTTCTTGAAGTTTCACTACCAATATGTGGTGAAAATCGGAAGTGTTTCCATGAGACAAAAGGATAGGGCAGTATAGCTATAAGAAAACACTTTCTGCCGGGCGCGGTGGCTCACGCCTGTAATCCCAGCACTCTGGGAAGCCGAGGTGGGTGGATCATGAGGTCAGGAGATCGAGACCATCCTGGCCAACATGGTGAAACCCCGTCTCTACTAAAAATACAAAAATTAGCTGGGCGTGGTGTTGTGTGCCTGTAATCCTAGCTACTCAGCAGACTGAGGCAGGAGAAACACTTGAACTCGGAAGGCAGAGGTTGCGGTGAGCCGAGATCGCATCACTGTATTCCAGCCTGGCGACAGAGCAAGACTCCATTGAAAAAAAAAAAAAAGAAAAAGAAAAAAGAAAACACTTCCTGTCTCTATAAGAAAACTCATTCTGTATTCTAGATAACCAACTGTAAAACACTTGTTTCCTCTGATTTCAGCATTTATGTTTTTAAAAACATTAGAAAATGCAGGGAATTTCAAAAATAATTGCTGATTTTTACCATCCATCTACAGAGGAAAATCACTGTCAACATAATGGCACACTTCTTTCCAGTTCTCCTTTTCTTATTGATTTGCAAGAGTTTTGAATATGCTTAATAAACTTTAATCCTCTATTATATAAAGATATATTTTTTCCCACTACACATTTTTAAAATTTTTAACGGTTCTAAGAACTGTTCTGGGGATTCTGATTAAGTTCACACTGAATATATAGATTCTGGGAAAAGTTACATCTTTGAAACCCCAAATCTTCCAATCTAGGAACAAAATATTGGCTCTTCTACATTTATTGAAGACTTTTGGGTGTCTTTTTGGTCTCACTCCTTGAGGTGTTTTTTTATTATTATTATTATTTTCTTTTTTTGAGATGGAGTCTCGCTCTGTCACCCAGGCTGGAGTACAGTGGCCCAATCTCGGCTCACTGCAAGCTCTGCTTCCCGGGTTCAAGCCATTCTCCTGCCTCAGCCTCCCGAGTAGCTGGGACTACAAGTGCCCACCACCACGCCCAGCTAATTTTTTGTATTTTTTAGTAGAGACGGGGTTTCACCGTGTTAGCCAGGATGGTGTCGCTCTCCTGACCTCGTGATCCGCCCGCCTCGGCCTCCCAAAGAGGTGTTTTATTATTTTGAGTCAGATATAATCCTTCCTATATTGCATATAGAAAAATTGAATTTTTAATTATAAACGTGTAATCAGCCCCTTTACTGAATTATCTTACTGCTATAGTTTTTCAGTTGACTTTGCTGGCTTTTTACTTATTTTAACAGTACTGGTTAGCACCTCAAGAATGTTGAATAGGGCTGGGTGCGGTGGCTCACACCTGTAATCCCAACACTTTGGGAGGCTGAGGCGGGAGGATCACGAGGTCAGAAGTTCAAGACCAGACTGGCCAACATAGTGAAACCCCGTCTCTACTAAAAATACAAAAAATAGTCGGGTGTGATGGCACGCACCTGTAGTCCCAGCTACTCAGGAGGCTGAGGCAGGAAAATAATTTGAACTCAGGAGGCGGAGGTTGCAGTGAGCCGAGACTGCCCATTACACTCCAGCCTAGGCAACAGAGTGAGACTCCATCTAAAAAAAAAAAAAAAAAAAAAAGGAAAGGAAAAGAAACGACAAAAAAAAAGAATGCTGAATATCTAGTATACAGTTTCAGAAATAAGTCTGAAAGTCTTCACTTAAAAAAAAAATTTTTCTTTTCCTTTTTTTTTTTTTTTTTGACCCTGGGAGCCTATTCAAAAGGGAACGCTACATGGTCGCATCTTGGCGTGAGACAGCGCTATTCCGTGGGTGCTATAACAGGTTCCAGCAGTACTTGGGTGTTGATGTCCCACCCCTGATGCTGTGCAGCGCCTGAAACCCAGCGAGCTCGGAAGGTGTCCAGAAGAATTTCAGTATTTGCTACAGTAACCTCATCAGCCTGCCAAGACAGCAGTGCAAGCGGCCAAGAGGGCGAGCATTCGACTTCCACCTGAAGTAAATCAGATATTGTATATAAGAAATTTGCCATACACAATCACAGCTCAATCAATGTATATTTGGGAAATATGGACCTATTCATCAAATCAGAGTGGAAAACACACCTGAAACTAGAGGAACAGCTTATGTGGTCTATGAAGACATCTTTGTTGCCAAGAATGCTTGTGATCACCTATCGGGATTCAATTTTTGTGACAGATAACTTGTGGTTTTGTACTATAATGCCAACAGGGCATTTCAGAAGATGGACACGAAGAAGGAGGAACAGCTGAAGCTTCTCACGGAGAAATATGGTTGTCAAGATAGATCCACCAAAATCAATGTTTTCTACATTTTTATTTTGAGGGCGGGCACGGTGGCTCACATCTGTAATCCCAGCACTTTGAGAGGCCAAAGCGGGAGGATCACCTGAGGTCAGGAGTTCGAGACCAGCCTGGCTAACATGGTGAAACCCCATTTCTACTAAAAATACAAAAAATTAGCCGGGCGTGGTGGCGGGTGCCTGTAATCCCAGCTACTCGGGAGGCTGAGGCAGGAGAATCACTTGAACCTGGGAAGCAGAGGTTGCAGATGCCACTGCAATCCAGCTTCGGCAAGAAGAGTGAAACTCCATCTCAGAAAAAAAAAAAGAAAATAGAGCATATATGTACAAAGTAAAAAGCAATTGCGATCCTACCCCTGGAGTAAACACCATTAAAATTTTGTTGTGTTCCCCTATATTCTTCTTTCAATGCAAACACATATACATATTTTCCCCACATTAAAAAAAAAAAAAAAAAAAAAACACAGCCAGGCATGGTGGCTCACACCATTATAATCCCAACATTTTGAAAGGCTGTGGCAGGAAGATCACTTGAACCCAGGAGTTCAACACCAGCCTGAACAATGCGGCAAAATCTCATCTCTACAAAAAATACAAAAATTAGCTGAGCATGCAGTACACACCTGTAAGTCCCAGCTACTAGGCAGGATCACTTGAGCCTAGGAGGTGGAGGTTGTAGTAAGTGGTGATTGCACCACTGCATTCCAGCCTGGGTAACAGAGCAAGACCCTGTCTCAAAACAAACAAACAAAAAACCCACAATGGAGGCTAGGCAAGGTGGCTCATACCTATAATACCAGCACTTTAGGAAGCCAAGGCAGGAAGACCGCCTAATGCCAGGAATTCAAGACCAGCCTGGACAACAGAGCCAGACCCCGTTTCTATCAAAAAAACAAAAACAAAACACACACATAAGATGATTCTATTCACACTACTTTGTAACAAACTTTTTATTCTCCCTACTTGCTCTATGTTCTGGCATCTCTAGTATACATAGAATACTCATTCTTTATAAATGCACTATGATATTCCATTCCTGATTAGCATATGGTTGTTTTCAATTTTTGCCATCATAAACAATGCTGCTTATGAACAAACACTGAATATCCTCTAACAGGATTTTCCACACATTCAACAAGTATTCCTGGAAGAAAAATTCTTTAAATTGTATTGTTGGTTAAAGGGTATGAGTGATTTGAATTTTTAAAGCATGACAATCTGACAGGTGAAGGCTGATGTTATTTTAAAACTTTTCTTTTTTTTTGAGGCAGGGTCTCACTCTGTCGCCCAGGCTGGGGTGCAGCAGTGCAATCTCAGCTCATTGCAACTGCCACCTCCCAGGTTCAAGTGATTCTTCTGCCTTAGCCTCCCAAGTAGCTGGGATTACAGGTATCCGCCACCATGCCCAGCTAATTTCTGTATGTTTAGTAGAGACGGGGTTTCACTATGTTGTCCAGGCTGGTGTTGAATTCCTGACCTCAAGTAATCCACCCACCTCGGCCTCCCAAAGTGCTGGGATTACAGGCATCAACCACTGCGCCTGGCCTATTTTAAATTTTTTTTTTTTTTTTTTTTTGAGACAGAGTCTCACCCTGTCACCCAGGATGGAGTGCAGTGGCACGATCTCAGCTCACTGCAACCTCCACCTCCTGGGTTCAAGCAGATCTCCTGCCTCAGCCTTTCAAGTAGCTGGGATTATAGGCACCAGCCACCATGCCTGGCTAATTTTTGTACTTTTAGTAGAGACGGGGTTTCACCATGTTGGCAAGGCTGGTCTCAAACTCCTGAACTCAGGCGATCCACCCACCCTGGCCTTCCAAAGTGCTGGGATTACAGGCATGAGCCACCACGCCCAGCCTATTTTAACATTTTTAAATCAAAGTATAACATGCATACAGAAGAGCGCACAACTCATATTTTAAATGTGAAGCTTGATAAATTTTTCACTTGTAACCAGCATCCAGATAATAACAAAGTATAACCACAATCTCAGAAGGCTCCCCTCATATCTGTCCCTGCATCGTCACTACTGTCCAAGAATAGCGTCTCCTAACTTTCAACAACTAAATTTTGCCTGTTTTGAACTTCATATAAATGAGATCATATATTATACATCCAGTTTCCAAACTGTGCACCAAGGTGCCCTGAGGCCCTGCTAGATATTCTTAATTTGAGAGAAACAACATTCAGCATCTGCAATGCGCTATACCAACTACTAGACTGGTATACTACACTGCTTTCAATGAGATCTTTATGAAGCTGTGTTTTCAGTGGTTGCTGTGATAAAAAGAGTAATATAAAAAGTCAATAAGGAACATCAGATGAAGCTGGGTGCGGTGGCTCACGCCTGTAATCCCAACACTCTGGGAGGCCGAGACAGGCAGATCACTTGAGGTCAGGAGTTGGAGACCAGCTTGGCCAACATGGTGAAAACCCGTCTCTACCAAAAATATAAAAAATTAGCCAGGTGTGGTGGCACGCACCTGTAATCCCAGCTACTGGGGAAGCTGAGGCAGAACTGCTTGAACCCAGAAGGCAGAGGTTGCAGTGAGCAGAGATCATGCCACTGCACTCCTGCCTCGGAGGAAGAGTGAGACTCCCTCTCAAAAAACAAAAACAAAAAAAAAACAAACAAAAAAAACCAGATGAGAGTGGTGGTATCCAATCTGATTCCAAGGTTTGAGACGCTGTACAGTGCCCAATAAACAAACATCCCATTAGTTAATGTGGTTGTCTAAGAATGAAAGTTTTTTCGTTCAATTTTTGTGCATTTTAAGAAACAGATCTTAAGTTGTTAGGACATAAATAATATGAAGTTTTTTGGATCTAACTACTTAATAAACAGAACTGTCAGGTATTTCTTTTGGCCTGGGGTTGCCATGAACCAAGGGTTATAAAGGGAGAAAGTTTAGGAACCTCTGGTATATATTCCTGTGACTGGTTTATTTCACTCATTATCATTTGCAAGATTCATTCATATTATTTCAAGTAGTTGTTGTTCATTCATTTTCATTGTGTAATATTCTACTACGTGACTATCCCACTATTTATTAATATTCTTCTATTGATGGGTATTTGGACAGTTTCCACCTTTGGGCTATTATGAATAGCAGTGCTATGAACATTCATAAGTGTATATATCTTGAAGTAGCATTACTGGGTTACAGGGTATGTTTATGTTCAGTTTTAGTAGATAATGCTGCTTTTCCAAAATGGCATATCAACTTATATTCCCATTAACAATGTATGAGAGTTTTTTATTTCTCCATATCCTTGCTAACATTTTCATTGAGTCACTGTGATGGGTGTACAGTAAAACAGTACTTCTCTGAAGACAAAATAAGGTTGAGTTTCTTTCTAAATGTTTGGCCTTTTGAATATTCTCTTTTGGGATGCCTATTCAAATTCTCTTCAAAAAACAAACAAACAAAAAACTGAGTATTTTTCTCGCTGTGTCGCCCAGCCTGGAGTGCAATGTCATGATCTCAGCTCGCTGCAGCCTCCGTCTCCTGGGTTCAAGCAATTCTCCTGCCTCAGACTCCCAAGTAGCTGGGATTACAAGTGCCTGTCACCATGCCTGGCTAATTTTTTTTATTTTTAGTGGAGATGGGGTTTCACCATGTTGGCCAGGCTGGTCTTGAACTCCTGACCTCAGGTGATCCCCTGCCTTGGCCTCTCAAAGTGCTGGGATTACAGGCGTGAGCCACCATGTTGGGCCTTTTCTCTGCTATTAATGTACAGTTCTTTCTTTAGGTGTACAATGAGTCCTTTGTCAGATACAGGTGCTGCAAATATCTTCTCCCACTCTGTGGCTTGACTCTTCACTTGCTTAATGATATCTTTTGATGAGATGTTCTTGATCTTAATATAGCACCAATTTATCACACTTCCTTTATATTTAACCACTTTGAGATCCAAATTAATCTTTGCTGACATAAAATTTTTTTCTAAAAAACTTTTTTCATATTTAGATCAGCAATTTATCTGGAAATGACTTTTGTGTGTGGTGTGAGGTAAAGTCAAGATACTTTCTTCCCTGATACAGAAATTAATTAACCAATACCATTAATTTGACTTTCCTTTCCCTATCATAGTGCTGTCTCACTTTTATCATAATACAGGTGATAGTATATGTGTCAGTCTGTTTCTGGACTGTCGATTTTGATCCATTGGTCTATTTGTCAATCCATGTGCCAATACCATATTACCTTAATTGTTATAGCCAGGTAACAAGTTGAATTCCTCCAGATTTTCTTTCTTCATCGTCATGATTACCTTGCATCTGGCTTTATCTTGTATTTGAATTTGTATTTCAGTTGAGTATCTTTTAATGTTCATTGGCCATTCATATTTCCTCTTCTGTAAACTGGTTTTTGGGACATGAATTAGTTGCCTTAGCTGCCTTTTTCAAACTGATTAGTATTAGATCTTTCTGTATTAGAAAACATGCCCTTCATCTGTCAAATGCTGTCATCTGCATAGTGTTTTTTTAAAGTGTTCTTACAATTTCCTTTTTTTTTTTTTTTTTGAGACAGTCTCATCCTGTCTGCAGTGCAGTAGCATGATCTTGGCTCACTGCAACCTCCGCATCCTGGGCTCAAGCAATTCTGCCAAGTAACTGGCACTACAGGTGTATGTCGCCATGCCTAGCTTATTTTTTATTGTTTTTGGTTGAGACACCATTTTGCCATGTTACCCAGGCTAGTCTTGAACTCTTAGGCTTAAGCAATCTGCCTGCCTCGGCCTCTCAAAGTGCTGGGATTACAGGCATGAGCTACCATGCCCAGCCGTGTGTGCGTGCGTGTGTGTGTGTGTGTGTGTGTGTGTGTGTGTGTGTGTGTGTAAGAGAGAGAGACAGCTAGTCTTGAACTCTTAGGCTTAAACAATCTGCCTGCCTCGGCCTCTCAAAGTGCTGGGATTACAGGCATGAGCTACCATGCCCAGCCGTGTGTGTGTGTGTGTGTGTGTGTGAAAGAGAGAGAGACAGGGTCTCACTCTGGAGGCTGAGAGTGCAGTGTCATGATAACCACTCACTGCAGCCTTGAATCTCCCAGGCCCAAGCGATCCTCCTGAGTAGCTGGGACCGTAGGCATGTGCCACCATGTCTGGCTAATTTTTAATTTTTTTGTAGAGACAGGGTCTCCCTATGTTGCCCAGGCAGGTCTAGAACTCTTAGGCTCAAGCCATCCTCCCACCTTGGCCTCCCAAAGTTCTCAGATTACAAGAGTAAGCCACTGCTCCCTGCTCTACTTTTTAATGCATTCCAACACATCAATTTCTTTTTTTTCCTTCTGGGCTTTGGTTTCATTCTTAGAAATGCCTTCTTCATGCCAAGATGGCATTACAGTGTTGGCAAGGTAAGACAAGAGGTAAAGATAGATTTTAAAATTATTTTTACATTACCTTTTTCCCCCCCTTTGAGACAAGTTCTCACTGTGTTGCCCAGGCTAGTGTGCAGCGGCACAATCACAGCTCACTGAGCGGCCTCGACTTGCCAAGCTTCAAATGATCCTTCCACCTCAGCCTCCCAAGCAACTGGGACCACAGGCATGCACCACCACACCTGAATAAATTTTTTTTTTTCTGGTAAAGACAGTGTCTCCCTATGTTGCCCAGGCTGGTCTCAAACTCTTGGGCTCAAGCAATCCTCCTGCCTTGGTCTCCCAAAGTGCTGGGATTACAGGCATGAGCCACTGCTCCTGGCCACTTATTTTTATAGTGTTTGACATTTTCATGATTTGTACATTACCTTAAAAATAATTTTTTAGGCTAGGCACAGTGACTCACACCTGTAATCCCAGCACATTACGGGGCTGAGGTGGGAAGACTGCTTGAGGCTAAGGTTCAAGACCAGCTTGGGCAACAAAGTGAGATACGGTCGGTCTCTACAAAAAAAAAATTTTTAAGGTTTTTTTTGTTGTTATCTCCTACAGAAAGGAGAAAATTTTTTTTTTAATTAACCAGGTGTGGTGGCAAGCATCTGTAGTCCTAGCTACTCGGGACGATGAGGCAGGAGGATCACTTGGGGCCAAGAGTCCAAGGTTGCAGTGAGATATGATTATGCCACTGCACTACAGCCTGGGAGACAGAAGGAGGACTTGTCTCTTAAAAAAGAAAGAAAAACAATTTCTTTAAAGAAGAAATTTTGGTCATTTCCCACTGCAAAATATTGACCCAATAATTTATTCTGATACTTTTATAATTTTAGTAGCCAAATTTAATTTTTTTTTTTTTTTTTTTTTTTGAGACAAGGTCTCACCCTGTCACCCAGGCTGGAGTACGGTGATGCAATGACAGCTCACTGCAACCTCAGCCTCCTGGGCTCAAGCAATCCTCCTGCCTCAGCCTCCTGAGTAGCTGAGACTACAGGCATGCAACACCACACATGGCTAATTTTTTTCTTTGTTCTAGAGATGGGATCTCACTATGTTGCCCAGGCTGGTCTCGAACTCCTGGACTCAAGCAAAATCCTCCCACCATGGCCCCAAAGTGCTGAGATTACAGACATAAGCCACCATGCCCGGCCATCAGTGTATTTTTTTAAATTCTCAGAAAACTGAATGTTAGTTCAGGCTGTATGTAGCTATACAACTGAAATATACAGAGAAAAAGAAAAAATTAACTCCGATCCTAAATCAGAACCTAATTAGTATGGTTTTCAGCATGGTATTTATTTTTATTTTGTTTTTTCTTTTCAGCATAATACTTTAATTTTTAAAAAAATCATTAAGGAGGCCGGGCGCAGTGGCTCACTCCTGTAATCCCAGCACTTCGGGAGGCCGAGGCAGGCAGATCACCTGAGGTAAGGAGTTCAAGACCAGCCTGGCCAACATGGTAAAACCCCATCTCTACTAAAAATACAAAAATCAGCTGGATGTGGTGGCAGGTGCTTGTAATCCCAGCTACTTGGGAGGCTGAGGCGGGAGAATCACTTGAACCCAGGAGGCAGAGGTTGCAGTGAGCCGACATTGTGCCTATGCACTCGAGCCCAGGCAACAGAACAAGACTCTGTTAAAAAAAAAAAAAAAAAAAAATTAAGATTGTGAAAACAATACATAGAACACACTGCTGAAACACTTCACCCAGACAAAGTTTAACTCTACGGCACACTTTGTATTTGGAAAAAACACAAAATAGACCTTCAGTAGTTAAAATAAAAAGATCATAAACTTCATTCATTTTTTTAAAGAGATGGAGTCTCACTACATTGCCCCAGCCAGTCTTGAACTCCTGGACTCAAGAGATCCTCCCGGCTCAGCCTCCCGAACTGTTGGGATTACAGGTGTGAGCTACCACACCTGGCCATAAACTTCATTCTTTAGAATAAGAACACAGCCCCGTCTCTATTTCCTTTCACTCTGTATAGAGTTCTAGAATTTTCTTTTAAGAGATAATTGTGTTGCCCAGGCTGGAGTGCAGTATTCACAGGCACGACCGCAGCTAGCACCCTATAACCTCCAACTTCTGGGCTCAAACCATCTTCCTGCCTCAGATTCCTGAGTAGCTAGGATGGGACTACAGGCATATATCACTCCATCTGCCTCACAATTCTTTCACTTCATCTTACCTGCTTTTATACCAAAATGGTTGCACGCCCTTGGAGAGAAAACTTTCAGAATCCAAGCATTATGATCACATGCCACATAAAGTTTCAGTCAACAACCGACTGCATATAAAAAGGTGGCCCCATAAGATTATAATAGAGCCAAAAAGTTCCTATTGCCTAGAGACATTGTAGTTGAATTACTTTATTTTTAACATTAATTTATAGTCGTCTAAGTATACACTGTTTATAACATCTACAGTAGTGTACAGTGATGTCTTAGGCCTTCACATTCACTCACCACTCACTCACTGACTTACCAGAGCAACTTCCAGTCCTAAAAGCTCCATTCACGGTAAGTGCCCTATACAGGTGTACCATTTCTTATCTTTTATACTGTACCTTTTCCATGTTTAGATGAAGCTTGCCCAATGCACAGCCAGCGGGCCACACGTGGCCCAGGTCAGCTTTCAGTTACACTTTTTTTTTTCTTTTTGTGAAGAATGGGGTCTCGCTTTATTGCCCAGGCAGGTCTCGAACTCCTGAGTTCAAGCTATCCTCCCACCTCTGTCTCCCTAAGAGCTGGGATTACAGGCATGAGCCACTGCACCTAGCCCCCAGGACAGCTTTGAATGAGACCCAACAGAAATTCGTTAACTTTCTTAAAACATTATGAGATTTTTTTTTTCCTCAGCTTATCAGCTATCGTTATTGTATTTTATGTGTGGCCCAAGACAATTTATCTTCTTCCAATGTGGCTCAGGGAAGCCAAAACATTGGACACCCCTGGTTTAGATACACAAGCACTTAATACTGTGTTACAACTGCCTACGGTACTCAGTAAAGTAACATGCTATATGAGTTTGTAGCCTAAGAACAATAGGCTATCCCACATAACCTAGGTGTGTAGTAGACTATACCATCTAGGCTTGTGTAAATACACTCTCTGATGTTCCCACAAGCATGAAATCGCCTAACAATGCATTTCTCAGAACATATCCCCGTCATTAAGCAACACATGACTGTATTGTGTAGGGTTCTGATTTTTATTAACTATTCTTTTACACATTTTTAGTCACCTTCCCTTCTCATACACCTCAGTAGACATTCCCAACTTCTGTTTAGACTTCCTGTATAAAAGCTACCACTCCTATCACTTACCCGCAGCAAATGAACTCACCTCCTAATTCATGACAATCATTCTTACAAACTTACCTATATTAACGACTTGTTTTGTTTTGAGATAGGATCTCCCTCTGTTGCCCAGGCTGGAGTGCAGTGGCACAATGACAGCTCACTGCAGGCTCTGACCTCCTGGTCTCAAGCAATCCTCTCACCTCAGCCTCCCGAGTAGCTGGGATGACAGGCATGCACCACCATGCCTGGATAACTTTTTCTACTTTTTGTAGAGAAGGGGTCTATGTTGCCTAGGCTGGTCTCGAACTCCTGTGCTCAAGCGATCCTTCTGCTTCAGCTTCCCAAAGTGTTGGAATTATGAGTGTGAGCCCTGCGCCTTTACATCTTTAATTCTTTTGTTCTGATCTTAGAAGAAGAGTTCTTTCCCCAACTCCAATATAAGGATAATACCTTAATTTATGCACGGTGAAGGAGGAAAGACCAAAAACAGGCAAGACTCATCAACTCATGTTCCTGCTCAGGGACTTTGCTCCGTAACTTATTTCCCACCACACTTGGATACTCAACCTCATTCTCTTGGTTTCTGCCACTCAGCCAACAAATATATTCTAGTGTCTTCCATTCTTTTTTTTTTTTAAAAAAAAGAAAAAACATTTCATATTTTACCCTTTCTATGCTCTCCCTTCCCTGCTTATACAGCAGTCAACATTCCTGCTTCTTTACCTTCCATTCATTCCATAACCCCATCTCCTAATGCTTTACGATTGTGCCTTTATCTGAAGCTATTACAAAAATTAACACAGTCATACTGTAGTACACCAAACAAGCAGAATGGGGAAATTTGATTCCACAAATACTCCAATTTTGTCTATGACTATGCCTACTGATGGAAATTTGGACTGCAAGAGAGATGTAATTATGAGTTTCTCCTTGGCTTTAAAGTGCAGAAAATTGGAAATTGGAAACAGTAAGCCTCCTAAAATTTTCACAAGTTGGGCAGGGGGTGAGTATCTTATATTTATGTGTGCAGTTATATTGCTTTAAAAAGTTTTTCCAGCCTGGGCAATATATCAAGACCTCATCTATACTAAAAATTAAAAAAAAAAAAATTAGCTAGGCATGGGTGGCATACACCTGTAGTTCCAGCTACTCAGGAGGCTGAGATGGAAAGACTGCTTAAGCCCAGGGGTTCAAGGTTGCGGTGAGCTATGATCACAACTGCACTCCAGCCTGGGCAACAGAGCAAGATCCTGTCTCCACAAAAAAAGTTTCTTATATGTATATGCTAATAGTGTTTAAAAGGAAGAAAAGTCAGGTGCGGTGGCATATGCCTGTAGTCTCAGCTACTCAGTAGGCTGAGGCAGGAGGATAGCTTGAGCCCAGGAGTTCAAGACCAGCTTGGGCAAAACAGCGAGACCCCATCTCTATTTTTTTTAAATTTTAATAAAAAGAATAATTTCTTCTTACATCTCCATTAAAGATTAGAATAGAGTCCTGGGACTGACTTTCACTCCACTTCCATAGAAGCTAATAAAAAAATTAGTGTTATAATATCTTTCATTAAAATAATCTACTATCTTAAGATAGATATCTAAGTAAAAGAGCAAGGAACTCAGGAACTAAATATCAGGTTTGAGACCTTAATTAAATTACTTAACTTTCTCACCAATAAAGCAAGGTTATACTGTACTCTACTTCACAGTTTAATTCTGAAGATTAAACAAAATAACACATAAAAGCACAACATAGTTACAGGCACATGTTTAACACTTCCCTCATCTTAGCACAGTGCCATACTCCCAATAAGCATACAACTATTAAGAAGTAAAAGTGTACCAAAAAGGAGCAATATTAAAACTGTGTGAACTATGTGAAACAGAAATTCTAACAAAAGCACCATCTATTCATACTAATAATCTTCAAATGAAAAGCTTCAATTAGAAGTGAAAGTTACTAAAAGATATTCAAGTATTTTGAACGAATTCAACTAGTAAATACACTTGGATTACATTCCCAATGATTTCCTCTGAGAGATTACATATGAGGTACAAGATTACACATGATTTAATAAAATGGACAGAGAGCACACACAAAGCTGCAGTTTCCCAGGCTGAGAAAGACAAATCTAATTTGTCCTTCCTGGGGAGGAATGTATCTTAAATGAACAAAATTTCCTTAGAATACACAAAAGTAAATCAATGTATCAAAGGGATTAGGAAAAAAGGGAGCTTTTTCTCGAAATCCAAAATAATAATACGCATGACCTAAATGAATCTTCTCCAAATATTTAGGGGGGAAACCCCACTTTAATTGTTAGAATTGGTGCAAAGCAGCTGGATTTAGTAGAACGCAGCCCATCAACTGCTAATTCTGAAAAAAAAAAAAAAAAAAAAAAAAAAATCTAGGGGTGGAGAAAGCAGGCAATCTTCCCAATAAAACAACTGCCACAAAACACTGTACATACGTAAGAACATAAACATCTGTTAAAATATCAGTTTACACTGTTCCAGCCAACTTACAGATCAAGAGGAAGTATTTAAGGTCTAAAAAATAAATTACATTCTACTTTTAGTCACATTTTGCATGGGTGGCTACTGGACACTAGGAGTTATCGACGCGGATTCAAGACAAGGAAGACTGAATAATAAATCCAGTGTTCACATTCAAATGTGGGGGAGAGAAAAGGGCAGGCTCTGAGTCCATAAAGTTCTCCACACTCTGAAAACACTGCAAAAATAGTCCACATCTAAGGACACTTACCCTTGAAACTCCTTGGAGAGTGGCTTGGGAGACTTGCTGTTCAGATTTTTGAGGGGGAGTGATTTAAGAATGCTGCAAGATTGCAACTTTCAAACACAGGAACATAATCTAAAGTGTTTTTTTCTTTCAGTAAAGATCTCTCCCTGTCCTCTTCAAACAGTTGATCAGCACTCCCATTTTCACAAAATCCCTAATTCAAGTATAGAGCCCCTCCTCTCCCACAAAAAAATCAAAGCTTTAAAGAATATGCAAATAAAACACACAGATTATTTCCAATAATCCCTAACTCCTTCCCAATTGGGAAAAGAAAGGAGAAACGAAGGAACACGAAGCAAAAACACCAAAACACTCGGGGAAGGAAGGCGGCGAGATGAGAAAGTAGGAATGGGTGGGGGGAGGAGCACGGAAAAAAGTCCAGCTGATGCTGACACTTAATTGGAAGGAGAGGATGGAAAATATCCTGAAGATACGGGCTAGAAGGAAAGGACTAGGTGGGACAGGGGCGCGATAGAGTAAGTCCACGCAAAAGGCCTACCCAAGAGGGCCACTGTGTAGAAGGGAACACCAACAGGGAGCAAGACTCCCCAAGATTACTTCAAGGCCCCAAAGCTTAAGAGACAGGGCATAGGGAGATGGGGTGCTTCTCCACTGGCAATGCAGACACCGCACCAGACGTTTCGGGAGGCAAGTCTGCCGGAAGGGGTGAGGGGTTAACTGCGGGGGTTCGCAGACGTGGAAGGGGGTGCGGCCCCCGGGGTTGCTGGAGGAGAGCAGAGAGGAGGCCCACGGCGCATACCTTGTAGTAAACATCAAACTGGATGTTCTCGGGCAAGGAGCGGATGTCTCGGCGGGAGCGGATGTAGTTGTCCACGACAGCGGAGATGGCGGTGTTATAGAGAGTCTCTGGGATCCACTCTAGTTCCACGGCCGCCATCTTCCTTCCCTCCTCCTCCGCCTCCTCCGCCTCCTCCTCCCGAAGGCCCCCACCTCCCTCCGTAGCGAACCCCTCTGCGGCCCCGGAGGATTCGGAGGGGCGGTGGCAGCCACGCGGGCGCACGGCAGAAGGCACGGCCGCCCTGCCTCCTCCGGGGGCAAACTGAGGGACGGCGGCAGCGGACGCAGGCCCGAGTAAAAAGTGGGACAGAAAACAGCGGCCAGCCAGGCCAAAAGCGTCACAATCCCGGTTCGAGAGGAACCCGGGTTCCGTCCCAGCGCTGATCTCTGCAGGGGCGGGGCTGCGTGTGCGGCGTCATGACGTAAGCGCACGCCGGCGCGCCGGAGGGGAGGAATGCGGCAGGCGGAAAACTTAGGAAGAGCTGGATGCCTCCCACGGAGAGCGTCCCTTCCAAGCGGCCCCGGAGTGGAGTGGAGTGGAGTGGATAGGGGTAGACTTTTCACACGGGGACAAATTATTACAGGATATCTGCGCCCCCTGTTCCGAGTCACTCGGGGCCATCGGTTACTTCAGCAGGTTCTCTGCATCACGGACCCTTTTGAGGCTCAGGTAAAAGTTTGGATCCTCTCCCCACAAACGAGCAAAATTATCTGTACATTGAAAATTATGCATTGAGAAAATTCACATTACTCTAGAAACCCTTAGACTGCAGTTCCTAACCCAAGTTAAGAACCCGCGGTCCAGGAACTAGGGGTAACGATAGAAGAGAGACTTGTTTTTCTTTGTATAACCATTTGCACCGTTGTAACTTTTTGACCATGTTTCTTTATCCAAATGAAATTTCCGAAAAAAGAAAACTCCTGCCCCAGAACTTCGTAGGAAAACTAGCTTGATTATGGAATTACAAATAATAGTAAGAGAAAAAAGGCTAAGTGGTGGCCGTGATAGGACTTAATGGTATTTCAATTCCCAGAGTTACAGTGGCGGCTTCAAGGGATTGTTGAATAATTGGGAGTACTTGTTTCAGCTTCTTTCCTTCCTCAGCCTGAACATCTGCTGTTTATGTAACTTAATTTCCTAAGTCTGCGATTTCAAGAATTTGATGCAACATCTTTCTGTTCTAGGAATTTACCATGGAAATTATTGGCCATAATTGTTGGTGACACTATCAAACTCATAGTCACTCTATAACGATGTAAGTCCAGAAAACAGCCATAATAATAATGTCCTGATTGATATTTAGAGCTAAAAGAAGTGGAAAGAGTTATTTCAATTTACCCTTCACCTGGTACTTCAGTGTTAAGTGGTTAAATAATTCCACAAAAAATAAACACTCTTAATCTTCTTCAGTCTATATAAATTCTTACTCTATACTGTGAACCTAGGAAAGCTGTGGATGGCCTCAAGATCAGATTGCCAGTTTAGCAAGTAAAAAACTACAAGGCTGGGCGCGGTGGCTCACACCTGTAATCTCAGCACTTGGGAGGCCGAGGCGGGTGGATCACGAGGTCAGGAGATCGAGACCATCCTGGCTAACACGGTGAAACCCCGTCTTTACTAAAAATACAAAAAATTAGCCCGTGGTGGCGGGCGCCTGTAGTCCCAGCTACTCGGGAGGCTGAGGCAGGAGAATGGCGTGAACCCGGGAGGCGGAGCTTGCAGTGAGCCAGGATCGCGCCACTGCACTCCAGCCTGGGCAACAGAGCGAGACTCCGTCTCAAAAAAAAGAAAAAAAAAATTACAAGTGCCCAGTCACATCTTAATGTCAGATAAACAACAAATGGTTTTGAAATGTAAGTATGTTCTGTGCAATAGTTTTGCTCATGCCTTCGGAGCCACTCAAGTGTATCAGTTCATTCAGCAAATCCTTCATCACTTCTTAGACACTGGCGCTTTTGAAGATCAGGATCCCTGCCCCACATAAAAGAATAATTATTATCTCTGCAAATATTGCAGGGGACATATTTATACTAAAAACTTATTTGTGACCAGCCTGGGCAACATAGCAAGACCCCATCTCTACAAAAAAAAAATAGCCACATGTGGTGGTGTGCACCTGTAGTCCTAGCTACTCAGGAGGCTGAGGCAGGAGGATTACTTGAGCCCAGAATGTTGAGTGAGCCATGATCATGCCACTGCACTCCAGCCTGGGTGGCAGAATGAGACCCTGTCTCAGAAAACAACAACAACAAAAAACTTTGTTGTTCATCTGAAACTCACATTTAACTGGACACCTGTATTTTATCCAGCAATCCTACCTAAAGGGATCCATGAATCCCCTAACATTGAATGCACATGTTCTTGGACATTTTGGCTAAATCAGGACCCGTATTAAGCTCCTGTAAACAGGTAAAGGTGTGTCAGACACACATATTGATTGCTTTATGGACCTTAGATGCTGAGTGTATTAGTCCGTTTACACACTGCTAATAAAGACATAGCTGAGACTGGGCAATTTATAAAAGAAAGAGGTTTATTGGGTTTACAGTTCCACATGGCTGAGGAGGCCTCACAATCATGGTGGAAGGCAAGGAGGAGCAAGTCACATCTTAATGTGGATGGCAGCAGGCAAAAAGAGACAACCGAAAGGAGTTTCTCCTTATAAAACCATCAGATCTCATGAGACTACCACAAGAACAGCGTGGGAGAAACCACCCCCATGATTCAGTGATCTCCCACTGGGTCCCTCCCACAACACGTGGGAATTATCAGAGTACAATTCAAGATGAGATTTGGGTGGGGACACAGAGCAAAACCATATGACTGAGTTAGACATTAAAAAATGTATATAGTCACAAAGGGGACTCTGGATGGAAGGGCCTCTTGATCCCTTCTTCACTGCTTTCAGATTGAAAGTTATTCAGATGTGTATGATGGACTAGGAGGTCGTGACCAAGAGCAGATAAACTGCCAGAAAGGATAAGTCCCCTGAGAAGGACTTAGTCCTGGCAGTATTCATCACCTTCTAACTGAAGAGCCCTTGGGCCCTAAATGACCAGCAGATATACCCAGATACTATGTTGAGGACCTTGGGTGAACCTCTGAGACTTGCTGGCTTCAGATGCCAGCATGGCCACAGAGGGGTAGAGCACCAAGTGGGCCCTTGGGGTTCCTGATTCCAGGACTTGACTCCTAAATGGCATTTCTGACCTGCCCTGGTCCAGAGTAGAGCCTTCTGCCCTGACGGTTGAGTCTCTGCCCAGACAGCATTCACCACACACTGACTTGAGAGGCCGTGGGCCTTAAGGAAACATCCGTGGAAGTCTGGCAGTACTCCCTGTGGCCTGTGGTGATGGTGGTTACAGAGTGAGGCTAGTCTCCCTTTGGGAAGGAAAGGGAAGAGTAGGAAGGACTGTGTCTTACGGTTTGAGAGCCAGCTCAGCTGCAATACAGTATAACACCAGGTAGACTTCTGAGATTTTTTACTCTAGTCTCTGACTCCTGGACTGTACATCTGGACCTACCCAGGGCCTGGGGGAACTCGCCACCCTGAAGGGAAGGACACACGCCTGGATGGCTTTGCCATCTGCTAATTGTAGAGCCCCAGGGCCTTGAGTGAACATAAGCAGTAGCCAGGGAGTGGTTACAGCAGGTCTTGGGTGAGACCCAATGCTATGCTGGCTTCATCTCTAACCCAGTCCAGTCATAGTGGGGGTGGCCACAGAGGTACTTCTGTCACTCCACTCCCAGCTTTATGTGGCTCAGAACAGAGAGAGAAATTCCATTTGTTTGGGAGAAAGTAAGGTAAGAGAACAAGAGTCTTTGCCTGGTAATCCAGAGAATTTCTCCCAGATGCTGTCCTTGACCATCAAGGTGGTACCCCTAAGAGTCTGCAAGAACTTCAGAGAACTACAGTGTTATTGGGTTCGGGGTAATCCCTCCCCCAGCTCCAGGCAGCTCAGCACAGAGAGAGAGACTGTTTGTGTTTAAAGAATGTAAGGGAAGAGAACAAGAGTTTCTGCCTGGTAATCCAGGGAATTCCCTTGGATCTTACCCATGAACACCAAGGTGGTACCTCTACAAGTCAGCAAGAACCACAGCGTTACTAGGCTTGAGGTGCCCCCTAAAGCAGATACAGCTTAGATCACAGTAGTGAAGTCCTTTGAAATACCTGGAAAGCCTTCCCAAGAAGGACAAGTACAAACAAGCCCAGACACTGGAGACTGATAATATCCAACTCTTCAATGCCCAGAGAGTGAAGAATATCTATAGCATCAGCACCATCCAGGAAAACATGACCTCACCAAATGAACTAAAGAAACCACCAGAGACCAGTCCTAGAGAAACAGACATATGAGACCTTTCAGACAGAATTCAAAATAGCCATGTTGAAGAAACTCAAAGAAATTCAAGATAATGGAAAGAAGGAATTCAGAATTCTATCAGATAAACTTAACAAATAAATCGAAATAATTAAAAAGAAGCAGAAATTCTGGAGCTGAAAAATGTAATTAGCATACTGAAGAAAGCATCAGAATCTTTTTTTGTTTGTTTTTTTTTTTTTTGAGGTAAGGCCATACTCTGTTACTGAGGCTGGAGTGCAGTGGCAGGATATCAGCTCACTACAGCCTCAGCCTCACAGGCTCAAGCAGTCTTCCTGCCTCAGTCCCCTGAGAAGCTGAGACTACAGGTGTGTACCACCATGCTCGGCTTGTATTTTTTGTAGAGATAGAGTTTTGCTATGTTGCCCAGGCTGGTCTTGAACTCCTGGGCTCAAGTGATCTATCTGCTTCAGCCTCTCAAAGTTCTGGGATTACAGGTGTGAGCCACCACACCCAGCCTCGAGTCTTTTAGTAGCAGAATTATTCAAGCAGAAGAAAGAATTAGTGAGCTTGAAGACAGGCTATTTGAAAATACATGATCAGGGAGACAAAAGAAAAAGGAATAAAAAATAATGAAGCATGCCTACAGGATCTAGAAAATAGCCTAAAAAGGGCAAATCTAAGAGTTATTGACCTTACAGAGGAGGTAGAAAAAGAGATTGATGTAGAAAGTTTATTCAAAGGGATAATAACTGAGAACTCCTCAAACTTAGAGAAAGATACCAATATCCAAGTCCAAGAAGGTTATAGAACACCAAACAGATTTAACCCGAAGAAGACTACCTCAAAGCATTCAATAATCAAACTCCCAAAGATCAAGGATAAATAAAGGTTTCCCTGACAAAAGCTGAGGAATTTCAACACCAGACCTGTCCTTCAAGAAATGCTAAAGGGAATACTTCAATGAGAAAGAAAAAGACATTAATGAGCAATAAATCATCTGAAGGTACAAAATCACTGGTAATAGGACATAAACAGAAAAATAGAGAACATTATAACACTATAACCATGGTGTAGAAACTACTTATTCTAAGTAGAAAGACTAAATGATGAACCAATCAAAAATAATAACTGTGACAACTTTTCAAGACATAGACTATATAAGATATAAATAGAAATAGCAAAAAGTTAAAAAACAGAGATGAAGTTAAGACATAGAGTTTTTGTTAGTTTTTTTTTTTTTGCTTGTTTGTTTATGTAAATAGTGTTAAATTGTTATCAGGTTATAATAATGGGTCATAAGATAGTATTTGCAAGCCTCATGTTAGCCTAAAACCAAAAAACATACAATGGATACACAAAAAATAAAAGGCAGGAAACTAAATAATATCAGAGAAAATCACTTTCACTAGAGGAAAACACAGGAAGGAAACAAGACCACAGAACAATTAGAAAACAAATAAAATGACAGGAATAAGTTCTTTTTTTTTTTTTTTTGAGACAGAGTTTCGCTCTTGTTGTCCAGGCTGGAGTACAGTGGCACAGTCTCAGCTCACTGCAACCTTTGCCTCCTGAGTTCAAGCGATTCTCCTGCCTCAGCCTCCTGAATAGCTGGGATTACAGCCATGCGCCACCAAGCCCAGCTAATTTTGTATTTTTAGTAGAGACGGGGTTTCACCATGTTGGCCAGGCCGGTCTCGAACTCCTGACCTCATGATCCACCCATCTCAACCTCCCAAAGTGCTGGGATTACAGGTGTGAGCCACCGCTTCTGGCAAGAATAAGTTCTTATCAATGGTAATATCAAATGTAGATGGACTAAACTCTTCAATAAAAAGACACAGAGTGGCCGAATGGGTGAAAAAACAAGACCCATTGATATGTTGCCTATAAGAAACACACTACACCTATAAAGACACACATAAACTAAAAATAAAGGGTTGGAAAAAGATATTCCATGCCAATGGAAACCAAAAAAAGAGCAGGAGTAGTCAATGGGATATCATCTCACTCCAGTTAAAATGGCTTCTATGCAAAAGACAGACAATAACAAATGTTGGCAAGGATGTAGAGAAAAGGGAACCCTCATACACTGTTGGTGGGAATGTAAATTAGTACAACCACTATGGAGAATGGTTTGGAGGTTCCTCAGAAAACTAGAACTAGAGCTACCATGTGATCCAGCAATCCCATTGCTGGGTATAGACCCAAAAAAACGGAAATCAGTATTTCAAAGAGATACCTGCACTCCAATGTTTGTTGCAGCACTATTCACAATAGCTAAGATTTAGAAGCAACCTAAGTGTTCATCAACAAATGAATGGATAAAGAAAATGTGTTACATATACACAATAGAGTACTATTTAGCCTTAAAACAAACAAGATCCAGGCCAGGCGCAGTGGCTCCCACCTGTAATCCCAGCACTTTGGGAAGCCGAGGTGGGCGGATCACAAGGTCAAGAGATCAAGACCATCCTGGCCAACATGGTGAAACCCTGTCTCTACTAAAAATACAAAAATTAGCTGGGCATGGTGGTGCACGCCTCTAGTCCCAGCTATTTGGGAGGCTGAGGCAGGAGAATCACTTGAACGTGGGAGGCAGCGGTTGCAGTGAGCTGAGATTGCGCCACTGCGCTCCAGCCTGGTGACAGAGCAAGACTCCATCTCAAAAAAAAAAAAAAAGATCCTGTCATTTTCAGCAACATGGATGGAACAGGAAATCATTAGTGTTAACTGAAATAAGCCAGGCACAGAAGTACAAACATTACATGTTCTCACTTATTTGTCGGATCTAAAAATCAAAACAATTGAACTCATGGTCACAGAGTGTAGAAGGATAGTTACCAGAGGCTGGGAAGGGTAGTCGGGGGTTGGGAAGGAGATGGGGATGGTTAAAGGCTACCAAAAACTAGAAAGAATGAATAAAGCCTACTATTTGATAGCACAACAGGGTGACTGTAGTTAATAATAACAATTGTACGTTTTTAAATAACCAGAAGATCGTAATTGGATTGTTTGTAACACAAAGGATAAATGCTTGAGGAGATGAATACCCCATTCTCCATGATGTGATTGTTTCACACTGCATGCCTGTATCAAAACATCTCATGTATCCCATAAAAATATATATACTATGTACCCACAAAAATTAAAAATTTAAATCTTTTTTTGGGCCAGGTGCAGTGGCTTATGCCTGTAATCCTAGCTACTTGGGAGGCTGAGACAGGAGAATTGCTTGAACCTGGGAGGCAGAGGTTGCAGTGAGCCAAGATGGTGCCACTGCCATCCAGCCTGGGAGACTCCAGAGTGAGACTCCGTCTAAAATGTAGATATATTTCCACATCAAGGGATGCTTATTTAAAATGGGAGAATGATAGGGAAGCAATTCTAAAGAATAACCCTCATTTATAGCCTCTAGTCCCAAAACAGTCTCACACTACATGTCAGTTTTCTTTCTAAGTCATCAATCAGATCAGATCAGAGTACTCTCCTGCCCTAAAGCTCGCAGATATTCTGAAGAAGTGCCCAGACAAGATTATTACTGGGTGAAGTGGGGAATAAGTGAAAGGGTATCACCAGAGACAGGTTAACTTTGAAGGGAAAGCAGTAATTTTGGATATAATAGCCAAAGAGGGCATTGGTTAAAAGGTGACGTATAAACCAAACGTGAACCAAGTGCCCAGAGCGTTGGAACTCATAGCCCTACCCTCCACTTCCAGGGAGAGAAGAGGGACTAAAGGCCACCAATGGCCAATGACTTAATGAGTCGTGACTGTGTAATGAGGCCTCTATAAAAACCAGAAGGATCGAGTGCAGGGGGCTTCCAAGAAGTTGAAGAAAAATACATCTACGTGTCTAAAAGGCAGTTCACCCCAACTTCATGAGGATGGAAGTTTTTACACTTGGGACCCTTCTGGACCTCCTCACCCTATGTATCTCTTAATCTGGCTGTTCATTTTGTCAACCTAAAATAGTTAAGAGGGTGAGAATCTAGTTTATTTATGTATTTATTGAGACAGGGTCTTGCTGTATTGTCCAGGCTGGAGTGCTCAAGTAATCCTCCCACTTTGACCTCCCAAAGCACTGGCATTACAGGTGTGACCCACCTCACCCAGCCAGAGTCTGGTTTAAAGAGAGTTTATTCAAGCATAGAGTTTAAGGACAGCCTCCTGGGAAACACAGATTCCAAAGGATGGAAGTCAGTGTTTTGTGAATGTGAAGTTTGGATTGTTTATATAGACAGATTGGGGAAGCTTAACAGAATTTCAACATCTGTCTCTCCAGGGTCTTATTTTTTGTGTAGGCTGTAGTCCAGTGGTACAATCATAGCTCACTGCAGCTTCTAACTGCCGGGCTCAAGGGATCTTCCTACCTCAGCCTCCTGAGTATCTGGGATTACAGGTGCCAACCACTACATCCAGCTCTATATAAGGCTTAATGCATAGTTACAACAATCTGATTAGTCAGGTGGTCTTTTTCTTTCAGGAAAGGTGTATTTAATACTACACACTGAAGATGTAGCAGTCGTGGGGTCTTTTGCACCCTCTGTTCTGAGTTAGGTACACAACAATAAAGGAGGCAGTTAATCTATAACAAAGATGAGTGATTGGAAGGGGAGGGGCTGTAGTTTCCCTTAGTCATTTATAAAACAAGAACAATGAGGAAGAGAATTAATCTATAATCTAAGAAGCAGAACTTGCGAACTTGCCATGTGACTCGGTCTCCAGGACTTAACTTCTTACGTGGCATAATAAATTTAGAGGGTCCTGTTTTTATTTTCTTTTACAATATGTACCCTTTAAAATATCCTGGCCCGGCACGGTGACTCATGCCTGTAATCCTAGCACTTTGGGAGGCTAAGGCAGGTGGACAACTTGAGGTCAGGAGTTTGAGATCAGCCTGACCAACATGGTGAAACCCCATCTCTACTAAAAAAAAATACAAAAATTAGCTGGGCATGGTGGCAGGCACCTGTAATCCCAGCTACTCGGGAGGCTAAGGTAGGAGAATCGCTTAAACCAGGGAGTTGGAAGTTGCAGTGAACCAAGATCGCGCCACTGCACTCCAGCCTGGGCAACAAGAGTGAGACTTTGTCTCAATTAAAAAAAAAAATCCTTTATAATAAACTGGTAAATGTAAGTAAGCATTCCCCTGAGCTGTGAGCCACTCTAGCAAATTAATCAAACCCAAGAAGAGCGACATGAAAACCCTGATTTATAGCCAGTCCGTCAGAAGCACAGGTAAAACATCCTGGGGCTTGCAATTGGCATTTGTTGGCATCAAAAGTTGGGGGCAGTCTTGTGGGACTGAGCCTTCAACCTGTGGGATCTAATGCTTTCTCCAAGTAGATACTGTCTGAATTGAACTGGAGGATACCCAGCTGGTGTCTGCTGCAGAATTGATTGATTGCTTGATGTGTAGGGGGAAAAAATCCACATATGCTGGTGTTGCAAGCATGTTATGAGGGTACAGTAGGAAAAACTAAGTTTGTTTTTCTGCTCATACATACCCTGACAAAGCCCAAGCCTCGTGGAAGGCTACATGTAAACACTCTGGTCAGCAGCTCCAGAGCACAGCCCTTGAGTCATCCCAGCCCAGCTACCAGATGTTTAAGTGAAGAACCTGTAGACGATTCCAACTGTAAGACATTTGAGTCACCCTTTATTTTGTCCCACTGAACCTATAGCTTGGGTCACCCCAAAAGTGGAGGCAAGAATGTTCCCACAAAGTGCTCCAAACCATCTCAAGATGGGGCTGATTGGGATTCACAAGAAAGAAGCACAAAATGCCAGGGTGATCAGTCCAAAGCAATTATTAGTGGAACTTAGATGCAGAGTGCTGCCTCATATCCTCATGACAGAGGGCAAGAGAAAAAGAATGTTCTACCCGGGTATGTCTGCAGCAAAGGGGTCAAAGCATAGAGTTTACATGAGGGTTTTAGGAATTTGACTCAGTGCTGGGGCTGGTTTCTTTCTAGTAAACCTAATTACCTTTATCAGGGCCTGGGGACATTCAAGGCCACAGTTTGAATTCAAGCTTGCTGGGAAAAACATACAGCTGGCAGAATCACAGAGTGGTCAAGACACTCTGATTTTTGGTCAGGACACAGAAAGTGGGGGAAACTGGGAGACCCTATACCTTCAGTCTTCCTAGATGAGGGCCCAGCATCATGGAGCTGAAACAAGCATCCCTGCTGTGCTCTGTTTGAATTCCTTACTCACAAAAGCATAATAAAATGGTAGTTCATTTATATCACAAATGTTGGGGGTGGTTTGTTATGCCAAAATAGATAACTGGAACACCCCATCCCAATCCTCTAAAGTTCCCAGGAACTCATTGTCTTAGACTCCATAATTTTCAGGGATACATATCACTAAGCATGCGGATACATTCATGAAAATGAAAATTCAGGCCGGGTGCAGTGGCTTACGCCTGTAGTCCCAGCACTTTGGGAGGCTGAGGCGGGTGGATCATTCAAGGTCAGGAGTTCAAGACCAGCTTGGCCAACATGGTGAGACCCTGTCTCTACTAAAAATATAAAAATCAGCCGGTCATGGTGGCGCATGCCTGTAATCCCAGCTACTTGGGAGGCCGAGGGGCGAGAATCACTTGAACCTGGGAGGCAGAGGTTGCAATGAGTCGAGATCGCACCGCTACACTCCAGCCTGGGTAACAAAATGAGACCCCATCTCAAAAAGAAAAGAAAAGAAAATGATAGGATTCGTAGCCTATACTAGACAACTTTCATAGTTTACAGACTATGACTCTGCTACACTTTAAAGAGTGAACTAGGCCAGGCACAGTGGCTCATGCTTGTAATCCCAGCACTTTGGGAGGCCGAGGCAGGCGGATCATGAGGTCAGGAGATAGAGAACATCCTGGCTAACACAGTGAAACCCCATCTCTACTAAAAAAATACAAAAAAATTAGCCGGGCGTGGTGGCGGGCGCCTGTAGTCCCAGCTACTTGGGAGGCTGAGGCGGGAGAATGGCATGAACTCGGGAGGCGGAGCTTGCAGTGAGCCAAGTTCGTGCCACTGCACTCTAGCCTGGGTGACAGAGCGAGACTCCAGCTCAAAAAAAAAAGTGAACTGCCTAGTCACAGAGTTTCAAAATGGAGACAACGATTTTTGTCCTAAATCTGAAGTCTTCTTCGGAGCCCTCCAAGTCTAAAGTGCATGTATTCGTTGCCTATCAAATAAATAGGGTCTTGTCATGGCACACCTATGGCACCACACATCATATAAGCTAAATGACTAGGTCATTTTGTAATGACCCATGTAACTTGAAACTACCAAAAATCAAAGCAAGTCTTTGTCAACAAGTTCTGGTCATCCGAGAAAACAATGCAGATAAGAAATCCAGCCTAATTATTTTTTGTTTGCTTGTCTTGAGACAAGGTCTTGCTCTGTTGCCCAGACTGAAGTGTAGTGGCGCCATCACAGCTCACTGCAAACTTGACCTCCTGGGCTCAAGTGATCCTCCCACCTCAGCCTCCTGAGTAGCTGGAACTACAGGCACACGACACTAGCCCAGCTAAATATATATATTTGTAGGCACAGGATTTTGTCATGTTTCCCAGATTGATCTCAAACTCCTGGTCTCAAGCAATCTGCCAGCCTCCAGAAGTCTTGGGATTACTGGTGTCAAACACCACACCTGGCCTAAATCCAGCCTAATTCTCATCATCCCTCATCACCCATATCTGCAGAAAACTAAAGAGTTTTCTGAACATGTTCATAGTTACCATCCATCTTGTCCTGGCCCCTTTAAATTCACCCTGCTTGTTAGACATAGATCCTATGGCCAAAATTAATCCAAACTGCTACCTGCTAGGCTGTTCCCTTGTTCTTCATCTTTACTGTCTCCACTAACAAAAACACCTCCCTGCTGGGTGTGGTGGCTGACATCTGTAATCCCAGCATTTTGGGAGGCTGAGGCAGGAGGATCACTTGAGCCCAAGAGTTAGAGACCAGCCTGGGCAACATAGCAAGACACAATCTCTACAAAAAATTTTTGTAAAACATTACGCAAATGTGGTGGGGCGCATCCGGCTACTTCGCTGAGGCTGATGCAGGAGGATTGCTTGAGCCCGGGAGATCAGCGCTGCAGCGAGCAGGGTTCACACCACTGCATTCCAGCCTGGGCGACTGAGCGAGAACCTGTCTCAAAAAAATCCTATCCCTGCTGGGCGCGGTGGCTTATGCCTGTAATCCCAGCACTTTGGGAGGCCGAGGCAGGCGGATCACAAGGTCAGGAGTTCGAGACCAGCCTGACCAACACGGTGAAACCTCATGTCTACTAAAAATACAAAATTAGTTGGGTGTGGTGGTGTATGCCTGTAATCCCAGCTACTCGGGAGGCTGAGGCAGGAGAATCGCTTGAACCCTGGAGGTGGCAGAGGTTGCAATTAGCTGAGATCGTGCCACTGCACTCCAGCCTGGGTGACACAGCAAGACTCTGTCTCAAAAAAAAAAAAAATCCTATCCCTGCCAGCTGCCGTGGCACACACCTGAAATTGCACCACTTTGGGAGGCAGAGGAGAGGGCTATTACTAGAGCTCCAGAGTTCGAGACCAGCCTGGGCAACATGGTGAAACCCCGTCTACAAAAAAATACAAAAATGTACTGGGTGTGGTGGTGTACTTGTAGTCTCAGCTACTTGGGAGGCTGACGTGGGAGGATCACCTGAGCCTGGGAGTTCAAAGCTACAGCGAGCTGTGATTGCACCACTACACTGCAGCCTGGGTGATGGAACAAGACCTCCCAAAAAAAAAAAAAAAAAAAAAAAACAGGCCGGTCACGGTGACTCACGCATGTAATCCCAGCACTTTGGGAGTCCAAGGAGGGTGGATCACTTGAGGCCAGCACGAGACCAGCCTGGCCAACATGGCAAAACCCCGACTCTACTAAAAATACAAAAATTAGCCGGGTATGGTTGTGCACCCCTGTAATCCCAGCTGCTTGGGAGGCTGAGACAGGAGAATCGCTTGAACTCGGGAGTCTGAGGTTGCAGTGAACTGAGATCGTGCCATTGCACTCCAGCCTAGGCGACAGAACAAGACTCTATCTCACAACAAACAAACAAAAAAAACCATCATCCCTATTTTGCTCTAAGAAGCAAAACAAGGTATAGCCTGTGATTAGGCCAGTCCTTATTTTGAAGAAGCCCACCTGAGGCTGAAGCAGGAGGATTGCTTGAGCCTGGGAGGTAAGATTGTGCACACACAATCTGCCTACTTGACAATCTGAAGTAGAAACCCAGCATAGAAGGACTGAGTAGTTCTGGATTTGTGCTGCCAAGGCTGGTTTAATATATGGAATAAAGGCTTAAGGATCATATATGGAAAGACAGATATGTAACCAATGATAATTCATTGTGAAAAGTCTGTGGTAGAGTTTGCACAGAATCTTATGGGAGCACAGAGGAGGAGATAATGACTTGTTTTGGGTTGTAATAATGCTGTAACAGTTCCAATATAGGTCAATGCTCAAGTATTTTTAGTTGCAATGAAACTCATAGGAAAATAACAATGGAACAGATTTACTTGGGCAATTATAAGTGCGTTCATTTTCTTTCTTTTTTTTTAACGTGGGTTCGTTTTCACCTTGACATTGCACCTAGTAAAATTTTCTGGAATCTTTTCTAATTATCAGAATGTATAAAATACATAGAAGTTTGTGAATCAAAGTTGTGGTTCTTGGCTGGCTGTGGCAGCTCACACCTGTAATCTCAACGCTTTGGGAGGCTGAGGTGGCTGGATTGCTCAAGCTCAGGAGTTTGAGACCAGCCTGGGCAACATGGTGAAACCCTGTCTCTATGAAAAATTTTTTAAACATTAGCCAGGCATGGTGGCATGCACCTGTGGTCCCAGCTTGTTCAGGAGGCTGAGGGGAGAATCCCTTGAACCTGGGAGGCAGAGGTTGCTGTGAGCCAAGATCACGCCACTGCACTTCAGCCTGGGTGACACAGTGAGTCCTTGTCTCCAAAAAAAAAAAAAAAAAAAATTGTAGTTCTTTATTTGTAATGGTGAAAGGTTATGACTTTTTCAATGAGATAGAAAATAGCAAAGATCATGGATCAGGAAAAAAATTTAAAAGGAGTTCAAAATGCACCTGGCCAACATAGTGATACCCTATCTCTACAAAAGAAAAATAAAATTAGCTAGGCATGGTAGTGTACAGCTGTAGTTCCAGCTACTTGGAAGGCTGAGGCAGGAGGATTGCTTGGGCCCAGGAGTTCAAGGCTGCAGTGAGCCATAATTGTGCCACCGCACTCCAGCCTGGGTAGCAGAGTGAGACCCTGTCTTAAAAAAAACAAAAAGGAAAGAAAAAAGAAAGAAAAGAAAAAATAGGCACAAGGAAAGCTATAGGCAATATAATATATAATAATGATAACTCTTGAGCCATCTGATAGAACTACCATTATCCTAAGTGATCCCATATACCGCCAACCTCCCACCAAACATTTTATTTAAAATGTGCAAATGACACATTTTTAACTTAGAATGCAACATATATGGTGAGGCCATCTACTGAGCTTAACAAATACTGAGGAATTTGTGTCCAACTTTTTATTTATTAAGGTTGATGTATCTATAAGATGTTCAGGTAGCTATAGTCCCAGCTACTCTGGAAGCTGGGCAGAGGTAGGAGGATTTCTTGAGCTGAGTTGTTTTGATCCAGCCTGGGAAACATAGCAAGACCCCATATCTTAAAATAAATAAATAAATAAATATATACACACACACATACATATATATTATATATGATACATTATATATATGTATTATACATCATCATATATGTGTGTGTGCATATAATATATTATGTATTATACATAATATATGTATAATACATGATATATGTGTGTATACATATAATATATGCAATTACATATTATACATAATACATAATATATAACATGTATAATACATTATAATATATACAAAATATATATTATGTATACATATACCCACACACATATATATGTTCAGGAAGACATGGGAAAAAGCTTTAAGACTAAGGAAATAACCTGATAATTGTTGATAGGTAACGATAAGAGAGTATAGTATATCGAAAGAGAGAAAGAATATTGCTATGGTTTGAATGTTTGTCCCCTCTGAAACTCATGTTGAAACTTAGGCTGGGCACAGTGGCTCATGCCTGTAATCCCAACACTTTGGAAGGCCAAGGTGAGAGGATCTCTTGAGCCCAGGAGTTCAAGATCACCCTAGGCAACATAGTAAGACCCTGTCTCTACAAAAAATTTTAAAAATTTGCTGAATGTGGTGGCACAAACCTGTAGTCCCAGCTACTTGGAAGCCTGAGGTGAGAGAATCATTTGAGCCCAAGAGTTTGCAGTGGCAGTGAGCTGTGATCATGCCATTGCACGCCAGCCTGAATGATACAGTGACTGTCTCAACGGAAAAAAAATGAAAAGAACCTTAATCCATAGTGTAACAGTGTTAGGAGGTGGTGCTTTTAAAAGGTGATTGGGTCATGAAGGCTCTGACCTCATGAATAGATTAATCTATTCATGTGTTAATGTATTAATGAATTATCATGGGAGTGGGTGAGTTATCATGGGAGTGGGTCTGTTATAAAAGGCCAGGTTGACTCTCTCTCCTGAGCTCCCTAGCCACGTGATGCCCTGTGCTGCCTCAGGACTCTGCAGAGGGCCCCCACCAGCAAGAAGACCCTCACCAGATATAGCCTTCAACCTTGGACTTCCCAGCCTCCAGAGCTGTACAAAGTAAATTTATTTTTCTTATAAATTACCCCATCTGAGATATTAAGTTGTAGCAACAGAAAATGGACTAAGACAAATGTGTAATTCAAGAGAAAAGAAAAAGAGATCACATTATAATCTGCCCCCTAAGATCTCTTATAATGATTTGTTATAATTTATATTATAGTGTAATATACAGTAGTCACCCCTTATCTGCTATTTCACTTTCTGCAGTTTCAGTTACTCACAGTCAACTGGGGTCCAAAAATATTAAATGGAAAATTCCAAAAATAAATTCATAAGTTTTAAATTGCCCGTCATTCTGAGTAGTGTGAAAAAAATCTCACATGGTCCCACTCCATTCTGCTCTGTCCTGCCCAGGACATGAATCATCTTTTTGTACAGTTTGTCTACATTGTATACACTCATTACTGTATATCAAAAAATATGCTATATGTAGGGTTTGATGCTATCTGAGGTTTCAGGCATCCACTGAGAGTCGTGGAATGTATCCGCCACAGAAAAGGAGGGACTGCTATATACGGATGCCTTATCTCCCAAACTGGTCCATAAGTTTTTTGTGTTTTTTTTTTTGAGATGGAGCCTCGCTCTGTCCCCCAGGGTAGAGTGCAGTGGCACAGTCTCGGCTCACTGCAACCTCTACCTCCCAGGTTCAAGCAATTCTTCTGCCTCAGCCTCCTGAGTAGCTGGGATTACAGGCGTGTGCCACCACACCCGGCAAATTTTTGTATTTTTAGTGGAGATGGGGTTTTGCCATGTTGGCTAGGCTGGTCTTGAACTCCTGACCTCGGTGATCTGCCTGCCTTGGCCTCCCAAAGTGCTGGGATTACAGGCAAGGGCCACCATGCCCAGCCCTCATAAGCATCTTGAGGACAGAAACATAAATATGTATTTCAGGTACCAAGCATAGTGCAGATATAGGATGAGTATTTAATAACTGGATGAAAAGGAAAGATCCTTCCTATTTTTCTCTAGGGGGGAAAGCACATTTTGCACATAGGTGTTTATGTAGGTGTTTGCTGCATCGCAAAACATTTACTTTCTGTAAAACCCAAGGTAGCAAAAACATACACTTTAAAATATTTTTTCCTGCTGAGTGTGGTGGTGCACAACAATAATCCCAGCCACTCAGGAAGCTGAGGCAGGAGGATCACTTGAGCCCAGGAGTTCGAGGCTCTAGTGAGCTGTGATTGCACCTGTGAATAGCCACTGTACTCTGGCCTGGGTAACATAGCAAGACCTCATCTCTAAAAAAAAAAGAAAAAGAAAAAGAATTTTCTTCCTTTTTTAAAAAAATTGTGCTATAACATAAAATGTACCATTTTAATCTTTTTTTTTTTTTTTTTGAGACAGAGTCTTCCTCTGTCACCCAGGCTGGAGTGCAGTGGTACGATCATGGCTCACTGCAACCTCCGCCTCCCAGGTTCAAACAATTCTTGTGCCTCAGCCTCCTGAGTAGCTGGGTCTACAGGTGTGCGCCACTGCACCTGGATAATTTTTGTATTTTTAGTAGAGATGGGGTTTCATCGTGTTGGCCAGACTGGTCTCAAACTCCTGGGCTCAAGTGATTCACCTGCCTCGGTCTCCCAAAGTGCTGGAATTATAGGTGTGAGCCACCACATCCAGCCCATTTTAACCACGTTTAAATGTACAATTCATTGCCATTAAGTATATTTACAATGTTGTGCAACCATCACGACTATCTATTTCTAGAAAATTTTCATCATCCCAAACAAAAAGCCTATACCTATTAAACAATAACTCCTCATTCCCCTGTCCTCACAGTCAGGCCCTGGTAACCACCTTTCTACTGTCTGTCTCTGAATTTGCCTATTTTAGGTACCTAATGTAGTGGAATTATACAATATTTGCCCTTTTGTGTCTGGCTTATTTCACTTAGCATAATGTTTTCAAGTTCATCCATGCTATAGCATGTATCAGAATTGCATTCCTTTTTAAGGCTTAATATTCCATTGTATGTACATACCACATTTCATTTATTCATTCATCGGTCAGTGGACATTTGGGTTATTTTCGTCTTTTGGCAAATGTGAATAATGCTGCAGTGAACATCAGTGTACAGTATTTGTTTGTGTCCCTGTTTTTAATTCTTTGGGGAATATATCTAGGTGTAGAATTGCTGGACCATATGGTAATTCTATGTTTAACTTTTTGAGGAACTGGCAAACTGTTTTACAGCATGTGCATCATTTTATATTCACCTAGCAACGTACAAGGGTTCCAGTTTCTCAGCATCTTCGCCAACACTTGTTATTTTCCTTTTTTAAAATAATAGTCATTCTGGCTGGGAACGATGGCTTGGGCCTGTAATCCCATCACTTTGGGAGGCCAAGGCGGGTGGATCACTTGAGGTCAGAAGTTTCAGACCAGCCTGGCCAAGATGGTGAAACCTTGTCTCTACTAAAAATACAAAAATTAGCCAAGCATGTTGGCGAGCGCCTGTAATCCCAGCTGCTTGGGAGATTGAGACAGGAGAATCTCTTGATCCCTGGAGGTGGAGGTTGCAGTGAGCCAAGATCATGCCAGCTGGGCAACAGAGCGAGGCTCCATCTCAAAAAAAAAAAAAAAAAAAAAAAAAGCTGGGTCCGTGCTCATGCCTGTAATCCCAGCACTTTGGGAAGCTGAGGCGGGCGGATCACCTGAGGTCAAGAGTTCAAAACCAGCCTGCCCAACATGGCGAAACCCCATCTCTACTAAAAATATAAAAATTAGCCAGGCATGTTGGTGCATGCCTGTAATCCCAGCTACTCAGGAGGCTGAGGCAGGGGAATCGCTGGAACCCAGCAGGCAGAGGTTGCAGTGAGCTAAGATCAGGCCACTGCACTCCAGCCTGGGCAACAGAGCAAGACTCTTTCTCAAAAAATAAATTTAAAAAAAGAAAATAAAAATAAATTAAAAATATAAATAAATAAATAAAATAATAGTCATTCTAATGGGTGTGAAGTGGTATTAAAATATTTTTGTAGCCAGGTGCAGTGGCTCATGCCTGTAATCTCAGCACTTTGGGGAGGCCAATGAGAGAGGATCACTTGAGCTCAGAAGTTCAGGGCAGCAGTGAGCTAGAATGGCACCATTGTGCTCCAGCCTGGGCGACTGGGCAACAGAGACTCTGTCTCTTAAAAAAAAAGGCTAGGTGGTGGCTCACGATCACTTGAACCCAGGAGTTGAAGACCAGCCTGGGCAACATAGTGAGACCCTATCTCTACAAAATTTTTTTAAAAATTTAAAAAAGTAGCCAGTTGTGGTAGTGCATGCTTTTGATCCCAGCTACTTGGGAGGCTGAGATAAGAGGATCGCTTGAGCCTGGGAGGTCAAGACTGCACTTGTGAGTGATGATTGCACCACAGCACTTCAGCTAGGGTGACAGAGCAAAACCCTGTCTCTAATTAATTAAAATACATTTTTAAAATTTTGTCTTACAAAATCCACAGAAGGGTGAGCTAGCCTGATAAGAAAGGCCTATTAAGTTTAGAGTTGAAGACACTAAAGTTACATCAGAAAATGTTTAGGCAAACATGTTAGGAAACTTAAAAATGTTCAACTGGTTTTTTGATGTTTTCGCACATCTTCAAATAGATTATGTATGAGGATGTTTATACAGTTTGTTTATGTGGTAAGATATCAGTTTCTATGTTTGTTTGTTTTTGAGACAGGGTCTCACTCTGTTGCCCAGGCTGGAGCGCAGTGGCACAATCACAGCCCACTATAGCCTCAACCTCCCTGGGCTCAGGTGATCCTCCCACCTCAGCCTCCTGAGGAGCTGGGACCACAGGCGTGCACCACCATGCCCGCTTAACATAACCGTTTTAATTGTGAACTGAACTTACTCTGCAACCCCTCCCCTGCATTGAGACAACAGCTATTGTGGTTCTATGTTTACTTATTTTAAGTGAGAGGGCACAGAAGAGAGAAACAGGAGCCTTTTGTTTAAAAGTCTAGCCCCTGCCGGGAAATAGAAAGCGCTAATATGCATAGACACAGCCGTAGATTTGGGAGCAACTTGATGAATAGAGCTTCTGCATCCCTTAGACCAGCCAGTTTCCCTGGAGAGGAGAAAGGAAAAGGAGGGAAAGCCCAAAGTAGAAAGCATAGGAATCTTATTATGTAGAAAGTACCCTGTACCCCGTCCCCTCACCACCCCACCACTACCTCCACTCATGGATCCCAGAGTAGGAATCAAAAACTAAAGATCTGTGGCATCTGAGTACATAGGACCTACTTTCACAGGAAGATTTGAGAAAGGCAGTAGGAACCCAAAGTGGAACAGCTGCCTGATATGCCCAGGCTGTTAGGCCTTAGACAACATCTCCGGGCCCTGCAGCATGATATGGGAGTCGTACAATGATGCTCTTGAATTATCTGGTGGTAACTAGCATCTGTGAAGTGTTTTGGGTAACTCAAGAGTTGCTCAGAAAAACAGAATGATTTCTGTGTGTTTAGGAACTTTAGGCAGCCTCCCGAACTGGCCACTGGCAGCCTGTTACAGGGGGTGACAATTCCAAGGTGCCCTGGAGAAAGGAGAGAGAAATCTGCCTCTCAAGAAGCTCTGTGATCCAGAAGGAGGAAAGCACAGCAGTGATGGGCACAGACCATGGCCAAGGGCAAAATAGACATTGGCCATCTTGCAGATGCTGATCACTAGCAGGATGAAACAGCTCTAAGCATTTTTTGGTCCTTAGATCACACGACTCAAAATTAAAATTCCAGGGATAGAAAGGCTGATTGGCTCTCTTGGTCACATGTCCACCTTTGGCCAGAGGACAGGTCAATATAATTGTTCACCAAAACTACATCAGCTAGCAAAAGGATAATAACCTAAGAAAACAATCAGGGGATGTTACCAAAAGACAGGATCAGGAATGTCTGGCAAGCAAAAACTACAAATATCTGAATTCACCACAGGGACTTACAGTGTCAAAGATAAAGTAGCTTGTTGGGTTTTTGTTTTTCTTCCCAAAAAACTATCTGCAAGTAAAGATATGATAGTGTTTTTTTGTTTTGTTTTGTTTTTGAGACAGAGTTTCACTCTTGTTGCCCAGCCTGGAGTGCAGTGGCACGATCTTGGCAACCTCTGCTTCCCGGGTTCAAGCAATTCTCCTGCCTCAGCATCCCAAGTAGCTGGAATTACAGGTGTGCGCCACCATGCCTGGCTAATTTTGTATTTTTTTAGTAGAGACAGGGTTTTGCCATGTTGGTCAGGCTGGTCCTGAACTCCTGACCTCAGGTGATCCACCTGCCTCAGCCTCCCAAAGTGCTGGGATTACAGGTCTGAACCACCGTGCCCGGCCAGTATTTTTTTTTTAATCAAAATTTTTTTTTTTTAGACAGGGTCTCACTCTGTCTCCCAGGCTAGCTCACTATAGACTCCAACTCCTGGGCTCAAGCGATCCTCCACCTTAGCCTCCTGAGTAGCTGGGACTACAGGGTGCAATGCACGCCACCACGCCTGGCTATAAAAAAAAAACCAACTTTTAAGGCATAATTTACATACAATAAAAGTGATACATTTTAAGTGTACACATTGATGACTTTTGACAGATGTACACATGTATGTAACCACCACCCCCAGTCAAGATGGACATTCCCATCTCCCAAGAAGTTCCCTGGTGATCCTGTGCAGTCAGTTGTCACAAATGCCCCAGCCCAGGCAACCACTGATGTGATTTCTGGTACTATTGATTAGTTTTGCCTGTTGTAGAATTTTGTCTAAATGGGTAATGGTCTAATACTTTTAATATTCCATTTTATTTCCTATTAGCTTTTTAGCTGTACCTTTTTAAAATTATTTTTTGGAGACTGCCCTATGGCTAACAATATGAGTCCTTAACTTACCAGACTCTATTCAGTCAATACTGTCTCTTTACAATTAACACTTCCCAGTTTCTATACAAGCCCCCTTCTACTTATCTCACACTTTCTGCTGCACAATGAAATACCTTTACAATAAATAAAAAATTTACAAATACATTTATCTGCCTTCCTGTATTTTGATGATTTTATGATTATTGTCATATCTTTTATTTCTACATTTATTATAAGCTCCTCTTACAGTATTTTGTTTTTTCTTTTCTTTAAAGAATCATCGCCTTTTAAGTAAATCACAAGAAAGAACACAATCTTTTTTTTTTTTTTTGAGACAGAGTCTGGCTCTGTGCCCAGGCTAGAGTGCAGTGGTGTGATTGGCTCACTGCAACATCTGCTTCCCAGGTTCAAGCAATTCTTCTGCCTCAGCCTCCCAAGTAGCTGGGACTACAGGGCCCTGCCACTATACCCAGCTAGTTTTTGTATTCTTAGTAGAGATGGGATTTCACCATGTTGACCAGGCTGGTCTTGAACTGTTGACCTCAGATAATCCACCTGCCTCAGCCTCCCAAAGTGCTGGGATTACAGGCGTGAGCCACTGCGCCCTGCCACAGAATCTTGTATGTTTAGCAATTTTTTTTTCTTTTTTCTTTCTTTCTTTCTTTTTTTTTTTTTTTCAGATGGAGCCTTGCTCTGTCACCCAGGCTGGTGTGCAATGGCACAATCTCGACTCACTGCAACCTCCATCTCCAAGGTTCAAGTTATTCTCCTGCCTCAACCTCCTGAGTAGCTGGAGTTCAATGGCACAATCTCGACTCACTGCAACCTCCATCTCCAAGGTTCAAGTTATTCTCCTGCCTCAACCTCCTGAGTAGCTGGGATTACAGACGTGCACAACCATGCCCACCTAATTTTTATTTTTAGTAGAGACCATGTTGGCCAGGCTTGTCTCGAACTCCTGACTTCAGGTGATCCTCCTGCCTCGGCCTCCCAAAGTGCTATGATTACAGGCGTGAGCCACCACCACTGTGCCCAGTGTTAGCAATTATTTACAACAACTGATACTCTTACCTTTCTTCCTATAGATCTAATTATATGGAAAGATACAATCATTTTTGACCAAATTTTTATCTTACTATGTTGTACTCTACTCATCTACATTTCTTCCAGTAGTGGCAGTAATTTTCCTATATACAAATACATCCATATATAAGCACACAGTATATATACAATATATATAAAACATATAGACAAGTTAAAAATATGGAAGGAAAGATTATAAAAGCAATAAAAACATAAAATATGGAAGAATAAAGTAAAAAAAAATGCGATGGACCTGTGTGGAAAAGCTACAGGACAATAGGGGGAGGTGAAAGAGGATTTTAATGAAAGGAGGGACATGCTTTGTTCCCGGAAAGACAATATTGTGAAATTTTGACTTCTATTGAGAATAGAATTGTTTCTACTCTCAACAATTCCACTCATTTTTGTGGTCAAAACAGCATATAGTTGTATCTTTTTTTGGTAAATGCTAAATCTGACAGTTGTTGCCCTTTAATAAAAGAAACTCTTTCATATATTAATAATTGGTATACCCGATTTTGCTTCAGCCATCATGTTTACACTTTCAGCCATCATGGTTTATACTTTCCACTCATTGTATATTCTTGCTTTCTTTCTTTTCCTTGGAAAGAAAAGTCTTCGGCTAAATGGATTTTTTTTTCTTTTTTTAAAGAGAAAGGGTCTTGCTCTTGTCGCCCATGCTAGATTGCTATGCCACTATCAAAGCTCACTTCAAGGCCAGGCATGATGGCTCACGCCTGTAATCCCAGCACTTTGAGAGGCCAAGGCAGGCGGATCGCTTGAGCTCAGGAGTTCAAGACCAGCCTGGGCAACATGGCAAAACCCCATCTCTACAAAAAAATACCAAAAAATTTAGCCAGGTGTGGTGGCATATGCCTCTAGTCCCAGCTACTCGGGAGGCAGAGATGGGAGGAACACTTGAGCCCAGAAGGCAAAGGTTGCAGTGAACCAAGATTGTGCCTTTGCCCTCCAGCCTTGGTGACAGAGGGAGACTCTGTCTCAAGGAAAAAAAAAAAAAAAGCTCACTGCAGCCTGGAACTCCTGACCTCAAGTGATCCTCTTGCCTCAGCCTCCCAAAATGCTGGGATTAGAAGTACTGTATCCCCCCTTTTTTTTTTTTTTTTGTCAGAGTCTCGCACTGTCGCCCAGGCTGGAGTGCAGTGGCGCAATCTTGGCTCACTGCAACCTCCGCCTCCCAGGTTCAAGTGATTCTCCTTGCTTCAGCCTCCTGAGTAGCTGGGATTACAGGTGCACGCTACCATGCCCAGCCAATTTTTGTTTTTGCTTTGTTTTGTTTTTTTAAGACAGAGTCTTGCTCTGTTGCCCAGGCTGGAGAGCAGTGGCGTGATCTCTGCTCACTGCAACCTCTGCTTCCTGGATTCAAGTGATTCTCCTGCCTCAGCCTCTTGAGTAGCTGGGACTACAGGCACGTGCCACCATGCCTGGCTAATGTTTTGTATTTTTAGTAGAGACGTGGTTTCACCATGTTAGCCAGGATGGTCTTGATCTCCTGACCTCATGATCTGCCCGCCTTGGCCTCTCAAAGTGCTGGGATTACAGGCATGAGCCACTGCGCCCGGCCTAATTTTTGTATTTTTAGTAGAGAAAGTGTTTCATCATGTTGGCCAGGGTGGTCTCGAACTTCTGACCTCAGGTGATCTGCCTGCCTTGGCCTCCCAAAGTATTGGGATTACAGACATGAGCCACCACACCTGGCCAGAAGTACTGTATCCTGTTTCCACTTTCATGGTGGTGAATTTTACCTTTTAGAAAACAATAGTTATTTTTATTTTCTGATTATAAAAGTAATACATACTCATGAACAGAAATTTGGAATAAATAGCAAACTAGAAGGAAAGTGCCATGCAGAGATAATCACTATTAATATCTTTAATTTTTCGTATTATTAAATTTTTTCGACCGCAGCCGCCGCCGCCCGACCGCCGGGAGGATGGAGTTCAGCGGGCAGCGGAGCTGTCTCAGTCTTTGCCGCCGCGCCGGCGAGCGCCGCCCGGGAGGCAGCGGCTGGAGGAGCGGACGGGCCCCGCGGGGCCCGAGGGCAAGGAGCAGCCGCCTGCCTTGGCCTCCCAAAGTGCCGAGATTGCAGCCTCTGCCCGGCCGCCACCCCGTCTGGGAAGTGAGGAGTGTCTCTGCCTGGCCACCCATCGTCTGGGATGTGAGGAGCCCCTCTGCCTGGCTGCCCAGTCTGGAAAGTGAGGAGCGTCTCCGCCCGGCCGCCATCCCATCTAGGAAGTGAGGAGCGCCTCTTCCCAGCCGCCATCACATCTAGGAAGTGAGGAGCGTCTCTGCCCGCCCGCCCATCGTCTGAGATGTGGGGAGCGCCTCTGCCCCGCCGCCCCATCTGGGATGTGAGGAGTGCCTCTGCCCTGCCGAGACCCCGTCTGGGAGGTGAGGAGCGTCTCTGCCCGGCCGCCCCGTCTGAGAAGTGAGGAGACCCTCTGCCTGGCAACCACCCCGTCTGAGAAGTGAGGAGCCCCTCCGCCCGGCAGCTGCCCCGTCTGAGAAGTGAGGAGCCTCTCCGCCCGGCAGCCACCCCATCTGGGAAGTGAGGAGCGTCTCCGCCCGGCAGCCACCCCGTCCGGGAGGGAGGTGGGGGGGGTCAGCCCCCCACCCGGCCAGCCGCCCCATCCGGGAGGGAGGTGGGGGGGTCAGCCCCCCGCCTGGCCAGCCGTGCCGTCCGGGAGGGAGGTGGGGGGGTCAGCCCCCCGCCTGGCCAGCCGTGCCGTCCGGAAGGGAGGTGGGGGGGTCAGCCCCCTGCCCGGCCAGCCGCCCCGTCCGGGAGGTGAGGGGCGCCTCTGCCCGGCCGCCCCTACTGGGAAGTGAGGAGCCCCTCAGCCCGGCCAGCCACCCCGTCCTGGAGGGAGATGGGGGGGTCAGCCCCCCCACCCGGCCAGCCGCCCCGTCCGGGAGGGAGGTGGGGGGGTCAGCCCCCCGCCTGGCCAGCCACCCTGTCCGGGAGGGAGGTGGGGGGGTCAGCCCTCCGCCCGGCCAGCCGCCCCGTCTGGGAGGTGAGGGGCGCCTCTGCCCAGCCGCCCCTACTGGGAAGTGAGGAGCCCCTCTGCCCGGCCAGCTGCCCCGTCCGGGAGGGAGGTTGGGGGGTCAGCCCCCCGCCCGGCCAGCCGCCCTGTCCGGGAGGGAGGTGGGGGGGTCAGCCCTCCGCCCGGCCAGCCGCCCCGTCTGGGAGGTGAGGGGCGCCTCTGCCCAGCCGCCCCTACTGGGAAGTGAGGAGCCCCTCTGCCCGGCCAGCCGCCCCGTCCTGGAGGGAGGTGGGGGTGTCGGCCCCCCGCCCGGCCAGCCGCCCCGTCCGGGAGGGAGGTGGGGGTGTCGGCCCCCCGCCCGGCCAGCCGCCCCGTCCGGGAGGGAGGTGGGGGTGTTGGCCCCCCGCCCGGCCAGCCGCCCCGTCCGGGAGGGAGGTGGGGGGGGTCAGCCCCCCTGCCCGGCCAGCCGCCCCGTCTGGGAGGTGAGGGGCGCCTCTGCCCGGCCGCCCCTACTGGGAAGTGAGGAGCCCCTCTGCCCGGCCACCACCCCGTCTGGGAGGTGTGCCCAACGGCTCATTGAGAACGGGCCATGATGACAATGGTGGCTTTGTGGAATAGAAAGGCGGGAAAGGTGGGGAAAGGATTGAGAAATTGGATGGTTGCCGTGTCTGTGTAGAAGGAGGTAGACATGGGAGACTTTTCATTTTGTTCTGCACTAAGAAAAATTCCTCTGCCTTGGGATCCTGTTGATCTGTGACCTTGCCCCCAACCCTGTGCTCTCTGAAACATGTGCTGTGTCCACTCAGGGTTAAATGGATTAAGGGCGGTGCAAGATGTGCTTTGTTAAACAGATGCTTGAAGGCAGCATGCTCGTTAAGAGTCATCACCAATCCCTAATCTCAAGTAATCAGGGACACAAACACTGCGGAAGGCCGCAGGGTCCTCTGCCTAGGAAAACCAGAGACCTTTGTTCACTTGTTTATCTGCTGACCTTCCCTCCACTATTGTCCCATGACCCTGCCAAATCCCCCTCTGTGAGAAACACCCAAAAATTATCAATAAAAAAACAAATTAAAAAAAAAATTTTTTTTTCATGAAGTAATGTGCAATTGCTGTAAAGATTTCCAATAACATTGAGGCATTATAGTGGACATCTTTTATTTTTGCTCATCTAGTATCTATTCTTTCTTCTGGTAACACCACCTGATTTCCCTTTGGGGAGCTATCTCTCTTCCAATTTCCATTCATGTGTTTCAGATGGGACTGAGCCCACCTCTCAGCTCCAGAGACTGGCCAAGAGCCAGGCATGGCCAGGGTGATGATGAACCTGGCAAGGCTAATGGGAATCAATTCTGGAACTTTAGTTAAAACTACTGGGAAAGAGAGGTTCCCTTTCTCTACTGTGACTCACACCTGACAAATAGAATATGGTGGAAGTGATGCTGTGTTACTTCCAAGGACATAGCTTCCACTCAGTACCCTCTTTCTTGAATCACTCACTCTGGGGGAAGGCAGCCACCATATTGTGAGGCCACCCAAGCAGCCTTGAGGAGAGGACCTTGTGAAGAACAACTAGGGCATCAGCCATGTGAGTGAACCACTTTGGGGTTTTTCATTTGTTTGTTTGTTTGTTTTGAAACAGGGTCTCACTCTGTCACTCAAGCTGGAGTGCAGTGGCATGATCTCCACTCACTGCAACCTCCACCTCCCAGGCTCAGGTGATCCTCTCACCTCAGCCTTCTGAGTAGCCAGGACAGGTGCACACCACCACATCTGGCTAGTTTTTGCATTTTTTGTAGAAACAGGGTTTTGCCATGTTGCCCAGGCTGGTCTCAAACTCCTGGGCTCAAGCAATCCACCTGCCTCAGCCTCCCAAAGTGCTGAGATTACAGGCATGAGCCACTGTGCCTGGCTGGAGTTAGCCACTTTGACAGTGGATACTCCAGCCTCAGTCAAGCCTTCAGATGACATCTTTATTGCATCCTCATGAGTGATCCTGAGCCAGAACTGCTCAGCTAATCTGTTCCTGACCACAGAAACTTTGAGAGATAATAAATGTTTGTTGTTGTTTTAAGCCACTAAGTTTTTTGTTTGTTTGTTTGTTTGTTTTTGAGATAGAGTCTCACCCTATCGCCCAGGCTGGAGTGCAGTGGCACGATCTCAACTCACTAAAACTTCCACCTCCCGGACTTAAGCAATCCTCCCAACTCAGCCTCCCAAGTAGCTAGGACTACAGGAGTGCGCCACCATGCCGAGCTAATTTTTGTATTTTTAGTAGAGACAGAGTTTCACCATGTTGGTCAGGCTGATCTTGAACTCCTGACTTCAGGTGATCTGCCTGCCTTGGCCTCTCAAAATGCTGACATTACGGGCATGAGCCACCATGCTCAGCCATAAGCCACTAAGTGTTTAGATAATTTGTTATGTGGCAAGAGATAACTAATACAAGATTAGTTTAGGAATCCAAACCTAAGCCTATCAGCATGTGGCATTCCCCTGTGAACTTTGCTGGTTCAAGAATAGGTATGTTATGAAATTGTCCTAATTAGACCCAGGGACAGACTTATAAACAGCTGGGTGAATAGCTCTCTTCTACTACCCATAAACATGAAAACCTATGTTCAAAGTGTGGCTGGCAGCCATCATTATAAATAAAGCCCTCATTAGTGCACTTGATGAGTCTTAAGAAAGAAAGTGGCTGGGTGTGGTGGCTAATTCCTGTAATCTCAGCACTTGGGAAGGCCATGGCAGGCAGATGGCTTGAGGCCAGGAGTTTGAAATCAGCCTGTGAAACATGGGGAAACCTTGTCTCCACAAAAAATACAAAAATGAGCTGGGCATAGTGCCACATGCCTGTGGTAGCAGCTACTCAGGAGGCTGAGGTAAGAGGATCGCTTGAGCCTGGGAGGTCAAGGCTGCAGCAAGCCGTGATTGCACCACTGCACTCCAGCCTGGGCAACAGAGCAAGACCCTGTCTCCAAAAAAATAAAAGCCAACTTTAGGGTGAATATAATATTGTAGATAGCAAATCAGATGGACCTAATAAATTGCGTCCTTGGTGAAATTATTGAGCTACTGAAATAAATAACCATAAACCCCTCCTTAACTTTAACCTTCTAGTTATATGAGCCAATACAGTTCCTTATCATCTTAGCCACAATAGCCTTCTTTATGTTAGCATTTGCTTTAATAGAAACACTTCCCAGTATTATCAAACTCTTTTAGTAATGTTGTTTTAGGTATATCTTATGTAAATTGTAAATGGCTGGGATTTTTTTCTTTTCTCAACATGACTTTGACTTTGGGAGAATTTACTACATGATCATAGCTCACTGAAGCCTCTGACTCCTAAGCTCAAAGGATCCTTCCCACCTTGGCTTCCTGAGTAGCTGGGACTACAGGTGTGCACCACCACACATGGCTGATCCAACGTTTTGAAATCTGGATCTTTTACATAGAAATTAAGTTGTGTATCCACACTTTAAAAATTAGAGGATCTATAATGTGAGGCCCCTTAATCTCACATCACTGAGTGGTGGCTGGCCCCTTTAGATGGGGTATGTACCCGCTGGTTCACCACAGTGCCCCCCATTCTATGTTATTTTTCCAAAGTGGAGAGAATTTTAGTTTATATTTATGGTCTCTCCTTGCACTATTTTTTTCTTATGGTAGAATATCTGTTTCCATGACTCTATTACTTTTATTGAAGACCAAGAGAGCCATATTTCAAGAAATAAAAGTAAAAATATCCATTTCCACATTACCCTTCTGGCCCCTGTGGTCATTTGGGTTTGCATTTTCTGTTTTAATTCTTTTTCTCTTTTACAATTGGTTACCTATAAATTGTTAACAATTATGTTATGGGTCACTGGTTTCTTTCTTTTTTTTTTTTTTTTTTACTTTTTTTCTTTTTCTTTTTCTTTTTTTTTTCTTTTTTTGAGACAGGATGAGGCTCTGTCACTCAGGCTGGAGTACAGTGGGGTGATCACAGCTCACTGCAACCTCCACCTCCTGGGCACAGGTGATCCTTCTACCTCAGCCTCCCTAGTAGCTGGAACTTCAGGCACATGTCACCACACCCAGCTAATGTTTGTATTTTTTGTAGTGACAGAGTTTCGCCATGTTGCCCAGGCTGGTCTCAAACTCCTGGGCTCAAGTGATCCTCCTGCCTCCGCCTTCCAAAGTGCTGGGATTATAGGCGTGAGCCACCACGCTCTGCCCAATATTTTTAATGACCATCAGGAAACAGTAGCTATAATTTTGCTCCCCTATAATTTTACTTGCTACAGAAAATCTTTAGCAAGATTTTCTTTCTCCTCTGCCTTATAACTCACTTCCACTTTTGTTGTGATTTAGTTCAACATTGTTATTCATCTTTCTTATTAAGTCTCTTCTAAGAATCTTTTCTGACAAATTGCACTAAACATCAAAACCACTATCAACAACTATTTAATCTATACAGCTGTAAACATTGTCAGTTTCTTTACTCATCACTGTTTCTTTTTCTTTTCTTTTTTTTTTTTTTTTTTTGAGACAGAGTCTTGCTCTTGTCACCCAGGCTGGAGTGCAATGGTGTGGTCTTGGCTCACTGCAACCTCCACCTCCCGGGTTCAAGCAATTCTCCTGCCTCAGCCTCCTGAGTAGCTGGGATTACAGGCACTCGCCACCATGCCCGGCTAATTTTTGTATTTTTAGTAAAGACAGTGTTGTGCCATGTTGGCCAGGCTGGTCTCAAACTCCTGACCTCATGATCTTCCCCACTCAGCCTCCCAAAGTGCTGGAATTACAGGCGAGAGCCACCGCCCGCGGCCTCTTTTTTTTTTTTTTTTTTTTTTTGAGACAGAATCTCGCTCTGTCACCAGGCTGGAGTGCAGTGGCGGGATCTTGGCTCACTGCAACCTCCTCCTCCCGGGTTCAAGCAATTCTCCTGCCTCAGCCTCCTGAGTAGCTGGAATTACAGGCACATTTCACCACACCCAGCTAATTTTTGTATTTTTAGTAGAGACGAGGTTCACCATGTTGGCCAGGATGGTCTCTATATTCTGACCTCGTGATCTGCCGGCCTTGGCCTCCCAAAGTGCTGGGATTACAGGCGTGAGCCACTGCGCCCCGCCTACTCATCACTGTTTCTTATATATCACCCCTGCCCTTTTTTGAGCTTTTTATTGTAATTCATCTGTCATTTTGCTACAGTTCTTCTTTCTTAAGGGAAAAAAAATATCTGTTGATAGATGGTTTGCACTCCCTCAAAACTTGTCAGTTACTGGGCTATTCAATTTCGCTTGAGCTAGGCCTCCCACCCCAAGGCTGCAGCATTCTGCTGGCCAGTTTCACCCTGAGTATGATGAGTGGCCATGGAACTGGCTGACAAGCTAAGACCCTGCCGGAGCAAGAAAGCAAGGGAAGTGGTGGAGGCTTAAGGGACTTCGCTGATGTGATTTGACTGTTGTGCTGAGTCTTTCTCTTTTTGTCCCCAATTCTCTCTCTTCTTGTTTGTTGTAGTTGCCTAAAATTAGTTGGATCTCAGCTAGCCAATCTCTCTGGCTGCCTAGGTAAATTGCCATTTCAAAGAGAGTCAAGCATACTAGTGTAAAATTGTGATCCTTTTCCCCTAAAACAGGAAACACTGCTCCACTGTCTTTTTGTATCTATTGCTGCATATGAGAAAACATGAAAAGTTATGAGTTTCTTTTTATCTTTGGAATATGGAAAAGTCACCAGACTCACTTGGAATTATCTTCAATTCCTCTCTTTCTCACACCCCACCACCTTCTACCTATCAGTAAATCTTGTTAGTTCTACCTTCAAGATGGAGTTCAGGCATGGTGGCTCACACCTGTAATACCTAACTTTGGGATGCCAAGGTGGGAGGATCACCTGAGCCCAGGATTTTGAGACCAGCCTGGGCAACATGGTGAGACCCCCATCTTATATAGCTGAAAGAACACTCAAGGGGCCATAGGCAGGTGAAAGATGGTTTCATTCAGCAGCTCTCTTACACTGTCTGTCTCTGTCTCAGCTACCTGTTCTGGCTCTGTGACTCCTGCCACTCCCACACACAGCTGCAAAGCCAGCTGTCTCTACAGGGTCAGAAGCTTAACACTTTCTCTCTCTGGGCAAGAGCATGCCTGTACAACATCAGCAGGGCAGTTATACCTTTTACAGACAATAGTGGCTCCAAGCCAAGTGATGAGCCTTCCCATGTTATGCCTATGTAGCTGTGATTATATAACAAGCAAAGTTATGCACCTGCACTCCAAACTTGCTGAGTCATGTGGGATGTTTACCTTGGCCCATGCCTGCCTCGCTGCATTGCAGCCATGTTCCTTACACAGGAGGATCCCTTGAGCCCGGGAGTTTGAGGTCAGCCCAGGGAACATAGCAACAGCCTGTCTCTAAAAAAAAAAAAAAAAAAAAAGTAAAATATTTTTAAAATTTAGGAAGCTGCCAGGGATGGCTCCTCCAAAATAAGGAGTAAACCAAGCAGGAGGAAAAATATGACACAAAATGAAGGGTACAACCAAAAGAGTGGTATAAAGTAAACCACTAGGATGGTTGTAAAGGGAGATACCAATGAGACAGTGGTATAGGCCTAGAGAGGAACCAATACAGATTGGAGCAGGCCAGAAGGGTCTGGAAGAGATTTCCAAAGAAAGATTCAATTAATAGATTATGATTGCTAGAAAAACACTTGTTAGATCCTGGTGTCTGGGTCCAGCCATGCTGAAGTCTGAGGGGAGTGGGTGGATGAGCAGAAAGAACACTTGATGGGCTGTAGGCAGGTGAATATGGTTTTATTTAGCAGCAGCTCTCTTACACGGTTTACTCAAACTAGCTCTTTTACATTGTCCACCCTGTCTCAACTGCTTAGTCTGGTGGCTCCCACATACACCTGTGCAGCAGGCTTTCCCTTGCCTTCAGGGTCAGCAGCTTAACTCTTTTTCTCTCTGGGCATGAGCAAGCCAAGCTGTGTCCTGGCTCCCTCCTGTCCATCTGTAAAATGGACAGCTTTGGCTCTCTCTGTCTCTCTTTCTCTGGGTGCCAGTGCATCCCCCATGTCAAGCCATGTTGAGCCGAGCCAAGCCCCCAGGTCCCCCGTACAGCATTAACAGGGCAGACAATAGTGGCTCAGAGCCAAGTATGAACTTAACACAAACAAGTTATATAACAAGTGAAGGTGTGCGCCTGCGCACCAAACTCACTGAGTTACGCAGGCCTTGGATATCCACCTCGGCCTGTTCCTTGACCAAAGCACATCCATATGTACCTTACACTCCACCCCCTAGGCCAAACGAGACATATGCCTTGGACACACAGGTTTGATCCACAGGTTTGGCATACAGGCCTGACATATAAACTTTGGGCATGCAGGCCCAATACATACACAGGCTTGACACATAAGCCTGACACACAAGCCTTGGGCACACAAGCCCGATACATACATAAGCTTCTGGGTACGCAGGCCCCTTGCATACATAAGCTATGATAAACTGCCCAGCTACTGGCGCAGATTACCTTAGGTGTCACCTCCTTGGTGATTACCATTCACACTGCCTTGAGTTTAGCTTATTAACCACTTTGCCCATACCTGCTTTCAAACCATATGATGTCAGTACTAGCCTGGACTGCACCAGCAGTCCAGGCAGCAGTAGCACCCCAGCTGGACCCACTTGTACACGATACCCTATTAGGAATGGGGGGGTGTGCTTCCTAATGGTGAAGGCTTAGGTCTAGGGGTGCCTCAGGCCTCATGGCCTCATCTTGCATTAGGACTACTACTCAGGAGGCTGAGGCAGGAGAATTGCTTGAACCCAGGTGGCGGAGGTCGCAGGGAGCTGAGATCGTGCCCTGCACTCCAGCCTGGGCGACAGAGCAAGACTCCATCTCAAAAAAAAAAAAAAAAAAGAAAAAGAAAAAAGAAAAAGTCCATTGTTGCCCTCCCATGAAGGCAAACTGTTCCTGGCTCTCTGGACAAGAAGTCCCAGTTCCGTTGTCAAGCGGTCGGCAAGTCCGTGACAGACAATACAGCTGCCAAGCCGTGCAAAACATCCACCCCCAGAATGTCTTCAGGTATGTGAGACACATACACAGTGCATAAGTGGAGAGCCAAGCAGCGGATGCCAAGATGCAAAGACACAGGTTTTACTTTCACTGACCAACTTTCATAGCTGTTCATGCGGCTCTGCCCGGAAACTTATCCGGGTTCAGAGACCAGTGGATTGCCAAATCCACATGTGGCTCTGGTTTTCCAGTGCCCCGCAAGCCGGCACCTTGGCCAGTTCTCTTATCAAGCAGAAAAGGCTTTACACTTCCGCCAACTGCAGCAGGTACTCTTTGAACTGGAATGCTCGAGTAGGACTAGGTTGCGCAGCAATGTCCTTCTCCCGAATGACTTGCACTAAGTCTGTACACAACTGGCGACATTAGTTGCTTAACTCCCTCAATTCAGCGGGGACACAGGCACCATAGGAAATGTGTTCCACCACGATGGGGGGTCTCTGGGCCTCCTCTTGGGGCCCAACAGCTGTTCATGCTCTATTTTCTGACGGACTACCGGGCAAGCCTGCAACGGAGGTTCCTCCTCCCTGCGCTGCATCCTGCAGGGATTGGGCATTCATTTCCCTCAGCATAGTCGCAAATGCCCATCTGACTCTGCTGGCAAAGGTATGTTCCTTTCAATGCTGTGCATTTCCAGGTGATTCAGCGCCTTCTCCACACTCATAGGGGATCTGTACACTGCCTCCCATGTTTCCACTGGGGCTCATCCAAGCAGCACCACTGCGACCGGGTACCACAGCTCATGCTGCGGCCACGTAGCCGTCCCGGGAGCCCTCAGGGGCTGAAGACCCACTCACCTCCTTCCATCCTCGTCGCCAGTTGTTAGATCCTGGGGTCTGGGTCCAGCCCATGCTGAAGTCTAAGGGCAGTAGGTGGATGAGCAGAAAGAACACTGGGTGGCCGGCCATAGGCAGGTGAATTTGGTTCTATTTAGCAGCAGCTGTCTTACACAGCTTACTCAAACTAGCTCTTTTAGACTGTCCACCCTGTCTTGGCTGCTTAGTCCGGCGACTCCCACACACACCTGTGTGGCCAGCTCTCCCTTGCCTTTAGGGTCAGCAGCTTAACTCTTTTTCTCTCTGGACACGAGCAAGCTGAACTGCGTCATGGCTCCCTCCTATCAGTCTGCAAGACAGACAGCTTTGGCTCTCTCTCTCTTTGGGCGTCAACACACGCTCCATGTCAAGCCATATTGAGCCGAGCCCAGAGCCCCTGTATAGCGTTAGCAGGGCAATTATACCTTTTTCAGACAATAGTGGCTCAGAGCCAAGTATGAACTTACACCAAAAGGTTATATAACAAGTGGAGATGTGCGCTTGTGCGCCAAACTCACTGAGTTATGCAGGCCTGGATATCCACCTGGGCCTATCGACCAAAGCATATCCATATACCTTACACCACTGTTTTGAATGTATCAAGAGCAGATTTATATAACTGGAGTAAGTTTGGGGTTAAATTAATAATAAATAATTTAAAAGCCAGATAAATGAACAAACAATAACCCCAGGAAAGACAAAAATGTAAAAGGGAAAGTAATCATACTATAATATTAGCATGGATAAAAATAGCATTTTTCGGCTGGGTGTGGTGGCTCATGCCTATAATCCCAACGCTTTAGGAGGCCGAGGCCAGTGGATCACCTGAGGTCAAGAGTTCGAGACTAGCCTGGCCAACATGGTGAAACCCCATCTCTAGTAAAAAAAAAAAAAATACATAAATTAGCTGTGGTGGCAGGTGCCTGTAATCCCAGATACTCAGGAGGCTGAGGCAGGAGAATCGCTTGAACCCTGGAGGTGGAGGTTGCAGTGAGCCGAGATCATGCCATTGCACTCCAGCCTGGGTGACAAGAGCAAAATTCCGTCTAAAAAAAAAAAACAGCATTTTTTACTTCTCCTTCCTGCCACTTTGTGAAGAAGTTGCTTTGCTTCTCCTTTGCCTTCCACCATGATTAAGCTAGGAGAGGATATGCCTGCACAACATGGCAGATTATCAATGGGGGACCTGAGAAACTGAAGTTCTATACACATCAGGGGCTGAGAGGATGCTCCAGGTGATGGTGAAGTAAGCTCCAGCAGGACAAGTGGAGCATGGAGTATACCTTCAATTAGAAAGCCAAAACAATGTGAACTGTTGAAAACTGCTGTCACTGATTCTCTCCAAGCTGAGGGAATACGCAAGGTCCCTGCCTCCCACGAAAAGCCGCTCTTAATATTCATCCAGCAGGATTGTATGGAAATCAAGAAATCCAAAAGGGCTGTGAAATATTGATGTTCTGTTCAGTTTCAAGACCTCTGAAATGCAAAGTGATATGTACACTAAACACACAAGAAAATGCAAATACCTTTATAACACTTTTCTCATAGTTCTATTTTCATCCCTATTGGAAGCAAGTCGTTAACATTCATTTTATCGTAAATATAATGGCAATGAATTTTAATGTGCACAAATTAAAATATTTTATAAATTTTAAAAATAGCATTTTACATTATTCAACTTATGGAACTATTTGACTCTAGATTATATGATTGTATAACCTGAAAAAACTAATTATAAAATATTTTATATCATTCAATTTAGGGTATTAGATAAAAAAATTAACTCATAGTGACTAAGCTGGTTAATTATTGCCCTTAAATGGATATTAAAAGCGAATTTTTCTCTTTGATAAAGTAACTAGCAAATGATTAAATGTTGTGAAAGTGTTTCCTGGTGTATGGATTCACTGAATTCCTTTGACCCACTTAAACAGAACATGTGACATTCATGAAATAGTAACTTAATAGCTTTAAAACAGCTGTTCTGTAGCTCCAAATTAATTTAGCTTTTCTCTCTCAACATGTCTACTTTATGAGAAAAAAGCGTGAGAAATGAGTTGTTCTTTTGCTTTCAGGCCCTGTCCTACCATGAGCTGAAGAGGCAGCAACATACGTGTTTGGAGTTTAGTAGGGACTGAGAAGCGGGGAAAAGAACTGCCTAACCAAAGGTATTGTTTCCACCTGACTTCCAAGATGTCAGAAAATTCTCCCTAGTAGATACTCTTTTATACATGGACATTAGCTATTGTTGTTAAAATGAAAACAGGTTAAACCTATTACGTTATCATCACCTATCAATAATTTAGACTATCAGCTTATCAGATTTATTAGTCTTGTAGTGAAATCCTGTTGTTAAACAGCACAGAAACAGGAGAGAAGAAAGAATTGTCTAAGTCTGCACTGTCCAACAGAAATATAATATGAGCCATATAAGTTGAAATTTTCTAGCAATTAGCAAGTAAAAAGAAACAGGTGAATTTTTTTCTTTTTTTCACTTCCTCCTCTTCCAAGGTGAAATTATTTTTAATAACATATTTTTGTTAACCCAATATATCTAAAACATTTTCAAACATAAATCAATATAAAATTATTAAAGAGATATTTTGCATTCTTTTTCTGTACTGTCTTTGAAATCCAGTGTATGTTTTACACTTACAGCACATCTTAATTTGAACTAGACACATTTGAAGTTCTTAATAGTCACATGTGGCTACCATATTGGACAAGCAGGTCTAAGTCAGTGGTTCCCAAAATGTGGTCCCTGGAGCAGCAGGATAAGCATCACCCTAAAACTTGTTAGAAATACAAATTCTCAGGCTCCACCCCAGACCTACTGAATCAGAAACTCTGATAGTTGGGCTCAGCAACCTGTGGTTTAACAAGCCTTTCAGGTGATTCTGATAACATGTTAAATGTCACAATCAGCAGTCTAAATTATGGGGAACTGGTTTTTCTTTGCTAAGTACATTTAACAGGGTTCAAAATTCAAAAAGTACAAAAACATACACAGTGAAAATCTTCCTTTCCTGCCAGGCACAAACCATCTATCTCCCTTTCCTAGAGGCAACCAAAATTTTATGTTGGTAGGCAGCTGTCATGCTGGACCCCTATTGACTTCAACAGCAATGGCACCATGTTTGAGAGGCTGAAGACGAGATGCAGAGCCAGTGAATGAGACACAGGGTTTGTTTAATTAATTTATTTACTTTTTGAGACAGGGTCTCGCTCTGTCACCCAGGCTGGAATACAGTGGTGTAATCATGACTCACTGCAGTCTCAACCACCTGGACACAAGCAATCCTCCTGCCTCAGACTCCTGAGTAGCTGGGACTACAGGCATTAGTTCTGGCTAATTAAAAAAAAAAAAATTATAGAGATGGGTCCTCACAATGTTTCCCAGGCTGAGACATAGGGTTTATTGAGGAGACTTACATACAGGGCAATCCAGTGGTGGCAGGCTGGACAGGAGAACTGCATTTGCTTACAAAAAACATACTGGCTGGGCGCGGTGGCTCACATCTGTACTCCTAGCACTTTGGGAGGCCAAGGCAGGTGGATCACTTGAGGTCAGGAGTTCGAAACCAGCTTGGCCATCATGGTGAAACCCTGTCTCTATTAAAAATTCAAAAAATTAGCTGGGCACGGTGGTGCGTGCCTGTAATCCCAGCTACTTGGGAGGCTGAAGCAGGAGAATTGCTTGAACCTGGGAGGCGGAGGTTTCAGTGAGCTGAGATCGTGCCACTGCACTCCAGCCTGGGCAACAGAGCAAGACTCCATCTCAAAAAAAAAAAAAAAAGTATACTGGTTATATAGTGTTTTCACTTAGCATTCTCACCCTAGCAACCTCCACCTGGCAACCTTGATTTAACCCAAAACAAAGGGCCTTGATCCCCTGTATGGCCTGCATTCCATGGGATGAGATGGGGATTCCTATGTTCCTCATAGGTAAGGAATGAATCTCCTGATTGGCAACTCCCAGGTTCCTTTTTTTTTTTTTTTTTTAAGAAACATGTTTATTTTCGGTCAACCTTATTTCCATGTGGCTTATGAGCCTGTAAGACAACTTGGTGGTTGTTCCTACCCATTCAAGTGGCCTGAGCAGTGGGAGCTGCAGACCAGACTTCCATGGCAGGCTGAGCTCTCCAATCTTCAGTAAGGAATTGCTGAATAGGCACAGAGGGCACCTGCCACATTCAGATCAGTCTGCACCCTCAGGCAGAGGAGCAGTGAACTCAGGAGCTGGAGCAGTCCATTTACCCTGAAATTCCTCCTTGGTCACAGCTTTTTTTCAGCAACAGCTTGCTCTTCCTTTTCATCTTTTTTTATCTTATTATATATATATATTTTTTTGAGACAGAGTCTCACTCTGTTGCCCAAGCTGCAGTGCAGTGGTGCTGTCTCAGCTCACTGCAACCTCCACCTTCTGGGTTCAAGTGATTCGCCTGCCTCAGTGTCCCAAGTAGCTGGGACTACAGGCACGTGCCACCATGCCAGCTAATTTTTGTATTTTTAGTAAAGACCGGGTTTCACCATGTTGGCCAGGCTGGTCTTGAACTCCTGACCTCAGTGATTCACCCACCTTGGTCTCCCAAAGTGATGGGATTACAGGCGTGAATCACCACACCTGGCCTTCCTTTTCAACCTCTTTAGGATCTCTATAAAAGTAGAGATCAGGCCTGAGCTCCCATGAGTGTTCACAGGAGATGGTGCCATGCATGCACAGAAGTTCCCAAACCAGCATCCACCATATCAAACCCGTAAGTAAGCTCCTTTGTTGTTGCATGGGATGGCAATGTCCCCATAGCGCAAAGGAGAATCTGTGTTGCACAGAGCGATGGTAGATAAGATTAACATAAGTTGCCTCTGTGACAGGCCGGTGGTCGTTGTTGGATTGTTGGAATCAATAACCACCAGAAGCTGTGGCTCCCAGAAGGTTTCCTGGATCTGGTTAGTGAAGGTTCCAGGAGTGAACCGACCAGCAATTGAACTCCCAGAGATTCTTTAGCTCAGAGTTCCGAACACGCATTCTTCTTTTTTTTGAGATGGAGACTGGAGTGCAGTTCACTACAATCTCCACCTCCTCGGTTCAAGCGATTCTGCTGCCTCAGCCTCCTGAATAGCTGGGATTACAGACACGCACCAAAATGCCTGGCTAATTTTTATTTATTTATTTATTTTTATTTATTTATTTTTTTGAGACGCTGTCTCGTTCTGTTGCCAGGCTAGAGTGCAGTGGTGTGGTCTTGGCTCACTGCAACCTCTGCCTCCCAGGTTCAAGCGATTCTCCTGCCTCAGCTTCCCAAGTAGCTGGGACTACAGGTGTGCACCACCATGCTCGGCTAATTTTTGTATTTTTAGTAGAGACAGGGTTTCACCATGTTGGCCAGGATGGTCTCGATCTCTTGACCTCGTGATCTGCCCACCTTGGCCTCCCAAAGTGCTGGGATTACAGGCATGAGCCACCGCTCCTGGTCTAATTTTTATATTTTTAGTAGAGATGGGGTTTCACCATGTTGGGCAGGCTGGTCTCGAACTCCTGACCTCAGGTGATCCACCCGCCTTGGCATCCCAAAGTGCTGGGATTACAGGCATGAGCCACTGCCCTGGGCCGTCCGAACACACATTCTTCTTAGGCCATAGGGTCATTCTCCGGGTATGCTTAAATTATTTCTGTTAGGCACATCTGCCATACAGCAGCCTCCAAGATGACCTCCAGTGATCCCTGCCTCCTGGTGTTTACCCTTTTGTAGTCCCCTCATATTGTACCAGATTTGCTCTGTGTGACTAGTAGAAAATTGCAACAGTAATGGTATGTCCCTTCAAAGGCTAGTGTATAGAAAGACTTTGTGGCTTTTGCCTTGCTGTCTCTTGGATCAGTCACTAGCTGCTATGGTGTGAAGACATTCAAGCAGCCCTATGGAGAGGTACTTGTAGTGAGGAACTGAGGCCTTCAGCCAAGAGCCAACAAGAAACTGAGGCCTCCTGCTAACAGTCATCATGTGAGTGAGCCATCCTGAAGGTGGATTCTCTAGCCCCAGTCAAGTCTTAAGAGATTGAAGCCCCAGTCAATATCTAAATTGTACCTCATGACAAACAAACCCTAAGTCAGAACCACCCTGCTAAGCCCCTTCCCAATTTATGACCCACAGATACTATGAAATAAGAAACGTTTGTTGTTTTAAGCCATCAAATTTTGTGGTAATTTGCTATGCAGTAACAGATAACTAATAGACCACATCTAGGAGAATTTGGAAAGAGTCACTTGAAGATCTATACAAATAGTAAAACTGAGCCTGATAAATCTAAATTGCTGCCCTAAGATTACGTTATTCATGCTAGCCATTGTAAAAAAAAATCATTACTAAAGTTTTAAATATTATAATGTGTCCTTCTTGTTAAACACACATACACACGCAGAATACAGAATTATGTGAATAGGCCTGGTGCGGTGACTCACGCTTGTAATCCCAGCACTTTGGGAGGCTGAGGAGGGTGGATCTCCTGAGATCAGGAGTTTGAGATCAGCCTGACCAACACGGTGAAACCCCATCTCTACTAAAAATACAAAAATTAGCTGGGTATGGTGGCAGGTGCCTGTAGTCCTAGCTACTTGGGTAGCTGAGGCACAAGAATCGCTTGAACCCAGGAGGCGGAGGTTGTAGTGAGCCAAGATCATGCCACTCCAGTCCAGCATAGGTGACAGGGTAAAACTATGTCTTAATAATAATAATAATTATACAAATAGGACAACTCCTTCAATCTTCTCTGAAACTGCCTTGATTCCATCCATTTCTGCACAATAATTCTTCAGCTTTTTCTTCCTTTTCATGAAATACATATTTTCATTTTCCCCAAAACTACCCAGTCTGTTTCTTTTGCTTAAAATAATAATAATAATTTTTTATTTTATTTTAGAGATGAGGTCTTGTTATGTTGCCCAGGCTGGCCTCAAACTCCTTGGGCTAAAGTGATCCTCCTGCCTCAGCCTCCCAAGTAGCTGGGACTATAGGCATGCTCCACCACGCTCAGATTATAGTCAGAAGAATCTTAACAGTATTATAATGGATGTACCACAATTTAATCCATCTCCTCCTAATGGACACAACTTATTTAATTTTTAATATTATTAATAATATTGCCACCTTCTTTACATCTTTGTGCACCTATGTGTTATTGTTAAGATAAACTCCTAGAGATGAAATTACTGAGAGGGCTGGATGCAGTGGCTCATGCCTGTAATCCCAGCACTTTGGGAGGCTGAGGCAGGTGGGGACATCACTGTGGAATGTCAGAAATGAAAGTCAGTAAATTTTGTTTTGTAAGTTCAAAAGCAGTTTCTGTCTCATAAAGCAAAAAATATTAAGAAAGAAGATAAAATCAGTCAGCAGAGATGACCAGATAGGTAGAGACTGAGAATGTCACAACCTCTGCTCACTCTTACAACCACCCTGGTAGCATTTTTACCCCCCTTCCCAGGAGTATTAACTCCAAAAGGAAGAAAGATCAAGTAGAAAGAAACGTAAACTAAGGTATTTTAAACATGAATTGAGATATAATTGAATTTGATTTAGTTTGCCTTAGATTAATAAGATTGTTTTCTGCTTCAGGCAGGATGGGGACTCAAGGTCATAAATTAAGATTGAACTGTAGGAAAGTTCTATTTGGCTGGGCATGGTGGCTCATGTCTGTAATCCTAGCACTTTGGGAGGCCAAGAAAGGAGGATCATTTGAGGCCAGAAGTTCAAGACCAGCCTGGGCAATATAGTGAGACCTCTGTCTCTCCCAAAAAATACAAAAATTAGCCAGACATGGTGGCACATACCAGTGGTCCCCCAGCTGCTTGGCACGCTGATGTGGGAGGATCACTTGAGCCCAGGAGGTTAAGGATGCAGTGAACTTTGATCATGCCACTGTACAACCTGGGTGACAGAAAGAGACCCTCATTTCAAAAAACCAAATTAATTAACAAAATTAAATATAACTTTTCTTTTCTTTTTTTTTTTTTTTTTGAGACAGGTCTTGCTGTGTCACCCAGCCTGTAATGCAGTGGCGCCAGCTCAGCTCACTGTGACCTTGACCTTCTGGGCTCAAGTGATCCTCCCACCTCAGCCTCCCAAGCAGCTGGGACCACAGGCCCACACCACAACACCTCACTAATTTTTGAATTTTTTTGTAGAGATGGGGTCTCTCACTATGTTGCCCAGGCTGGTCTTGAACTCCTGGGCTCAAGTGATCCTCTCTTGGCCTCCCAAAGTGCTGAGATTACAGGTGTGAGCCACTGCTCCTGATTAAAAAGTTCTATTTTCCATATACCTGCACTTGGAGGACACTGTGGGTGAGCATCTGTGCACGACCGGTTCCTCACTTGCCTTGCGCTAGTCCCAGCCCTGCTCTTCATTTGCTGCTTTCAGAGGGTATCTTTCAACATTTTCCTGAACTTGGGCCTTCTCTGAGGGAGATCCAGCAGTTTCTGAAATCACTAACTGCTAGTTTACAAAATCCTTTCGGGTCCCAGACATCCTCCCTATTTCTTAAGAATATTTTTGGCCGGGCACAGTAGTTCACGCCTGTAATTCCAGCACTTTGGGAGGCTGAGGTGGGTGGATCACCTGAGGTCAGGAGTTTGAGACCAGCCTGGCCAACATGGTGAAACCCTGTCTCTACTAAAAATACAAAAATCAGTCAGTGTGGTGGCACGTGCCAGTAATCCCAGCTACTCGGGAGGCTGGGGCAGGATAATCGCTTGAACCTGGAAGGCGGAGGTTGCAATGAGCCGAGACTGTGCCACTGCACTCCAGTCTGGGTGACAGAGTGAGCCTCCATCTAAAAAAAGGAAAAAGAAAAATGTTCAGGACTATTATAGCTGAGAAAAGTTTTCTTCATGTGTCCTTTAGACTTCTATGTTCACAGCCTTTCTTCATAACAGGCCCCTCCCTTTTCTCCCTCGCATCCTAATAAACCTCTATTCTACCCTCTGCCAAATTTGTATTAAAAGTCGCACATGAGCCCAGACGACATCTGATTCTCTGCAGCTAACAGAGGGCTGGCAACAGAAATCTCTCTTACATCCTGGCAATATGTAATATACTACCTTTCTCATCTAGTGATGAGAGTCCTTACGGGTCTAGTTTCTTCCTAAAGGATGCACCCTCTCTGAAACTAGACATCAACCTTATAACTTTGAATCATTCTCTAATTTGGCAAAAGCAGATCTTGCAAAATAATTTTATACGTTCTATTTTGAAAATGCCACCTAGTGGACAGAGCTAGTAAGGTTTTCATGATAACAACCAGTCATGGGATAATCACGAGAGTGAGCCCAGGGATTTAGCAAACCCTCCAGCTGGGTCCACTTCAGCACACAAACCAGCCAAATGGCCTGTGATGACTTTTCTTTTTCTTTCTTTCTTTCTTTCTTTCTTTCTTTCTTTCTTTCTTTCTTTCTTTCTTTCTTTCTTTCTTTCTTTTTCTTTCTTTCTTTTTTTTTTTTTGAAATGGAGTTTTGCTCTTGTTGCCCAGGCTGGAGTGCAATGGCACGATCTCGGCTCACTGCAACCTCTGCCTCCTGGGTTCAAGTGATTCTCCTGCTTCAGCCTCCAGAGTAGCTGGGATTACAGGCATGCACCACCACGCCCGGCTAATCTTGTATTTTTAGTATAGACAGGGTTTCTCCATGTTGGTCAGGCTGGTCTCGAACTCCCGACCTCAGGCGATCCACCTGCCTTGGCCTCCCAAAGTGCTGGGATTACAGGCATGAGCCACCGTGTCCTGCCCTGTGAAGACTTTTATCCTGTCTTTTCTGCTTCCCTCCAAATTAATCATGACATAATAATTCAAAAGAAAATATTGGGGGCAGGCACGGTGGCTCACACCTGTAATCCCAGCACTTTGGGAGGCTGAGGTGGGCGGATCACTTGAGGTCAGGAGTTCAAGACCAATCTGGCCAACATGGTGAAACCCCATCTCCACTAAAAATACAAAAATTAGCCGAGCATGATGGTTCATGCCTGTAATTTCAGCTACTCAGGAGGCTGAGGCAGGAGGATCACTTGAACCAGGGAGGAGGAGATTGCAGTGAGCCAAGATTGCGCCACTGCACTCCAGCCTGGGCAACAGAGCAAGACTCTGTCTGAAAAAAAAATACAAAAGAATTAACATCAAGAAGAAAATGTTGGTTGTTCCAATTCATGTTGTTATGACATCCAAGTTGCTAGCTATTGTAATGGCAAAATATTTGGGGAAAGTATATGGAACAAAGGTTCATGTGCTGGGCAATGATGGGAAGTTAGTAATTAGTATGTCCCCTCTCCAACTGCATAGAATAGTTTACACTCAGCAGGAAAATCGCTAAACTAAAATTCCAAACATAATATGAGAATTCAATAGGTACTTTATTGTTTGAAAAAAAACATATAAATCATGACTGTTTCTCCCCACCCCTAAGAGTAGTAATTTAAAACTCTGGAAATATTTTAAACAAAGATAGGAGGCATTCCTTTCTTTCAAATATGGAGTACTTTCAGATAAGATCCCTGAAATCTTCTTTTGAGAAATGTCAGGGCAAAACTGAGATCCAGTTTCTGAGTTTAGACAGAAAAATTGCTGAAACTTTTGAGAGTACTTGGAACTTCAAATTATCTGTGACTCCACCTTTCCTGAGTCACACAGCAGCCCATTACAGCCCTTTTCTGTTTCTTCCTTTGTGTTGCTCCGTCCTGGGTTTGGGAAATGGTTCATTTCCTCCTCTCTGCCCACTAGCAATTTCACATTTCAATTTCAGCTACAGGAAGGGACACAAATAAACACCTATTAGAAATTATGGGGTGAATAATTTTTTGGATGAGAAAGTTTCAAAAATCATGAGAGGCACCTATGGCAGACCCCCTAGGGTCTTATATAATGTCCCCTCCGTATGTCTCTGCTTTTAGACACAGCTGTGCTGAATAGTTCCATACAAGTTCAGATGCACCTAGCACTAATGGTGTCCATGAGTACCTGTGTGCATCTTGTTCAATGCCCAGGACATTCTTCAGTGCCACAGGAACCTGCTAGACCCATGGACAAGTGCAGTCCAGGGTAACCCTCAGGCAGAGGGGGACAGGAATAGGTGATGATCCAGCCTCCTTTCCTTTGGAAGAATCATTCTTGGAGGCCCTGGCTGACTGGAGCTCCTGATCTCCACAGTCGCAACCTGGATAATTACCTTTATATGATCTTTTGCTCCTCTGTTTTACTGTCCTCCATCTCTCCTGTGATCACTTTCCAAATAAACTACCTTAATTCAATTCCTTGTCTCAGCCTCTGCTTTGAAGGGAACCCAATCTGTGTTCACTAGGAGACAAGTGAGAAAGCATTCTGAAGTCCATTTTTGCTCTTAGTAAGTTAAGAAGAGTATACTTATTCTGGGCCAAGTGCGGTGGCTCATGCCTGTAATCCCAGCACTTTGGGAGGCTGAGGTGGGCAGATCACTTGAGGTCAGGAGTTTGAGACAAGCTTGGCCAACATGGTGAAAACCTGTCTCTACTAAAAATACAAAAATTAGCTGGGCATGGTGGTGGGTACCTGTCATCCCAGCTACTCGAGAGGCTGAGCCAGAATTGCTTGAACTTGGGAGGAGGAGGTTGCAGTAAGCCGAGATCATACCACTGCACTCCAGTCTGGGCAGTAGAGTGAGACTCCATCTCAAAAAAAGTAAAAAGAAGAGTATACTTATTCACTCCCGATGTTTTATTTGGTTAAGTGGGGTGACATCTATTCCCATTTTTTATCTCTCTATGCTTAATATGCTGTTGCCACACTGGCCTTCTTTCTGTTTCTCAAACAAACCAGCCTATTCCTGTCTTAGGGTGTGTGGAGGAGTTGTTCCTTCTGCCTGGAACACTTTCTTTCTGTGGCTTCACATGACTGGCAGCATCTTGTCATTCAAATCTCAATTCAACTGTCACTTTCTCAAAGAAAACAACCTTGATCACCAAAAGTAGCCACCATATACACACTCCCAACACCGTAACATATTACTTTGTTTTTTTTCTTCATAGCCGGTATAAATTTATCTGGTTAATTTATTGATCACCTATTTCCTCCTCAAAACCTAAGATCCAAGTACAAGTAGGTACTCAACATACATTTGCTGATTAATAAATCTCCTGGGCCAGGCATGGTGGCTCATGCCTGTAATCCCAGCACTTTGGGAGGCCAAGTAGGCAGATCGCTTGAGCCCAGGAGTTTGAGACCAACCTGGGCAACATGGCAAAACCCTGTCTCTACAAAAAATAAAAATTAAAAAATAAGCTGGGGATGGTGGCATATGCCTTTGGTTCCAGCTACTGGGGAGGCAGAGGTAGGAGGATCTCTTGAGCCCAGGAGGCAGAGGTTGCCATAAGCTAAGATCGTGCCACTGCACTCCACCCTGGATTATAGAGTGAGACTCTGTCTCAAAAAGTAATAATAATAAACCCAATAAATCTCCTTTTGCCTGTAAAGAATTGATAATGTTTTCTTGGACTTGTGTGCAAAAATAAATACAGATTTTTAACAGAGACTGCTCAGCTCACCAGTGTCTGGGAAAGGGCAGCCTAGCCTCTCCCTCTACATATATCAAAGGGTTGGAATAGAGCATTCCAAAGAATGATCTAAGTAGAAACCTCTGAAGGAAAATCTCTATGAACATTCCATTTGCCTTATGAGGAGCTTAAAATTTAGCTCCCCACTGAAGAATTTGTTTCACCTTCAGTACTTGGTTAGGCTTGCATTACCTTATCCAATGGCCTCTTTACCTCTTTGGCAAGGTCTAAATTTGTCACAGATGTGGGATTTTTTGTTTTGTTTTTACAAAGTCTAAGTTTGTCACAGATTGTAGGAGTCCAAGTGAGACAAAGTAGAGTTGGGGCTTGGCTTCATTCAGCTCACCCCCAACTAGAGCATTCCCACTGAAATGCTCACACAACTACGTCACTGCTAATAGTCCTTTTACTTAAAGAATTCCAGGAACTGGCCTTGGAGATAATCAAGGTCACAGAGTGTTCCCCCTCAGGAAGGAATGCTGAACAACTGATTTACAGCCTGGTTGCCCTGGCCAGACCACCAGCTGGCCCATTACTCAAGAAAACCATCACAATCAGATATGCTGACCTGCATACCCTACCCATCACGTGTTTTGTCCAGCCCAGCCTGCATACCCTACCCTTGATGTCAATTCTCATGCTTTGCCTACCAAAAAAGCCCTACCAGCTCTTCAGGGAATTCTTTCTTTTGTGCTGCCTCCCTTATGTCTCAGCATAAGCTCCAATGAAGCCTTGTCTGGGAAAGCTCTTTTGGCCTCATGTCAATTTCTTTTGCATTGAGAGCCCAAGAACCCATGGTCAGTAACATAAGGAGACATGACAACTAAATACAATGTGGGATCCTGGATTGGATCCCGGAACAGAAAAAAGATATTAGTAAAAAAACTGATAAGATCTAAATAAGGATTGTCATTTCCTTAAATAAAAAAAAAAAGTAACTATGAAAAATAGAATAGATATAAGACTAAGGTAGGCCATTCCCAGAATCCAGCTTTGAAATACTTTGCCTCCTTATCACAGAATCAAAAGTGCTTCCCAGCCCAGGCGTGGTGGCTTACACCTGTAATCCCAGCACTTTGGGAGGCCAAAGTGGGCGGATCACCTGGGATCAGGAGTTCGAGACCAGACTGGCCAACATGGCAAAACCCCATCTCTACTAAAAATACAAAAAATTAGCCAGGTATGGTGGCAGGCGGCTGTTATCCCAGCTACTCGGGAGGCTGAGGCAGGAGAATTGCTTGAACCCGTGAGGCAGAGGCTGTGGTGAGCCGAGATCGCCCCATTGCCCTCCAGCCTGGGCGACAAGAGTGAGACTCTGTCTCAAAAAAAAAAAAAAAAAAAAAAAACAAAACAAAACAGTGCTTCCCAGAGTTGAGAAACTGTCCCTGCATGAGGAAGAGGATACATGACTTTAAAGAAGTTTCCTACCCATCATCTTTTTTCTTCTCCCCTCCCTCTTTCCCCATTCTTCTCTCTCCCTCTCAAATATATTTTGAATATGTTATGCCTGTATGAGGTATAAAACTCAGAAAGTACAAAAATATATGTGTAGTTCAGATTAATAGTAAGTGTGGTAGGCTGAATAATGATCCTCCCTAAAATAAAATATTTACATCCTAATCCCTGGAACCTGTGAATGTTATCTTATATGGGGAAAAAAAGAACTTTGCAGATGTTATTAAGTTAAAGATCTTGAGATGGGCATATTATCTTGCATTATCTAGGGGGCTCCTAAATAAAATCACATGTATCTTTGTAAGAGGAAAGCAGAAGGAGATTTAACACAGACAGAAGAGGAAAAGGCAATGTGACCTTGGAGGTGGAGACTGGAGGGATGTGGCCACAAGCCAAGGTGGGCTAGCATCCACCAGAAGCTAGCAGAGGCAATTTGACTGTAATGTGTCTAGCTAAGGTTTTTTAGTTTATTCCACTTGATGTTCATTGCACTCTTGAATGTATTGTGCTTTCTTCAAATTCGACAAGTTTTCAGTCATTATTTCTTCGAATATTATTTCCACCCTTTTCTCTCTCTCCTCTCCTTCTGGAACTCTTATTGTTTGTATTTTGGTACACTTGCAGGTTTCCCACAATTCTCTAAGGCCTTTATTCTTATTTTCTTGCTGTCCCCCAGATTGGCTCTCAGTGGACTTGTCTTGAGATTTGCTGAAGACAAACCTGAGACAGGATCTTGCTCTGTCACTCAGGATGAGTACAGTGGCACAATCATGGCCCACTACAGCCTCAAACTCCTGGGTTTGAGTGATCTTCCTAGCTCAGCCTCCCACCTCGGCCATCATGCCCAGCTAATTTTTATTTTTATTTTTAGAGATGGGGTCTCACCATATTGCCCAGGCTAATCTTGAACTCCTGGGCTCAAGTGATCCTCCTGCCTTGGCCTCCCAAAGTGCTGGGATTACAGGTGTGAGCCACCACACCAAGCTGCTTTTGTGTGTTTGTTTTCAAGATGAGGTCTCACTCTGTCTCCCAGGCTGGAGTGCAGTGGCACAATCTTAGCTCACTGCAGCTTCAAACCTGTGGGCTCAAGTGATCCTCCTGCCTCAGCCTCCTGAGTAGCCAGGACTACAGGCATATGCCACCATGCATAGCTAATTTTTAAATTTTTTGTAGAGATGGGGTCTCACTATGTTCCCCAGGCTGGTCTTAAGCTCCTGGCCTTTAGCAATCCTCCCTCCTCAGCCTCCCAAAACACTGGAATTACCGGCGTGAGCCACTGCACCCAGCCCCAGGTTTGGTCATTCTTTGTCAATTCAAATCCACTGTTGAGCACCTCTAGTTAATTTTTCATTTCAGTTCTTACACGTTTCAACTCCAAAATTTCTATTTTGAGCTAATTTCTATCCTTTATTGATATCCTCTGTTGGCGAGATTTTTGTCATACTCTCCTTTAGTTCTTTTTTTTTTTTTTTTTTTGAGATGGAGTTTCACTCTTGTTGCCCAGGCTGGAGTACAATGGTGTGATCTCAGCTCACCATAACCTCTGCCTCCCTGGTTCAAGCGATTCTCCTGCCTCAGCCTCCTGAGTAGCTGGGATTACAGGCACGCACCACCACACCCAGCTAATTTTGTATTTTTAGTAGAGATGGGGTTTCTCCATGTTGGTCAGGCTGGTCTCGAACTCCCAGCCTCAGGTGATCCACCGGCCTCAGCCTCCCAAAGTGCTGGGATTATAGGCATGAGCCATTGTGCCCGGCCCTCTCCTTTAGCTCTTTAGACTTACTTTCCTTTAGTTCTTTGAACATATTTATAATAGCTGATTTAAAGTCTTTGTCTGCTAAAGTCAAAATCTGGACGCACCCAGGGACATTTTCTTATTCTTTTTTTTTTTTTTTTTTTTGAGACAAAGTCTTGCTCTTGTACCCCAGGCTGGAGTGCAATGGCGTGATCTCGGCTCACTGCAACCTCCGCCTCCTGGGTTCAAGTGATTCTCCTGCCTCAGCCTCCCGAGTAGCTGGGATTACAGGTGCCTGCCACCACGCCTGGCTAATTTTTGTATTTTTAGTAGAGACGGGGTTTCACCATGTTGGCCAGGCTGGTCTTGAACTCCTGACCTCAGGTGATCCGCCCGCCTCGGCCTCCCAAAGTGCTGGGATTACAGGCATGAGCCACCGTGCCCGGATGACATTTTCTGTTTGCTGCTTTTTGTCCTGCATATGTGGCATACTTTCCAGAGGTGGTGGTGGTGGTTGTTTTTTTTGTTGTTGTTGCTGCTTCTCTGGTGACTTTCTTCAAATAATTCTGTAGATTCTGTATTCTCTGCATTGTGTGGCAATTGAGTTCTCTGCTAGCTTTAAAAAAAAAAAAATTATAAGCCAGAATTCCTAGGTGTGATCCCTGGGTCAATAAAATTTAGTGATCAACCAATGATCAGTCAGAAGAATTCCTTTAATGCCCTTTAATGCTTTGTCTTTCTGTCCTCTCTTCTTTGCCAAGGGAATCTGTGTGAGAAGGCATGCCTTCATACTTCAGGCAGTTTACAAGACAGCCTTAGCTTTCGTTTTCTGCTTGCTACAGAGCCTTAAGGTCAGCCAGAAGCGAGTGACTGGAAACTTCTTCATTCCCATCTCTCTCCTGGGTAAGTGCACAGCCTTGTGCATGCATGCAGCCTTTTAGATCCCCTGAAATATGCTGGAACTTTTCGAAGTTCCCTATGTCTAGTTCCCTTTTCTAGTTCCCTATATTGTCTAGTTCTCCAGGACGTACTTTTAGATTCCCAGCCTGTCTCTTGCTTACCCCAATTGAAATTACAGTCTTAGCCTCAACATTGCTAGCAGATGGCTCTTGTTTTGTTAATGCCTTGGGAGTCGGGCATTTTTTCTGATGAGCTGAGTTCTAAGTCATCAAGTAATTACAACTCCCTAGGAATAGAGATTTTCCAGAGAGCTGCAATTTTGAACTAAATATTGGCTGTACTCTGGGGATCTTTCTTTTAACTGAGCGCCACAAGAGGTCAGCCCTTGCCATTGGCTGTGAGACTGCTGCTCTCGGCTACCTCTACTGAGCTGAGGAGGGAGGGTGGATGGGAATAGCATCCCAGCCACAAGTTAAAATATCACAGATCACACTGTCTTAGCAAAGTTTAACAGCTTCTCTTTCTAGAGTTCTAAAATGGTTGGCCTTAGTGGTTTTGCCAGTATTTTTCTTTGTTTTTGTGGGAGAGCAAGTTCACCGAAGGTGAACTATTCTGGAAGTTAATCTCCAGGCAAACTCATTCTTTTTTCTTTTTCTTTTTCTTTTTTTTTTTTTTTAATGAGATGGAATCTCGCTGTGCCACCCAGGCTGGAGTGCAGTGGCGCGATCTCAGCTCACTGCAACTTCCACCTCCCAGGTTCAACCAATTCTCCTCTCTCAGCCTCCCGAGTAGCTGGGACTACAGGCACACGCCACCACACCTGGCTAATTTTTGTATTTTTTAGTAGAGACAGGGTTTCACCATATTAGTCAGGCTGCTGTCAAACTCCAGACCTCAGATGATCCACCCGCCTCGGCCTCCCAAAGTGCTGGGATTACAGACGTGAGCCACCGTGCCAGGCCAGGCAAGCTCATTCTTTCTTTCTTTCTTTCTTTTTTTTTTTTTTTTTGAGACGGAGTCTTGCTCTGTCGCCCAGGCTGGAGTGCAGTGGCGCGATCTTGGCTCATTGTAAGCTCCACCTCCCGGGTTCAGGCCATTCTCCTGCCTCAGCCTCCCGAGTAGCTGGGACTACAGGCGCCAGCCACCACGTCCGGCTAATTTTTTTTGTATTTTTAGTAGAGACGGGGTTTCACCGTGTTAGCCAGGATGGTCTCAATCTGCTGACATCGTGATCCGCCCGCCTTGGCCTCCCAAAGTGCTGGGATTACAGGCGTGAGCCACCGCACCCAGCCGTTCCTTCTTTTTTTTCTTTTTCTTTCGTTTTTTTATTTTTTTGAGACAGAGTCTCTCTGTGTCGCCCAGGCTGGAGTGCAGTGGTGCGATCTCGGCTCACTGCAAGCTCCACCTCCCGGGTTCAGGCCATTCTCCTGCCTCAGCCTCCCGAGTAGCTGGGACTACAGGCGCCTGCCACCATGCCCGGCTAATTTTTTGTATTTTTAGTAGAGACGGGGTTTCCTGACCTTGTGATCCGCCCGTCTCGGCCTCCCAAAGTGCTGGGATTACAGGCATGGGCCAGCGCACCCGGCCGCTCATTCTTAAACATGGTTCTTCTCAAGTCTCCTACATTTCTGCAGGGAAAGTTTTTAAAGTTTGTCCTGTTTTCATCAAGCTCAAGGCCAGACTATGAATCTTCATAACAATATGATTTAAGCTTATTCTGATTCTGATGTGGAATACCCCAGCTATCCTTAAGGTGTATTTTTTTTTAAAATGGAACTCCCAGAGGTTCATGGAACATATTTTATAAAGAGCATCCCACTAGCCGGCTGTGTGGTAGAAGGCTGTTTACTGATAGTAGCATCCTAAACCAAAGATAACTAGATGATTTACAAGGGCAAGAGAAAAAAAGAAAAGAAAAGAAGATAACTTGAGTACTGTCATGTTTTCTGCACAGGAGAACTTGTGCAATTGCTGGAACAAATCCAAATAGATTATTCTGGTTCTGTTTATTTTCGTTTTAGAGACAGCTTCTTGCTATGTTGCCCAGGCAGAACTTGAACTTGGTTGTGTTTTCTTATCATCCAGGATGTGTTCTTATTTATTTATTTATTTATAGATAAATAAATCTTTGTTTCTCAGGCTGGAGTGCAGTGGTGTGATCTCGACTCACTGCAACTTCCGCCTCCTGGGTTCAAGCAATTCTCCTGCCTCAGCCTCCCGAGTAGCTGGAACTACAGGCATTCGCTACCATGCCCGCCTAATTTTTGTATTTTTAGTAGAAACAGGGTTTCACCATGTTGGCCAGGCTGGTCTCAAACTCCTGACCTCAGGTGATCTGCCCACCTTGGCCTCCCCAAATGATGCGATTACAGGCATGAGCCCAGGATGTGTTCTTTATCTATCATTACCACCTGTGGGGAAAGGCAAAGCACTGTGGACTATTTGAGATGAGGTGCTAATTCTTCCTACTTAACTCAAACCTTTCACCTGGCATTTCATTGTTTTACCTGGAGCCAATCAATAATACCATTTCTCCAGACTTCTCAGTCCCTCCCCCTGAGAATCAGTTCACATTGTCCCCATGTCATTCATGACTTTACTGCTGGGACACAAACTGTGCCTTTTTGGGGTCTCAGATGGTAGTGTGACAGAATATACACTTTCTGTCTTTAATGAGCTTTTATTATCCTACAATGATTGAGTGTGGATGAAGAAATAGACACCTACTCCTCTATCTCCAAACAACTGATTAAAATAATCAAAGGGGCCAGGCGTGGTGGCTCATGACTGTAATCCCAGCATTTTAGGAGACTGAGGTGGGCGGATCACTTGAGGCCAGGAGCTTGAGACCAGCCTCGGCAACATGCTGAAACCCCGTCTCTATCAAAAATACAAAAATTAGCTGGGCATGGTGGCACACACCTGTGATCCCAGCTACTAGGGAGGCTGAGGTGGGAGAATCACTTGAACCCAGGAGGAGGAGGTGGCAGTGAGCTGATATCATGCCATTACACCGCAGCCTGGGCAACAGAGCAAGACCCTGTCTCAAAATAATAATAATAATAATCAAAGGAAAATTAGCATCAGTGATAAAAATATACATATTGGGCTAGGTATGGTGCCACATGCCTGTAATTCCAGTGCTTTAGGAGGCCCAGGTGGGCGGATCGCTTGAGCACAGGAGTTTCAGACCAGCCTGGGTAACACGGCGAAACCCTGTCTCTACATATATATGGTGTGGTGGCACATGTCTGTAGTCACAGCTGCTTAGGAGGCTGAGGGGGGTGGATCACTTGAGCCTGGGGGATTGAGGCTGAAATAAGCCGAGATCATGCCACTGCACTCCAGCCTGGGCAACAGAATGAAACCCCATCTCAAAAAAAATAAAGATAAAAAAATAAAAAATACACACACAGACACACACAACTGATTAAACAGTGGAAGGGAGAGAAATATACCCCAGTGATAGAAGAATTTCTGCCAGATAATGGTTACCTAGGACTGAATGCTAGGGTAAAACTCATGTATATATCTACTTGTAAGAAAATAAGAGAATAGCGCAGTATCATGAGAATTGAGAACAGGAACTCTTGACAGACCCCTGCTAATAACTACTAATCACAGATTCAAGATCTAGAAAAAGCTGTTTCTTGAAGATTTGTGGGCCATTTTACTTGGAATCTCTTTTCATGGGCAGGACAAAAATACTTGAAGGTAATTGCACAGAGTTTAGGAGAGAAAAGGAGGCCATAAAAACAGGAAAATCTGTGGTGAGGTTCTACCCTGACTGGAACATCTCATTAGAGCAGGTAGATCATCTCAACACTGGGAGAAGTTTCCTTATTCTTATGGGCAACTGACCCCATGGGGCAGTTTCCCTCACCTCAATTTACAAAACAGCCAGGAAGGGAACCACACACTGCTATGCCTTGTACCTGAACCACAAGCCAGTCCAAACAGAAAAACAGGTATCAGGCTGGGCATGGTGGCTCACGCCGGTAATCCCAGCACTTTGGGAGGCCGAGGCAGGCAGATCACGATGTCAGGAAATCGAGACCATCCTGGCCAACAGGGTGAAACCCTGTCTGTACTAAAATACAAAAAATTAGCCAGATGTGGTGGCATGCACCTGTAGCCCCAGCTACTCAGGAGGCTGAGGCAGGGGAATTGCTTGAACCCAGGAGGCGGAGGTTGCAGTGAGCTGAGATCGCACCACTGCACTCTACCCTGGCGACAGAGCAAGACTCTGTCCCCTCAACACCTGCCCCCCGCCAAAAAAAAATTCACTAAACAGAGCCCTAAAGAGGCTATACTGTTAAGTGGTTGTGAATATAGCCGTGGAGTTACGTTGTCTCAGTTTAAACTCTATCATTTATTTTCTGTGTGACCTTGAGCAAGTTATTTTCTTCAGGTGCCAGTTTTCTCATCTACAAAATAGAATAATAGCACCCACCTCTCGGAAGTGTTGTAAGAATCAACTGAATTTATACACGTAAAGTCCTTAAAATAATGCCATGCACACAGAAAAGTCTCAATAAATGTTAGCTGTTATAGGAATAATAATATTATTATTCTTTTTGCAACTTCAAACAAATGGTCATCTTGAATTATGAATATGGATGTGGCCTTTTTTTATTTGAGACAGAGTCTAGCTCTGTTGCCCAGACTGGAGTGTAGTGTCGTGATCTTGGCTTACTGCAATCTCCGCTTCCTGGGTTCAAGCGATTCTCCTGCCTCAGCCTCCCAAGTACCTGGGAAAACAGGTGTGCGCCACCACGCCTGGCTAATTTTTGTATTTTTAGTAGAGATGGGGTTTCACCATGTTGGCCAGGCTGGTCTCAAACTCCTGACCTCAAGTAATCCGTCCGCCTTGGCCTCCCAAAGTGCTGAGATTATAGGCCTGAGCCACCGCACCTGGCCTGGATATGGCTTAAAAGTTGATTTAATCCAATTCCCTCCCAAGACTTTTGTGAAACTGTGACTCAATAGAAAAATTGACTTCTTGGTGAAGCATTTACTACATTATCTCATTTAACCCTCTGTGAGTTATGTACCTTTGCTGTCCCCATTTTACCATTGAGAAACAAGCTAAGAGAAGTTAACTAATTTGCCTAAAGTTTTAAAGTGTTAAGTGGTGAGGAGGATTAGAAGCCAGAGCTTCTTCTTTTTTTTTTTTTTTTTTTTTGAGATGGAGTCTCATTCTTGTTGCCCAGGCTGGAGTGCAATGGTACGACCTCGGTTTACTGCAACCTCCTCCTCCTGGGTTCAAGCGATTCTCCTGCCTCAGCCTCCCAAGTAGCTGGGATTACAGGCACTTGCCACCATGCCTGGCTGATTTTTTGTATTTTTAGTAGAGATGGGGGTTTCACTGTGTTGGCCAGGCTGGTCTCGAACTCCTGATGTCAGGTGATCCACCCACCTCAGATTCCCAAAGTGCTGGGATTACAGGCATGAGCCACCATGCCCGGTGGAAGCCAGAGCTTCTTGTTCTGAAGTCCATCTCCCTTATAAATTCTATGCCAGTTTGCTTAAAGTCATTGAATTCTTAAGTTTCTACATCACAACACTTAAGCAAGGCGTGGTGACCTGTGTCCTATATAGTGGGAGGCTGAGGTGGGAGGATTGCCTGAACCTGGGGGGTTCCAGGCCAGCCTGAAAAATATAGTCAGATCCCTTCTCAAACAAAACAAAATAAACCACATATTCAATAACTGTGAGAATTTTCAAGCAGGTGTTTCTAGTTGTCAGCCAAAGAACAATCTTAATTCTTTCACTGCACCACATAACTTCCTGGTCAACTTGTCTGGATGAATTAATTGCAAATATTCCTTTAATAAATAACAAAACAAGCTGGGTGAGGTGGCTTGCACCTATAATTCCAGCTACTTAGGAGGCTGAAGTGGGAGGATTTGGCCAAGAGTTCCAGACCAGCCTGGGCAACATAGCAAGACCCCATCTATATCTTTTTTTTTTTTTTAATTAGCCAGATATGGTGGCCTAGCAGCTGTAGTCTGGCCTACTCAGGAGGCTGAGGTGAGTGGATTGCTTGAGCCCAGAAGCTGGAGACTACTGTGAGCTCCCATCATGCCACTGCACTTTAGCCTGGGTAACACAGCAAGACTCTCAATCAATCAATCAGTCAATCCACAAATAGACTTTCTGTATAGTGTTATGAGAGCAACTGGAGAGCAACAAGCCTTCACCTAATGTTCATAGTTCCCTCTCCCATTGCCCTCCCCCTTGCTCTCAGCTGACAATTTCCTACTTCACAGAGAAGATACAGGCCAATGGGCAGTGGATTCTTCAGGGTCCTACCCTGCCCCATAAACCAACAACTTATCTGCAACCCTGTCAATTCTTGCTTTTTCCTTTTCTTCTCAGTCGTGAAATTCTCTCTCTTTTAAGATGATTTTCTCCACACATACTCTAAATCAATGGTCACCTGAAGATTGACAGAAAGTTAATTCTTATGCCCCATCCCAGACTTACTGAATCAGAAACTCTGGGAGTGGGGCCAGCATTCTCTGGATTAACCAGCCTATCAGGTGATTCTGATGCATGCTGAAGTTTGAGAACAATTGTTCTAAATCCTTATTATTCAAAGTGGCCCATGGAGTGGCAACTTTGGTACCACCTGAGAGCATATTAGAACTGTAGATTCTTGGATGCCCCCTAGACCTAATGGAGCTGAATCTGCATTTAATAGGATCCTCCAGATGATTACAGGATCCCCAGATGGTTCATGTGCATGTTAAAGTTTGAGAAGCTCTGCTCTAAATAATAATCTCTTCTCAGGGATATTTCTCATTTTTCCCTCTCTCTTTTACTTTTTCTACTGTTTTGGATTTTTCCTGTCAGCATTTTTTTAATTTTTATGTTTTTGAGATGGAGTTTTGCTCTTGTTGCCCAGGCTGGAGTGCAGTGGCGTGATCTTGGCTCACTGCAACCTCCACCTCCTGGGTTCAAGCGATTCTCCTGTCTCAGCCTCCCAAGTAGCTGGGATTATAGGCATGTGCCACCATGCCTGGCTAATTTTTTGTGTTTTTACTAGAGACGGGGGTTTCATCATGTTGGCCAGGCTAGTCTCGAACTCCTGACCTCAGGTGATCCACCTGCCTCGGCCTCCCAAAGTGTTGAGATTACAAGCATGAGCCACTGCGCCTGGCTCCTGTCAGCATTTTAAAAATGAGTATGTCTCTTTAATATTAAAAAATCATTATTCTGGGTGGGCACAGTGGTTCACACCTGTAATCCCAGCACTTTGAGAGGTTGAGGCGGGCAGATCACTTGAGCCCAAGAGTTGGAGACCAGCCTGGGCAACATGGTAAAACTCCGTCTCTACCCAAAATACAGAACGTTAGCCAGGTGTTGTTGGGTGTGCCTGTAGTCCCAACTACTCAGCAGGCTGAGGTGGGAGGATCGCTTGAGCGCAGGAGGCAGAGGTTGCAGTGAGCCGAGATCGAGCCACTGCACTTCAGCCTGGGTGACAGAGTGAGATCCTATCTCAAAAAAAAAAAAAAAAAAAGTTTTAATGAAAAAATAAAAATGTCATTATTCTATTTACTTTTTAGCTACTTCTCTCTCCTATTCACAGACAAGCTTCTTAAATGACTTACCCATACTGTAAACAGAGTCTTTTTCTCTTCACCTCACTCACTCCTCAATCCCTATCAGCCTGACCTGTCCCTGCCACCCTACTGGAAATTCTTGAGCGAGGGAAACAAGAAACCCCTTATGGATAAATCCACTGGATGATTTTCAGTTGTAAACTCACTTGACCTCTCTACAGCATTTGACGATATTGGCCATGTTTGCCTTCTTAAAAGTCTCCTTAGATTTTTGAATAAGACATTCTTTCCATCTTCTTCTATCTCCCTGACCACTCATTATCATCTTTCTTTGGTGTCCCCTGCTCCTACACCTAGCCTGGGTATGGCTAGTGAGTGGGCCTACTTGATCTAAAACAGAGTTTCCCGGTCTCAGCACTCTTGACTCTTTGTTGCAGGGGGCGGGAGGGTGGCAGGGGGAGGCCTCAGGGGTGGGGGTGTCCTTCTGTGTGTGCATTGAAGGATGTTTAGTAGTAACATCCTTGGCCTCTACCCACTAGACACTAGTAGCATTTCCTCTCCTCAAGTTGTGACAATCGAAAATGTGTCCAGATATTACAGAATGTCCCATCAGGGGAAAAATTGCCCATGGTGAGAAGAAAGGGTCTAAAAGCAATCAGATCAGATGTGACCTGGTTCTGGTAAACAGTAAGACATCCTTGCTGAAAATTTCTAGGAAAGTTCTCTCTCTTTTATTTTTTTTTTCAGATGGAGTCTTGCTCTGTTACCCAGGCTGGAGTGTAGTGGCTTGATCTCGGCACACTGCAGCCTCCACCTCTCGGGTTCAAGTGATTCTCCTGCCTCAGCCTCCCGAATAGCTGGGATTACAAGTGTGTGCTACCACGCCCGGCTAATTTTTGTATTTTTAGTAGAGATGGGGTTTCACCATGTTGGTCAGGCTGGTCTCAAACTCCTGACCTCAAGTGATTCGCCTACCTTGGCCTCTCAAAGTGCTTGGATTACAGGTGAGAGCTATAACACCTGGCCTGCTAGGAAAGTTCTTTATTTGAGAAAAAGCTATGGGATGTTATTCTTTCTCTCCCGTCACATGGGGAAGCATGTAGTATTGATTGCCACAGGTAGCTATCTTATAGCTCTGGATGAAGAATGAGGTGGTTTCTGATGACATAGCTGGATCAACCAGTTCTGATGTCAGCCCTTCCTCTGGATTTAGTCCTGGCTAATACACCTTTCAAACTCACTTACTCATCTGATCTCCTGTTGTCCCATTTCCTTCTCCCTCTTTGTCTCTCAGCCCGTCCCCTTCAGATTGACATTTTATTTGCAGTTTGGTTTTCTAATTTATTTTTCCCAGTAGATACTAACTTTTCCTCTATCTTTTTCCACATTTTACACGGAGGCTAGCATCTCACCATTGTCACAATGACTGCCAGTTCCCAGGCCTCAACCTGGAATCTCAGAAGCAACTCTTTTTGTACAGCTGAGGGGCACCTGGAACATAGAAGTTAAGAAGAGATCTGGCTGGGATCAAGAAACCTCTTTTCACTGCACCTGAGGCTCAGTTGTGCCCTCTGCTGACACTAGGTCAGGAGGCTGGACAGCTCCAACTGGAAACTTGGAGCAGGGTTTTAAGACCTCTGCTTTCTCACTTTGAAGAATTGGAATAGAAAAATAGAAAATACAAAAATGATGAGTCCTTGGAATTGATAGGACACGTAGACTTGAGAGACTTGAACATGTTTTTTGTCTGTTTGATTCCCTTCTCTATTCCCAGTGTTTCGAGCAGTTCTAGTCCATGGTAAGTGCTCAGTAAATATTTGTGCTGATGAGCAAGCAAAAGGCTGTTCTGCTGTGAAAGGTATGGTGGAGACCCTTATGCTCCTAGAAAGATGCAGAGAACAATTGCCTTGTTTCCTGACAAGTCCCTGTCCAAGGTCCTCATCAGGCTTAGGTAGGCTTCCTGCCCTCTGGTTCTAGGAGATATCCCTATATGTGTGTAACAAATCATTTTTTTTTCTTATACTATATTGAGGGGTTTGGCATAGATTGCCAGTCTTTTTTTATTTTTATTTTTATTTTTAGACAGAGTCTTGCTCTGTCGCCCAGGCTGGAGTGCAGTAGCACCATCATGACTCACTGCAGCCTCAACTTCCCAGGCTCAGGTGATCCTCCCATCTCAGCCTCCCAAGTAGCTGGGATTACAGGTGTGGGCCACTGTGCCCAGCTCTAGGCTGGTCTTGAACTCCTAGGCTCAAGTGATCCTCCCGCCTTCGCCTCCCAAAGTGTTGGAATTACAGGTGTGAGCCAACAAGCCTAGCCAATAAACTGAGCATTCTTTTTATTTTATTTTATTTTATTTATTTATTTATTTATTTTTGAGAAGGAGTTTCACTCTTGCTGCCCAGGCAGGAGTGCAATGGCGCTATCTCTGGCTCACCGCAACCTCTGCCTCCCGGGTTCAAGTGATTCTCCTGCCTCAGCCTCCCGAGTAGCTGGGATTACAGGCATGTGCCACAATACCCGGCTAATTTTGTATTTTTAGTAGAGACGGGTTTTCTCCATGTTGGTTAGGGTGGTCTCGAACTCCCAACCTCAGGTGATCCGCCTGCCTCAGCCTCCCAAAGTGGTAGGATTACAGGTGTGAGCCACCACACCCGGCCCTGAACATTCTTTTAAATAATTCAGATGGGCTGATTCCATTCAGGGGGTCCCATATATGGAGCTTTACTTAATTTGAAGGGTGAAAGGGGCAAATGTTAATAAATCACGGTTCCTATGCTTTGGCATCTGCTGAGATAGCTTTTTCTGCTACTTCTCTTGACATCCTGGCCCCTGTGAGGACCATGATGTTCCTTGGGTGCATCTCCCAAATCCCAGGAGCACAGTTTCTACTATCCTACAACCTCACCATGCTGGGCAAGGTAGAGGTAAGGCTTAAAGACTGGTGCCTGCCTTCCCAGGTTGGCCCAAGAAAATGAGGCACATATTCTGTTGCAACTGAGCCCCAAACCATCTGGAGGAATTCAGTTGACTCCCCTCACGGGCCCTTGCATGTGGAGAGGGCCAGGAACAGGATAACTTACTTTTGAACACACCACTATCTAAGTTCTTTAGTTTTTTCTCCAGTTCTCCTCCCCTTATAGCTTGTAGAATTATTTTTTTTTTCTGAGAACTTTAAAACATTTTATTTTGTTTTGTTTTGTTTTGTTTTTTGAGACAGGGTCTTGATGTCACCCAGGCTGGAGTGCAGATCATAGTTCACTGCAGCCTCCAACTCCTACGCTCAAATGATCCTCCTGTCTCAGCCTCCCAAGTAGCTGGGACTACAGGTGTGTGTCACCATGCCTAGCTAATTTTTAAATTTTTCTTTTGTAAAGATGGGGGTCTCGCTTTGTTGGTCTCAAATTCCTGTCCTCAAGCGATCCTCCCACCTCAGCCTTCCAAAGCACTGAGCCACTGAGTCCAGTCTTTTTTTATTAAATACAGAAAAATATGGAGAATAATAAAATGAACGTGTGTCCTCACTACCAAGGATCAAAGATTATTAACATTTTGTCATATTTCTGCTGTATTTTAAAGAAATACAAAAATTACAGATAAATTTTATATTCTTTTACCTCTTGCTCTGCACCCCAGAGTCCCATTAACCATGTCCTCTCCCCAAGGGTAACAACTACCATATTTGTTTGTATTTTTCCAGTACAATTTTTAGATTTTACGTACATTAGATTACTTTATACTATATATATTACACAAATTATTTTACTTTAGCAATATATGATAATGTCTTTTTTTTTTTTTTGAGATGAATTCTTGCTCTGTCGCCCAGGCTAGAGTGCAGTGGCGCGATCTCGGCTCACTGCAACCTCCACCTCCTGGGTTCATGCAATTCTCCTGCCTCAGCCTCCTGAGTAGCTGGGATTAGGTGTGTGCCACCATGGCCAGCTAATTTTTGTATTTTTAGTAGAGACGGGGTTTCACCATGTTGGTCAGGCTGGTCTCGAACTCCTGACCTCAAGTAATCCACCCAATTTGGCCTCCCAAAGTGTCAGGGTTACAGGGATGAGCCACCGCGCCTGGCCTATAATAATGTCTTGAATGTGTATGAAATGTATATAAATATGCTATGCCATATCAATTTGTGTATTCATTTCAAATCATCCTCTTAGGACTGGGCATGGTACCTCACACCTGTAATCCCAGCACTTTGGGAGGCCGAGATGGGAGGATTGCTTGAGGCCAGGAGTTTGAGACCAGACTGGCCAACATAGTGAGACCCCATTTCTATTTTATACAATTAAAATATTGGCTGGGAACAGTGGCTCATGCCTGTAATTTCAGCACTTTGGGAGGCCAAGGGGGGCAGATCACTTGAGGTCAGGAGTTTGAGACCAACCTGGCAAATATGGTGAAACCCCATCTCTACTGAAAATACAAAAATTACCTGGACATGGTGGTGGGCACCTGTAATCCCAGCTACTTGGGAGGCTGAGGCAGAAGAATTGCTTGAACCTGGGAGGCAGAGACTGCAGTGAGCCTAGATCACGCTACTGCACTCCAGCCTGGGTGACAGAGTGTGACTCTGTCTCAAAAAAAAATTAATTAAATTAAATTAAAATATTAAAAATAAAATAATCCACTTAGGCTGGTGCATGGCTCATGCCTGTAATCCCAGCACTTTGGGAGGCCAAGGCAGGAGGATTGCTTGAGGCCAGGAGTTTAAGACCAGCCTGGGTGGCAACATAGTGAGACCCTGTCTCTACAAACAATACAAAAATTAGCCAGGTATAATAATGTACACCTGTAGTCCCAGCTACTGAGGAGGCTGAGGTGGGAGGATCACTTGAGTCCAGGAATTAAATGTTACAGTGGGCTATGAGCCTGCCACTGTACTCCAACCTGGACAACAGAGTGAGACCCCATCTCAAAAAAAAATTTATAAAAATGCAATTATTTGGCCGGGCGTGGTGGCTCATGCCTGTAATCCCAGCACTTTGGGAGGCTGAGGCGGGTGAATCACCTGAGGTCAAGAGTTCAAGACCAACCTGGCCAACATGGTGAAACCCCGTCTCTACTAAAAGTACAAAAAATTAGCCGTGCATGGTGGCAGGCACCTGTAATCCCAGCTACTCAGGAGGCTGAGGCAGGAGAATTGCTTGAACCTGGGAGGTGGAGGTTGCAGTGAGCCAAGATTGCAGCACTGCACTTCAGCCCGGGTGACAAGAGCAAGACTCTGTCAAAAAAAAAAAAAAAAAAGCAATTATTCCTTTACTATCTTGTAATATTATTTTTGAGATGTTTCCATGTTGACACAGTGTACCAGTTAGGAATGCTTCTGGCTAAAGATAACACGAAACCCAACCAAGAGTGATTTAAACAAACGAACTTTTTTCTCTCACATACAAATATTCTGGAGGTCGATAGCTGTTGGCATTTTTTTTCCCATAACTCAGTTATGTCAGGGACAGAATTTCTGTACTTCTGGCACTTTCTTCACGGCTGTATGCAGGGGGAAAGTGCAGTGCCAGCTGCATTTGTCTCTAGAATCCCTCAACAAACTTCCATTTATATCTCTGATCAGCTGGGCACGGTGGTGCACCTGTGGTCCCAGCTACTCAAAAGGCTGAGCCCAAGAGTTTGAGACCAGCCTGGGCAAAATAATGATACCCCTTCTCAAAAAAAGAAAAAAAAATCTCATCGATCATTATTTTCCCATGGCCTACGTGCAAAGGAGCTTAGGAAAGAGGATAATTAGTCTTTTCAGCCCCATAGAGAAGGTGGCAAATGGAGAAAAGAGTCAGGAATGGTTGCTGGGTCAGTCAATGTCTAGTATATTATTCCTAAAAGAATATTTCTTGTGACTGCTATCACTGTTATATGGATTTTCTTACTTATTCCACTACTGATGGATGTTTCCAATGTTTGCCATTTCAAGCAATGATGCAATGAACAACCTTGTATATGTCTTCTTGTGAATTTGTAAAATCTTTATCGTCTCCATTGCACAAAAAAACTGGCTCTGCTAAATTGTATATTTTTGCATACCAGGATATGTTTTTGAAACAAAAAAGCTGAATGTTTAACTTTTTTTCCTCTCTAACATCATGTTCCTGAGGCACAAACCCAAATATCCTTCAGTGAGGGAAGGATCAAGAGGGAGTAGGGATGTCTAGGGGTGGAAAGCTAGTGAACATTATAAAAATAATTTCCTGCTAAAAAGAAATTATAAAGTCTTAATATATTAGAAATTATATTCTGAATTAGTACATAAACAAAAACTAGGACATCAAAAAGACTCACAAAGAAGCAGAAATCTCAGAACAGACCACACAGGATGAAAAGAACAGTGCAACACAAGAATTCAGTATAGTTAGGAGCTCAAACAAACAAGACCAATCATACTAGTTACAGGGTATCCTCAATTCCCTAGCGAGGAGGAACAGGAGATTTTTATCTGTGTCAGTAAAGATTCTTTACATTGCAAGTGAAGAAAAATCCAAGGCAAACTGCTTTCACTAGAAAAGGAAACAGAAAAGACTATTGCTAAGTCCAGTGATGGTCATGACTTTATCCAAAGTTCAAATCATGTTAGTAGGACCTAGCTCCCAGATCCTCTTCCTCTGAGTGTTAGCTTCATTTTCAGGCAAGTTCCTTTCCTGGTAACAGAATGGCTGTAGCAGTCTCAACTTCACATTCATAGGACACAGAATCCTGAAGAAGAATTTAGCTTATCTTCCAGTAGCTTCATTTTATTAGGGAGAGGTTTTTCTTTCCCAAGAGCCCCAGCAAATATCCTTATATCTCACTGGGCTTCTGACTAGGTTATGAGTTCATTAATGAACCATCAGTAAGGCCATGGAGATGGAATATGTTGACTGACCTAACCCAGTCTGAGCTCTCCCAGAGCTGAGGCTGAGACCAATTCTACCCAATCACATAGCTTGAGAGTAGGGGAGGGAGTGATTACCCAGGATAAAATCTTTGTATTATTTCACCAAAAGAAGGGTGTTCAACCCAGCGATCTCGTTACTGGGTATACACCCAAAGGAAAATAAATCGTTCTACCGAAAGGACACATGCATCCATGTGTTCATTGCAGCGCTGTTGACAACAGAATCAACCCAGGTGCCCTCAATGGTGAATTAGATTTAAAAAATGTGGTACGCATACACCACAGAATACTATGCAGCTATAAGAAAGAACAAAATCATGTCCTTTACAGAAACATGGGTAGAGCTGTAGGCCACTATTGTAAGCAAATTAACACAGGAACAGAAAAGCAAATACCTCATGTTCTCACTTATAAGTGGGAGATAAACATTGGATACACATGGGCATAAAGATGAGCGCAATGACACTAGGTACTAAAGGGGGAAGAGGGGGTGGAGGGCAAGAGCTGAAAAACTACCCATTGGGTACTATACTGACTACCTGGGTAATGGGTTCACTCATACCCCAAACCTCTGCATCATGCAATATATCTTTGTAACAAATCTGCACATGTACCCTCTAATGTGAAAATAAAAGTTGAAAAAGAAAAAAGAAGGGTGAATGGATGTTATGGATACTGGAAAGGAAAAAACAAAATGTCCACTAAAGTATCAGAACATACTTTATATGATTTTTAGTTAATTATATGTAAGCAGGTAGAGTAAGCCATATTAATCTCATTACAAAGACAGTCTGTCATTGTCCGTAAATCCTTTGACTTATTTACCCCATTTTTCATTAAAACCCATCCAAGAATAATTACAGGCCAGAAGCACTTTCCACTAATCACCACTTAAATGATAAGCCTAATCATTAAATGATAAAACTAAATCAGTGCCCTCGATTGCCTGTAAAAGAAGATACTGAGCTAGACACAGTGGCTCACGCCTGTAATCCCAGTACTTTGGTAGGCTGAGGTAGGAGGATCACTAGAGACCAGGAGTTTGAGACCAGCCTGGGCAACACAGCAAGACTCTGTCTCTACAAAAAAATCCAAAAATTAGCTAGATGTGGTGGCATACCCCTGTAGTCCAGCCATGTGAGAGGCTGATGTGGGAGGATCACTTGAGCCCAGGATTTTGAGGCTCCAGTTAGCTATGAATGTGCCACTGCACTCCAGCCTGGGCAATACAGCAAGACCCTGTCTCAGAAAAAAAAATGTATAGAAGCCCAGTGCGTGCTGAACCCTTGGAGATAGACTTCAACCCTCTGATCCTCTGATACATCCATACACTGCTGCTCCCACTGTTGAGTTAATGCTTGTTCACTAACCTGTTTGTTCCAGTTGTTCTTGTTTTAATTACATATTTAAGTAAATGTTACATTATGTGATGAAATAAGAGTGGAGGAAAAATAACTTCTCTCTATGAAACTAAATTTAATACTTTGGAAAGACTCAATAAAGGCAAATTAATTTTTTTTTAAGACGGAGTCTTGCTCTGTTGTCCAGGCTGGAGTGCAGTGGCGCAATCTCCGCTCACTGCAACCTCCGCCTCCCAGGTTCAAGTGATCTCCTGCCTCAGCCTCCCAAGTAGCTGGGATTACAGACACCCACCACCACGCCTGACTAATTTCTATATTTTTAGTACAGACAAGGTTTCACCATGTTGAGCAGGCTGGTCTTGAACTTGGTCTTGAACTCCTGACCTCAGGTGATCAGCCTCCCAAAGTGCTGGGATTATAGGTGTGAGCCACCCAACCTGGACCAAGCTTCCTCTCTTTAAATAGGTGATTTAGGAGTTCAAGTTTACAGTGAGCTATGATCACACCACTGCACTCCAGCCTGGGCAACAGGCCAAGACCCTGTTTCTAAATAAATAAATAGTTCTGGGCCGGGTGCGGTGGCTTGTGCCTATAATCCCAGCACTTTGGGAGGCCGAGGCAGGCAGATCACCTGAGGTCGGGAGTTCGAGACCAGCCTGACCAACATGGAGAAACCCTGTTTCTACTAAAAATACAAAAAAGTAACCGGGCGTGGTGGTGCATGCCTGTAATCCCAGCTACTCAAGAGAATCACTTGAACCTGGGAGGCAGAGGTTGCGGTGAGCTAAGATTGCACCATTGCACTCCAGCCTGGGCAACAAGAGCAAAACTCTGTCTCAATAAATAAATAAATAAATAGTTCTGAGGTCCCTTCTAAGTTCAATTAAGTTCTACATACTGGATAGAGGCAAGAAAATGTGAAAAAAAAATGTCGTGCCCATTTAACACAAAGGAACACTGAGTGTTTTAAGATAATCTGCTCCTATGCTAGCTCAGAAATCAAAATTTTGTTAACATCTGCAAACACAAATGTCATGTTTAACTTTAGTTTCTATCTTTTTTTTTTTTTTTTTTTGACAGAGTCTCACTCTGTCACCCAGGCTGGAGTACAGTGGTGCCATCTCGGTTCACTGCTGCCTCCGCCTCCCAGGTTCCAGCGATTCTCCTGCCTCAGCCTCCCAGGTAGCTGCAATTACAGGCAGGCGCCACCATGCTTGGCTAATTTTTGTATTTTTAGTAGAGACAGGGTTTCGCCATGTTGGTCAGGGTGGTCTCAAACTGCTGACCTCATGATTCACCCTCCTCGGCCTCCTAGTTTCTATCTTAAAGGTGGTTTCTCTAATTTCGTCTCAAATTCTGGATGGTACACTATTTGGGGCATAAAATCTTCTGCAGCAGAAGTGTAGTAAATAGTACTGCTGAGTAAAACTAAACCATGCAATAATTACCTCAAGGAAAAAGATGGTTTTTCCAAGTTATTTAAACAAATAGCTTTTATTTAACTTTTCATAAAATGGAAAAAAAGGAACTTTTTATAAAGAAAATGCAATGACGCAATAAAGACCAGGCCACATCTCTTTAGAAAAAGAAAAAAAAGCCTAAGTGTATCAGTAGAACTATCTGAAGAGACAAAGGTACAAATATTCTTTCCCCATTATTGACTCAGAAACCACTTATCTGCAGAAACATGACAGATTGAATTTCCATGGCTAATTAAGAACATATACAGCTTTGACACCTTTGGGACTCTGGCAGCTGTGATTCCAATTTTGCGTCTCCCACCAATTTACATTCACACACAATGAATGTGACAGTGGTAGTCAGATTAGAGTGATTATTTTGTTAAATACTGAGTTGCAAAAACAACAGGGTCAGAGTAAAGGCAGGTGTACAGAATGTAACCTCTTGAGACACGTTATCTCACAGCTGTAAATACACAAAGTGGCTCTAATAGATGGACAATGGACTACTACTCTCCTTGGTAGATGTCACTGATATTTTCTAGCTATGGGAAGAAACAATAGCATATTAATGAGATTTTTACTTTGTTTCTGAAATTAATTCTTTTTTTTTTTTTTTTTTTTTTGAGACAGAGCTTTGCTCTGCCACCCAGGCTGGCATGCAGTGGCGCGATCTTGGCTCACTGCAACTTCCATCTCCCAGGCTCAAGTGATTCTTGTGCCTCAACCTCCCGAGTAGCTGGGATTACAGGCGGGTGCCACCATGCCCGGCTAATTTTTGTATTTTTAGTTGAGACAGGGTTTTGCCATGTTGGCCAGGCTGGTCTTGAACTCTGAGCTCAAGCGATCCACCCACCTCGGCCTCCCAAAGTGCTAAGATTATAGGCGTGAGCCACTGTGCCTGGCCTAAAATTAATTCTCAGAGTGTATGTTTGAAGATTTTGAACTCTATGATTAAAGACATGACTCCTAAAATGAACAAATCAGTGGATGACAATAGGTAACCCTGAAATAGATCCAAGCATATATAAAAACTTACTAATAAAGGAAGTATCAGTAACCAATTGGAAACACACTTTTTTGAAAGAAATTCAAACTCACTTTATGCCAAAATAATTCCAGATAAATTTGAATGTAAAAACACATTTTAGCCAGAAAAATACTAGAAGAAAACATAAAATTTTAGTCATATTTAAGTAATCTCAGAAGTAATAAGAACGTTTTATTTTCTGGGTTTTTGTTGTTGTTGTTTTTTAAGATATGAGGTCCTCGTTTTGCTATGTTACCTTTGCTAGTCTGGAACTCCTGGCCTCAAGCAACCCTTCCACTTTGGCCTCCCAAAGTGCTGGAATTACAGGCATGAGCCACAATACCTGGCTTAAAAGGACACTGAGGACATTTTAAGCATAAAACCACTGGAAATATAACAAAGGAAACTTAAAAAGATGTTTTAGGATATTTTTATCCCATGTTTTCTTTTAGTATTTAAAAAAAAACATATGGCCAGGCGCGGTGGCTCACGCCTGTAATCCCAGCACTTTGGGAGGCAGAGGCGGGCGGATCACGAGGTCAGGAGATCGAGATCATCCTGGCTAACATGGTGAAACCCCGTCTCTACTAAAAATACAAAAACTAGCCTGGCATAGTGGTGTGTGCCTGTAATCCCAGCTACTCGGCAGGCTGAGGCATTAGAACTGCTTGAACCCGGGAGGCAGAGCTTGCAGTGAGCTGAAATCACACCACTGCACTCCAGCCTGGGCGACAGAGTGACAGTCTGTCTCAAAAAAAAAAAAATAATAATAATAAATAAATAAAAATTAAAACATAAAAAATATTCTAATATCTGTAGGACAACTAATCACCTTCTTTTTCAACATCTTGGCTATTCTTATCCATTTTCTCTTCCAGATAAATGTTGGAATCAACTTGTCAAGTAAAAAAAAAAGAATCCAGTTGGAATTTTGATTAAAGTTATATTTGTAGATTAATTTGAGACCAATTGAGTTGTTTTCTCATCTAGAAACATGGTATGTTTTTACATTTATTTAGGACTTATTTTTTCTTTAGCAACGTTTCCTGGTTTTCCTCATATTAATTTTATACATTTCGTGCTGAGTAAATTAATTAATCAACTCACTCAACAACTCTTTGTCCGAGGCTCAGAGTGTACAGCAATGAACAAGGCAAGTTCCCTGTTCTCATGGAGCCTATATTCTAATTGGGACAAATAAACAAAAAAGATCAGCTAGTGAGTAGTCCTCTGCAGATAATTAAAATAGGGTTATGTGATAGAGAGATATTGGGTGGCTACGTTAGATTGGGTGGTTAAGAAAGTCCCTTAATATTTCAACTGAGATCTGAGTAGCAAGAAGAATCCAGCTTTGTAAAGCTGCTGGGAGTGGGGATGGCATTTCAAGGAGAGGGAACCGCTAATGAAAAAAAAAAATCACTAAGTCTCCTAATAGTTTGATATTTTCTGTTCAAGGAACAGAAAAAAGGCCAGTGAAGCTAGCGGTGAGTGGTGAAGGGGAAAGTGTTATGAAAAGATGTTAGACAAACATTTAGGGGCCAAACAGATGATTCAGGCCTTCATAAGGAGTTTGCATATTATTTTATTTTTTTGAGACAAAGTCTCTGTTGCCCAGGCTTCAAGGTAGTGGTGTGATCTGAGCTCACTGCAGCCTCTGCCTCCCAGGTTCAGGTGATTCTCCTGCCTCAGCCTCTCCCCCTAGTAGCTGGAACTACAAGTGCACGCCACCATGACTGGCTAATTTTTGTATTTTTAGAAGTGACAGTGTTTTGCCATGTTGGCCAGGCTGGTCTCCACTCCTGGCCTTAAGTGATCTGCCCGCGTTGGCCTCCCAAAGTGCTGGAATAACAGGTGTGAGCCACTGTGCCTGGCCTACATTATATTAAATGTGATGGAAGCCATGTATTGAGTAAAAGAATGACTTGATCTGATTCATGGTTTTTGAAAGATCGCTATAGTACCTAGCGGAAAAAGGATAGCAGAGGGCCAAGAGTGAAAGAAAGATTTGTGAGGAGGCGAGTGTAGTGGTCCAGGTAAGAGGTAATAGTGGCCAGATATGGTGGCTCACACCTGTAGTCCCAGCTACTAGGGAGGCCGAGGCACGAGAATTCCTTGATCCCAGGAGGCAGAGGTTGCTAGTGAGCCGAGATCACGTCACTGCACTCCAGCCTGGGTGATGGAGGGAGACTCTGTCTCAAAAAAAAGAAAAAAAACAGAACATATTTATACACAAATGGAAATGACCCAGAAGAGGAGAAATTAGTCTGGGTGTGGTGACATGTGCCTTAATCTCAGCTACTTGGGGGCTAAAGTTGGAGGATCACTTGAGGTCAGGAGTTTGAGGCTGCAGTGAGCTATAATTGCGCCTGTGAATAATCACTGCACCCCAGCCTGGGCATCATAGACCCCGTCTTTAACATTTAGAAAGACAGAGAGAAAGGAGAGATTGATGAGGCAGGAGCAAGGAGGATAATTGTTGGAGCAGTAAAACTCTTGAAAAGGAGACAGTATGGAAGATATGGATAGTATCTTGAAAAATAAAGTGGATGAGAAGTGACACGAATAGTGGAAGAAACAAAGACGGTGGGCTATGAAAAATGATGGGGAGATACCAGGGATCAGTAGCTGACAGCATCTCAGAGTAGCAGCAGTCTGCATAAATTTTAAAAGCACTTGAGTTTCTGAGGGAGGAAGGAAGAGAAGTGGTTTGGAGGTAATATGAGGAATAGGCCACAGATAAGAATACCTATGAGAGGAAAAATAACCTCCTGTACTTGAAAAGTTGCAAGGGAGGTAGTTTTGCTAAGTGATAAACCGGGTTTCAGTTGGAATGGGAAGTTGATGGGAACATTTACAGAAGAGGCTAAGAATAAAGGGGAAGTGGTTGATGGCAGATGTTGAAATCAAAAGTGTGAAGTGAAATGGTTAGGATATTTGGTGAAGAGTGGGATATGGAATCAGAGTAATTGAAGCAGAGAGTAGCATGGAGATACTAGAGCAATAAACGGATGACGCAGATCCTACTGGTTGTGATTGAGGTGGAAAGGATTATAAAGCATGATGGAATTATCTTTTGGTAATCTCTTGGGTCAAACGTGGTGAACGGTAAGATGAATAATATAGAGCTACACAAACCGTTCTTGTGATATGGAGGCTGCTCCCTAATTACAATGCTAATATTTCATTTAGGATTTTTGTATTCATCGTTACAAAACAGGGTCTGTAGGTTTCCTTTTAGTGTTCATAATGCTTAGGTTTTACTAACAGGGTTATGATTACCTCTCCAAACAAGCTGGGATTTTTTTTTTCAAGCGTTTCCATGCCCTGGAACCATCTGGTCTAGTGCTTTTTGGGGTAATGAATATCTTCAATTGTATTTATTTTTACTTAGTTGATCTATTCAGATTTTCTACATTTTCTTGAGCTGATTTTGCTTATTTATATTTTTATTGATATAAAGATTTTTTCTATTTTTATTTCTTGTGCCAACTGTATGTACATTCCCCCCATTCCCGTTTCCATACTGTTTTTAGGCCATTTGAAAATCTCAAAGGTTTTACAGGAAAGTACAGATTGATGAAGAAATGGCCAAAAACGGGAAAAGTGAACTTTAAAGTGATTCAACTACAAAACGTATGCTACTGAGCAAATACTAGTGTATTCCTCGCTCTGCGGCTTAACTCCATGAAAATCCGTGCAAAGGTTTTAGCGTTGGGATTGTGACCGACTCGGTGAAGAGAGGGGACGATCACCAAACCGTTAGAGCACTGGGGCTCTTGGCAGTGTTTGTCAGTTATTTTCAAGTGATAACTTGAAGTGATACCGCAGGAATAAAATGCTGTATCCAGAGCTGGTCGGAACGAGCACTACCTTTAACAAAAGCTGAAAAGATCTGCCTAGGAATTCGTTAGAATACAGCCCTCTTACGTCTCTGACATACCTAGTTATGTGAACCGAGACTGTGCAGCTGACGGTGGAAATTTCCTAAGTGCTTTTTAAACAACAGAACTGGACTCCCTCCCTCCTCCATTCCCAGTCGAATACGTCCCACCCAGATCCAGCTCAAGGGTGCAGCACTTGTTCCGGCCAGCTCACAATCGCCCTTTGGAAGGGAGGTTTCCCGCCATTTCGCTTAGGAGGAGGGTGAACTCTTCTCCCTTCATTCTCCACTCGCTGGGGGCCCGAGCCCACACCACCTTCCTAGCAAAGCAAGCAGCGGGACGCCAAGGCCAGCAGGCCGCATTAAGAACGCTGGACTGAGCCAAAAGCCTACACAGACCAAGCCGCTCGGGAAAGGATCAACAACTGCCGACAACCCGGAGGGCGAAAACGCCCGCGGCGTAGGGGAAGCAAACTAGGAGATGCGCGGGCCCAGCGCCAGCGGCGGGAGGAGGCAGCGCGGCCGTCGCAGGCGGGAGCGAAGGCGGGGACGGAGGGCGGGCTCGCTCCACTCGACTCCGGATTGGTCGAGCTTAGAGAGCCGAGTGACGTCAGCGGGGGAGAACGCCTGATTTGTGTGGTGGGCGCGGGCGGTGGGGGGAAGCGCAGTGCGCAGGCGCAACTGCCTGGCTCTGCTCGCTCCGGCGCTCCGGCCCAGCTCTCGCGGACAAGTCCAGACATCGCGCGCCCCCCCTTCTCCGGGTCCGCCCCCTCCCCCTTCTCGGCGTCGTCGAAGATAAACAATAGTTGGCCGGCGAGCGCCTAGTGTGTCTCCCGCCGCCGGATTCGGCGGGCTGCGTGGGACCGGCGGGATCCCGGCCAGCCGGCCATGGCGGGGCTGTACTCGCTGGGAGTGAGCGTCTTCTCCGACCAGGGCGGGAGGAAGTACATGGAGGACGTTACTCAAATCGTTGTGGAGCCCGAACCGACGGCTGAAGAAAAGCCCTCGCCGCGGCGGTCGCTGTCTCAGCCGTTGCCTCCGCGGCCGTCGCCGGCCGCCCTTCCCGGCGGCGAAGTCTCGGGGAAAGGCCCAGCGGTGGCAGCCCGAGAGGCTCGCGACCCTCTCCCGGACGCCGGGGCCTCGCCGGCACCTAGCCGCTGCTGCCGCCGCCGTTCCTCCGTGGCCTTTTTCGCCGTGTGCGACGGGCACGGCGGGCGGGAGGCGGCACAGTTTGCCCGGGAGCACTTGTGGGGTTTCATCAAGAAGCAGAAGGGTTTCACCTCGTCCGAGCCGGCTAAGGTTTGCGCTGCCATCCGCAAAGGCTTTCTCGCTTGTCACCTTGCCATGTGGAAGAAACTGGGTAAGTTCCCTGGCTTGTTTGGCGCCCGCCCCTTTTTCAGGCAGTTCAGGGCTTTTATGGCACCAGCCCCGCGTGGGCCCCCGGCACCCAGAGCGCAACCAAAGTATACACTGATGGAAGTGACTAAAAGCTGTAATAGCGCTTTGCTGGGTGGAGGTCCGGGCAAACCAAGCGGCCTTGGGGAAGATAGGATTGCCGTCTCCCTGCAGCCTATTCTTGCTTTATTTCCATCCTCCAAGGATCAATGGGAAGCAGTCCACTCCCTTCCCTGCTTCACTTTGGTGGCAACCAGAGGAAACGTGTTTGAAACCTGGCGCCAGATTTTGGCCAAAAGATAAATCGATGTTGCACCTGGGCCAGGCGAAGGAAAAACTGTAGTGTTTCCTTAGAGAATCTGTCATAATTCTGCTCCTGAAAGTCTTATCCCTCTCGGTTGCCTCCTACCGGTGGTGTCAGTTCTCCAGATTGACCCGGGATTGCTGGGGTTGGTTGCTGGAGTAAAGCGTAAGCTAATTTAGAAGGGCTGAAACGTAACCATCCGGCAACTTAAAGTTTTGGAAGGAATTCCGTTGTAATGATGGTGAGATGTTTTTAGGATCATAAACCTGTACTGCTTATGAAAACTAAAAACGCGGAACGTGTTGTTACCTCTTAAAAACTGGCCCCGTGTTAAGGGTGTGCGTTAGATTCTGCTTGGGTTTTCTTTTTGGAAATTGCCTTAGCTGATTGCTTTCAGATAGTTCCCAACCGGTTGTTCCTAGTTTAAAAAGTACTTATAAATTGTAACTGCCCATCAAAATAAGAAAAGGCAAGGAATTACTGTATGCTAGAAGGAAATAAAGGTCTTAAATGTCTAAAAATTTCGGTGTAGTTGTAGTTTCATCTAAGTTTTTTTAAATGTTTGTAAAGCAGGCAGGATTTCTGTGCCCAACATTTACAGAATCATCTTACAGCATTATAATTGCTTATCTATTGCAGTGAATAAATGGCATGCATCTTTGTTAGAGCAAAGAAGACAATACTTCCAGTGGTGGGAAAAAACCTTGTTTATGGCAGCATAATAACGTTGCTTTATTTTCAGCAGAGGGATAGAGACATAGAGAAAAGAGTTAGATTTAGCAAATACAGAACATTTTTAGAAAGGTATTGTCATAGAGTTGTAGATTAGCCGGTTTCAAAGTCTGTTTTCCATTTGCTTGGCTTTCTGCCAAGAGTTAGTTGATTGACTCAAAAACCAGCCACTAGGCTTGTTGGAGGCGTTTCCCATCCATCCCAGGGGCCCCTCTTTATGGATTTATTTTGTTTTTGTGTAGGCACCGTAGAGCTGAAAGCACTGTAGTGTATTGTAGAAATATGTGATATCATTGACTGCAGGGCAACGAGAAGTCGACAGCAGCACAAGAGAGGAAGACTAGGCACAGAACTATTTAGAGTGCTGTTTATTTTGCAGTATACTTGGAGTAACATGAATTTGCCATATGTTTGAACTTTAAGGATAAAAAATCTTTAAGGTATAAACTCCGTTACATTAGTATTAAATTTTTTTTTTTTTAAGAGACGGGCAGGGGCGGGGGACGGGTGTGGGCCGCCTTACTTTGTTGCCCAGGCTGGGCAACAAGCGATCCTGGGCTCAAGCGATCCTTCCTCCTCGGCCTCCGAAAGTGCTGGAATTACAGGCGTGAGCTACCCTGCCGGACCTTCAGGAACATTTTTTAATAAAGCAGGGGCCATGCTGTTAAATGTAAATATGTATGGTTTAGTTTTACATACACAGACTTTTCGAATTAAGCTGTCACTCTTATGATGCATAAAGTTTAGAGCCTTATACTCCAGAAAAATGTTAAAGTTTGTTTTGTACCACAGCTAGACCTCAGACTTCGTCCTCAAAGCTTGAAAAAAAAAAAAAAAAAAAAAGTATGCTAATTATTTTGGGAGTCTTGACAAAGGAAACGAAGGTTTAAATTTTTTTTTCAATCACAAATTCTTGGATGGCTCCACATTTTCTGTAAAGTAAACTGTAGTTTGCAATCTGCAGGCCAACCCCTTTCCTGTACATATTCAGCCTCTCCAGTAAATTATATTTGTTACACGAATTTCCATTACATTAGTCTCTACTCACCTTTTTTCAGGACACATGGAAATACTCCATTTCCATTTTCTTGGATTCTGCCTCTCTCACCCTGCCCCCCCAACAAGGAAAACTCAAACAAAAATATATCCATCATGTAGATTCCCAGTCAGTATGTTTTCTTCTGTGAAGACTACTTTCTTTTGGAATTGAGCACCCTTTTTTCTACTTTTGTAGTGCTCATTGGATTGTAGTAATAGTTCTCAAACTTTTTGCTCTCAGAACCCTTTATATGCTTATTGAGGACCCCAGAGAGTTTTTATGTGGGCTACATCTTCCAGTATTTACTATATGAGAAATTTAAACTTAGGCAATTTAAAAATATTTCTTTAAAAACAAACTTATATGTTTATATATATATTTTAAAGAAAAAACACTTTTTTCCCCAAATAAGAAATAGTGGTGGGAGGAGTGGGGTTGTTTTACATTTTGCAAACCTCTTTCAATGTCTGGCTTAATAGAGGACAGCTGAATGGCCGGGCGCACGCCTGTAATCCCAGCACTTTGGGACACAAAGGCAGGCGAATCACCTGAGGTCAGGAGTTTGAGACCAGCCTGGCCAACATGGTGAAACCTTGTCTCTACTAAAAATACAGAAATTAGCCGGGTGTGGTGGTGCATGCCTGTGATCCTAGTTACTCAGAAGGCTTAGGCAGAGAGAATTGCTTGAACCCGCGAGGCGGAGGTTGCAGTGAGCTGGGATTGGGCCACTGCACTCCAGCCTGGGCAACAGAGTGAGACTCCGTCTCAAAAAAAAAAAAGACAGCTGAATTATCATATCCACTTCTGCACTCAATCTCTTGCGCTATTTGGTTGAAGTATCTAAAGAAATAGCAGCCCCACATGCATATGTAGTAGGAAAAAGGAGAAATATTTTATTAGTCTTTTCAGATAATTGTGGATATTCTGCACTAAAATGGTAGCTATTTTCCCCCCCAGAGAAAGGTGGAAGAAAAGTAGTTTCTTAAAGTTTGCTGAATTGGAATTTGAAACCTTAGTAATGAATTTCATACTTAATACGTTAAGATCCATTGGTCTATTTTGTACTTTGAACGAATCTCATCCATGTGTGATTTTTGTGACATAGTGCATTAGTTATTTGGAAAATAATGGTTCACTCAGTTAAGAACGTCCTCTGAATAGCAACACATTTCATTATACAATATCAAAGAAAATCATGTTTGTTAATATCACTGATCTCATCAGAAAACTCTTTAAATATTGGGAAGCTATCTAGTTCACTGTTGTGGATACACATTATCCAAAATGTATTTTTCAAGCAACAATTAGAAATGTATCATTGAGAACAAATACTGTCAGTTTTTCTTGAAGCGAAAAGCTCACTTTGTTCATGTTGAAGATGTACACCAAATGCCCAAGTCTTATTAACACAGTTTATCAGTCTCTCAAGTAAAGATGATGGTCCATGAAAAATGTGGCTAGTTCATTACATGACTCAGACAATCACAGGTGCTTTTCCTGTAGTATGTAACAAAAGCCTGTTTATGTAGTCTCCTTTTTGTCATATAGAATATTAAAAAGATATGCAGCCTGGGCAACATGGCAAGACCCTGTTGCTATACAAAATAAAAAATTAGCTTGGCATGGTAGCATGTGCGTGTAGTCTCTGCTACTCCAGAGGCTGAGATGGAGGGATTGCTTGAGCCTGGGAGGTGGGGTTACAGTGAACCATGATGGAGCCTGTGCACTCAGCCTGGGCAACAGAAGAAAAAAGTAGGTATTCATGGGTTGGGATTTAATACAATTAATTTTTATTGTGTCATCAAGGATATTCTTTTTTTAATTTTAGTTTTTGTTTTTTGAGACGGAGTCTCACTGTATTGCCCAGGCTGGAGTGCTGTGGCACAATTTCAGCTCACTGCAACCTCCTCCTCTCAGGTTCAAGCGATTCTCGTGCCTCAGCCTTCTGAGTAGCTGGGACTACAGGCATGTGCCATCATACCCAGCTAATTTTTGTATTTTTTTTAGCAGAGATGGGGTTTCGCCATGTTGGCCAGGCTGGTCTTGAACTCTTGACCTCAAGTGATCCATCTGCCTCGGCCTCCCACAGGCATGAGCCACCACTCCTGGCCAGGAATATTCTTAAGTGAAACTAGCTTGCTTTTTTTGGACTGTAATTAGGTAGCTGTGAAGAATGCAGTGACTAATGGCTCAATCTGGTGCCACTGCCTTGACTCCTGCCAAGGTACCAGTAGTTTACCAGCCATTGCTTTCTACCATCAGTACAAATGTCAGCACAGTGAAAAGGGCAAATAAACTCTTAGAATTATTATGAAAATAGTTTTGGCCTTGTAGAATCCCTATAAAGATTACACAGACCACTGGGAGATGCTAGTCTGCTATAGTATCTGCCTGTCAGCTAAATCTTGAGGTCTTTGGGGCCAGAGATACTGCCTTACTCATCTTTAATTGTTTTAGGATTGGCCACATAATACCTTGCCCAAAGTAGCTGCTCAACAACTAGTTGAGTTTAGTTGAATTTCTGTTGAGTGTAAGTAAATAAATGGACTTTCTTCCATTTTTTAATTAAAATTTCTCCTTTTAAAAAATTGTGCTAAAATACAGATAACATAAAGTTTATACCAGGCCAGGCGTGGTGGCTCACGCCTGTAATCCCAGCAATTTGGGAGGCCAAGGCGGGCGGATCACCCAAGGTCAGGAGTTTGAGATCAGCCTGGCCAACATGGTGAAACTCAGTCTCTATTAAAAATACAAAAAAATTAGCCGCACGTGGTGGTGTGTACCTGTAATCCCAGCTACTGGGGAGGCTGAGGTGGGAGAATTGCTTGAACCTGGGAGGCAGAGGTTGCAGTGAGCTGAGATCACGCCATTGCACTCCAGCCTGGGAGAAGACGCGAGACTCTGTCTCATAAATAAATAAATAAAATTTATACCATTTTAGCCATTTTTAGGTATATAATTTAGTGGCGTTAAGTGTATTCATAATGTTGTACAACCATCACCACTATCAGTTTTCAAAACTTCATCAGCCCAAATAGAAACTCTGTGTCCATTAAATAATATCTCATTGTTTCCCCCTTTCCCATCTCTGGTAACCTCCCCATTCTACTTTGTACTGCTATGAATTTGACTATTCCAGTACTCCATTTAAGTAGAAAAGTGTTCTTTTGTGTCTGACTTATTTTACTTAGCATGTCTTTAGAGTTCATTCATATTGTACCATGAGTCAGAATTTCTGCTGAATAATATCCCATCATATAGATGTATGCATGCCACATTGTGTTTATCCAGTTTTCTGTTGATGGACATTTGGGTTGTTTCCACTTTTTGGCTATTGTGACTAGTACTGCTGTGAACATTGGTGTACAAGCATTTGTTTGCATCCCAGTTTTTCAATTCTTTTGGGTATGAACCTATAAGTGGAATTGCTGGATCATATGGTAATTCTATGTTTAACATTTTAAGGACTTGCCAAACTGTTTACACAGCAGCTGTACCATTTTACATTCCTACCAGCAAGGTATGAAGGCTTCAATTTCCCCATATTCTAACGCTTGTTAACTTTTGTATTAAAAAAAAAAATCCTGATGAATGTGGACTGTCTTACATTTTAAAATTATAGCTTTTCTATGTTACTGAGCCCTTCTTGAATTATTTGGTGTTAAGCTTGACCTCTCTTGTCTTTCTAATGATGTGTACGCCTCCCAAATTTACAAAGGAAAATTTTTTAAATGGCTTATTTTTGTCTTGAGGTAGGGAGATTTGGTAAATACAGTATGGAATGAAAGAGTATATAAATATATTCTTTTTTTGTGTGTGTGACAGGGTCTTGCTCTGTTGTCCAGGCTGGAGTGTAATGGCATGATCAAAGGTCCCTGCAGCCTTGACTTCCTTGGCTCAAGGGATCCTCCTGCCTCAGCCTCTGAAGTAGCTGAGACTACAGGCATGTGCCTGCAAAGTAGCTGAGACTACAGGCATGCGCCCAGCTAATTTTTTTTTTTAATTTTTTTTTTTTATAGAGACAGGGTCTTGCCATGTTGCCCAGGGTGGTTCCTTACCCTGGGTTCAAGAAGTCTTCCCAGCTTGGCCTCCCAAAATGCTGTTATTACAGGCATAAGCCACCACATCCAGGCCTGAATATATTCTTTATTAAAAGGTCATTATTTTTCTTTTTTCTTTATTCATGATCATAAGTTTTAGGTTATGCCTAATTTATACTCACATATATATGTTTACTGCCCTTTTATTATGCTTGCCTTCTAAGAAATAAGTTTTTTTGTTTGTTTTGTTTTGTTTTATTTTTGAGACGGAGTTTTGCTCTTGTTGCCCAGGCTGGAGTGCAATGGTGCGATCTCAGCTCACTGCAACCTCCACCTCCCGGGTTCAAGCGATTCTCCTGCCTCAGCTTCCCGAGTAACTGGGATTACACGCATGTGCCACCACACTCAGCTAATTTTGTATTTTCAGTAGAAAAGAAGTGAGACTCTGTCTCTGGGGTTTCTCCATGTTGGTCAGGCTGGTCTTGAACTCCCGACCTCAAGTGATCCACCTGCCTCAGGCTCCCAAAGTGTTGGGATTACAGGCGTGAGCCACCGCACCTGGCAAAAATAAGTTTTAAAGTTTGTATAGGCTTTTTTAGGTTTACTTATTGGAAATAATGTTTTCATTGTCCCTTCTTTTGATAGTTTAAAGAAGATGGTGAATGAAGTGCAGCTTTTAGCTCTGTGTCATAGTCTTATCAATAGAGTCAATAGAAAGATGACATTCTGCAAAGGGTGATCTCTGGTGTGATTACAGGGAATTGGCCACAGTATTTGTAAAGGAAGATGAAATACAAAAGTTTCATTTGTTAACTTGGACTGAAGATTTAGAGCATTCATTTTAAAAGAGTATGACCAAGGAAATCGTGAAGAAGTTAATCTTAACATAAATTGTTGGTTCTAGATTTGGCATTACTTTAATTTAAAATGGAAAGAAACCAAAGTGGGGAGAGAGAATTGAATTTGGAGAAACCTCTTAAACTATAGAATTTTAAATGTGTATCTTGTTTTATGTTGGTTGTTCGCATTTTTTCATCATAAAGGATCTTCACCTTCTCATAAATTATACGTTCTGAAAGAGTTGTGTGCCATATTACTTATCAAGTTCAAATTTATTTTTTCTATTTTCATTATCAGTCATTACTTTTGATCCTTATTAGGTAGTCTCTCCAGAATTGATATCACTTAGAGAAATAGAAGCAATTTAAATTCTCATTAGTTTCTACATTATGCAGGTAAAACTAGATTTCTTTGCATCTTTATATTATGAAATATTCAAAAAGATGTAAAATGATTAAACAAACACCCATCCATAACTCAGCTTAAAAAATAAAACATTACCAGGCCGGGCATGGTGGCTCACGCCTGTAATCCCAGCACTTTGGGAGGCCGAGGCAGGCAGATCATGAGGTCAAGAACCTGATGAAACCCAGTTTTTACTAAAAATACAAAAAATTAGCTGGGTGTGGTGGCATGCGCTGGTAGTCCCAGCTACAGTGAGCTGAGATCAACGACACTGCACTCCAGCCTGGCAACAGAGCGAGATTCTGTCTCAACAATAAATAAATAAATAAAATAATAAAACATTACCAGTATAGTTAAGCCCCTTCTCTCTGTGTCATATTACATCTTTTTCACTCCCCATGAGGGGCAACTGCTTCTATATTCAGTGTTTATCATCCTCACTATTTTTTTTATAATTTTATTAGGTATATCTTTTTTTTTTTTTGACACAGAGTCTCGCTCTGTCGCCCAGGCTGGAGTGCAGTGGCGCTATCTTGGCTCACTGCAAGCTCTGCCTCCTGGGTTCACACCATTCTCCTGCCTCAGCCTCCCGAGTGGCTGGGACTACAGGCGCCCGCCACCACGCCCGGCTAATTTTTTGTATTTTTAGTAGAGACGGGGTTTCACCGTGTTAGCCAGGATGGTCTCGATCTCCTGACCTCGTGATGTGCCCTCCTCGGCCTCCCAAAGTGCTGGGATTACAGGCGTGAGCCACCGCGCCCGGCCTTTATTATGTATATCTTTAACCAATATACAGTACATTTTGTATTTTGTTTGTTTGTTTGTTTTTTAAGACAGAGTCTTGCTTAATCTCCCGGGCTGGAGTGCAATGGCGTGATCTCGGCTCACCGCAACCTCCGCCTCCTGGATTCAAGCGATTCTCCTACCTCAGCCTCCCCAGTAGCTGGAATTACAGGCGCGCACTACCACGCCCAGCTAATTTTTTGTATTTTTAGTAGAGATGGGGTTTCACCATGTTGGCCAGGCTGGTCTCGAACTCCTGACCTCGTGATCCACCCGCCTTGGCCTCCCAAAGTGCTAGGATTACAGGTGTGAGCCACCGTGCCCAGCCTGCATGGTTTTTATAACTTATATATGACATCTTACTATATGTATGCTATTGTCATCCCTTATGTGTTGGTTTCACTTTCTGCAGTTTGTTAACTTTGTTCAATGTTGAAATATTAAATATAAAATTCTAGAAATAAACAATTTGTAAGTTTAACTTGTGTGCTGTTGGGAGTAGCATGATGAAATCTTGTCTCGTCCCACTGTGTCAGCCCTGGATGTTAATCATTTCTTTGCCCAGCATATCTACGCTGTATATGCTACCTACCTGTTAGTCACTTAGTAGCTTGTTAGTCACTTAGTAGCCATCTTGGGTGTGGTTATCGGATCAACTCTTATGGTATTGCAGTGTTTATGTTCAAGTGACTCTTATTTTACTTAATAATGGACCCAAAGAGCAAGAGTAGTAATGCTGGCATATTGTTATACTTGTTTTATTTTATTAATGTTGTTAATTTCTTACTGTGCCTAATTTATAAATTACATTTTATCATAGATACGTATGTATAGGAGCCAAGCACGGTGGCTCACGCCTGTAATCCCAGCCCTTTGGGAGGCAGAGGTGGGCGGATCATGAGGTCAGGAGATCAAGACCATCCTGGCCAACATGGTGAAACCCTGTCTCTACTAAAATACAAAAAACTAGCCGGGCATGGTGGTGCGCACCTGTAGTCGCAGCTACTCAGGCGGCTGAGGCAGGGGAATTGCTTGAACCTGGGAGGTGGAGATTGCAGTGAGCCGAGATCGTGCCACTGCACTCCAACCTAGCAATAGAGTGAGACTGTCTCAAAAAAAAAAAAAAAAAAGATATGTATGTACGTATAGGAAAAAACATAGTGTATATAGGATTTGGTACTATCCAAAGTTTCAGGCATCCTTTGGGGGTTTTGGAACATATGCCCCTGCGATAAGGGGGTACTACTCTATTCTTCTGGGTCTTACTTTTTTGGTTCAGTATTGTATGATTTCTTCATGTTGACACACGTAGCTCTAGTTCGTTCATTTTCACTTATGGATAGTATAAATATACCAATATTGTGCTCATCCATTGTATCCTTGAAGGATATTTAGTTTTACAACTATTTATAATTAAAAACAATGATGTTTGGAATATTTCCGTACATGTCTTTGGTTGTTCTTCAAATATCTGAGGGGTTCTCTGAGAGCCCAGGTTTGGCAAAGTAAAGCCTACAGGCCGCATTGGGCTACCACCAATTTTTGTAGATAAAATTTTTTTTATTGGAGCACTGCCAAGATCATTTGTTTATACAATGTCTGTAACTGCTTTCACACTTCAACAGCAGAGTTGAATAGTTGTGACAGATACCATATGTTTTGCAAAGCCAAAAGTATTTTCTGGTCTTTCATAGAAAAGGTTTGCTGACCCTGCTCTAGTGTACTAGGGGAACAATTGCTGGGTCATGAGGTATGATATCTTGGACCTCACTAGATATTGCCAAATTGCTTTCCAAGGTGTTTATACCTGTTTATTCCCCTGAAGAAGTGTAGGAGAGTATCATTCTTTCACCTTCTTGCCAATACTTGAAGTGGTCTGCATTTTATGGTGGTGAAATTATATCTTATTGTGGTTTTAATTCTCATTTCCCTGATTCCTCATAAGATTGAGTACATTATTATTTTTGAGACGGAGTCTCGCTCTGTTGCCCTGTTGCCCAGGCTGGAGTGCAGTGCCTCGATCTCAGCTCATTGCAACCTCTGCCTCCCAGGTTCATGCGATCCTCCTGCCTCAGCCTCCCAAAGTAGCTGGGATTACAAGCATGCACCACCACCCCAGCTAATTTTTCTATTTTTAGTAGAGTTAGGGTTTCACCATGTTGGCTAGGCTAGTCTTGAACTCCTGACCTCAAGTGATCTGCACGCCTTGGCCTCCTAAAGTGCTGACATTATAGGTGTAAGCCACCATGCCTGGCCATGTTTTCTTTTTATGAAATACCTTTTAATTTTTTTGCCCATGTTAACACTGAATTGTTTTCTTGCTGATTTGTAGAAATTCTTTATGTATTTTGTGGGGTTTTTTTGTTTTGTTGGGTTTTTTTTTGAGACAGGGTCTTGCTCTGTCACCCAGGCTGGAGTGCAGCGGCACGATCTTGGCTCTGCCTCCTAGTTTCAAGCAATCCTCCTGCCTCAGCCACTTGAGTAGCTGGGATTACAGGCATGTGCTACAATGCCTGACTAATTTTTGTGTTTTTTGTAGAAATGGGGTTTCACCATGTTTGCCAAGCTGGTCTCAAACTCCTGGCCTCAAGTGATCCACCTGCCTCGGCCTCCCAAAGCGCTGGGATTGTAGGTGTGAGCTGCCACGCCTGGCCCAAAATTCTTTATGTATTTTGGATACTAATTCTTTGTTACAGAGTTAGCAGGTATCTTCCAGTTTTTAGTTTGTCTCTTCACTTCGTGATGTTTATTAATGAACAGAAGATGTTAAACTTATGTAATTTTATTAATCATTTTCTTGATATCTCATGTTTTTAAAGATGCTATTGTGTTCTCTTCTAAGAGGTATACAGCTCTGCTTTCACAATTAAGTCCTCCTATCATTTTTGTTTTTGTCCTTTACCTATGTGCTGTCCAATTGACTGGAGTACACATGTAGCCACTGACTACATGTAGTCAGTGGCTACATGTGGGTATTTAAAAAAAGAAAACAGATTTATAGAGGTATAATTGACATACAATAAATGGTACACATTTAAAGTATACTCTGATAATTTTTGACATATGCGCATGTCAAGCCATCATCACATTCAAAGCAATAAACATCTATCACGCCCAAAAGTTTCCTTGTGACCATTTGCAATTATCCCACATTCTCCAATCTCCATTTCTAGGTAACCACTGAGCCGCTTTCTGTCTTGTAGATTATTTTTTCTATAATTTTATATACAGTCATATGTTGCTTAACAACAGGGATATGTTCTGAGAAATGTGTCTTAGGTGATTTTGTGTTGGTGTGCGAATATCAGAGTGTACTGACACAAACCTAGATGGTATAGCCTACTGCACACCTAGATTGTATATAGCGTGTTGCTCCTAGGCTACAAACCTGTATGCAGGTGGTATGGTATCATTGTTAACTTCCTGATTTTGATGGGATCGTAGTTATGTAGGAGACTGTCCTTGTGTGTAGGAATTAAATACTATAAATATTTAAAATTGATGGGATTTGGTGGTTTACACACTATTGCTTCAAGAAAAAGAAAATAGAATTATTCTTGCAAAAAAGGAAAGGTAAAGCTGAAGATATAAAAAGATCAGAAACCCGGATACTTTTAGGAATCTAGGTAGCAGTTTCATCAGGGTCTTGCTGCTGGATGTGTACCAGATAACAGTCTGTTTTTTTTTTCAATGACGAGAATAAATAAGAAACAGCAGCATTTGGAGTCACCATTTGGTTATGATAATTCACTGTCATTTTCCAAGAGCTATCAGACTTTTGCAGTGGTCAAACTATGTAATAGGAATAGATGGGATTTACCACCCCTTCTTCTTTCATGTTTTAGTGGTGGCAGGAATCTTTGTTATTCTTTGAAGGATGCGACAGTGCTTTTAAATTATTAGTTTGGAGTAGAGTCTCATTGTTGAGGTGCTCCAAAGTCTTGCACTTGGCCTTTTCTACCATAATAGGCTTCCTAACCTATCAGTTAAGAGCTTTCAGGAGAAGCTATTAGTTTTTGTCCAGCTAGTTGATATTCCATTCAGTCTGTGGAATTGGGGAATTGTGTACTATGTAATACTAAATAGTATTACTGCTTAAATAAACCCTTTAAATAAGGGCTAAAGTGAAAGCAGTGTAGCCTTTTTTTTTTCATTTGGACTATTTCTTCAGAAAAAAAATTCTCAAAACTGAATTATTTGCTTAAACAATGTATACCTTTTGATGGTTGCCAATAAGTATTTTCAAATTGCTTCCCTGAAGGCTTTACATCTCCATACTACTTTGGAATTGGAATTCTGTAAGAACTCTTAAGTGATTGAGAGTATGTGCCCTAGAGTTGTACTGCCTAGGTTCGAATTCCAGCTTCTCCACTTACTGAGAGTTGACAGCGTGCTGGCAGCCCTCGCTGGCTCTCAGCGCCTCCTCAGCCTTGGCGCCTACTCTGGCTGCGCTTGAGGAGCCCTTCAGCCCGCCACTGCACTGTGGGAGCCCCTCCCTGGGCTGGCCGAGGCCGGAGCCGGCTCCCTCAGCTTGTGGGGAGGTGTGGAGGGAGAGGCGCGGGTGGGAACTGGGGCTGCGTGCTGCACTTGTGGGCCAGCGCGAGTTCCAGGTGGGCATGGGCTCCGCAGGCCCTGCACTCGGAGCGGCCAGCTGGCGCTGCTGGCCGCAGGCAGTGAGGGGCTTAGCACCCGGGCCACTAGCTGCAGAGGGTGCGCCGGGTCCCCCAGCAGTGCTGGCCCACCGGCGCTGCGCTGGATTTCTCGCCGGGCCTTAGCTGACTCCCCATGAGGCAGGGCTTGGGACCTGCAGCCTGCCATACCTGAGGCCCCCCCCCCGCCACCCCCCCGCCTCACACAGCCCAAGCCTCCCCGATGAGCACCACCCCCTGCTCCACGGTGCCCGGTCCCGTCGACTGCCCAAGGGCTGAGGAGTGCGGGCCCAAGGGCTGAGGAGTGTGGGCGCAAGGCCCGGGACTGGCAGGCAGCTCCACCTGCGGCCCCGGTGCGGGATCCACTGCAAAGCCAGCTGGGCTCCTGAGTCTAGTGGGGACTTGGAGAACCTTTATGTCTAGCTAAGGGATTGTAAATACACCAATCAGCACTCCGTATCTAGCTCGAGGTTTGTAAACACGCCAGTCAGCACCCTGTGTCTAGCTCAGGGTTTGTGGATGCAACAATCAGCACTCTGTATCTAGCTAATCTGGTGGGGACTTGGAGAATCTTTATGTCTAGCCAAGGTATTGTAAATATACCAGTCAGCACTCTGTGTCTAGCTCAAGGTTTGTAAATGCACCAATCAGTGCTCTGTGTCTGGCTAATCTAGTGGGGACTTGGAGAACTTTTGTGTCTATCTCAGGGATTGTAAATGCACCAATCAGCACCCTGTCAAAACGGACCAATCAGTTCTCTGTAAAACAGACTAATCAGCTCTCTGTAAAATGGACCAATCAGCAGGATGTGGGTGGTGCCAGATAAGGGAATAAAAGCAGGCTCAGCCAACATTGGCAACACGGTGGGGTGGCTTCCACACCGTGGAAGCTTAGTTCTTTTGCCCTTTGCAATAAATCTTGCTGCTGCTCACTGGGTCCACACTGTCTTTATGAGCTGTAACACTCACTGCGAAGGTCTGCAGCTTCACTCCTGAAGCCAGGGAGACCACCAACCCACCAGAAGGAACGAACAACTCCAGACGCGCAGCATTAAAAGCTGTAACACTCACCGGGAAAGTCTGCAGCTTCATTCCTGAAGCCAGCGAGACCACGAACCCACCAGAAGGAAGAAACTCCGAACACATCCGAACATCAGAAGGAACAAATTCTGGACACACTGCCTTTAAGAACTGTAACACTCGTGGCAAGGGTCTGCGGTTTCATTCTTGAAGTCAGTGAGACCAAGAACCCACCAATTCTGGACACATTACTACCTTTGTAACCTTCAGTAAAACTATTTGCACCAGGGTATCCTTACCTATAAAATAGAGATGTTATAACAATTTATTGGTTTTTGCCTTTATGACATGCATATTTTCTTGCTTAAGAAAATTTTCCTTAGGCTGGGTGTGGTGGCTCACACCTCTAATCCCAACACTTTGGGAGGCTGAGGTGGGCAGATTGCTCGAGCCCAGGAATTCAAGACCAGCCTGGGCAACATAGTGGAACCCCCTCTGTACAAAAAATACAAAAATTAGCTGGGCGTGGTGGCGTGCACCTGTAGCCAGCCCAGGCAAACCCAGCTGCTTGGGAGGCCCAGGTGGGAGGATCGCTTGAGCCGAGGAGGCAGAGGTTGTGGTGAGCCAAGATCATGCCACTGCATTGCAGCCCGGGTGACAGAGTGAGACTCTGTCTGAGGAAAAAATGAAAAGAATACTTAAGTGAGAGTTAGTATACTAGATGGTGCTGTCTTTTAATGCACTTCTCGTTTTATGTCATTAAAAAAATTAAAATATAAAGTAGGAAATAAATACTATAGTTAAGGAAGACAACATAAAAATACCAGTTGCTTAATATATAAATTTAGTGCAGTTTCAATCAGAATCTCAAGAAGGTTTTTTAATTTTGCAAGTTGCTACTAAAGTTCCTTTGGAAAAGTATGTGGGAGAATTTTCTTTTTACTTTTTTTTTTTTTTTTTTGGGTAGAGATAGGGTCTTACTATGTTGCACAGACTGGTCTTGAACTCCTGGGCTGAAGCTATCCCCTCCTGCCTTGGCCTGCCAAAGTGCTGGGATTACAGATGTAAGCCACCGCGCCTGCACCTCCCTCCCCCTTTTTTAAGCGACAGGATCTCTGTGTTGTCCAGGCTGGAGTATAGTAGCTATTCACGGGTTCAATCACAGTGCACTATAGCTTCTAACTCCTGGGCTCAAGCATCCTCCTGCCTCAGCCTCACAAGTAGCTGGGACTGCAGGCATGAGTGACTGCACCCAGCTATGTAAGATTAATTTTTTTGTTTTTGTTTTTTTTGGAGGCAGAGTCTTGCTGTCACCCAGGCTGAAGTGCAATGGCATGATCTCGGCTCACTGCAGCTTCTGCCTCCCAAGCTCAAGTGATTCTTGAGCCTCAGCCTCCTGTAACTGGGGTTATGGGTGTGGTGGCACACAACTGTAATCCCAGCTACTCTGGAAGCTGAGGCACAAGAATTGCTTTAACCTGGGTGGCGGAGGTTGCAGTGAGCTGAGATTGAGCCACTGTACTGTAGCCTGGGCGACAGAGCAAGGCTCTGTCTCAAAAAAAAAAAAAAAGGAAAACTAAAAAGAAAAGAAAAAGGCCAGGTTCAGTGGCTCATGCCTGTAATCCCAGCACTTTGGGAGGCCGAGGCGGCAGATTACTGAAGGTCAAGAGTTCGAGACCAGCCTGGCGAACATGGTGAAATCCCGTCTCTACTAAAAATACAAAAATATTAGCCTGGTGTGGTGGCACATACCTATAATCCCAGCTACTCGGGAGGCTGAGACAGGAGAATCTCTTGAACCCAGGAGGCAGAGGTTGCAGTGAGCCAAGATCACGCCTCTGCACTCCGGCCTGGGTGACAGAGTGAGACTGTCTCAAAAAAAGAAAAAGAATTGAGGGATACTTAAACTACCAATTATTAAAAAGTACTATAAATAGATTAGTAGGATGAGTTTAGAAATAGATCTAAGGCAAAATGTAGCATATAATAAAGGTGACATTTCAGATGAATAGGGAAAGTATGAATTAGTCATTTTTAGGTCATTGCAAAATATCTCTTTGTTCATGTTAGGCTTTTGACCAAAAGTGTGATTTAAATAATATTGCATCTAAGGATATTTATTTTTAGCTCGTTTTTTCACTTGCCATTTTGTTTTAGGTGATTTTTGTGAATGGCTGAATTATTTGTATACTGTAGGTAAATTTTGTTTTGTTTTCTTTCTTTTACTCTTTAGGAGACTGAGTCTTGCTCTGTCGCCCAGGCTGGAGTGCAGTGGCACGATTATAGCTCACTGCAGCCTTGAACTCCTGAGCTCAAGTGATCCTCCTGCCTCCTCCTCTGAAGAAGTTAGAACTAACAGATGCATGCCACTAAACCTGGTTAATTAAAAAAAAAAATTTTTTTTTTTTTTTTGTAGAGACAGAATGTGGCTGTGTTCCCCAAGCTGGTCTCCTGGCCTCAAGTGGTCCTCCTGCCTTGGCCTCCCAAAGCACTGTGAATGTAGGCATGAGCCACTGTACCCTGCCAAATTTTGTGTTTTGAATGTGCTGTAGAACTTCTGAGAGTTCGCCTCATTTATTCATTCACATTTATTGTAGTAGAAGTTTTTTTTTTGTTTGTTTGTTTTTTAATTTACTTCAGTTTGTTTAAAAAGAAAGAGGATAGCCAGGCACAGTAGCACATGCTTATAGTCCCAGCTGCTTGGGAGGCTGAGGCAGGAGGATTGCCTGAGCCCAGGAGGTCAAGGTTGTAGTATGTGATGATCACACCTGTGAATTAGCCTGCACTCCAGCCTGGGCAACATATTGAGACCCTGTTGTTAAAAAAAAAAAAAAATAGAAGAAAGGGTTTTATCAAAAGCTAGTAAACACCCCAAATAATTGAAAGGGCTGAAGAAACATACAGTATACTCTAGGCTGAGCTTCCATGAAATAACTTCTGCAACCAGATTGCAAACTGGATGGGCTATGAAGCTGTCCTTGCTGTGATTTCTGCCGGCAAAATTGATACCTTTTCTCTGCTTTTTTTTTATTTTAAATATTGCAAAATAAGCATATGTATAGAAAAGGTCATAAAACATAAATGTACACTTCAATGAATAATTATAAACTGAACACCATCCAGTTAGGAAAGAACATTGTCTGCACTGCAGATATCTGTATGTCCTTTCTGATTTCATATTTCTATCTCCCCCTAAAAAACTACCTTCCTGACTTTCATCATGAGAGTTCTGTAATGGTTTACTTGTTTTTCTTAATAGTTTCACCACTTTTCTCTAAACATGATGGTTGTTTTTGAAGAAAGTCATGCTCTATGTGTTCTTTTATCATGTGCTGCTTGTGAGATTCTTGTGTGCTTTATGTAGTATTGTCCATTTTCATGTTGAACAACTTGGGCTGTTGCCCATTTGTAGCCCTTATTATTGTTTTAGAGACAGGGTCTTGCTGTATTTCCCAGGCTGTAAACTCCTGGGCTCAAGCGATCCCCCTGCCTCACAGCCTCCTGAGCAGCTGGTACTACAGGCACATACTACCATGGTTGACTCATGTATTTGTTGTGTATGTATGTTAATTTGTGGTATATACCTAGGAGGTAGTCAAAGAGTATACATATCTTTACCTTTAATAAGTAATGCCTAAATGTTACCTGCAATGTACCAGTTTACACTTTCACAGTAGTTGATGATAGTACATGTTGCTCCATTTTCTTGACCACAGTTCGGTTGCTATTGTCGAACTTTAATTTGTGCGGTCTTGTAGTTATGCAGCACTATCTCATTGTGGTTTTAAATTAGTATTTCTCTGATAATTAAAGAAGCTGAATACCTTTGCATATTTTGTGGCTGTTTGGATTTCCTATTTTGTAAAAGGCTTGTTTAAGCTTTTTGTCCATTCTCCCATTTGGGTAGTCTGTCTCATTGATTTGATTTGTAGGAAAATTTTATATATTCTGGATGCTTTTCCTTTGGCGCGTAGGTGTGTGTATTCTGTTCTCTGTGTTGTTTTTATTCTAATAATGGTATCTTCTGAAGAATAGATTTTTTTAGTTGCTTTTAAAAAAGATGTGCAATGTGATAGATGATTTTATGTATGTATACATTGTGAAATGATTACCACAGTCAAGTTAATTAACACATCCATCACCTCACATAGTTACCTTTTTTTGGTGGTGAGAACACTCAAGATTTATTTTCAGCAAATTTCAAGTATACAAAACAGTATTATTAACTATACTCTCTGTGTTGTACATTAGATACTAAGAACTTACTCATAATGGGAAGTTTGTGCTGTTTGACCAACATCTCCCCACTTCTCCTAACCCCTAATCCCTGGCAACCGTCCTTCTACTCTTTCCTTCTGTGACTTTTTCTTTAGATTCCACGTATAAGTAAGATCACACAGTATTTGTTTTTTCTGTGTTTGGCATATTTCACTTAGCATAATGTCCTACAGGTTCATCCTTGTGTTGCACATGGCAGGATTTCCTTTTTTTTTTTTTATGGCTGAACGATATTCCATTGTGTATACATACATTTTCTTTATTTATTTATCTCTTGCTGGATACTTAGATTGTTTTCATATCTTGGATGTTTTGAATAATTCTGCAGGGAGTGTTGAGGTACATGTATCTCTCTGAGAGACTGATTTCATTTTCTTTGGATATACATTCAGAGGTGCAATTCCTGAGTCATATGGTACTTCTATTTTTAGATATATTTTTAATTCTATAATATTTTCCATAATAGCTATGCCAATTTACATTTCTATCAGCAGTGTACAAATGTTCTCCCTTCTTCACATCCTGGCCAGCACTTGTTTACTGTTATCTTTTTGATAATAGCCATCCTAATAGGTGTGAGGTTATCTCTCTCTTTATTTTTTTAATTTTTTTTTAGATGGGTCTTCTCGCTCTGTTGCTCAGGCTGGAGTGCAGTGGTGTGATCACTGTAGCCCCAGACTCCTTGGCTCAATGGAACCTTCTGTCTCAGCCTCCTGAGTAGCTAGGACTACAGATGTGTGCTACCATGCCCGGCTAATTTTTAAATTTTTAGTGGAGATGGGTCTCGTTATGTTGTCTATGCTGGTGATAAATTCCTGGCCTCAAGCGATCTTCCTGTCTCATTTTGTTTTTGATTTGAATTTCCGTCATGATGCTTGATGTTGAGCTTCTGTTCATATACTTGTTGCCCATTTGTATGACTTCTTTGACAAATGTCTATTCAGGTCATTTGCCCAGTTTTTTTTTGTTTTTGTTTGTTTTGTTTTGTTTTGTTTTGTTTTGTTTTGAGACAGAGTCTCGCCCTGTCGCCCAGGCTGGAGTGCAGTGGCATGATCTCGGCCCACTGTAAACTCCACCCCCTGGGTTCAAACTATTCTCCTGTCTCAGCCTCCCCAGTGGCTAGGATTACAGGCGCCTGCCACCATGCCTGGCTAATTTCTGTATTTTTCGTAGAGACGGGGTTTCACCGTGTTAGCCAGGCTGGTATTGAACTCCTGACCTCCTGATCCACCCACTTCGGCCTCCCAGAGTGCTGGGAATACAGGCATGAGCCACCGCGCCCGGCCTGCCCAGTTTTTAACTGTGTTTTTGTTTGTTTGTTTGTTTTGCTATTGAGTTGTATGATTTCCTTATATATTTTGGATATTAATATCTTACCACATAGTGTAAAGTTTGTAAATATTTTCTCCTGAAAGTTGCCTTTTCATTTTGTTGATGGTTTCCTTTCCCGTGCAGAAGCCTTTTAGTTTGATGTAGCCCAACTGTTTTTTTCTGCTTTTGTTGCTGTTTTTTTTGTTTGTTTGTTTGTTTTTTTGAGACAGAGTCTCGCTGTACTACACAGGCTGGAGTGCAGTGGCGTGATCTCAGCTCGCTGCAATCTCTGCCTCCTGAGGTTAGGATCCCTCCTGAGCTGGGATTACAGGTGTGCGCTACCATGCCTGGCTAATTTTTGTATTTTTAGTAGAGACAGGCTTTCACCATGTTGGTCAGGCTGGTCTAGAACTCCTGACCTCATGGTCCACCCACTTTGGCTTTCCAAAGTGCTGGGATTACAGGCATGAGCCACTGCACCCAGCCTGTTGCCATTTCTTTTGGTGGTCATATTAAAAAAGTAATTGCCAAGACCAACGTCGAGATTTTTCCTTATGTTTTTTTTCTAGGAGTTTTGTGCTTTTTGTTTTTCTTTTCTTTTCTTTCTTTCTTTTTTTTTGAGGCAGATTCTCGCTCTGTTGCCCAGGCTGGAGTGCAGCGGCACGATCTTGGCTCACTGCAACCTCCACCTCCAAGGTTCAAGCGATTTGCCTGCCTCAGCTGCCTGAGTAGCTGGGATTACAGGCGCACACCACCACATCTGGCTAATTTTTATATTTTCAGTAGAGATGGGGTTTCATCATGTTGGCCAGGTTGGTCTCGAACTCCTGACCTCAGGTAATCCACCCACCTTGGCCTCCCAAAGTGCTGGGATTACATGTGTGAGCCACCGCATCCGGCCTGAGTTATGCTTTCAATGTATTTCTTACATTTCAGTTTTTAATCACTTTCCAGTTAATTTTTGTGTATGGTATAAGACAAGGGTACAATTTCATTCTTTTGCATGTGGATATCCAGGTTTTCCAGTGCCATTTATTGAAGACTATCCCTACCTCAGAGTTTTGTTTGTTTGTTTGTTTGTTTGTTGTTTTGAGACAGGATCTCACTCTGTTGGCCAGGCTGGAGTGCAGTGGCACCATCTCCACTCACTGCAGCCTCCACCTCCTGGGTTCAAGTGATTCTCCCACCTCAGCCTCCTGAGTAGCTGGGACTACAGGCACACATGCCTGGCTATTTTTTGTATTTTTTTTTTTTTTTTTTTTTGAGACGGAGTCTCGCTCTGTCGCCCAGGCCAGACTGCGGACTGCAGTGGCGCAATCTCGGCTCACTGCAAGCTCCGCCTCCCGGGTTCACGCCATTCTCTTGCCTCAGCCTCCAGAGTAGCTGGGACTACGGGCACCTGCCACCACGCCCAGCTAATTTTTTGTATTTTTAGTAGAAACGGGGTTTCACCATAGTCAGGATGGTCTCGATCTCCTGACCTCGTGATCCGCCCACTTTGGCCTCCTAAAGTGCTGAGATTATAGGCGTGAGCCACCACTCCCAGCGTGTTAAGAGTTATCTCAAAAAAAAAAAAAAATTATCGGCCAGGCGTGGTGGCTCACGCCTGTAATCCCAACACTTTGGGAGGCCAAGGCGGGCAGATCACGAGGTCAGGAGATCGAGACCATCCTGGCTAACACAGTGAAACCCCGTCTCTACTAAAAAAATACAAAAAAATTAGTTGGGTGTGGTGGCAGGCGCCTGTAGTCCCAGCTATTTGGGAGGCTGAGGCAGAAGAATGGCGTGAACCTGGGAGGCGGAGCTTGCAGTGAGCCGAGATCATGCCACTGCTCTCCAGCCTGGACGACAGAGCGAGACTCTGTCTCAAAAAAAAAAAAAAGGAACACTCATTTACTGTCTTTATTACTGATTTTTCTTTTTGCTTATGTTGGATTACAAGTCTGCATTTTTATTTTTTTTCTTAACATAATTCTATTCCTTTAAACTTCCAGGAATTCTTCATCTTTGCCTATGACCTTTCTGTGTGTGTCTATATGTTGTGGATTTATTTCTAACATTTACATTCTGTCCTTTCAGTGGGATTTTGGTGGGGAGAATATGTCATTGTTTGGACTCATTTTGCCATCATGAACTATAAGTTGCAGTTTGTTTAGTGTTACATAATACTTCAGAATTGTTGAATGACAGTGAATTTAATTAAACAGTATAGGGTTTGTAATTTAATATACAGGGATTCTGCCCCTAAATATTTGAGTTATCTGAAGCAGGTTTCTTAATTATTCAAAGTATTGATATCCTTATCTGCAAAATGAGGAATAAGTAAATAAATAAAGGGAATAATCATATCTGTCTCATAAGTTCGTCACAAGCATTATTTGAGATAATACATGTAAAGCTCTTAGTATAGAACTTGGTATACAGTGAATATACTCAGTAAATGTAATTTGTTAAGTAGTGACTATTCAAAATAGTTATTTCAAAAACAAATCAAGCCGAGTGCGGTGGCTCATGCCCATGATCCCAGCACTTTGGGAGGCCGAAGCGGGTGGATCACCCAAGGTCAGGAGTTTGAGACCAGCCTGACCAACATGGCGAAACCCCATCTCTACTAAAAATACAAAAATTAGCTGGGGATGGTGGCAGGCGCCTGTAATACCAGCTACTCGAGAGGCTGAGTCAGGAGAATCACTTGAACCCAGGAGGCAGAGGTTGCACTCCAGCCTGGGTGACAGAGTAAGACTCAATCTAAAAAACAACAAAACAGAAAAACAAGTAGCTTTTTCAGAAAGCCTTTTAGAAGAGATATGAGTAAACAGATGCTAAGTGGCTGGCTAAATGATACCACAACTCTTGAATCAAAACTGATTCAGATTAAAAAAACCTCTTAACACATTCTTTCCTATCAATGTAGTTAGGACTAAGAGTCATGTAGCAGTAGTAAACCTGTCCTGTAATATATTTCTCTTAGGATTGGTTTGATAGTTGTATCATAATTGCATTATTTATAACATTAATTTATTAATGTATTCATTAATTAACCTAAGTCCTTTAGTAGTTTTCAGAATATTTTTCTTAAATTGTTTCCTGTGCTAATTCGAATGTTAACATGCTAATTCAGAGTTTGTTGCCATTTGTATCCTGACAGTGTATTAATGTTTATACTTGCAAGAGTGAAATATTTTATTTCTTATTACAGCGGAATGGCCAAAGACTATGACGGGTCTTCCTAGCACATCAGGGACAACTGCCAGTGTGGTCATCATTCGGGGCATGAAGATGTATGTAGCTCACGTAGGTGACTCAGGGGTGGTTCTTGGAATTCAGGATGACCCGAAGGATGACTTTGTCAGAGCTGTGGAGGTGACACAGGACCATAAGCCAGAACTTCCCAAGGAAAGAGAACGAATCGAAGGACTTGGTGGGAGGTAACATTCTGTCGTTTTCTCTTTCCTCTTTTGGTTCTATTTAGTCCTTTTATGCTTTACTAATGAAATTGACCTACTACTGTCCCTTTTACTGAAGTTACTTTCTTAGTATTACAGGTTTTTTAGTTTGTCTGATGTAATACTCATGTATGTATGTTCATATTTTTCTCATTACTATGAATTGACTTTTATTTCTGATAATGACTCTAATAGGAAATAATATTTCAGTGAGCCCCAAGGAAACAATTCAAGGTTTTACTGAAAACCTTTCAGATGACTTTCAGAATCTAGACGGAGCAGCTCTTGGAGTTCCAGAGTAGAACACTTTGAATCTGGCTGGGGGAAAAAGATTAAGTTAGAATTAACCTTCAGCTTTTTTCATTGATTTCAGATTTACTGCAAACCTTTCCAGTTATTGTTTTCTTTGTTTGAACTTAGCGTTTCAATGTGTAAGTAATTTGTAAACTAGGAACTGAAATTGATTTCAATTTTATATTTTTATGATTCAAACTTAAATGAAAGATTATTCTAAAAATCAAGAGAGTGAATAACATGAAAAAATTTAAAAATTATCTCAATACTAATTTTTAAAAATTGAGGATATGAGGCAAGTTGAGTAGAATCCAATGTTTTCTAAATAATCCTTCTAACTAAAGCCTTCCCATGATATCGTTACTTGCCTCTTTTTTGCTTTTATTAAATCAAAATTGGTCTTTTGCAGAGAAACGACAAACTAAGGAAAATAATTAGCATCTGGCTGGGCACTGTGGCTCACACCTGTAATCCCAGCACTTTGGGAGGCTGAGGCGGGCACATCACCTGAGGTCGGGAGTTCGAGACCAGCCTGACCAACATGGAGAAACCCCGTCGCTACTAAAAATACAAAATTAGCTGAGTGTGGTGGCACATGCCTGTAATCCCAGCTACTCCGGAGGCTGAGGCAAGAGAATCACTTGAACCTGGGAGGCAGAGGTTGTGGTGAGCTGAGATTGCACCATTGCACTCCAGCCTGGGCAACAAGAGCAAAACACCATCTCAAAAAAGAAAAAAGAATTAGCATCCTTAAACTATAAGGAGTTCAACAAATTAATAAAGTACTAAAGTGTGAGGCTGGGCGCAGTGGCTCACGTCTGTAATCCTAGCACTTTGGGAGACCGAGGCGGGTGGATTGTCTGAGCTCAGGAGTTCGAGACCAGCTTGGGGAACATGGTGAAACCCCATCTCTGCTAAAATACAAAAGAAATTAGCCGGGCGTGGCAGCGTGCAACTGTAGTCCCAACTATTCGGGAGGCTGAGGCAGGAGAATTGCTTGAACCCAGGAGGCAGAGGTTGCAGTGAGCTGAGATTGCGCCACTGCACTCCAGCCTGGGCGACAGAGCGAGACTCCATCTCTTAAAAAAATAAAAATAAAATAAAATAAAGTACTAAGGTGCATGGCAACCCCGGTTAGGTGGATAAAGGAGAGAAAGTTTGAACAACAAAAAAATGCAAAACAGTAGTAAACATTTGGTGAAATAAAAGTAAAACATTAAGATGAAACTTCATTTCCTGTTATTAGATTAGGAAAGATAAAGAGATTCCTCTCAATATTTTTATTGAAATGGTTACCTTCTTGGTAAGATTACAAATTGGTACTACCTATATAGAAAATAATATATACCAGTAGCTTTAAATGTTTAGGGAATCTAAAGAAGAAATCTGAACTGTGGACAAAAATATCTGAATAGAGTTACTGATTGCAGCATTTGTAATGACTGTTAAAGGCCAGAAGTAACTTGAAGGCCTAACAGCTGGATAATGGTTAAGTATATTTAGCAACATATTCATAATGCTGAATATGATACAGCCATTAAAAATAACATTTATAGATAAGTTTATAAAACTCATGGTGTTTTGAAATTTTTCCAAGTAAAGGTAGAGTAATATGAACTCCCATGTATATGGGGAAGGTTTAATGATAGAGGAAAATGTTTATGGTCACAAAAAAGCAGGATATAAAATTATATTTCTGGTGTTAGCAATGCAGAGACATGGGAATAAGATGGAAATATTCTAAATTTTTATAAATGAGTGATGAGATTTTATGCCATACGTTTATTTTTATTTTTTTAATGGCGACATTCATTTGGTTCAAATTCAGGTAGCATAAAAAAGAGGATATGCTATGGAAGGTCTCTCAGCTGCTACTGTCCCAAAGGCCACCTCGTTCCCCTCCACTTGCTAAGCAACCAGTATGGCTGTGTGTCCTTTCAAAAGAGAGATATTCATATACAATCAAATATATTATGGAGCTGTACCATGTACAGATGTACCGTCATTTATTTTAATCAGTCTCCTATTGAAGGATTTTTATTTCTAATTTTTTTTTGTTATTGCAAACTGCTGTGAAATGAAAAATCTGCACATATGTGTTTTTGTGCACTTGCCAGTATATTTGTAGGATCATTTCCTAAAAGTGGAATTGCTTGGCCAAAGAGGTGTATGTTTTGAATATTGATAACTATTTGTCTCTATAAAGGTTGTACCAATTTACACTTCTACCATCAGTGTATGTGGATGTCCTGGACAACAAATAAAACTTTTTGATCATATCCAGTTTCAGGTTTAAAAAAGAGGTGTCTCAATGATGTGTTTTTTTGGGGTTTTTTTTGTTTTTTTTTTTTGAAACGGAGTCTGGCTCTTTCGCCCAGGCTGGAGTGCAGTGGCGCGATCTCGGCTCACTGCAAGCTCGGCCTCCTGGGTTCATGCCATTCTCCTGCCTGAGCCTCTCTAGTAGCTGGGACTACAGGCGCCTGCCACCACGCCCGGCTAATTTTTTGTATTTTTAGTAGAGATGGGGTTTCACCATGTTAGCCAGGATGGTCTTGATCTCCTGACCTCATGATCCACCCACCTCAGCCTCCCAAAGTGCTGGGATTACAGGCGTGAGCCACTGCACCCGGCAATGATGTTGTTTTAAAAAAAAATTTTAAGAAATAGAAATGAGGTCTTACCATGTTGCCCAGGCTGGTCTTGAACTCCTAGGCTCAAGCGATCCTCCCACCTTGTCCTCCCAAATTGTTGGGATTACAGATGTGAGCCACGTGCCCAGCTTCAGTAATGTTTTAATTTGAATTTATCTTATGAGAAATATTGAATCTTTTTATATATTTAAGAGCCATTTATATTTTCTTTTCTCTGTATTTCTTTTAATATTTATTATTCATTTTGGGGGATTGTTGTTAGCCATTTTTTTCCCACATTAATGTGTAGGGGCTAGCTGTACATTAAAGAAATTAGTCTGATGTATGTGATGTGAATTTTAGATATTGTTTCCACAGTTTGTCTTTTGATTATGCTCCTGGAACTTTTTCCACGTGGAAGTTTCTTTTAATGTAGTTAAATTTATTAGTCTCTTCTGTTACAACTTTTTGGGTTTTATGCCACACACACAGTGAAGCTTTTTAATAAAGTCTGCTATATTTTCTTTTAGTACAACAGGAATATTTTTGGTCTTAGAAACTCTGTTTGTTCATTGTATTTGTTTTTGACATGATCTCACTCTGTTGCCCAGGCTGCAGTGCAGTAGCACAATCATGGCTCACTGCAACCTCAAATGATCTTCCCATGTTAGTCTCTTGAGAGCTGGGACTACAGGTGCACGTGTGCCAACATGCCAGCTAATTTTCTTTTTCTTTCTTTTTTTTTTTTGAGACAGAGTCTTGCCCTGTTACCCAGGCTGGAGTGCAGTGGCGGGATCTGGGCTCACTGCAACCTCTGCCTCCCAGGTTCAAGCGATTCTCCTGCCTCAGCCTCCTGAGTAGCTGGGATTACAGGTGCCCGCCACCATGCCCAGCTAATTTTTGTATTTTTAGTAGAAACGGGGTTTCACCGTTTTGGTCAGGCTGGTCTTGAACTCCTGACCTTGTGATCCGCCCACCTCTGCCTCCCAAAGTGCTGGGATTACAGGTGTGAGCCAATTCGCCTGACCAGGAAGGAGTATTTTGCTCACTTTTCCATAAATGTTTGTCTTTGATACTGTTTCAAAACTCAAGAAATGATAGTTTCTTAAGGTATCTGAAACTTTATTAATGAACTTTGCATATTCTTACATTAACAGCCATTAGTCAGTCAATGAAGACATTAGTTGAATAGAAATTTTTTTTTTTTTTTGAGACTTGAGTTTTGCTCTTATTGCCCAGGCTGGAGTGCAGTGGCACGATCTCGTCTCACCGCAACCTCTGCTTCCTGGGTTCTCAGCCTCCGGAGTAGCTGGGATTAGAGGCATGTACCACCACACCCAGCTAATTTTGTATTTTTAGTAGAGACGGGGTTTCACGAACTCCCGACCTCAGGCGATCCACCTGCCTTGGCCTCCCAAAGTGCTGGCATTTCAGGTGTGAGCCACTGCTCCCGGCCCTGAATTGAATGCTTTTTAAAAATCCCTGCATAATTTAAAAAAATTAATGACTTTAATTTTAAGAGTACTTTTAGATTCACAGCAAAATTAAGTGGGAAGCACAGAATTCTCATATATACTTTGGCCTACCCCCCGTCTCCCAGGCTTCCCCACTATCCTTCTCCAGAGTGTTTGTTATAATCAATCAGTGAACCTACACTGACATACTGTTATCACCTGGTGTCCATAGTTTACATTAGGGTTCACTCCGGGTGTTATACATTTTATGGGTTTTGACAAATACGTCATGACACGTATCCATCATTATAGTATCATGCAGATTAGTTTCATCACCGTAAGAGTCCTCTGTACTTTGTCTGTTCATCCCTCCCCCACTTACTCCTGGCAACCACTGCTCTTTTTACTGCCTTCATAATTTTGCTTTTTCCAGAATGTCATATAGTTGGAACCATATAGTATGTAGCCCCTATGCATGACTTTTTAATATATGCATTTATTGTTTGTAATATACTAGGTCACTGAGTTATACAGATCTTGCAAATATTGACACTTTTTATTATACTATATAATATCCAGTCATGCAGCCTCTCAAAAAACTCCACTGTATACATGTGGTCTTAGTAGTATTATGAAAAAAAAAAATGGACCTTGGAGACACCCTGAAAAAGTCTGTAGTAACCTGCCAGGGGCCCCTAAACCACATTTTGAGAACCACTTTGCCAGTACTCGTATGGTTTCATCATCTTTTATATTTTAATCTTTAATCCTTCTGGAATTTTAAGATCTAAGCTATGTAGTAAATAGGCAAGTTAACTTTTTTTCTAGATGGCTACTAGTAGCCACTTGAATAATTATACATCTTTTCATTACTGAGTAGCAGGGTGACCAGGCTTAAGACCCTTCTTTAGTGGGAAGATGACCTTGAATTTACCCTCTTCTTGTATTTCTCTGGTGAAGATAAATGTGAAATATCACCTCTGTTGTAAGACAGCATTGCTTATTGTAGAATGATCCCTGAATGGAATTGCATCTTGGTAGGGAAGTTGTTGAATGGACTGTACATTTCTATTCGGAAGCACAGGCCTTGGCTTCCTTGTATGCATGCAGTTTGTCTTGTGTAGGGACCAAGAAACTGTAGTCATGTGCTATTTATTACATTGGTTTCTGTGACACATGAAGCTTACCTAAGCTAGACCCTGTCGTCTTGCTTACAACTGAGCCATCACTTGGGAGATGGAAAAATGGCTTCTGGCTGTCTGAATCACTGCTGAAGACAATATCCTTGAAGCTGCTATGGTGGCATACTCTATTTCCTGCCCAGTATTCTGCAAAGTTAGATGAACCTCCTTTCAGGCTATAGTCTATTTGATCTTGTGATTGTGAAGGTGAGAATATATCTGACATCTCTGCTGGTTGTCATGCTAAGTGGGCTTTGCAAATTATAAACAGAATTCTTCCATATATTTGGGTCTTTTCTGGGCTATAATTTTTTTCCTGCTTATTTACCAGTATTATAATTTTTAAAACGGAGACTTTATTATAATTTTAAATATTGGTAGGCCTGATTCCTTCTCATTAATCTTCCTTTTAAAAAATACTTTTCTTGGGGCCGGGCACAGTGGCTTACGCTTATAATCCCAGCACTTTGGGAGCCTGAGGCGGGCGGATCACCGGAGGTCAGGAGTTCGAGACAAGCCGGGCCAACATGGCGAAACCCTATCTCTACTAAAAATACAAAAATATTATCCAGGCGTAGTGGCATGTTCCCGTAATCCCAGCTACTCGGGAGGCTGAGGGAGGAGAATCTCTTGAACCTGGGAGGCAGAGGTTGCAGTGAGCCAAGATCCTGCCTCTGCACTCCAGCCTGCCCAACAAGAGTGAAAACTGTCTCAAAAAAAATAAAATAAAATAAAGCAGCTGGCTGCGGCACTTGTAATCCTAGCGCTTTGGAGGCCAAGATGGGAGGATCACTTGAGGTTAGAAGTTTGAGACCAACCTGTTCAACATAGCGGGACCTCCATCTCTAAAAAATTTTTTTATAATTATAAATAAATAAAATAAATGAACAAAAAAGGAAATAATTATTTTCTACAGAAGAAATTACCCTTTTGTGTTTTAAAAATACCTTTCTTGACTATTCTTTCTTGTTTGTTTTTTTACTTGAATTTTAAAATTATATTTTATTTGATTTTAATAATGTTTTTAGAAAGAGTTTTTTGGCTTTATTACCAAAAACACCATCTGGACAGTTGGGCAGATACTCCGCTATTTTGGAGCAGGTAACTTTTTGCAAAAATTGAGCTATTTTATTATAAGTTATTTCCTTGCTTCCCTCTGTCCCGGCCTAGGCAACGGGCCAGCATTTTGTTTTTCCAGCCTTCTGTTGCTGCTCAGTCAGCTCTCTGCGTGTCAGGCTGTTCCTTTTTACATGCCTTTTAATCATATAGGACAACAACAGGAAGTGCAGTAAAAGCATCTTTTATAACATTGCTTTGGTTTTTTGTTACTAGATGTTGAAACTTCTATGTTTTAACCAGTATCATTATTTGTCTTTTTGTTTCTCAGAAACACAGATCATAATATCTTTGAATATTAAGTGTCGAGAGAGCTGCTCGTCTAGTTATGTTGGAAGCAGCTACTGTAAATTACTTAGGTACTAAGCCTTACCTTGTAAGGAGAAGGTTTAGCAAAGAATAATAGAGCTTTAAGATGGTATTAAGGCAGAATGTTGGCATCTTATAACTCTTGTGTTTCATGGATTCTTGTGAATGGCAAGTTTAGTCTTTACTCTGCTGTTGACTTTTGAGAGTCATCATTGAAGAAAGCTTAATACAACAAAATGAATGCCTTTGATATTTTAACTCTTGTTATGATCAACCTATTTATATCAGAACTTATTTAAACTAGTTCTTGGCTGGGCATGGTGGCTCACGCCTGTAATCCCAGCATGTTGGGAGGCCCGGATGGGAGGATGGCTTGAGCCCAGGAGTTTAAGACCAGCCTGGCAAACATAGTGAGATCTGTTCTCTACAAAAAAATTACATGCCTTTGGTCCCAGCTATTTGGGAAGCTGAGGTGGGAGCATCACTTGAGCCTGGGAAGTCAAAGCTGTGGTGAGCCACGATCACACCACTGCACTGCAGCCTGGGCAACAGAACGACACCCTGTCTCAAAACCAAATGAAAACTAGTTCTCAAAAGGGATGGTAGGCTGGGCATGGTGACTCATGCCTGTAAGACTAGCACTTTGGGAGGCTGAGGCAGGCAGATTACTTGAGGCCAGGAGTTCGAGACCAGCCTGGCTAATATGGTTAAACCCCGTCTCTACTAAAAATAAAAAAATTAGCCGGGCATTGTGGCGGGTGCCTGTAATCCTAGCTACTCAGGAGGCTGAGGCTGCAGTGAGTTAAGATCACACCACTGCACTCCAGCCTAGGTAACAGAGCGAGACTGTCTCCAAAAAAAAAAGGGTGGGGGGATGGTGAATGAGCAACTTTCTGGAATTTCTCTTCTTTGTTAACACCCACAATGTTTTCTGGTCATTCTCTACTTGTTTCAGTCTTCCTCTGGACTGTTCAGTATACTCACCACTAGCCACAAATGGCTGTTTAAATTAATAAAAATTAAATTTAAAAAATCAATTCCCATTTGAAGTAAAGCTCATTTCGGTCATGCCAGGCATAGTTTGAGAGACCATCTCTAATGTTTTGATTATCAGTGTTTTTTCCTAAAGAACTAATCATATTTCAGGCCGGGCGCGGTGGCTCACGCCTGTAATCCCAGCACTTTGGGAGGCCGAGGTGGGTGGATCACGAGGTCAGGAGATCGAGACCATCCTGGCTAACCTGGTGAAACCCCGTGTCTACTAAAAATACAAAAAATTAGCCAGGCATGGTGGCAGGTGCCTGTAGTCCCAGCTACTCATAGTCCCAGCTACTCGGGAGGCTGAGGCAGGAGAATGGCATGAACCCGGGAGGCGGAGCTTGCAGTGAGCTGAGATCGCACCACTGCACTCCAGCCTGGGTGACAGAGCCAGACTCTGTCTCAAAAACAAAAAAAAAAACCTAATCATATTTCCAAGTTTTAGGCATTTCTTTTGCTCCTATGACACATTTTAGGAGGGTTTTCTTACTCTTGTAACTCCCAAATCTATATGTCTACAGCTGATCTATTTCACAAAGTCTAGTCTCAAACTTTGAATTACAGAAATACCTAAATATATAGTATTTTCTGTATATTGCTGAAATCATATTAAAACTGCCAACAATTAGCTGGGCATGGTGGCACATGCCTGTATTCTCAGCTACTCAGGAGACTGAGGTGGGAGGATCACTGCAGCCCAGGAGGAAGTCAAGCCTGCAGTGAACCATGAGTGCACCACTGCACTCCAGCCTGGGCGACAGAGACCCTGTATCAGAAAACAAAAAACAGGCTGGGCGCTGTGGCTCACACCTGTAATCCCAGCACTTTGGGAGACTGAAGTGGGAGGATGGCTTAAGCCCAGGACCAGCCCAGGCAACATAGTGAGACCCCGTCTCCTCAAAAAAGAAAAAATTAGGCAGGCGTGGTGGCCCACGTGGTGGCTCCCAGCACTTTGGGAGGCTGAGGTCAAGAGTTCGAGACCAGCCTGGCCAACATGGTGAAACCCTGTCTCTACTAAAAATACAAAAATTAGCAGGCGTGGTAGCGTGTGCCTGTAGTTCCAGCTACTTGGGAGGCTGAGGCAGAATAATCGCTTGAACCCAGGAGGCGGAAGTTGCAGTGAGTCGAGATGGTGCCACTGCACTCCAGTCTGGACAACAAGAGCAAAACTCCATCTCAAAATAAATAAATAAAAATAAACAAAAAAACTGGCTGGGCACGGTGGCTGACGTCAGCCTGTAATCCCATCACTTTGGGAGGCCGAGGTGGGCAGATCACTTGAGGTTGGGAGTTCAAGACCAGCCTGGCCAACATGCTGAAACCCCATCTCTGCTAAAAATACAAAAATAGCCAGGCATGGTAGCATACGCCTGTAATCCAAGCTACTCGGGAGGCTTAGGCAGGAGAATCGCTTGAACCCAGGAGGTGGAGGTTGTGGTGAGCTGAGATCACACCATTGTGCTCCAGCTTGGGCAACAGAGTGAGACTCCATCTCAAAAACAACAACAACAACAAAAATTAAAACTGAAGTTCTGCTGTTTCGCCCGTCCTCAACATAAACACTCAGAACCCTATAACCTTTCCTTTTTAATTGCTTATATCACAATTTAATGCCTATTTATTTATTTATTTATTGAGACAAGAGTCTCGCTCTGTCATCCAGGCTGGAGTACAGTGGTGTGATTCTCGGCTCACTGCAGCCTCTGCCTCCCGAGTTCAAGCAGTTCTCTCTCCACTTAGATAAGGCCTTCTGTCAACCCCCAATTGTTTACTAATTAGGTAGTGTTGCTTTTTTTTTGACATGGTATTTATACTTACTTTTCTTCACATTACATTCATTTGGTTATACTGCCTATTCCAGTAATCTCAAAATTTTCCACTTTGAATCTACCCTAATTCCTCTCTGAACAGGAATTTTGGCTTATGCATCTTTGTATTTGAAACACATAAGACATTATTTTGTAATAATGTAGTCTTATTTTATTAGTGATTTAATATACTGAGCTATCTTAGTTGTTGTATTTTAATCATTTAGATTATTTATGTGAACTCTTTATTTTTAGTGTAATGAACAAGTCTGGGGTGAATCGTGTAGTTTGGAAACGACCTCGACTCACTCACAATGGACCTGTTAGAAGGAGCACAGTTATTGACCAGATTCCTTTTCTGGCAGTAGCAAGAGCACTTGGTAAGTAGGACTTAATTTGGTGAAATTATATTGAATTTTCTACAATATATGGTGGCAAAATAAAAGAGGAGACAGAACTAAACCCTTACTTGGCATATAGTGAGGGTAGAGATATCATGATATTCTATTAACTGCTTTAGAACCTAATCGAAGCCATGCATGGTGGCTCACGCTTATAATCCCAGCACTTTGGGAGGCTGAGGTGGGCGGATCTCTTGAGGTCAGGAGTTTGAGACCAGCCTAGCCAACATGGTGAAACTGCATCTTCACTAAAAAATACAAAAATTAGCTGGGCATAGTGATGTGTAGCTGTAGTCCTAGCTACTCAAGAGGCTGAGTCAGGAGAATTGCTTGAAAGCAGGAGGCAGAGGTTGCAGTGATCGCATCACTGCACTCCAGCCTGGGCGACAGAGCAAGACTCTAAAAAAAAGCCTAATTGAGGGGAAGGTTTAGGTATATAATTCACTGACAGTTGCCCTTTGTTCATGAGTCACGTTCAATGTTTTGCTAATTTCTATCTCTGTTTAGGGAAGTATATGCATATCTAGGCTTAATGTTACCCTTGAAACTATTTTTAAGTATCCCATTCTCCTTTAGCCCTTAATAGTCCTCCTGAGAGCCTTCAAAACCTCTTTTTTCTTTAGTTAGGAAAGTAAAATAACTATGAAAAAAATAGTTATATTTCTGGTCTACCTGGCTTTGGAAAGAAGGCTAGAGAATTACACCTGTTAAGGTGTCTTACCTTGGCTATGCTAGATGGGGGTAGTTTTTTCAAAGAAAATGTCTCTGAGAAAACGCACATTTGTTTATTTTTATTTTATGAGACAGGGTCTTGTTTTGTTATTCAGCCTGGATTGCAGTGGCATGATGACAGCTCACTGCAACCTCTACCTCCCAGGCTCAAGTGATCCTCCCACGTTAGCCTCCCGAGTAACTGGGACTACAGGTGTGAGCCACCACGCCTGGCTAATTTTTTCTTTTTTAAGGAGACGGGGTCTCACTGTGTTGCCCGGGGTGGTCCTGGGCTTAAGCCATCCTCCTATCTCGGTCTCCCAAAGCACTGGGATTACAGGCATGAGCCACCACACCCAGCACAACTACTATATATATTAATAATTTGTTTCCAATGTGAAACTAATTTTCTTCTTTCACACCCTGACTGGTGGACTTTTATGTTATATCCAAGCATTTGCTATTATGAAAAATACTGCAATAAATATTTCCTTATATACACATATGGGTTGTTTTTTTTTTTTAAATGGAGTTTTACTCTTGTTCCCCAGGCTGGAGTGCAGTGGTGCAGTCTCGGCTCACTGTAACCTCTGCCTCCTGGGTTCAAGCGATTCTTCTGCCTCAGCCTCCCGAGTAGCTGGGATTACAGGCATGCACCACCACTACCGGCTAATTTTGTATTTTTAGTAGAGACGGGGTTTCTCTATGTTGGTCAGACTGGTCTTGAACTCCTGACCTCAGGTGATCTGCCCGCCTTGGCCTCCCAAAGTGCTGGGATTACAGGCGTGAGCCACTGTGCCTGGCAAGATTTCTTTAAGATACATAACTAGAAATGGAATTTCTGGGTCATAGTATGTTACTTACCAACTGTTTTTGTGTCGTAACACTCACACAAGATGATAATATTTCTACAGTAAGCAGAGGAGGCTACTTGAGACTGAGGTAACTAACATGGACTCTCTAGCCACTGAGGACCCACCCTGCTGCCCCTAGGCCTCACTCATCCAAGGAATACCAATTGGGAGACTCAGTTCAGAGATATCTACATGTTTAGTTTTATTAGGTATTGCTAAATTTCTTCCCAAAGTGATTATCCCAGGTTATTACAGTCCCGCTGTATTAGTTATCTATTGCTGTGTAATCAAATACTCCCACACTTAGGAGTTTAAAACATTTTTTATGTACACAGTTCCTCCGGCTCAGGAACCCGGGGTGACTTAACTGGATGGTTCTGGCTCAGGGTCTCTTGTGTAGCTGCAATCAAGATGTCATTAATCATCGAAGCCTTCAATGGGGTTGGAGCATCTACTTGTAAGACAGCTCACTGAGTAACCTGGATTGGCTGGAGGCTTCAGTTTCTTGCTTTGCCGGCCTCTGCATAGGGTTGCTTGATGTGTCTTCATCACATGGCAGCTGGCTTCCTTAGAGCAAGTGATCATAAAAAGACATTTTGACTTCTACCTTGCTTTCTTGATCACTTGCTGTAGGGAACCCAGCTTTGTATTTTGTTAGCCCTGAATCACTAAATCAAGCCCACCCTCAAGTATATCAAATAATTTGTGGATGTATTTTAAAAGCATATAGTTCCTACTTCTTCATGATTGTTCTTTATTCACCAAATATTTATTAAATACCTGCTATGTGCTAGGTACTGTTCCAGGTGCTGAGGATTCAGCAGTGAATGAAACAAAAATTCCTGCACCCATGGAGCTTACTTTCTAGGTTAGGGGAAAACATGATAAACTAAAATAACTAAGTAGGACACATACTGTGTTAGAAATGCTACCAAGAAAAATAAAGCAGGGAATGCTATGAGGGTGGGGCCTGTATAATAATTCTAAATGGGATGGTCAGAGGAGGGTCTCGCTAAGATGATATGTCAGTAAAGTGTAAGTAAAGAGATGAGGCAGTGAGACCTGTGAGTGTCTGGGGCCACAGAATTTAGGCAGAAGTAACAAATGTAAGGGTTCTCATTACTCATGAATTTTTCTCTTTTTTTTTTGAGATGAGGTCTCACTCTGTGCCCTAGGCTAGAGCTCATTGCAGCCCCTAAAGTCCTGGGCTCAAGTGTTCCCCCAGCCTCAGCTTCCCAAGTAGCTGGGGCTACAGGTGCATGCCATCACACCCAACTAATTTTTAAAAATTTTTTGTAGAGACGTCTCGCTTTGCCCAGGTTGGTCTCAAATTCCTGGCTTCAAGCGATCTGCCCACCTCAGCCTCCCAAAGTGCATGTGCGACAGCGCTCAGCCTACTCATGATTTTTTTTTTTTTTTTTTTAGACAGAATTTCGCTTTTATTGCCCAGGTTGGCGTGCAGTGATGTGATCTCAGCTCACTGCAACCTTCACCTCCTGGGTTCAAGCAATTCTGCTGCCTCAGCCTCCCAAGTAGCTGGGATTATAGGCGTGCGCCCCCACGCCCGGCTAATTTTGTATTTTTAGTAAAGACCTGTGAGTGTCTGGGGCCACAGAATGTAGGCAGAAGTAACAAATGTAAGGGTTCTCATTACTCATGAATTTTTCTCTTTTTTCTTTTTCTTTCTTTCTTTTTTTGTTTTTTTGAGATGAGGTCTCACTCTGTGCCACAGGGGTTTCACCATGTTGGTCAGGCTGGTCTCCAACTCCTGACCTCAAGTGATCTACCCACTTCGGCCTCTCAGAGTACTGGGATTACAGGCATGAGCCACTGTGCCCCGCTCCTACTCAGTATTTTTAACTGAGCAGCTGGAAAAATGGAGTTGCCACTAAGTGATAAAGAAATGACTGGAACATCAGTGTAAAGGAGAGGTCGGAAGTTCAGTTTTGGACACATTACCCTTTCGGCATGTTTTAGACATTAAGGTGGTGATACCTATTTGGCTTCCCATTATAAGAATTGATTTCAGGTGTTGTCTAGGGTGGAGCTTTCAATTTGGGGGAGCCAGTAGCATATAGATAGTATACAAAGTCTTGAGGTCATGTAGGGATTGAGTGCAGATAGAAAAGGGGACAAGGTCTAGTGGCTGAGCCCTGAGATACTCTCACTGTTAAGACTCGGGGGATGTGCTCTGGTTTCATTTGAGGGTTGGATTAAAATTAAAAAAAAATCTAAAAGAGTTAGGGGATGTGAATGGAAGAACAAGGTAAAACAACTAACAGCTGTAAGTCAAATAGGAAATTTGGGTTAGCGTACCCTGGAAGCTAAGTGAAGAAAGTGTTTCCAGAAAGAAAGTGTTTCAAATACTGTTGTCATTTAGGTGGAGGGAGGATTGAAAAATGACCATGGGATTTAGGAATGTGGAGGTCATTGGTGACCTTGAAAAAGAAGGTAGCTTTTGGTGGAATAGCAAGACCACAACCATGATTGGGGTTATTGAAGAAAGAACTGTCTTCTTGAGTGGGAGGAATAAAATTTGATACAGCGAGTTTTTAGACAGTGTTTTTATAGAAGTTACTTTACTTCAACATAATTTTGTAAACACATACAGAAATGAATTAATATTTTGATAAAAGGGCTTATAAGAGAAAATCGTTTTAGTGATAAAAAAGCTTTTTTCCTCTTGATTTCTCTTGTCACATAAATATTTTCTTTTCAAAAATAATGCTACCTTTTAGATTTTAATATTTAAGCTAAAAAGGCTTTGCTGTATTACTTTTCAAACCATTATTCTGACACTTGGAAAAATTTTTTTTTTTTTATGAGATGGAATCTCACTCTGTTGCCCAGGCTGGAATGCAGTGGCACGATCTCAGCTCACTGCAACTTCCGCCTCCCCGGCTCAAATGATTCTTCTGCCTCAGTCTTCCAAGTAGCTGGGATTACAGGTGCGTGCCACCACACCTGGCTGATTTTTGTATTTTTAGTAGAGATGGGATCTCACCATGTTGGCCAGGCTGGTCTCGAACTCCTGACCTCAGTTGATCCGCCCACCTCTGCTTCCCAAAGTGCTGGGATTACAAGCGCAAGCCACCGCGACCGACCGGCCTGGAAATAATATTTTTAAAAGAGCCATGTTATTGGTTTTCTGAGTTTAGCTTGTTGCATGGAAATACTTACTGGCCTAAAGTAAATTAAATGCTCATATTTAGCACACACCCTTATGGTTTACGGCCATTTTTCTTATAGGTTTTTTTGGGCGGGGGAAGGGGTGGGAATAGATGTCTCCTTGTCAACATTGGTACCCACCCTATAGACACTGATGATAATTACCCAAGTACAAATGTAGCAAAGGTGCCCTCTAGTGGCTGCCTGCTGGAATTGCATTTTGAGTCTTGCAAATCATTTTATTCACTGGGGAGATAATTTTTGAGTATAGTGTGTATGAAGCACTCTGCTGTATGTACAAGCACATGATCTTTGCCCTCATGGAGCTTGCAGTCTAGGAAAGGGTTGAAAGGCATTCATCAGATGATAACAAAAAACTGAAAAAAAAATTATTTTTTTTTGAGACTGAGTTTTTTTCTTGTCATCCAGGCTGGAGTGCATTGGCACAATCTCGGCTCACTGTAACCTTTACTTCCCAGGTTCAAGCGATTCTCCTGCCTCAGCTTCCCAAGTAGCTGGGATTACAGGCACCCGCCACCATGCTCGGCTAAGTTTTGTACAAAAATACAGGGGTTTTGCCATGTTAGCCAACTTGGTCTCTAACTCCTAACCTCAGGTGATCTACCCGCCTCAGCCACCTAAAGTGCTGGGATTACAGATGAGAGCCACAGCGCCTGGCTAAAACTGAACATTTTTAATTCTTCTTCTTCTTCTTTTTTTTTTTGAGATGGAGTCTCACTCTGTCGCCCAGGCTGGAGTGCAGTGGCACGATCTCGGCTCATTGCAGCCTCCGCCTTCCGGGTTCAAGCGATTCTTCTGCCTCCATCTCCCAAGTAGCTAGGACTACAGGCGCACGCCACTGCACCCAGCTACTTTTTGTATTTTTAGTACAGACGGGGTTTCACCATGTTGGCCAGGCTGGTCTCGAACTCCTGACCTCAGGTGATCCGCCTGCCTCGGGTTCCCAAAGTGTTGGGATTACAGGCGTGAGCCACCACACCCAGCCAATTCTTAACTTCTTATATGTACTAATGAAAACCTAAAATAAGGATATTTCACTTAACCAGAGAGGCCAGAAAAGTGATATTTGAACTGAGTTTTGAAGAATTACTGGAGGTTAAGGAGGAAGAAAGTGTGTTTTAGGCATAGAAAACAACATTTTCGAAAAGTTCGGTGATAGGAAGAAGCATAGTGATATAGGAACTCTGATGAAGGGCAGTGTAGCTGGAACGGATAAGGAAATAAGAGACTTGGATAAAATGAGAAAATACTGCATTTTATAGGCAGTGGTAAATAATCATGTTTGGCTGGATGTGGTGGCTCACACCCATAATTCTAACACTTTGGGAGGCCAAGGCAGGTGGATTGCTTGAGTTCAAGGAGTTCAAGACCAGCTGGACAACATGGCGAAATCTCCCCTCTACAAAGAATTGGCTGGGCGTGGTTGCACGCGCTTGTAGTCTCAGTTACTCAGGAGGCTTTGGTTGGGAGGATTGCTTGAGCCCAGGAGGCTGCAGTGAGCCAAGATTATGTCACTGTACTCCAGCTTGGGCAACAGAGCAAGACCCTGTTTCAGAAAAAACAAAAGAATTGTGTCTTTATCTTAAAAACAATTGTGAACTATAACAGAGTTGGAATGGGAAACATAACCAGATTTGTGTGTTTTTAATTGTGGTAATATATGCTTAGCATACACGTAACTTACCGTTGTAAAGCATGTGGTTCATTGATGTTACGTACGGTTACACTGTTTTGCAACTGTCATCCACCATTCATCCTAGATTTGTGGGCTTTTGTTTGTTTGTTTTTGTAATTTCAGCTTTTAGATTCAGGAAGTACATGTACAGGTTTGTTACATGGGTATATTGCATGGTGCTGAGGTTTGGGGTACGATTGATTCCGTCATCCAGGTAGGGAGCATAGTACCCAATTGTTAGTTTTTCATGTCTTCCTCCTTCTCTCCCTTCTCCCTCTAGTGGTCCCCAGTGTCTATTGTTGCCATCTGTATCTTCATGTGTACTCAATGTTTAGCTCCCATTTGCAAGTGAGAACATGTGGTATTTGGCTTTCTTTTCCTAAAAGAAATTGGAAATTTCTTTTATTTAGAAATTTAGAAATTTCTTTTCCTAAGTAAATTGGATTAATTTACTTAGGATAATGGCCTCCAGCTGCATCTGTGTTGCTGCAAAGGACATAATTTCATTTTTTTTTTTGTGGCTGTGTAGTATTCTGTAGTGTGTATGTACCATATTTTCTTTATGCATTTCACTTTTGATGGGCACCTAAGTAGATTCCTTGTCTTTGCTATTGTGAATAGTGCTGCAATGAACATTTGAGTGCATGTGTCTTTTTGTAGAGCGATTTATTTTCCTTTGGATGTATACCCACTAACAGGATTGCTAGATCGAATGGTAGTTCTAAGTTCTTTGAGATATCTCCACACTGCTTTCCACAGTGGCTGAATTAATTTATATTCCCACCAACAGTGTATAAGCATTCCCTTTTCTCTGCAGCTTTGCCAGCATTGTCATTTATTGGCTTTTTAATAATAGTCATTCTCACAGGGTATGAGATGGTATTTCATTGTGGTTTTGATTTGCGTTCTCTAATGATTACTAATGTGGAGCTTTTTATGATTCTTGGCCGTTTGCATGTCTTCTTTTGAAAAGTGTTGATGCCTTTTGCCCACTTTCTAATGGGGTTATTTGTTTTTAACTTGTTGAATTGTTTAAGTTCTTTACAGATTCTAGATATTAGATCTTTGTCAGATACATAGTTTGTGAATATTTTCTCCCTTTCTGTAGGTTGTCTGTTTACTCTGTTGATAGCTTCTTTTGCTGTGCAGAAGCTCTTTAATTAGGTCCTACTTGTCAATTTTTGTTTTTGTTACAGTTGCTTTTGAGGATTTAGTCACAGATTCTTTCCCAAGGCTGATGTCCATCCACGATTCTTACAGTTTGAGGTCTTACATTTAAATCTTTAATCCATTAGTTTGTGTTTTAAAGAGAGAATTTTCATTGAGTTTTGAGAATGGATTAGAGGGGGTAAACATTGTTGGAAGTTCTCCATGGGAAGCCACTCAAAGGGGTGCTGAAATTTGATAGGTGTAAGGACCACTGAGTGTCTTGTGGACTGCTGGCTGCCAAGTGCCACAGGAGCAAGCAGAAAATATACTGGAACCAGAAAGCAGGCCTCCTCTCTTCTGGTGTCCCTTCAGCACCCTCTACTGAGGAAAAAAGGGAATTGGCTGTCTGCCAGTTTCCAAGGCACCTCCTTTCAGGACCTACAGAAATGATGTTCTATGATCGTACTTTGGTGTACAAACACTAGACCAGTAATAAAAACCCTTAGTTAAAGGCCCAATTCTGATCCTTACCAGTTATTTGATATTAGATAGAATCATATAGACTCTTTGAACTGGTAAAACAAGGGAAAGTGTCTATGAGTATGAATCATCTGGTGAGTTTGTTGAAAGGTCAGATTCTAGGGACTTTTACTAGCAAATTTGAAGCAACTTGAGCATCAAAACAAATTATAACAGGAATAAGTTAAAAAATATTGAATAAAAAAGAATCTGTAAGTCTATATAGAGATAAAAAATTGTACAGGTAGAAGAATGGATTTTTTTTTTTTTTTTTTTTTTTACATTTAAAGGAGTTTAATTGGGCAATGAACGATTTGTGAATTGGGTAGCCACCCCCGCCCACAGCAGATTCAGAGAGACTCCAAAGAAAATCTTTTTTTTTGAGATGGTGTCTTGCTCTGTCACCAGGCTGGAGTGCAGTGGCGCGATCTCGGCTCACTGCAACCTCTGGCTCCTGGGTTCAAGTGATTCTCCTGCCCGAGCCTCTCGAGTAGCTGGGACTACAGGCGTGTGCCACCATGCCCAGCTAATTTTTGTATTTCTAGTAGAGACTGGGTTTCACCATTTTGGCCAGGATGGTCTAAATCTCTTGACCTCGTGATCCACCAGCCTGGGCCTCCCAAAGTTTTGGGATTACAGGCGTGAGCCACTGCCTCCGGCCAGGAAACTCTTCTTTAAAAAAGATTTTCAGCCGGGCACGGTGGCTTATGCCTGTAATCCCAGCACTTTGGAAGGCCGAGGTGGGCGGATCACGAGGTCAGGAGATCCAGACCATCCTGGCTAACACAGTGAAACCCCCATCTCTACTAAAAATACAAAAACTTAGCCAGGCATGGTGGCGGGCGCCTTATAGTCCCACCTACTCGGGAGGCTGAGGCAGGAGAATGGCGTGAACCCAGGAGGCGAGATCACGCCACTGCACTCCAGCCTGGGCAACAGAGCGAGACTCCGTCTCAAAAGAAAAAAAAAAAAAAAAAGACTTTCAGGCCTGAGCACAGTGACTTATGTCTCTAATCCCAGCAGCCTGTAATCCTAGCACTTTGGGAGGCCGAGGTGGGTGGATCGCTTGAGCTCAGGAGTTCGAGATCAGCCTGGCCAATATGGCGAAACCCCATCTGTAGAAAAAAATACAAAAAAATTAGCCTAGCATGGTGGCACACACCTGTAGTCCCAGCTACTTGGAAGGCAGGTGAGAGAACTGCTTGAGCCTGGGAGGCGCAGGTTGCAGTGAGCCATGATCGCACCAATGCACTCCATCCTGGGCAATAGAGTAAGACCCAGTCTCAAAAAAAAGAAACCTTTTTGGGGTTGGGAAAGAAGAGCAAAAAGAACCAAAATAAAGTAAAATAAACTGTCAGCTAATAAATGTAGTTAGAATGTCCTAATTCTGTCATCAGTTTATAACCGTTATAATAATTGATTCATTCAGGAATCATCAGTAGATGCTAAAATATGGCATATTTTGGTACAGAACAGGATATTTCACAGAGCCTCAAACTTTCACCCTACAGACTACTCACCAGTTAAAAAAAGAAAAAGGCACCTTTATGCTGCCAGTAGATAGCACTTTAACCAAATGATGAAAGTCAATACTGCCAATAATAGGACTGACTGACACACTGTCTCTCCTCATGTGATATACGGAGAAGGACATGACATCAGCAATGTAGTCCTGTAGCCAAAAGTGAGTTTACCCGTTCATGAACCCCTGTAGAGCACGAGAACAAGAGGAAACAATCAGATGGATCCAATTTAAAGGTCATTGTGCAATAGAACTCTTTTCTTTTCTTTTTTTTTTTTTTTTTTTTTGAGATGGAGTCTCACTCTCGCCCAGGCTGGAGTGCAGTGGCATGATCCTGGCTCACTGCTATGTCCGCTTTCTGGGGTCAAGCAATTCTTCTGCCTCAGCCTCCCGAGTAGCTGGGATTACAGGCGCGTGCCACCCAGCTAATTTTGTATTTTTAGTAGAGCCGGGGTTTCACCGTGTTAGCCAGGCTGGTCTCCAACTGTTGACCTCAAGTGATCCACCTGCCTCGGCCTCCCAAAGTGCTGGGATTACAGGTGTGAGCCACCGTGCCTGGCAAAAGAACTATCTTGAACTCTTCACAGTTGTCAATACCATGAATGATAAAAACAAAACAAAACCCTAGGGAATTGTTTTAGGTTAAAAATGACTAAAAAATGACAAATGCAATTAACTTTTTAAAAAGTTTTTTTAAAAATAAAGATGGGGTTTCACTGTGTTGCCCCGGCTGGTCTCGAACTCCCAGGCTCAAGCAATCCTCCTGTCTCCACCTCCCAAAGTGCTGGGATTACAGGCATGAGCCACCTAACCTGACTGAAGAATGATCCTTGAATGGATCCTGGATATTAAAAATGCATTATTGTGACAACTGGGAAGATTTGAACATAAACTTTATATTATACAGTGCTATAGCAATATGAAATTGCCTGAGTGTGGTAGAATAACATCCTCATGCTTAGGAGATAAATGTTGAAGTATTACTGTTTGGAGGTGAAGTGTTTTGAGTCTGTAATCTAATCTCAGATGGTTCAGCAAATAACTAAAACCAGCTCTATCCACAGATTCCAACACTATCTGCATAAAAAATCCCAGATAATCTTCAAAAGAACTACTGGAATTAATAAGTGGAGTCAGCAAGTTCACAGGACCTAGATTTAGCATACACAGTCTATCATATTTTTATGTACTAAAAATGAACAATTCGTAATAAAATTTAAATAAGTATCATTTATAATCGCACCCAAGAAAACCATGAAATACTTAGGTATAATTGTAACAAACTGTGTTTAAGATTTATATGCGTGAAACTACAAAATGATGAAAGAAATCAAAGAAATAGAAATATACCACATATCTTAGTCAAAACCCAGAGTTTAAAAATTTAAGTTAGAAGAAACAATCCCTTCTTCTGAAAATGTATTGAGGTTTATTGAGAAAGAAATAGAGATTGAGGCTGGGCGTGGTGTCTAACGCCTGTAATCCTAGCACTTTGGGAAGCCTAGGTGTACAGATCACCTGAGGTCAGGAGTTCCAGACCAGCCTAGCCAACATGATGAAACCTCGTCTCTACTAAAAATACAAAAATTAGCCAGATGTGGTGGCGGGCACCTGTAATCCCAGCTACTCGGGAGGCTGAGGCAGGAGAATCACTTGAACCCAGGAGGCAGAGGTTGCAGTGAGCCAAGATCGTGCCATTGCACTCCAGCCTGGGCAACAAGAGCGAAACTCCATCTCAAAAAAAAGAAAAAGATATTGGAGACTAGTGATTTGGAAGTTGTCAGTAAAAGAGTTGGAAACTTGAAAGGATGGTTTCACCAAAGCAATGTAAAATATATATGTGTGTGTGTGTGTGTGTGTGTGTGTGTGTGTGTGTATGTGTATATATATATGTGTATATATATGTATATATATATGTGTATATATATGTATATATATGTGTGTGTATATATATGTATATATATATGTGTGTATATATATGTATATATATGTGTGTATATATATATGTATATGTATATGTGTGTGTGTGTATATATATATATACACACACACACATATACATATACATATGTAGGTAGGTAGATAGGTATCTCCAGAAAGATAAGAACATAAGAATAATAGTCCTTACAGGGAAAACTGGAAGGGCAGTGGTGAGAAGGGAGAATTTTCACTGTATATGTACCCTTTTATATCTTTTGGTTTTCATACTATGCGAATATATTACATAATATTATAAAAAGGCAGACCCAGTACCGTGGCTCATACTTGTAATCCCAGCACTTTGGGGAACCGAGGTGGGAGGATTGCTTGAATCCAGGACTTGGAGACCAGCCTGGACAACATAGTGGGACCGCCATCTCTACAAAAAATAAATTAGCTGGGCCTGTTGGTATACACCTATAGTCCCATCTACTTGAGAGGTTGACGTAGGAGGATCACTTGAGCCCAGGAGATCTATCCTGCAGTGAGCCATGATTGTGCCACTGTCCCCATGTTCATTTTTATTATTTCGTCAACCAGGGAGCTTTGTTTTGCTGGTATAAAGAGGTAAGTGTGTCTTTGTGAGCTTATCTGGATTATAATTAGCTTTTAGTGCTTGCATGTATTCTGTTTTGCTGCTCAGAGGGCTGAATTGCTTTTTGAAGAGTCTGGTTAGCAATGATTTTGCTACTTTCAAGTGGGAGTAATTGACTTGAATTATTCTTTCTTTGGACTCTGAGCATGTTTGAATTGCCAGTATTTCTGATGGGGAGCTAGTGGGGAAGTTTAAATAAAGAAAAGGACAAAGCTTCCTCTTGTTTAACAAAAAAACCAGACCTACTGAAAGGGGACAAAAATTGTTTAACCTCTTGTCTGAAAATCTTTTGCTTTTAATTTAGGCCTTTCCCTTAAATAGTTCACAATAAACAAAAGAGGCAGAAATTAATGTTTTCTCCTTTCTGTCTCCTCTTCCACATTTATTGGAAACAGAAGAAAAATTTATATTGTTTCATTTATGTTGTCTTATATATTACAGAAAAGTAGATGGTTTCTATAAATCATTTTTATTTTCTTCTGTTTTAGTTTTATTGATCTTTTTTATGGCCTGGGTCGACTAAAAGTTATTGTCTCTTGAACATTTTGATGTTTGTATCTAATAGGTCTAAAGGCAGAAGTTTAGGCATTGTTTTTATGTGGAGCTAATCAAGGAGAAGGATAAATGTAAGAGCTTTCTTTTTCCGGCTCAGTGAAAGGGAGAACTGTTGCTCTCCAAAGTTTGGTCATATGGTTGGTAAAGAGCATTACAATGCTCATTTTTATATTTTGAATTTTCTTGCAAGTGACTGGTACTTGTTCTGTAAGTTTTGATGTAGGTACTTTACTGATCTAGAGATTAACAGGAAGTTTGCAAACAGCCATTGGTACTTCTGTTTGTAGGATAAGTTCTCATCTTGTCCTTTTTCTTCAAAATTATCTTGATTAATCTTGGCCCTTTGCGCTTAGCCTGTCAAATTCTACAACAATCCTTTTGGGATTTTGGTTAGAATTACATTGACTTTGTAGATTATTTTGGGAATAATTGACATCTTTATTATAGTAAGTATTGCTATCTATGAATCTGATTGGTTACTTCATTTATTTAGATTATCTTTTTAATGTTTCAAAATAGAATCTATAATCTTCATAACAGGCATGTATACCGTTTGTTAAAGTTGTTCCTAAGTTCCTTACATTTGGTTCATTGTTAAAATTGGATTATTTAAACATTTATATTTTCTATGTCTTGCTATCATATAGAAATACGTTGACTTATATATTGGGTTTGTATTTAACAACTTTGCTAAACTTTTCTATTGTAATAATTTATTTTTGGTTTTCCATGTATAAATGAAATTATCTGCAAATAATATTAGTATTATTTTCTCCTTTCCATTTTGTATATACTTTATTTTTATTATCTTACTGTGCTGGGAAGGACTCAGTATAGTATTAGAAGAGAAGCAATGATACAAGGCATAGTTTTCTTATTTCTACATTTTAAAGGGAATACTTTTAACATTTTACCTTTAAGATGATTATTACAGAATTCTGGTGGATATACTTTATCAGGTTAAGGGAGTTCCCTTTTATTCTTAGTTTGCTAGGAAATCTTATCATGAGAGGAGTTTGAATGTTATCAAATGCTTTTCTGCGTCTATTGAGATGAACTGTGTAGATTTTCTCTTTTAATCTGTTGCTGTTGTACTATTAGCTTCCAACTAATACTTCTTGCTTTTTCTGCTCCCTTCCCCCAGGTGATTTGTGGAGCTATGATTTCTTCAGTGGTGAATTTGTGGTGTCACCTGAACCAGACACAAGTGTCCACACTCTTGACCCTCAGAAGCACAAGTATATTATATTGGGGAGTGATGGACTTTGGAATATGATTCCACCACAAGATGCCATCTCAATGTGCCAGGACCAAGAGGAGAAAAAATACCTGATGGTGAGATGTGATTGAATAACTTGATATTGTTGTCTAAACATTGTTTTGGTACTTCTGTCAGAATCTTGAATATGAACTAAGGACATTGACCTTGGGTAGATTTTTGCATTTGCCTTGATCTGCTAGTGGGTAAAACATAGGCTTTGTAGCTCCTAATCATTAGAGGAATGAGACAAGAAATATATAACCGAAGTCTAATAACAAAACACACAACCACTGACTTCAGTATAAATTGGCCTGTGAAACGTTGCTAATTCCTTATTTTTTTAAATGACATATAATTTCCATACCATAAAATTTATCGTTTTTTTTTTTTTTTTGAGACGGAGTCTTGCTCTGTCACCCAGGCTGGAGTGCAGTGGCACAATCTCGGCTCACTGCAAGCTCCGCCTCCTGAGTTCACGCCGTTCTCCTGCCTCAGCCTCCTGAGTAGCTGGGACTACAGGCGCCTGCCATCACACGCGGCTAATTTTTGTATTTTTAGTAGAGGTGGGGTTTCACCTTGTTAGCCAGGATGGTCTCGATCTGACCTCGTGATCCGCCTGCCTTGGCCTCCCAAAGTGCTGGGATTACAGGCGTGAGCCACTGCGCCCGGCCAAAATTTATCCTTTTAAAGTGTATAATTCAGTGATTCTTAGTGTAGTTCACAAAGTTGTACAACCATCACCACTACTACTTTTTTTTTTTTTTTTTCTGACTGTCTCAGTGTCTCGCTCTGTTACCGAGGCTGGAGTGCAGTGGCATGATCTCAGCTCACTCTAACCTCTGCCTCCTGGATTCAAGCGATTCTCCCACCTCAGCCTCCCGAGTAGCTGGGATTACAGGTGTGTGCCACCCCACCCAGCTAATTTTTTGTATTTTTAGTAGAGATGGGGTTTCATCATGTTGGCCAGGCAGGGCTCGAACTCCTGACCTGAGGTGATGCCTCAGCCCCACAAAGTGCTGGGATTTAAGGCATGAGCCACCGCACCCGGCCTCCATCACCACTACTTCTACTACTTTTTTTGTTTTTTTTTCCCCCCAAGAGATGAGGTGTCACTATGTTGCCCAGGCTGGTTTAGAACTCCTAGGCTTAAGCAGTCCTCTCACCTCAGCCTCCTGAGCAGCTGGGACTACTGTGGTGCCATGCCCAGCTCCTAATCTCAAAACATTTTCATCATCATCCCCTAACAGAGCACATGGAAGTATCTGGAATCAAAAATCCAAAGATGGGTTATCCTTAGAAAAGATGATCTTTCTCTCAGATGGCAGGAATAGTAAAGCTGTATTTTGAGGTGGAAGGAGGGGCAAATTGATTGAATTTTTGTTAAATTGCCTCCATTCATTCCGGGCGCAGTAGCTCACGCCTGTAATTCCAGCACTTTGGGAGGCTGAGGCGGGTGGATCACCCAAGGTCAGGAGTTAAGAGACCAGCCTGGCCAACATGATGAAACCCCACCTCTACTAAAAATACAAAATTAGCTGGGTGTGGTGGCACTCGCCTATAGTCCCAGCTACTTAGGAGGCTGAGGCAGGAGAATCTCTTGAACCCAGGAGGCAGAGGTCGCAGTGAGCCAAGATCATGCCATTGCACTCCAGCCTGGGCAATAAGAACGAAACTCTGTCTCAAAAAAAAAAATTGCCTCCATTCATTCACTCAATTAACATACTAGGTACTAGGTACAGGGATTGCAAAGGTAAATAGAATATGGTCCTTCCTCAGCACTTACCATATTATTATAAATAGAATATATAAAAAACTAACAATCCCATTAGATCATGAGTTCTTTTAAGGTGAGAGTCATCTTGATTCAGTTTTACATGTTCAGGGCCTGGTGTGTTGCATTTAGTTGGAGATTATCATGTATCAAAGAGTAACATAAAGACTCTTCTGTCTAATGGATTTAGAATTCTTTAATGATCTGAGAGAGATCATTTCAATGGCATAAAGACAAAAACCAGTTTGTAGTGCATTGGAAGAACCTATTTATGAACCATAAAGTGTTTTAAGATGAGTATTGAAGGAAGCATCCGTATAATGTATAATTAGAACAAGTCTTATGAGACCTGGAAGAGTGAGACGATAGAAAACTTCACAAGACTGCATAGGAAGCTTCATGGAAGAGAGTGATATTTGAGCAAGAAAATTTGCAGGCTTAATCTAAGGCAGCAGTGGTTTTTGGAAAAAACACAAAGAAATACATGTAGGCCGGGCGCAGTGGCTCAAGCCTGTAATCCCAGCACTTTGGGAGGCCAAGGCAGGTGGATCACTTGAGGTCAGGAGTTCGAGACCGGCCTGGCCAACATGGTGAAACCCCATCTCTACTAAAAATACAAAAATCAGCCAGACGTGGTGACTCGCACCTGTAATCCCAGTTACTCAGGAGGCTGATGCAGGAGAATTGCTTGAACCCAGGAGGCAGAGGTTGCAGTGAGCTGAGATCGTGCCACTGCACTCCAGCCTGGTGACAGAGCGAGACTCCATCTCAAAACAACAACAACAACAACAACAACAAAAAACACAAATACATAAGTAGTAGAATTGACAGCTCTTATGTTTATAAGGAGGAAGAATATGATGACACCTAAATTTCTAACTCTGGTGACTAGTAAGCTGTTATAAAGAAGAGACATTATTTAGGGAGAGATGGGGGAGGTAATTAGTTCAGACATAGGCATGTTGAGTTGAGGTACCTGTGGTTCATCTAGATAGATATCTTCAGTAGGCAGTTATAAATATTTGAGAGAGAGGGGTGGCATGCTCCTATAGTCCCAGCTACTCAGGAGGCTGTGGGAGGATTGCTTAACCCCAGGAGTTCAAGGCTGTAGGGCTCTATGATTGTACTTGTTAATAGCCACTGCACTCCAGCCTGGACAACATAGTGAGACCCTCATCTCTTTAAAAATAAAAACTTGGGAGGGAAGCGTGGAAATACTAATTTAACAGTTAACAAGAGTTGCGTAAATTGTGGCAATATATGCACTTAGAGAGACTCTGTGGTTTAAGAGCACACAATATTAGGGGGACTCAAGTCAGCAGAATTCTAGTGAGCTGAGGGAAAAATATACAGGTAAGATAGTGGAAAATGGTTTATATAATTGTTTTCATAGAGCATTGATGGGAAGGGAAACAGGCACACTGAAAAAGTGAGAGGTAAGGGCTCAGTCAGCTGGTGTTTGGAGAGTGGAACCACATGCCGTAGGGAATGTGATAGATTCATGAATTAGAGATTAATGCTGCCTTTAATCAATTCTGAGGTGCATATTTTCTTTTAATATCTCTGAAATTGGAATACTTTTTACAAATGGTATATCACAGTTCAATTAACAGTGTTTTTGGTTTTTTTTTTTTTTTGAGATGTAATCTCGCTGTGTTGCCAGGCTGGAGTGCAGTGGCGCGATCTCAGCTCACTGCAACCTCTGCCTCCCAGGTTCAAGCGATTCCCCTGCCTCAGCCTCCCGAGTAGCTGGGACTACAGGCGCGCGCCACCATGCCTGGCTAATTTTTTTTATTTTAGTAGAGACGGGGTTTCACCACATTGGCCAGGATGATCTCCATCTCCTGACCTCATGATCCACCCACCTCGGCCTCCCAAAGTGCTGGGATTACAGGTGTGAACCACCATGCCAAGCCACCACGCCCAGCCGACAGTGTTTTTTATTTCGTTTGTGGCACATAAAATGATGCATCCATAACACAAGGCTCATGGTATTCTACATGAAGAAAACAATCTAAGTGATCCAGTCAGAGTTACAAAAAAGAATATCATAGTAAAACCCCTCAAAGTAGGAGGTTGAAAATAATAGAGCAGAAATTAATTATTTAGGGAGATTCACAAAACCCAGAAGGGCAGTCTTTTAAGAAGACACATAAGGCATGATTGATTGTTTCTAGTTCAAGAGAAAAGCACAAAAAAGTTTGAGTGGACATAACTACACTTAAAAATAGAGATTTTTAAAACACACTTTAAAAAATTCGAAGTATACTATACATATGACATTTACTATTTGTACTATTTGAAATTGTACAATTCAATAGTAAAAAATCCATTTATATTCTTTTTTTCCACCCTTCATCTCTCTCTCCCTACTACCCTTCCTGGCTTCTTGTAACCACAATTCTACTCTCTCTCTTTGTGAGATCTACTCTTTTAGCTGCCACATATGAGTGAGATCATGTCTTTCTGTGCTTGGATTATTTCATTTAGCATAATGTCCTCCAGTTCCATCCCTGTTGCTGCAAATGACAAGATTTCATTCTTTTCTATGGCCGAATACTATTTCATTGTGTATGTGTATATACACCACATTTTCTTTATCCATTCATGTATTAAATGGAATTGACGTAGGATGATTCCATATTTGGACTGTTGTGAATAGTGCTGCAATAAACATGGGAGTGCAGATATACCTTCAGTGTATTGATTTTCTTTCTGTTGGATATATGTATAGTAGTGGAATTGTTGGATCATATGGTAGTTTACTTCTGTTTTTTTTTTTTTTTTTTTTTTTTTGAGGAACCTTCATACTGTTCTTCGTAGTGGCTGCTCTAATTTACATTCCCACTAACACTGAGGGTTCCCCTTTCTGCACATCCTCACCAGCATCTGTAGTTGCCTATCTTTTTGATGCAAGTGGTTTTAACTGGAGTGAGATGATACCTCATTGTGGTTTTGATTTGCATTTCTCTGATGATTAGTGATGTTGAGCATTTTTTCATATATCTGTTAATCATTTGTATGTCTTTTGAGAAATGTGTATTTTAGATCTTTTGCCCATTTTAAAATTGGATTATTTGGGGCTTGTTTTGTTTTGTTGCTACTGATTTGAGCTCCTTACATGTTGTTAATTCCTTGTCAGATGGATAGTTTGCAGATGTTTTATCCCATTCTGTGGGTTCTCTCTTCACTTTGTTGATTGTTTCCTTTGCATTTTAGCTTGTATTTTCATTTGTCTATTTTTGCTTTGGTTGCCAGTGCTTTTGAGGTCTCATGCAAAAATTATTTGCCCAGAACAGTGTCCTGGAGCGTTTCTCCAATGTTGTTTTCTTCTAGTAGTTTCATAGTTTGTGAGATCAAAGTAGATCTCACAGAGGGAATAGAATTGTGGTTACCAATTCTACTAATTGAGATCTTAGATTTAAGTCATTAATCCATTTTGATTTGATTTTTGTGTGTGATGAGAGATAGGGGTATAGTTTCATTCTTCAGCATATAGTTATCCAGTTTTCCCCCTACCATTTATTGTTGCTCTTGGCACCTTTGTTGAAGATGAGCTGGCTGCAAATTGCGTGGATTTATACATAGGTTTTCTGTTCTGTTCCATTGGTCTATGTGTCTGTTTTTGTAGCAGTACCATGCTATTTTGGTTACTGTAGCCCTCTAGTATAGTTTTGAAGTCAGGTAGTGTGATGCCTCCAGCTTTGTTCTTTTGGCTTAGAATTGCTTTGGCTATTCAGGATATTTTGTGGTTTCATATGAATTCTGAGCTTAAAGAAAAAATTATGTGAAGAATGTCATTTCAATTTTGATAGGGATTGAATCTTTAAATTGCTTTGGGTAGTATTGTCATGTTAACAATATTAATCCATCCAATCCATAAGCATGGACTACCTTTGTATCTTTTTGTGTCCTCTTCAATTTCTTTCATCAGTATTTTCTAGTTTTCCTTTATAGATCTTTCACATCTTTGGTTAAATTGATTACTAGGCATTTTATAATTTGTGTACCTATTGGAAATAGGATTGCTTTCTTGATTTCTTTTTCAGATTGTTTGCTGTTGGTATATGTAAATGCTGCTGATTTTTGTATGTTCATCTTGTATCCTGCAGTTTCACTGAATTTATCAGCTCTAACAGTTTTTTGGTGGCGTCTTTAGGTTTTTGTAGGTATGAGATCATGTTACCTGCAAACAAGGCTCATTTGACTTATTCGTTTCCAGTTTGGTTACCCTTTATTTCTTTCTCTTGCCTAATTGCTCTGGCCGGGACTTCCAGTATTGTATTGAATAACAGTAAGTGAGAGTGGGGCATCCTTGTCTGTTTCAGTCCTTAGAGGAAAGACCTTCAATTTTTTTCCCCATTCAGTATTGATGTTGGCTGTGAGTTTGTCATTTTGAGGTATATTTCTACTATACTTATTTTTGTTGGGTTTTTATCATAAAGTGATGTTCAATTTTACGAAATGCTTTTTCAGTGTCTATTGAAATAATATGCTTTTTTTTTTTGAGAGAGAGAGTCTCACTCTGTCACCCAGGCTGGGAGCACAGTGGTGCGATCCCGGCTCACTGCAGCCTCCACCTCCTGGGCTGAACTGATTCTCCCACCTCAGCCTCCCAAGCAGCTGAGGTGGGAGGATCACTTGAGCCCAGGAGGTGGAGACTGCAGTAAGCCGAGGTCACACCACTGCATTCCAGCCTGGGTGACAGAGTGAGACCCTGTCTCAAAAAACAACAAACAAAATTTTCCACTCATTTTCATTAGTCATTTATTTCTATGGGTACTTTTAATACATGCAGGCAGCCGGGCACGGCGGTTCACACCTGTAATTCCAGAACTTTGGGAGGCCGAGGCAGGCAGATCACCTAAGATTAGGAGTTCAAGACCAGCCTGGCCAACGTGGTGAAACCCCGTCTCTACTAAAAATACAAAAAAAAAATTTAGCTGGGCATGGTGGCAGGTGCCTGTAATCCCAGCTACTTGGGAGGCTGAGGCAGGAGAATCACTTGAACCTGGGAGGCGGAAGTTGCAGTGAGCCGAGGTCTTGCCATTGCACTCCAGCCTGGGCGACAAGAGCAAAACTCCATCTCAAAAAAAAAAAAAAGAAAGAAAAGAAAAGAAAGAAAAAAATACATGTAGGCTTATTTCCTGGAGTACATCATTTTCACTTTTGTTCTGTGAAACCTAGCAGATTTTAAATTCATATATGACACTGGAAGTTTTATTCCAAGCCACATTTATTTGCATAAAATGAGATCCTTTTGGTTTTGTTTTCTTTACTCGTTCAATTGGTATATATTTGTTCTTTATACTATAAGCAGTTATTGTATTACTTTTTCCTCATATGAGTGACATTGACTGTTTATATATATATATGAGCTGTTTATATTTCCTTTTCTCTGGATTTTGTTTATATTCTTTGACAATTTTTATGTTGAGTCATTTTCTTCGATTTGCAGAATCTCTTATGTTAGAAGGAATTTGACCCTTTGCAATGATTTTTTTTTGTACCATGCCTGATTGTCTTGTTTGTGAATTATGTTTTCTTAAATAACTTGATGTTTACTTCTTGTTGTTGTTGTTGTTTTGAGACGGAGTCTCGCTCTGTCGCCCAGGCGGGAGTGCAGTGGCGTGATCTCGGCTCACTGTAACCTCCGCCTCCCAGGTTCAAGCAATTCTCCTGTCTCAGCCTCCCAAGTAGCTGGGATTACAGGCACACACCACCATGCCTGACTAATTTTTGTATTTTTAGCAGAGATGGGGTTTCGCCATGTTGGTCAGGCTGGCCTTGAATTCCTGACCTTGCAGTCCACCTGCCTCCACCTCCCAAAGTACTGGGATTAAAGGCGTGAGCCACCACACCTGGCTACTTTCTTTTTAAGTAACTTCTTTATAACTTTTTCTTTTCTTTTTTTCTTTTTCTTTCTTTCTTTTTTTTTTTTAAATGGAGTCTTGCTCTGTTGCCTAGGCTGGAATGTGGTGGCCTGATCTTGGCTCACTGCAACCTCCGCCTCCTGGGTTCAAGCGATTCTCCTGCCTCAGCCTCCTGAGTAGCTGGGACTACAGGCATGTGCCGTCGCGCCCGGCTAATTTTTTGTTTTTTTAGTAGAGATAGGGTTTCACCATGTTAGCGAGGATGGTCTCGATCTCCTGACCTCATGATCCACCCGCCTCCTCCTCCCAAAGTGCTGGGATTACAGGCATGAGCCATTGCGTCTGGACAACTTTTTCTAAATAAAGTTACAGTGAAGGCTGAGTTTCTTGATAAAAATAAAAATAGTGAAATTTAATGACAGGATAAAACCTTGTTTTATTAGTATTTTTTGAATTTAGAAAAGTATTATTTTAACATGGCTAAGGAGACTGGGGATAATGTTTGAAAATTTGGGAGCTTTGGCTGGGCGCAGTGGCTCACACCTGTAATCCCAGCACTTTGGGAGGCAGAGGCGTGTGGATCGAGGTCAGGAGATCAAGACCATCCTGGCTAACATGGTGAAATCCCGTCTCTACTAAAAATACAAAAAATTAGCCGGCCATGGTGGCGGGCGCCTGTAGTCCTAGCTACTCGGGAGGCTGAGGCAGAAGAATGGCATGAACCCGGGAGGCAGAGCTTGCAGTGACCCGAGATTGCATCTCTGCACTTCAGCCTGGGTGACAGAGGAAGACTCTGTCTCAAAAAAAAAAAAAGAGAAAAGAAAAAAAAAAATTGGGAGCTTTGTTTGGGCCACAGCGAACACCAAATATTTAATTTGATATAGATACAGATGTAGTGGCAGCTAAATCTGAGTTACTTTCCTTCTCCTTGTTCTTTTGAATACAGGGTGAGCATGGACAATCTTGTGCCAAAATGCTTGTGAATCGAGCATTGGGCCGCTGGAGGCAGCGTATGCTCCGAGCAGATAACACTAGTGCCATAGTAATCTGCATCTCTCCAGAAGTGGACAATCAGGGAAACTTTACCAATGAAGATGAGTTATACCTGAACCTGACTGACAGCCCTTCCTATAATAGTCAAGAAACCTGTGTGATGACTCCTTCCCCATGTTCTACACCACCAGTCAAGGTATATAGTTCCATAGTTTTTAAGTTATGTTTTAATAGACACCAGTTCTTTGGTTAGCGTCACCTGGAAACAATTTTTAAATTCTTACAGGATTTTGGATTTGAACTCGATTCAAGAAAGTGATGTAACTTATTATCAGAGAGCCATCTTTACATCAATACTAATCTGAATGCCAGCCATGTGTACAGCACTAATAAAAAGGTGATTGTGGGCCCTTAAGAATATTATTGTTTGCCATCTAATGCTATGAACATTATTTTTAAAGCATTTAGAAGTTTGTGAAGCACTTAAATATATTTTATTTGAATCTCGTAGCCCAGAAGTAGAGCTAATGTTATTATTTCATTTTATCAGTAATAAGCCTGAGAGATTAAACTGTCTAAACAAGGTCATAGAGAATCAAAATTGAGCTGGACCTGAGGATAGCAGACGTTACAACTGGTTGTCTGTTAACTCGTATAAGAAACTTTATTCCTATTTCTTATCCATGTTAATATTGATTGAGTTTAAGATATGCTTTGAAATAAGCAAATTTTAAGTAGATATCATACTTTTTTGATTTACTAAGAACTCAAATACTTGGTTGTGTTTTCATCCTAATTTTTCCCACCAAAAATTAGCAGTATTGATTGATAATTGCTTTAATACATAGCATGGCTAACCTGGCTTTCTGAGAATGTGTTTTCAGTAGACTGACCATTAAAATGGGAAATGTAGGGAAATCTAATGTCACCTATTCAGGAAGTTTTTTAAAGTGTCAAAGGCCTTTAATTTTGGGCGTCGTAATCCTATAGTCAATACTTGGAAATGGATTATTACTGCTTTGCTTTCTTTCACTTTACATACATATGGCAAAAACCACATATGGCCAGATACAATGGAATGTTTTCATTTCTTTTTCTTTTTTTTGTTTTTGAGACAGAGTTTCACTCTTGTTGCCCAGGCTAGAGTGCAATGGCATTATCTTGGCTCACTGCAACCTCTACCTCCCAGGTTCAGGTGATTCTCCTGCCTCAGCCTCCCAAGTAGCTGGGATTACAGGTGCCCGCCACTACGCCCTGCTAATTTTTTGTATTTTTAGTAGAGATGGGGTTTCACCATGTTGTCCAAGCTGGTCTTGAACTCCTGACCTCAGGTGATCCACCCGCATCGGCCTCCCAAAGTGCTGGTATTATAGGCCTGGCTGAAATGAAGTATTTTCATTCACAAAAGGTTTCTTTTCTTTGAAAACCATGAATGGTAATGCAGGTTGAAACCCTTTAAAGCCTCTTTATTCTCTTTTCAAAGCTGTGAAAGAGCTTATGTTTGTATATTTGCGTATTTCTGAATATTTGTATGTAATTATTACTTTCATGTTCCCTTATAACTGACCTTTAGGCAGTATAGAGAAGGAGGAGACATTAGGGTGGGGAATAGTGTGAGGAACAAAAGGGCATTCTTAATATTGACCTCAAATAAAAATTATTGCAGTCTGCTGACTGGCATTAGTAAACCCATACATAAAATACGTTTAAAAAATTACTTAAGCTGGGCACAGTGGCTCATGCCTGTAATCCCAGCACTTTGGGAGGCTGAGTTGGGCAGATAACCTGAGGTCAGGAGTTTGAGACCAGACTGACCAACATGGAGATACCCCATCTCTACTAAAAATACAAAATTAGCCAGGTGTGGTGATGCATGCCTGTAATCCCAGGTACTTGGGAGGCTGAGGCAGGAGAATCGCTTGAACCCAGGAGGCGGAGGTTGCGGTGAGCCAAGATCGTGCCATTGTGCTCCAGCCTGGGCAACAACAGCAAAACCCCATCTCAAAAAAAAAAAAAAAAAAATTCCTTAAATTCTGGGCTGGGCGTGGTGGCTCACGCCTGTAATCCCAGCACTTTGGGAGGCAGAGGCACATGGATCATGAGGTCAGGAGATCGAGACTATCTTAGCCAACATGGTGAAACCCCATCTCTACTAAAATACAAAAAATTAGCTGGATGTGGTGGCTCGTGCCTGTAATCCCAGCTACTTGGGAGGCAGAGGCGGGAATCGCTTGAACCCGGGAGGTAGAGGTTGCAGTGAGCTGAGATCGCGTTGCAGCACTCCAGCCTGCTGACAGGGCAAGACTCCATCTCAAATAATAATAATAATAATAATTCTGATAATGACCTAATAATACTACTAAAGTAAAGATAAGAAGACGTATGTTTGCCATATGCAGGTATAGTTATTTGTTAACCCATTGGCCCTGCCCAAATATGGGAAAATATTTAGGTTAATTCAGAATAATTAGTATTGTTGGCTCTGATCTAACAACTAACAAAAGACAGATTTCTGCCCAAGAAATTGTTTTTGGTTTGTTTTATTTACCTTAATTGACATAAAGGTGAGTACTCCTGACTATATTTAATTTACATCATTATTAAAGTTGTCTCATGTTTAGTAACATAGAGATAAATTTAATTATAATGTGGTTAATGTTGAACAGTCAGAGACTTAATCACATTTAGACAAGGCATTTGAGACTAGATTTGTCTGTAAACATGTCAGCTTCCATTTGAATTCTCACATAAATTAGTCTTTGTTTTGGGATGGAGATAGTGGAAAAGCCTTTGTTTAAGTAAGATAGATTACTATGACACACATTTCTTTCTCTGTCCTTTGTTTAGGGCAAAACTAAATTTAGCTATGTTTTACAAGCTAAGATCTTTAAGAACGGAATGGGGAAGAGAGCAAAGAGTTTCAGAAAATTAAAACTTAGTTTTAGTTGCATTTTAGGCACAGTTTGTAATTAATTGTTTAATATTGGATTACAGGGTAGATGGGAGGAGAAAGTTGATCTCTGAAGCAGTGAACTTTTTTAAAGTATGTATTTTTAGGGGTAACCTCAATATCACATAACTGTTTTACGAACATGCAGGCCTTAGCAATACAAATTAACCTGGGGTACATCTAAGAAGTCTAAACAGTTGCCTGTGCTAACAGATACAATGTATTCCCACAGAATGCCAATAAAAAGAGAATTCCCTTCAGAAATGTTCAAGAAGAAAGTAGGGGAAGGGAAGCCAGCACACCTGTGGTGTCAGAATAATATTCTGTGCATTTAGGCTGGGTGTGGTGGCTCACGCCTGTAATCCCAGCACTTTGGGAGGCCGAGGCGGGTGGATCACAAGGTCAGGAGTTCGAGGCCAATATGGTGAAACCCTGTTTCTACTAAAAATACAAAAATTAGCTGGGTGTGGTGACATGTGCCTGTAATCCCAGCACTTTGGGAGGCCGAGGCAGGCTGATCACCCGAGGTCAGGAGTTTGAGACCAGCCTGGCCAACATGGTGAAATCCTGTCTTTACTAAGAATACAAAAGTTAGCTGGGTGTGGTGGTGGGTGCCTGTGATCCCAGCTACTTGGGAGGCTGAGGCAGGAGAATCGCTTGAACCCAGGAGGCGGAGGTTGCATTGAGCCAAGACTGTGCCATTGCACTCCAGCCTGGGCAACAAGAATGAAACTCTGTCTCAAAAAGAAACAAAAACAAAAAAACAGAGAAGTGATGTATTTGGGGCAGTACCAGATTAGTAACTAGAAATTCTTTGTCCTTTTCTTCAGTGTCCATTGGTCCTAAAGTCTATATATATATGTGTTTTTCAGTAAAGCATATTCATATCTATGATTAGATCGAGATCATTTTAGAAACGAGTTTCTGGGCCGGGTGTGGTGGGTCACTTAAGGTCAGGAATTTGAGACCAGCCTGGCCAACATGGTGAAACCCCATCTCTACTGAAAATACAAAAATTAGCTGGGCATGGTGGTGAGCACCTCTAACCCCAGCTACTCGGGAGGGTGAGGTGGGAGAATCGCTTGAACCCGGGAGGCAGAGGTTGCAGTGAACAGAGATCGCGCCACTGCACTCCAGCCTGGGTGACAGAGCAAGACTCGGCCTCAAAAAAAGAAAAAAGGAAGCTTCTGGATGCCTTCAATTTCCCTTTCATTTTATTTTTTGAACCTCCCTGCCTCCCTTATTTCCCTTTGTTTTTAACTCTAGACAAATTAAAGGAAACATTCCTATGATAAGTATACTTTTATATAGCACTTCTAAGAAAGTTGTATATTCAGGCTGGGCGCAGTGGCTCACGCCTGTTATCACAGCACTTTGAGAGGCCGAGGCGGACAGATCACCTGAGGTCAGGAGATCGAGACCAGCCTGACCAACATGGAGAAACCCTGTCTCTACTAAAAATACAAAAAAAAAATTAGCTGGGCATGGTGGCGCATGCCTGTAGTCCTAGCTACTCAGGAGGCTGAGGCAGGAGAATCCCTTGAACCTGGGAGGCAGAGGTTGTGGTGAACCAAGATTGTGCCATTGCACTCCAGCCTGGGCAACAAGAGCGAAACTCCATCTCAAAAAAAAAAAAAAAAAAAAAGGAAAGGTGTTTATTTATAGGAGATTTTATTTCGGAGAAAGATCAGATAAATACGTCTTCATTTGCTGCTCTGCTTGGGCTTTTCAGAATCTATTAATATTTTGATACATTTGATTGAGAGTCCACTTGAGGAAAATTTTACATGTTTGGGGGAGAGAGTATTTATGCTTTAACTCTGGACCTTGATAAAGTATTAAGACAATGATTTTATGAAATGTTATTACTTTGGAAGAGCTGGGTTTGATAGTAAGAATGTTCTTATCTGGAGGTGAGCGGCTATTCTGAGTATATGTAGATTTAGAGCACTACACTCAAAGTAGTGGTGCATATCTAGATTGACATGAAGCGTTGTGAAAACAGCATTTTTAAAAACAATAAAGTGCCTTGGATAATTCTCATTTGTTTTCATCAATTGGGAATTTCCCTAACCATTCTCAGAATGGTCCCATGTGTACTACTTTTCTCAAATCACAGAGCAGTATCTAGTGTTTGCAGGATGGGTGCAAAGCAGCATTCTTCTGAGTTTCCATTATGACCATTATGACATAGTTGCTTTAATGTTGTACTTTGCTTTAATGATGTGCTTTAATGTTGTAATGCTTTCCACACTACATACTCAGAAATTAGAATTTAGGAGATAGGATAAACCAAAAAACTACAAATTTGTTGCTTATCCTACTGAGATGCTACCATCCCCTCCAGTGGTTACACTGGTTTTCATTACTAGAAAATTCAGATTTTTATTTTTAATTTTAATATTTATTTATTTATTGTGAGACGGAGTCTCACTCCGTCACCCAGGCTGGAGTGCAGTGGTGCGATCTCTGCTCTCTGCAGCCTCCACCTCCTGGGCTCAAGCAGTTCTCCTGTCTCAGCCTCCAGAGTAGCTGGGATTACAGGTGCACACCACCATGCCTGGCTAATTTTTGTATTTTTAGTAGAGACGCAGTTTCACCATGTTGGCCAGGCTGGTTTTGAACTCCTGACCTCAAATGATCTGCCCGCCTCGACCTCCCAAAGTGCTGGGATTACAGGGGTTAGCCAGTGTGCCCGGCCAAAAATTGAGATCTTTAAAAGCTTTTTTTTCTTTTTTGAAATAGGGAACGCTTCATGAATTTGTGTCATCTTTGCACAGGGGCCATGCTAATCTTCTTTGTATCATTCCAATTTTAGTATATGTGCTGCTGTAGTAAGCACTTAATGGCATCTTAAAGCAATTTTTTGATGGTTCTTATGGAAAAATATGACTTTTATGAAAAATAGAGCGATTTCATCAGCATTATGTTATTACCAAAAGTAAATTAAAATGCACACAGAGAATGCGATACTTTTGATCTTCTCCATGTTTGAGTACAGAATAGTGGAAGAGTGAATGTGTGCCTATGGTTAATTTTGAGGGTTTGTTTTGAAATCTTGTTCCTTAATGTATCTTATTTTTGTTTACCTGCCAATGGATAGAAAATGCTTGTGACCACGTGAATTTTCACCCACTTGAATAGATTACTTTATAATTTCATCTATTACCCTGAAGACAGAATTCAATGTCATTCTTACCTTTATATTGTCTTCTCACTCAGGTTCCTCCCATTAAACCTTAACACATAGTTCAGTAAATAGAAGGTGAACGAATTAGTGAATGCATACCCCGTTTTTGCCATCCTACTAGCTTCATAAGAAGCCTAATATCACATGCATAGATTTGTTGAGTTCTGGGATAAATTTTTTCTTATTTGTTTTACCTTCTTATTTTTCAGTCACTGGAGGAGGATCCATGGCCAAGGGTGAATTCTAAGGACCATATACCTGCCCTGGTTCGTAGCAATGCCTTCTCAGAGAATTTTTTAGAGGTTTCAGCTGAGATAGCTCGAGAGAATGTCCAAGGTGTAGTCATACCCTCAAAAGATCCAGAACCACTTGAAGAAAATTGCGCTAAAGCCCTGACTTTAAGGATACATGATTCTTTGAATAATAGCCTTCCAATTGGCCTTGTGCCTACTAATTCAACAAACACTGTCATGGACCAAAAAAATTTGAAGATGTCAACTCCTGGCCAAATGAAAGCCCAAGAAATTGAAAGAACCCCTCCAACAAACTTTAAAAGGACATTAGAAGAGTCCAATTCTGGCCCCCTGATGAAGAAGCATAGACGAAATGGCTTAAGTCGAAGTAGTGGTGCTCAGCCTGCAAGTCTCCCCACAACCTCACAGCGAAAGAACTCTGTTAAACTCACCATGCGACGCAGACTTAGGGGCCAGAAGAAAATTGGAAATCCTTTACTTCATCAACACAGGAAAACTGTTTGTGTTTGCTGAAATGCATCTGGGAAATGAGGTTTTTCCAAACTTAGGATATAAGAGGGCTTTTTAAATTTGGTGCCGATGTTGAACTTTTTTTAAGGGGAGAAAATTAAAAGAAATATACAGTTTGACTTTTTGGAATTCAGCAGTTTTATCCTGGCCTTGTACTTGCTTGTATTGTAAATGTGGATTTTGTAGATGTTAGGGTATAAGTTGCTGTAAAATTTGTGTAAATTTGTATCCACACAAATTCAGTCTCTGAATACACAGTATTCAGAGTCTCTGATACACAGTAATTGTGACAATAGGGCTAAATGTTTAAAGAAATCAAAAGAATCTATTAGATTTTAGAAAAACATTTAAACTTTTTAAAATACTTATTAAAAAATTTGTATAAGCCACTTGTCTTGAAAACTGTGCAACTTTTTAAAGTAAATTATTAAGCAGACTGGAAAAGTGATGTATTTTCATAGTGACCTGTGTTTCACTTAATGTTTCTTAGAGCCAAGTGTCTTTTAAACATTATTTTTTATTTCTGATTTCATAATTCAGAACTAAATTTTTCATAGAAGTGTTGAGCCATGCTACAGTTAGTCTTGTCCCAATTAAAATACTATGCAGTATCTCTTACATCAGTAGCATTTTTCTAAAACCTTAGTCATCAGATATGCTTACTAAATCTTCAGCATAGAAGGAAGTGTGTTTGCCTAAAACAATCTAAAACAATTCCCTTCTTTTTCATCCCAGACCAATGGCATTATTAGGTCTTAAAGTAGTTACTCCCTTCTCGTGTTTGCTTAAAATATGTGAAGTTTTCCTTGCTATTTCAATAACAGATGGTGCTGCTAATTCCCAACATTTCTTAAATTATTTTATATCATACAGTTTTCATTGATTATATGGGTATATATTCATCTAATAAATCAGTGAACTGTTCCTCATGTTGCTGAATTTGTAGTTGTTGGTTTATTTTAATGGTATGTACAAGTTGAGTATCCCTTATCCAAAATGCTTGGGACCAGAAGTGTTTCAGATTTTTTAAAATTTTGGAATATTTGCTTTATACTGAGCTTTTGAGTGTTCCCAATCTGAAATTCAAAATGCTCTAATGAGCATTTCCTTTGAGCATCATGCCTGCTCTGAAAAAGTTTCTGATTCTGGAGCATTTTGGATTTTGGATTTTCAGATTAGGGATGCTTAACCTGGATTAACATTCTGTTGTGCCATGATCATGCTTTACAGTGAGTGTATTTTATTTATTTATTATTTTGTTTGTTTGTTTGAGATGGAGTCTCACTCTGTCATCCAGGCTAGAGTGCAGTGGCGTGATCTCGGCTGACTGCAACCTCTGCCTCCCGGGTTCAAGTGATTCTCCTGCCTCAATCTCTCTCCCCAGAAGCTGGGATTACAGGTGTGTGCCACCACACCCGGCTAATTTTTTTTTTTTTTTTTGAGATGGAGTCTAGCTCTGTCATCCAGGCTGGAGTGCAGTGGTGTGATCTCGGCTCCCTGCAACCTCTGCCTTCTGGGTTCCTGCGATTCTCCTGCCTCAGCCTCCTGAGTAGCTGAGATTACAGGCACGCGCCACTGTGCCCAGCCAATTTTTGTATTTTTAGTAGAGATGGGGTTTCACATGTCAGTCATGCTGGTCTTGATCTCCTGACCTCGTGATCCACCCGCCTCGACCTCCCAAAGTACTGGGATTACAGGCGTGAGCCACCGCATCCGGCCTGAGTTTTATGCTTTCAATGTATTTCTTACATTTCAGTTCAAGTGATTTTCATGTCTCAGCCTCCTGAGTAGCTGGAACTACAGGTGCGTGCCACCATGCCTGGCTAAGTTTTGTATTTTTAGTAGAGATGGGTTTTCATCATGTTGGCCAAGATGGTCTTGATCTCTTGACCTCATGATCCACCAGCCTAGGCCTCCCAAAGTGCTGGGATTACAGGTGTGAGCCACCGTGCCCAGCCAACTATGCCATTATTTAACCATGTCCACACATTCTGGTTATTTTCAATATTTTGCAGAAGATAATTCTTGATCGGTGTGTCTTATGCCACAAGGATTAAAATATGTATTCATTGCTACAAAACAATATCTCGAAATTTAGCAGTTTAAAACAACAAATATTATCTCCAGTTTCTGAGCCTCAGAAATCTGAGAGTGGTTTAGCTGGGTGATAGTCTCGTGGTTTTGGTCAAGCTACCAACCAGGGCTACAATCTTTCGAAGGTGTCATTGGGGCTAGAAGATCTGCTTCCCGCAAGACTCACAGCTGTTGGCAGGAGACCTCAGTTTGTTGCCACATGTTCCCCTCCAGAGGGCCTCTCACAACATGGCAGTTATTTGTCCCCAGAGCAAGCAACACCGGAGGGCAAGGAAGAAGCCATGATGTTTTTTGTAACCTAGCCTCTGAAAGTGTCATACCAATTCTGTATTTTGTTGGTCACACAGACCAAGTCAACTACAACGTGGGAGACTCCTACACAAGGCATGAATTCTAGGAGGTGGGCATTTTTAAGTGTCATCTGGAAGGAGGCTGTCACAACCTGGAAGTTAAAAGCATTGATATTCTGAAATACAGCGTGTATAACATTGTTTTAGTAGGGTGTGCAATAGTTATGTTTTGGTAATAGCATTAATGAACAATGTTATTTTCATCTTCCAGACATCTGGAAGATTGCTCTAGTGGAGTAAAACATCTTAATGTATTTTGTCCCTAAATAAACTATCTCACTAACAAAGTTGAGAATAATTTTTTTTTTTTTTAACAGGGTCTCACTGTCCCCAGGCTGATGTGGAGTGCAGTGGCAAAATCATAGGTCACTGTAACCTTTAACTCCTGGGTTCAAGTGATCCTCCCATCTCAGCTTCCTGAGTAGCTGGGACTACAGGTGCATATCACCACACCTGGTGGATTTTAAAAATTTCCTTAGAGACAAGGTCTCACTGTGTTGCTCAGGCTGGTCTTAAATTCCTGGCCTCAAGTGATCCTCCTGCCTCGGCCTCCCAAAGTGCTAGGCAAATTTTAATCTTAGAGACAAAATATTTAGGCAGTATTAGTGGTTGCATTAGGGATTACAATGTACATACACTTATAGACTACTTAGAATCAATGTTCTATGACTAAAAGTGGAATGTAGGAACGTTACTAGCCAGGTGTGGTGGCATGTGCCTGTAGTCCCAGCTACTCTGGAGTCTGAGGTAGGAGGATCACTTGGGCCCAGGGGGTTGAGGCTTCAGTGAGCCGTGATCACACCACTGCACACCAGCCTGGGCAACAGAGTGAGACACTGCCTCAAAAATAAATAATAAAAGTAACAAAAGTTTTAGCAAAAGGAAAAAAAGTTAAAAGAAAGCAAGCTGGGTATGGTGGTGCATTCCTGTAGTCCTAGCTACTCAGGAAGCTGCGGTGGGAGGATTGCTTGAGCCCAAGAGTTCCAGGCTATAGTGTGCGATGATCACACCTGTGAATAGCTATTGGACTCCAGCCTGGACAGCATAGTTAGGCCCTGTCTCTTACACAAAACACAAAATAACAAAATGAAAACAGGTCGGGTGCGGTGGCTCATGCCTGTAATCCCAGCTCTTTGGGAGGCTGAGGTGGGGGGATCACCTGAGGTCAGGAGTTTGAGACCAGCCTGGCCAACATGGTGAAACCCCATCTCTACTAAACATACAAAAATTAGCTGGGCGCGGTGGCACACACCTGTAATCCCAGCTACTTGGGAGGCTAAGGCAGGAGAATTGCTTGAACCTGGGAGGCAGAGGTTGCAGTGAGCTGAGAATGTACCACTGCACTCCAGCCTAGGTGACAAAGTGAGACTTCGTTGCAAAAACAAAAACAAAAAAACAAAAACAAATGGAAACAGAGAAGAATGTGGTGCTAAAAAAAAAATCTAGGCTGGGCACGGAATATGCCTGTATTCCCAGCACTTTGAGAGGCTAAGGTGGGTGGATCACTTAAGGTTAGGAGTTTGAGACCATTCTGGCCAACATGGTGAAACCCTGTCTCTACTAAAAATACAAAAATTAGCCAGGCATGGTGGTGGATGCCTGTAGTCCAGCTACTCAGGAGGCCGAGGCAGAAGAGTCACTTGAACTCGGGAGGCGGAGGTTGAATTGAGCCGAGATCGGGCCACTGCACTCCAGCCTTCGCAACAGAGTAAGACCCTGACTCTAATAATAATAATAATAATATAATAATAATAATAATAATAATAATAATAATTAAAGATGGCTTTAAAACATCCTAAGTCTAATGAGTCATAAACCTACAAATTCAAGCTCAGCAAATCCCCAAACAGAAAACATTAAGAAATCCTGACATAACCAAATTGCTAAAAACTAAAGAGAAAAACAATCTTGAAAGCCACCAGAGGGAAAATATAATGCATACTGACATACACAGGACTAATTTAAATGACTGCATATTTCTCTTCAGAAACCATGATAGGGCCGGGCATGGTAGCTCCACCTGTAATCCCAGCACTTTGGGAGGCCGAGGTGGGTGGATCACTTGAAGTCAGGAGTTTGAGACCAGCCTGGCCAACACGGTCAAACCCCATCTCTACTAAAAGTAAAAAAATTAGCCAGGCATGATGGCGTATGCCTGTAATCCCAGCTACTTGGGAGGTTGAGGCAGGAGAATTGCATGAACCCAGGAGGTGGAGGTTGTAGTGAGCCAAGACAAAGCAAGACTCCGTCTCAAAAAAAAAGGAAGAAAAAAAACAAACATGAAGACCAGAGGAAGCGGCATTTTCATTTTTTTGAGACAGAGTCTTGCTCTGTCACGCCCAAGCTGCAGTGCAGTGGCTCAATCTCGGCTCACTGCAACCTCCACTTCCTGGGTTCAAGTGATTCTCCTGCCTCAGCCTCCTGAGTAGCTGGGACTACAGGTGCGCACCACCATGCCCGGCTAATTTTTGTATTTTTAGTAGAAACGGGGTTTCACCATGTTGGCCAGGCTGGTCTCAAACTCCTGACCTCAGGTGACACACCCACCTTGGCCTCCCAAAATGCTGGATTACAGGCATGCGCCACCATGCCTGACCACCTTGTGTATTTTTTAAAACAGTTGATAAAACTAAGGTTTGAGGGCTGGCCGTGGTAGCTCATGCCTGTAATCCCGGCACTTTGGAAGACCGAGGCAGGTGGATCACCTGAGCTCAGGAGTGTGAGACCAGCTCTGCCAACATGCTGAAAACACATCTCTACTAAAAATACAAAAATTAGCTGTGCATGGTGGCGCGTATGTGATGGTGCGCACCTGTAATCCCAGCTACTCTGGAGGCTGAGGCAGGAGAATCACTTGAACCCAGGAGGCAGAGGTTGCAGTGAGCCGAGATTGAGCCACTGCACTTCAGCCTGGGTGACCAAGGGAGACTCTGTTTCAAAACAAAACGAAACAACAACAAAAACAAGATTTGGTCGTTGTCGGCAGTTTCACTTTCCTGTATCTTTATAACTGTCTATGGTTGTTTTTTTTGGGTTTTTTTTTGGAGAGACAGGGTCTCATTTGGTTTCCCAGTGTGGAGTGCAGTAGCACAATCACAACTCACTGCAGCTTTGAACTCTTGGACTCCAGTGATCCTGCTGCCTCAGCCTCCCGAGCAGTTAGGACTAAAGGCATGGGCCACCACGCTCAGCTAAGTTTTACTTTTTTTGTAGAGATGGGGTCTCACTACGTTGACCAGGCTGGTCTCAAACTCCTAGGCTCAAGCAATCCTCCCGCCTCAGCCACCCAAAGTATTGGGATTCCAGGCCTGAGCTACTGTTACTGGAAAGGGGTCCTGATCCAGACCCCAAGACAGGGTTCTTGGCTCTTGCACAAGAAAAAATTCGGGGTGAGTCCATAAACTGGAAGCAAGTTTATTAGGAAAGTAAAGGAGTAAAGAATGCCTCTTCCATAGACAGAGCAGCAGGATGAGCTGCTAGTTGGCCATTTTTATGGTTATTTCTTGATTATATACTAAACAAGGGGTGGATTATTTATGACTTTTCCGGGAAAGGGGTGGGCAATTCTCGAAACTGAGGGTTCCTCGCCTTTTTAGACCGCATATGGTAACCCCCCTGACACTGCCATGGTATTTGTAAACTATCCTGGCCCTGGTAGGAGTGTCTTTTAGCATGCTAATGTATTATAATTCGTGTATAATGAGCAGTGAGGATAACCAGAGGTCACTCTTGTTGCCATCTTGGTTTTGGTGGGTTTTGGCAGGCTTCTTTCCCGCAACCTGTTTTATTAGTTAAGGTCTTTATGACCTGTATCTTGTACTGACCTCCTATCTGATCCTGTGACTTAAAAGGCCTAACCTCCTGGGAATGCAGCCCAGTAGGTCTCAGCCTCATTTTACATAGCCCCTCTTCAAGATGGAGTTGCTCCAGTTCAAAGGCCTCTGACACCACCGTGCCTGGGCAATAGTAGGAGCTCCGACATTTAATTGTTCCTGTTAGTGAATAGAGCATCATGGAGAATAAATGAAACAAATAAATAATCGTTTCTGGTAAAGAGATTTTGTTACATTTCAGTTACAGGCAATAGAATTATAAGCAGTTACAAAGCAGCACTGATGTGTCAAAGATAAAGAATGACCACACTTGGCCTGGCTGTGGCTCACTCCTGTACTGCAACTGCAACTCCCAACAGTTTGGGAGGCGAAGGCAGGCAGATTGGTTGAACCCAGGAGTTTGAGACCAGCCTGGGTAACAAAGTGAGACCCTGTCTTTACAAAAAAAATTTAAAAATTAGCTGGGTGTGGTGGTACGCACCTGGGCTGAGGCAGGAGGATCCCTTGAACCGAGAAGGTTGAGGCTGCAGTGAATTCTGATTGCACCACTGTACTCTAGCCTGAGTGACAGGGATGACCATACTTAATAGTTTGCCCGGAGCAGTCCTAGTTTACTTTTTTTTTTTTTTTTGGTGTAATTATTAGAAGAGCCTCATTTCACTGTCCTGACAAGATGACAAATTCTATGACCACTTTATAGATACTAGTTGGTTTCAACAGAATGAAAAACTAAAGGAAAATAATCACCGTATCTTCAGGATTTTTTTTTTTTTTTTTGAGACAGAGTCTTGCTCTGTTGCCCAGACTGGAGTGCAGTGGTGCCATCTTGGCTCACTGCAACCTCCCCCTCCTGGGTTCAAGCAATTCTCTTGCCTCAGCCTCTGGAGTAGCTGGGACTACAGGCGTGTGCCACCATGCCCGGCTAATTTTTGTATTTTTAGTAGAGACGGGGTTTCACCATGTTGGCCAGGCTGGTCTCGAACTCCTGACCTCAGGTGATCCTCCCGGCTCGGCCTCCCAAACTGCTGGGATTACAGGCATGAGCCACCACGCCCGGCCATCTTCAGGATGTTTGCTGGACTTGGGAAGGAGCAGAGGGATCCAACATAATAAACAACTGCAAAGACTTAAAATTTTGAATAGAAATTATGGGGAAATGCTGTTTTAGAAAGCATGATTACCTAGTACCTAGTATTCAGGATGGACAAATGGCAGGCACTAATTGTAATCAATAGAGGTGAGGTGATAGGAGTTTGGATTATGTTGGTTTTGCTAGTCTATGAATTTTGGGATTCTACTTTGGGTAGTGTTTAGAAATTGGGACCTAATGAATGCATCAGAAAAAGTCAATATCATGAGTAATCAATATATTTTTATCTTACAAGATAAAATCCTAGCTACAGCTAGAGGATTTTAGAGAAAAGTGATGAGGTTTTATTTTTTAAACTTTTTAAAATACTTCGCTGAAAATTAAAATACTAATGTTCACCACAGTTTTGTGTGAAAACAGGTTGTTTCCCTGCTGCTGAAATTACAGGATCATTATTCAAGTGTTTTTGGTGGCCTGGGTCAGTGAGGCAATAGCTTAAGGCTTAAAAAACAAACAACAAACAAACCAAAAGAAGAATCCTAACCAAAGCAAAAACACACCAGAAAGTACACACTGATCTTGAAATTTGGTTTGCATATGGACAGCTCCCTGATTATTCTCTAGGGATTTTGATTTTTTGTTCTGTAGGGTCATATGAGAGGCAATCTTGGTCATTAGTAATTTACTATACTGGGCCAAGGAAGCAATTGGAAGAACAAAGAACTCCCTTAAAGTTACTCTTTTCCATTAAAGATGAGTTTCGTAGCTGGGATTGCTAGGTAGCAAGAACAAATAGTTCACTGAAGAGTTTCTCCATGTCTCTGTACTTTGAAGTGACTCATGAGCTGGCAGTATGTACAAAGCACCCACTAGTTTCTTCCATTAAAAAATATGATCACCACACGTTTTATCTCCAGTGAAGGCTCATAAGAGAATCTCAAACCATCTTTGTGGATAATAAAATGGGGTAATTAGAACTGGCTGGTCGTTCGTTTGGAGAAATTTCTTTCTTTCTTTCTTTTTTTTCTGAGACGGAGTTTCGCTCTTGTTGCCCAGTCTGGAGTGCAACGGTGCGATCTTGGCTCACCGCAACCTCCACCTCCCAGGTTCAAGCGTTTCTCCTGCCTCAGCCTCCTAAGTAGCTGGGATTACGGGCATTCGCCACCACGCCTGGCTTATTTTTTATTTTTAGTAGAGACGGGGTTTCTTTCTCTTTTTTTTTTTGAGACGGAGTCTCGCTCTGTCGCCCAGGCTGGAGTGCCATGGCGTGATCTCGGCTCACTACAAGCTCCGCCCCTCGGGTTCACAACATTCTCCTGCCTCAGCCTCCCAAGTGGCTGGGACTACAGGTGCCCGCCACCACGCCCGGCTAATTTTTTGTATTTTTAGTAGAGACGGGGTTTCACCGTGTTAGCCATGATGATCTCTATCTCCTGACTTCGTGATCCGCCCGCCTCGGCTTCCCAAAGTGCTGGGATTACAGGCGTGAGCCACCGCGCCCGGCCCTTAGAGACGGGGTTTCTCCACGTTGGTCAGGCTGGTCTCGAACTCATGACCGCAGGTGATCCGCCTGCCTCAGCCTCCCAAAGTGCTGGGATTACAGGTATGAGCCACTGCGCCCGGTGCATTTGGAGAAATTTCTACTTTGATCTAAGAACTTTAAATTTGGGCTGGGCGGATGACTCACGCCTGTAATCCCAGCACTTTGGGAGGCTGAGGCGGGCACATGGCTTGAGCTCGAGTTCGAGACCAGCCTGGGCAACATGGTGAAACTCCATCTCTAGAAAAAATACAAAAATGGCCGGGCTCAGTGGCTCACGCCTGTAATCCCAGCACTTTGGGAGGCCGAGGTGGGCGAATCACGAGTTCGACACCAGCCTGGCCAACATGGGGAAACCCTGTCTCTACTAAAAATACAAAACATTAGCTGGATGTGGTAGTGGGCGCCTGTAATCCCAGCTACTCGGGAGGCTGACGCAGAAGAATTGCTTGAACCCGGGACACGGAGGTTGCAGTGAACCGAGATTGCACCACTGCACTCCAGCTCAGACGACAGTGCAAAGACTGTCTAAATTAAAAAAAAAAAAAAAGAAAGAGAAAAAAAGAAAAAGAAAATAAAAAATACAAAAATTACCAGGAGTGGTGGTGCAGGTCTGCCGTCCCAGCTACTCAGGAGGCTGAGGTGGGAGGATCACTTGAGTCTGGGAAGTCAAGGTAGCAGTGAGCTATGATTGTGTCACTGCACTCCAGCCTGGGAGACAGACTGACACTCTGTCTCAAAAAAAAAAAAAAAAAAAAGAAAGAAAGAAAAAATGGCCAGGCGCAGTGGTGGCTCACGTCTGTAATCCCAGCACTTTGGGAGGCCGAGTCAGGCAGATCACGAGATGAGGAGTTCCAGACCAGCCTGGCCAATATGGTGAAACCAGACCAGCCTGGCCAATATGGTGAAACCCCGTCTCTACTAAAAATACAAAAATTAGCCAGGCATGGTGGTGCACACCTGTAGTCCCAGCTACTCAGGAGGCTGAGGCAAAAAGAACTGCTTTAACTCGGGAGGTGGAGGTTGCAGTGAGCCCACATCGTGCCACTGCACTCCAGCTTAGGTGACAGAGTGAGACTCTGTCTCAAAAGAAAAAAAAAAAAGAAAAAAAAACTTATTTAGTCATAAAAAGCCTATGGGGTCGGGTGCAGTGGTTCACACCTGTAATCCCAGCACTTTGGGAGGCTGAGATGGGAGAATCACTTGAGCTCCGGAGTTCAAGATCAGCCTGGGCAACATAGGGAGGCCCTGTCTCTACAGAAAAAAATTTTTTAATTAGCCAGCATGTTGGTGTGTGCCTGTAAACCCAGCTACTTAGGAGGCTGAGGTGGGAGGATCACATGAGCCGAGGAGTTGGAGGTTGCAGTGAGCTATGATTGCACTACTGCACACCAGCCTGGGTAACAGCAAAACTGCCCCCCTCTGACGCCCCTGCTAAAAAGAAAGCCTATGAGGCTCATAATATTCTTTTTTTTTTGGAGACGGAGTCTTGCTCTGTTGCCCAGGCTGGAGTGCAGTGGCGCGATCTCGGCTCACTGCAAGCTCTGCCTCCCAGGTTCTCGCCATTCTCTGCCTCAGCCTACCGAGTAGCTGGGACTACAAGCGCCAGCCACCACGCCTGGCTAATTTTTTGTATTTTTAGTAGAGATGGAGTTTCACCATTAGGATGGTTTCGATCTCCTGACCTCATGATCCGCCCTCCTCGGCCTCCCAACGTGTTGGGATTACAGGCCTGAGCCACCGCGCCCCGCCCATATTATTCCTTCTACAATTTACAAAGGATGAAACAATGAAGGCACAGAAATTTACCAAGAAATGTAAAACTCAGCTAGTGTTCATCCTATTTGTAAATGGCACCACTCAGCTGATCAAGCCCAAAACACAGAAAACATCTTTTTTTTTTTTCCTCTAACACCTTTAAGGTTTCTTGGATTTGAACATCCTTGATTCTTTCCCTTTGGGTCCGGAGTTGGTTCCTTCCGGTGGATTCGTGGTCTGACTTCAAGAACGAAGCCGAGGACCTTCTCGTTGAGTGTTATAGCTCTTAAAGGTGGCATGGACCCAAAGAATGAGCAGCAGCAAGATTTATTGTAAAGAAGGAAACAACAAAGCTTTTAGCTTTCCACAGAGTGGAAGGGGCCTGGAGCAGGTTGCCGCTGCTGGGGGGAGTGGCCAGCTTTTATTCCCTTATTGTCCCCGCCCATGTTCCGTTTCTGTCCTAGCACAGTGCCCTTTCTTCAATCTTCCCCACGATTGGCTTTTAGACTCCTGCTGATTGGTACGTTTTACAGAGCACTGATTGGTGCATTTTACAGAGCACTGATTGGTGCATTTTACAGAGTGCTGATTGGTGCATTTTACAATCCTCTTGCTAGCTACAGAGCGTTGATTGGTGCGTTTTTACAGATCACTGAATGGTGCATTTTACAATCCCCTTGCTAGCTACAGAGTGCTGATTGGTGCACCTTACAATCCCCTTGCTAGCTACAGAGTGCTGATTGGTGCGTTTTCCAATCCTAGCTACAGAGTGCTGACTGGTGTGTTTTACAATCCTCTCCTAAGACAGAAAAGTTCTCCAAGTCCCCACTCTACCCAGGAAGTCCAGCTGGCTTCACCTCTCACCTTCATCCTGTAACCGAGTCCTAACTTGTTCTGCTCACTGCATGACAGCCAAGGGGTGAAGAGTCAAGGAGTTAGAGCAAGGATAGTAACTTTATTTCTGAGAGCTAGCAAACCCGGAAAATTGCAGAATAATGTACTAAAGAACCATCTTTTTGGCTGGGCATGGTGGCTCACGCCTGTAATTCCAGCACTTTGGGAGGCCAGGGCGGGTGGAACATGAAGTCAGGAGTTCAAGACCAGCCTGGCCAAAATGGTGAAACCCCGTCACTACTAAAAATGCAAAGAATTAGCCAGGAGTGGTGGCGGGTGCCTGTAATCCCAGCTACTCAGGATGCCGAGGCAGAAGAATCGCTTTAACCCGCGAGGTGGACGTTGCAGTGAGCCAAGATTGAGACACTGCACTCCAGCCTGGTGACACAGTGAGACTCCATCTCAAAAAAAAAAAAAAGTTGGAGTCTTGCTCTGTCGCCCAGGCTGGAGTGCAGTGCCTTGATCTTGGCTCACTGCAACCTCCACCTCCCGGGTTTAAGTGATTCTCCTGTCCCAGCCTCCCGAGTAGCTGGGACTACAGGCGCACACCACCACGTCCAGCTAATTTTTGTATTTTTAGTAGAGACGGGGTTTCTCCATGTTGGTCAGTCTGGTCTTGAACTCCTGATCTCAGGTGATCCACCTATTTCGGCCTCCCAAAGTGCTGGGATGAGAGGTGTGAGCCATCACACCCAGCCTGAAGAACCATCTTAAGTTAGTACACATTTCAGGCTCTTTTTGTGTTAAGGGCAGGGGGAAGAAGAGAGGGTTTGAATCAAGGGGTGACTGATGACCGTAGACATCTGGGCGCCAGCAAGGGTTCCTCGAGGCCTGAAGCCTCTCTGTTACTGGTCAGGTCACAATACTTTCTCAAACTCTCAACATTGTTACTTGTGTGTACACCCTCCTTTTCTCCTTGGGGGTTAGTTTTGGGAAGGGACTATTATCATCCTTGCTTTAAAGTTAAACTATAAATTCCTCCCTTGGTTAGCTTAGTCTATGTGCAGAGATAAGCAAAAGCAGTTAACTTAGATATCACCGATGGGTGGGAGTGGGGAGTTTAGGAGCAAAATGGAGTTAGTCATGCTAGGCCTCCTTTTCAATGTTACAATTCCACATTATCAAGTTATTTCAATCCCACATTATCAAGTTATTTCAATATTTCCAAATATATTCTTCTTCTTCTTCTTCTTCTTTTTTTTTTTTTGAGCGAGAGTTTTGCTCTGTCGCCCAGAGGCTGGAGTGCAGTTGCACGATCTCGGCTCACTGCAACCTTCACATCTCGGATTCAAGCGATTCTCCTGCCTCAGCCTCCTGAGTAGTTGGGATTACAGGCGTGCACCATCAAAACCCGCTGATTTTTGTATTTTTAGTAGAGACAGAGTTTCACAAAGTTGGCAAGGCTGGTCTTGACCTCCTGACCTCAAGTGATCTGCCCCTCTCAGCCTCCCAAAGTGCTGGGATTACAGGTGTGAGCCACCGTGCCCGGCCTTTTCTTTCATTTCTTTTTTTAAAATTTTTTAAAATTTTATGTATGTATGTATGTATGTATGTATGTATGTATGTATGTATGTATCTATCTATCTATCTATCTATCTATCTATCTATCTATCTATCTGTCTTGAGAGGGACTCTCTGTCACCCAGGCTAAAGTGCTGGAGGGCAATGGCGTGATCTATAGGCTCACTGCAATCTCCGCCTCCTGGGTTCAAGCAATTCTTCCGCCTCAGCCTCCCCAGTAGCTAGGATTACAGGCATTGGCCACCACACCTGGCTATTTTTAGTAGAGACGGGGTTTCTTCATGTTGTCCAGGCTGTTCTAGAACTCCTGGCCTCAAGCGATCTTCCCGCCTAGGCTTCCCAAAATGTTGGGATTGCAGGCGTGAGCCACCACGCCCAGCCCACCACGCCTGTTAATAAGCTATACCCTCACGGACCTGTCATTGGCATTAAATTTGATAATACATTAGAGTATTGTATATGAAGTATACGAAGGCCTGTGCTGAGTGTTCAAGAAGTCAGTCAGTATTATTCTACTTATATTAATAAATGAACTGATGAAATGACAATGGCGAGATCTCGATCTTCAACAATAAGGGAGATGGAAACTGAAGCAAGAAGTGGTCTACAAACCTAGCTCAAATTGTTGAGATTACCGGCCGTGCCCCTTATTCAGATCAACCCCTCCTCGGCTGATCGCCGGCGCGAGCCAGCCTAGGCTCCCGGAAGGTAAACACATCGCCAAGGGCTGGGCAGAAGGCGGGTGTGGGACGGGTGAGTGGCCAGCTAAAAGTGATTGGCAGCTGCCATGTCCACGTGCTCCGAGCTTGGAACCAGCTGTCGCGAGAATTCGATGTAAACAGACCAGTCTCCCTGTCCTCCGGCTCCAACCTGAAACGCTCACGTGAGCGGGACAGGAGTCTGGATCATGTTGCTTTTCTTTTCAAAGCCACGAAGGTTCTGTCTTCCAAAAAAAATGTACATGTTCGTAATTATTCCCCAGCTGCCTGCGTTTGCAACCGAACCTGACACCTCGGCTTCACCCGAACTTACATGCTGTTGTGTTTTCCCTCCAGCCCCAGCGGATTGGACACATTCAGAAGGCGGGTCCGCCTCTTTCCTACTTGCTGGTTGGCGAAGCTGACCTCCAAGGGCGGTGCCCGGCCATAGCCGGTTTGCTTCTGGGATTGGCTAGAGGGGGTGGTTCCGCTGAGGCGTGGTAGGAAGTGGCTGCCGTCAATCACTCGGGGAGACTCCAAACAGTGAGCCTAGAGCTGGAGACTAGCGTTAACCGGCGGGGCGGCCGGTGAGAGGGCTGGCAGGGCTTTGGCTTTGGGGAGGCTTGGGGAGGACGAGGGACTGGCGGCGTGAGGGGACTGGGTCGGGCTGGCAGGAATTCGACAGGAGAGAGGTGTCGATACTGGAGGGGGAGGGGAACAGTGCAAGGGGCCGGAGGGCGGCCGGGGGCAGCGGTGGCTCCGTGTTGGAGGTTAAGTGGGCAGCGCCGTACGAGTGTCTTTCAGGAGACTGGGGCCTGAGTGGCTGGCGAGGGTCGTCCCCAGGAGACAGGGCCCTTAAAGGGCAGGGCTTGGGAGACTGTGGTTCGAGAAAGCAAGAATGGGATGAGAATGAGAGGGCTGAGGGGCTGGAGGTGCAGGTATCCTCTGAGGAGGTGGTGGCTCTGCTCCTTGGGGCAGAGGGTGTTTTGGTTGTAGGAGGTGGGGCGCACAGGTTTAGAGTTTTCACATCAGGTGTGAATGCTCCCTACTTAAAAATGGTTTTCGGTGCCTTCAAGATGAGTTCCAGGTTGTGGGCTTCCCTGAGCCCTGTAAGAGATCTTTGATATTGCTGTCAGTCCTCTTTTAACCTTAACCAAGCCGACTCCATGCTCTTAAAATCTCAGTGATTCAGAGGGTCATGAAACATTCTAGGATCAGGATTTACTGATGTGACGGGAAAGGGTAAAGGGCTGTAACAACGTATTAGTTTATGTTAGTTATTTGACTACTTGCTACTAGTCAAATAATTACTTGACTTATTTGTTATAGTAGCAGGGGGTTACGAATGTGATTTAAATTGTGATTTACTCATAGATTCCCAACAGGTTTAATTGGAAGGTAGAGTGATATCATGTCACTTGTTCCGTTTGGTCTTGAAATATTGTACCATGTGTATTTTCACTATCTCAACATAAAATTGCAGTAAATTCCCATCCCATGATCTGGTTCTCTCACCCTTGTAATTTATGTTAACAACAGACCAAGGGGTACAGCAGGAGTCTTCCTTACATTGTTTTGTGGTTCTGAGACCTGGTCCTATTAAAAAACAAAACAGGATGGGCGCGGTGGCTCAAGCCTATAATCCCAGCACTTTGGGAGGCTAAGGCGGATGGATTGCTTGAGCTCAGGAGTTCGAGACCAGCCTTGGCAACATGGTGAAACCCCGTCGCTACAAAAAAATATAAAATTTAGCTCGGCATGGTGGCGCTCGCCTGTAATCCCAGCTACTCAGGAGGCTGAGGCAGGAGAATTGCTTGAGCCTGGGAGGCGGAGATTGCCATGAGCAGAGATCGTGCCACTGAACTCCAGCCTGGGCGACAGAGCGAGACTCTATCTCAAAAATAATAATAACCCCCCAAACCCCTCATTATAATTTGAAAAAAATTAAAAACCTACTTCCTCCTTTTTTCCCTTTCTGGTGTAACAGGAATTTCTGGGAAAGTTTCCTACATTTGAGGCATTTTTGACAAGGGATCTCTAGTGAGTAATCATAAATCTTCCTCCCTACCCCCAACAACGATCCATGTTTTTCTGTTTTTTGTTTGTTTGTTTGTTCTGGAAACAGGTTTTATGAATGAAGCTATGGCTACAGATTCCCCAAGAAGACCCAGTCGTTGTACTGGTGGAGTTGTGGTTCGCCCCCAGGCTGTCACGTAAGCACATTTCAGATAAACCCAATAGCTGAAGAAAAGATTACTCAGAATACTAACATTTAGGTTTTCTTTATGAACAGTGGTTACTTTTGTAAAAATCTTTTAACTGTTGGCTTTATGGGATGAATAATAATAATTGCCAAGACCAAATGAAGAATTGGAGAGTTAAGTTGACGTATTCAGCACATTTACAGAGTACGTGAAGAGCACTATGCTAAATCCTGAAGAGCAGTGTTTTCAAACTCCAGGTTTAACAAATTAGTGGATTGTTAAATCAGTTTAGTGGGTCAGGAGTTGTAGTAGAAAATGAAATAGAGGCCGGGCGCAGTGGCTCATGCCTGTAATCCCAGCACTTTGGGAGGCCCAGGCAGGCGGATCACGAGATCAGGAGATCGAGACCATCCTGGCTAAAACGGTGAAACCCTGTCTCTACTAAAAATACAAAAAATTAGCCGGGTATGGTGGCCCCTGTAGTCCCAGCTACTCGGGAGGCTGAGTCAGGAGAATGACGTGAACCTGGGAGGTGGAACTTGCAGTGAGCTGAGATCGCGCCACTGCACCCTAGCCTGGGCGACACAGCAAGACTCTGTCTCCAAAAAAAAAAAAAAAAAGAAAGAAAATGAAATAGAATATAATAGAAAATTAGAAAATATAGCTGAGAGTTTGTATTGTTTCATGACATGCACATAAATATGTTCATGTGTATGTATATATTTACCAGACAGTGATGTAAAATGTATCTCTTTTAACTTTTAAGTTCAAGGGTACATGTGCAGGTTTGTTATATAGGGAAACTCATGTCACAGGGGTTTGTTGTACAGATTATTTCATCACCCAGGTATTAAGCATAGTCCCCATTAGTTATTTTTCCTGACCCTCTCCCCGCTCCCACCCAACTCTGATAGGCACCAGTGTGTGGTGTTCCCGTCTATGTATCCATGTGTTATCTATAAAAGGAATCTCTTAGTCTAGGTCTCTGTCAGAAAGTTTCAAAGTAAGTGTCATAGTATATGTCTCTGTTTTTGGCATTCTTTGACAAAGAATGTCTATACTTACTAGAGTGAGTTTATAATCTAATATGGTTTGAAGATATGTATACTTTTTTTTTTTTTTTAGATGGAGTCTCACTCTGTTGCCCAGGTTGGAGTGCAGTGGCGCCGTCTCGGCTCGCTGCAGCCTCCACCTCCTCCTCTGTCTCCCAGATTCAAGCGATTCTCCTGCCTTGGCCTCCCAAGTAGCTGGGATTACAGGCGAGCGCCACCAGGCCTGGCCAAATTTTGTATTTTTAGCAAAGACGGGGTTTTGCCATTTGGCCAGGCTGGTCTTGAACTCCTGACCTCAGGTGATCTGCCTGTCTTGGCCTCCCAAAGTGCTAGAATTACATGTGTGAGCCACTGTGCCTGGCCAAAGATATGTATACTTGAAGGCTGACATGGGAGGATTGCTTGAAACCAGGAGTTTGACACCAGCCTGAACAACATCCTGAGACCCTCATGCCTTAAAAAAATACAAAAATTAGCCAGGCATTGTGGCAGGCGCCTGGAGCCTTAGCTACTCGGGAGGCTGAGATGGGAGGATCACCTCGGCCCAGGAGCTTGAAGCTGTGGTAAGCTGTGATTGTGCCATTACACTCCAGCCTAGGTGACAGAGTGAGACTGTGTCTTAAAAAAAATATATGTCTGGGCGCAGTGGCTCATGCCTGTAATCCCAGCATTTTGGGAGGCTGAGGTGGGCGGATCACCTGAGGTTGGGAGTTTGAGACCAGCCTGACCAATGTGGAGAAAACCCGTCTCTACTAAAAATACAAAACTTAGCTGGGGGTGGTGGCAATAGCCTGTAATCCCAGCTACTTGGGAGGCTGAGGCAGGAGAATCGCTTGAACCCGGGAGGCGGAGGTTGCAGTGAGCTGAGATCGCACCACTGCACTCCAGCCTGGGGGACAAGAGCAAGACTTCATTTCCAAAAAATAAGAAAAATAAATAGATATATTTTATATGTATATATATTATTCTTTTTTTTTTCTTTTTTTGAGATGCAGTCTCGCTCCATTGCCCAGGCTGGAGTGCAGTGGCATGATCTCGGCTCACTGCAACCTCCGCCTTCTGGGTTCAAATGATTCTCTTGCCTCAGCCTCCCAAGTAGCTGGGATTACAAATGTGGATCACCACGCCTGGCTAATTTTTGTATACATATATATATATTTTTTGAGACGGAGTTTCGCTCTTTTTGCCCAGGCTGGAGTGCGATGGCACGATCTCGGCTCACCGCAACCTCCGCCTCCTGGGTTCAAGCGATTCTCCTGCCTCAGCCTCCCGATTAGCTGGGATTACAGGCATGCGCCACCATGCCTGGCTAATTTTGTATTTTTTAGTAGAGACAGGGTTTCTCCATGTTGTCCAGGTTGGTCTCAAACTCCCAACCTCAGGTGGTCCGCCTGCCTCAGCCTCCCAAAGTGCTGGGATTACAGGTGTGAGCCACCGCGCCCGGCCTAATTTTTGTATTTTTGGTAGAGATGGGGTTTCATCAAATTGGCTAGGCTGAAGCAAACAAGTGAATAAGTAAAATAATGACAGGCTGTGATTGTGCACCGTGTACTACAATGGAGAGTGACAAAGGAGAATACATATAAGGCTGTCCCGGAAGCTCTCTCAAAGGAGGCAGCACTTAACCCGGAGAACTAAAAGGAAGGGAAGGGGATGGGAAGGAATCCAGATAGAAAGAAAGGTGGTATAAAGGTCTTGATTCAAAGAAGAACTTGGTGTGTGCTAGGAATTGAAGTTGCATATGGCTGAATCAGAATAAGGAGAGTGGCAAAAAATGAGGTTGGAGAGGTAGCCTAATAATTTTCTTTTTTAGGCCTAATCGATTTTTGTAGGTCTCTAGGGCATATTGCTTTTTTAATAGGATTTATGATAAATCATATTATTTTCAAGTGTGATTTTTCACATCTCTTGAAATGGATTTGAATTAGTATTTTGATTTTTTCGTTGTTGTTTTTTTGAGACAGAGTCTTGCTTTTTTGCCCAAGCTGGAGTGCAGTGGCGCGGTCTTGACTCACTGCAACCTCCACCTCTTGGGTTCAAGTGATTCTCCTGCTTCAGCCTCCCGAGCAGCTGAAATTACAGGGTGCACCACCAGGCCCAGCTAGTTTTTGTATATTTAGTAGCGACAGGGTTTCACCATGTTGGCCAGGCTGGTCTTGAACTCCTGACCTCAAGTGATCCACTCGCCTCGGCCTCCCAAAGTGCTGGGATTACAGGTGTGAGCTACCACGCCTGGCCTAAAATAGTATTTTGAAGAAGTTGTTTTTTTCCACTTGCTGAAATTTACGTACTTTGTATTTAAAATACATTAATTTAGTGTCCTTACTTAATTAACAGTGTTATTTTTTTCCCCTTCCCTTTTTTTGTTTGTTTTTTAGAGATGGGGTCTTGCTATGTTGCCTAGTCTGGCTGCCAACTTCTGGGTTCAACTCCACCTCAGCTTCCTAAATAGCTGGGACTATAGGCACATGCTACTGCATCCAGCTTTCCCTCATTTTTATGCATTTTAATTTTTTTCCATGTCTTTTCTATACCAAAAGTTCTGTAAAGGCTTAATAGCTTCTTCTAATGCCTGTATCTACCAGAAAATGTAGACTGACCTGCTATATACAGGTAAGGGACTAGGTTCATAACCAATTTAAGGAGAAGGTCACTAGATAGTGAGTCATCAGCAATAGTTTTACTTGCTCTAATTAGGGCATTCTTCTGCTCTGACTCAAGAGGAAGGTCCTACCTTAGGTCTCTGTCATCACTCCTCCAAATATGACTTAGAAGCTATCTCTATCAAATTAGGAGAGCATGACTTTTAAAAAGAGATAATGTTTAAAAATGTTAAAAGCCCATTTACATTTAATAACATATATAAAGACCCATGAAACGAGAAAGTAGTTTAGCAGAAATATCAGGTGATAAGAGTTAGCCTTTTTTTTTTTTTTTTTTTTTTTTTTTTTTTTTTTTTTTGCCTTTTTTGAATATTATGAGTGATGCCTGTAATCCCAGTACTTTGGAAGACTGAGGCGGGAGGATCGCTTGAGCTCAGAAGTTTGACACCAGCCTGGGCAACATGGTGAAACACCGTCTCTACAAAAAATACAAAAATTAGCTGGGCATGGTGGCGCATGTCTGTAGTCCCAGCTACTTGGGAGCCTGAGGTGGGAGGATTGCTTAAGCCCCGGAGGTCGAGGGAGCAGTGAGCCGAGATCGCACCACTACACTCCAGCCTGGGTGACAGAGTGAAACCTTGTCTCAAAACAAAACAAAACAAAACAAACAAAAAAACCCCAAAAAACAAACAACAACAAAAAACAAGTGACTTTATTAAGGCTTGTAAATAGAGCTTTTTTCATGTTCTATATTAAGCTCTCCTGACCAGTGTTGTCCATTTCACCCTTTTCCAGAGAGCAGTCCTACATGGAAAGTGTTGTGACTTTTCTGCAGGATGTTGTGCCACAGGTAAGTGTCTATATGTGCTTTCGCCTTTCCCTTTGGTCAGGAGAGCTCTGAAATGTTTGGTTTCCTAAACTTGACACTAGTACCAGCAACTTCCAAAAGGTTTTTGATGTTTTAGCATCCTGAGCATTCGTAGGGTGGGACTACATTATTGTTTAGATGTGCCGCAGTGTTGTGATGACAGTGGCATAAATATTATTCCTTAGGACTTTGCCTTCCTAAGAAGAATCAAGGTGAATTGTTAGTAGAGATTTGAGACCTGGGACTTTCTTTCTTAGGTTTCTATTTTCTTGTCCTATTTAAGTGTTGCCTGCCAGAAGGGAGAAAAGCAATATACACTCTGCACTCCTTAACTAGATATTAGCTAAGTATTGTACCTGAACACAAATCTACATCTCTTTTATATTGAGCAGCATTTTTATGCCAACTAAGGTATCCTGTTACTCTAACTGATAAAAGATTAAGTCTTTTACTGTTCCTTTTATATAAATATGAGAATAAAGAATGAGAATAGCCTTACTGGGATTATCTAGTATACTATTGCCAAACTTAACATAATTATCACTTGGCATACTTATTAAAAGTAATAATTTCCTCTCTCAGAGTCTTAACACAATTGATTTGGGATGGTAACTGGTAACTTGTAGCAATAGTAAGAATCTCAGGTGATTCTTATGAAATGGTACCTTTGGGAAGCACTGTTCTAGTGGGACTACTGAAGGGAAAGGTTTCCATACTTTCTCCTTATGGTTGTAGTCTTCCTTGACTACCATGGGTATGTGTAACTGGAGTGTTCAAAAAGGACATTCATAGATCCAGTGTCCCAGCTTTATGAGAGGATCCTAGAAAACACAGTGCCTTCAACCTGAAAAGCTGAGTGGGAAAAAAAGGAGAAAAGAAACAGTGTTATGGTAATATAGTAGAAGGAAAATTAAATTCAGTTGGAGGACATCAAAGAAGGCTTAATGAATGAGATGCCATCTGAATTGAGGAATAGAGTGGAATAAAATCCAACAATGATCAATTTAGTGAGAATGTAATGGGGACAACAGGATCCTAGTAGGTGTTTGCTTTATTTGGCAGAGAGGTTATAACTTAACATTTTGCACATTAGGCTTAGAGTAGCTTAGTGATTAAGAACATAGACTTTGGGCCGGGTGCGGTGGCTCACGCCTGTAATCCCAGCACTTTGGGAGGCTGAGGTCAGGAGTTCAAGACCAGCCTGACCAACATGGAGAAACCCCATCTCTACTAAAAATACAAAAATTAGCCGGGTGTGGTGGCGCATGCCTGTAATCCCAGCTACTCAGGAAGGCTGAGGCAGGAGAATCACTTGAACCCGGGAGGCGGAGGTTGCAGTGAGCTGAGATCGCATCATTGCACTCCAGCCTGGGCAATAAGAGTGAAACTCCGTCTCAAAAAAAAAAAAAAAAAAAAAGAACATAGTCTTTGATATTAGATCTGACTTTATATTTCAGCTCTGCATCTTACTAGTTTCAGACAAGTTACTGAACCTTTCTAAACATCAGTATCCTTATGTGTAAACTCGGGTTAATCATCTTATTCGTCATGGGTTTGTTTTGAGGCTTAAAGGGTGTCATGTATATAAAGCATAAAATAAAGCAAAGCAAATACTAAGTAGTCTTTCCTGGAGGGAGCTTGAGACTGGAGATCCAGGGTAGAGATGTAGATTTTTGGTGTACAATCGTAGTCGAAATAATCAGATGAGCCAGATACATTACAATTTCTAATTGTAATGGTGAGACGTCGTCATTTTAGCACCTACTGACCATAGGTTGCTTAGGAAAGCAATAATAGGAGTAACTTTTTGTTATATTAGACATTTTTTTTTTTTGAGACAGAGTCTCACTCTGTTCCCAGAGTGGAGTGCAGTGGCATGATCTTGGCTCACTGCAAGCTCTGCCTCCCGGGTTCATGCCATTCTGC